>NC_000001.11:160684587-161934587 GCF_000001405.40 Homo sapiens | reverse complement strand
CTACGGAAGAAACTTACATTTGAACCCAGGATCCTTAGAATTATGAGACTTTACATAGAGGGAGTTGGATTGGGAAAGAATGTGGTACAGCCAACAGAAGCTTTGCCAGCACCACTAGGAAACATCTAGGATTGGAAGGAGTCTCAGGCACAACAGCACACAGCTGCTATGTCACTTTGAAGCACTCACTCCTTCCTCTTGCAGAGCCCCTACTGCATTGTGGTTTCTAGTCCTAAAACCTAACCATTTCCTGCTAATTCTTTGGTGCTTCTTATTTTTTTCAAACTTTTCTTTAAAAAGTTTTGGTTCTGAAATGGCTCTGTTAGAGGAGGATGGAGGAAGGTGGCAACAATTTACCGGCATCACAAATCCGAGGGAAGACCTGGTTTTGGGAGAATGTTTGTGTAGCTTTACTCATGCCCAAGGTGGTCATAACTGGATCATTATCAATTCACACCTGAATGAATGTGAAAGTTCCTAATTGTGGCCCCCACTCATCCATGTCTAATCCAGCCTGTTTACGTACAAGTTATCTTGTACACTGTCATGAGATTAATCTTTTCAACTATCATTTTTATTGTGTCTCTTGCTTTTTGATGGTCCCTGCTGTATTGTGAAGAGTGCTGGTGGGATGCTTCTTTATGGTAGTGATGCTGGAGCAGAGAAGTAAATGAAGTGAAGCGAGCCATGTAACGATCTGGGTAAGAGGTTTTCAGGAAGATGGAAAAGCCCTGAGGCATGCATGAGCATCAACATGGGGAGGAGCAAGAAAAACTGTGCTGGAGTGGAAGGTTAAGGGAGATGGCAATAGGAAATGAAACTGGAAACATAGACAGAGATTGACTGAGCTATGGGAGGCCAAAATTAGGAGTGCAGACTTTTATTATGAGTGTAACTCATGATGAGTTAGAAGAGTAATTCAATAAGCCTTGCTGAATAAATGAATTAAAGTCCATTCAGGATCACCTATTTTGTTAAATTAGGGTTGACTTCTAAAGTATGATTTAAGGAGAAAAAATATTCTTTTGCATGTTGTACATGTTCAAATTAAAATCATCTTTACATTGGCCAAAGTTTTCCAATACTAAAATTCAATAGCAATCTTTATAAGTCAAGGGGAGAACATAAAGTTACACATAAAATTTTCTATTCTAATTGTGTCTTACAACTTTAATGTTGTCTCTTGATAAAACAGATTAATAAGTAGCAAATGTATATGCAGACTAAAGATGCTTTAAAAATAATACATATACACATATGCATATTTTAGGATGGAGAGACTTCCTTATATATTTTCAGATAAAATTATCACTTGTTTGCAGGATGGAACTGTACATATCAATGTTCTATATAAAAACACCATGACTTTTGGATTCTCCATGATTAAACAATAGATTCACTGAGTGTGACAGGCAGCCTCTAAGATGGCCCTCAGTAAGCTCCATATTTTGGTGTTCATACCCTTGGTATTTCCCTTCTATAGAGAGTGGGCTGAACATAATAGTTTGCTTCTAATGAGTAGAATATGGGAAAAGTGATGATATATCAACTCTGAGATTAGGTTACAAAGATACTATGGCTTCCATCTTGGACACTCTCTTGTGTTGCTATTGTGACAGAGCCAGAGGCCATGTCATGTGCTGTCTCATAGAGAGGCGCATATGGCAAGGAACTGAGGGAGAACTCTGGCCAACAGCCAGTGAGGAATTGCAGGTCTCAGTCCAAAAGCTCAAAAGGAACTGAATCCTCCCAACAACCATACGAGTGAGCTTGCACATAGATCCTCCCCAAAAATGAGACTGCAGCACCAGCCAGCAGCCTGACTTAAACCTCATGAGAGACCTAGAGCAGAACCACATTGCTAAACTCTACTTGGATTCCTAAACCAAAGAAACTGTGAAATAACAAATGCTGCTTTAAGCCATTAAAGTTTTGGGGGTAATTTGTTACACAGAAATATATAATTATTCATTGAGCTAATATAACATTTTAATGAAGTAGATCAGCTAAATTCTTAATAGTAGCTAATCAAAAAGACATTTAAAATGGTCTGCAATTTACATTTAATCATTTTAATGGCAAGTTTACCTTTAGAATTTTTTTAGCTTTGAAAATTGTTATAATTTGTTTAAAAAGGGCCAATTTGGAAGGGACAGTCAAAAAATCAAAAGGCTATAGAAATCAAATCAAATTTCTTGGTTCAGAAACCAAGAAATTCCAGTTTTAAAGAGACAGAAGTGAATGATTCGGTTCCAATATGCCTGAAAAAATCTAGGGATTGTAGTGGATGGAAAATGAGGCTGTAAAATAATATTGTCTTAAAAAGTACAATAGTGGAATACAAACACCCCACATAAAATGTGAAAGTTGGTCAAAAAAAATAACTTGCATTGTCATTCCAATTGACCATTTATTAGCACTTTTTGATTTTGTGCAACTTACTTAACTTCTTCAAGCCTTTGTTTCTTCATCTATGTAACAGGAATAACAACCCTATATTTTAGGGTTGCAAAGCACTCAGCACAATGCTTGGCACAGGGTAAACAACCAAAAAAAATGTTGGTTCCTATAGCAATTACTCTTTTCTATTATAGACTTAAATTAGAGTTTAGTTCCACTTTCAAAAAATAAAGTATTCATTTCAGGCTACTCCACAACTGGAGACCTTTAGAAAATTTAGCAAAATGTTCAGAAAACCAAAATTTAACCAGAGTTAAGAATAAGGCTTGCTCAAGATAAGGCTTGCTCAAGAAAGTGAAAAGACAAACTCACAGAATGAGTAAAAATATTTGCAAGTCATATATCTCATAAGTGACTTGTACCTAGAAGATATAATTTTTATAATTCAATAAAAAGATAAATTATCCAATAAAAAATGGGCAAATGTTTTGAATAGACAGTTCTCCAAAGAAGATATACAAATGGCCAGTAACACATAAAAAGATGCTCAGCATTACTGGAGTGGGGAAAGGGGTGAATGAGGAGTCACTGCTAATGGGGATGGGTTCTTTTGGGGTGATATGTTCTAAAATTGTACTAAAAACCACTGAGTTATAGATTTTAAATGGGTGAAATGTATGGTATGTGAATTATAACTCAATAAAGCTGTTCTAGAAAAAAGAAGTATAAAAAAGGATAAGGCTTGCAAGGTTTAAATATATATTATTTCGTCTGAAAAAGATAGTGGAAGGCAATTCGATACTGCTATTTAATATATAAAAACATGCAGTCATAAGGGATGTTAGCCAGTTTTTCTCTATTTCTTCAAAGACTTAAGTAACAATATCAGATTATGTTAATTATAAGAATTTTTTAACAGTAGTGTTTATCATTAAAGGACTATAGTTTAGAGGTAAGTTGTTCAATAATTTTTCTCCTTAAAAACAGAACAAATATTAGAATTTCTTGGAACCAGCCAGGTGCGGTGGCTCACGCCTGTAATCCCAACACTTTGGGAGGCTGAGGCGAGTGGATCACTTGAGGTCAGGAGTTTGAGACCAGCCTGGCCAACACGGTGAAACTCCCGTCTCTACTAATACAAAAATTAGCCAGGCATGGTGGTGTGCACCTGTAATCCCAGCTACTCAGGAGAGACTGAACCTGGGAGGCGAAGGTTGCAGTGAGCCAAGACCACACCACTGCACTCCAGCCTGGGTGACAGAGTGAAACTATGTCCCCAGGGGAAAAAAAAAAAAAATTCTACGAACCTACATTTTAGGAACATGTTTTAGATGGAGCAGTTTGTATAATAAATTCCTTCACGTCATTCCAGAAATAAATTCTCTTGTGTTATGTCTTGTATTCTAAGATGGTCCTATTAAAATAAATATGGTGTAATTTTTATTTTTCTGACCTGGTTTACATATGGTCTTTCTTGAAGGCATGGAGATAAAATTCTCATCTCCAAATGGCTACTTCAATCTCTATCTCTGCATAAAGTTATTTATTTGGTTTACTTTAAATGTACAATTTGCTATGATTTTCCATCACCAAATCAAAACAGTAACTGACCAGTGGATATAGAATGTCTCAAAAATTCTCCTCTTTATAATAAATGTGAATAATCTTGCATTTCATATTGAGATAAAGCTATTTTTGAAAGAAACGTAAGGTTCTAATTCATTATGACAAATGCAATTTAATACTCAAATGTTAAAATATATTGTAGCTTAAAATCTAAAAAATAGATCACTGAAACTAGAAAACTAAAATGGCTCTCATAAAGATAGAAGCCAAAAATAATGATGACAAATTCAATGAGTATTTCCCCTGCTGCAACTTGAATGCTTAAACTGTACTGTGTGGGAAAATAAAATTGTTTTAAAAAACCCAAAACAACTAAACTAAGTGGGAGGTGGAGATTTAATTATTTTGGGTTTATGAAAATGTACTGTCATCAAAAAATAAGCTCATAATTTATTTGCCTTCTAAAACATACAATCGGCTTGAGTAAAAACATTAGTTGTCACTGGCCTATCATGTACAAAGTATAGAACTTTAGAGCCAAGGGGGAACTTTAAAGATCACCTACCTCAACCTTCTCATTTTATAGATGAGGATACTAACTGAACTCCTTGCTTACAGGTCACACATCTGGTTAAGGGCTGCGCAGGGTAAGAACAAAAGGCTTTGACTCCAAATGTGGGCTGCTTTCCTAAACATCATACTGACCCTTTACAGAGAGAGATGATAGTGCCTGTACCTGCACAGACCAAATGGGTCTCAAGTAGAGGCTACATTCTTTAGGACTTTATAACTTTGGAGAATATAAGCTATCACCTAGCCTTTCACTAACTGTGGGTTTGTAAACTGGTTTAGGAACACATTGTTTTTTCATCTTTTTGTGATATTAAGGCCAAACTCACCATATTTCTTTTTTGGTTGTTGTTTCCTGGTTCTCATCTCCTGTGTTGAATCTTCTCTGATTATTCAAAATGCTGCTGATAGAAGTTTTTGGCCACTTAGTGCCTGACTGCATACCTAGGTTTACAGAACCTCCTATCTTGTGAGATAGAGCTGACCTCCTACTAGTTAAGTGTATAAAGTACCAGATAATTTATTTCCCAGACTTCCTTGTAACTAGGGTACAGGCATATGGCCTAGGCTCTGCCACACAGATGCACCAGCTCCAGACTGCAAAGGAGACTCTTCTGGAAAGAAGGGTGGCCCTAGAAGGCCTAGAAGGAGTGGTATCTAGTTGCAAGGGCCAGCCATGGCTTTGGTTCTGGAAGTACAGTTCAGGATCAGCACTATCACTGATGTAAGCTATGGTCTATGTCCAGCTCTGTGGTGTAATTTAGGACTTTGTTTTTGTTTACCGTACCTCCAAGTCAGATTCTTTGGCCCTCCTAGAAATTCTACTTAAGTTACCCAGAGTTAGTTTCTGTCACCTGAAACTAAGAAAACTGATTGATACACAGCACCTAAAAAGTAGCTAACAAATGTTCTTCTGTATCATAGTTTATCTGGGGCAG
The DNA here is from genome assembly GCF_000001405.40 of Homo sapiens. NCBI lineage: Eukaryota > Metazoa > Chordata > Mammalia > Primates > Hominidae > Homo > Homo sapiens. The sequence continues at coordinate 161,929,113 of NC_000001.11, read as the reverse complement.
GAGCTTTTATATAGTTTTCATATTTGTACCTCTCAGTTCATAAGGCAATGCCTAGCACCCATCAGGTTCTTAATAACTGGGAGTTACATTGACTGTTTTCAAAGGTGTATGCGTATGACTAACTATATGCCAAATGAGGCTCCCTGGAGTAAAAGGGAGAACAGAATGGTACATTGCTAGAATGTATGAGAGCAGCAAAATTAACCAAACACAGAATAGGGGGCGGAAGATTTCTCATGTTTATAGCCCACTTTGTCTAAATGGATCTTAGTAGCTATCTTAGTTTGAGTTCAAGCCAGTTTTCCTGGGAAAACACATGGCCACATCTATGGAAATGCAGACAGTAAATTCATTAGTGAGAAGACAGTTTATTTTTACTATTAAATGCTATGTTTTGTTTTGAAAGTAGAACTGGTCTGTTGGTCTAGGACAGGCTAGTTTAAGAAAGTGACTGACATTTACCTACTAAAAAATGCTTTTTTTTTTAAAAAAAAGGCTTTTGTATATTTAAATGTCATGGAAAAAGGAAGCAAACTTTGCAATAGATGGCTGCTAAATTTGGATGGAATGAATTTATTTTAAAGTGCTTTAATTAGGTAAACTTAAGATGATAAGAAAGCTATAGCTTACCATCTCCTAATTTATTTCTCCATATTTTAACATACTGGTGGGGAAAAAAAGCCTTTCTGGTTTATCATGGAAACTCCAGGATAGACATCTTTTTGCTGCCATCATGCCAAATTATGTGCTCAGTATTAAATATTTATGTAATAGATGACCAGAACATAAAACAGTAGCTGTTACTCTGAAATTATGGTAACATAAACTCGTATTTAGTTCTGCTGTCTTGACTTAGTCATACGCTGTTGCCTGAGGGAAAGGCTAAAGACACTATTAAAAGTTAGCACTTGCTTTTCAGAAAAATGACCTCAAAGGACCATGCAGAAAGTTCAGTTGTGGTTCTCTTAATTTCTCAGTTATCTCAGCTGTAAAATGGGGAAAATGTTTATCTCACATAGGCTTTATGAGGACCAAATGCAATTATATCTGTTAAAGAACCCAGTAATATACTTAACATAAATGGTGGGTACTCAAAAAAGGGGAGCTGAACCTGAATGTACAACTTAAAACTATTTGGTAATATAGGCAATGAACAGTTAAAAAGCATTTTGTTTTTAAAAAAGGAAACAAAACTCCAAAATACTTTAAACCTTGTAAATACTTAATTTTACTCATTTCTACTCTTATTATTCCAACAGTATAGTTCAGACATTTTTTACTATTAACAGTAATAGTATTCCAATTATTATTTCATAATCTACCCCATAATTCTTTCTTCATCGAACACTGAATATTATCTATTTTAAATGGGAAAATTAATATAAAGATCTCACTGTCAATTAGGGTGGTCCTTGCTTTAAAAAATGCAAGGGATGTGGCATTGCTCATTATTTTCTTCTGTATTTACTAATGTGTTGTAATTTAGCTCAAAGTCACACAGTAATCAGTGACAGGATGAGTTGGTCTTTCAAGAGAAGACAGAAATGTCTTCTAACACATTTATGTCTTGCCTTTCCCCACATCAAATACTAAGTCATTCTGATTTCAAATAGAAAAATGATTTAAGTCCTCAGACAATGTTCTTGGCCTGGTGTGGTGGCTCACGCTTGTAATCCCAGCACTTTAAGAGGCTGAGGCAGGAGGATTGCTTGAGCCCAGGAGTTTGAGACCAGCCTGGGCAACACCGTGAGACCCTGTCTCTATAAATGTTTTTTACATTATATTTAAAAAAGAATGTTCTTGGTATCGTAAACAAATTACATTTTATATTTAAATAAAATGCTTGCCTACAGACCTAAAGGTCTGAGATCTGGTCTCAGCTCTGTCAGTAGCTGGGCTGGATCAGCCATTCACCTCCCTCAACCCGTTTTCTTAGCTGTTTCATGAGGCTGTTGTGTTAAACTCCCCTAAGTTTTCTCTGGGGTCTAAGATTTTCTATGATCTATGTATGCCTTGTTTTCCAGTAAATTAACTCTCTGAAGGCATGAATCACATTTTAGTCTTCTTTTGAAACCTGTACATTACTTGGCATAGTGCTATGCGCTGAATATAAAGCTGAACAGCAATCACATTATACTAAAAAAAAACATGGAACCAAATCATCATAATTTATAGTATAAAACTAAGCAATGACTGCAACGTAACTATTACTTGACATTTAGAATGGTGGGTTTTAACCCTCTTACCTTTCAGTCAAGCAAATGACTTTATTTACCTGCTCTAGGTAATAGGATAGTTTCTAGGTGGAGTGTTCTGCCCTCTTATCTCCATAAGCCATCAAAATATTATGGACTTGTAGACTTACTCTTTACATTCTTTGACAAGCAGCATGGAAGGCAGCCTCTAGGATGCCCCCAAATGATCCCCACTTTCTGGTATTCATACCCTTGTACAGTCCCCTCCCACAATGTACGAGGGTTGGTCTAAGTAACCAACAGCACGCAGCAGAAGTGATGGTATGAGACTTCCAAGATTAAGTTTAAAAGACAGTGGCTTCCATCTTGGGAGTGCTCTTACTCACTTGCTTTCTCACTCTTACGGAACAGTTGCTTTGGGGAAGCCATGTTGTGAGCAGCCCCAGAAAGAGGCCACCTGCTGCGTGAGTGAATGTGGAGGCACATCCCTGAGACCCAATCAAGTCTTCAGCCCCAGTCAACAGCTTGACTTCAATCTCAAGAGAGATCCGGAAGCAGAATCACCCTGCTAAGCTGGCCCTAGATTCCTGACCCTCAGAAACTGTCTGAGATAATGTTTGTTTTCTTTCAGCTGCTAGGTTTTGGAGTAATTTGTTACACACAATAGATAGTATACAGAAAGAATCCTTTTTTAAATATGAACTACCCATCATCTATTGCCTAGATGATAACTTTCTAACTGTTGTCCCTATAAAAGCATAATCCCCTCTCATCTATCTTTTATGTTGCTGCTGGGGAAATCTTTTGAAATGTAACTCTGTTTGTGCCTCTTCCCTGCTCAAAATATTTTAATAGTTCCCCATTACTCAGAGGCTTAAGTCAAACTCTGTATCATGTCCTACACAAGGCCATGATGAACTGGCTTCTGCTTGCCTCTGCAGCTTCATCTGTACCTTGATCCATGTGCACTTTAGTCCAACTTTAATTCCCCAAATGGACTAAGTACTTTTCTTTCTCTGATATCCCTACTTATACTGTTCCCTATGCTCAGAATGCCTCATTCACTTGGCCAGTATTGAAGATTCAGTTCAAATTTCACTGTGTGTTCATTTAATTAATTACATTTTTTTCTTAGATACAATGGACAGTGCCTGGCTTATATAGATACTTCATATATTTAATTCAATTCAACAAACATTTTTGAGCAGCTACTATGTATTAAGCACTTACTCTTGTCAGGCAGTAGGAATAACAAAGAATATTGAATAAATAAGGTCCTAACCTTAAGAAGCCTCCAATTTAGCAGGGAAGTTGATGATAACTACTGATTACAAGTAAGATGAATGTTACAAAAATAAGAAAGTTTGGAGTATTCTGGGTACATAAAGTTGGGAAGGGATCCTAACCTATTCCATGGACTTAGGGAAGCCTTCTCTGAATGTTTATTGAGTAAGGAACTTAAACTGTATCTAATCAGGATAAAAACACAGTTCTAAATTCAGGCCAAAAATCCAAATCAGCAAATAAAATTAAAAAGCTTGGTAGTAACATATATGAAAAAGCTAAAGACTATATTTGACAGAAGGTACAATGTATGATGTAACTAGAAAAAAACACCTTGGTTTCACCAATAGAAATACACTATATAGAATTAGGAGATCCTCCACTATGCTCAGCATTCATCAGCCCTCTTTAACAGATGTGGAAAAACCAGAGCCCATTCAGAAGAGAATGACCAGAATCGAGGCACCATGAACCCAGGTCACAAGAATAGCTTCCAAAAACCGGAAGGTCTTGGGATGTGAAGACTCAGAGGGTATATAGTATACACACAGCTGAAGGTTTGTCATGTGGAAGAAATATTATATTTATATATAATCCTGTGGATTTAAGAGACAGAAAAGGAACAATTTACAAATTGCCAGAGCTATTTAAAGCAGGCAGTCTCTATACATGGCGGTGATTATATCTAAACTGGTTGGCCACAGAGCAACATGTTGCAGAAAGGAATCCAATCCCTCGAAGGGAGTTACCATGGATAACTTTGTACTAAAGCCTTTTTAACCATGATATTTTATGGCATGAGTACAGGAATATTAATGCATCTTTCTTTGTCCTAATCCATACCATAATGATGCCAAGTAGATCACATTTCCCACAAGGTTCTGTCCTACATAATAGAGTGAAAAGAAAGAGATAGGTCCTAGGTATCTTCAAAGAAACTGCTTATATGGCCTTCCTAACAATTCCTTTCCTAGCAGCAAACTATTGTGCAGGTTACATTTGTCTCACTATTTAATCTAAATATTATATTTAAGCTAGGCATTTGTTTCTGTAAAATTAATAATACATATAGAGGCAAATATCTCTATGGATACTTGGTTGAGTTCAAAGGCAACTTTTGTCTGATGTACTCAAGATCCCCAAAGCAAGAATGCTTTCTTAACACAGGAACATATAATTAACAATCTGCATTTATATTTTCAATGTCAAGATTCTAGATTTTTTTAAATATGTGGATTTCTTAGCACTCTCTAACTTTTATTTGTAAAAGCTCAAGAGAAGGAGTATTTCCCAATGTCAATGAAAACTACCATGTCTTTGGCATGTACATCTCTGAAATGACACTGGCCATCCTCAGCTTGCAGATGTCTTAAATAACAAAGAAAGTATCATGTAACTGCTGACACACCTATGTAACACTCCACAGAAAGTTATGATCCCCAATGTTTCCAGTTGGTGTAACTGCAAAAGAGAGAACGCAGAGCAGTCGAACCTGTGCTTACTAAGCAATTCTTCTAAAACATAGAAACTTGAGATTATATGAAGTGGCTCATCTTCTGACAAAGTGCAAGGTTCTTGATTTCCCCGTACAAAGATAAATCCATTAGGAGGAGCTTAACATTAAAAAATAAAAAATAACAGACTTTGGAGAGTTAGTGGGAGGCTCAAACCAACTCTGTTGGCTTAAGTAGATGCTGATCTCTAGTTTTTATTTGTTGAAAGCTAAACCATCTGTTTGAGTAGAAACAGATTTTTGCCATAAGGCAGAAAGAGTGAATGTGATCTCACTGAAAGCTAACAGGACTCTGAAGGTCACTTAGGTACAGGGGGCTCAGCAACTGGCTCCTTTGGGTCAAAGAAGTAACTAATATCCTAGAAGGATCAATGCAAGCTGATTGAATCTAAACCTCTGGGGTCTTGTGAAGGTTCTAATAAACTAAATAATTAATTAGTAAATCAAATACAATGAATATAAACTATTCATGGAAAAATTACCCATGCAACTGCCAATAAATCATCAACACAATAATCATTCTTAGCAAAGTAATAACATTCCAAGTATATAAAGGCAGCTCTACCATTAACCCTATTTTTTCCACTTAAGAAATCTATTTATTTCCAGGTTTACCTTATAGTAGAGAGTTCAGAAGAGGCTCTGCTAAGTGGGAGAAAATCTAATGGTTTGGGAAGAGTTAAAAATGGATACACTAATGACTTCAAGAAATAAGAGGGAAGTAAGGCCAACCAGAGGAAATGAGGGAGGTAAGATACAGCTATAGAACAGCTATTTTTTGTGAATCATAAAAAGGCAAAAATTTCCCAACTCTAAGTATATATTAAAAATTAAGTATCAGAGCATTTCTTTAGGCATGGGATGAAGAGGAGGAAGAGACACAGTTAAATAAAAAAAAAACACCACCACCTTCAAGGTAATTATCTTTGAGTAGTGTTAGATAAAGCCATAAATGAGAGGTGGTTACATTAAGGAGGTTCAGTGGAGGAAAGACTATTTATTCTAGGACCTACAGAAGTATTCTAGTGGTCCACAGAAGTAAAGCAAAAGTTTTGCAGAGGTGGTAGGATTTCAGCTGGATTTTGAAGGATGGGTAGGAGATAGCCTGGAGGGAAGAGGACAGGTAATCCAAGACATGGACACCACATGTGCAAAAATAGAGTGATCTCTTTACATGTACATCAGATCAAGTCACTTCCCACCTCAAACTCCTCAGCACCTTCCCACTATATTGATAAATCACAACTCTTCACCGTGGCCTACAATTCCCTGTCTGATGTGGCCCCTGTTTACCTTCCCGATCTGATCTCGTATCATTCCTTCCTCTCCCTACTGGGTCCTACTCTAGCCTTACTGGTCTTCTGACAAATCCTAAAACGAACACATTCTTTCCAGCCTCAGGGCCTCTGCTCTCTTGTTGCTCCCTCTTCTTGGAATCTTCTGCCCCTTGACTCTTCACAGTTGATTCTTCTCATCCTTCAGATCTTGGTTTAACTGTTATCCCCTCATTACCCAATCAAAAAGGTCTTCTCTACCCCTGACTCCCACCATATTTCATGAAGGGACCATATTTCTTTCTTTCTCCCAAACTGTCATAAGCTGCAATTGTTTTGTTTGGGTTGTTAATTTTTTTTTGTTTTCTTCTGTCTCTTGCACTTAGAGGCTACAGTAAAGTACAAATCATGGGTACCTTATTCTATGTTGGTATCTCCAGCATTAGGCATAAAGGAGAATCAGTGAATGAGTATTTTTAAATGAACTAATGAATACAGATTCAAGGAACTGTTAGTAGAACAGTTTGGTTAGAACTGAGTTGAAAAGGTAATGTGGGGACAGACTGTCCTGGGCCTTAGATGCCAGGCTAAAGCATTTGGATTTCATCTGATAGACACTGAAAATCCACCGCTGGTTCTCAAGAAGGATAATGATATAACAAAAGCAGTATGTAAGGATGACTCATCTTGGCAGCAGTATGCAGGGTGAATTGTAGGAATTAAGATGGAAAAATAATAAATTAGGGACACCAGTTAAAATACTAATGCAACAATATAGACAAGAGGAATAATCTCAGTAATCCCAATCATGCCCAAGGCAAAGCAGAGAAAAAACAAACAAACAAACAAACAGGGAAAACAAGCAAAGAAAGAGGGCTCATCTTTCTTTTCTCTGCAGATTCCCACTCTATATTTCTTGCTGCCCCATGCCTATCTCCATAAGCTTTGTTATCTTGTAAAAGCATCAAGGTGGTGAATGAGGAGAAGTCTAAGACAATACAACAGATGGAAAGGGACACTAACTTGTGAGGGGGCTGGTAGTATCTAACAAAAAGGAAAGAAAATGAAATTCATCAGTCAATAATTACTTGGTATTCCGTTACAAGAGACACACAGAAATACACACCAATCTGTTACAAGAGATACACAAAAATACCCACCAATGACATCTCTAATTCAAGATGCATAAATCTCACACTGTCCCTCCCATTTTATCCATTTCTTTGAATGGCAGTACTAGTCTCTCAGTGGTCTGGTCTCAAAATCATGGAATCAGCTTTTCCTTCTCTCTCCTTTATAAATCATCAGCTGCCAAATGCTATAGATTTTTCCTTTGGAATTTCTTTGGAAATTTTTCCTTTCTTCCCATTCCAAGCTTTGAATCACCTCATCTTGAGATTGTTCCAAAGTATCTATCCTAGTATCTATCCTAGCTCATCTTCGCTCTTCATTTTTTTCTATATACAATTCTTAGCCAGATTAATAATCTCTTAATAGAGTCTTCATTGTATTATTCTTATGTTTGATAGTTTAAAGTTACTTCCTCAACTCATTAATGACCTAAATCATCTGGCTGCATCCCATGCAATAAATAAATATTTATTTCTCTTTTCAACATGAATCCTCTCTTTACTGTCTCTTCCCAGACACTTTGCTCAATTCCAATTTAGCATATGATGGAGTGCTGCAGCAAGCAGCTGCTGCTTGGCCTTAGCTGCTCTTAAGTTGTTGACTCAACACAGCAACTGGTTCATCACTGTGATTCTTTGCTGTGGACTTCTCAATATAATAAAACAAACAAACAAAAAACAACGGATGGCCAGGCACGGTGGCTCATACCTGTAATCCCAGCACCTTGGGAGGCCGAGGGTGGATCCTTACTAAAAAGACTCCAAATTTTTTTTCAAATCATAATGTGCCTAGTTAAAATATTATCTTTCTGAGCCTCCTTTGAAGCCAGGCCTAAATAGTTGACACAGTTTATGTTCAATAAGACATAAGCAGAGCTTTCTAGAAATTTCTGGAAAATGTCTGCTTTCTTGATAGACACCTCCTTTTTTCTGCCTGTAATACAAATATGATGGCTTGAACTGCAACAGTCACTTTGTGATCATCTGGGAAAGGCCAAAAGAATTTCTGCAATCTCGGCCTTAGCCACTCTTAAGCCGTTGACTCAACACAGCAACTGGCTCATTCACTGTGATTCTTTGCTGTGGACTTCTCAATATAATAAAACAAACAAAAAACAACTGATGGCCAGGCACAGTGGCTCACACCTGTAATCCCAGCACTTTGGGAGGCCGAGGCGGGCAGATCATGAGGTCAGGAGATCGAGACCACCCTGGCTAACATCATGAAACCCCGTCTCTACTAAAAATATAAAAAATTAGCCGGGCATGGTGGCGGGCACCTGTAGTCCCAGCTACTTGGGAGGCTGAGGCAGGAGAATGGCGTGAACCCAGGAGGTGGAGGTTGCAGCGAGCCAAGATCGCGCCACTGCACTCCAGCCTGGGCGACAGAGCGAGACTCTGTCTCAAAAAAAAAAAAAAAAAAGAGAGAGAGAGAGAGAAAGAGAACTATGATTATGTATTTTTTAAAAATTAAAACATAGTTTTAAGTGAAGACTCCATTCAACTGTCTGGATGCAATTATATGAAACTGAAATGAAATGAATTACAATGAAAATGCAAGGTAGATAATACTTTTTTAAAAAAAATAGACAACCTGCAGACCTTTAAGGAGAAATATATTGAGAAGAATAAAAGGAAAAACTCTCGACCTGCTTAGGAAACCAGGCTGCTTGAGCAGAATGAATAGGACGGTTTCCAAATATATTTGCCTTGGGATAGTCCAAAAAACTGTGATCATCAAAAGCAGTTATATGAATATTCTTTTATTTTTAAAACCAACACATTTATTTGGTTGGTTTGCTTCCTACCCTTCTGTTACGACCTCTCCAACTAAAAATGTGTTGCATGTGCTGGCACTAGTATTTGCAACCATTGCTATTAAGCTCTTCTAGATTTTCTTTATATGGATGGAAATTACCTTGAGATTAAATATAATTACAGTTTAGCCTGGTAGTCATTTGTTCATCTACGTGGGCCCTTAATTCAAGTAACAGTTATAAACAGTTGTTTATTTTTATTACACATGTACCACACAAACAGGTACCTGGCACACAGAAGGGAAGGGAAACAGTAAAAACAAATCAATGAACATGTTGGCCAAATTATGAAACATATCTGCTGATGGCTTGTTCATAGAATTCATTCCCCTATGAAAGATATCTACAAAGTTTAGCTATCTACCATTAAAAAACAAACATATCACTAAAAAATCAAATTAAAAACCCCCTTTTCTATGCTCTATCTTGTTCAATTATTTACCAAGAGTGAAAGAAAGGAAATGAACAGTTTTACCACAACATAAGTAGAAATAATTTGAAAGCAGGAAATGTTAGCTTACAGTAACTACTAGTAGAACTTCCAAAATCCTTTAAAAAAAAGAAATCAGTAGCTTTTAGTCCATCATCCACTGTTCCACCAACCATGCAATCCTTTTTTAAAAAAGCCTTTTCAAAGCATACCTAGCATTCTATTTTTATTTCAATAATCTTGTGTGACAACTTCCTCAGACAAAGAAAGACTTACTTTCTTGCAGCTTCACTAACCTGTTTTCAACTCTCTTATGAAACAAAGGAATTTAAATAATAAACAGAATGCAAAGTAAAAAACAATAAATTACAAAAATAAAACTGGCATGGAGAACACAGATGATATGACGTGATTTCTAAATGGCATTAATTTCACACCCATATCCTACTCTCTTTAGCGATTTCTGAAACTTTCTTCCATGGCTTAAAACCACAAAGTATAATCATAATACGTTACAGTTTAAGACCAGACATTGACCTGGAAATGTAATTTACTGTGCTTAAATTGGAAAATCAAATTCATCTTACAAATATCCCCATCCAGCATATTACATAAACCAGTTGCTCAATAAAATCTGAATTTCTGTCTTCACTTTCTATCCTTTGCCACCCTCTCCAAAATTTTACAAGCTCCACTTGAGTCAGAGAGAGGGATCACCTCCACAACTCATTTTTGTTTCCAAGTTGTATGTAACTTTTAAACTCAGAAATGACAGAAAATGTATTTTATTCAACTTTCTCAAACCCTTATATGCTCAGAATGAACAACTCTGATATTAGGGATAGCCTCACAATGTCTCTGCTCTTTCAATAAATAGGTACTCAAACTTTTTGTGCCTACATAACTTAAACTCTTCAGATTATACATTATGTAATTATAATATAATTTGTCAAATCCATAAGTCTAATAAGCCAAAGAAATTTATCTCTGGGTCTTGAAGAATCCTATAGAATTATAGTTTCCTATAGGACAACTTTTTGCATGGTTTTATTTATAGAACAATTGCTGAAAAGGAGGCTAATAATTTCAATTCACTCTGAAGTCCAAATCTCAATGTGGTAGAAAGGTAGCCTAGTATATGTTTTAATTACTTTACACTTGAAAAGATTAGACTAATCTGTGCTTGCTAACTATTATTAATTATATAAAATATTATTAAACTAGTAAAATATTTTCAAGTGGTCACAAAGTTATCACCAAATAACATTTACCTTACTTATTCTTTTATTCAACAAACATATACCTATCAAATTCAAATGACTGTATTATGTTATACTGCTCCCAATGAATCTTTCCCACCTTATAGTGTAGGAATAAAATGGTATAAAATCTATCTTAAATTTTGGAGTCCCAAATATTTTCAATCCTTGCACATCTGTCTTTAATATTGAATTAACAATATAATTAATTAGAAGATATTTTATACAATGTATGTAAATCTTGGCTCTGCTATATAGTGGTTGTGCAAATGGTATGAATTACTTTCTTGAGGCATTATCTATAAAAAATAAAGAGAATAAAAGTTGAGTATCCCTAATCCAAAAATCTGAAATCCAAATTGCTCCAAAATCTAAAACCTTTTGAGTGTTGACATAATGCCGCAAGCAGAAAATCCACACCTGACCCTTTCTGATGGTTCAATGTATATTAACTTTGTTTCATGAGCAAAATTGTGAAAAATTGTGTATAAAGGCCGGGCGCGGTGGCTCACGCCTGTAATCCCAGCACTTTGGGAGGCCGAGGTGGGCGGATCACGAGGTCAGGACATCGAAACCATCCTGGCTAACACGGTGAAACCCTAACTCTACTGAAAATACAAAAAATTAGCCGGGCGTGGTGGCAGGCGCCTGTAGTCCCAGCTACTCGGGAGGCTGAGGCAGGAGAATGGTGTGAACCCGGGAGGTGGAGCTTGCAGTGAGCTGAGATCGCACCACTGCATTCCAACCCAGGCGACAGAGCGAGACTCTGCCTTCAAAAAAAAAAAAAAATTGTGTATAAAATTATCTTCAGACTGTGTATATAAGGTGTATCTGAAACATAAATGATAAATTTCATGTCTAGACTTGGGTCCCATCCCCAGGATATCTCCTTATGTATATGCAAATATTCCACAATCTGAAACAATCCAAAATCTGAAATAATTCTGGTCCCATGCATTTTGTCCTTCTTATCTTTCCTTTTTGACCAATGGATTCACACCACATGATCCCAGCATTTGAATAAAGAACAGTTAGCCTGCACTTAACTGGCAGCTCAGCATGACATGAGTTAATGTAAATGAAAGTGCCTCATCTTTCAAGGTTTCCTACACCAGGTACTGTTCCAGGGGCTGGGGATATGGTGGTAAGTGGCGAACATAACAAACAAGATTCCATCCTGACAGAAGAGGAGAAGCTGGATAAGCTGACTGAGGAGATACAGGAGGAAACCTAGACAAGTCATGGTATCATGAAAGCCTAGAAAATAACATATTTCAAGAAAGAAGGGATGTCAAAAATGTACAGGAGGGGAACGACTGGAAAGGAGCATGAGGGAATTTTTTGAAGTAGTGACAACATTTATATCTTGATTGAAATGGTGGCTTCACAATGGTTTACTTTTGTCAAAATTCATTACATTGTATACAAAAAATTGGTGAATTTTATTGTATGTACATTATACCTAAATAAGTCTAATTTTTAAAAACGTAAATGTCATCAAAGACAGTAAAAAGGATAGGAGCTTTTCTAGATTAAAGGAAACCAAAGAGGTATGATGAGTGGGTGTAATGTATAATCTTTGGAACATATATTCAAAAAGTTATAAAGAATATTTTGGGGGAAAATGGAGAGATTTGAATATATGCTATACATTGAACTCTACTGTATCAATGTTAAATTTTTTTTAGTATCATCATTTTATTGTGGTTATGCAAGAGAAAGTCCTTTCTATAGCAGATGTATTTTCAAATATTTAGGGGTAAAGCACCATGTTATCTGCAATTCACTCTCAAATAGGTTTTAAAATCTGGTGAGTGTACATAGATAGATATAAAACAAATATAGAAAAATGTTAACAATTGGTGGTATCTATTTAAGGGTCTCTAGATATTTACTGCACTCATCTGTCAACTTTTCTATAGATTTGAAATTTTTAAAAATAAGAATTGGGTGGACTAAAAAAAAGAGGGAATAGTTAGCTGTGTCAAATACTGTTGAGAGGTCAAGTAAGATGACCATGGAGACATGACCTTTGACTTGGCGAGATATTTGTCATTGACTTCCGTTTTGCAAGAGCATTTCAGTGGAGTGGAAGGGCAAGAGCATTTCATGAAGTGAAATGGCAAAAGCTTGGTAAGGGTGAAAAGAAGACAGAATCAGAGGTAAGGAAGTAGAAGCAGTGAGTGTAAGTCTTTTGAGAGTTCTGCTCTAAAGGGTAACAGAGAAATAGGATGTGAAGTCAAAGAAGTCTCCCTACACCAGAGGTAACAGTAATATTAAGACATTTTGGGCTGGGTGCAGTGGCTCATGTCTGTAATCCTAGCACTTTGGGAGGCTGAGGCAGGAGGATCACTTGAGCCTAGGAGTTCAAGACCAGCCTGGGCAACATAGGGAGACTCTGTCTCTACAAACAATTTAAAAATTAGCTGGGAGTGGAATGTGCCTGTGTTCAGGAGCTGCTCGGGAGGCTGAAGTGGGAGAACTGCTTGAGCCCAGGAGGTGGAGGCTGGAGTGAGCCATGGGTCACGCCATTGTACCCCAGCCTGGGCAACAGAATGAGTCCCTCCCTCGAGGAAAAAAAAAAAAAGACATTTGTATGCTGATGGGAATGACCCAGTAGAGAAGAAGAAACTGTATAAAAGACGAATGGTATAAATGCAGAGTAAAGTCTTTGAGCACTGTGAGAAGTGCTAGGAGTCAGGGTCCAAAAGGAAGAAATTACCTTAGAAGTTGGCAATGATGTCTTAAGGACAATGGCAATGATGATTATTGCAGTAAAACAGCAGCTAACCCCAAAATAGTCAGGTACTATTTAAAGCTTTTTTACTCATTTCATTCTCACATCAACTCTTAGAGGAAGGTATTACTAATATCTTCTTTTACAGATGAGGAAGCTGAGGTACAGAAAAGTTAATTAACTTGCCCAATGATACATATCCAGCAAGTAGCAAAGCTGGGATTTAGAACCCAATGGAAGAGACTTTTCTTTCAGTGCAACAAGAGGGAAGGCAGAGTTTGTGGGTGTAGATGCAGCTGGGCCGGTGGTAGTGGAAACATGATGTAGCTCTTGCATGATGACATCTATTTTCTCAGTGTAGTATTTGGTGAGTTCATCAGCTGAGGGGGTGGGGAGAGAGGATGTTGGAGTTTTGACAAGAGAAGGTGAGAAATTCTTTTTTTCAGAGAGAGGGAAAGTGAATTTACTAGTAATGACTGGCATATTAAATATCCCTTTGAAATTAATGGTCACAAATTTGAAGTGAATCTACTTGTTCTCACTGAACGGTACTTTCTAGCAATTTTCAGCTGCTTGAGAGCAGGCATAGAGAGAAGAGCTGGGTTTACCTAGAAAGCAGTTTTTCCAAGAAAGTGGGACCTAAGAAAGGAGCCAGGAAGTAAGGGGTGTTCACAAGAGAGTGGTGACAGGACCATGGAATTTAAGCTGGGTAAGGAGGAATGTATGGCCATTAAGGATGTGATGGACACAGAAAAGAAGTGGCAGGGTCAAAGGACTGTAGACTTGTAAGTTAAGAGAGTAGTTGGAGTGTGAGTTTTAAAGTAAGAGAGTAAGTAACAGTCAGAGAGTGGGATGCCTGAAAAGGAGATTTCAAAGAGAGTGCTGCTGTTGATGATGATAAGGTCTAGATTATGACCATATGGATGGGAGGCTGAGGTGGCGCGGAATAAAAGATGACTGGATCAAAAAAGGCTAGAGTACTAATGACTCCTCTATGCGGATGCTGAAGTTAGACAGCAGGATGACAGAGGCAGTGGAGGAGTCGTCAGTGAAGGTGGAGTAGACGGCAGCAACAAATAAGGGTTAGAGGAGTAAAGTGTGATGTGACAGATTTGCAAGATGTTAAGGGGACTGAAGGAGAAATAATTTGAAAGTTGTAGTGGGAAGCAAGGATACCACCTGCCCTGCTGCAGACTTTGAGGTACATGAGGAAGGGGAAAAAATCAGGCTCTAATTTAAGAAGTATCCTCAGAGCAAGACTGTTAAGAGAAAAGGCTGAGGATGTAGCATGGTACTTGAAACACGGTATATATTCAATCAATATTTCTTGAATTTGAATTTTGATTTTTTAATAGGACTTATCCTAAAAAGGGAAGTTTTTAAAAAGACTATTTACAAAGAGTCTGAAACAGATTAAAAAGACAATGATCCTCTAATGACTGGATTTTTCCAAATCCATGAAAGGCTCCTCTTCAAAAATCAGTCACCTGGCCAAGATAAACATAGTCAAACAGCATCTTGTTGGTTTTGGCTTAATATAAAGATAGCTCACTGTTACAAAATAAGACCAGGCATTCTCTTGCATAAGAACCCAATATCAGAAGAACAAAATTAAGTGAATTCTGCCTTGATAAAGCTTAGAAAATAGCCTTTCTGAGCATAAGCTGACCCTTTGGTCTATTCTAGTTTAGGCAGAGAAACTTAGGTACCTATAGATTGAGTATAAGTGAGACTTCCTAAATACATTCTTTGGAATGTAATAAAATGCACTTTGGAATATATTCTTCTTCAGGTAGTAAATGATTATTCCATGAGTAACTTCAAAGGTATGTCTTTACTGAAGAAAGAGATGTTCTTCTCAATGTTACTGTTTTTCTTAAACTTATTCTGAATGTCTTTGTAAGGCTAAGTAAATATTGTAATTTTTATGCTTTAACAAAAAGCCCATTTATGTTTATGTCTATGAAGTTACTTCCTAAGCATTTCTAATAAGCTGTCTATATACAGATCATGAAATTCTAAGGTCCTCTATGGTCTTAAAATGTATGATGAATACCACTTTTCCCCTAAAGACTAAATTTTATTGAAACTTATCTGGAATCCCCCCAAAATTCTAGTGTTTTGTTTTATAATTGTATTTGAAGGTTTAATTATATTTATCAATCAAAATGTGAACTGGTTCGACTGCAGGTTAGTTCAAAGGGCTTTTCGTTTCCATCTTCTTCATATACTGAGGTTTTTGCTACCAGACAGAAAATTTACTAGTACCTACATTATGTGAGATACACAAACTTGAAAAAGATGGCCAACTCTCCGATTTTCAATATAATGTGTCAGAGAAAGCAATTAGTCAATAACATACACTGTGCTCATTTATAATCCACAACTGGTAATGGGAGTGAGTTATTTCACTTCTCCATGAAGAATCAAGCTGAAAGTAATCTCTTTTCACTAGATTTCTTAGTACCTCACATATTACTTACGTGACTTTCTCTTTGGAGTACAGTGATTTTTGTGCTTGTCTTTTTTTTTCTTC
This sequence comes from Homo sapiens, assembly GCF_000001405.40. Taxonomy (NCBI): domain Eukaryota; kingdom Metazoa; phylum Chordata; class Mammalia; order Primates; family Hominidae; genus Homo; species Homo sapiens. Next base: position 161,912,938 of record NC_000001.11, on the reverse strand, counting down.
TAAACTATAAGCAGGTATATTATGCCTTAACATCTGTGCATTATATTATTATTTGTATTTTGTTTAATGTCCAGGGCTAGTAATATAACAAAATGCAATAGTAATACTATCAGTGTCAAACTCATCAGTATTATCAATTAAACATAAACAGGCTTCTGTGGCATGGTCTAGGATGATATCAACATTTAGGTAACACAGGAAACTGCTTTGAGTTCCAAAAATCTAATTTACAAATTCACTGTCAGAACACAGCAGGGGCTTCTTACACTACATTTATGACTAGAAGGGTCGCAGATGCAAGTCTGTAGAGCAGTCAAGATGCTAGCTTTTCCAATTTTGTAAGTAAAAGAAAGCTACTTTTTCTTTTAGGGATGTAGTAATTTTTTTTAAAAGAATAATGGATCTTAAAAATAATAAAACAGTGGAAAAATGTTTCAGAAATAATGTACGGATATATACTCATTTAACTGAACATTTTAAATGTCTTTGAACTAATGAAGAGAATCCTGGTTAAACAAAGAAATCTCATATTGTTCATACATCAGAATTTCAACTTACCATTTATGTTTATTGCTGGTAACACAATTGACATTTTTGGTCTTGTGGTCTTGTTATGGGTGGTAGCTGGTAACAGCAGGTGATCCTAAAATTAACAAAGAACAATCTGTTATATATAACAATTGGCTTAGTCCTAGAACAGGCCAAATTCAGGGCTTCTAAGAGGTCAATATTTCGTTGGGATGATGAAAAATTATAGTTTTTATTTGAAGTTGGCTTAATTAACTACAAACCAGCTTAGAATCATTCATTCATTAATGTAATACACATTTACAGAGTGTCTACCGTTGTCAGGCACTATGCAGTGATCTTGGAAAACTCCTAGGTTTTTACAACACATATGCTGTAGCACCACTATAAAGAATACTGGTCAAGCAGTCAAGACAAGGGATTTTAATTCTAATTCTGCCACTAAATAGCTGTATAATCTGGACAAGACTACGTATCCTTTCTGTGTTTCAGTTTCCAGTCCTGTAAAATGATGGGGGCTAGACTAGATAATGTCACAAGATACTGAGAGTATCTCCCCTAAACAGTCATTCTCAAACTTTTTTTTTAAAGGCAATAAACTCTTTTTCCCATCAAAATTCTTATCCCAGGAATTTTCTATCTGTAGAAGAAAGAAATTATCAACATGTACAAGAAAGATTCTGACTGAAGCAGGGCCAAGGCCTAGAGCCTTGCCTGCTTAGCCTCCTCTTCTCCCTTTGAAGGGACCACAGAATTAGACATTTATTTGCAAGTGACAGGTGCATGCTAAAGAAGTTGTACAGTTTTTGCCCTTAAAAAGCACACAGTTTGGTAGAAGAGTTAAAGAATTATAAATACATGCCTAGCACAATTGTATAGTCCTACACTGTGCAGGGCATCTGAGGTTTCTAATTTCCAGCACACAAGTACTAAAAGTAAGAATAAGCCAAGAGAAGCTTGGCTTCAGAAAAGGCAGAGTATAAGTGTTTTGAAAAATGTATATACATCTGTAGGCATTCTAAGGCTGATTATAAATGACTTATGACTTTGATATTAACTACTGTTTTCAGTAACTCCTCTTCTTCCTAGCAAAAACATATGAACTGTTACAGAAAAAAGAAAAAAAGAAGTATATTAGCATTTCCATTTAAGGGAGCATGGTTAAACTGGAGATAAAACTAAACCTAAGTTTGATGCATTTTGCTTTCTTTTCTTGTTCCTGTGTTCATTGTTTCACCATTCATTCAACAAACTTACTATATGAAATAACTCATCAAAAAGTAGGATCTGATACAGCTGAGAGCAATAAAAATTCAACACAACTTCAAAGTTCAAAGTTGATATGATTATGAAGTGTGATTATCAGCAAAACTAAGAAAAAAATCTAAAAAGTGAAAAACAAATTGAAATTGATATACATGAACAGAACTGTGTAGAAAACATTTCCAGTAACTGCTTGTATTTTGTGTAATTCAAGGCAACATTTCCATGAGAACATGTTTTTAAAAATTGGGGAGGAGAGAGAAGATGAGTAAATTCTGTTAGAATTCCAGCATTGCAGCAAGGGAATTTTTTGTTTTGTTTTTTTAAGTGCATTGTTAGACACAAAGATCACACATTTCTGATTAAGATAACATTATAACCAAGAAAAAACAGAATTTGCTGATCTTCAAGCCATGAAAGTTATACATAGCTTAATTCCTATCATTAAAATACTGCTTCAGGGTCTCTAAATTGAATGTGAAAACAAACCAAAAAACTTGCAAGCCCCAAATTAAGGCTATTGTAAAAATAAACAAACTTAGATTCCACTGGTCATGGGTTAAGGTCAGGCTCAGACTTAATTCTGAGTTTCCTGCTAAGATACAGATGCCATACTAATTGTTGTTTTTAAACATGATCTTCTGAACACAATGTCTCCTACTTTTTCTTTTCACTAAATTTCTAACAAACTAGTTACTTTTGCAGCAGAAAGCTAAAAACTAGGTATGATTTATGAAAAAGAAGAATCATATCTTGCATGCATACGAATTATTACAGTTAACCTGCCTTGTCTCTAATTATTAAAGGTTTGCAAACTGGGGTAACAGTTTTTAAGTACTTGTTTACCAAGAGGCCCAAAAATCAGACTGCAGGGAACCAAAGCTGGTATACTACCAACTCTAACAGTACATATCTTATAATAAAAATAAGTGTCTATATAATATATACATTTTATCTATCTTATCTATATATCTGGGACAATGTAGTTAACTTCATTGAATATTTACCTCCACTTCCTCAAAATAAATGTTTCTTGAACCTCACAACAATGAATCCTGAATCATTACTTTCTCTCTGTGTTCATCTTACTCTTTTTCAGATCATTAGTACTGTGAGTCACATTTTCAGAAACAAAGGAGCTGTAATCACTCAATAAATATTTACTGGCCTCTTACTGTCTTTTCTTTTTTTTGAGATGGAGTCTTGCTCTGTCACCCAAGCTGGAGTGCAGTGGCACGATCTCCATTCACTGCAAGCTCCGCCTCCCGGGTTCATGCCATTCTCCTGCCTCAGCCTGCAGAGTAGCTGGGACTACAGGCGCCCGCCACCATGCCCGGCTAATTTTTTGTATTTTTAGTAGAGACGGGGTTTCACCATGTTAGCCAGGATGGTCTTGATCTCCTGACCTCGTGATCTGCCCGCCTCGGCCTCCCAAAGTGCTGGGATTACAGGTGTGAGCCTCTGTGACCGGCCCTTACTGTTCACTTAAAAAAAATTTACTGAGCACAGTGTCCTGTCATGTATTCAGCACTGTGCTACAGAGGATATTTTCTTTTAAAGAATATAAATCCAAGTTTTTATTTTGTTGGGGAAACTGAATTGTGGCAGAAACAGCCTTTTTTTTTTTCTTACCCAATATATGCTCTCCTTCCTCTGTAACATTAAAATAGCAACAGGACTTGTGATATTTAGTTGGGCACAAGGCCACCCAGAATAAAGACTATATTTCCTAGCCTCCTTTGCAACCAAATAAGGCTACACGGTCTGGTCAACGGACTGTAAGAAGAAATGGCAACTTCTTCAAGGTGGTAATGGTGGAAGGCTTCCCTCCTCCTTCCCTTTCTCCTTCTTGCTAGCTAGAAGGCAGATATGACTGCCAGAGCTGGAGTAGCCGTCTTTGTTCCATGAGACAGAAGCTGCAAGTTGAGGATTATGGAGCAAGAAGACAGAAGGAGACAGGGATCCCGATGATTAAGTAGCTATCATTAGATCTCTGAAACTTATACATGAGACAGAAATAAACTTATAATTTATCTAAGCCACTATTATTTTGGATTTTCTGTCACTTAAACCTAAACCTAAACCAAATTACTAGTTAAATTATAAATCTGTGAAACAGTTCTAAAGGTATTTGGTCAAGAGGAATCTCCATAATGGTTAATTAAGGACAGGACTGTTATTTTTTAACAGCATAGAAACCATATTTATAATTTAGTCTTCTTGATATTGCACCCCCTTTTACTTAAATACTTATTAAGGAACTAGTGAAGGAAATTCAATTCTGGAGGTAAAATTTGATGAATTTGTATTTCTTTCCCTCCAATTAAATTGTTTAAAATAACCCAACAGTGACAAAAATGAAACTACTTAAAAATAAAAAGGATAGTAGAATAAGAATGTTGCCATAGAAAGAAATATATTTCGGCACTGTCACTCAAAACAATGTCATTAATTTTAAGACATCTTCGAATGGACTCCTGAAATGTCTTTATGAGGCTTTCCGTAGGGCTTAGATACTATAGGATTTCCTCTGGAATGAAATCATGTGGACAAATATTATAATCAATGTATTGTTACTCTTATTCCCAGAAAAAGTTAGAGAAACATGGAGGGGAGGGGGCGGGGAGAAACATCAAAACATTTCACCATGAAAATAAAGCATCAGTTTTCTAATGTTGTGCAATATTGTGCATGAGAAAATATGCTACTTTCATATAGTTCTCCCAATTCCCTCTTCCAAGCAATTTGTTAGAAACCAACAGAATATTAGTGTATAACACAGCCTTCAAAGTTACGTTTCTTGTCTTTTTAAGAAAACAAAAGCATTGGAGACTGGCTTATCAAAAGAAAAGGACCACATTTTGCTCCACTGAAATTAATTATGGTAACTCACAATAAAATTCAGGCCCTACTGAGAGTTATCAAATGTTGATTCTACGTATCTATGTAGAGTACAGACTGATTAAATGACCCTTCCCATTCCCCCTATAAAACTCACTGACTGGTGCCCATAGCACAGGGAACATTCACGACTAGTTGAGTTGTGTCTTTTTTCAAGACTACTTTCATTAATTGTATTAGTATAATTGTGTAATAAAATATTACATAAACTAATAGTGTGAAAAGAGAGCAAAAAGATAAAGGTAAGTTTTAAAATGTTCTCTCCTTGCAAAGCAACCATAAAAATCATAATAGTCTGCCCTCAGATTGCTTAACAAGTACCTTTAAGTTCTTATTCCAATATACAGTAACTGTAACCAAGACTGGAAATTATGGTTGCTGATTTGTGAGTATAGTTTATGCAAGAATGGCAACATGGAACTCTGAAGAGTGGATTTGGACTCAAAGAAAAGAAATTGGCCCTGCATACAAAACTAGCCAATGAGTGCACATTAATATAATCAAATGAAATAAAGATACATATCTTTTTAAAAAATTATTTTAGCCAGTATTGTTTATTAACAGACTATCTACTAGTACCCACTATATAGATAAGATGGCTTCTACTGTATTAGAAAACTCTGGCTCAAGGTTGGAGCCCTTTATCTTTAATAGAAAGGAATGTTATTTCTATCATAATTTCCCCTAGAAATGAATGAAACTCAGGCTGCACTTGTGACACTGAGCAGCTTTCACACAGATCAACACAGACCTCTATTAGGGAAAAAGTTTTGCATAGCAGACCAATAGTAACACCAGCCTCTTAACATTTTATATTTGGCCCATATCCACTGGATTCCAGAGATGGGTTTGGTTTTCCAATATAGGAAACTGTTAAAAGCAGATCAAAAATAAAAATAGCACCTAGCCTTATTTCAAAAACAGCTTTGTATTAAATTTTCTCTAACCTATGTCCCTGTCCTAGAGAGCTTTTGTTTTCTATCACTCTATTTCATAACTTTCAAGCTGTCAAAGAAGTTGAAGAACATATTAACCCTCAAAAATCAGAGCCAAAGCATCAACTAGAAGTAGGCCTTTCAGAGTTATTTATCTAAATTCACATTTTGCACTAGTGTTGTTTTCTAGTAGTTATAGTAATTCCTGATCAAAAACCAAATGTGCTCATTCATTAAAGCAATGGCAATTTGGGAATTTGAAATCATAAAAATATACAGACATACATCATGACATATCCTGAAAATAAAAATTACAAAAAACAAAATTAGGGGTGGTAAAATTAAGTAGAATGTAATCATTTAAAGTCTATTAAAATGTCTACGATACAGGGCTTCTCAGCATAGTAAAAACATAAGCAAAGTATATTAGTCACCCCAAAACTAGAAATAGTTCATATAAATAGCTAATATGAATGCTGTATTTGTGCCACTAATGTATGCAATAAAACTACAGACCCATAAAAGGAAATATAAAGCTTGCATCTGTACCATTAATACGCATGTCAGCCAGAAGAATAAATCAAAACTATTAGTGTACAACAGATGGCCCAAGAATGAGCCAAGGTTTACACTTTGACAAGAGGAAACTTTTGACACTTAATACAAATCTGATAATGCTGGCAAGGTCACCAGAGGAAAAATGAGCTTGAAATCCTAATAAGTACAAATTCAAGTTTTGATTTAAGATATACTTTTCATGTCAAACTCTGTAGGATGTCCCCCACAAACTGCCCAACTAACCCTGCCTCCCCTTTTATTAACACCAAAAAGTATTAGGTTGGACCATAAAAAACTGTCATTTTGGTGAGTCAAATATCAGTAATTTCATAAGGTTCAATCTAAGAGTAATATATGCCTCTCTTTTTAAAAACCAGAATTAATTTTGAGTTTCTTGGTCAAAATGGTTTCTTGTAAATACTTTCCGATAAGACAGTAGCATCCAAAATCATTCTTCTCTTTTCATGAGAGTTTCAGGAAAAAATGTTTCTAAACCAGGTCAGGATTGATCTCCCTAGGGAAAGCTCTTAAACAAAATGTTGGTTACATGCCTTGGACAGGTATAGGACCAGGAAGTCTCTGCCCATGTGCTTCATATTACTTCATTCAATAACTTGAGTTGGCCAGGCGCAGTGGCTCACGCCTATAATCCCAGCACTTTCGGAGGCCGAGGCAGATGGATCATGAGGTCAGGAGATCAAGACCATCATGGCTAACATGGTGAAACCCCGTCTCTAATAAAAATACAAAAAAATTAGCCAGGCGTGGTGGCAGGCGCCTGTGGTCCCAGCTACTCAGGAGGCTGAGGCAGGAGAATGGCGTGAACCTGGGAGGCTGAGCTTGCAGTGAGCCGAGATCGCTGCCACTGCACTCCAGCCTGGGCGACAGGGCGAAACTCCGTCTCAAAAAAAAACAAAAAACAAAAAACAAAACAACAACAACAAAAACACTTGAGTTAATCAAAGTTCAAAACTTTGTTAGCTATAATAGAGAGCCTTTTCAAAAACTGGGAAGTATATGATTTAGGAAAATAAGTTAGGGCCTCTGAAACTTATTAGCAATTGTAATTTGTTGAGTGCCAACAGGACAGCAATCCAAAAAAAAGTCTTCTTAAGGAAAAAGATCAAACACTAAATGCATAAAGAGTTTAACCATTTGGGAGTTTGTCATATATAATGTTTACAAGATGTTTCATTTTAGAAAATTCACTTTACTCAGGACTACTGGTAGGAAGTGAATTTCCTGAAGATTACATTGCCTCCTACAGGTGTGTTACCAAAGCAGACCACAGGGGGTCAGGTAGGAGGCTCTATGACTACAGTAAATTGAGTCAACAAGTTTCCTGAGAAAAGTTATTAGGAAACACTTCTAGCAAAAAGCTAAACATAGATATATAGGAGAATCATTATACTTTTTGTTGAAAAAAAGGAACATATTGGGTTGAGACAAAAAATATATATTTTTTTAACCCAGCAGAATCTCAAAAGTTACCTCAAATGCCACTTGTGTTTGTGTGGATAGCACAGCAGGGTGGGAAGGGAACACAGGGAGATATACTAGCCAACTCTTTCATATCAATGATTCTACAAATTTCTGGAAGGGGAGAAAAAAAGGGGTTTCATGTAATATATATTTCTAAAGTTAACTCTCCTTGCATGAGCCTCAGTGTCTAGCTATTCCTCCAGCCTTCACTCCAGATCTTGATCCTTTTCAAAGCAATTTTGATGTTGGCGTCACATAAAGAAATATGGAGGACTATAAAATGCCCCTAAAGCACATTTTAGGAAAGACTAGTCTTAACAAGGCAAACTACAAAGTGGAATAAGAAATTTTAACCATAATATGCTTTATGTACATCAGTGAACAAATTTTCTCTCAGGATCTTGGGTTAACAAAATAGCCAAACTCAACACTTGCTCGCATTAGAAGCTGAGCTTTATTGCCAGCTGCAATCCTAGTTAAAGATGGAGGTATGATACTATATAAAGCTGTTCCACAATCTAGAAGAGTTCACTTTTCATATCACATAGGGTGTACTTTCTAAAGCCTACCAGTTTTCTTTCATCATAAATAGAACAGTAAGTTCTCAGTTTCCATTCAGTTTTGTGTGTGTGTGTGTGTGTGTGTTTTGTTTTTTTTGTTTTTTGTTTTTTTGTTTTGTTTTGTTTTATACAGTCTCATTCTGTCACCCAGGCTGGAGTACAGTAGCGCAATCTCAGCTCACTGCAAACTCTGCCTCCTGGGTTCAAGTGATTCTTCTGCCTCAGCCTCCTGAGTAGCTAGGATTACATGCACCCGCCACCATGCCCAGCTAATTTTTGTATTTTTAGTAGAGACAGTGCTTCGCTATGTTGGCCAGGCTGGTCTCGAACTCCTGACCTCAGGTGATCCACCCACTTCAGCCTCCCAAAGTGCTGGGATTACAGGCGTGAGTCACCATACCTGGCTTCCATTCAGTTTTAAAGTGCATTTTTAAGGTATGATGCATTTGTAGGAAATACAATTTTTAAATTGTTTGGTCAAGTATTGTTCTAAAAAGGATTTCATTTAAATTTCAGGTGGTAACAGCTTAAAAGTCAAACTGGGGTAAAATAGTATAGAATAGTATAATAGTATTAAGTTCTGTACTAACTATGTATCTTTCAGAAAGCATTTAATCATAGGAAGCTGGGATCAGAAGCAAAAACAGTGCCAATGGTAGGTCCTTCTAAAACAGAAGTTCTTAACAAAAGATACATATCAGAATCACCTGCAGGATTTTATAATATAAATACCCACATTCCTCAACTCTTGAAAAACAATTTCTTACATGGTAAGTCTGAGGTGGGCCAGAATTTTTCACTATTAACAAGTATCCCTGGTGATTCTGATGCAGATAGTTCCAGGACTCTGCATTCACAAACACTGGCCAGAGTGGCACAGACAGAGATTAAAAGGATGGACTCTGGAGCTAGACTGCCTGGGTTTGAATTCTGCTTCCATCACTTAATTTCTAGCTGTAGGATATAGAGCAAGTTCCTTAATCTGTGTCCTCATTTTCTCTTTAGTAAAATAGGGACAGTAACAACACCTATTGCACCGATTGTTTATAAAGATTAGACAAGTTAGTATTTCAACACTTATAAGTGTTCAATAATTTTTTTTTTAAAAAAAGGGACCAAAAAGTTTGAGGAGAGTGAAGTCCCTGAGGAAACGCAACAGTTAAATGCAACTGATATAGGAAATTTAGATTTGTTGTTTAAGTTTATTCCCTCAACCACATAGTTGAGAGCCATTGTTCCACTACTGAATGAAATAAAGGATGACAGGCACACATGACCAATCCAAACTCTTTAGCCTAGAAATGAAATCTCTTTATAATTTGGTCCCTACTGATTTGGTCTCTCTCCATCATGATCTCACTTGTGTTTATTCCTTTTTATAAACATTAGCACTAACTGCCATAGATATTCTCTACCAATTCAACCAGGAAAAGGAGACACCCCTATATTTTATTTCCTTTAATATAAAAGATGACAGGAGAAAAATAATTGAAGCACAAGTATTCAAAGCCTCTACTCTATCCCTGTACCTTTTGTAAAGAGGTAAATTTTTGTTTTTGTAAGTGCTGATTAATTGTGTGTGTGCTAGGGGCAAGGAAGTGGTGGAGAGCAGAGTTGGAAGAAACTAAATTAAATTAAATTAAATTAAAGTTTAATTAAAAGGTATGAGTTATCAGCAGAAAAAAAAGGTCTGGAAGTTGGAAAGATGAAAAGAGGTAGATAAAGAAGGGCGGCCTCAGCTGTGGCCTTTGTAGAGGCACACACCTTTACCTGCTCCCACTTCAGATCTTCATTCAAATGTCAATTTCTCAGTGAGGTCTTTCCTAGCCACCTTAGTTAAATTGTACACACACATTCCCACCAAACACACCTCCTTTCCTTTCTCTGCTTTACTTTTCTCTCTAACACCTATTATATATCGTTACCCTTTATAAATGAGCTCCATGAGCTCCATAACAGCAGACATTTTCATCTGTTTTGTTCATTGGTGAATCCCCAGGATCTACTACAACCTTTCATATAGTAGGTAACCACAAACGATTTATAATGTAAACTAGCTAAAGGAGAGCTATTATAATAGATTTTTAACTAGTTTTTTCCCTAAGGAGGCAAGAATCTCTAAGACCCTTTCAGGTCAAACTATTTTCAAGCCTTTTTGCACTTTGTTGAAATTTACTCTGTTGGTGAAAAAGCAAAGCCAAACTGCTAGGCCTTAGTATAAATCTATGTAGTGGCACCAAGCTAGTCTAGCAGTCACTGTATTCTTCACCGCCACATACAGTAACAATGAATCAGCCAACAAATGAATAAATGAATAAAATATTTTAAAGCCAATTTCAGTTTAGAATATCCTTGTTGAAGCAGTAAAAATTATTAACATTCTCTGTGATGAAAGGGCAAGAACATAAAAAACTGTTTTGCTGCCTACTGAAGCATAATGGCTATCTCAAGAAAAAGCACTTGGGTGAATGATTTACAAGCTGAACAACCCACTTTTTTCAATACCACTTTTACTTGAAATAATGGCGAATTATTGTTATTCAGGCAAGGGTAACCCATTAAGCACTTTTTAAAAATGCAGTAAGCCTGATATTTCAAAGAAAATACTTGACAGTATTTGCAAATTATAAAATTTGGGATTTTGAGTGAAAATCCGAATTTCGGAAACCATGTATCTACCACCATGAGTATGACCTTCTTGATGTGATTCGTGGTGATATTAATGAATGTGATTTTTTGACATTGTATAATGAAATATGTTCATATTTAGAAGATCTGCCTAACTCTTAGTGAACCAGTATCTTCCAAATGAGCAGTGAATGATGTTACAAAATCATGCATGGGTACAAGTTCCATTCAAACTGCAAGATAGATCAATGGATTTTTAATGTTACAGAGGGTAAAAGTATCACTGATATGGCTTTAGATTCTATAGTGCAACTAATCTTTAAAGAAATTACCACTTGCTGAGTTTTTATGTAGTATCAAAACAATAATTCACAATTATTTGAAAAGGCTATTAAAGTACTCCTTCCCTTTGCAACTACTTACCTGCATGAGGGTAGATTTTCTTCATATATTTCAACTAAAACAATATATTGCAACAGACTGAATACAGAAATATATAAGAATCTTGTTATCTTCCATTAAATCACATATTAAAAATCTGCAAAACTGTAAAACAGTGCTACTCTTCTCACTAATTTTTTTTTTTTTTGCTTTGGGAGATATAATTATTTTCCATTAAAAATGTTATTTAAAATTTTAATTGTTTTTTTTTTCAAATAAAACATTAAATATTTTAAACATTTCTTAATTTTTATTTCTACTAATGGCTAATGATATTGAGCACATTTTTATGTGCTATTGGCCATTTGTATATCTTCCTTTGGAGCAATGTCTACTCAAGGGTTGAAAAACTAACTGGTTGGGTACTATACTCATTATTGGGTGATGGGATCATTCATACCCTAAACCTCAGCATCACCCAATATGCCAATGTAACAAATCTGCACATCTACCCCAAATCTAAAATAAAAGTTGAAATTATAAAAAAAGACTAGCCTTAAAAATTACTTCCAATAAATACATACAAATATTTCATATGTATGACAGACAGAAATATCTGCTTTATTATAGATAAGAATAATGTTTGTTGCTTAATACGACAGAAGAATGTGTAAGTGGGTAACACAGTGATCTATCTACTATAATTTTATATGTCATATGTCATATGTTTACATAACACCATAATGATGTTACTAAGATTATACCCAAAAAAGTATTCTCATATACATGTACTATCCTATATTTGAAAATACTTTTTTTAATCAAAGTTTTCATTTTTCAGTTTCACACAGCATTGCTTAATTATCTATTTCAAATGTAAAACTTTTAAATGTTCTTGTGTAACTGAAGATCATTAGTTTTGTACAAAACTTACAGAATGAACATGTCTCAGCTAATGCATAAATGTATGTCATGATGTGTACATATGCAAAGCAAATAATTAGCATACACTATAACATTAAGGAGATACTTTAAATAAACTACTTTAATCAAGCTATTCTGACTTCATTTGTTGTCAATACTTTTAATCCTCTTTCTAAAAGTATAATCAGAAATTATATTCATAAGTAACATTTTATTCTTCCTACCATACTGTTTGGTTTTTAGACTTCTAGTAATATAATGATGTAGAGTTTAAATGCAAAAGATTATATTTGACTTAATGGCTTCTTATTGAAAATGTTAACTCCCAGTTCAGCAGGCTCGTAAAAATTGCTTCCTAAGAGGTCTCTTTTCATGTCATCTGTTAATTATTTTTCATGCCATCTGTTAATTATTTATAAGCAAAAGTTGAGTACTATTCCTCACGTCGTCCATAAATTCTTTAAGCGAAATGACATAAAGGAAACCAGTTTTATGATAGCCTAATTGATATAAATGAGAGTTACGTTCCTACAGCATATTTCTGGCTATAAAAACATCACCAAACTTCTAAATAAAGACCCCAAGCACTTCTAATATTAAATATTGAAATAAATGTGAGCTATACATTTAATAAAAACTAATAAAAACAAGTAAGATAATTTATGCAATTTTTGGTGAATCAGTAAGTGATGGTGGTCGTAGTGATGTAAGTTAAGTCAATAAATGTTTGTGAAGCAAAAGTTATAAGGATGTGGGAGGAAACTGGAGAAAACCTGTGCAGACACATGGAGAAAACGTGAAAATTCCACACAGACAGTGGTCCCAGCTGGGAACTGATTTTTTTTCTCATCAATGTTATATTGAAATGAAGCTAAACAAAATGACATTTTTTGAGAACCTGCTGTGATCTGAGACGTTTCTTCAACTCTGGACGGGTGCCTAATAGAAGCATTGAAGTAAGCTGTGGAATATATAGGTCATAGGTTCAATAACTCTGTGCCTATCCCACAATGTAAAATGTAAAAAAATAGCAGAGAAAAATTTCCACCAATAAATATGCAAGACCCAGAGGAATAAGGCAGTGGAGTTTTGAGTTGACTACACTTACTTTATTTAAACTGTTTAAAATGTATGAAATAATTTTTACATGGAATGTTTTGTCTTTTATATTTACTACCAAATAAGACTTAATAAACTTAAGGGAAATTCTTTTTAATCATTTATCAAATGATCTAAATTTTACACATTTAAGAAACTAACTTTTTAAGTACCAAAATCTGGAAGGGTAAATAAAAACATTATGTTCGTGACCACAGAGAATCGGTTTTGAAAAGCAATTTTCAGGATTCTTCATTCTGATATACTAGACTTATTTCTCCCTAACTCTTGGTTAGAAAAGTAATAGAGAATTACTGAAGCTGTTAATAGGGTGACACAGTTGATTTCAAATGGGCTTGTAGAGTGTAAAGATTCAGTACAAATGTTTGGAATAACTTGCAGCTGTTGCAGGGTGAATAGGCTTAATGACATCCTGGGAATACTGAAGGAGAACTGCCTGGAGTACTTTAAAATATTTATATTATTGTGATATGAAAAAAATGTTTAATTAGAAGCCAGAAAACAGTGTAGAAACTTCATTGGCCTTTGTTTAATTCTGAATCAGATTTGTAGATGTCTCAACATTGTTACATATTCCTGGGTACACTTATCCACATATATCCTCTGTTGTAACAAAGTGCCTCCTCTAATAAGAAAGGGGAGAAACGATTTTCTTTAGTTTCATCCAGGTTTGGTTTAGCTCAATTTAATTCAGAATACTTTAGAATTTTACCATATGCAAAACACCATAATGGAAAAAGGGTGAATAAAAAACCCTACACTATTCTCAAGAAACTTATTTAGTGAGGATATACATAAAAATACAGAATACAGGCCTGGCACGGTGGCTCACACCTGTAATCCCAGCACCTTGGGAGGCCGAGGTGGGAGGATCACCTGAGGTCAGGAGTTCAAGACCGGTCTGGCCAACGTGGTAAAACCCTGTCTCTACTAAAAATACAAAAATTAGCTGGGCGTGGTGGCGTGCGCCTATAGTCCCAGCTACTTGGGAGGCTAAGGCAGGAGAATTGCTTGAACCCAGGAGGTGGAGGTTGCAGTGAGCTGAGATCACACCACTGCACTCCAGCCTGGGTGACAGAGTGAGACTCTGTCTCAAAAAAAAAACAAAAACAAAAACAAAAAAAACACACACACACAGAATACAATGAGTACTATATAACTATATTATGGGAATTCAATGAAATCATGGGGATTTAATTGAGTGTTCAAATATTGCTCCTTGAGAAAAAGCCTAACTGCCTATAGGTACTCTCGAGGCACCAGAGGTACGTTATTCTTTCATCCAGATAAAAACACTGGGTAAATGTCTCAATATTCATGCTAAATCTACCCTCTATTTGGTTTATAAAGCATATGGAGCAGCCCTGAATTAGCAATACAGAATATTAGTACTCTAGTCTCTCACCAAAAGCCTGGATATGATATTTAAAAGGCTTGCATAAAGCACATGCTAGCCATCCATTCCTGTAAGCATTCTAAGTTCCAAGACCAAGTTGCACTGTAAGAAGGTTTGGCTTACAATGTTTAGCCTCTCTCTGAATGGCTTTTACTGAATTGTACATTATGAACCAGATGACGAATCAATAAAAATTTACTAGGAGTCAAAAAAATCTATACTTAATGGAAACCCACATCTCCAAAATATACCACAAGAGCAGGTTTAGGCTCAACTCCAAGGATCATCTCAGTTACCTTAGAAATCTTAGTTCCAGAGCAGTGTTGTTTAATAGAAATATACTGTGAGGCATATAAGCAAGCCACATATATAACCTTAAAATTTCGGGCACACAAAATAAAAAAGTAAAAGGAAACATATAAATTTAATTTTAATAATCTACTTTATTTAATGTATCCAAAATATTATCACTCAACACGTAAGCAACATAAGCGTTATTAAAATATTTTACTTTTTCTTCACCCTAAGTCTTCAAAATCTAGTGTGTATTTTACACTTACAGCACATCTCAGTTAGGACTAGCTACATTTCAAGACTAGTGACTACTGTACTGACCAGTCCAGCTCTAAAAGATAAACTTCTTTTGGGAAATGACCCTTTCAGGCTTCCTCCCGAACAGAAAACTACAGCTCTTCTTTCCCCTTTTATTCTGTAGGTTTTTTAGGAGCAGCAGCCATGACAAATCTATGTAGCAGTTCTTTGGTGCTGAAGGTTAGAAGGTGGGGGAGGAGTTGGCCAGTAGAATATTTTTATTTATTTTATTTTTTGAGACAGGGTCTCGCTCTGTTTCCCAGGCTGGAGTGCAATGGCACCTTGACTCACTGAAATCGCTGTTTCCCCAGGCTCAAGTGATCCACCCACCCCCGCCTCAGCCTGTGAGTAGCTGGGACTACAGGTGCATGCCACCATGCCCGGCTAACTTTTTGTATTTTAGTAGAGATGGAGTTTCATCGTGTTGCCCAGGCTGGTCTCAAACTCCTGAGCTCAGGCAAGCCGCCCGCTTCAGCCTCCCAAAGTGCTAGGATTACAGGTGTGTGCCACCGAGCCCAGCTCTTTACATAATATTTAATTCAGTAAAAATATTATAGTCCATTCTGAGTTGGAAACATTTCAACTTCTCTTACATTTTGCAGAAAAAAATAACACACAACTTGAAAGGGATGTTAATTTGTTGAAATTTTACTGGTTTGCGTATTTCTGAAAGAACTCTCTTCTAATGTAATTTTATTTACTGATTAGAACATAGTAAAGTGCAGTGAAAAGTGCACTAGCCTGAAATGGAAGATGATTTGACTTCTAGACCTTGTTTTGTCACAGATGAGTTGTGTGCTGCCATATATATCTCTGATTCTAAATTTCTTCATCTATAAAACAAGGGGCTAAAAGTACACCTCTAAATCTCAAACATCTAAACTGGAAACTATATATTTATTTAAGAAATTCTAAATACTTCACACTTTCAAAGCAATATTATTTTTCCAATATACTATTGCATAACTTTGTAAAAATGAGATTAAATAATAAAGCTAAAATAAATGGCCAAATTGTAAAAGGAATCTAATTTTACTGATAATAGGTTCGATTCCTGTTCATCTGCACCAGCTAGGTTTTCACCAATAAGGAAAAATAACACAACATTCTCTATGAAAGAGAATTCGTTAAATTCAGTTTACTAGTGAAACATTTTAAATTTGAGTAACTGGGATTACTACACTTCACTAATAAAATTCTGCTACTGACTTGAAGACTCATCAAAATAAAGCAAGCAAAGAAAAATATATACAAATGTATAATCATCCAATATGGAGGCTGGGCATGGTGGCTCACGCCTGTAATTTCAGCACTTTGGGAGGCCGAGGCAGGCAGATCACTTGAGGTCAGGAGTTCAAGACCAGCCTGGCCAATGTGAAGAAACCCTGTTTCTATCAAAATTACAAAAGTTGTGGCACACACCTGTAGTCCCAGCTACTTGGCAGGCTGAGGTGGGAGAATCACTTGAAACCGGGAGGTAGAGGTTGCAGTGAGCCGAGATTGTGCCACTGCACTCCAGCCTGGGCGACAGAATGAGACAAATACATCTATCTATCGATTGATGGATAGATAGACGGATGTATTTGGCTTCCCATGGATAATTTCAGTTCAAGGTGAGCAGTTATTTCTATGTGTTAGCAGTATAGTTTTCTAATGCAGAGAACAGGGATGGTCCAGCATCTATTTCTGTAACTCACTGGGTCCTTTATTTTTTCTCAAAGATCAGTAATTTTTTAAAAATGCCTGATGTCAATGCACTACAGCATTTTCCAGAAATGTTTAAGTGCTGACAGAGGAAGTAGAATTCCCTCCTACTCATACCAAATCATGAAAGCTGAAACAGTTCATCTAATCAGTATAAGGCATGAATGCTTTCTTGTACATATTTTTAGAGGTAATTAAATGCTCTAGGGGGAGGGAAAAAGCACTGAGTAATAAAATGATCAGATATGTTGCTAAAGCTATTATGAAGCCCCAACCTAAAAGCAGAGTAAAACCCTATTCTAAATATCTAGACATTCTCACAGTCATATAGGCACATTTCCTCCCAGCTACTTGATCTCTATGTTCCATACTCTAATCACAATTCCTGCCTCAGACAAGTATCATTTTCACAATTAGGAAACAGAGCCTTAAAAATATTTGGGGGAATGGATGTATCTGTTATCTGAATCAGGGGATATCTATCAAACGAAGTTATAATATTAGATTGGATTTAAATGCAGATGTTTATCCTCTATAAAAGTAGGCATATACTATATTGCAATGATGTAAAAACATATATGCATCCTTTAAAATAAGTAAAACACACACAAATAGTAATGATTTTGTTAGGCTAGTAAACCATAGGTGATTTCTCCTTTTATACTTTTCAAATTTCTGACCATTGAGATGGTACTTTTGAAATTAAAAAGCTTTTTATTTATTTATTTTTTTGACACAGGTTCTCACTCTGTCAGCCAAGCTGGAGTGCAGTGGCATGATCTCAGCTTACTACAACTTCTGCCTCCTGGGTTCAAGCAATTCTCCCACCTCAGCCTCCAGAGTAGCTGGGACTACAGGTACACACCACCATGCCCAGCTAACTTTGGTAATTTTTGCTTGAGACAGGGTTTCACTATGTTGGCCAGGCTGTTCTTGAACTGACTTCAAGTGTTCTGCCCACCTTGGCCCCCCAAAGTGCTGGGATTACAGGCATGAGCCACTGCATCTGGCCTGAAATTAAAAATCACTTAAATTGATCACACAGTTATCTATTAATGGTTGAGACTACTTGGTAAGAATTCTATATAAATATGTAAACCTCATAAAGACTACAAAATAGGACAGGCACAGCAGCTCACGCCTGTAATCCCAGCACTTTGGGAGGCCAAGGCGGGTGGCTCACGAGGTCAAGAGTTCCCGGTCAGCCTGGCTGAGATGGTGAAACCCCGTCTCTGCTAAAAATACAAAAAAAAAAAAAAAAAAAAATTAGCCCGGCTTAGTGGTGGGCGCCTGTAATCCCAGCTACTCGGGAGGCTGAGGCAGAGAATTGCTTAAACCTGGTAGGTGGAGGATGCAGTGAGCCAAGATCACGCCACTACACTCCAGCCTGGGTGACAGAGTGAAACTCTGTCTCAAAAAAAAAAAAAAAAAAAAAAAAAAAAAAAAAGACTACAAAACAAATGTTGCCTCTAATAACCAAAGAAAAATTTATAAACGATTCAGTAATTTTTTAAAACTAAGCCCAAACGTTTAAGAAGTTTGAAGTTTAAGAACTTTAAGACTCTTCTCCATCATTTATGTGGTTTAAGACATTTCACTCAATCATAAAAATTAGATCTACTAATTTCAACTTCCAATCAAATTTTAGTGGTCTTCATGTTTTAGTTTTAGAATTTAAAACTAAAATTACTTAATTCCAAAATAAGTTTTTAAAACCATTTCTTAAAAAAAAAAAAAAAAACACCTGCTCAATTCAGCTGCCATCTTAAAAGGAACAAAAACGTGGCTTCAAGTAACAAGTACTAATAACAGGCAAATGATTCACATTGGATACCATATTGTAACACCAGTTCCTAAGTTTATTATTATAAAAGTTTTTCCAACCATTTGCAAGAAAGGGGAAAATCACAAAGAGATTAATTTTTGCAGAAGTAGGGACTTTATAAAGTATTCCAGAGCCAACTTAATTTGATACAGAGTTGGAAAAAGGTGAAAAATGCATATACCAGAAATCTTTAACTACAAAGGACATATTTTCTCAGTAAAAGGCATGCCAGGGATTGGAGAAAATTTATTTCAATCTGTCATAAAGCTTGACAGTTTGAGTAAAAGAAACAAGCAAAAGATGATTATATTATGTGAGGAACAGATATGTTAAGTCTTAGATGATTAACATTAGTTGAAAAATTAAGCAACATTTGTTCTTCCCTTACATTGTCCATTATACACTTGTGTGCAATTAAAGCCTGTCAAATGGTATGAACTGATTTAGGGTTCCCAGCACTTTTCTGAATCAGATAGAACACCTTACAGGGAAAATAAAAAGAACTCTTTTTACTTGAAGGGGAAGGAAGTAAGACGTCTTTCTATTAGGCAATACCTTTTGCTGTTGTTGCTTTTTAAGCACAGATTTGAAAGACTCAGGCTTTTCAGAAGGTCGACAAAAGAATAGTTTCACTTGTTATCATTTTTCAGGAGTTTACTTTGAAAATAAAGTTTCCGTGGCGGGGCGCAGTGGCTCACGCCTGTAATCCCAGCACTTTAGGAGGCTGAGGCTGGCGGATCACCTGAGGTCAGGAGTTTGAGACCAGCCTGACCAACATGGAGAAACCCCGTCTCTACTAAAAATACAAAATTAGCTGGGCATGGTGTCACATGCCTGTAATCCCAGCTACTTGGGAGGCTGAGGCAGGAGAATCCCTTGAACCTGGGAGGTGGAGGCTGCAGTGAGTCGAGATCGCACCACTGCACTCCAGCCTGGTCAACAAGAGCGAAACTCCATCTCAAAAAAAAAGAAAGAAAGAAAGAAAGAAAATAAAGTTTCCGCTAAACCAGTGTATGATTTTTCTAATCTACATAGGTTAGAATAGACTCACAGTGCAGTAATTTATCTTACCTGCAAATGAAATCTGGAAATGCTGAACTTTAAAAATACCAACCATATAGCTTACTGTTGAGAAGACAATGGCTTCCCCTCAACGACGTAGCAAAAGAACACAAAGCCACATTTTAGGGTCTTTAAAGAATGACCCGCCAGGCGCGGTGGCTCACGCCTGTAATCCCAGCACTTTGGGAGGCCAAGGCGGGTGGATCACCTGAGGTCAGGAGTTCGAGACCAGCCTGGCCAACATGGCGAAACCCCGTCTCTACTAAAAATACAAAAATTAGCTGGGTGTGGTGGCATGCGCCTGTAGTCCCAGGTACTAAGGAAGGCTGAGGCAGGAGAATCTCTTGAACCTGGGAGGCAGAGGCTGCAGTGAGCTGAGATCACGCCACTGCACTCCACACTCCAGCCTGGATGACAGAGCGCGACTCCATCTCAAAAAAAAAAAAAAAAAAAGAATGACCTGTATAACCTGAGAGGGAAATGCTAATGAGGGACTTTAAGAAATATCTAAGAGACAAAAAGAAAGGGCAATGAAAATCAACTGGGGGAAAAAGTATTACAGGATACACAGCTTGATGGATTTAGCAGAGACTTAAAGAGACAAACGGATATACAGAAGGAATTCTAAATTGTGTAAAAAGAAATGAAGATCCTGAGATGATAGAAGATTATGGAAGGAAGTCATTTTCCACAGATTCCTCTTTTCATTCTAAGGGAAGTAGATGTCCATTTGTTTAGAATAATTAAAATACATTACTCTTTGCTTACTTTTCTTACCCATCAGAGTTGAAAAATATCAAGTGTATGAGTCCACCTGAAGTAGGAAATTATCATCTGAATTGTCCACATCCGAAAATTAAAGCTCAGATAAGCACACTCAGGCCATCACAAAATTTTATAACCAAGTTTTATTTCAATCTGTTAAACTGGAGGCATACAATGACCTAAACATATCCCTTTAAACTCCGTTCCTCGCAAAAAAAGAAAAATGATGCTGTAAAAGGAGCATTTCTGTAAGTTTGAACAAAGTTCAACGGATAGCAGAACTTTAGGAAAAACTTCATTTAACTTTAAGATTTAGTTTTTAAGTAGCCCCTAAAACCATTCAATGTCGCTAAGGCCATAATAAAGAAACCTTGGGCCAACATTTATCTATAAAGCTGCTTTTAAAAATGGCAGTCTTTTCTTTTTGATGGTTTGTCCCCATTCTCCTCACAAAAGGAAAATCAAATAAAAATTACACCAAAAGATGATTCAGTATGAGGATAAGCTGTATGAAATTCTAAATGGTAACACACATTTCCAGTAATTTCATGACCTGTAGAGTCATTAATAACCAGCCTTCTAGGTGCCTAAACAGCTCCGCCAACTCCTGAAGGCAAATGGGGTGGAGAAAGGCTATCAGTATAGGTTATCACGGTTGGTGCTCCGAGGGATCTTGATCTTCTCAATGTTTTTAAGGATTACATCACGCAAGGTGGCATACTCGTTCCGTAGGTGCAGCAGGATCTGGCGCACACTCAGGTACTCGTTTTCGTCGACCTCTGCTACAGTGCAGCGATAATCTTCCACTTGGGGGTACTTCACTATCTTGGATACCAACTTGGCCTGGGTGTTGTAGTAGGTGGAGAAGCCGCATAGAGAGGAGGCCGCTGTGCTATCCACGGTCCACAGCTGGTCCACAGTGTCTTCCTGGATAGACACCCTGAAGTTGTTGCCGTCCTGCACCTTCAGGATAAGCGGGTGCACCTACATGTGCACTGTGTTGCATTTCTCTCTCAGCAGCTTGATCTCAGGTTTCACCCACTCAGTCAACTCCACCAGATGCTGGTTGCTCCGCAGAAGCTGTCCCTCGCTGCCAAGCAGTGCTGGGACCTTGATGGAGAACTGAGTCAGCAGAACTGGCAGATTTTGGTTGGGCCCATCTCCCTTGTTGCCTGGGGTGGCCAGGGGCTCCGAGGTTGGCACCGAATGGATTCTGGACAGGTCTTGCAGCCGGAGCTCCTGAACTCGGCTATTCAGCTCCAAGACCTTCTGAGGAAAGAAGGTGGACACGAGATCCTCGGCCTCCTGGGCGATACGGGCTCGAAACAAATCTACTTTCCCCTGCATGTCCGGCTCTAGCTTCAGCAGAAAAGCCATGGCTTCTAGAGGCGTCGAGCTTTGGGGTGGACACGACCCGCGTTTTACACCCGCCTTGGCCAGCTGTGCTTGGGCCTCGCCGCCGCCACAACTCCCAACAGACCACTCCAGAAATTATGTCATAGGGTCCCAGAAGCCCACGTGGCTGGAAAGGAAGTGGTGCAGCAGGAAGTCACGCCCCCGCCCAAGTCCTCTAGACGCCTTCAGCAGGCTGACCTGCATCCCCAGCCCTACCAAAGCTCTGTGTGCTGAGGTTTGGGGCCAATCCGCTAGAGCATCGAGGACCACATGTTAGCAGAGAACCAGCCGGATCTAGTTCCCGAAGCCGCCCTTCCACCTACCTGGCGGCCTGGCTGGCGGGTCGCCTGACTATGAAAGACAGTTCCAAAGAATGTCGTTTAAGAAAGCATTGTGAAGACCTGTCAATGGCAAGGCGGCATACTTACATGGGAGCTCAACAAATCGACAATCCCTGGGTCAAAAATATACAATCTCTTTTGAAAAGAACCTCACCAAATGGGGTCTCCAGAGCAAGGTTCACTTCTGGGGAGCCCTAAGTCACACCTTTACAGGTAACCTGGACCTAACCCTTGCTTTCTCCGTAGAAAATCAGAAGTGGTTCATTTCACTGTGGTATTTAAATCAGGTTAGCAAACTTCCGAGATCTTTAATTTACATTACAAATGTTAAGTTATATGACTCTTCCTAAACTCATCTTTTTGGGGACAATTAACAAAATCTGAATCTGGACTGTAGATTAAAGATCAAGGTCAAATTACCTGAATTTGACAACTGCATTGTGGTTATGGAGGTGAATACCCTTGTTTCTAGGAAATACTACATTTTTAAGGTATGAAGTGATATAATGTAGTATTTAACCTGTTCTCAGAGAGTTCACAAAAATAATTTGTATGTGTGTAAAGAAACAGAATGAGGGAAAATGTTAAAAACTGATATATCTGCATAAAGGGTGTATGGGAGTTCAGTATTCATGTGACTTTTCTGTAAGTTTGAAATTATGTCAAAATAAAAAGTGAAAAAATTACCTTTTCCCTAAAGGCTTTCAGAATTATAAAGACAAATTCTGTGCTCTTCTAAAATTTCATTCTACTTATTTATATTCATTTTCCTTCCCCTGAAATATTTTCCTTTTGTTCTTTGTAACACCACAAAATCCATGCTTTTGAATTTTATACTAAAATTATTGACATTTGAATCAAAAAGATTCTCAAGATGCTTTAATACAGTTAGGTTCATATGTAACTGTCACCTCAGACTGTAAACTCAAGGACAGAGGCCAAGTCTTGATTTGTTTCCATTGTATCTGGCACAATGCCTGACATGAAGCAGGTGCTCAATACACGTCTGATGAAATGATCTTCCAATTAGTAAGATTTTGGATAACTGTAACTTCCCATGATTTAGAACTCAGAAGAAAGTGTGAACAAGATAAACATGTTGTTATAGCTTGGGTTCCCCAGCAAGCTGACTCTGAGAGTGTGCTTACAGGAAGTTTATTAAGGATTGTTCTTGTGATAAACACCTGTGGAAGGGAAGCGACAGCAGAGGGAGAAGTTGACTTCAGTACAATCTCAAGGCCTCAGTGGACCCCATGGAAAACTGGGAAAGGTCCTTCAGGGTTGTCTTGAGTTGGGGACAAGGCAATTCCTGAAGAAGGCTGTCTGGCAGCAGGACTTCCAGCTGTTGGGAAATAACCCTTTAGTCCTGAAAGGGAACTTGGGGAATGCATTATAGCTTCAACTATACACATGTGCCATATTAGGATACCTATACTAACAAGGCAGCAATCTGTGTTCAAGACAAGTATGTTCAGTCCCAATTAGGAGTTGAAAATCAAAGATGGTTTCTATGTTCAGATTGCTTCAAGGCTTGTAGGAGTGTGATAAAGGATGCGGTAAAGAGAATTATATATGGGTGGTACATGAGGGAGGGGATAAGGGTGTATATGTATGTGGTTGTATATGCGGTGGAGGTATTGGGGAAATACTGGCAAGCTGGATCTCAAGGTATAAGGGAAAGTGTCAGGAAATAAGGCAGGAGAGGTATGGACCAGCTCGTGGAAGCTGGCCCCTGTTTGCCATGCTTAAGGAACTTGGATTTAATAGAAGCCAACCAAGGAATTTAGGCAGGGAAAAATACATGATGGATGATATGAAGGATGGAGGTGGATTTGAAGGAGAGACTAAAGGAAGAGAGACTGCTGCCATAATCCAAATGAGGAAGTATGCCTCATTTAAAGCAGTGGTGATGAGGTTGAAGAGACATATCAAGAGAGCTTTATAAAGTAAAATTAACAGTACTTGGTGATAGTTTTGGATATAGAGAAATGAGAAAAGGTAGAATTAAACACTATGTAACTTTTTTTTTAACCTGGGGAAAGAATTTTTATTTATAGTTACATTAAACCTCCCCCAAGAGGTGAATTAGATACACATTTTTACACACTCATATTTACTACATTCAAGCTAGGGGAATTTAGATAAGGCTATCAAACAGAAAAGGAAAATCAAATATTGACCACAATTTTCCCAAATCCTGATCTTCTTCATAACTTTGGCTATAAAAGATTACTATGTAATTATTATGGAAATTCCCTTTTATACCCAAAACATCTTCAATGGTATATACGGTTTAACAAATGGTTACTCTATTTTCAAAAAGTAAATACTTCTAGTTGCTCTTTTAAAAAAGCAGGGAAGTTTCTTTCAATGATTCATGCAGCCATTTATATGGAATTATTTTCTTTCGTTGTCTGATGATAGAATATGAAATCCTTTAGGGGATTCAGCTGTTCTTTTTTCTGGTATGATGTAAGAGTTTTATTTATTCGTAATGTTTCCTGTTCTTGTTAATGAGAGTGATGGTTGATAGGAAAATAACAGCCCCTAATTTTTCTTCCCTCATAGACGTCAGCAATCAGCAGTTGTTTTTTAAAAAGTTATTTAATGCACTTGCATGCCTTGATTTGATCCATGAAATTAATACTGAATGCTAACAGGTGGTAGAATGTCAGGGACAGCTGTGTAGAGTATAGTCTTGTTCAGGTTAGTTTCTCCTTTCTCCACAGCCCAGCAGGATTCATGATGTACTGGTGCCAATAACTGACACACCACTCTTCTTTTAGGAATACTTAGAGATTTATGGATTGATTTATCCTTTTATATGTCCTCCAACTCTGAAACCCTGTGAAGAAGCGATTCTGGGGTCCTATGTGTGAATTCCATTTATAGAACCTATTCTAAGCAACATATTATATCACAACTATTAGACATAAAGGTAGCCTTGAGCTATGGATTGGGATTTAATCCTTAGAAATACATATTTTTCACTGATTTCTCTGTCTATAAAAGTTAGGAGAAATATAATTAGTGGGACTAAATCTAGATCATCTTAAAACTCTGATGCTCTGATGGGTGATAACAATTATCCCCTTTACAAAGTTCTTCATCTCCAGGTTGCAATGGATCTTACATTACCTAGCCCAAGGGCTTTATTTACCGCTTATGAACACTTGGTAGTGAGCATCATAAAATGCTTCAGGCCGAGTGCAGTGGCTCAAGCCTGTAATCCCAGCACTTTAGGAGGCCAAGGCAGGCGGATCAGTTGAGGTCAGGAGCTCGAGACCAGACTGGCCAACATGGTGAAACCCCGTCTCTACTAAAAAAAAAAAAGCACAAAAATTAGCCAGGTGTGGTGGCATATGCCTGTAATTCCAGCCACTCGGGAGGCTTAGGCAGGAGAACAGATTGAACCCGGGAGGTGGAGGTTGCAGTGAGCTGAGATCGCACCACTGCACTCCAGTATGGGTGACAAAGCGAGACTCCCTCTCAAAAAAAGAAAAAAAAAAAGCTTCATTTTACAATGTAGTTAGGGTTGACAAATATATCACTTCCCTTCCTTCATTCTTTCTTGTAGACCACTGCAAGTTAAGGGTACAGAAACAAACAACGTAGAGGTACTTGCTGCAATGTCTCTTTGTCGACTGTAGTTGCCAATTCAGTGTCTCTAGAACTGTCTCCAAATCTAATATGTGCATGCATGCCTTTAAATGAAGAGGAGTGGCAATACAGGACTGTGGTTAAGTCCATGAAGTTGGCTTAACATGTCGAATCCTGACTTTGCTACTTATTAGCTGTGTGACACTGGCTAAGTTATGTAACCTCTCTGTGCTTCACTTTGTAGTTGTAAAACTATAAGTACACTTACGCACCACATAATGATGTGTCTGTCAACAATGGACCGCATGTACTATGGTGGTCCCATGAGATTATAATGGAACATATACAGAAATCTGATACATGGCACTTAATGTTGGTGATGCAGATCAAGTAAGGGAAATGACTGACATTCAGTAACATGGCTAAGAAATTTGGTTTTCCATATGAAAAAATAAATATAAACAAAGATATACATCTAGGTTTGTGTAAGTATACTCTATGACGTTTGTACAATGAAGAAATTGCCTGACAATGCATTTCCTAGAATGTATCCCATTGCTAAGTGATGTATAACTGTATAAGATGTTTCTAGAATTTAGTTTTTATATGTATTTAATAAACATAAGTCAATGCTGGAGAAAATTTCTTCGTTTAACAGGAATTGCAAACAATTACAGAGTTATCTTCCTGAAATGCAAGTCTGATCATATTTCTGTCTTCTACAGGTTAAGAACCAAACTTCATGATCTGGACCCTGCCATCTTTTATTTCCTAGAACTGACTACATTCCAACAATTCTCTCACTCATCCTGTGTGCTTACATATTCACCTCTCTGTCTGAAATGCCACACTGCCTCATCTTCCTCCTACTCTCTACCCTACTCATCCTTCTATAACCAACTCTCTTGTTTTCTGAAAAATTTGATACTACCTCCTCCTTCCTTGATGAATGTAGTGCTCTTGGCACAAGTAAAATAGTGTAATGATATCTACCTCATAAAGCTGTTGAAAGGATTAAATGAAATGACTTCTATAAAACAGCTAGGACACTAAATGCTTCAAACATACTAGTTTTATTTATAATCTCAGTATTCTGCAGGATGTCTCTTTTATAGTTCCTATCCCAGTATGAAATTTTGGATTTACAAGTCACTTTTCTCTACAATAATAAATTCCTTGAGAACAAGGATTTTAGCTTATTTGTCTTTATACCGTCTATGGTAGCACAGTGCCTGGTAACAGTAAGTGTTCAATGAACATCTACTGAATGAATAAACAATGAAGCAAAACAGAATAAAATTTTATCAGACAGAAGCCGACTAGCAAAAGAGATGGGACTTTCAAGCAACTTATCTTTTTCTTTTTTCCTCTGAAAAAAATGTTGAATTATATTATATTATATAAAAACCCATTTTGGAAATCTAACAGGAATCTTCTGGGCTTTATACAGGAAAGGTAGGAAATATATTTCTTTTTTCCTCCCATCAATAGCATACAGCTTCACATTCTGCTTTTGACTGTGGTAACATGCCAGAATTCTACTAGTTACAGTATTACTTAGTTCTAAAAAACAGGCCTCACTTAAATAACTGGAGTTCATCTGTAGAACAGTAGTTACGCAGTACTACATGTTTGTGCAAAAGGAACATACTGGGGAGTACTAGAGAGGTACACACAAGGAATGGGGTGATGCTGGCTCTGACTCATGCTCCTACTGTTTATTTATAGCTTCTTATTAATATAGGATTTGTTTTATTTGGCAAAAATACAAGATTTCAACTGACTGAGAGAAGAAGATGTAAGAAAATGCCTAAGCATAAAACTTCTACAGCTGAATAATAATCTGTAGCTCAGTGCTGTATCAACAGGCTCCCCAGGGGATGGTGCAAACTGAAACCACTCCAGAATTACAAATTTCATGAGCTGCAGACTTTACTGCTAAAAGTAAAGTAGTGGTTAACCAAAGATTTTATTCCTCTATAGACACCTCCATTTATAAATGCTAAATTCACTAGTTGGAATTAGATTTTTAGAGTAGTGTACAAAATATTTACGATGAGTTCCTAATTACTTTAAATAATTTTCGCCAGCAACAAACAGTCAAAAGCAAATTTAAAAAGAGAAGCCAAAGAATTTATATGCTTAAAATGGAAACATTTCTCAATGTTAATTTAAAATGACTACCTGCCTTCTTACTCTGATTTTGCTTTTCAACACTTAAACCAATATTTTATTATATATGTATCTGTGTATTTGTTTAGCATCTGACTCTAGAATGTGGGCTCTGGAAAAGCAAGGGCTTGTTTGCTTTGCTCATTGCTGGAGTCCTTGTAGTGTTAACAGCCAGGAACGTAATGGCTATTCAGTAAATATCTCGCTGGACTAATGACAGAAAATTATTGAATTTCTTAATCCAATTCTTTGAGGATAATTACAGTTAGAAGAGCTTTTTTAAAAAAAAAACTATAAAAGTAAGGTAATTATTCAGATAGTCACACTTAGTATGAATAAAGTTGTTTTGGATAATAAAATCAATTCCTAAAAGGTTTGAGGAAGAAAACTTTTAAGCTCTAAAGTTATTTCACATTTATGTTTTCTTTAAAGATCAACAAACGCTATTCATTTAAAAAATTTTAACGTTTTTGTATTTATCACTACCGTTCATCTTCTTAAAGCAGAGGTGTTTGTTTCAAAATGAAAGTAAGATTCACATTTTGGTAGATGAAAAATATGCCTTCCTAGTTTTATATTTTAAAATCAGGTCAACTGCACAAAACTGCAGTAAAATAAAAATAAAAACAATTTAATCTGGACTTTTTGGTTCTAGTAAGTATTTTACCTAAGGAGACACTATATTCTCCCTAATCTAAGCTGAATACAAAATTGGTCAAATAATCCTAGGAGGAGAATGGCTTTCAAATAACCAGCAACCATATATGCACAGAAATTCTGTTGACCATTTCTCTTTGCATGATAGAGTATTATACATACATATTTTAATGAAAAATAAGATAAACTTTTAAAAGCTGACCCAAAAGCCTCAGACCTAAGTGACATTGCTTCATCAGAATAGACCTGAACTATTTTATAATCTGAATTCAAATTATCTTAATTTCCTTATGTTTTTAACAACCTGTGGATTCCTATTATATATAAAAATGTCAAGGTGACAGGCTTCATCTGAAAATGAGAAATAATGCATAGCGACCTTATGCAATTACATCTATTAACAATTACAGAACCTATGCTGATAGAATTTTTTAATCTATATGATTTTATATATGTGTGTGTTTTAATGCTTCTAAGATAACACTAAAGACTGCTTTTATGCTACAAGTGAAAATAATGTTTATTATATCTTGTGAATGAACCCATGACATAGTCATGTGGCTCCTATCTAATATCAATATGAAAATGTCAGATTAAAGGCTAGTTTCTTTACAATTATCAATTGATGTCACTAAATCCATCCAAATGAATGTGATGTAGTCAATCTGAATAAACCCTAAAAACAGCTGAAAACCTGGTGTCTGCTGTTACTCAGTTTTCTGACTGTAATCTAAGTCTGTAGTTCTATAGACATCACATGAAATGAGCACTGAATTAGAATCAATACAGGAAATATTTAAAAGAACTCAAAAGTCACTTTTGCTAAAGATTATTAGAAGAGATTATATAGACTATTGAGAGAGATTCTAGCTATCTTTCTGTTTGGAAGAGCTCTTCCTTTCAAGTTTCTGATTCTCTTTCCCCACAAAATGGAAAAAGGGTAAGTCTAAATTATCTAAATCTAACCTTCATAAATAAACCCAGTTAGATAATGGATGGTAGTGTAATGATACCATGTAATACTCTTGCAGTTTTAACACTCTTTCGAAACATGCCAATTTTCTGTCTGTTTATGGGTGATAAGGAAAATAATAGCATTAAAATGAATTTTTCTGGGGAGTTGGGGGAAAGAATGAATTTGCTAAATCTAATGAAAACAAACTCCTCTCCCCTTGTCATATCCTTTTATGGGTTCTTTCTATGTACCCATATGCTTCCAAGGTCAATCCCCTGATGATAAAGAAGTATACATATCTTGAATACCTATTATGTGTTAAGCACTGTGCCAGTACTTAACTTATTATTTCATTTAAACCTCTCAACAACCCAGGAAGAGGTAACTATTAATATTACTATATTAGAGATAAGGACACTGAAAATTAAAACCGAGATTTGTCTGACTCCAAAGCCCATGCTACCTGATTTTCTACAAAAAAAAAAAAGCTGTATCGACCCCCACTAAAACTTAATTTCTCCACGAAACTAAAAAGTAATGACTCACAGCTAAATGGAAAAACTATTTTTCTTATTTCTGAATAAGACTGCACAATACTACAGCATAAACTATTCCTGTGCTGTTTTTATATTATCTAAGCCAATGCATAGAGTATGTATATGTGTATACATGCATAATATATATAGTTTTAAAAGATTCACTCTAGAGTCTGATTCTGAAGCTCTTTTTCAAATTAAGGAAAACAAACTACTAATAGATTAGCCCAGAAGTAGCAGCTTTTCTTATAAGAGGCTTATTTTTAGTTCTTTGTTCACTTTTCAGTGTATTTCCTAGCACTGTGACCCATACAGGCACATATTATGTGTTTGTCTCATCTGGTCTCCAGAATTTTGGTTTGGCAATATCTTCTGCTACCCATTACACTTTTGTTATAATTATCTACAGTATATGTTATGTTTCCAAAGAGTATATAAATAACATTTCATTGGTTAAGTATAAAGACTGGAAATTTGAGGTTGAAGAAGTTCAATCATAGGATACTGTTTTAAGAAGTTCCAGCAAAATGTGCAACCTAACAAAGTCAAGGATAACACAAAGAAAACTAACAGTCTGGTATAACCTATTTAACTTGGCTTTGCTTTAATTCTTCCTTTAAAAGCTATTAGGTGAAAACACAGCATTGAATATCATACAATACTGGATATCCACACACACAAAATGAACTTTGATATACACCTTGCACATATACAGAAATTAATTCAAAATGGATCATACACCTAAATGTAAAACCTAAAATTGTAAGACTTTAAGAAAAAAAATATGAGAAAATATTTGTGACCTTTAGTTAGGCAAATATTTCTTAAAACCATAAAAACACAGTCCATAAAATAAAAAGCTGACATATTGGACTTCAT
Organism: Homo sapiens; assembly: GCF_000001405.40. Classification (NCBI taxonomy): domain Eukaryota; kingdom Metazoa; phylum Chordata; class Mammalia; order Primates; family Hominidae; genus Homo; species Homo sapiens. Next base: position 161,881,781 of record NC_000001.11, on the reverse strand, counting down.
CAAAATTAAGAATTTCTGCCCTTTGAAAAACACTAAAAAGGAAATTTAAATACAAGCAAAAAACTGGGAGAAAATATTTACAAGTCATGTATTTGATAAAGGACTTGTATATAGAATACATAAAGAACTCGCAAAGCTTCCAGATTGCTGAACATGAGGAGGTGCCTGGAAGGTAGCCTACTTGGAGAGGGTATGGAAGCTCCATACCCCTTCCACATAGCTTGCCCTATGCATCTCTTCCATCGGGCTATTCATCTGTATCCTTTGTTAATCATAATAAACCAGTAAACATAAACACTTCCATGCTGGCTTTCATGAAGCAAGTTGTCATGTTGTGAGCTGCCATATCAAGAGGCCCATGTGGCAGGAACTGAGGGGAATCTCCAACTGAGCAAATAACTGAGACCCTTAGTTCGGCATCCCACGAGGAGCTGAATTCTACCAACAATCATGTGAACTTATGAGTGGAACCTTCCCCAGTAAAACCTTGAGATGCAACTGCAGCCCTGGCCAAGACTGTGATTGTTACTTTCAGATGAAACCCTGGAGTAGAAGACCCAGCAAATCTATGCCTGGACTCCTGACCCATAGTAACTGTGAGATAATAAATGTGTGTGTTCTAAGCTGCTAAACAAAACAACACACACACAAAATCCTCAAAATGAAATCTCAATCATTAGAAAATAACTCAATAAAAAATCGGGAAAGATTTGAACAGACCCTTCACCAAAGAAGATTTATGGATGGCAAATAAGCACATAAAAAGTTGGTCAAAATTAATATAGTTATTAGGGAAATGCAAATTAAAACCACAATGAGATACCACTACATACCTCTATTAGAATGGCTAAAAATAAAAAGATAGGCTGTATCAAGTGTTGCCAAGGATATGGAGGCACTGCAACTCTTATTCCCACTGGTGGGAATGTAAAATGGTACAACCACTTGTACCAAAGTAGTTTGGTAGTTTCTTAAAAAGCTAAACATATGCCTACTATATAACCCAGCCATCCCACTCCTAGGTATTTACACAAGGGAAGTGAGTGCATTTGTCCCTACAAAGACTTGTACACAAATAGTCACAGTTGCTTTGTTTGTAGTAGCTAACAGTAGAAGGTGAATATATTAGTAAATTGTGCTATATCCCTACACCAGAATATTAGCAGTAAAGACGAACTACTGATACAAGCAACACCATGGATTAATCTCAAAATAATTCTGCTGGAAGGAAAATATATATAATTAAGATCCCTTTATATACAATTTTTAAAACTATAAACTAATTTGTAGTAACAGAAAGATCAGTTGACTGGTGAGAGGGCAGGGAAAAATTACAAAGGGGCATGAGAAACAAAACTTTTGGGACTGATGGGGATGCTGATTATTTTGACTATGGTGATGATTTCACCTATATAAGTATATACATATATACACACACACACACACACACACATACATATCACACATAAAATGTGGTGTTAAATATGTGCAGTTTATTATATGTCAATTATACCTCAATAAAGCTATTAAAAAATGAATCTTCACCTTAAAAGAACACACATGACATTGCATGGCACATAAAATTTCACTATCAATTTTAATTTTGAAACTATGTTAAATAATAAATCTTTGCTTCATATAACAGAAAATTAGATTCAAACCAGCCACTCAAGACAGAAATCTGAACACAAGGATTTTATTTTTGTATAAAGACAATTAGTCTTCCAAGTGGTATAGTTCCCTGATTGCTATAAAGGGCAGCTCCTCAGAAAGTAATAAGGGCAGATACCCAAGATAAGCACTAAATGTTCAAATATTCCTGATTGTGGCAGCACAAAATTAAAGTTTATTTATTTTGAAAATGATGAATGACATGCCAAATGAAAACAAAATGGCATTATTAAGTTGCATCTAGCTGCCAACAGCTAGAACTGAAGAAAGGTGTTAAGGAAGAGAAGAGGGTGAGGAAAGAGAGGGATGATACTTTGCTTCACAGCATTTCGAAGTGTTAAAAAAAAAAGAAATTTCAAAGATGCCTGATGATGTCAGCAGAAATAAAAGCTACTGCATAAAGATATAATAATACAGTGTGACTATCATACCTTCTAGAATATTTTCATCCCCAGCAGCTATTATGTAATAGCTTTAAGTAAGGTACTTGCAGAACAGGCAGGTCTTAGCTTAGCTGTTAGGTCTCCATGAAGACCTCCTTGCATAGGACAGCCCCTCCAAGATTGGTTAATGTGTGCTCTTATGACACCCTATATTTACCTTGTTCATCACAACCATCACACCATATTGTAATTATATGTCTTTCATTCTCTAGATTACAAACTCCTTGAGTACAGGGGCTGTGTCTTATTAATCAACTGTAACTCTACACCTGGCATTCTGTTGCAGAGATTTGACTTTAAAGCATACGGCATACTGACACCCCACCAAGGCCTCACAATCCAAATGTCTCTAGTAGGCTCACTATCCCACTGGCCAAGACAACTACTTCATACTTGTGCCTCTCTGCTTAAATCTTCTACACCTCCTCTAATATCCTTACTTTCAGCTGATGACATCAGTTGAGATGTCCTTCACTGGGAAAACAGAAACTGTTAGAAGTGTCTTCTCTTTATCTTCCTGGAACCTAAGGTCCTATCTATGAACTCATCTTGCCTCTACCATAATGTCCTGCCTTACTAGCAAAGGGCCATCCTTCCACCTGTTATCTGAATTCCACCCTTTTGCCCCTTCTCAAGGACTCGACTTCTCTTTTAACATTGCTTTCTTCCTATCTATGGGTTCATTCCTTTAAAATATATAATTGATATCTAGAGTTTGAAAATAAGACAAAACCCTACCTTTTCTCTATTTTCTTTTATAGGCAAACATTTTTAAATAGTTATGCTGTTCTCACTTCCTTACTACTTAATCCATCTTTAACTTTTATGTTTCATGTCATCACTAAAAGGCTCTTGTCAAGTGTATCAGTGACTTTCATGTTGACATATCCAGTGAAAACCAATCCTTCATCTTATCTAACGTCTCAACAGTATTCAAGAATAAACCACTCCTTCCCCATTCAAAAGTCTCTTCTCTTGGTTTTCTCCCTATTTGCTGACCGCTCCTATTTAGTCTCCTTTGCTGCTCTCATCCTTCTCCAATTCAAAATCTAATTTGGTCCTGAACCCTCCTCCTTTGCTGCTCTCATCCTTCTCCAATTCAAAATCTAATTTGGTCCTGAACCGTCCTTTGCTGCTCTCATCCTTCTCCAATTCAAAATCTAATTTGGTCCTGAACCCTCCTCTCTCTATATACTCTCTTCTTGATGACTCCATTATTCCCATGTAAATCCATGAGATAATGTGTGTAAGCTGACCGGGTGTGATGGCTCATGCCTATAATCACAACACTTTGGGAGGCTGAGGTGGGTGGATCACTTGAGGTTGGGAGTTCAAGACCAGCTTGGCCAACATGGTGAAACCCTATCTCTACTAAAACATACAAAAATTAGTCAGGTGTGGTGGCAAACACTTGTAATCCCAGCTTCTCAGGAGGCTGAGGCAGGAGGATCATCTGAACCCAGGAGGCAGAGGTTGCAGGGGGCTGAGATCACACCATTGCACTCCAGCCTGGGAGATGGAATAAGACTCGTCTCCAAATAAATAAATAAATGTGTATGAGCTGACAATTCTTAATTACTCTTCTTAGCTCAGATCTATCCTCTCTTGAGTCCCAGATTCACAGAGCCAATTGCACACATTCCCTTGAATGTCTCACAGACATTTCAAATTTAAATGTATCCAAAAATAACTCTCCACATTTATACCAAACATATTACCGTGCCCCCCAAATATTTTCATCTTAGTAAAAAATGATAGTCCTTTCTACCTAGTAATTCAAGACAGAAATCTGAACACATCTAATATCTCTCCAATTCTCACTAAATCTATCCACAAAATGTATTTAGAATCCATTCATCACTTTGCTGCCATCATCATTTTGCCGGAGCTACTGAAAAAGCCTTCTAATTGGTATCTCTGCTCTCTCTGCTCCTACTGTTAATAGGTCTCTCTCTAATGCATTGTCCATGTAGCAGTGAACATCTTCTACGAACTAAATCATTCGTGTTATTCTGCTGCTTAAATCCCTTTGCTGGCCCTCAGAATAAAACCCAAACTACTTACTATAGCTCATAAGGCTTTGTAGAACTAGCCCCTTCCAATCTCCCAAACCTCATTTTCATTACTCATCCCCCTTCCCATTCACTAGTCTCCTGTCACATTGGTTTTCTTTCAGTGCCTCAAATAAAGCTCTTTCCTGCCTTACTTAACTGCCTTCATATGCTCTTTCCTCTGCCTGGAATCCTTGAATTCCCCCCATGTTTGAGATATCAGCTAAATGTCGCTGTCTCAGGAGAGCATCCTTGTTATTCTCTGAGTCCATTGTGTGTTTTCATCATGCTTACTATATCTGTCAATTATTTTGCTAATTTATCTGGTTAGCACCAACTAAACTATAAGTTCCCTGAGCACAGAGACTATGTATTATTTATCACTGGAACCCATGCTCCTTGCATATCCTCAGAATACTCAGTACATACTTCCTGAAAAACTATTTTCTGAGTGCATGAAAAAACTAAACCTTAAGAGAAACAAGCCTTCTATGATCTAGTAGTAGAATAATGGAGAAAGTTATGAAACACATTATTATGGAGCTTAGTTATATGGACTCCACTACTGAAACTTCTATCTAAATACAACAAAGAAGAATGTATACTTTGTTTTGTTTTATAATATTATTTTTAAATCTTTTTGGAAAAGTTTTCTAAATCTATCTACAGCTTCTTAAATTTTAATATTTCATATAAAAATCTATTACATACTTTTCTTATATTTAAGAATGAATTGCTGGCTTAAAAGACAGGAGATTAGAAAACTTGCCTCCTTAACCCACAACTATACTGTCTACATATAAGATACAGAAAAGATAAAACTGATATATTTGAGAATTTTATGACTCACGGAAAGGTGGAATCTAGCAAAGAAACTGGTCAAAATTGTTAATAAAAAATGACCATACATTGAAAGCCATCTTTCTCTTGTTTCAGACATATGAATAATCTATCTTCTTGTCGCTTATGCAACAAAATCTTTCAAATACTATAATGGTGCCAATTAAGTTGTGATGTCATTCTGAAACCAATCATGTAGAGTTCAAAGAAAATGGAACTGGATATTTTAAACACAGGTGTGAAGAATCCTCTAAAAAAAAATTCTATTACAGCTTATCATACTGGAAATGAAAAGACCACGGAAGTATCCTACATTGTAAGTTATTAATATAATGCAATGACTGAAAAAGTGCATATAATAGCTGAGAGACTAATAAAATTGTGGATAATCGACCTTGCTCAATGCCTGCTGAAAAGTCAGTATAAGAAATCATGACACTTTCCAACCATATGTTAATTCATCAAATTACACTTAGTTGCAAATACGAAGGCTGAGTTAATATCTCAACTACAGAATTGTGCTTTTGTTTTACAAATGGAAGAATCTATAAACTTTATGTTTTGCTTAGATTTATTCAGTATGAGCCCCAAGTAATCAACAACAAAGACCTTTTATAGGAATGCTTGGCAACAAACACTAACAGTACTGAAATATTCAGTGTTGAATAACTTTCTTAAATCTCATCATTTATCTTGAAACAACTGTGTTGATATTTACACTGATGATGCAAAAGCAATGATGGTGCCCTAGCATGAATTAAGACAGCAACATCAAACTGTATTATATAGTTCATCATATTACTGCCCTATGTTCATATACATGCACATACCACACACAGTCAATGTAATTGAAGGAAGTCTTTGATGAAGCAATAAAAGTTATTAATTTTATGAAATCTTGACCCTTGAGTAGAAGTCTTTTTAATATTCTGTACGACAAAATGGGAAATACACATAAAGCATTTCTGCTGCATATCAAAGTACAATTGTTGTCTAGAGGAAAACCACTTGTGTAACTGAGTTGTGAGCTGCACTAGCTACTTTCTTCATGGAACACCACTTTTACTTGAAAGACTGATAAATTATAGTTGTTTAGCCTTGGGTATCTGACAGATATGTTCTTGAAAATAAATTAGTGAATCTACCACTTCAAGGAAAACTGACATATTTTTGACAATGATAAAATTTGAACCCTCAAGTGAAAACTAGAATTTTGGAAAACTTCTATCTGCTACCATGAACTGCTCACAATATTTAAAGACTTTTCTGATAAGATTTGTGATAGTATTAAAGAATGTGACATTTTAATACATAATAAAATGTGTCAACATTTGGAAGATCTGCATAACTCAGTGAACCAGTATTTTCAAATGACCAATGTATGATGTAACAAAACCTTGCACAGGTAAAAGATCCATTCAAAGTGCAAGATCAACCAATGGATTTTAATTTCAGAGTACTAAAAGTTCACAGATTTGGCTTCCGTGTTGCAACTAACCTTTAAGAAACTACCTCTTGTTGCATTTTGGTGTAGCATCAAAGAATACCCACAATTATCTGAAAGGCTTTTAAAATAGTCCTTCCTTTCCAATTACATCTCTGTGTGAGGCTGGATTTTCTTCATATATTTTGACCAAAAAGAACAGATATAAGAATCCAGCTGGTTTCTATTAAGCCAGTTATTAAAGAGGTTTTTCTTAATGTTAACAAAATGCTACTCTTCTCATTAATGTTTCTTTGAAAACATAAAGGAATGTGGAAACCAAAAAGTTTGAGAACCACTGATTTAAGGATCTCCACTCTCTTATCGCTCAGTTTGGTTTTGGACCTGATGGCAAAATAGGAGCCTGAAAGGTTAGGGTCAAATATATAGAAAACAAGGAGATGGATAGATAGACAGACATGCAAACATACCTACATACATCAGAAAATGTCTGCCTACATGGCTGTGGTTTAGATTATCCTCATTCCAAAGTCAAAGAAAAATTATTATTTTTATTGCATATCATTCTCTCTAGTTCATATTGCTCCTACCTCTACTAGAATAGATATTCAAAAGCTGCTAATTCAAAGCACATTTTGGGGGGAGAATTCAACTAACCTCTTTAAGGAACTTCAAAGTAAATATGTGACACTGACCCTCTCCAAGACAGACTCATTCTTAACAGAATAAAATTTATTGAACTTCTATTCAATAAAAAATGGAATCAGAAAAGAAATAGTTGTAAAATGTAATCTGAATAACACTTTACATGTAACTGTTAACTGTTACATGTAGACTGTTTATTCTGTATGATATATTTTAATTTTTCAAGATTTATTTTAGGGCATATTATAATCAGACAGAGATGACTCCAAATAAATTATTCAAAAGATAGTCTATGTCAGATTTAAAATTTGACAAGCTTATCTTAAATTCATTCCATGCAAGAAATAAGCACTATGCAGGGGTAGTCTCATCTTTCTAGGACATTACAGACACATTATAACAGGCATCTTATACATAAGGAGCTTATTAAATCTGGGGCTTATTCATTCCAGAGGTTAAAATGATAGCACAATCTGTTTAACACCCTAACTGAAAAATAATCCTTTCTGTCCATGTATTACCAAGATCAGTGTTCTGACTTTGAAACCCAGAGAAATTCTTACTAGGTATATAATTTCCCTCATGCAAAATGGCACTTAGACTTTTAAAAATGCATTTGAATTCACTCATTTTCAAAGACTGATTTCTAGACTTAAACATGAGACACAGATGGTCCTGATAACAATGCTCAGTAAACTAGACTATCACAATTTCTTTATCACATTACGGTGACTATATAAACTAATTTAGAATATAGTGTCAAACTGATGGATTTGGTATCTAATTAATTTGTTCATTTATTCATTCAATGTTTATTGAATACCTGCTACATGCCTGATATACCATGTATTGGGAACAAAGTCATGACTAAGATAGAGGGTTCCTGCCCTCAGGGTACTTCCTAGCAGGGGAAACAGACTTATTATTATTTAGAAACTACACTCCTACTCTCAGCCAATCATCCATCTTGCAGGCTTCCAGTGTGATGCCCATATTATGAACTGGATATCTCTTCAAAGCCTACCCATAATGAGATCTTTATAGAAGACTAGCAGCAATGTGTTGAAATAAATATCACACAATTATTAGCCTTAACATTTTTCAGGAAAACACCAACTGTCAGTGTTTAGATTTGCTGATGGTGTCAAAAGTTAAAATATTAAGAGTCCAAAATGAACAAATCACTGTATACTATATAGGAGAGGGGAGGAAATGACATGAGTGTTTCAGACCTTGATCCTGAGTCAGATCATAAGTCATCAATTTTTCCTAATTATAATAATTGCTTCCTCCATAATTAAGTTTTGTGACATCATAAGAAAGGTTATACCAAATTTTATGTAGGTTACTTTGCTAGTTTTCTAACTTAATGTGAGAAAAAATTATAAAACCATTTACATATAATTAAATGAGAAATAGTTCTATAAACTTTAACATTTTGAAAACTCTTTACCATTATTAAAAACCAGCTCTGTATTTAAGATTTAAAAGACTTTTGATATCTCAAGCAGTACTTTAAATATGATTTGATTTTTCAAAAATCTGGTTTTAATTCCATACGCTCTTTTATTTTTCTTTTCTGTAGTCCTACTGCAAATAAACAAAAACTGTTCAACTTTCTCCATGCTTTTACTTTAAACAGAAAACAATACAGAGGAGGAACAATGACTTGTTTATTTTCCTTTAGAACATCTGTCAAGCATAAAACATAAACTCTATTCTTATATGTATATAAACTAACTACAATAGTCCTTATTTACCTTATACCCTATCCCTATATCTCTCCTGTCCTTAACACAAACACATACATACACACTCTTAGTTCTCTTCTCCTTATCTATATCTAGGCTATCTCCATTTCCTTCCAGTGTCAGATTTACCAAACCATTGTTTTTCTTTCCCATTCTCTTCTATCTCTTTTCTGGATTCTGTTCTGATTACTCTACAATAAATGTAATCTCAAGTTACCAATGATTTTAATGTTTACACAAGACAAATGAGTTTCTTTCATTTCTCATTCTTAGGGAGCGCTATAACATCTGATACCACTGACAGCCTCGTTTTCTGAACTCTTCCTTGACCTCTAGGTTTTAAAATAACATAAACAAGTTGATTTATTTTCCTTCATCTGTACTCTTCCAATTCTCCTATATTTCTAATAATTTCCTCTGTGTTTCCCTGCTGGCTCTTGTTCCTCCTACACTATTACTTTGAGTAACATGTGGCTTGGTTTTCCACAGGGCTTTGTCTTAGTCTCTGGAAAATGATCCCGAAACAACTCAAAATATGTTTTGAAAAGAGAGATCAACGGAATTAAACTCCAAGTTGACTACCTTCAAAGATATGATATTTGGATATCTTAAACAGGCAATAGAGGGAAATGATCAAGAACATAGAGCCAGACTTTCTTGGTTAAATTCTGACTGCTATTTCTAAACGATGTCACAATGGATAAATTTGTTTTTTCATTTCTACAGCGGACTTTTTCTTCCTTCTTTTTAATCTTTCTTATTGGAGTTCACAATGGACACGACTGCCTCAGGTTCTTCATCTGTAAAATGATGATAACTGCACCTATCTCAATTATAAAGATTAAAGATTATCGTATTGTGTTCTGTATAAGTGTTATTAAATAAATTACAAAACTGCCAGCTATTCAAAAAACAAACTCATTAATTTATAGCCCCACCTTGTAACTTCACATTTTGTTGTTTTTGTTATGGCTGTTTTTCAAAACTCTTAAAATACACTGACTCCACTAGATTGAATCACTTAGTAACTTCAAAGAGTTTAAAGCAATACTACAGCTTTCTAAGAGGAAAGCACACACACACACAAACACACAGATAAAAACTATAGATTTCTGGAGCCAGAAGGAAAAAAGCAAATCTACATTAACTTTATCACTTAACATATAAGGAAACTGAAGATGAGAGGGACTAAGTGATTTGTCTAAAGTCACATAGCAGATGTCACTGAGTGGCAACATTGGGGCTAGAATGCAGGTTCCTAGGGTCTGTACCTATCAGTTGTTTAAAATACATTTTTTCCTCACATATTCATGATGTGAAGAAATGTTCTTTCTGGGAATGCAGTTCTGCTTTGGGGAAATATTTTCTTCCCTCATTACAAAAAATTTGATGAGAACTTTAAGCTATCAATCATTAAATCCTACCTTTCTTCTTTTTTAACTTTTATTTTAAGTTCAGGGGTACATGTGCATGTTTGTTTTATAGGTAAACTCATGTCACGGGGGTTTGTTGTATGGATTATTTGGTCACCCAGATAGTAAGCCTGGTTACTCAATAGTTATTTTTTCTGCTCCTCTCCCACCTCCCACCCTAATTCCTGCCTTTTTTCAAAGTAACTTTAGAAGTCTTTCAGGAATTATTCTATTCCACAGCAAAAAGTCCACCCACACCAAAGCTGACTATATATTCTTAAAAATTTCATTGCTATCCAAGTCACCGAAGTAATTTTAAACATTCATTGAGAAAAATGTCCTCCTTTGTTTCTGCAAACCCCACCTCTAGTAATCTTTTGAAGAGTAGGACATAAAAAATAAGGGTAAACAACACAAATAAACAGTTAGTGGTCTGAGTAGTCAACATTTATTTAGGACTTACTCTGCCGAGCCTGCAATGCATTGCAATAGATCTTGTAAAAGACAAAACAGAATGAATAGACTTTATCCCTGCACAGAGAAAGCATACAACCTGAAAAGGGGAGATTAAACAAATGCATATGAAAAACACATTTCATAATAATAAGACTACCAAATAGAGCAAACAAATAAGAACCATTGAAAAATTATCATGACTCAGATGGATCTGCCCACCATTCTGAGAATTTTGAAGACTTCGTATTATTCTTGAGTTATAAGTTCTCTGTTTGTGGCTATATACAAGTCTACTTACAGACTACTGAACAATCTTTTCTCAAACATAAAGCAAGTTATTTTAGACTTTGTGATTGAAAAGTGTAAGTAAAAAACATGTTTTTATGTTAGCTAGCAATGTTATAGAGACAAAGAACAAATAGTTGAATCCTCTAAAACCACACAACAGTAACTCACATTTAACAAGGAGTTTGAGATCAAATGCTTCTGATCTCAAAGATCTAGCACGCCATATACAGAATCCATAATAAAATGTATTTACACACACAAAAACCCCACTCTTTTCTATGAGAAGCTCTAGAATACCAATAATTAAAACAGCTTCTGTTTTTGCTAAACTACTTCCTTTTTAAGACAAAGCAAAGACATTTCTTTTCCACCATGTTGGAAATTTCAGACACTGTTTTAAAAAGAAACCAGAAACTTTCAAGGCCTATTTATTCTATTCCCTGACTTGAAATCTGAAGCTATACTATAATATTTCAAACCATTAAGTTATTCTCCAGCATTATGAAAGCATAATCTATTAAAGTACTTAATCTATAATTATAATTAACAGGTAATTAACAAACAAACATAATCAGGTAATTAACAAACAAACAATTTTTGAAGTTGTGTAATGAATCTGCCAAAACTGTCCAGCAGATTTTTCAATGAAATATCTTGATTTTGGAGGGTTAGATTAATTTATTTACATATGCTGTAATACATCTAAAAGTGCCAGATATAAAGAAAAAAGCACAACAATGTAAAGAAAAAAAAATCACTGTATTAAATTAGAATCTATCAATTATTGCCCTAGTTCTAATGCTTACCATTTTTGTGTCCTTAGATAAGCTACTTAATCTCTCTTTGCTTCAGCTTTTTCAGCCATAAAATAGGACTAAGAATACTTGTGATTATATGTAAGGAATTGCTAAGATTATGTATGTGAAAGAGGTTTGTAAACTACAAAGGTAGTATACATTGAAGTGTTAATATTTGTATATAATAAAGTGAAATAGAAAATGGACATATAAAAAGAACATTATTGGCATAATGATTAAATAAATCTAGGTTAAGTTTATTAACCTAGGGTACTCAGTCAACTCTGCTCTATTTTTTTATAATGTGCTTTAGACCTGAATGAGAATATATTTTAAAGCTAAAAATTAATTTTAAAAAGCCTTCTAAAAGAAGGTTTTTTAAAACATCTCTCTTCTGAGATAAGACCCTTTTCTAAAATGCAAGTATCTTTCCAAACTCATCTATTCACTTTTTTTTCCAGCTAGAATTTGGCTCAAAGGCCATGAAAGTGGAGATAAGAAAATGGCCAAACTCCAACATCTATGTGTACACTCAAGTTTTGAGGTCTCAGAAACAAAAGAAGGAGCTGTACCCTTTTGAAGTAGACTTTATAAATGAATTTCCTTTGATACTAAAGAAATTCCTCCTGCCTCTGAAGATTTTATATATATACATACAATTGAATTTTTATATATATACATATGTTGAATTTTTATATATGCATATAAACTAAACATAAATTTCTAAGAAATAAATAACAGGCATTAAGAAAATATGCCATTCTTCATGTGTTAGGTATTAATCTAGGTATTAAGTTAGAAAATATCATTGCTATTTTTGAAATTCGTTTTTATGCCCATCCGTGGGACTAAACCTCTGGCAAACATTTTGAACAAATAACACCACTAGTCAACCTTTTTTTTTGCAATAATCACAGTATTTCCTACAGTGTTTCCAAAGTTTCAAGTTTCTGGCTCCTACTGCTTGAATCTGTACAAATAGTAGAACCCATCCCTTCTCCAAAAAAGAAATCAGTGAGGTCTAACAACAATCTACTCCAAAATGCTGCCAACAAATAATTTTAAATGAAGATGCAAGTATCTCAAAGTTCTACTTACTGACATAGAAAGCTGTTAAACACTACACTCAGGTGAATTATTTAGCTCTACAGCTTAGATTCAGAGACAAGAATAAGCTGATGATATCTGGCTAGTGCAAATCATAAATGGACAAAACAGAGATCATCTTTAACTAAACTTTCTACTGGCATTCAGCACAGCTTATATTACTTCTTAGATCAGTAAAATAGATTCCAATTTCTTTAAGCAAAACAATGTAAAAAAAAAAACCTTTTAAATGATTATGAAAAACAACAAACTTCCATCACTGTGACTTCTCTCAATGGCTCATGTCTAAAACCATTCTGTTCAGTAAGCACTCAGTGGTAGGCATTGCTGAGTGTCAGGGGTAGTCACAAAAGCATACGATATTTCCTGCCTTCAAAAGGCTTATCATATAGATGAGAAGATGGGCCTTTTAGATCAAACAATTAGGAACCAATACAAGAAAGAATTTAATGCACACTTACTAAGAACGGGGAAAAAAGAATAATAATTAAAAAAAACAGGCTGTGTGGTATAGTAGTTTATGAAGCTCCCAGTGCCTGCCAAAGTCATTTTCTCAGAAGAGTGGCCCCAGGTTTTTCTCTTGTCACAAATGAATAACTGTGGATCATAAGCCAAAGCTGCCATAGTAATTCTCTGCGTAAGAGATGGTGACCAGAACTACCCAATCAGATCTTTGTGTTTGAGGAGTATGAATCAGTAAAGTGTAAAAAAAAGACTAAAGTGGAATCACTGGAGCTGCTGTCAAATCAGAAATGACAATAAACCACTATTCCAATTCTCCATGAAGACTAGTATACATTCCACCCAATGAAGCACAAGCACAGAGGGATTATTTGGATTCTGAGCCAGTTTCCTGTGCTTCTTTAATCTCACATAACTTACAATAAGTCCCTATTACTTAAGGCTACCCTTATAATCCATGCCGTATATATGACAGTGTTAATAATTTTTATAAGGGACCAGTAAGGGGTGCATACCCAAATATGGTACTATTGCTAGAATATATAAAATACTTGGAAAGAGAGGAGAAAGAGACATCTCTCAGGCAGTCATATGGCTATAGCTCAGATTCTTCTGTAATATTATGTATGTATTTGAAACTGATGAAAAGACACTTTACGTGTTTACTTACAATTTGAGACAGGTACTGAAAACAGAAAATGTAATAGAAATAAAAAATGTTCCCAAAGTAGGCATCCATCTCATTTGCAAAAGAAAAATATTAAACAAGTAGAGATAATATGGCAAACTGACATTCACAGCCATCTGATTCAAAGAGAACCTGTTTTTAATGAAAAACTGCCCCAGGAAGAAATTCTTTCCTTATATATTAGTGGATGAGACAGCTACATGTAAGGATGGTATTTAAATGTGTATTGAAATAATAAATTAATATCATTTCCCAATCTTTCTTCTCAATGTTTCTTTTCTGCCCTTTTAAAATCATCTTCTTCTTAACTTTATTTGAGCTTTCCTGAGTATTTGTTTCTGTCTTAGCTCTTGAATTAATTTTGTTATATTATTTAATCAACCTCCTCCCTCCCTCCCTAAATAGACTATCATACAAAAGCATTTTTTTTTTGAGATGGAGTCTCACTCTGTCACCCAGGCTGGAGTGCAGTGGCGCGATCTCGGCTCACTGCAAGCTCCGTCTCCCAGGTTCACGCCATTCTCCCGCCTCAGCCTCCTGAGTAGCTGGGACTACAGGTGCCCACCACCACGCCCGGCTAATTTTTTTGTATTTTTAGTAGAGACGGGGTTTCACCGTGTTAGCCAGGATGGTCTCAATCTCCTGACCTCGTGATCCACCCGCCTCGGCCTCCCAACGTGCTGGGATTACAGGCGTGAGTCACCGCGCCTGGCCACAAAAGTATTTTTAAAATAAGCATTATTGAGTCCAGGAGTTCAAGACAAGCCTGGGCAACAAAGTGAGACCCCATCTCTACAAAAAATAAATAAAAATTAGCTGGATGTGGTGGCACTCTCCTGTAGTCCCAGATACTCTGGAGACTGACACAGGAGAACTGTTTGAGCTCAGGAGTTGGAGGCTGAAGTGAACTATAATTGTACCACTGCACTCCATCCTGGGCAACAGAGACCTTGTCTCTTAAAACAAACAAACAAACAAACAAAAAAGGCATTAAACTTAATTGGATTTTTTTCTTATTAATGTATCAGTTATTCTACACTCAAAGTGACTTGGAAGTTTGAGAAAAAGTTATTCTCCAACCTCCCTCTCCAAATCATACTAAAACAAACAAATCAAAGAGAGGAGAAAAAGGCAAAGTATTTACAGGAAAATAAGCTACAAATAACTGGAACTAAGCAAAGAAAGCCGAATAGATTACTATGTTGGTGGTAAAAACTCTTTAAGGAGAGTCAAAAGAACAGAAGCACTTTGGACCTTTGTCTGGAGTACTGGGATCATAAGCATTTTTTCTTGCTGAGCTATAACAGGAACTCAGTAGTTATCCAAGAGTGTGTCTGCTTTAGAGAAAATAATTTCAACCGCTCAACTGTAAAGAGATTAAAAGGTACAGGAATGCAGGGTGTGAGGGAGTGTAAGTTTGGGAGAGAGTGGCTTAAATAACAGTACGAAACAGTCAATGGCTACTTCTACATCTTTAGATATTAAAATATTTTGTTAAATACATGTCCATTCATAAAATAAAATAACATAGCTTGCTTATTGGCTTTGTTATAAATGTCTGGTTCATGCTAAGCCGAAACCTGGGGCTCTGGAATCTTCTTCTGAATTTCCAATGTAGTATCAATTATAATAATTTCTGCCAATAAAATTAAGAACCTAAGTGGGAGAAAAAGTCTACATCCTTCTGCACAAGAAATGATGCCACTCACCTTTTTAATGAAACTGTTAGAATATTTTATATTGAAAGATGAAAGAAGACCAAGCATGAGGTAATTTATTATTTCATTTTCATTTCAGCAAGAGCAAAAAGAACAATCCAGGTATTAAAGAACAAAATTCCTGTCCCATAACATAGTTTACAGTCATCAAGATAAAATTAACTTCCTTTTCCCTACTATTGAAACAAAACAAAAAAAATAAAAAGGATGTTATCTTAATTACTATTATCTAATTCAGTTCATTTGTCTTTACTCTTCCTTGATATAAAACACCAAAATGTGATAAATCAGTAATTTGAAAATGAAAAATCGAAACAGAATGTTAGACATACTCCTAATAGTAATTGTGTGAGAGCCAGTCCTAACAGTCTTCCTGAATGAACATCAAGGGACTAGGGAGGAGTGGAAATCAATAATTTTCTAACAGCACTTTTATAGCAAACTAATGAGAAATCACTTTTTACAAATGCAAAAAAATGCAATGCATATATATTTTTTAAACCGCCATTCACTGTCTTTTATAAAAATACAGTCTGTTTAAAGCTAGGATTGGTTGGGCGCGGTGGCTCATGCCTGTAATTCCAGCACTCTGGGAGGCCGAGGCGGGTGGATCACAAGGTCAGGAGATGGAGACCATCCTGGCCAACATGGTGAAACCCCGTCTCTACTAAAAACACAAAAATTAGCCAGGCATGGTGGCATGCGGCTATAGTCCCAGCTATTCAGGAGGCTGAGGCAAGAGAATCACTTGAACCTGGGAGGTGGAGGTTGTAGTAAGCCAAGATGGCACCACTGCACTCCAGCCTGGGCAACAGAGAGAGAATCCATCTCAAAAGAAAAAAAAAAAAGCTAGGATTGTCTTCTCTATAAAAAATACTTGTTCTCTTCCCTTAGAAAAACATTACTAACCATGACTTCAATCCATGGCTTGACAAGTGTTACTTCTAATATCTGTTATACTGTTTTGATCAAATAATACAGTAATTATCCTGAACCTCAGAAAAACTGTCTATTTGAGTGTTAAAAACATTCTCCTACAGTAACTTCCATAAAATATACTTCAACACAATCATTTTAACACCCAGCAGGTTTCTTCTTCATAGTACTGAATCTTCTTAAAAGTTTACTTTTTTTCTCCTACTTTGAACATAATTGTGTCAATAGTAAGGGAAATACTTTGTTTTCATAGACCAGTACAGTTGGAGCCTTGCAGGAAACATTGTTCTCAGCTGCCCCCTTGCTGCTGAAAAGAAACTTTGAGGCTGGTCCTGTACAGAAACATACCAGTTATGTCTGATAGAGTAAGGTGAACACAGGGAATTTTGTGAAAAGGCAGTGATCATGAGACGCTATGGCTAAAGTGTTCCAAATCTCTTAGCATGTTTGATTAATAACTGAAAATATATAAGATGTTTGATCTCCCTAGTTTTCAAGTATCAAAGTTCTCTGGTCCTAAAAACCTGAGCTGCTAGATATTTATACCTTAGGAAAAGAATTAACTAGTTAACTGAGAATTTCAGTGACAGTGAGTGGTAATAATCAGAGAATGAATTTGCTCATTCTATTGTTAGTATAGACACTCATCCCTCTGTATATGTGGAGGACTGGTTACAGAGCCGCCTGTATAACTCCAAATCTGTACATACTCAAGTCCCACAGTTAGCTCTGTGGAATCTACATGTGTGAAAAGTTGGCCCTGCATATAAGTGGGTTTGGCATCCTGCTAAGGTTGAGAAAAATCCACATATAAATGGACCTGCTTCATTCAAACTTGTGTTGTTCAAGGGTCAACTGTACTTACTTCTAACCATACCCAGTGTATTCTTAAAAAAAAAAAAGAAAGCCAGCTACTCAGTATCACTTGAGCCCAGGGGTTTGAGTCCAGCCTGGGCAACACAGTGAGGTCCCTTCTCTTGTTTAAAAACAGAGAGAAAGAAAGAAAAAACAGCTTGGGATAGAAACCACCACTGAGGAATTCTAATTCATTCATGTGCTCCTGGGTTAACCTACAGCACTCTAACAGAGATATTCACATGGCAATTCTATGAAGAAAATATTTTCATTTTATAGAAAAAGTAGATGAAATATAAACAGCTATGCATTTTTTCCATTTAGCCTAACATTCATAACATTCAAAAGTGCTAGTATAAACATTTACTTTTACATAAGCTAACTGATTATCTAACACATTCTTCACCAACCAAATGTTTAATTAAGAAGAGATAAAAGAGGAATAGAGATTCTTAGGAACATAGATCCAAACATTCCACAATTAATAATCAGCCCATGATCCATCTCAAACCTACATTTCAGAAGTCTGTTTCTCAATAACCAAATGGGAATTGGTTTAAAAGCCTAAATAGGAAAAGCCTAAATAGAATATTTTTATGTTTTTACTTTTCCTTTTTTTATAAACAGCATGGCTATCAGGATTACAAACAATAAAAATCAACAAGTAGTTTATATTTCCTAAATACAAACTCATAGTCTGACACCAATTCCATGTTCATCTTTATAATACTCAACAGCTCAAAGTAAAGCATATATTACAGTACTTAGACTGTTCCACTCACATAATTTATTTTATATTGCTTCCTATTTCTCACATCTTTGTATTTTCCACAATATTCAGCCCAATGTCTTGTGTACGGCAAGCACTCAAAAATATTTGCTCTATTCTTTCAAGATGAACTTACCCTTCGAAATGACACAACATAAAATGTGTCTCCCCTTCTGCGGATGGCTTCAAAAAAGTCTTGATAACTTCTGGGTGAAGCATAATACACTTGTAGCTCACTCCCTGAGTTCCTGCTAAAGTAAGAAAAATATAAGGTATTACTAAAATAAAAAGTTTCCTGTTTTCCCAAAATACTTCCCATTCTAAGGCTATGTCTGAATTCTAAGAATCTCTCTCAACCAAAATATTAGTTGCACTTTGGCAGTAATTTTTATAACAATATTTTGCAAAGCCCAAGGATCAGGATATTTTATAAGAACCCATTCACTTATGCTAAAATTCTGATTTCTGAATCAAGGCTCTAAAATGTACTAGATGGTCAAGTACATTGCAAAGCATGTAAAAATAATGAAAGTATCAGAAAATAGAGAGATTTCTGCATAGGTTTGAACGATTTTTAATTTTTTTAGTAATACAAATTAAATCTGAGGAAAAGTCATTTTTCACCACCCTGTCGAATATATGAAGGTATGCTTGCCTACGAGGCTGTGCAAAAAGGTGGAAAAAGCTTAGGACTTGAAAACAAGCAGACTTGGTTTAGAATTCCTGCTTCACTTCTCAAGTGGGCACTCCTGGGGAAATTGCCCTCCATGAACAAACTGTTTCCTCCTCAATAAAAAGAGTATAACCACACAACCCTTGTAGGACTGTTACTGGAGATGTTATATGTCAAGTGCCAAGCATGGATCCTGTCCCATAGGAGTCACTCAACAACTGCTAGTCATTGATATTAAAAGTACCATGTATGTGCCTTACTAAAATTAAAAACTAAAATGATAATACCTCAAACCACATCATGCCCCAAAAAATACAGTCAAATGATTCTAATAGAGTTCTTAATGTGTTCAGGATTTTCTAGGGTTTAGGACCAATATCTGGAAGAGTTAAAGGGATCCTGTAAAAATGCTTCATTTTTCCTCAAAGAGAAAACTTGTATGTATCAATCAAATATTATTAAGAGGAGAAAAAGACTGACCTAAATGGAAGTAATAAATGAGTCATAAGAATTTCCTTTGAAATAACTCCATTTGTTCACTAGGCCATTTCTGATTACAATATTTTGAATATATAGTCGCTTCTTGCTATTTTGTGATAGTTATGTTCTAAAAAGTCACTGCCAGCAATGAATTAGTGAATCCTAAACCATCCTCCTGGGGGAAATACAGGGTTAGGTTCCTGCAAGCCTCTGGTTACAATATTTCTGTTAAGTGATAAATATATAACCTTATTTATGTGTTTCTGTTTAGAGATACCTTCTTTAACATATATTATTCATTCACTAACTTGAACTCACAGCCAACTGCACTATAAATCATGCCTGAATGAAACTTATCTAACATACGTAGTTTCTCCACACAGCACATCACAGCCCGCTTCGGCTTAGCAACACTAGACAGCAATTCAGCAATATGCCTCGGGGCCATTTCAAACAGCAAAATTACCAACAAAAAGCACAAAAATATGAAAAATGTGGACTGTGAAAAGGACCTTGTTTATATAGCTGAGACTAAAAGGCAGAACACTGCCTTGTTCAACCTCACCAGGGAGCATCTACGCATGTTTGCAAATGATGACAAAAGCACTGCTAATATTAGGGGTTACAAATACATTTTAGCAGATTTTAGTAGGTGAATTAGCAAATATGGAATCCACAAATAATGAAAATTGGCTGTAATTCACTAAAACATTTTAACTAATGAAGAAATACCATGCCATTATAACCATGCATCCAAAAATTGATATATTTTTAAAATAAATGTAATTGAATGATATATTCTGGTTAGCAGAGAATGATTAGTTATTATTTAAACATATTTGAATTATCAATTTCAACAGGATAATACAATCTCAGGATTTTAAACATTCATGATTGCTGATATGCTGCTCATTGTCATTTAATAGGAATTCTCAGTTATTAGTATAATGAATAAAATAGCTTTTGACTTCATTTTTACTATCTATCTATCTATCTATATTTTTTTCTCAGTGCCTAGAACACTGGCACACAGTATATTCTAAGTAAATGTTAAATTCATATAAGTGAACTGCAAATGTGTGGTAGAGCTACAGATAGAAGCTGAGATCCTCAAATTTCACTTCAGTGATACTGTTGTCAATGACATCACATCATTATCATTTACCATTTTGGGGGGCACTTATGTACCATGCTAAGTGCTCTAAATATATTATCTAATTTAACCATTATATCAACTCTGTGCAGCCAGCATTTTGTAGATGAGAAAACTTCAATTGCATGTAATCTGCTTGAGCCCACAAAGTAAGAGGTAGAGTTATAATTTGAACTCTGCCCAACAGGGCAAATAAAGCTAGCATCTTAACCATGACACCATATTGCTTCCCATATTATATTTCCCTTTGAAGACATTTAAACCTGTAGATACAGCATTCTCTTTGAAATCTTTCAAAATCTTAAGTATTATTGTGTAGTGAAAAATGCATTGTAAGTAAAACAGCTATGATCTGAATTCTGAGTCTACCACTAGGTCTTATGACTCTGAAAATTACAAAAAAAATAAATGATTTGACCAGTTTTTCTATATATAAAATAAACTTTTAGTTATTACATGGATTTAAAGATAAAATACATGTAAAACACTCAGCAGGACACCTGGTACAGAGCACTCAAAAAATAACATTCCCTTCCCTAGGTTCATGAAACAGATGCAAATCAAGGGCAAGAAAGCTATGGGTATTCAAGATTTTCATCAAAATTATGATGGAACAGCATTCTGACTAAATTTGTATTTAAGGGATTTGGGAGAGTTGAACTTTTGAAATTATCTGGCTTTATTCCAACTGCTCAGTAGTATGTTATATATATATATACATATATATATATATCTTAGAGTATATGACTAATATAAAACTCATAGATGAGAACAAATTTAAGGTGAAAGGGAAGTGTGAATTTCAACTTTCTTAAAATACCAGCTATTTTAAATTCCTTGGCCAAGAGCTTCTGCACTGTCTTACCTGATACTACTAGTGGTTTCTGTGTATTGAACAGCCATCAGCTGAGAATTTGAGCCCTGTTCCAGAGCACCCTGGAATATTAAAAAAAAAAAAAGTTTAATACTGTATCACAAAATTATATGAAATCTTCCTATACTGGTTCATTCTATACTTAAATTTGTTAAACTTCCATTGCTAAGATTTCTGACATATTCAGTTCAAATAATTAAACACTGACAGATATTAGAACTCTTTAGGTCCATTCTAGTCTGGGAGAAGTGTCTTATGGAGATTAAGGCATTTAAGGCACTTTCCATTAAGTTTAAAGAAAGAGCCCAAAAGCTAGTCCAAGCACCACAAATTTTATGACCAAGCTATATAAGTGTTACTGAACATATAACAATGTCTGCTTGTCTAAAATAATTATCTTCCCAATGACAAGTTCCTAAGAAGTATGAAAAGTCCATAATGAAACTAGATCCTATTGTTTACTGAGTTAAACACAGAGATCTTCATGCCAAAATACATCTATGAACTAAGCCATCATTAAAGAGTTCTTATTGATGACTCTTGGCAAGAGAACAGTTCAATCTACACCCATTAGTGGCCCACATATGCTACACTGGAAACCTGTCTTTCACACAGCATTTGCTTTGCACTATGCCTTTTTATTCTCCCTGGTAGTTATGTAAGCTGATTTTCAGAAGCGGTTTGTCAGGGTATCAGACTTCAAGGGCATATTACCAAGTTCTATTTCATTAGAAAGTAATCTTACCCTGTCAAACAATGGTTTAAATAATTTTTTAATCATTTGTTCATTACTGTGTCCATATATCCATCTTTCAGTAATCAAAGCACCTACATGTGCCCAAGCTACAAAATTAAATATTTGACTTCTGCCTTTAAGAAGCTCGCAGTTTAACTGGGAAGACAGATATAGGAAAACAATACAATGCGATAAGCGCTAAAACAGAAGCATGTACAGAAGTTTAAGGGAGAAAAGAAAAGGAAACAATTTTGTTTGGTGGATGGAACCAATATGCAGAGATGAATATAGGGGTTCCCACTTCTGGCTCTGTAACAAGTCAAGGATCTCATTTTATAAAAATCTAATGTGGGTCTTGTATATTGTAGGTGTTCAATAAATGCTCTGTTTAACAACAAATGAAAAAAATCACCAATAAAATGAAAAGAAGAACACAGTTAAATAATAAAATACTATACTTACTGGCATAGTTATCCAGTAAGTAGTAAATAAAACCAAAACTAAATTATAGCTAGTTGATAAATATAAGGTTGAAAATGAACAGATTAACTGGTGAATTTTAAATGATTAGTGCTACTTTGGCCCATATGAAATGAGCAAAGAAGTTTGAAAGAAGCCAGACTTATTTCCCTAGTCTCAGAAAGCAATGGGTAGGCCTTAGGAAAAGCCAAGTTACAGAGATATCAGGCAAACAGAAAACAGATATTCCGTTTACCTATCCAAGATTTATACCAATTAACTAAGGAACCTCTGAAAAACTAGTCATGAGCTTTTGCATTTTCAGCTGTATGGGTTTAGCAAAAGATCATAATTGACAAAAATGTGAGAGGCATTTACACAGAAATGAGAGGATGTTAAAATCTCCAGTTATGCTGTAGATCTTTTTCTCAAGTTCTGTCACTTTTTGCTTTGTGTACGTTGAAGCTTTGTTATTAGGGGCCTAGACATTTAGAATTGTTTTATCTTCCTTGTATGCTCCTTTTATCAATAAAAAATTTCTTTTGTTGTCTCTTAGAATAATCTTTGTTTGGAAGTCTACTTTTTCTGATTAATATAGCCATGTCAGCTTTTTAATGCTTCATGTTTGCATGGCATACATCCTTTTTCACCTTTATTTTCCATCTGTCAGTGTCTTCATATTTAAAGTGTTATTTCTTATAAACAATATATAGTTGGATCTTTCCTTTTTAAAAAAATCTAGTTTGAAAATTTCTTCCTTTTAATTGATGTGTTTAGCCCACTGAATTTAACTACTAATATGGTTGGATTTAAGTCTACCATCTTGGTATGCATTTTTAATTTATTCTATTTGTTCTTTATGTGTTTCTCTTTTCCTGTCTTCTTTTCACTGAACTGCATATTTTTTAGTATTCCATTTTTATTTCTTACATTGTCTTTTTAGCTATATTTTTTCTTTTCTTTTTAAGACACAGGGTCTTGCTTTGTTGCCCAGGCAGGAGAGCAATGATGTGATCACAGCTCACCGCAGCTTCTCAAACTCCTGGACTCAAGCAATCTTCCTGCCACAGCCTCCCTAGTAGCTGAGATTATAGGCACAAGCCACCGTGCCTGGCTCTAGCTGTACTTCTTTATGTTAGCTTTTAGTAGTTGCTCTAGAGATTATACTTTGATATCAGTTACTGCAGTCAATCTTGAAATATTATTCGAACAACATAAAAATTTTATTAAGAGTATTATTCCATTTATCCCTCCCCCCCTTGTGTTCTTATTGTCTTATATTTTACTTCTATATAAGCTGTAAACCCCATAATAAATTGCCATTATTATTGCTTTAAAAAGACAATAGTCTTTTAAAGACATTTAAATACACACACATAAGATAAATATAGTTTCTTTTTAAAAAGTCCTGTTCTTTTTACCCAAATATTTGCCCATTCTGATGCTCTTCCTTCCTGCTAATCTGGGGTTCTATCTGGTATCATTTACCCAAGTCTTTTAAAAAATATCTTTAGCATTTCTTATAGCACAGGTCTTCTGGAGACAAATTCCCTTGGTTTTCTCTATGTGAAAATGTCCTTATTTTGCCTTCATTTTGAAAGATATTTCATTAATTTTCCCCTTTACCTTCTCTAAAAACTCAAAGTCTAGGAAGAGGGTAGAACTATGAAACAGGACAAGTCAAATCAAAGACATAATGCTTAGATACAACAGATATTTCAAAGAAATCAGTTCACTAAAATTACAGAATATTTTATAAGACATAATGCTTAAATACAACAGATATTTCAAAGAAATGTCAGTTCACTAAAATTACAGAATATTTTATAAGAGTTTGGGATACTCTTAGCAACTGAAAGAGGTAACCGGAAGAAAAAAAGGTTGAAATGAGAAAAGAAAAAGGAGAGCAGTTACAGGCTCTTTACACCAAGAAACAGAATTTTTTTAAAATCTTGATATGCTTTGGCATTGACAACAGCATAAAAGCAGAATAATTCTTCTCCTTCCTCTAACCAGGAACTTCTTTACTACTGACAAATACTACTGACAAATACAGATTCTTCCCCATCATTCCCTTCTATAGTAGCTAAGATTCTCACATTTCTGAGCATATCTAAGCTCCCTACAGAAAGAAGTGTACCCAAAATAGCACAGAATGAAATAAGACTTTAAACTACACATCTCCAAATGAACAAAGACAGTAAAATTAAAACAAAATTCTTTTTCTTGCATTGGAATTCCTTTAAGAATAAAGAATACCAAGCACCCCTTCCACAGTAAATGCTCTATTCATTTAATGACTAGGAAAGAAAAACATGACAAGTTCCATCTAATGATAAGGCCAAAAAAAAAGCATTTAGGGCAAGAATTTTAATCTAATTTTTCATTAAGTTAATTATACTAGCTGTGTGGGATTACCTACTGGCAATGATCTATTCCTGACTCCTGTGCTCTTCCTCTGTGTAGCAAAGGATGGAAGCCTGAAACCTATATCGCTCAAACTATTTTGCCACCAGAGCTCTGGATATAATTTAGATTCTGCCAATAAGATGCACTTGCTTCAGATGTGGAAAGCAGAAGGGAGAGAGGGTCCATTTTTCCTCTGACCATGGTAGCAGCTGACGTGTAGGCTTTGGCAGACATGAATTTTTGAAGTACTAGGCTCCACATACCAATGCCAATAAGCAGCTTTGGGACTTTGGGGTACATGTGACATTGTTAATGACTGTCTGCAGCCTCTATTAGTATTAACAACCAATAAAGTTGCCTACTATAGTAGGTGAAAAAAGTTGGAGAGGCCAAGAGAAGCACACAGTAGATAATTACAGAATTTCAGAATGTCAGAGTTTGAGCTCACCTAGACTAGCCCTCATTTTATGTATGAAAACAGTTCCATAATGGTTAAAAACCCATGTTTCTTGTTATCCTTTTAATGTACTTTAGAACATAACACATACTGCTTCCAATTAGTCAGGAAATAATTAAATAGTTTAAGATGTTTCCATTAGCATGTAAACATGTAAACCTGGTGAAATATTTCCCATCCAAAAATAAAACTCTTTCTTGACTCCTGTAGCTACTCCATTTCTCTATTCCCATGTATAGGGATCACCCTGAAATAATTTTCTTCACTTCCCCCTCTATTATTACTTCCCTGAATCCACTTCAGTTGGCTTTTGCCATCACCACTCCAATGAAAGAACTTTCACGAAGGTCACTAACAAGTTCTGATGGTCAATTCCAAAAGTAATTTCTCACTCTTTATCTGAATCAGCATCTCTTAGCTCTCTTAGCCCCTGTAATTAACTGTTACATCCCCTTCTTTAAAAACTTTCTTTGCTTGAATTTTGGGACACCACTATCCCTACAATTTCTCCTATTTTACTGGCCAGCTACTCTTCTTCCTTTTCAAGTACTGGTTCCTCTTTCTCTTTCAACCTGTAATGTTGGAGATGGCCCAGAACTTGGTACCTCACTCTGTTTTCTTTCCTCTTTATTTCTCTCTAGCTAGTAGCACCACAAATTAAACTTCCAGTTTCAACCTCTCTCCTAAACTCCAGACCCAGATATTTGATTGTCCACTTGACTTCTCCACTTGAATGCCTAATAGCCATAACAAACTTAACATACTTAAAATTCTTGACTTCCACCTCTAACTGCTCCTTCCCCAGTACTGGTCTCAGTAAATGGTATCACCAATCATCCAGTACCTAAGCATAGGATTTATCATTATATCAACAATTTCCATCAGCTTTACTTTCAAAATATATTTGGCATCCAGGTACTTTCTGCCACCTTCACGACTACCACACCAGTATGGACCACAACAATTTCTCTCACCTAGCCCACTAAAATGGCTTCTTGTCTCCCTACTTCCAGTCATACTCCCCACCATGGTCCACTTTATGTAGCAACTACTAATTTTTTAAAATATAAATCATATCAAGTCACTCCCCTACTCAAACCTTTCAATGGCATCCCCTCAAACCCATGATGAAACCCAAAGTTCTCATCAAAGCCTATGAAGTTTGCTATGAGCCTACATCTGCTGCCTCTCCAATCTCATCTACCACTCTCCCCTCAGCCCCTGCATTCCAGTCGTACTCAGCTTCTTCATGTTCCTTCCTGAGGGTCTTTACATTTGCTGTTCCCTCTGTCTGGAAGCTCTTTCTCCAGATTTTCCCCTAAATCTTTTTTTTTTTCTTTTTTAGACGGAGTCTCGCTTTGTCACCCAGGCTGGACTGCGTGATCTCGGCTCACTCCAAGCTCCGTCTCCCAAGTTCATGCCATTCTCCTGCCTCAGCCTCCCAAGTAGCTGGGACTACAGGCACCCGCCACCACGCCTGGCTAACTTTTTGTATTTTTTAGTAGAGATGGGGTTTCACTGTGTTAGCCAGGATGGTCTTGATCTCCTGACCTCGTGATCCACCAGCCTCAGCTTCCCAAAGTGCTGGGATTACAGGCGTGAGCCACCACGCCCAGCCTCCCCTAAATCTTTACATTGTTATTTCAGTGACTTTTCTGCCTATGGCAAAAGCAATGTTCTCACCAAACCCTTGTCTTCTTCTCGAGCACACAGAAAGATACATGATCCCAGTCTTTCTAACAGTAGTTTGGGCAAAGTGACAGAGTTTTAGCCAACTAAACATTGGCTAAAAGCCAGGCCTGATTCTTAAAACATTTTGCACAATCCACCAAACTCTTTCTTCCCTAACATCTCAAGCAAGAAGCAAAGAATTTCAAGTTGTTGGGGCTACACAATAGAAGGAACCTGGATCCCTTACTCCCTGCTTGGAGAAAAGCAATCCTAGAAAGTGAAGTCAAATTTTGTGCAAGTGAAAAAATTTTATTCCATTAAGCTACTGAGATTTTGGGGCTGTTATAACAGCTAGCATTAATTACCTTAACAATGTTGTCTTAAAGTGGAACTTCTTCAGAGAAGCCTTCCCTGACCACTCAGTCTAGTCACTCATTTCTCAATTCAAATTCTAACCTCCTATGCTGCTTTGTGTTTCTTTAGAGAACTTAGCTCTAATTTTCAGTGTATTTGTGTATTTATTTATTTGCTTATTGTTTAGCTCTGCACTAGAGTGTAAGCTCCATTAAGGTAGGGACTTTATCATACCCATTACTTTATTTCAGGATCAAGAACAGTCCTTGGCTCATTATTGGGAACTTGCAGATGCCAGTTGCTAGTCTAAATTCTAACAACAAATATTTGATGAATGACGGAATGACTTAATGGTGTTTTGTGGCAAACAACATTGAGATGGAACCCCCACTTAACAGATTCTAAGTAAGACCTGTCATTAAACCATAGTAGTAAATGTCTAAGTTCAGAAATGGATGTCTTCATTTCCAAACTGCCCCAGGTCTTAACATTCTCTTTTTGAAAAGCTCTAAGAAAAGAGGAGATAAGCAGTATTATTTATTATACCATTGTGACAAAGACATTTGATATAGATATCCATGCATAGGAACTCCTGGCTTGAAAGCAAATTTGAAGGTGAGAGCAAGAAATAGCACGATGCCTGATCAGGGAACTACTAATACTATAAAACCTAAACTAGTGCTATAAAACCTGGGAGGAGGACTTCAGTGGCAATGATAGCTGCATCGGAAGCAGCAGGAGACAGTGGGAAGAGGCTAAAGCTCAAGTTTACCAACCTTCTAGGGAAGAGAGTAACCCAGCTGGGAGAAGCCTTCCAACAAATACGCCAACTATTGTTCAAAGACAAACAGAAACATACCTGAAGAATACGGGTTTTCTGTTGATTATTTGTCATTCTTCTTGACTTGGTCCTTTCTACTTCATGTCTATGAACCCATCCTCGAAGTTCATGATTTAACCTATAAAATATAGTTTAATTAATTAAACATAGAAATTAATTAAACATAGAAATGGATGTTTCACCCTGTGGGTGGAAATGAATCTAATCATTTGTAGGTTCCAAAGAGCATTCCAAGTGCCTGATGACTCAATATTGCTTTTTGATTTGAAAAAGTTGACACTTAACGTTGTTTTTAATAAGACATGCATTTTTACATGGTAAACCTGTCAACCATGCATTCAAACTTCAAAGAAAACTACAGCTAAATACCTCCCAAATATAAACACTGGATGCTAAGGTTTTTCCACCAAAAAAAGTATTTCCTTGCCAGGCACAGTGGCTTACACCTGTAATCCTAGCACTTTGGGAGGCTGGGGTGGGAAGACTGCTTGAGCCCAGGAGTTTGAGATCAGCCTGCGCAACACAGTGAGACCCTGTCTCTACAGAAAATTTTTTTAAAAAATTAACTGGGCATGGTGGCATGTGCCTGTAGTCCCAGCTACTCAGGAGGCGAAGGCAAGAGGATCACTTGAGCCTGGGAGTTTGGGGAAGCGGTGAGCTATGATCCAGCCACTGCACACCAGCCTGAGCAACAGAGCAAGACCCTGTCTAAAAATAAAATAAAATAAAACAAAACAAAATAAAAAGTATTTCCTATTTCTGTTCTTGGGCTATATAAACACAAACATTTGAGACACATTGTAGAGAACTTAACAAGTCATAGGACCCCTAACAACAAATAGATGCATTAAAACCTCTTGAAAATCATGCTCTTTTGGGAGAAGAAAAAGAATGAACTCAATTGCCTGGGGTAAAAAAAAATTCAAATTTTTCAACACACGAAATAAAAGCATAGCTCATATATAACTTCCCTTATTTTGCTTACTTTTTACAGCAGCTGTGAAGATGTTAAACTATGTTTAACTGTAGTTGATTACTACATATCACAAAAAATCTGAGGTAGTTTTTGAGGTTTTAAGGGTAAGGTCCAAAATCACAGGAAAAAAAAATTCAAGGGAAAAATTGATAAAGAAGTGTGTACTAACGGTAAAGTATCTCCAGAATCACATACCCACAAATTATTATCTTCCTAATTGGAAGAAAAAGGTACTTTCTGCTATGAATGTTACCAACTGTAAGCCTAACACCATGAAATTTTAATATTAATTTCATTCTGTAGTTTTTAAAGAAGACATATTTAAGTAAGCAACTATCACATAAAATAGACCCATCACCATCTCCATGAGGTTGGTGGAGAAACTGGACAACTAATATGCCTACAGTTATCCACAAATAATTCAGAGATTCTCTCAGTCACTTAGTGAACTTGACCAATTACTTGTCTAGGTTCCAAAACTAAACATGGGAACCAACTCAGATGTTTCTGCAATAATCTACAACACTCACCTGAGAGACTCTGTTGTGTTAATTAGGGGCTGACAAGGAGGTGGAGGAATGTAAAGCAATGGTTCTTCAGTTAGCACCATCAGGGCTTTGTCATTTGAAACAGAATGATCATATCTGAAACATGGATGCACAAAATTTGTTTCCTTGTATCTTAAATTCCTAAGAAGTTTGCTATAAGAAAATCATCATTAGTGTTAACTTTTCATGGAAACAAAAATATAGTAAACAGAATATACTGCAAGATAAAGTATAAAATACAAAACCTTATTTTACATGAAATGTCATTTTCTGATTTTCTACAGAGACAGGATGGTAATTCACATTTGTCTAATCACCATTTATTGAGCAATTAATTTGGAATAAGCGATACAATAACACATGGTTCATCATATCTTCAATGAGCTTAAGACATGCACAATGCTGCTGGTACAGAGGTAGTAACACAGTAACGGGGTAATTGAGGCGAAAATCAAGTGGTATTATGTGACCAGACTAAAGTTTAGGGGTCATTCACAATTCTATGATAATAAAATTGGATAGTATCTGTAAAACAGGTAGGGGTGTGTGTGTGTGTGTGTGTGTGTGTGTGTGTGTGTGTGTGTTAAGGATAGGGTGAGACACAATTCTATGATAAAACTGGATAGTATCTGTAAAACAGGTAGGGGTGTGTGTGTGTGTGTGTGTGTGTGTGTGTATGTTAAGGATAGGGTGAGACATAAAATGCTTGGCAGGAGAAAAGTGAAAGAGTTGAAAAGCCGAATATAAACTATGGGATCATGGAAGAATGTGAATCACTAATAAAACAACAGAGTGACTGACATTAACTAGTTACTCCATTTGCTTCAAAAATATATACTTTCCTAGCCATCGCACTGATGTAGATCATGTGAATTCATATCCAAGGTGTGACGTAGGGAGCAAAACTGGAGTTGAAAGTTAGAATTTGAGATGGGGATATTACTGTTATTTATGCTCTTCAGTCTGCAAT
Organism: Homo sapiens; assembly: GCF_000001405.40. Taxonomy (NCBI): domain Eukaryota; kingdom Metazoa; phylum Chordata; class Mammalia; order Primates; family Hominidae; genus Homo; species Homo sapiens. The sequence continues at coordinate 161,850,847 of NC_000001.11, read as the reverse complement.
CTTAATCTCTCTCACTAACAAAGCTTGCATCTCTCTTGAATTTCTTTATATAGGATGATCTGGATTTAGAAAACTAGATATGCTAATATCTCAAAAGAAAACATGTAAACATATAAAACTGAACATAGTGAGACTCACACTTTTCATTTATTCATTCAACAAATACTTGCTGCATACCAACTGTGCACCAGGTATTGTGCTAGGTGCTGAGAATCCAGTAGGGAATGAGAGAATCAAAGTTTCTGTCCCCAAAGACCTTAATGGGGAAGATGGACCAAATAGAAGAAAATAAATGCATAAAATAATCCGAACTCTAGTAAGTGCTATGAAAGAAACAAACAAATGGTTGAAATGGAAAAGCAATGGTAGTATATACTTTAGATAAAATGGTCCGAGAAGGAGATGGTAGTTACATCAAGGCCTAAATGATGAGAAGACGCCGCCTCTATAGAAACTGGGGTAAGAGCATTCTAGGCATAAAAGAGGCAGGTGGGGGAAAGGTGGGCTCAAAGAACTTTAAAAAGACCACTGGCTGAAGAGTTGCAAGCAAGTGGGGAGGTAGAGAGGGAACAGGATGAGGCTGGAAAGGAATCATAATAAGGTCATAATAAAAGACCAGGTCATAATAAGGAATTACTAAATGTAATAAGAAGTCATAAAAGTGTTTCAAATAAAGAAGTGATATATTTCAATTTACATTCATACCTTGCCATGGTACCAAAAATGGACTCAATGGAGGCAAAAGGGGAAGCTGAGACACTGATTAGGAAAGAGCTATGGCAATCCTGGCAAGAACTGATGATGGCATGGACTAGGTTTGTGGCAGCAGAGACGGAGAGGAGTGGACCAATTCAAGACAATTTTGGGGAAGAGTATCAACAACACTTGTTGAAAGACAGGAATCAGGATTTCTGGCTTAAGCAATGGAAAGGAAAAAACACAGTTGTAGAAAATTGGTTGGAAGTAAAACAGGGAGAGGAACTGAGTTCCACAGTGCACATGTTAAGTTTGAAATGTTAAAACAGAGATGTCAAAGAGACTATTGGATATGTGACTCTGGAGACTCAGAAGAGAAGTCTGGACTGAAAACATAAATTTGAGAGTCATCAGGACATATAGATATGAACTGTGCATGAAATTATAGATGAGTCACCTAGGCAGAAAGAAAATAAAAAAAGTTTACAGTTCCAAACCTTGAGAGTTGGGTAAAAAAAGAGCCCACAAAGATTACTGTGAAGCAGCAGCCAATAAAAAAAGGAAACTAAAAAACCATAGTAACACAAAAGGAAAGTCTTTCAAGGAGCAAATGACCCACACAGCCAAATGCTGAGGAAAGGGCAAGTAAGATGGCAGAAAGCACTGGCCCCTTAACAGAAATAACTCTGGCAGAGTGGAAGGCTAACTTCAAGTTAAAAGTTAGAGATAGCTATTTATGCCACACACGAGAGAAAAGAAACAATAGCAGAGGATATATAGAACATTCTTCCCTGCAACTTGCACCAGGAATATTCTCAATGTCCTCTCTTGTGGCTGTAAGGGTTAAGTAGGTTTAAGTTGTTTGGAATAAAACAGACATGTTGGTGCACAGGTAATGAATGCAAACACAAAAGGATCAGCCTAAAATGAAGCATTGAGTGAGAAGGAAAAAAAGTATCTGTCTTGTGTTTGATAAATCTGAATGCCTCTAAGAGGAGGCTGCTTAACACCTCTTCTTATAAATCTATGACATACGCATTATTTTAAAAATCATGCCTGCATACTTAGAAAAATACAAACACTGTAGTCCATGAGAAAAGTCCAAAACTGCTTTTGAAAATATATTTGTGATCTGAACTCTAGTAATGATTTCTGCACATCTGTGCTAACTGGCTTTGTTCTATCAGCCAAAAATATTCTTTGGAAAAAAAAAAAAAAAGTCTGATAGGAGAAATACCAGGACAAGGATTGGGTGGAGTTAAAGGAGAGAGAAAATCAGCCAACATACAATCTGGAGACAATTAGACCAACATTAGCCCAGGAACAGTCAGAGTTCGAGTCTGCTTGCAAACATTTTATGCCAAGAGAAAAAAATTCAACAAATAAATCATTAAAGTAAATAAAGTAAAGGACAGTGCTAGGGAGCTAGAGTTAATGAGAATTCTTGGAGTAAAGATCAGTTCTGGGTGACATCTTATATAGGGTGACCATCCTTTCTCATTTATCCAAGACAGCAGTACTGGTATTCTGATGTAATTATTACTAGCACTACCTTTCCTTCTTAAGAGTGTCCCAGTTTGATAGAACATTATATGGTCATACTATTTATATGCCACACATTTCTATGACTGAAAAAATATAAGCAGTTAATTACTAAATGATAGGCTAATACAATATTATAAACTATGGGATTAGAATCTACTCATTTTTTATTTGAACCATGTCTCATAGCTCTCCTTAGAAAAAGAAACATAAAGTAAGCTGCATTAAAAAAAATGTATAGGTATCACGGCTGAAAATAGATAAAACATCTAAAATTCAGTTCAGAACACAGAACAAAGTAATATTAGGTGCTTTCAAATGTTTCACAAACATTTTTTGGTATCTTTTATTCAGTATTTATACTGATAAAATCAAGAACATCAAATTAATGGACTGACATTTATTTAAATCTCTCAAGTTGCTGAAAAATATTTCAAAGGACTTGCATGGAATCAAGAATCCATAATCTTTCCTGGGTTGTTTTTTGGTTTTTTTTTTTCCCCAAGACCAGTAACCCAGATTATTCACTCAATGGTGACTTTGGAGAAGGGAGGGAAAAAATAGCTTGCATCCCATGTACTACTCTGAAAGCTGATAAATTTCAGCCAGAAAGTCATTCAGACTTTTAGTTTGAACTAGTATGATCAGACTACTATGCTTTCTGGGAGCCACCATGTTATCTTATGCTAATGTGGAAGGCTTCTACTTGCTGCAGTTAGTGCAGAATAAATAATATTCTTGTAAAGCTTACCTGAACTGTAATTTCAAGCATTCAATCCATAACTTGTTCTATTCTTTAGCAAGACGCTATCTCAACTCTCGTAAATCCAAAGGCTATTAGATTTAAATTTAATTTTTGATGGATCTTATGTGGACACTAACAGAATTCAAAATTATAGAACACGTAGGGCAAACCTGCACAAATTACTTATGAAAATTAAATATACTATTAAACTCTACCAATATTCAGGGGCACCGTTAAGAGATCATCAAGGTGAATATTTTAAGAAGTATGATGAATTTTGGCATGTAAAAAAGCAGGAAATGCTATGTTTTCCAACATTATGACATCTATCATTGCTATGTTGCGTTGCAGCTACTGCCATAAAATCCTTTGGGTCCTCCACTGACTTGGCATACTGTACTCCACAAAAATAACAGTTTTTTCAGGAAGGCTAAGTGGAGACAAGCCTGCAGGATTGTGGTGATCATCTTTCAACAGTATGGATGTAACACAGTAAAAATCAGGAAGAAAGATTGCCCTCAACCTACAAATCCTTAAAGAGATAAAAGTAAACAAATCTGTAATAATTTTCAAGCATTATACTGTGCAATAGTTACCATACTGTGACCTCCCTTTGCCTTGTTAGTCAAGGACCTGGCTCCATTTGGCTCTAATACAAATTCTAAATAACACAGGGAAATGTTTATCAAAAAGTATACAACTATAAAAATGTCCACTATACCTTCTTCTAGTTAACATAATATAGAAATTGCATTTTTATACAATTAAAGCCTTTTGCTATTGACAAGCAATATGGAAATTTATCAAGTCATTATTAAATTGCAACAAGGGAGGGATTCAACAAAGATCACAATAAATGAGTATAAATGATTTTACCTAATGACTGCAAATAGGTTCAATCATGTTATTCCACCATATCATATCCATCCACAGGTGAGACAGTAACAAATATTAGATGTATTATATGTATAAACACATGATAGATAAAATAATTATTAAAGACATTATATATAATATGTATATATTTCAATATGTATATTAATGCACACAAACTGAGATTTTAAGATTACATCTCTATAGGAATTTTAAAACTACAAAAGGTTTCAAAGTAAATTTAATTTTACAATATTAAAAGTAAAATGTATTAATGGTTTCAGTAATTTATGTGTTCTACTACTCAAAATATACACGAACAATTTAGATGCAATGTTATACTACAGATAATTCTCTTGTTTCAGCTTCATTAAATCACTTAGGCCAAAAGATAGATGCATGCCATCTTACCTGTAGCTGTTTTTCTGGATAATACCATCTGATGTGTCCTGTGCCTCTTTAGCAGAAAATCCTAGAAGGTGCCTCCTTTGATTTGCAGGGCTCACACTAGGGTTCATTCTCCTGGAATCCTGTTCCAACATGCTGAAAATAAAAAACAGGAAATAATAGCTGAAATAAAAATATGTCACACATATGCCTGCTACATGCAGCTGTGAAACAAACCACAATTCCTTTGCAGATCCATGCACGTAACAAAAATGCTAGGCATAGACGCAAGTACAAATAGGGTACTGAAGGTGTTCAAATCCTTAGCATGGTAACCTGCACATATCAAAAACAATTTTTCTAAGTATAAAAGTACCTTATTTATAAACTGTTTAAACAATAGTAGTGTTCTATATGTTTTAAAAACTTGATAATTACATGTATATATGAAGTAGAAATAAATACGACACACCTAAAAACAAATTTTAAACTCCAATAATAACTGAAATAAGAAGGCCTCCTGGATGGTGCAAACTGGTGTTTTCAATGAGAGAATACTTCAAATGAAGTAGGAATAAAAGTCAAATTCATTGTTAGCCTTTCACAATTCCAGAAGGCAGGCTATCAGATAAAGCTAAGAAAAAAAAATTTTTTAAATACTTCTATTTGTATTTATATGTAAAAACTTCTATTCTTTCTCCCTACCCTCCCTAATATCTTCACTCATCAATGTATATCCTCTTCAGAGGCATAAGCATTTGGAGAAAACAACAAAATATATACATATAAGCAAATACTGCCTACTTAACTTTTTTTTTTTTTTTTTTTTGAGACAGGGTCTCACTCTGTCACCCAGGCTGGAGTGCAGTGGCACAATCACAGCTCACTGAAGCCTTGACCTCCTGGACTCAAGCAATCCTCCCACCTCAGCCCCTCTGAGTAGCTGAGACTATAGGCATGTGCCACCACATCTGGCTAATTTTTATTTTTTTTAATTTTAGTAGAAATGAGGTCTCACTATGTTGCCCAGACTAGTCTCAAACTCCTGAGCTAAAGCTATCCTCCCACCTTGGCCTCCCAAAGTGCTGGGATTACAGATGTAAGCCACTGCGCCCAGCCTTAATTAACACTTTTAACTCATTAATAGTGCTTAGGAACTTGGCTCATCAATAAGACTTTGTGTGTGTGTTCGCACTTTGTTTTATGATGCAACCCACACAATTTACACTACTCATAAAATTCAACACAAAGGGAATCTCCCTAGAGAAGCACAAAAGATTCTATTTGGAGGGATAAAATGCAAGAGGAAAGTAAGGCTAATGAAAAAGGGTAGTTAAGGAGCCTGTGGTTCTAAAGGAAAAGCGGTTCTTTGAGATAATAGTAGTTTGTCTCCAAATTTGGGGAAATCAGTGTTGGGGGAAAACGGGGAGCAGACACACCTCTCTAGAATATTTTTCTGATCCCTTAATATATTTTCCATTCTCCTCAATTCTTCACCCCCAGAAATCATTGCTACCCAGTGATTCTCACATGGTATGCTTTAGCACTTGGGCATACTGCAAACTCTTCAAAGGTGTACCACCAATTAAAGCCATTGTGTAACATTTAATTTTGCTACAACTGAGGCTATATTTTGTCATAGCTGTATCATTCAGACTAAAGGTTTACCTGAGCAGTCACACATCAATATAAACCTTGCCACAAATGAGGTAAGAGACCTAGTGGAATGTCTGTCTAAACTTAAGAAAAGTCACCCTGATGAGTATTTAAGAAAACATGAGAGAAGCAGAAAACAATAGCAATTTGGGAGGGAAGTCAAATGAAGAGTGTGATGACAACTAAGAAATTTTATTTCTTCTTTAGGAAACTAACTTTAAAAAAAAAGTGTTTACTTTTTCTTTCAAGCATGGTGCCAAAAATTCTAATTATGAAAGTAAGCTATGAATAAAATCAAAGTTAAGAACTTTCCCCTAAGTTTAGAGAATCTCAATTAATTCAACCCCTACTGACCCCGCTATTGTTATTAGTGAAATATCCATATACTAATGTTCCTGTTTGGTGGAAGTACTCACTCCCTGATCCCTCCAGTATCTCTACCACCCTAATTATTAAGAGTTTCCCCTTGTTTTAACTAGAAATGTGCTTCCTTTTTAAAAAACAAAAAACAAAAAAACTTCCACCTTTTGATACTAGTTCTGGATTCTGTGGCTATCCAGAACAAGTCTAAGTAAGCCTTCTTCTAATGTCCAAAGACATCTAACATCCCCCTTACCCCAGGCTTTCTTTTTCAAGATTATAGTTTCTTGATTCTTTCACATGCTCCTCTTTACAGCATAGTCTGAAGTTCCTTTAGCATATTTGATCACTGTCCTATAAACATGCTTCTCAGAGGTAATGTCCAGAATTGGCCACAGTACTTCTTAGGTAGTATGACCACTACAGAATGGAAAAGGATAATTCCTCCATTTGTTCTAGACACTGTTGTTCTACTGATGCAGTCTAATATCGCATAGGCTTTCCTGGCAGTTATATTACACTCTATTTATATTGAGCCCAGTGTAATTAAAACCCTAAGTCCTTTCACACAAATCGATTTTGAACCATTACTTTTGCTTCTCTTCCTATCCCACCTCAACTCTGAATTTGTGTAACTGAGTTTTAGGATCCAGCTGAATAATTTATATCAATTCCTTTAAAAACACTTACCTACTAATCAATCAAGAACTTTTAGGCTCCTCATTAGCAAAAGAAATTCTTCCAAGAAAGTATCAGCATGCCATCAATATCCTGTACTGAGTTGTTATTAAAATAAAAAGCTCCTTCTAAATCTGTAAAAACGTAGGTTTATCTACTTATGAATTAACTGAAATACCACCTAGGTCAAAATTTCCCATCTTGACCATAAAGATATCACAAGAATGTTAAATGCTCTTCTAAGATGCAAATACAGTATATTTTAACAGTAGCTACCACTTTTGAGTACCTACTATGTACTAAGGAAATGAAGGCTCAAAGGAAGTTGAAGCTCAAAGAGTTTAAACAGTTTGCCCAAGTTTATGCTCTAAATAACTAAGAAAGTCAGGATTTGGATTCAGGATTGGAATTCCATCACTGCACTATGTTGACAACATTTCCCAGAATGAATGATTCATCCATTAATTTATTCATGTAGTAAATACCTATTATGTTCCAAGAACTATATTTGGTGCTAATGACTCAAAGATGAAAGATAAAAAAAATCAGAATACAGCAAGTCTTCAAACAATGCTGGTTCATGCAATGTCATTTTGTGATAACACTGATGACAAAAAAAAAGTCAATTCCCAGCCAAGGTCACTGTCTGTGTGGAGTTTGCATACTCTCCCCAAGTCTGCATGAGTTTCCTGTGGGTACTCCAGTTTCCTCCCACATCTCAAAGATGTGCATGTTAAGTTAACTGGCACGTCTAAATGGCTCCAGTCTGAATGAGTGTGCGGAACATGCGTGAGTGCACCCTTCAAAGGGATGGCACCCTGTCCAGGGTTAATTCTTGACTTGTGCGCCGAGCTACCAGGATAGGCTCCAGCCATCTACCACACTGAACTGCAATAAACGCATTGGAAAATACAAATCATTGTAAAATAAAAATGTGTACAGTATACAATAATCATACAAGTGCATGACAATAAATGATGTATGAAAGCTCTCAGCAAGCCTGCCATATTTGTGATTGTTTTTGAACTGTGTGGTAGGATGTGCTCCTTTCACTTTGAAAACATTTATTCCTTGATTTAAACCACCACTACTATAACCACTGTCACTCACTGATTCACCAAAAACTGGATTAATAATTATCTTTTTTTAAAATTTTTTATTTCCATAGGTTTTTGGGGAACAGGTGGCATTTGGTGAGATGAGTACGTTGTTTAGTGGTGATCTGTGATATTTTGGTGCACCTATATCCCAAGCTTAGCTCCCACTTATGAGTGAGAATATAACGCTGTTTGGTTTTCCATTCCTGAGTTACTTCACTTAGAATAGTCTCCAATCCCATCCAGGTTGCTGCGAATGCTATTAATTCATTCCTTTTTATGACTGAGTAGTATTCCATCATATATATATACCACAGTTTCTTTATCCACTTGTTGATTGATGGGCATTTGGGTTGGTTCCACATTTTTGCAATTGCAAATTTTGCTGCTATAAATATGCATGAGCAAATATCTTTTTTGTTTAACGACCTCTTTTCCTCTGGGTAGAAACCCAGTAGTGGAATTGCTGGATCAAATGGTAGTTCTACTTTTAGTTCTTTAAGGAATCTCCACACTGTTTTCCGCAGTGGTTGTACTAGTCTAGGTGACTTTACCAATGTTTGAGAACCATTATTCTAAACTAATCCTGTTTTTCACATCTTTCCTATCTCAGTTCCCTAAAAGGTACACATTTTTACAATAGATTCAACAGAAGTGGACAGTTTGGAAATAGGGACTGGGGGAGTTTGGAGGGACATGAAAAAGTACAAAGTGGCTATTTGTATGACTTATGGATAATTTATAAATTGAATTAATTCAGAACTATTGATACTTTAAGGTTTGTAAAGAATTCTTCTACTAATCATTGTTCTTTTAATGATTTTACTAACACTATGTAAACTGGCATTTCACCTCACAATTCATGGCTGTTAACAGGCAAATGCTTTGAGCTTAACTATCCTTGTAGTCTATCCCATCTGTATCCAGGCTGCTCTATAATCACTTGGCAGCTGTACTTACTGGAAATCAGTTTTAATGTTGATTGGTTTGGCTCATAAGTGGTCACTATTTTTCCAAGTGCCCACTTTGGTAATGATTATCACATTGTAATGACAATATACCCTTAACCATAGCTATTTCAGTAACTTTTAGCCTTTTTTGAGTTAAGGAGCTCAGACGCATTCAATGAGCTTCACAAAAATTATCTTATTTACATTACACAGAGTCAATAAAGTATTTTCAACAAGGGAGTCATGATGAAACAAAATTTAGGATCCAAATAGTCTGTGGGTCTCAATTTTATTATCTATCCATTGGCTAGAATATATTTTGAAGAGGTAATATATTAATAAATTCTGCTAAGAATCTTTTAACGTTTTTCACTTGTTTGTTTTTGGTTGTTATTATTTTTTGGCCTACATTCCCTGTAGTTTTTTTGTCTTAAAATGGAATTTCTCTTAAGCTAAATTACAGACAAGTTGATTGTCCAATTCAGCTAAAAAAACATTTAAATACTTGAACTCTATGAAATGACCCACAGAAACTAATTTTAACCATCTGAATAACTACAGGTTTGTATTTCCCTTATTTTTATTAACATCTGAAAGACAGGTAAGAACTTCATTTCGCTGCCAGAATTCAAGATTGTTTTAGTACGACTGTGACATCACAAATATTGAAAGGAATTTGACAGATCTTGTAATGGTCAAATGTATAAAAGAGTATGAGAAAATTATTATTTATATGAACTTTTAGATTCTTGCCATGAGTGCTTTTGCATCATTCAAATGTCCCCTTTTGTTAATTTTAGAAAAATTAGATTTCCAAGAACTCAAAGAAATGACTCAATCATAGTAAGGATTAGTATAATGAATGCGCATTTGGTGACTGTTTCTAGTTCATAATATTAATAAAGCAATCTAACCAAACTTTGTATAATTGCTTAAATCAGGTTCTACTCAGTACGTTTAAAACAAGCTACAAATATTAAGAAAAAAGAAGAAGTCTCTAGCTGTCTCTATGATCAGAAACATGCTAGTCCAAAGAGTCACAGTAGTTTTAGGCCACAAAATAATCATTACACCAATAAACCTTGCTCACATTATGGGCCATTGGTCCTGAAAAGCATGGATTAATAAAACACAAATGATTTCAATTTCCCCGAAAGTCTGGAAAAAGTATTATAAGAATTGTTACCTTACTTTTTCATTTATTAAATTCTAAAAGCCAACAACTGTTTTAGATTATTTATGAAGCCACTTAATCCTTACAGTGTGGTTTCAGATACTCAGTCTTCATACCAAGTAGCTGAACAAAAAATGGCATATCTCCAAGTCTATTCTACTCCTTGCAAACCTGCTTTCTTATGGTACAAGTAGGTCAATTTTGAATTCAAGCCATCTTACCAGGTAAGAACCATACTGCTTCTTATCCTTAAAAGAAACTGCTTCTTATCCTCAAAAGCTGCTGCTGCTCTGTGGCTTGGAGAGCCACACACAAAAAGCTGAAATTACGTTAAGATGAAAAGAGCAGGGAGATCTTCAGGTTTTAATGTGAAATAGTGGAATGAGCACAAAATTTGGAGACAGGAGATCTGGGTTCAAGATGTTACTCTGAGACTGCTCACTTGAGTATGTCTGGGATACTTGGTCAACTTCTCTAAGCCTCCAATTCCTCACATGTAAAACATGAAAAATAACAAATATTTCACAAGGTTTTCCTGAGATTCAAATGAGACAACAGATGGAACATGGTTTATAAAGCCCAAAGATGACACAGAGCAGGACACTTGTCTTCCTGCCTACCAGGTTCAGGCTAGTGGCAACATAGTAACTAAAGTGATCCTTTTAAAATCTAGGTCAGATTATTATGTCACCTCTGCTCAAAACCTTCTGATGGCTTCCCATTTCTATCATGGTAAAAGCCCAAATCTTTAAAACGACAGAAGTCTTACCTCAATTGACCTCTCCCTGTATCTCACCTCTCTGACATCATCTCCTACTACTCTCTCTTTAGCAAAGCCACCTTGTTTTTCCTTGAACATGCAAGACACATTTCCACCCCAGGATCCCTGCAATGGCTGTTTCCTCTGCCAAGAATGCTGTTCTTCCTCAGATATCCATATGGCTAACCCTCTCCTCTCCTTTAAGCCTTGGCTCAAACACCTGCCTTACAGTGATCACCATTTAAAACTACAGTCCTGGCAGGGAACAGTGGCTCACACCTGTAATCCCGGAATTTTGTGAAGCCAAGGTGGGCAGACTGCTTCAGCCCAGCAGTTTGAGACCAGCCTGGGCAACACAGTGAAACCTCATCTCTACGATAATAATAATCATAATACAATAATTAGCTGGGTGTGGTGGAGTGTGCCTGTGGTCCCAGCTCCTCAGGAGGCTGAGGTGGAACAATCGCTTGAGCTCAGGAGGTCAAGGCTGAGTGAGCCGTGATTGCATTGCTGTACTTCAGCCTGGGGAACAGGGCAAGACCTTGCCTCAAAAAAAATTAAAAATAAGTAAATAAAACTACAGTCCCAACAACTACCCTTCAACATGTAAAACCATTTACCCTACTATACTTTATCCCTTTGTCCAAAGAATTTATAATTTTCTCATTTTACTTATGTTTATTGTCTCTCTTCTTGTTAGAATGTAAGCTAAGGGGTGTTCTAGTTCCTGGTTCATAAGAGGTATTCCTTTTTCAAAAAATAAACAAATAAATAAACTTCATGCACCATCTGCCTCTTGTCAAGATCTACATTTTAGGGAAACTAACCCACAACTCAAGAATGGCAGGTGGTGAAGTCACTATTACACCATTTCCAGATCCAGGAACAGAACATTATGTTAACTTTCAATGCAACTGAGACTAAAAGGAGGAAAAAATGGGGAGTTTTCAAGGTAGTTTCCAAATTTTAAAAAGGTTTTCTTTTCTCTGTTTATTGAATGGTTCAGAGATGATTTTTGCAGCCTAGTAGTAACTGGGGGTAATTTATTAGAAACATAAATGTGGTTAAATGAAGAAATAGACCTTCAAGTCAAGATAAAAGAACCCTCTAAATAGCAGTTCTCAGAGCCAGGGATTACCGTGCTCTGGGAAGAAACCTGCACTTTACAGTGGCTATTTGCCAAATGGGCCAACATGAGCAAGAAAACAACCTGAGATTCTTTCATTCATTCAATAAGCAATTATAAAGCAAGCACTATTCTAATAGATGATGCTTATTCTTGGAACCCAGACACTAAACTGTGAGGAAACCCATGCAGCTGTGGAGAGGTCCAAATGAAGAAAAACCAAGAACCCTGGCCCACATCCCAGGCTCAGGTCCCAGCTGAAAGCCGTCACCAACTTACTGGCCATGTGAATGAGCCAATCTGAAAGTGGGTCCTCCAACCTAAGCCACCCCAGCTAACACTCCACGGAGGCAAAGAAGAACTGTCTGTCCTGAACTCTGCCCAATTTGCAGATTTCTTTACCAAAATAATAACTGCTGTTGTCTTAAGCGTTTAGGTTTTGGGGTGGTTTGTTCCACAGTATTAGATAACTGATACTCTATAGTAATTAGATTGCTGACATCACTGAGTCAGTGTTTAATATAAAAGGTGTGTGTGTGAACAACTCTTTGTATATTTCTCACTACAGAAAAGTATCCTCTGATTATTCTAAATGTCAAAAAACATGGCTGTAAATTTGAGTACAATCTCTCTTTTCTGTTATACTTACATCAATCCAGTCAATTCATAAGCTACTTTCCCCTATCACAGCCAATCCTAAGCTTTAGGGAAACGGGCAGAGTTACTAAAGTCCTAACTCCTCTAACTGTAAATGCCAACTCCTTTTTCTCTGCCTGAGTGGCTGTTGCTCTGTCAGTGATTAAGCCAAGGCTCCAGAGGCAGATTGTGATTCTGATCTCTGCCACATATTAGCTGTGTCTTCGGTTTCCTCATCTGTAAATCAGGAATAATAATACCTGCCTCATGGCACTAGGAGGAACAAATGAATTAATCCATATATCAAATAGAATACTTGGACTAGTATTTAGTGCATAAAACGTAATTAGTATTTGATAAATAATGGCTTAATACAACACGCAGAAAAAACTAGCTACCTTTACTACCCAAGCACACATGGTATCAACCCATAGCCAACCTAGCTTATTCCACAACTAAGAATCTTCACCTGTTTTCATCCTCTTTTCTTCCAACTGCCTTATTTCCATTTATCTCTCATTGTTAATTTACCAAAAAAAAAAAAATGGGAGAAAGGAAAAATAAAAGCAAGTAATTGAGAAATCTGCTTTATTGGGAATTCTGGGAAAGGGCTGAGACAGAAAATAATATAAGGTACATAGATCGTCTGTACATTCCGTACTTCTGGCTCCTCAGAGGCCATGGATTGTGATAAACTGACAGTGTGCATAACATACTAAGGCCAATTTATGTTCAGAACACACAGACACCAAAAAGTCCAAAGGCACGGCACACACCTGCAGTTCATACTGACATTAGTCATAAATCAATTAAGAACCATTTGTAGAATGACACTTAAAATTATGTTTCAAATGCTCACTAATGTGACAAAACAGCTCAATCTGGAGACAAAAAAGACATGAATGGCAAACTGCCTAGAAGTCTAAGCAATATATAATAATTACATATGTACTTCTGTACATTCAAAAGCTTCAAAAGTATCCTATACTACCCTTAATATTAGCCTAGACCTTCACTTGTTACAAAATTAAGATGTTTATTTCCTTTATTATTTATGTTCTGCAGCACTTACACAGCATGATTCCACCCAGCTATATTAAGTACTGAAAATGGTGGTTGAAAATGCTATTTCACACAAACTATCCACTAGTCCTTGTTTTATGTTAACTAAGATGTATGGTCTGAAGAACATATCGAAGTACTCAACTTAAACTCTGATAGTAGTTTTCTCACCTGGCCTAGTTTCTCACCGACCCCTTCTCACTAGGTAGAAAGCAGAAGAGATAAATTTCCTTTTATCTCTTAAGTTGGCAAGGGATGTAGGTTTCTGGTTTCAGCTGCCTTTCCCTTCATTACAACAATGAAGTGTGGGGAAAAAGTAGCCAAGTGATACAAGGTAAAGCCACTAGGATGCTCCTTATAAGCCTCCCTATGTACAACTCACATGAAAGCCAAAACTAGAGAAAAGCATCAACAGAATTTTCCATGCCCTCAAAACCCAGCTCTGCACTTGATAGGTTCTAAGACATCTTTTTCAACAAAGGATGAAATCTACAGAGAAAAGAGAACCAATTACTTTGTGTAGACACATTTTTGACAAACATGAATACGTTAAGACTATTTGAGGAAAGGACTGCCTTTGGCTCTGTTACCCTCCTGCAATTCCAGATTCAGTAACACCTGGTACTCAGATACATTGTATTTCTTCAGTTCATGTGTCACTTTGATAAATGTGGAAAGTACTTTTAGCCAAAAACTCAAATTAGATTTCATTTAAAAATCTGGCTGAACAAAACCGTGTATACTTGGTGGTTTGAATTCTGACGTTTAAGTTACACGGTAACTTTTAACCTACAGCCAATAGTGATATCATATGGCGAAATGTGCTCAACAACAACAACAAAAAATTGGAACCAGATTTGGAGACAAGCTCATCTCAGGATAAGAAGCTAGAATTCTTCCTATAAAATAATGAAAAGCTGACAAACTCAGAGAATGCTGGAATAGAAACATTTTACTTCTAACCAGTTCCACATGACTCAAACTCAATGCCATATGCTCCGTGGTTACCTTTTCCTTAAAGCACAGTCTCATAAGAAAACCACAGAGTAACTGGCCCACTAGTAGCATGATTTACCCTTCCTCATCCAAGTCTGATGTCTCAAACTATAAAGATTCCAGACCTAGTGAGGGCGCAGCATTAACCCAGAACAAAAACAGGGTAAAAGCACTGTCAATTCCAAACATTTGTTAATTTTTTTAAGACCTAACTAAAACATATTTAAAACCTCCTTAGTATGTTCATTTATGATTTGCAGCAAAGGAGGATGACTATAGTGACCTTTAAAATAGAAAGGGGAAAACATAACAAAGGAATCTATAATCTGCAATCCTATGTGCCAGGAAGAAGTTCCCTTCACAGATTATGCTGTGGCCCCTACTCTGTCCAAAACAGAGGTCCATAAATGTCCTCAAGTATATGAGACAAACCTATCTATACAGAGGTGTCTGTCTAGAGACATTTTAATAAAAACTTCCCTTACGTACATTATCTTATAATCTAATGAATAAGTGCTTTTACAATTTCCATAGTGGCTAATGTATAGGAAGAAAGAAATACAAAACTATACAAAACAATGTATAGGAAGAAAGAAATACAAAACTACACACAACAGTTTTCAACCCTAGACATACTTCAGAATCTCCTGGGAAAAATGTTTGGTTTACAAACAAATGCCTTTGACCTACCCTATCAGACTTCATAGGTCTTGGGTAGGGCTCAGTTAGCAATATTTTTAAGATTCCAGAGTAAGGCTGGGCATGCTGGCTGACATCTGCAATCCCAACACTTAAGGAGGCTGAGGCAGGAGCATCACTTGAGCCCAGAAATTCGAGACCAGCCTGAGCAACATAATAAGATGTCATCACTTCAAAAAAACTTTTTTAAATGAGCCAGGTACGGTGGTGTGTATCTAGAGTACTAACTACTCAGGAGGCTTGAGCCTAGGAGTTCAAGACTGCAGTGAGTCATGATCATGCTGCTGCACTCCAGCCTGGAAAACAAAGCAAGATCCTGTCTCTAAAAATAAAAATAAAAAATAAAATTAAAGACAATTCAGGTTATACATTTTTTGGGACAAGAACATCATAGAAGTGATACTGTGCCCTTCTCAGTGCATCCCATCAGGAGCTGCAGATGTCAATATGTCTCATGACTGGGAATGTTACTTTATTCCTTAGTTATGGTGGCATAACCTCTTGTCCAATATCTCTCACATTTTCTATCTCTCTGTCTCCCTGTGTTACATTCTATATAATTTCTTCAGATCCATCGTCCCATTCACTATTTCTTTCTTCAAGTATATCTATTTTTTTGTTTTGTTATTATTATTATTATACTTTAGGTTTTAGGGTACATGTGCACAACGTGCAGGTTTGTTACATATGTATACATGTGCCATGTTGGTGTGCTGCACCCATTAACTCGTCATTTAGCATTAGGTCTATCTCCTAATGCTATCCCTCCCCCCTCCCCCCACACCACAACAGTCTCCAGTGTGTGATGTTCCCCTTTCTGTGTCCATGTGTTCTCATTGTTCAATTCCCACCTATGAGTGAGAACATGCGGTGTTTGGTTTTTTATCCTTGCAATAGTTTGCTGAGAATGATAGTTTCCAGTTTCATCCATGTCCCTACAAAGGACATGAATTCATCTTTTTTATGGCTGCATAGTATTCCATGGTGTATATGTGTCACATTTTCTTAATCCAGTCTATCATTGTTGGACATTTGGGTTGGTTCCAAATCTTTGCTATTGTGAATAGTGCCGCAATAAACATACGTGTGCATGTGTCTTTATAGCAGCATGATTTATAATCCTTTGGGATTATAAATCCTTTCCATGTTTAGTGCTTCCTTCCGGAGCTCTTGTAGGGCAGGCCTGGTGGTGACAAAATCTCTCAGCATTTGCTTGTCTGTGAAGTATTTTATTTCTCCTTCACTTATGAAGCTTAGTTTGGCTGGATATGAAATTCTGGGTTGAAAATTCTTTTCTTTAGGAATGTTGAATATTGGCCCCCACTCTCTTCTGGCTTGCAGAGTTTCTGCCTAGAGATCAGCTGTTAGTCTGATGGACTTCCCTTTGTGGGTAACCCAACCTTTCTCTCTGGCTGCCCTTAACACTTTTTCCTTCATTTCAACTTTGGTGAATCTGACAATTATGTGGCTTGGAGTTGCTCTTCTCGAGGAGTATCTTTGTGGCGTTCTCTGTATTTCCTGAATTTGAATGTTGGCCTGCCTTGCTAGATTGGGGAAGTTCTCCTGGATAATATCCTGCAGAGTGTTTTCCAACTTGGTTCCATTCTCCCCATCACTTTCAGGCGCACCAATTAGACGTAGATTTGGTCTTTTCACATAGTCCCATATTTCTTGGAGGCTTTGTTCGTTTCTTTTTATTCTTTTTTCTCTAAACTTCTCTTCATGCTTCATTTCATTCACTTCGTCTTCCATCGCTGATACCCTTTCTTCCAGTTGATCGCATTGGTTACTGAGGCTTGTGCATTCGTCACATAGTTCTCGTGCCATGGTTTTCAGCTACATCAGGTCCTTTAAGGACTTCTCTGCATTGGTTATTCTAGTTATCCATTCATCTAATTTTTTTTTCAAAGTTTTTAACTTTTTTGCCATTGGTTCGAACTTCCTCCTTTAGCTCGGAGTAGTTTGATCTTCTGAAGCCTTCTTCTCTCAACTCGTCAAAGTCATTCTCCGTCCAGCTTTGTTCTGTTGCGGGTGAGGAGCTGCGTTCCTTTGGAGGAGGAGAGGCGCTCTGATTTTTAGAGTTTCTGGTTTTTCTGCTCTGTTTTTTCCCCATCTTTGTGGTTTTATCTATCTTTGGTCTTTGATGATGGTGACGTACAGATGGGTTTTTGGTGTGGATGTCCTTTCTGTTTGTTAGTTTTCCTTCTAACAGTCAGGACCCTCAGCTTCAGGTCTGTTGGAGTTTACTGGAGGTCCACTCCAGACCCTGTTTGCCTGGGTATCAGCAGCGGTGGCTGCAGAACAGCGGATATTGGTGAACTGCAAATGCTGCTGCCTGATCGTTCCTCTGGAAGTTTTGTCTCAGAGGAGTACCCAGCTGTGTGAGGTGTCAGTCCGCCCCTACTGGGGGGTGCCTCCCAGTTAGGCTGCTCGGGGGTTAGGGACCCACTTGAGGAGGCAGCCTGCCCGTTCTCAGATCTCAAGCTGCATGCTGGGAGAACCACTACTCTCTTCAAAGCTGTCAGACAGGGACATTTAAGTCTGCAGAGGTTATTGCTGTCTTTTGTTTGTCTGTGCCCTGCCCCTAGAGGTGGAGCCTACAGAGGCAGGAAGGCCTCCTTGAGCTGTGGTGGGCTCCACCCAGTTCAAGCTTCCCAGCTGCTTTGTTTACCTGCTCAAGCCTGGGCAATGGCAGGTGCCCCTCCCCCAGCCTCGCTGCCGCCTTGCAGTTTGATCTCAGACTGCTGTGCTAGCAATGAGCGAGGCTCTGTGGGTGTAGGACCCTCCAAGTCAGGTGCTGGATATAATCTCCTCGTGTGCTGTTTGTTAAGCCCGTTGGAAGAGCACAGTATTAGGGTGGTAGTGACCCGATTTTCCAGGTGCCGTCTGTCACCCCTTTCTTTGACTAGGAAAGGGAACTACCTGACCCCTTGCACTTCCTGGGTGAGGCAATGCCTCACCCTGCTTCAGCTCATGCACGGTGCGCTGCACCCACTGTCCTGCACCCACTGTCTGGCACTCCCCAGTGAGATGAACCCTGTACCTCAGTTGGAAATGCAGAAATCACCCATCTTCTGCATTGCTCACGCTGGGAGCTGTAGACTGGAGCTGTTCCTATTCCAAGTATACCTATTTTGCTGTCTTAACCTGGTCATTGTTTTTATAATTTTAACTTAAATTTTTATTTCCAGATTTTTTTTCAAAATGTTCTGGCCAATTCTGGTAGTCTTTTGTTCCTTTACCAGACTTTAATTCTGTCTTTTAATATATTTTATATTCTCTATCTGATAATTCAAATATCTATAGTCTTTCAGAGTGTGATTCTGTAGTTTATTTTTTCTAACTCTTATTCATGGTGGTATGGTTTCCTGGTGTGTTTAATGACTTTTGAGGGAAAGAAGCAGACATGTGCTCATGTTCAACTGGCTCTGTATCTCTGGAAATTTTTCTTTCTTTTTTTTTTTTTATTATACTTTAAGTTCTAGGGTACATGTGCACAACGTGCAGGTTTGTTACATATATACATATGTGCCACATTGGTGTGCTGCACCCATTAACTCGCCATTTACATTAGGTGTATCTCTGAATGCTATCCCTCCCCCCTCCCCCGACCCCACCACAGGCCCCAGTGTGTGATGTTCCCCCTCCTGTATCCAACTGCTCTCACTGTTCAGTTCCCACCTATGAGTGAGAACATGTGGTGTTTGGTTTTTTGTCCTTGTGATAGTTTGCTGAGAATGATGGTTTCCAGATTCATCCATGTCCCTACAAAGGACATGAACTCATCATTTTTTATGGCTGCATAGTATTCCATGGTGTATATGTGACACATTTTCTTAATCCAGTCTATCATTGTTGGACATTTGGGTTGGTTCCAAGTCTTTGCTATTGTGAATAGTGCCACAATAAACATATGTGTGCATGTGTCTTTATAGCAGCATGATTTATAATCCTTTGGGTATATACCCAGTAATGGGATGGCTGGGTCAAATGGCATTTCTAGTTCTAGATCCTTGAGGAATTGCCACACTGTCTTCCACAATGTTTGAACTAATTTACAGTCCCACCAACAGTGTAAAAGTGTTCCTATTTCTCCACATCCTCTACAGCACCTGTTGCTTCCTGACTTTGTAATGACTGCCATTTTAACTGGTGTGAGATGGTATCTCATTGTGGTTTTGATTTGCATTTCTCTGATGGCCAGTGATGATGAGCATTTTTTCATGTGTCTTTTGGCTGCATAAATGTCTTCTTTTGAGAAGTGTCTGTTCATATCCTTCACCCACTTTTTGATGGGGTTGTTTTTTTCTTGTAAATTTGTTTGAGTTCTTTGTAGATTCTGGATATCAGCCCTTTGTCAGACGAGTAGATTGCAAAAATTTTCTCCCATTCTGTAGGTTGCCTGTTCACTCTGACGGTAGTTTCTTTTGCTGTGCAGAAGCTCTTTAGTTTAATTAGATCCCATTTGTCAATTTTGGCTTTTGTTGCCATTGCTTTTGGTGTTTTAGACATGAAGTCGTTGCCCTTGCCTATGTCCTGAATGGTATTGCCTAGGTTTTCTTGTAGGGTTTTTATGGTTTTAGGTCTAACATTTAAGTCTTTGATCCATCTTGAATTAATTTTTGTATAAGGTGTAAGGAACGGATCCAGTTTCAGCTTTCTACATATGGCTAGCCAGTTTTCCCAGCACCATTTATTACTTAGGGAATCCTTTCCCCATTGCTTGGTTTTGTCAGGTTTGTCAAAGATCAGATGGTTGTAGACGTGTGGTATTATTTCTGAGGGCTCTGTTCTGTTCCATTGGTCTATATCTCTGTTTTGGTACCAGTACCATGCTGTTTTGGTTACTGTAGCCTTGTAGTATAGTTTGAAGTCAGGTAGCATGATGCCTCCAGCTTTGTTCTTTTGGCTTAGGATTGACTTGGCGATGCAGGCTCTTTTTTGGTTCCATATGAACTTCAAAGTAGTTTTTTCCAATTCTGTGAAGAAAGTCATTGGTAGCTTGATGGAGATGGCATTGAATCTATAAATTACCTTGGGCAGTATGGCCATTTCCACGATATTGATTCTTCCTATCCATGAGCATGGAATGTTCTTCCATTTGTTTGTGTCCTCTTTTATTTCATTGAGCAGTGGTTTGTAGTTGTCCTTGAAGAGGTCCTTCACATCCCTTTAAGTTGGATTCCTAAGTATTTTATTCTCTTTGAAGCAATTGTGAATGGGAGTTCACTCATGATTTGGCTCTCTGTTTGTCTGCTATTGGTGTATAAGAATGCTTGTGATTTTTGCACATTGATTTTGTATCCTGAGACTTTGCTGAAGTTGCTTATCAGCTTAAGGAGATTTTGGGCTAAGATAATGGGGTTTTCTAAATATACAATCATGTCATCTGCAAACAATTTGACTTCCTCTTTTCCTAATTGAATACCCTTTATTTCTTTCTCCTGCCTGATTGCCCTGGCCAGAACTTCCAACACTATGTTGAATAGGAGTGGTGAGAGAGGGCATCCCTGTCTTGTGCCAGTTTTCAAAGGGAATGCTTCCAGTTTTTGCCCATTCAGTATGATATTGGCTGTGGGTTTGTCATAAATAGCTCTTTTATTTTGAGATATGTTCCATCAATACCTAGTTTATTGAGAGTTTTTAGCATGAAGGGCTGTTGAATTTTGTCAAAGGCCTTTTCTGCATCTATTGAGATAATTATGTGGTTTTTGTCTTTGGTTCTGTTTATATGCTGGATTACATTTATTGATTTGTGTATGTTGAACCAGCCTTGCATCCCAGGGATGAAGCCCACTTGATCATGGTGGATAAGCTTTTTGATATGTTGCTAGATTCAGTTTGCCAGTATTTTATTGAGGATTTTTTCATCGATGTTCATCAGGGATATTGGTCTACTTTACTTCCAACTATGTGGTCAATTTTGGAATAAGTGCGATGTGGTGCTGAGAAGAATGTATATTCTGTTGATTTGGGGTGGAGAGTTCTGTAGATGTATATTAGGTCTGCTTGGTGCAGAGCTGAGTTCAATTCCTGGATATCCCTGTTAACTTTCTGTCTCGTTGATCTGTCTAATGTTGACAGTGGGGTGTTAAAGTCTCCCATTATGCATGAACCCGGGAGGCGGAGCTTGCAGTGAGCTGAGATCGCGCCACTGCACTCCAGCCTGGGCAACAAAGCTAGACTCCGTCTCACCAAAAAAAAAAAAAAAAAAAAAAAAAGTCTCCCATTATGATTGTGTGGGAGTCTAAGTCTCTTTGTAGGTCTCTAAGGACTTGCTTTATGAATCTGGGTGCTCCCGCATTGGATGCATATATATTTACGATAGTTAGCTCTTCTTGTTGAATTGATCCCCTTACCATTATGTAATGGCCTTCTTTGTCTCTTTTGATCTCTGCTGGTTTAAAGTCTGTTTTATCAGAGACTAGGATTGCAACCCCTGCCTTTTGTTTTCCATTTGCTTGGTAGATCTTCCTCCATCCCTTTATTTTGAGCCTGTGTGTGTCTCTGCATATGAGATGGGTCTCCAGTTTTTCTAGGATGGACACTTTCTTTTATAAAGTGTCTCTTCTGAGAAGAATTTGCATTCAATTCCCTCAGGTGCCTACAGGCACCACCAACATAAGCCCACCTAAACTGCATTTTTGTCTTGATTTTGGGGGGATCACACTAGTAGTATAAATTTAGGCTCTAACCTGATTAGGTAGGGGCTTTGAGTAAAGAATTATCAGGAAAGACTTTTCATTTGTTTCCACTCTAACTAAAGCCAAAACCAAGATAGGTACTTAATAACAGTCTCCCTGAGTGGTAGGGCAACTTTTGTTCCCCTCTTTTGGCAACCAAGAGTGTCATTCTTTGGAAGTTCTGGCTTTATTTGGGTAGAGGAAAAGGGAGGCCTCAGTTGTGACTTCCCACCTCACTTGGGTCCACAGCTTTCTTTCCCATCCCCAGACACTACGCCGCAAGGATCAGGAACTATATCCAGAACAAGCACCACTTCCAATGCTAGCTTATCATTATAGACTCATCTTATCTTTTATTATTTCTGGCCTCTGAGAAGCCCTTACTTTGTCTCCAGTGGAGCCAGGAAATAAGAGTTTTGATTTATTTTTTCAATCCATCATTTTTTAGTGTGCTAAACTGCAATGAGTTTCCTGTACCTTTAGCCTACCATATTGCCAAAAACAAAAGGTTAAGGTTCCTTAACCTTAAGGTAGAAAAAATAAAATAAAGTAACACTTTACAGCATAGTAGAAAAGGCAGAGTCTGTAGTGATAATTTAAAAAAAAGAAAAAAAACCTGGGTTAAATTTCAGGTTCTCAACAATAAAATATGACTAATAATCATAGAATTAACCCCAATGAGTAATAAGAAGAGGATTTTCTTTTTAACCAATTCACATTTGTCCTGTTTAGCCAGTCCCTGCTACCTAGAGTTACTATTTATAGACCACCCAGAGTGGGCCAGCTCCTTGAATCCTATGCCAAAAATAGCTAGATGACTTCTTTACTATCCACAAAATATCGATAAGGTCAGAAAAATTAACCCTTATAAGTCCATTTAGTTTATTTTTTTTTCCTGTGTGACGTCTATTCAGTAACCCAAACCTCTTCAAACTAGTCAGCTTTGCTGCATATTACCTTTGACAAAACTCTCTTACTTTATACATTAGATATATTTATATTTCATCACCAAATGCCTTCAGGAAATGTTTAAGGCATACCAATATTTGGCAAACTTGTGTGTTTTATTTTTTTTTTTTCATTTGGCCCATACCAATAAGGCACAAACATTCAGTTCTACGCTGAACATCTGAAACCACATTAATCACTTTACTCGGTAATGTGATCTGTTCTAAAAGAGTTTAGGTTCCTAAATTTAAAATACTTTGGAAATCTCTGATTCAAATGTCTATTTGTCTGACAAACTTAATTTTGTGGTACTTAACAAAAGTTCAGATAGAGCTCACAATCTTTTTTTTTAAAGCCTATGCATTTTCCAATTAAAACATAATAATGCATGCTTAAGGTTTCTAGATACACAAGACTACAGATGTGACACTTGTTCAATAAATATCTTCCAGGTGGTTACTAATAAGGTTCAACTGGGAAGTTCCTGCTCCTCTGGCAGACTCCCGGACCAGAGAAGATCATAGCCTTGCAGTAAAAAGACTGAAAACAGGCCAGGCGCAGTGGCTCACACCTGTAATCCCAGCATTTTGGGAGGCTGAGGTGGGCAGATCACAAGGTCAGGAGTTCGAGACCAGCCTGACCAACATGGTGAAACCCTGTCTCTACTAAAAATACAAAAAATTAGCTGGGCATAGTGGCAGGTGCCTGTAATCCCAGCTACTCGGGAGGCTGAGGCAGGAGAATCGCTTGAACCTGGGAGGCAGAGGTTGCAGTGAGCCAAGATCGCACCACTGCACTCCAGCCTGGGGAACAGACTGAGACTCCATCTCAAAAAAAAAAAAAAAAAATGGGGCCAATCAAAAAATTCTTTTGAATAACACAAATGATGAAACATCTCAATTCCCAACATTTGATTCAGGGACAAATTTCAGTCTTTCAAATCACTGTTGTTCTCTGGGCTTTAATATTTCACTGTTCATGCCAAATTTTGTCTACAAGAAATAGTTCTTGGTTTTTATAAATTTCACAGCCAGTTTCCTCCATATTTCCTTGTTGGTGTCAAAGATATTCTGACTTGTTAAGATACTTTCCTACACTTCCTCATTCCTTCCAGCTTTTCTCCTTGATGCTTTTCTTCAAGTTAAGCCTTTTAACATGTTTTTTTAACTTGAATAGTTCCTAATATTCCCACTACTTCTTCGCTGGCTGTTCCTAAAGCATCACACAGAGAAAGATACAGATCTTAACTGATTGATCCTCAAGATTTTCAAATATTTAAGCTTTCTCCGATTTTTAATCCCCTCTTTCTACTAACTCCTTTTTGAACACAAACCACTTCTTGATAAAATAGGGACCATCATCTCTTCCTTTCATAATCAATCAATCTACCATGGAAATGAGATCCATCCCCACCTTTACTTCAGCAGCTGTGAAGATCATTAATTCATTTTTAAAAATTTTTTGTCTGGTGGGTGGGGGCACTCAAAAAATTTTTTTTGTTCCAGTCTTTTCTTTCCTAAAATTCTATTGATTCATGAGGGCTTCCACAATGAGATGTCCCCCCTAACCCCACTGTCACTTCCTGTAGCATAATCTAATCCTCTTTATTCCTTCATCGAGTACTACTGCATAAAGCCTCCCATGATTGCCACTAGCAGCGTTACTGGTTACTTCTATGTTCCCTCAAGAATATGCCTGTGAATTTGCGATATAATAAGAAATAATATATTTGGTTTTTATTCTGGTTCCTGTCACAGAGCTCCTAAAACCCTTGGAATTTCCTGAGTGATAGGGGGTAAGAAGAGCATCTTTTGTTATCCGTAATAAGCCCCTTCCAGCTGGACCTGAGTTTATGCTAATGAGGTGACTCTTGGATGATGGAGGCTGATTGCCAGAGAAACCAACCACATAATTAGTGGGTTGGGATTTTCAGTCCCATCCCTCAACCTCCAAGTAGGGGAGAGGGGGCTGGAGTTTAAGTGCAATCACCAATGGCCAATGGTTTAATCAATCACACCTACCTAATGAAGCTCCATAAAAACCCCTAACAATGGAATTTGGAGAGCTTCCAGGTTAGCAAACACAAGGAGGTACTAGGAGGGTGGTGCACCTGGAGAGGGCATGAAAGCTCTGCACTCTTCCCCTATACCTTACCCTATGCGTCTCTCCCATTTAGCTTGCCCCACATATCCTTTATAATAAAACCAGTAATAGTAAATAGAGTGTTTTCCTGAGTTCTGTGAGCCATTCTAGAAAATTATCAAACCTCAAGAGGGAATTGTGGGAACCCTCAACTTATAGCCACTTAGTCAGAAGTTACAGGTCACAACCTGGGACTTGCAACTGGTGACTGAAGTCAGGGGCAGTCTTTGGATACTCAGCCCTTAACCTGTGGGAGCCTGTGCTAGCTCCAGGTAGTGTCAGAAATGACTTAAATTGGCCAGATATAATGGCTCACACCTGTAATCCCAGCACTTCGGAAGGCCAAGGAAGGAGAATCATTTGAACTTAGGAGTTCAAGACCAGCCTGAGCAACTTTGCCAGGTGTGGTGAGGTGCACCTGTAGTCCCAGCTACTTAGGAGACTGAGGATCGGGGGATTGCTTAAGCCTGGAAGATGGAGGCTGCAGTGAGCTACGATCACACCACTGCACTCCAGCCTGGGCAACAGAGCAAGACCCTGTCTCAATAAAAAATATTTTACAATTAAAATTTAAAAAAGAATTGAGTCAAATTGTAGGACATCCAGTTGGTGTCCAGAGAATTGGAGAATTGCTCAGTGTAGAAAATCCACATATCTGGTGTCAGAAGTGTGTAAACAAAAAGTTTTTCATTTTTTTAATGCCTATATGTTTATATGACATCCATATAATTCTTTCTCATACAACAGTTGTTTACATATCTGATTCTCTTACTAGACTGTACTTTTATTCATATTTGCATCCTTGATTCCTTGCTCAGTACCTGGCAAACATTAAGTGCTCTATAAATATTTGCTGTATGTCTGACTAAATAAATAAGTACCACGTATACCAGATAAGAAATGAGGAACTAAAAGAACACACAGTTTTTTGAGAAATAGTTTATGAACATATATAATTCCTACTAATTGGGTGAGGGAGACATTCATTCATACTACAAGTATTTATTGAGTAACTACTATGTGCCAGCCACTGTTCTAAGCACTGGAAAACAAAAGAGATAAAAATACCTCCAGGGAGAGAAAGAAAATAAATAAGTTACATAGCATACTTGAAGGGGAGAGGTGCTATGTAGAAAAATGAAGAAAGAAAGGCGATAGGGAATGCAATGGCAGGAGCTGGGATAGACATTTAGAAAAGGTAGTCCAGGAAAGCCTCACAGGGGTGGCATTTGAGCTTTTTTTTTTTTTTTTAATTTTGACCAAAAAAACTTGATGTTTTTTAATCACTTTTTTAAAACTTTTATTTGAAGCTCAGGGGTACATGGTATTTGAGCTTAACACCTGACAGAAAGAATCTCTGAGGGAAGGGCACTGCCGGCAGTGGGAATGAAAGTGAAGACCATGAAGTGCTAGCAGGCTTAGAGTGTTTGAGGAAGAGCACACAGGCCAATGTGACAGGCTAACAATAACATTTTTGATCCACAAGATAGGCAAGAATTTTAAAAATACAATATCCAGTGTTAGGAAATGCGAGAAAATGGATACTCCTCTCTCCTGCTAGTGGGAATGTAAACGGATACAGTCTTTTTGGAAGGCAATTTGGCAAACTCTATCACAATTTCAGATAATCGTAACCTCTAGCTCTAGTCTAGATTCTATCATACACATACAGACACATAAATATATGGAAATACATTTTATGTACACATATCAACAAGTAACTGGAAATACCCTAGCTGCCTATCAAAAGATGGTTAAATAAATTACGGCAGCAGTTGGGCAAGTGTGCACTGGGGTTTTAAGCAGTCCAAGGAACTCTGGGGATCCTAAAAGTCTTTCAAAGTCTGCAAAGTTCTCCCTTTTCCAACTGCATACCGATGTGAGTCTAAATTTTCTTCATTTATTTCAACCCAAACAATATATCATAACAGATTACATGAAAAAACAGATAATCCTGCCAGATCCTGTTAAGTCGGACATCAAAGATTTTTATGAAACTATTGATTTGACCTAAAGAAGCAACAATAGGTCTCAAGTATCCCCATGTGTTTTAGAAGCCTGAAGTCAGTGAGATAAAACCCAACATTAAGAATTTGAAGGAAAGTAACTTGGAGGAAAGAATGTAAAGAAAATACTGAGTAGTCTGGCCACAGCATAATAATAATTAATTTGGTTTTCTGGTTTTCAAAATTTTGGATTGCAACAAAAGGAAATTTCAATATGCTATTTCAATTTTTAGTAGCAAATAAATGTGTATATAGAGAAAAACTAAAACTGATGTATTTGAGCTTCCCCCCAAAAAAAATATTTTTACAAAACTATAAAGTAGTACCACTCTTCTGTATCTCACTAAATTTTTGGAGGTTTGGGAGATATAATTATTCTTCATTAACATGTTATTTATGTTAACATGTAAAGTAATGGTTTACGGTTTATTATTTTTAAATGAATTAAAAATTTTTTATTTTTAAAGTTTTAATTTCTCATATAATAAATATCAGTATATATAAACCACAAAATCAAAAATTATTTGGGATCCTTGGTAACTTTTAAGGGTACAAAGGGGTTCCCAAGACCTAAAGAGAATTGCTAAATTATGGCACATTTACACTACAAAAAACTATGTAGTATTAAAAGAGAATAATGTATTCACATATTTTAAAGAAAGCACAATTTGTATATAATTGTTTCATGTAAAACCAAAATTTTTAAACTAAATACATATAAACACAAAGACACAACACAAATGTGGGAATAGATGTTTATATATTCTATATGAAATGTTCTTCCTGTATCTTACCTAAATAATTCCTAATCTTCTTTTAGATGTTAACACAATCACCTCTTTCTCAGAGAAACCTTGCCTTACTTCCCTAACTAGGTCAAGTGACCCTATTATGTGGCCTCATGATATCATGTACCTTTCCTTCATGGCACCTAACATTGTTACAATTTTGCATTTATTTGTGTGATCATTTTGATTAGTATATGTCACCTATATTAGATTATAAATTTCATGAGAGCAAGGGGTTGATCATATTATTTTCTCAAATTTCCTATATGTTTGAAAATCTTCATAAAAAATGTTTTTTTTTAAAAAAGAGATCATTCAATTTTAACTCCTTTCAATTTCTCAACCAATTTTAATACAGACTTCATGCCTACCCCTACTAAATCTGCTTTCCAAGATTACAACTGACCTGATAATTGCCAAATTCAGCTTTCTACATCTCCCAAGCTCTCAGCAGCATGTGATACCACTGCCCAAGACCTGCTTGAAGCTCTTTTTACTTTGGCTTCAAAAAGCTACTTTCTTTCAGTTCTGCCCCTAATATGCTGTGAGTTTCTTTTCCCAAGGCTATCTACTATTCATACTGGTGTCCCCCAGATTCTTGTTACTTTCCTTCCTCTACTTGTTCTCCTTGGATAATCTCATCTACACCACTAACATTATCTGTCTGTCAGTCTACCTACCTATCTATAATGTTAATTCTCAATATCTAGTCAGTGCCACAAACTTCCTATACTTAAAATAAAAACTATTGTCTTTCTTCATAAAACTATCCATCTGTCTATGTTTGCTTCCTCCGATGACAGCACCACCATTCGGTCCCTCAAGGTAGAAATTTTTGAATTATCCTTAACTTCCCTCTTTTCTTCCTCATGTCCCACATTATACCAGTTAACAAATCCCACAAAAGCTACATCAGAGAGGTACCCTAAGATTGCTCATCCTTTTTATAACCATAGTGTAAGTTCAGACTCTCATTTATTACCTGAAACACCTCAATAGTCTTCTAATGCTTTCTCTGCCAATAGTTTCTCCTCACTGCAGTCTATACTCAATACAACACACAAAGTCCTCTTCCTAATATGCAAAGCTGATTATGTTACCCTCCACCTAAAAGCTAGGGATGCCTCATTGTACACAGCAGCACCTATACTTCTAACCATATATCTAGCCTCAGGCACACTCCCCACATATACAAGATACACTGAACTTTTCACTTTTTTATGAACATGTCATGCCATTTCATAACTGTGCCTTTAAACATGCTGTTCCCTTTGCCTGGCATGCCTTTCTCATACTTTGCACATGGCAAACTGATATTACAGTTCAATGTTCAGCTTCCTTCGTAGGTATCTCCCTTATAACTCAGTCACTCAACAAAAAATGTATCGAGTACCCATCAATACGACAAGAACCTTCACCTCAAGGAACTCGTACTCTATATTATGTTAGGACTCATTCACACTGTTATTATTATGTTCATCACATTATACCATAGTCATCCTTCTACTTGTCTCTCCTCCCAGCTGGATCATGAGATCTTTGAAGGCATGGCTCCTGTCTCATTACTCTTTACACATCTTGAAAAACAAATCATTTTTTCTCTAGTTTATGACAAAAGCTAAAGAATAATGAGAATTTAAGTTTTTAGCATTAGTGTCCAAAATAAATATCTATTCACTTACCTCATAGGTCCATAGTTCAGTATTATAAATGCCAATACTATCATCACACAGACAACTCTTCGCTTTGGACTAGGGACTTTAAGCCTCTGGTTCTAAAGGAAATGACCACATTAAATACAATTAAACTAACATCGATTTCAGAAAAAGCAACGCTTAAGATTAGAATTTTCCTCTTTACCGGTTACGTAAATCTCTTGTCTTACAAATACCTTGTCTTATTTAAAAAAAAAAAAAAAATCAAAGGTGAGGAAATAACACTTTTCAAGACTAGAGCAGAGACTTCCAGGTTCCCTTTTCCAGCAGGGAGAGAAAAGGAGAGAAGCAGAAGAGAAAAAAACACAGCAGCCACTCCATTGCAGTTGCCTCTTCACCCAAGAGGAAAGAATTCAATATATATATGTATATATATTTTTTTGAGACGGAGTGTCACTTTGTCGCCAAGCTGGAGTGCAGTGGCATCATCTCGGATCACCGCAATCTCCGCCTCCCAGGTTCAAGCGATTCTGCTGCCTCAGCCTCCCGAGTAGCTGGGATTACAGGTGTGCACTACACCCAGCTAACTTTTGTATTTTTAGTAGAGATGGGGTTTCACTATGTTGGCCAGGATGGTCTTGATCTCCTGACCTTGTGATCCGCCTGCCTCAGCGTCCCAAAGTGCTGGAATTACAGGCGTGAGCCACCACGCCCGACCAGAATTCAACATTTTTTATATTTTTACGGATCCCCAAAGAATTTTGAGTCACTTCTATAGTTTGCCTCCCTAACCTTTTAAATCATTGTTTTCAGTAAAATATAGGAGTATTCCCATGTACTCAGGGCCAAGAGAAAAAGAGTGTAAGAAGCCCCATTCAGTAGGCATCTATATGGTTCAGCACTGCAGTGAGAAATTCTGAAAACAGCAAATTTCCCGAATAGAACTGAGGAGATTAAAACCTCTTGGAGTCAGCATAGTAACAGAATGCAAAAATCACATTAGTTGTTAGGTGGACTGAGAAAAAATAAAAACACTTTTATATTGTTTTCTTTTTTAAAAGGGAAAATATGGCAGGGCACTTTAGAAGCCTCAGTGTGATTCACTTAGCCAGAAAAGAGGGTGCTAAGGCAATGAATGAGGAGAAACCTAGGAAAAGGAGACAACTTTTCTATGTAGATTGGGGAGTACAATTCAAAGGGTCCCCTTCAAATGCTTTATCCTTACTGCAAATGTTTTAGGACTTATTATACCCTCCTTTTCCTAGCACTATTATTTTACATAATTTAATTTAAAATGTAAAAGTTTCTCTATTTATTAATCCAGAGGATACTTTAGCCCATCTCGACTCAGCCGTATTACTAACACTTACCTCTGACACAACTTCATCCAGCTGCCGCTTCAGTGTTCCATTTTCTTTCTTCAGTTGCTCGTTTTCTGAGAGGGCAGCCTTTAATCTCGCCTCTAACCCTAGCATATATTCTTTCTTCTTCTTGCGAGACTGACAAGCGGATTCTCGATTTTTTATCATACGTTGCTGTCTCCTTAGCACAGCAATCTAGAAAAAGTTATAATGAATCAGAATACCCTGGTTTTAAAATCAGATCAAAATAGATCAGAATATACTCATTTTTACAATTATTTTAACCAACAATTTTTTCAAAGCATAGGTTACTAGTTGTTTCAAAAGAGGTTTGAAAACACACTGCTCAAACTAAATAAGTTAAAATCAAATGATTAAATAAGGCCTTCTAAAACCCAAATGTTAAATAATTTCTTCTTATGTTTTCTAAGGCTCGTTTATTAATCTTCCAATTTTCCCCTTAGAAACTCCCTCAGAAAGTATCTTTAAATATATATGCATATATACATACATCTTAAATCTGTATCTCTGGCCCTTAAATGGCTATGCCCCAGAACCATATATTCAATTAATTATAAGGCCACTTCTTACAGTTATTACCACTTCAAATTCATTATGTGCAAACTGAACTATCTCCCTCTAACTAGATTGTTTAAAAATCTATCCATTTTCTATCAATAGTAACTATTATTTTACTTTATTCACTATATTCAGTCCTTCTCAATCCCTCATTCACTCATTGAATATGTTAAAAGTATATACTAATGACCAAATTTATTCCAGTGAAAATGTGTCTCAGTAATTACTTTCTCTCTATTCCCTCTTCCACTCTCCTAATACAGGCACTCATTAACTCATCCCTATACTACTGCAACAGACTCCTATTTCAATTGTGTTCCATCTCATCCTGTCCACCATTTCTAAGATAACTTCTCCTAAGAAAATATTTTTATCTTACTACTCAATTGCAAAAACAAGCTAGTCATGTATCCCTGCTACCCATCTTTTCTTTTAAGGTCTTCCATATTGTGACCTCCCACGGCCTAACCAGACCTTCTGCCCTAAATCTACAGCTATTCAAGCCACACTCCTCCAATCTTATCATTTAAGGCTACTTCATAATCTCCATACATGTCTAACATGTTTCCTTATTCGCATTGTTTATTTCCATTTGGAATGCTATCTCCTCCACTAACCTAATTCCAAGGTCCATTTGAACTCAATTATTCTAACCCACCCTGATTTTTTATTTTCTCTGAACATCTTATACCCTTAGAATTTGGAGGATATACTGGAACACTCTAATGCTCTCAATTGTTTCAAGAATGTTAACTCTCTCTCTCTTTCCCCACCTAGATTTTATACCTTGAAAGCCAAACCACATCTGATCCTACTTTTTTGTTTAATACCAACAATATCTACTACAACAGAAACTTACTGAGCGAAATTATTTTTGTTATGTTTTCTAAATTAAGTTATGAAGCCTATTGTTATACATTAGTCTAATTTCTTTGGGGAAGTGAGAGAGGTGGCAAAATTAAGTGCATAAAAAGCGCCAACCTATATTACATTGATTAGTATGAGTACACAGATGGTTGAATTACTAATTTCTATATATTTTGCAATGGACTTTAAAAAGTAAACACTCTAGAGTGTTCAATAACTCTTACTGAGACCAGTAAATAAAGTTAAAGAATGTAATCTATTTCCTTTTTTTTTTTTTTTTTGAGATGGAGTCTTGCTCTGTTGCCCAGGCTGGAGTACGGTGGGGAGATCTCGGCCCGCTGCAAGCTCCGCCTCCCAGGTTCACACCATTCTCCCTCCTCAGCCTCCCGAGTAGCTGGGACTACAGGTGCCCACCACCACGCCTGGCTAATTTTGTTTGTGTATTTTTGGTAGAGACAGGGTTTCACCGTGTTAGCCAGGATGGTCTCAATCTCCTGACCTCCTGATCCGCCCGCCTCGGCCTCCCAAAGTGCTGGGATTACAAGTGTGAGCCACCGTGCCAGCCTGTAATCTATTTCTTTTAAAACAACAACACAATTCCCACCCTGATACTACATTTCCTAGAAAGAGAAGTATGCCAAAGCCAACCAAGTGATCTGCCAACACCAAATATTTTCAACAACCTTTAAATCAGAACCCACAAGGAAATGTTACATGAAATGTCAAAAAGGGTGTTTTTTTATTTAAACTACAAAAAGGCTGATTTTTGTGAAACCATCATCTGTAAAAATTTCCCTGAAGAATAACTATCTCACTCTTAAGTAATGCTAAACACGCACATGCACACACACTCACACACACACACACGCACGCACATACAAAGAGCAATGGCAAAGCCATGATGGATTGATTATTCACCAAATGCAAACTATTCTCCGGACATTGCCACTTTGTTCAGTCTACTTTTATTTTTAGTGTTCTTCATGTTACTTAGAATGCCAGTGTCCATAATTAATACTAGAGTGCTGAAGTACACAGAACACTGAACAGGGACATAAAAGTGAAAGTTCCCAGATGGAAGAGTTTATACTAAAAGTTAGACAAAAGGCAACCTTACTTTAAAGGCTAATTAATCTGTGGAATTTAGAGGGGCTTACAGATGGCATACCATTTAATAAATTTCAAACAAGGATTAGGCATTTCTATAAACAATAAAAGCACCTGAATATTACACAGCATTCAAGTTTCAAAGGCTGTCAATCCACGTGCCCCATACTAAAAAAATGAAAACCATCTGTGGTCAAATATTCATTTCTTCCCATAGAAACAGATACACTATAATAGTTCTGAAAATAAATATTCAATACTATCAATAAATACAGAGGATAAAGACAGTAAAAATAAATGAAACCCACGGCTATCACCAAACACAGGGCTCCAATGTTTTATCTCAGCAAGCCATCTTTAGCTATCTGAATATAAAATATTTAAATTATTCAATACTTCCTAGGCAAAAAAAATATGATTTGTAGGCTAAACATACACACATTGTGGTGTTTGGTATTTTTTTAAGTGGGGGGAAGTGGGTATTTTCCTATATAAGAAAAAAAGGATTACACTGTATGTAATTCTGTTTGGTAAACTGCTTTTGCACATACAGTGTATCAAAATGACCTTTGACATGCAATAATGGCAGCACAGATTTTCAATTATCTTGATGTTTCATAATATATTCAATTAATCTCCTCTTGTTGAAATTACTATAGTTTTCAAGATTCTTTAAAATAAGCCTCATCATTTAATCCACTGTTAAGACAGTAGAAGGGCCAAGGCTAGAACTTAGGTCAGTTGACTCCAAGTCCAGTGATACTTACACAACAGCTTCAAACTGCTTTTAAATACCAAATAGAGAGGCTTGCATCACAGCATGGAACTCTAACCTCAGAGAACTGTGTGGTTACTTTAATTATGTGCCTGTCTGAAAACAGAGACTTGTGGAACTGCTTGTATCTGGAAGCCTAATCTCTCTGTCAGCAATCTGAAAACATAAAATCAATACTCTGACCCATTAGCCAATTGACACATCTCTCTTATGGGCATATCAGATGATTTCATACAGACTGAAATAAGCGAACAGCTGGCCAGGTCCTGCTTCTGATCATCCTGCCTCCAGACAACTCTCCCACCAGGCATCTTGCCTTGGAAAAAGTAAAAAGGACAAAAGAAAAAACTCTACAGCTGCAAAATAGTTTCCTTTGAGTGCCACTGCACTATAAAATGTAGTATTTCACTTAGTAAACACTTATTTGACTGTAAGAAAGACTTATATAAAAGGAAAACTTTCACAAATGGACAAGTTCCTTTGAAGGTTGAATCAATGTAAGAGTCAAAGTTTCAAGTACGTCCACATTTTGTTTTTAGTTTAATTTAATTTAATTTTTTGAGAAAGAATCTCACTCTGTCACCCAGGCTGGAGTGCAGTGGCACAATTGCAGCTTACTGCAGCCTCAACCTCACAGGTTCAACAGATCCTCCAGCCTCAGGCTCCCCAGTAGCTGGGACTACAGGTGCATGCTACCGTGCCTGGCTAGTTTATTTTTTTGTAGAGATAGGATCTCTCTATGTTGCCCAGGCTGGTCTTGAACTCCTGGGCTCAAACAATCCTCCTGCTTCAGCCTCTCAAAGTGCTGGCCCAGCTTGTTTTAATTTAATTATCAATTTAATTATCAATCAATAAGGTTTTTAAAACTAAAAACCTTATTGATTGATAAACACTGTAAGTTATTATAGTCTCTTTTTATTAATAAAATTGACTAAAGCCTTGTTTCTGTGATGTTGCTAAGAAATGAGCTCAATGACCATAAATTAAATTAGATATAATACTAGATAGGAGCCAGTAGTGGTGGCTCACACCTGTAATCCCAACACTTTGGTAGGTCGAGGCAGGAGGAACGCTTGAGGCCAGGAGTTTGAGAACAGCCTGGGAAACATAGGAAGACCTCGTCTCTGCTAAAATTAAAAAATTAGCTGGGCATCGTGGTGCACAATTGTAGTCCTAGCTACCCTAGAGGCTGAGGCAGGAGGATCACTTGAGCTCAGGAGGTTGAGGCTGCAGTGAGCCATGATCGCATCACTGTTCTCCAGCCTGGGTGACAGAGTAAGAGCCTATCTCAAAAAAAAAAAAAAAAAAAAAAAAATTAAAATGGGATTTTTATGCTAAGAAATACATTCGAATATCTCATGTAAACTCAAGTCAGATCAAGTATTGATAACCTATGGATGAATCACATGGTAATCATTGACTTGCTGCACATCTTTCTAACAGTTCTTATTCTCATTTGGCTGAATCTTGCCCTCTAAACTGATAGATAAAGTGGAAGCCATTACTGATTAACCTCTTCACTGTAACTGACCAAAAATAAAAATACAATCTTTCAATTAAATAAAAATTACATAACATACATTATTGCATATGTATTGCAGTAAACATATTTATAGATACATTCTTAAAAAACACACATAGTTAAAATCATTGGCAAATTTAATTTGTGGCAATCCTACTTTAAATATTCAAATACATTAAAAAACTTAATTTGATTTTTGTTAAGAATCTTACGTACACTTATTTTTCTCATTAAATTGTTTAAAGCAGAAAAAAAGAGAAAATTTAGACTTTCACTATCTCTACTCTTCTCAATCTCATGACAGTCAAAATTTTATTTTACTCTTTCTATTAAGTTTTGTGTGTATGTATGCATATAACCAGCTCCCATTTGCCAAAAATTAAAGAAGCTTCATACTGGCAACCTGAACCATTTATTTGGCAGATTATCAAGGAAATAATCTTCATCCTGCAAACTATTTCCTTCTATTTTTTAAAATGAAGAATGCCTTCTGATATGTAGTATAGTTTCCAGAATGAGAACAGATAATAGACAAAGTCCCTGCTAGGTTATAGGATGGGGAAACCCTACCAATCTCATCTTCTGAATGAAGATAAAGAACAACCAAAAGAGAGGTAAAAGCAGAAGTATGCACCAGATGCTCTCAGCAAAGCCACACCATGGGCACAGCCTCTTGAAGAATAGAGGGACCCAAGTCCTGAACACAGGGATCTTCAAAGGAGCCTCAAAATGGTTTCCTGTTATTTCAGTTAATGACTCCACTGCTTCACGTGTCTTCAGAAATACTTGATGGAGGCCGGGCGCGGTGGCTCACGCCTGTAATCCCAGCACTTTGGGAGGCCAAGGCGGGCGGATCACCTGAGGTCAGGAGTTCGAGACCAGCCTCAACATGGAAAAAACCCATCTCTACTAAAAATACAAAAAAATTAGCTGGGAGTGGTGGTGCATGCCTGTAATCCCAGCTACTCGGGAGGCTGAGGCAGGAGAATTGCTTGAACCTGGGAGGCAGAGGTTGTGGTGAGCCGAGATCACACCATTGCACTCCAGCCTGGGCAACAAAAGTGAAACTCCATCTCAAAAAAAAAAAAAGAAAGAAAAGAAATACTTGATGCAACTAAATAAAAGTAATAGTAATTTAAGTCATTAAATGAAAATACAAAATTGGAAGTTAGGAGTCCTTAATTCTTGGCCCAGCATTGCAATGAATTAATTGGAAAATCTAAAAATAAAAATAAAAATAAATCACGTCACCTTGTAGGGTGTATTTACATATTAGTAAAAAGAGAGAGTTAGACCAGAATAGTGCTTATGACATTATTATAACCCAATATCAGGTTTATCAATTTAGTAAATCACCACAGCCTTCAAAAACAATTTGACAGAAAAGCACAGGACAGAATAAAAGAAAAAGGGTGCATTATATTTAGTAAGAGTTGTTTCATGAGATTGAGTATAAGAGAGAAAGAGAGGTTAAATACATTTCTTACTGTGGACTGTGTACAAAAAAGTTTAAAGCCACTTCATTAGTCCTCTAAAGGTCTCATCCAATCCAAAAACAAAATAATTCTGGGGCTGATGCTAAATAGATACACTTAATTTAATTGGCACAACGACATAGCACAATAATGACTACTATATAATGAAATATGGATCTGATTATTTTTGCTACAGGTTTCATTTGATACCACCAAATTATTCAAATAAGGTCAATCTTTCTAAACCTTTGTCCCTCATGACTTAAAACTATCTGCTACCTTAATTTTTAAAAATTAAATCTTAAAACTATCTTAATTTTTATAAATTAAGAAAAAACATTTGTAAAGGGAGAAAAAAGGTATCAGCAAGTTTCGAGACTTGGGTAATTTGTTCTTTTTTTTTCTTTTTTCTTTTCCCATAAAGTTGTAAGCAAAGGACGTGGGTAATTTAAAGTCTGAGCTGCATCAGGACTACCTTGAAAGTAAAGGCTCTATTAATGGAGCACAGAGTAATGATGACACCACTGGATTAGGAGAAGACCAGTTATAATTGAGCTAGGCTTGAATCCTAACTCAATTATAAGTGGTCAAATGATTGGGGTGAGAATCAACTGTGTAACAGACATGAAGGTTCTCTGTAAGCTATAATGTACCATACAAATATGGCTTTCAGGAAAATTATGTGACACACACACACACACACACACACACACACACAGAGGAGGCAAAATTATTACTTCCATCAACAATGTACCTCACAGCTGCTCTGATATACCATGCAACTAAAGCAATATTGAAAATACCTGCTCCTGGCCGGGCGCGGTGGCTCACGCCTGTGATCCCAGCACTTTGGGAGGCCGAGGCGGGTGGATCACGAGGTCAGGAGATCGAGACCATCCCGGCTAAAAACGGTGAAACCCCGTCTCTACTAAAAATACAAAAATTAGCCGGGCGTAGTGGCGGGCGCCTGTAGTCCCAGCTACTTGGGAGGCTGAGGCAGGAGAATGGCGTGAACCCGGGAGGCGGAGCTTGCAGTGAGCCGAGATCCCGCCACTGCACTCCAGCCTGGGCGACAGAGCGAGACTCCGTCTCAAAAAAAAAAAAAAAAAAAAAAAAAAAAAAAAAAAAAAAGAAAATACCTGCTCCCATTCCAGCTCCCATTTTCAGATTTTAAGTTTTAAAATTAAAACACACACACACACACACACACACAAAGCATGAAATGTTATTTAATCACTAAAGAAGCAGAAAAAGAGCCTAAAACTTAACATTCCTCTGAGCACTCTGTCTGTTCCTTACTCTGTATTCCTCAGGGCCCTGATTCATTTCAAAGAGCTGTTATAAGATTTAAAGAGAGTATTTACAAGTTATGCACTTAGAAAAGTGCCTGGCACATAGTACTTTATTAATATTAGCCATCTTAGCAATATGACATTTGTTGAATCACTTAGCTAGTTGATTCCTTCAGTAGTAAAATGGGAATAAATAATGTCCCCTTCACAAAGACTTTGTGAAAATCCAGTAAATATTTGGTCGACTGACAGAATTGTAATATTGACAGGTGATTGAACTATTTTATTAATGTAAATTATTGAAGTTAATAAAAGAATGTACCTAGTCTTAGAAAATGCACACTGAAAAAATTAGGGGTAAAATACTGTGAGGTATGTAACTTACCCTAAAATAGTTCAGGAAAAAAATTGTGTGTGTATATGGATGGATGGATGGATGGATGGATGGATGGTTGGATGGTGGGTGGATGGGTGGGTGGATGGATGGATGGATAGTGGATGGATGGATGGATGGATGGATAGTGGATGGATGGATGGATGGGTAGGTAGGTAGATAAAGAATAAGCAAGCAAATTGGGTAAAATGTTAACAACAGGTGAATCTGGCTGAAGAATACCTGGGTGTTCTCTGTACTATTTTTTGTTTTTGTACTTTTTGAAATTTAAAATTATAACTAAATATAAAGTTTAACATGTGTACCCATACAATAACCAAAGTTTAACATGTGTCAGCACACACACACAACCGCAGTGTATACACACTGGGAAGTTATAAGAAGCCATAAGACATTTTCCTTTAGATCTCATACTCAAGGGAGGTAAGAGCCACAGAAAAGTCTAACCATAACACTTTAAATTCTTGAATATCATTCTCGAACTACCTGTAACCAGCCACAAGATCTCTCCTGCTAACAATTAATATTCTTTCACATAGTTATAAAATAGTAATCTTTCAGAGGGAATATCCCTTCAGGAATACACAGCCATTGATACTTTCATTTTTAAAATTTACCACTCTTCTTCGTGAATTATCTATTCGTATATATTGTCCATTGATGGTTGAATTAATTTGCATTTTTCTCACTGATTTATACTCTATATATTAAAAATCGTTCTTAAAAGACTGTGAAAATGTACATGAGTGTTCAAAGTGGCATTACTCATAACAGACAAAAAGTGGAGACAAGCCAAATGTCTACCAACTGATGAATGGATTATCAAAAATGTGGTATATCCATATAATAGAATATTATTCAGTCATAAAAAAGAATAAACACTGACACATGCTTCAACATGGCTGAAGCTTGAAAAAAATATGGTAAGTGAAAGACGCCATACACAAAAGGGCACATAGTGTATGATTCCACTCATATGAAATGTCTGGGACAACTCCACACAGAAAACAGATTAAATGGCTACCAGGGGCTGCAGGGAGTGAGAAATGAGGAAAGACTATGGCTAATGACTATGGGGTTTTCTTTTTAGGGTGACAAAAATATTCTGGAATTAGACAGCAGTGATGGTACCACTAAATTGTACAGTTCAAAAGGGTGATCCTTATGTAATGTGCATTTTATCTCAATGAAGCTGTTAAAAAAAAAAAGACAACAAAAGAGCTTATGGACTCCCCAGACAAATGCACTTGCACATTGCTAACAACTATATGAGGGATGAGGTGAGGTGGGGTAAAGGGGTGTGATATGATCTAGATTTGTGTCTCTACCCAAATCTCATGTCGAATTGTAATCCCCAATGTTGGGGGAGGAGCCTGGTGAAAGGTGATTCGATCATGGAGGCAGATTTCCACCTTGCTGTTCTCATGATAGTAAGTTCTCATAAGATCTGGTTGTTTAAAAGTGTGTAGCACTTCCCTCTTTTCTCTCTTTCTCCTGCTCTAGCCATGTAAGATGTGCCAGCTTCCCCCTCACCCACAGTCATGATTGTAAGTTTCCTGAGGCTTCCCCAGCCATGTTTCCTGTACAGCCTGCAGAACCATGAGACAATTAAACCTCTTTTCTTTATAAATCACTCAGTTTCAGGTATTTCTTTATAGAAGTGTGAGAACTGACTAATATAGGATGCTGATTATGGAAACACTGAAACCCACCCAAGGACTCCATTAAGCCCTGTGACTGACTTCTCAATTAGAACTACCTCAATGGAGGACCATTTGGTAAAACCTATCAAAACTGAACAAGTACATACCTTCTGGCCCAGCAAATCCAATTCTAAAAATTTCTCCCACAAAATTTTTGCAATCTACTCATCTGACAAAGGGCTAATATCCAGAATCTACAAAGAACTCAAATTTACAAGAAAAAAACAACCCCATCAAAAAGTGGGCGAAAGATATGAACAGACACTTCTCAAAAGAAGACATTTATGCAGCCAACAGACACATGAAAAAATGCTCATCATCACTGGCCATCAGAGAAATGCAAATCAAAACCACAATGAGATACCATCTCACACCAGTTAGAATGGCAATCATTACAAAGTCAGGAAACAGGCAATCATTACAAAGTAGTGAAACAGGAACACTTTTACACTGTTAGTAGGACTGTAAACTAGTTCAACCATTGTGGAAGACAGTGTGGCAATTCCTCAAGGATCTAGAACTAGAAATACCATTTGACCCAACCATCCCATTACTGGGTATATACCCAAAGGATTATAAATCATGCTGCTATAAAGACACATGCACACTTATGTTTATTGCAGCACTATTCACAATAGCAAAGACTTGGAACCAACCCAAATGTCCATGAATGACAGACTGGATTAAAAAAATGTGGCACATATACACCATGGAATACTATGCAGCCATAAAAAAGGATAAGTTCATGTCCTTTGTAGGGACATGGATGAAGCTGGAAACCATCATTCTCAGCAAACTACCACAAGGACAAAAAACCGAACACACATGTTCTCACTCATAGGTGGGAATTGAACAATGAGAACACTTGGACACAGGAAGGGGAACATCACACACCAGGGCCTGTCGTGGGGTTGGGGGAGGTGGGAGGGATAGCATTAGGAGATATACCTAATGTAAATCACGAGTTAATGGGTGCAACACACCAACATGGCACATATATACATATGTAACAAACCTGCACGTTGTGCACATGTACCCTAGAACTTAAAGTATAATAAAAATAAAATAAAATTTCTCCCATAGATATATTTGTATATGAACAAAATGAAATAAGTACCAAGTTATTCAATGAAGAAATGTTTATAATGAAAAGGACTGCAAAATTTTACAATAATTATGGCACCCCTATGAAGTAGGTTACTATGTAGCCATTAAAATGCAGCTATTAAAAGAATAAGAAAAAGACCAGGCATGGTGGCTTATGCCTGTAATCTCAGCACTTTGGGAGGCCACTGCAGGAGGATCATTTGAGGCCAGGAGCTCAAGACCACCCTGTGCAATACAACAAGACCCCCATCTCTACAAAAACAAAAAAAAAAATCAAAATTTAGCCAGGTGGCACACATCTAGCTACTCAGGAGCCTGAGGCAGGAGGATTGCTTAAGCCCAGATATTTAAGGCAATAGTGAGCTATGATCATGCCACTGCACACCAGCCTAGGCAACAGAGCAACAGACTGTCTTTAAAAAAATAAATAAATAAATAAAAATTTAAAAAAGGAATGAGAAAAGTTTTTAGTACTGATCTGAACAGATCTCTAAGGTATAAGTGAGAAAAGCAAGTTGCAGGATGACATGTACAGTATGCTACCTTTTCTATGAAATAGGTCAATAAATAAAACTATAAGTACTTACATATTAAAGAACTGTCTCCAGAAGAATGCACACAAAACTAGTAAGAATGACTACCAGACAAGGAAACTGATTTGCAAGAAAGTCTCTGGGGTATAAAAGGACTGTCTCCCTAGAATGAGTCCCCACAAGGTTTTGAGAAGGGAAATTAGAGAAAGGAGAGAGAAGTATTTCATTGTTTATTAAGATAAAAATCAGAATCCTTAAAAATAATTATTTATTATTCTTATAAAGATGCCAAACTGCTGGGCGCAGTGGCTCATGCCTATAATCCCAGCACTTTGGGAGGCCGAGGCAGGTGGATCACTTGAGGCCAGGAGTTTGAGAACAGCCTGGCCAAACTGGTGAAACCCCATCTCTACTAAAAATACAAAAATTAGCTGGGTGTGGTGGCACATAGCTGTAGTCCCAGCTACTCAGGAGGCTGAGGCAGGAGAATCGCTTGAACCTGGAAGGTGGAGGTTGCAGTGAGCCAAGAGCGTGCCATTGTACTCCAGCCTGGGCAACAGAGCAAGACTTTGTCTCAAAAAAAAAAAAAAAAAAAAAAAAAAAAAAAAGATGACAAACTAAAAAGTACAAAAAGTACAGAATAAAGAATGCTGAGGTTGCCACAACATAAATTTATCCTAATGCAATGCATCAGGAAGGAAAAATAAACAACAACAAAAAAAAGCTGTTCACTTCCCCTTCCAAAGCTACTGTAACCTCAAATGAAACTGAACTGCTATTCAAGATAAATTTTTAGAAGCTCCAAACCTACATTTAAAGAGATACTGCAAATATTTAAACAAAGCATATTTTCTTTTATTTGCAGAGTCCCTGGTAGCAGCAAAGCCACAATGCAGTCAGCACAGAAGTAATTTTTTTACTAAACCCTGGATAACTCCAGCTCTCCAAATCCTTCCTATTGGATTTGTTCTGATAGATTCCTCTACTTTGCAGCCTAAAGAAATATCATGATCTCAACTTGTTTGTTGTTAGAAGTTATTAAGAAGTGCCTATTCATTATTTATCTTCTGAGATCTAAGCTAGCCACATAATTTAAGGAGATTCAGCTCACATTTTGACCTAACCAGCGTCCTATTCTTGGATGTTACAGATAAGCAACTTCAACGTCTATTGAAGTTTTGCTTTTTTTCTGAAATAGAACATAGGCAGTCTCTGTTTTTCTGAGTTGCTATGCATTGCAAATAGATTATTATAGACATATTTTTCTTGAGAAACACACCTCCAGGGAGTCTCTTATGAGTTTTGCTCCTACACGTCTTATTGGGTATGCAAAGAATGCAAGGTCCGGACCACTCTTTTCCCAGGCCATTCTCAAGGTTCAGTTTCCAACAAGCAACCTTGAAGGATGAGATAAAATCTCCCTCTAGACAATGAGGAGGCTTGCTTTCTGCTTGCTATACACATGGTAGATTCTCCAAGCTCATGTTCCTCCACTGCAAGAGAGGAACACTGTGTGCAGGGCATCCATCTAGGCCCATGTCACATCACTCCCATAGAACAATACTAAAAATACCTGAAATCCCTAAATTAACTGTACACCAATTCTAGAGAAAGGAAATACAAAGTTCTAATTTGGTATGACAGGAGAATCCCCTTCGCACCATTTCTAATACCTGCAAACCAGTAGCAAAGGATTCCCCCCAGCACCTACCTTCTCATGATGACTCTAGGAACCCAAGACAGGGACTCCCAAAGGGAAGTCATTTTGGGATGGAAGGGATCAAGTTTCCTAACTATAGGATTTAGAAACAGGGTAAAAGGTGATACAGAGTTTGGAAGATATTCAGTGGGGTGACTGAGCCGGAAGGAAGGAGACTCCTAACAGTAGTTTGTATCCCTTCATCAACCTCACATCTGAGGTTATTTATAGTTCTATATCAGTTCTGGATACTTTTCTTTCCATTATTCCCACCTACTGATTTCCACTAAGAGTATTTGCTCCAATGTGGCCCACTGTGGAAGATGTAGAATTTTACCACTTGTTTTTCTGGTCTTTTGTTCCAATAACTAAAACAATGTAATTCCTATAACCTTAAAACAAGGGCAGTAATGTTTCATAAAGTTTATGCGATTATGATGGGTAGGTGGAAGTAGTGAGTGTAATGCAGATTTAAACAGACTGCTTGTTTTTAAGCCCTTGGTTTGATGTGTGGCAACACTAAATAGCCCTTTAAAGAAAGATAAGCATGCTGTCC
Organism: Homo sapiens; assembly: GCF_000001405.40. Taxonomy (NCBI): domain Eukaryota; kingdom Metazoa; phylum Chordata; class Mammalia; order Primates; family Hominidae; genus Homo; species Homo sapiens. Next base: position 161,806,218 of record NC_000001.11, on the reverse strand, counting down.
TATAAAGTCAACTTTGTAGTTCCAAGATTGCCATTTACTAAGAAACTGCACAGAGAACTTCTACACTGAAATGAGAGATCATGTTCATTTTTTCCATCAGGATCACAGCCAAAAACAAACCATATTTCTTGAAAACTTAGGTGAGGTCTCCAAGAGTTAAACAAAACAGATTTACCAGCAAAAGACAGGAAGAGTAAGATATAATTTGAACCAGGCAAACTGTTTCATAACAGAAAATGTGGCATTTAATGCAGTTTGCAGAATATGGTATGCTAAAAACGCTACTTATGGCTGTAGCAGGCCTCTGGAGAGTGAAACCAGCCAAACAAAAGAACTAAAAAAGGTAGAAAAAGAAGCCATGTCAGCATTACAAAGCCACAAAAAAACTGATATGATTTTTTTTTTTTTGGTGGATTACAATTCTTTCACCATACTTTTGGTTTAAAGGCACAAAAGGTATATGATAAAAAATATTTTTTTGATCATTTTAAATTAGGAATTTATATTAATTTATCCTAATTTAATAGGACTTGTGTTTTAACAGACACATGTAATACTGAGGTCAACCAAGTTACTAACACAGAAGGCTATACAAGCTGATCAAAGTTCTTCTCTGCAACTCCTTCTGGAACAGATTTACTTTGGGTTCCTGAGTGGGTTGGCCTGCTGCTAGGACAGACTAATGCTTCTTTACTTGAAATAAACATTCAGTCAAAATTTCTACCAAAAAAACTCATATTGAAAGGCTTGGCTCACGTCTCGATGTGCTGGCCAAGTAAAAATAAGCACAAAAACCTCAATGCAGGTTGACTAGAAAATTATTCTAATTGTCCTTAGGTCTCTTTGCATTAAACATAAAGTGTTTGAATCTTTCTTTATAATCCTGTCAATTCTAAACTTCAAAAAGACTGTGTCTGTTTGGCTTTTGTACTCTTAAGGGGGCTCTGTAAATTTAAAGTATTTTTAATGAAATATTTTAGACATGAAAAAAGATAAAGACTAATTAGAACTTTAAAAATATGTAGGTCAACGGTATATCATTGTTAAAAAAATTAACCTCATCTGAATATACATTCATACAATAAATGTAGACATTCATACATTGAGACTTTGCTGACAAAGTCTCAATTAACGTTGAAGAACTGGGGGATGTGTGAGATGAGAAAACATAGAACCAATAAGTATTAGCTTTTGTTTCTAGCAGTATTTATTGGTTCTACATTTTCTCATATTTTTAGCAGTGACATACTCTTGACCTATATATTTTTTAACTTCTAATTAGTCTTTATCTTTTTTCATGTCTAAAATATTTCATTAAAAATACTTTAAATTTACAGATCCCCCTTAAGAGTACAAAAGCTGAACAGACACAGTCTTTCACACCAGAGAACTAATAAAGGATGTCTGACTAATAGACCAACATATAATTAATTGGAATATGTTTAGAGATTATAAAATGGGTCAATGGCATACAGTGATGATTGTCAACATTAAGATGCTCATTATTCAGATAGTAAGCCTAAAAGTAGAAAAAAAAAAAGGCAGGGGGGTTGCTCTTCTGGTTTTTAAATACAATGATTGTATCAAAAAACCTTATGTTTAGAAGAAACCTTTCTATATTTTTCCTGCACCTGTTCCAGATAACTCTTCTGGAACAAGCAGAACAATTCTATTTTCCACATAACAACCTTCCTTTCCTGGAAGATGGCTCCCAGGTCTACTTTCCATCCTCTCTTCTTCAGTTTACTGAATCATTCCAACCTTTAACCCACTCCTCTACCCCATGGTTTCTAGATACTCTCCCCATCCTAGCTATGCTTTTCTGGACTTTTCCATGTTTGGGATGACTTAGATTAATATTGTTAATATTTTTTAACAACAGTGATATACTGTTGACCTATGTATTTTTAAAGTTCTAATTAGTCTTTATCTTTTTTTCATGTCTAAAATATTTCATAAAAATATTTTAAATGTCCTAACATATTACATAAAGGCAACTTTGGATATTTTCTATTATAAGTTTCATTTGGGGGTATTATATAAGAAACATTCAAGTTCATAATTTAAAAGAGTATTAAAAGGAAATCATCATTCTCAGTAAACTATCGCAAGAACAAAAAACCAAACACTGCATATTCTCACTCATAGGTGGGAATTGAACAATGAGAACACATGGACACAGGAAGGGGAACATCACACTCTGGGGACTGTTGTGGGGTGGGGGGAGGGGGGAGGGATAGCACTGGGAGACATACCTAATGCTAGATGACGAGTTAGTGGGTGCAGCGCACCAGCATGTCACATGTATACATATGTAACTAACCTGCACATTGTGCACATGTATCCTAAAACTTAAAGTATAATAAAACAAAAAAAAAGAAATTTCAAAGCATTATTTTTAAAAATCCTTTTTCATCATTCTTAACCTGGTTGGTCTCCCATGAAAATCATACTCTTTTCTTATTGGTCACACAACTTTTTAATTGAAAATATCACAGAAAGCTTTTGGATTTTTGTTATTGTCATTTTTTTAACATATTGTAGAAATTTTTCCATGCACCAAAAGGATAGAAAAATAAACACCCAGCTTCCATCATTATCAACATTTTGCCAATCCAGTTGCCTCTATCCTGTGCTCACCACCTTCCCATCCCAGCAACATTGTTTCATCTTCAACTGAAACACACGCTATGTATTAGAGCCTATTATGCCATAAGCATTGTGCTTACCTCTTCTAGTCCTCAAAACAAACCAACATAACAGTCAAGCCTAATCCTGTACTGTCCATGGTCTCTAGTCTCATAGCAACACTAATTTTCCTATTCCATGTCTTGACATGCATTGTTTTCAATACCTATACAAACGATGGGACTCTTATTCTAGAAACTGGATGTTCTACTTTCACCAGACAATATTCCTTTGTTATGAATTTTTACAATATTGCTGGCTGAGATTACTGTTTATGCAACTGTGGAGCAATTTTATAATTAAATGGGTCACTGACATGCTGGTTAATAAATTCTGGCAGACAGATCAGACAGTAGTCTGATAAACAACCTTGCATAACCCACAGGATTTTAAAATTACTTTTCAAATGCATTCTACCTAAAGAAAGGATGAAGTAGTAATATTAACAACTAGTAGTATCCATTTTTATTTTAAAGAAAACATACACACTTTGCTTTCCCAATCGTAACTTTAGAGAATCCACTGTTTGACTATATAGCTTTAACATTCATTAAATTTTAGGACCAAGATGTTCAATTTAATACATAAGTTATTTCCAATCATTTTGAAAGAAAGCAAGAGTTAGTTGGCAAGTGCAGTAACTGGCTTTAGAGAGTGACAGGTCTTAGGAAACTATGTGATTTATAAATTATAAGAAATCCCTACAACATGCTAGAAAATTTAAAGGTTTGCAAAAATGGGAAAGTACCAAATAATCACTAAGAGACAGAATTCCTAAGAGTAGCTAGTCATCATTATGAAGTGGTGAAAATACTTCAAAACGGCAAGGAAGAAAGCTAAATATAAAACCTACCTAAAAAGTAATCTATAGACTCTTATCTGAAGATCGCTAAAACATTTCAATCAGGAAACGTTGAATCTGTAAAATATTAGTGGATGACTGGGTTGAGGGTGTAAGGGCTTGAAGAGAATAATAAGAGGGTTGGTTCTAAAGAAGGAGTAAAGAAGAGGGAGGTATGCATACTTTGCTTTTCATCAAACCACTTCACTTTCAAAAACCTTTTCACTTAGATTCTAACGTAGTAAGCCTTACCCTAATTTTCCTCCAAAGACTAGATGTGCAATTCAGCACACTCTTTTATTTGATGCAATATAAGAAACTCTAAAAAAAACAAAAACAAGGCAACAAAAGCAAAAGGTGTTTTTTTGTTGGTTTTTAAATCAGGCATTAAGAGAAGCACTAAGTTTCAAAACTTACATCTGAACCGACATTTCTCATGGTACTTTGTAGGACAGGTTTAGTCACGGAAAGTTTTCCATTCACTGGGCTATTCGCTGAAGGGGCTGGTACCACATTCACCACGTGATTAGGGAGCTGTGTGACTCCCCCAGCAACAGCAAGGACTGGCTGAGCAGAGGGCAGAACTCCAGGTGCTTGAAGTTGTACCACAGTAGGCTGAGACAGCAAAACCGTCTGGCCTGCGTTAGAAAAAAGAAAAGGAATCAAAGGGTACACAACTACTGTGGCAGGGGAAGCAGCTTATAATTAGGTCTTTTCTGCAGACGTAATGGGTAAGATCAACACCAAGGGATTGGACACCATCAATTAAAACATTGGATCAATAGCAGCACACGCTTATGGTGACTTTGTTATGTTTTTAATGTGACCAACTAAATTCATCTCTTTGAGTTATCATTAACAATATACTTTAATATACTTTCTTATTTATCTTTCTCAACTAAACAGCTATCAAATTTGCTGTAATCCCTAGATTTCTAAGAATTAACCTCTGAAATTTATTAGTGCTAAAAGGATTTGTCTTATTATAAATAACAAATCTTTTACACTGAATATGGAGAGTCATGTATTCTAAATTAATAGGATTTACAAATGCATACAATACCAAAAATATCTGAACATAAACTTAGTAACTCAATATTAGAAGAAGAAGGAGCTACAGGCCATGCACTGTGGCTTACACCTGTAATCCCAGTGCTTTGGGAGGCCAGCAGTTTGAGACCAGCCAAGGCAACATAGTGATAGCCTGTCTCTACAAAAAAAAATTTAAAAATTAGCCAGGTATGGTGGTATGTGCCTCGAGTCTTAGCTACTCAGGAGGCTGAGGCAGGCAGATCCCTAAAAAGGACAAAAAAAAAAAAAAAAAAAAAAAGACTACAAATACCAAAAAACTTAAAACCATTTGAGATTAAATCTTAGCTAACAATCACGGTAAACATAAATCTGTGATTCAAAATAGTCTGTAGATGATACCAGCCCTTTCCCTCTTCCCCCAAAAATGGCCTTCAATTCTTTTCTGAGTATTCAGAGGTATCATTATTTTAAATTTATGCTAATCTGACGAGAATTATTAGAGGTTGAACATCCTTAATCCAAAAACCCAAAATCCAAAATGCTCCAAAATCCAAAACTTTTTGAGTGCTGACACAACTTCACAAGTGGAAAACTCCACACTTCTGGTCCTAAGTATTTTGGATAAGGGATACTCAATCTATAATAATGACAATGAAGATGATGCTGTTAACGCTGCAGAAAAAGTGCCTATAGATGACATGGTAAAAATGTGTGATGGGCCTAGTGAAGGACTAAAGCAGCATACAGTCATAACAGAAAAAGAAATCATGTCAGTTTACAAAATCAAAAAGAGACTTCTAAAACAAAAACTTGTTAATGAGGCAGATGACTCCATAGAAAACATTTTTAGAAGTCATCCAGCAGAATGCCTCCTCATCCCTAGAGGACCCACTTCCAGTCTCTCAACTGCTTCTGATGTTTCTTCTCACCTGAAGACATAAAATAGAGGGTACAGTAGGCTTTTAATGAAAACAGCATCAAAGGCAGAGACTGAAAGCTGCCATTTTTTGTTGTTGCTGTTGTGTAGTAGCTGACACTGGTATTCTGGTGATTCTACTGTCCTGCCTTGTTACTCTGCACACATTATTTTTTCACTGTATTAATGGTATGTCATAATTTTTGTTAAGTTCTTAGGTGTGAATTTGTGAATAAGTGTAAGAAAATGATTGCTTGTCAGTAGCATATGAATTCAGAGCCAGGAATGATGGTGGTGCCAAACAACTACAGATTGTCCACAGGAGATAGTGACAACTGTGCTTTCTGATGGTTCACTGTATGCAAACTTGGTTTCATGCAGAGAATTATTTAAAATATTATATAAAATTACCTTCAGGCTATGTGTATGAGATATACATGAAACATAAATGAATTTCATGTTAGACTTGGGTTCTGTCCCCAAGATATCTCATTATGTATATGCAAATATTCTAAAATCCAAAAGTACCCAAAATCTGAAACACTTCTGGTTCCAAGCATTTCATTTAAGGGGTACTAAACCTGTACCATTAACCTAAAGACTTATACAACTCATAACACTAATCTATTAAAAATTTTACTTGCCTGCTAAGTGTTTCCTTTCAGATCTGGCAGATTTTTATAAGGTGCTGAAAGCCTTGCCTAACATCCACAGCTGCTTGAGCCTATCTAACAAAATGAAGGTACTAAAATAACTGGCAACTAAAATATCATGTAAATTTATAATTTGTTTAAGAAAAAAAAAGCATTATGCTTTCAGACAGGTTGACCCATGTAAAACTCAGCTCAATATTTCAAAGGATCGGGGAAAACTAAAAATCAAAATAAAGCTTCAGAACACCTGTTTGTCAAGAACATCTGTCTTGGCTAAAAAAGATAACTTATAAAAGCAAAGCCCTTGTTTCAGATGGCCTCAAAAAACACACTGAAAGTAGCAGAATTTCAATAAACAGCATTTTATCCCAGATAAGAAGATCTAAAAATAATTTCATGGATTTGGAGTAGATACAATGTATTAATACTTCGGCATAAATGATCATTAAACATTTTTACCTTCTCGTTTTCCCTTGGATTCAGTTTTTCTTTCCCCCAACTTTTATTTTAGGTTCAGGGGGTAGACAGGCAGGTTTGTTACATGGATAAATTGCATGTCACAGGTGTTTGGCATACAGATTATTTCATCACTCAGGTAATGAGCACAGTACCCAACAGGTAATTTTTAGATTCTCACCCTCCTTGCATCCTCCACCCTCAAAAGTAGCCCCTGTTGTCTATTGTCCCCTTTTTATGTCTATGTGTACTCAATGTATAACTCCCACTTATAAGACAGAACATGAAGTATTTGGTTTTCTGTTCCTGCATTAATTATCTTAGGATAATGGCCTTCAGCTCCATCCATGTTGCTGCAAAGAACATGATTTCATTCTTTTTTATGGCTGTGTAGTATTGAATGGTGTATATGTACCACATTTTCTTTATCCAGTTCACCACTGATGGGCATCTAGGTTGATTCCATGTCTTTGCTATTGTGAATAGTTCTGTGATGAACATATGTGTGCGTGTGTCTTTATATTCCCTTGGGTATATACCCAGTAATGGGACTGCTGGGTCAAATGGTAGTTCTACTTTAAGTTATTTGAGAAATCTACAAACTACGTTCAGTGGCTGAACCAATTTACATTCCCACCAGCAATGTATATGCATTCACTTTTCTCTGCAATCTTGCCAGCATCGGATATTTTTCAACTTTTTGATAGTAGCCATTCTGACTGATGTGAGATGGTATCTCACTGTTGTTTTGATTTACATTTCTCTAATGATTAGTGATGTTGAGCATTTTTTCATATGCTTATTGGCCATGTCTATGTCTTCTTTTGAAAGTGTCTGTTCATATCCTTTGCCCACTTCTTAATGGGGTTGTTTTTTGCTTGTTAAGTTTCTTGTAGATTCTGGAGATTAGACCTTTGTTGGATACACTGTTTGCAAATATTCTCTCCCATTCTGTAGGCTGTCCTATTCCTCTGTTGATAGTTTCTTTTGCTGTGCAGAAGCTCTTTAGTTGATTTTTATTTATTGATTTTTGAGCTCTGTCACCCAGGCTGGAGTGCAGTGGCACAATCTCAGCTCACTGCACCTGCCGCCTCCTGGGTTCAAGCAATTCTCCTGCCTCAGCCTCCCAAGTAACTGGGATTACAAGCATGTACCACCATGCCTGGCTAATTTATGTATTTTTAGTAGAGATGGGGTTTCACCATATTGGCCAGGTTGGTCTTGAATTCCTGATCTCAAGTGATGCACCCCTCAGCCTCCCAAAGTGCTGGGATTACAGGTGTGAACCACCACGCCCAGCCTCTTTAGTTTAATTAGATCCCATTTGTCAATTTTTGTTTTTGTTGCGATTGCTTTTGGAGTCTTCATCATGAAATCTTTGACAAGGCCTATGTCCAGAACCATATTTCCTAGGTTTTCTTCTAGGGTTTTTATAATTTGAGCCTGTACATTTAAGTCTTTCATCCATCTTGAGTTGGGTTTTGTATACACTGAAAGGAAAGGATCCAGTTTCAATCTTCTGCATATGGCTAGCCAGTTATCTTACCACCATTTATTGAATAGGCAGTCCTTTCCCCACTGTTTGTTTTTGTTAAAGACCAGATGGTTGCAGGGGTGCAGCTTTATTTCTGGGTTCTCTAATCTAATCCATCGGTCTATGTGCCTGTTTTTATACCAGTATCATGCTGTTTTGGTTACTGTAGTCTTGTAGTACAGTTTGAAATCAGGTAGCTTGATGCCTCTGGCTTTGTTCTTTTTGCTTAGGGCTGCTTTGGCTATTTAGGCTCTTTTTCAGTTCCATGTGAACTTTAGAATAGTTTTTCCTAATTGTGTGAAAAATGTCATTGATAGTTTGATAGGAATAGCATTAAATCTGTAAATTGCTTTGAGCAGTATGGCCATTTTAACACTATCGATTCTTCCTATCCATGAGCATGGAATGTTTTTCCATTTGTTTGTGTGATCTCTGATTTCTTTCAGCAGTGTTTTGTAACTCATTGTAGAGATCTTTCACCTCCCCAGCTTGCTGTATTCCCAGGTACTTTATATTCTTTTTTTGGCTATCGTGAATGAGACTGCATTCTTGATTTGGCTCTCAGCTTGGACATTACTGGGGTATAGAAATGCTGCTGACTTTTGTACATTGATTTTGTATCCTAAAACTTTGCTGAAGTTGTTTATCAGATCTAGGAGTCTTGGGCTGAGACTATGGGTTTTCCAGGTATAGAATCATATCGTCTGTGAAGAGAGGTAGTTTGACTTCCTCTCTTCCTATTTGGATGCCTTTTATTTCTTTCTCTTGCCTGACTGCTATGGCTACAACTTCCAGCACTATGTTGAATATGAGTGGTGAGAGGGACATCCTTGTCTTGTTCTGGTTCTCAAAGGGAATGTACTTCCAGCTCTTGCCCACTCATTACAATGTTGGCTGTGGACTTGCTATAGATGGTTCTTATTATTTTGAGGTATGTTCCTTTGATGCCTAATTTGTTTTGAGGTGGCCTCCATCTTTTATGAAGTAAAAACATATAAAATGCAGAAATTACTCAGAAGCAGATATAAACATGCTTAGGCCAAATACGCAAATAAAAATTAGAAACACATAAAGTAAATAGCATATGACCAAGTGTTAGGTTTTAATAACAATAAGAAATTACAGTAAATCTGGCACTATGAAAATATATATTTATCATAATGTGAAAAAAAAAACCAAAAAACAAGAATTCCCAAGTGCTCAAGTCATAGCCAGAGCAATCAGGCAAAAGAAAGAAATAAAAGGCATCCAAATATGAAGAGAGGAAGTCAAACCATCTCTCACACAGATGATATAATTCTACACCTAGAAAACCCATAGTCTCTCCCCAAAGGCTCCTGAATATAAGGGCTCTCTTTTAATATAAAATAATATCCTGGTCACCCAAAACCATCAAGGTTGTCCTTTCAGCTTCTGTGTACTGAGAAAATACATGATGGAAAAAGGCTGCTAAGAATTTAGTGAAGATTTAAAATGAACTTGGAGTTTATTAGTCAGAAGTATAGCTATAAAAATTTGAAGAGCTGTACAAAGATATATGAAATAAATTATTTGGTCTACAGAAAATGCTTGCTTCAAGTATGGATTTGCAGATGCTTTGCAAAATGCCATAAAGCTACTACCCCCATCACCCACATCCCAGGGTCCACAATATACAGACTGAGAACCACTGACTTAAACCAATACTTTGAGAAGAGTATTATAGGAAGCCATGTTCTACATCCTCTGAGTTTAAAATTATGATTAAAAGATCCCTCCCCAAAATTAAACACTGTTCAGGGAACTTTGGGACTATTTTAAAGAACAGAAGAGGTGTAAATATAATGAATTAGGCAACTTATAAGAAAGAATCCTATTTCTAGCTACAGTTACAGATTTAAAGCCCTAGCAGATAACATGTACAGAGGGCTTTGTAATATTTCTTAAACTAATTAAGAAAAATAATCCAAATCTGTACTACCAATTGTGTAATTACCACTGTCTCCTTGCTGAGACGACCGCATCACACAAAGGAGATGGAAGAATACCAAGGCAAGGCCAAATGTGGCTTGAGTCCTACCAAGCCACTGCTGCTTCCTTTTTTTCCCATATTGTATCAAGCCTTTTCATCCCAGAGTACCCAACTATCCTCAAATTACCCAGCAGCTAAATCAGGGATACTCTAAATATTCTAGGCATGTTTGGGTTCAACACAGAATGAGGGGAAACAACTAAATTTCTATGACAATATGTTCAAGTGAAAGAACAAAAAACTCTCATGGTGACTTGGTAAATGCTGACCAGGCCACAAACTACAATGCAAAGAATTGTTTGGGGCCTTAAATAGCAGCTGAACATAGTTACTACTGTTCCTAGTGTGGAAACAGTTAAAAAGGACATTCCAAAGGCTGTTTATCCATTTTAGCATGCTCAAAATCCTCTCTGGCATTACATGCAAATCCCCCTTAACGGAACATGGCTGGATTCAATGCCATATATTTTTTTGACTATGTGTAACTCACTGATTTTGATAGTTCTTTCTTTTAAACTTTCTTCAAAGATTTTAAACTATGTATCAAACATTTATTGAATGCCTACTTTGTCTGAAACAGCATCGGTGTGTGACTTAGGGCAAATAATCTGTACTTAGCGTTCTCATCTAAAAAATGGAGATATCACAACCCATCACCATAAATCATAGAAACATACTGAAGTTTCAAATAATGTGTAAATATTATTTGAAATAAGATAATGCACTTAAGCACTTAGAAGAGTGTCTGGCACATAGTAAGAACTTAAATGCAATTATTATTATTATTAATCTCCTTTTCTATATAATAATAGCTTCCATAAGGGCACTGCATGAGTTATTAATTTATTAGTTATCACAGTGACTGTTATTTAACTGTTTATGTGAATTTAATCCCCCAATTAAAGTGTAGAATTCTTGAGAGCAAGGAATACATCTGTCATTTTTTTTTTAAGGCGATACAGTATAGTGATTATTCACATAGACTCCGAGCCAGACCACCTGGGCTCAAGTTCTGGCTCCACTTCTTATTAGCAGAGTGATCTGGGCAACATATTTTACCTCTGTCTCCCATTTCAATAATTTTCGCCATCATCTACCCAAAAAGCCCCAAGATAGAAAAACGGAAGTCATCCTAGACACCTTCCTCTCTATCGTTCAGCCTCCTTCTACACAATCCAATTACCAATCTCTAAGATTCTACACTTTTAACATCTCTACTCTTCATCCTGGTTCTCCACTTTCATTGATATTCCAGGCTTTCATTATCTCTCATCTACACTACTCAAAACAGTCTTAAAGGACATGGAGGACTGAGAAGTAGAAGTAGGCATAAGTTGTTGCTGGTTGGTAGAAAATGGTGAGCCAAAAAACTAGGAAAAACAAGAGAATTCAAAGGACAATGACAGATTAGTTGAGCTAGAAGAAGGGATTTATAGAAAAGAGTAATATTATAAAGTTCGAAAACTAAACTAGGAGGCCAGGCATGGTGGCTCACGCCTTAATCCCAGAGCTTTGGGAGATCAAGGTGGGTAGATCCCTTGAGCCCAAGAATTCGAGACCAGACTGAGCAATATAGTGAGATCCTGTCTCTATTAAAAACAAACAAACAACAATAACAAAAAAACAAAAAACTAAACTAGAGCCAAATTGTGAAGAGTTTTACATTCCAAGCTAGAGAATCTCAGTCTTAAACCTGTGGAAATTACCTCTTCTTTTTCAATGGTAACATATTTACTACTAGTATTAACATGATTAACTGTATAATGTCTTGCCCATACTTCCCTTCTTCCTCCCCATTCTCAAATAAATGAAAAACATACTTTAAATCTGTATGTTATTATAATAATACCACCTATTTAGATTGTACTATAAAAACAGACAAGGCACCAGGCGCGGTGGCTCACACCTGTAATCCCAGCACTTTGGGAGGCCGAGGCAGGCGATTACGAGGTCAAGAGATCAAGACCATCCTGGCCGACATGGTGAAACCCTGTCTCTACTAAAAATATAAAAATTAGCTGGGCATGGTGGCACGTGCCTGTAGTCCCAGCTACTCTGGAGGCTGAAGCAGGAGAATCACTTGAACCCAGGAGGTGGAAGTTGCAGTGAGCCAAGATCACACCACTGCACTCCAGCCTGGCAACACAGCGAGACTCTGTCTCAAATAAAAGAAAAAAAACAGGCAAGGTGCAGTTCCTCATATTAGCACATGCTCACAAAAAAATAACTATAGTCTTCAGATGACAGGAAAGTATTGAAGTTTCAAATAATGTGTAATTCAGGTTTCTGGAACTGATAAACTGCTCAGAAAAGAACAGTTTGTCTTCTTATTATAGGTAAGATCTTCCATCACTCAAACATAGTCAATGATCTGCTAAGGGCAAATTCTTAGGAATACCCCTGCTTTATACGCTAGTCATATTAATGTCAGACTTTTTGTATAGACGTATTTTAATAGCTTATGGGAACTACAATGAGGTTCTTCATTAGTTTAAATTCTTAGCCTTTGGGAAGGCACAGATCCTTATGAGATCCTAATGAAAGTTTTGGAGACTATCCCTAGAATAATCCACATATGAACATACATTAAATCCTGCATTTTGTTTCAAGGAGTTCATGAACCCTTAATACACATTTATAAATCACAAGAATACCTATTCTATAGGAATGCTACTTTTCAGATGGAAAAGGCAGCAGTTCTGACTTTGTACTGAGAGAGCAGGCATTTCAAACTGGTTTTTGTTTGTTTGTTTGTCTGTTTATTTTTGGTGGGACTGATGGATGAATTTTCACTGATTCATCCATTCTCTCATCTAGGTCTTCTTTTTATCAATGTCATATTGTCTATGACCATGTAATAGAACAAAGCTAAAAGAGTATCTGGAAATTAAATTTATCAAATTTACCCTCATTAAAACTATGCTCCAAAAAACGAGCTACCTATTCACAATTGGAGATACAGTACAAATGTAACATTGGTGTTTATTTACAACCCATACCCCATTATCGCCTAGTCATATCTGGTGCCAACAAACTAAATCCAGAGATAAGAATGCTGCAAAAGTTTTCTTGTACCCAGTGTATACAGATATCAGTATGAGTACAATGATGACTAATCTACCTAAGAGATCTCCATACGGAAATGACTCCCATATCTGAATAGTACCAAATCCTCAGACTTGAACTTCTTTCAATAATGACATAAACCTCTCATAGAATCACAAGTGTATGAGGCCATCTGGTGGATAAAATACGAAACACACAAATTCTTAGCTAGTTGAAAGCAGAGTTCAGGTCTCCTCATGACCAGGTCAATATACTGTTTACTAAACCATGCAGCCTCCTCAGAGATTAAGGGTGTGATTCTATTGCTATAACACACCTGAAATGGACCCTATTATTTTAAATATTCCTTCAAAACAAAAAAAGTTCACAGCCACAAAAATCTGGCTGACCTGAACTCTGCCTTCAACTAGCTTAAAATTTGTGTTCCTGTATTTTATCCACCAGAATAAAATGGCACCAAGAAAGTGTCCCAGATTTTCAAAATAACCATCAGATGTAACTGGTCTGGAGAGCTATATCCCTTGTTATGACAGGAACCACACATTAGTCATCTCTGCAACGTCCTCATAACCAAAGACATTCCTGACAAACAGCACGTGCTCAGAAATTATAACCTGAATTAAAACAAATCATATGACACAACCCTTACTGCCCTCCAAATAAATTTACACAGCCTTAAATTCTGCTCAGGTACCTTTAGTGGGTGCAGGTTGTAAACTGATAATTGGTTGCTGCTTTGCCAATGGCATAAGCGTTGGTACTGTCTGAATAATGATGGTTTTTGCTGGAACACTGGAGTTTGTTTGAGTCTTGGGTGCTGCTGGAAGCAATAAAGGCTTGGGCTGAATTGAAGGTTTTGAATTCACCTGAATTTTTTTCTTTGGAGTCAGTCCATTTTCTGGAGAAAAACCAGACAAACCACAAGTCAATGTGAAAGCAATTACGCAAGCCCTAAAAAACAGATTCTATCACACACCTTTCTCTACACATTATCTTAACTTCGATTAACAATCTTTAACTGGAGTTTAAGCATAGCTACAGTACATATACCTGAATGAACTGAAGAAAAGTACTTAAACTGTTACCTCCTTTTCTAACCAAGCTGCAGTTTTGGGAATGGGACACACTAACTGGTAAAGGAGAATTGCTAAAATCACGGGATAACACCCAGAGATTAATGAGGTAACAAATGTCATAGCTCCATTCAGTTATCTTTAACTGAAACTTTGAAATCTCTCCTGAAGATGGTGGGGTCTGAGTCTATTTTAAAGTATCTTTCACCTGTAAAGACAGAGACAACCAAAGATTATTTCTCCCCTTTCCTCTCCACGGTAATCACTCACAACAAACAATATAGGTCCACCAATTAAAAAACAGCAAGCCAGCCTAATAAACATAAATTTAATCCAGCATTTTCTTTTAAGAAATGGAACCTAAGCTCAATCTGAAATAGAAATAACAGAAGTTAGGAGATAGAGTAATACCAGTCTTGTTCCTAGGACCAGTGACAGGCTTATCTTCCTTCAGTGGCTCCGCTGAAGAGAGACTATTAGAGTTTTCACCATATAAGGAAAGGGGAGACATCTGAGAACTAGAAGACAAATCCAACTCCTCCTGTAGCATAATAAAAACAAAAATTAATGAGTATAATCCTTAAGCAGCAAATTGCATAGAAAAGGAGGAGACCCACATATAAACAGAAAAACACTTCAGGGTAACTTCAAAGGAAAGGTATATTAGAAACTGTATATATATATTAAGTAATAAGTGACTATCAGCATGATCCATCTATACCAAAGGAAAAATAACTCAAAATGCAGAGTAAGTCTATGCCATCCTGTTAAAGATATGAATCATTGATCTGTTGCTACATTTCTTCCTACAAACTACACACACACACACACACACACACACAGAGACACACACACACACACAGAGACACACACACACACACACACATATAAAACTTGGTTCGTAGTCATACAAACATTCAGTATCAGTATAAGGTTGCAGTTAAAATGCCAATATCCTTTCTCCATAATCTCTCTTATTTGGTCTTAAAAGAATATCAAAAGCAAAATAATTTTATTTGTATTCTTTTCTGTTTTCTATTTTGTAATACTGCCTTTGTTCCAAATGTTGTAAAAGAAAGATGCATGAATGGAGCAGTGCTTTGTTGTTGTTGTTGTTGTTGTTGTTGTTGTTGTTGTTGAGACAGAGTCTCACTCTGTTGCCCAAGCTGGAGTGCAGTGACGCAATCTCAGCTCACTGCAACCTCTGCCTCCCCAGTTCAAGCAATTCTCCTGCCTTAGCCTCCCGAGTAGCTACAACCACAGATGTGTGCCACCACGCCTTGCTAAGTTTTTGTATTTCTGGTAGAGAGGGGGTTTCACCATGTTGGCTGGGCTGCTCTAAAACTCCTGACCTCATATGGTCCACCCACCTCAGCCTCCCAACGTGCTGGGATTACAGGCGTGAACCACCCCACCCAGCCAACAGTGCTATTTTCTTTAATTTAGTAGGTGAATTCATAATGATTGAGATACATAAAGATAACATTCGCATTTTCCCAAAGTCTTTTAATATTCAGTGAATCTATCTCATTTTGTTAGAATAAAGAAACAACATAGAAGTAGCAATTCAATTCAGACAGAAAAGATGGCATGCATGATCACGCAATAGACATAATCTCTACTTCATAACATCTTCAAAATAATCTATAAGATTATAATATAAAAATAAAATTTAAGAGAATACTTGTTTACTCTCAGGGTGTTGCAGACCCTCTTAAGTCAGAACACACAGAAGCCACAAAGGAAGAAGAAATAGATTTGAACAAATAATAAGTAAACTATTTAACAATAAAAACTAGACCATAAACAAAGTTAAAAGATATATATTGGTAGAAAATATTTGCGAAAAATAGACAAAAGGCAGGAACAGCCATTTCACTGAAAAGGAAACGCAAATGGTAGTCAAAGGCAAATTTAAACTTTTTTTATCATAAAAAAAAATTTAAATGACCTTGAGAGGATATGGGAGAAAGAAATGCTCTCAGTCTCACTGGTGAGAGTGACAAGTGACAATTGCATCTTCCTTCATCCTTAACACCTACTCAGCATGTAAGCTGAGCAATATGTAGAGTGTATTAAAATACATTTCCAAGAAACCAAAGAGTACAAGGTAACACGGGAGGAGACTATTATCTTCACGGCCTTTGATGCTTAAAAGGTATTTGATAATATTCGACAAGTATTCCTCAATAAAATCCTAGAAAACAAGGATCCGAGGAATACTTTCTTAACATTAAAAAGCTATCAGTAATTATACAGCCAAGTCCAATGCTGAATGCATTACAATTAAAGTCAGGATAAAAAATAGATACCTGCTTTTTCTGTAATTCTAGTATAATTACACTAAAAGAAGAAATTTAAAAAACATTAAAACAAAAGAGACAGCGTGCCTTTTAGCAAGGTAATATGCTATATACTTGAAGCACATGTAACAATCCACTGAAAAAAAAATTTGACTTGAAAATATTGTATTAATATACACTTAGAAAACATAATAAAAAATAAATATTTCAAGCCAGGCACAGAAAGACAAACATCACATGTTCTCACTTATTTGTGGGATCAAAAAACCAAAACAATTGAAATCATGAACATAGGGTAGAAGGATGGTTACCAGAGGCTGGGGAGGGTACTGAGAAGCTGGTAGTGAGATGGGGATTGTTAATGGGTAAAAAAAAAAAAAAAAAAAAAAAAAAGGAGAAGGAATAAGACATATTATTTAATAGCACAGCAGGGTGACTATACTCAATAAGAGCTTAGTTGTACATTTTAAAATAACAAAAAGTATGTAACTGGATTGTTTATAACACAAAGGATAAATGCTTGAGGGGATGGATACCCCATTTTCCATGATCTAATTATTTTACATTGCATGCCTGTGTCAAAACATCTCATGTACCCCACAAATATATATGCCTACCATGTACCCAAAAAAAGTTAAAAATAAAAAAGATTTAAATAAAACAAATAAATAAATATTTCACTCACAATAGCAATAACAATTACAAAATACCTAGAAATTTTCTAAGGAATGTGCAGGACCCATATGAAGAAAACTACACAACTGAACTAAGGCATAAAAGATTTCAGTAAACAGAGAGATATACAATATTGTTGAAAAGAGTGATTACAAGTGATTATAAAGACAATACAGTTAGGAAAACTGATTCATTTTATAGAGAAAATTAAAATTAGATCCCTACCTAGTGCTAGATCCCTACATAATACCACATATTAAAGTGGTGTCTAAGAGTATTAAGAAACCTAAATGTGAAAGGTAAACCATATGGTTAATAAAAGAAAATGCAGAATACCTCTGTGCTCTAAAAGCATAGAAGGACTTCTTAAATAAGCCATAAAGGAAAAGAAAAAAAAAGATAAGCCTGAGTAATTGAAAATTAACTATTTATACTTAATAAAGACTACAAAGTTAATAGATAATAGAAAGGGAAAAGATATAGGCAATTTGAATGTCTAAATCCAACAAGAGTTTTACTATTTCAAGTATATGAGGAATTCCTGCTGATAAACAAGAAGACAACAACTGAGTAGAAAAACTGGCAAAGGACAGGAATAAACAATGTATAAAAGAAAAAAAGTCCAAAAAGCTCATAAGAATGTAAATAAATGTTGAAAACAATAACCAAAGAAATACAAAGTAAAACAAAATAAAAGCAAACAACAAAAAAACACATTGTGCCATGGAGTAAAAATTAAAAAGGCAGACAATGCCAAGTATCAGGAGAGAAGTCACAGGGATCCTCAGGCACTGCTGCCAGCCCACAGAGTACTATGATGATCCTGGAGAGAAATATGGAAGCACTTGTCAAATTAAATACCTGCACATTCTACTACCCAGCAATTCTAGGCATATATTCTAAAGGATTTCTCACATGGGTCCGCAAGGGAACATTTTTTAAAATATTCATTATGGTGTAGGTAAAAATGTAGTGAATGCATACTTGAATGTTGTACAGAGTTAGATGCAACAGATTTGATGTACACAGAGCAATAGGAATTTATCTTAAAAACACTGTGCTGATTTTTAAAAGTAAATAATATAAAGATATCTACTATAATGCCATTTACATAAATTTAAAATACATGCATATAATTGAAATCAGATGAACTTTTTGATAAATGGTACTAGAATAATCATTTTGATAGTCATTTGGAAAAACATAAAATTGGATTTGTATCTCATATAATACACAAGGGTAATTTCAAATGGATCCGAGATCTAAACACTAAAAATAATATCTCATGATAAATACTTATTCATAGTCACTTAGAAAATATTCCTTCCTGAATAATTTTATCCTAAGCCACTAGATGGGGTAAAGCAAGACCACCATCCACGCAGAGAAGTAGCCTGGTGGAATGTCAGGGTCCAAGAAGGGTAGAGAGGGCACTGATATGGCAGGCGGCCTGGCATGAGGAGTCACAGCAGAGTGAGGAGGGCATCCGCATGGGAAGACAGCCTAGTGTAAGGACATCAGAGCCCAAAGGAGACATGTTAAAAGAACATAAGAGCTGGTGTGAAGGGACCCCCACTGGCCAAATCCAGAACAATGTAAGAATCAGAATAAATAATTATAGTAACGGATTATAATCTGTTGAATAAAATAAGAAACGATGAATCCATACAGATATTAACAAATAAGTGAACAAATATAAAGTGTGATGATGAACAGGATATTTTTACATAGTCTTAAAGTATCTTTCTCACAAAATATGTATGGCATAGAGAGAAAAAGCAACTTCACAATGGAATAGGTTGGCAGATAACATCTATGAAGGGATCAAAGTGAAAATAATCAGTATTAGAAAAAATCAAAATTGGGTCATCAAAAGTTGGACACAGACAGCACTTCTGTGACATTCCTGCCACAGATATAAAACCTGAATATGATCCTAAAGAAACATCAGACAAACCCGACTAAGAAATGCTCTTCAAAATAACTAACTCCTAATCCCCAAAAGTGACAAGGTGAAGAAAGTCAAGGATTAATGAAGAACTGTTTCATACTGAACAAGATTAAAAAGACAAGATAACCACATGCAATGCTTGATTCTGAACTGGGTCCTTTTGATAGTCTAAAGGACACCTCTGGGATGTCTGGCACAATTTAAACGAGAGCTGAAGGTTAGATTATAGTAACATATTAATGTTTATTTCCCGATTTTGTGCTTGTATTATGGCTAAGAAATATCTGTGCTTGTAGGAAGTAGACACTAAAGTATTGGAGTGATAGGGGCATCGGACTGGTAACTTACTCTGAAATGCATAAGGAAAAAACAAGTTATTTGCAAGGTACTCACAACACTTCTGTGAATTTGAGATTGTTCCAAACAAAAAATTAACATAAGCAAAAAAAAAGAGTAAAAATATGAGTGAATTATTTTATAACCTCTCAGTGGTGAAAACCTTCCTTTGAGTGAACAAAAAAGCAATTAAAGAAAAGATCAATAATTTGGCTATAGAAAACAGTACACCTGGGGAAAAATAAACACCAGAAATAAAGCAAAGAGACAAAAGAAAAATTGGGGAAAAAATATTTGCAGCTTATTTCACAAACTAAGGACTAATAATCCTAATATATAATAAAGCACCTAAAATATTAAAGAGAAAAAGACCAATACAATTCAATTAAAAAATGAACGGCCGGGCGCAGTGTCTCACACCTGTAATCCCAAGCACTTTGGGGGGCCGAGGCAGGTGGATAACCTGAGGTCAGAAGTTCGAGACCAGCCTGGCCAACATGGTGAAACCCTGTCTCTACTAAAAATACAAAAATTAGCCGGGTGTGGTGGCAGGTGCCTGTAATCCCTGTAATCCCAGGTACTCGGGAGGCTGAGGAGGCAGGAGAATTGCTTGAAGCCAGGAGGCGGAGGTTGCAGTGAGCCGAGATCATGCCATTGCACCCCAGCCTGGTAGACAAGAGAGAGAGTTCATCTCCAAAAAAAAAAAAAGAACAAAAATTTGAAATGACAGTTCATTTTTTAAAAAGAAATGCAAATAGGCCTTAAACATATAAAACATATGAATAGATATTATTTAACCATACTTATAATAAAAGAGATATAAAACAAAACCTATTGTGGAGTGATGATGGGAAAACAGGCCCTCTTACATACTGCTGATGAGGATGTAAAATTTTACAACCCCTATAGAGAGAAATTTGGCAGTATCTAGCAAAATTCAAGTGTATTTACCTTGGTGTCAACAATCCCACCTCTTGAAATATATCCCAAAAATATCCTGGTAAAAATATAAAGTGACTTATGTACCAGGTTATTTACTATAGGTTATTTGAGTCTGGAAAAGACTTATGTACAGGTTAATTGGGTCTGGAAAAGACTAAAAACAACACAAATACTCATCAATAAGGAAATCACTAAATTAAGCATGATAAGGCCATGCAATGAAACATTATGTAGCATAATGGGAAAATTATATACTCTGAAATTAAGAGTTATCCTGCTAAGCTAAAAAAACAAGGTACAGGACAGGGTATACAGTATGCTACCTTTTGTAATTATTAATTTTTTAAAAAATTAAATCATTTGGAGAAATTGTGGGACCTCAGAGAGCTACCAATAGCAGCAATCAGAGAAAAGCTTCATAAAGGAAGTAGTTTTTGAACTGGGACTTGAAGGATGAGTTTTCCAAGACAAGAAAAAAATGGGGCTATTCTAGGCAGAAGAAAGAGGATGTGCAAAAACCTAGAACTGTAACAGCAGCAATCTCACTGCTGTTGTTCACTGCCAGCATCTGGAACAGTGCCTGGCACAGCGGTTGAATGAGTAGAGTGCATAGGAGCTCTCAGAGAGGAACTCTCACAGGGCTCAAATTAAGGGGAATGTGGAAGTAGGAGGGGATAGCAAGAAAAGAGACTGGAAAAGTAAATGGGGGCCAGATCATGGAAAGCCTAGTACTCTGGGAATTTAAATTTCATCCTTGTAAGGACTGGGAAGTTACTAAAAAGTTTTAAGCAAATGACTGATACAGTAAAGCTTGTGACACTGAAAGATTTCTCTTTGAAGATTCCACTGCTAAGAAAGGTTTGAGGAGTTGTAAGGCTGACCAGTTAAAATCCTATTGACTTAATCCAGGTGAGATAGTGATGGCCTGGCAGGGGCAGAAAAGATAAATCCTTGAATTAATATGTGCATATAACCACCAGGATTTAGTAACTAAATGTAGAGCCTGCAGGAACAAAGATACCACAATTTATAGCACATATAATATACTAAAATATTATTTGATTTTTTTATTCTTATACTTTCCCTTTCCCCATTCTAAAAAGTACCTAAATCAGGTACTTCCTTTTCCTGGCCTCAGGGCTTTTGTCTGGACACAGAGCAGAAGTGTTCTTAAAAGAGCTACCAGACTTCTATAAAAACGTGAGCCCCTTCAAAAGGTAGCACTAGGCATTCCCAAACTAAGGCAATCATTCTAGATGCTGTGACTAAAGAGATATAAAAACTGACCATCTTACATTCTTCTATGTCCATATATAAAGAATGTATATCCTAATAGGGAGGAGAAAGAAAGGGTGGGAGAAAGGACAGTAAGCCAATAAACAAATACTGGATACTGTTAAAATGCAATGAAACAAATGAAACAATGAAATTATGGAGGCATGAACAGAGGGGAAAAGAGAGCAAAACCAAAGGCACTAACAACTTTCTAGCTCCCACAAGGCTCTTTCTTGAGTCTCAGTTCCCTCAATAAATGAGACAATATAACTCATAGTAGTATTCAATAAATGTTAACTGCCTCCTCCATATACATATTTTCCAGATAGCATATTATAACCAAAATCATTGTAAAAGACTGGCTACTCACAGGAACATGCTGAGTTGAAGAATAAGAGTCCACTGACCGAGGAGACGAGACTGAATAACTTGAGGAGGCTGGAGAAAGTGGCTGAGGTTCTGCCTTAATATCTTTAACTGGAAAACATGGAGGAAAGGTTTTACCCACTGGACAATAAAAACTTATAATAAAATGAACAAGAAAGAAGGTAAAATCTACTTTTAAAATTCAATCAGATATGGAAGCTAAGGTCACCAAAATATAACGAGTGAAAATGAAAGATGCAGAAAACAATATATCTAGTATGTTTCCACTTGTGTTACAAATTATATATATATGTGGGGAGGGGGTATATATGTATGTCTGTGTGTGTGTGTATATATATGTGTACACTTGCATCTGCACTAATTCTCTGGAAGGGTAAACAGAAGAAACTGGTAACAGTGGTTGTCTCTGGAAAATAGAACTTGTTGGCTGAGGAATAAAAGCAGGAGACATTTTTCTACTATACAGATTTTTGTACCTTTTGAATATTTTACCATATGCAAAATATTATAGCTTCCCAAAAAATTTAAAAAAATAAGAAACAGGAAATATTTTGGAAAGCATTTTTGACAATACAATTCAAACTCATAAAAAATGTTCATATCTTTTAAACTATTAATTTATCCTATAAAAATGTACTGAGCAACTATGGCCCAGGCAGTATCCCTTGGTGTCAAAGATAGAATAGGGTGGGGATGGCAGACTGTGTTTTCCAAAATTAGCCATACGATATCTACCATCCTTCATGATCTTCCCTCATGATCTTCTACAATGTGATCTTGCCACTTTCCCACCAAGAAGTAGAGTCGATTTCCCCTCCCCAAGAATTTAGGTGGGCTTGACTCCTTCAATCAAGAGAAGATAGAAGTAATGCTATGTGAATTCTGAAGCTGGAAATGCAGCCTCTGCTTTGTGTGCTGGAACACTCATACTTGGAGCCTTTGAAGTCTGACTACCCTGAGACCACCATGACTGAGAACACCACGCCACACAAAGAGGCCCTATGCAGGCACTCCATTTAGTAGTCCTAGTCTTCAAGTCATTCCACCCCAGGTGCCACACATATGAGTGAAGAAACCTCAAGATGATTCTAGCCCCCAAATGTCAAGCTACTACAATCTTCAAATCTCCCCAGTTGTGGTCTGGACATCATGGAGCAGAGACAAGCCATCCTTGGAGCACCCGGTCAAAATTCGTAAGCACCCAGTCAAAATTCGTGACCCATAGATTCTAGCAATCTAATAAAATGGTTGTTGCTTTAAGCAACTAAGATTTAGTTTGTCAAACGATAAAACCAGAACACTGACTTTGTGTATCCCACATTCTATGAAGGCAAACAGGCATGAAACAGTATAAGTAAATACATAAAATGAAGAGGAATAGGTAGTGCAGAGGTAGAGAGGAATTTAGATAGGAGAATGTGCTGGTTATTTATTCACTGTCTCTCAGCACTAAGTCCACTTTCTATAATCGGTGATATAAATTATTCCCAGCTGGCATCCTTTTAGGTCCTGTCAATAGGGGATACTAGAAAAAGCTAGAAGGGAGGAGAAGGGATTTTTCTTCATTCTACCATCAGCTGTATCCCAGCACTGGCAATTTGCTCCAGGTTCTGGCTTCTTTCAGTATACTCAACCCCGACCTCATCAGGCCCCCTTAAAGATATTAGTATCAGCCAGGTGCTGCCCCTTCTTAGAAGTACATGTATTAAATGCATGGGACTCCTCCACCAAGTTCCTAGGTTCTGGTAACCCAGGCTCTTCCCTTTGATTCCCTAAGCCCTGTCTGGTTCTCAGGTTAATCTTATACAGAGACATTATTCATAATTCAAAATCACTATTTCTATTTCTGATATGAACTGTTCATTCATTACACTACTGAAACATAACTATGAAACTCCTCATATCCATTTTTGGCAAGAAATTTGTTTACATAATTGCCATACCAGAAGTAGAATGCATAACACCAGGAATCTTTTAACCTACCAGAATAGCCCAATAACCCCACCTAATTTTGAGTATGACCAAACTACAAAATAAAATTGATCTTTTTAAAACTTTTACCAGTGAAACACATAATTACCTGTACAGATTTGGTTGTTGATGTCCCAAATGTCTGACTCCCAAGGCATCAAATCCAAATCAAAATCAAGATTATCAAAATTGTTTTCCTGTAGGTTTCAAATCAGCAAAAGAATATTAAAAGAATAAAACATACACATCTTAAAATCAAACTGTGAGACACAATTTGGCACAAATAATTTAACTGCTATTAGCCAACCTAGTAAAAAGAATACTCTAAGTCAGTCTTGTATGAGAATACATCTTGGATAGCCTAGAGATAAAATCAATTCAGTTACTTGAAGCACAGCAGCAACAACTAGGAAAGAGGTAAGGGATTCAGTATTTAAAACATTTAGTTGGCTTCATTATTTTCTATGAGAATGACCATTACAGGAGTCAAAAATGTGTCTTTTATCTTAAGGGAAATCCAGCAAAATACATTTTCCCATTGCCATTAAGAAAAACAAGACAAAGTAAATGCTATTCATAATATAATCTCTATATACAATAGAAAGAATATAGATATATCCAAAAGACAGGCAAGAATCATAAAGAGGATAGTTACCACTGAGTAATTTTCTTTTTTTTCTACTGTTCTATACTTCCTAAATTTCTAAAACTTTTATGAATCACTGAGTAATTTTCCTTTTTTCTACAGTTCTATACTTCTTAAATTTCTAAAACTTTTATGAATCAAAAAAAACACCACTTTTTAATCCTATAAAATAAAACTAATTTTCTAAAACAGGGTCCAGCAAACTTCTTAAAGCCTGCATTAAGTTCTTTTCATTTAGGTGGTTTTTCTAACCAAAATATAAGCATATTCTGGGTCATCCAGATAACCACCTTATACTATATACATGAATAAAGAAGTGTCACATAATTTCAGAGTCCTCATGTAAGTCTGAGATCAAGTTAGTACCAAACAGTACTATTTTAAATTAAGTGTCTGGAGTCACAGAGACAAAAAGAAAAGTAAACTTAATACATAAATAATGCAATAAAGTCAAAAGGCAGTAAATATTAACTTAATGTCACAAATGATAAAACAGCAACAATAGGATTGCTTGAGCCCAGGGGTTCAAGACCAGCCTGGGCAACATGGCAAAACCCATCTCTACCTAAGAAAAAAAATACAAACACTAGCTGGGCATAGTGGCGTGCACCTACGGTCCCAGCTATTCTGGAGGCTGGGGTGGGAAGATCGCTTGAGTCCAAAAGATGGAGGCTGCAATGAGCCAAGATCATGCCACTGCACTCCATCCTGGGAGACAGAGCCAGACCCTGTCAAAGAAACAAAACAAAACAACAACAACAACAAAAACAGCAACAATAAAATACACCTCGGCCGGGTGCAGTGGCTCACGCCTGTAATCCCAGCACTTTGGGAAGCCGAGGCAGGTGGATCACGAGGTCAGGAGATCGAGACCATCCTGGCTAACATGGTGAAACCCCATCTCTACTAAAAATACAAAAAATTAGCCGGGCGTGGTGGCGGGTGCCTGGAGTCCCAGCTACTCAGGAGGCTGAGGCAGGAGAATGGTGTGAACCCGGGAGGTGGAGCTTACAGTGAGCCGAGATTGCGCCACTGCACTCCAGCCTGGGCGACAGAGCAAGACTCCGTCTCAAAAAAAAAATAAAAATAAAAATAAAAAAATACACCTCAGGCAAAAAAAGTAAAAATGTATCTAGTAATTGGTAACGACCATTTGTTAACAATTTCTAGAAGAATATTATCATTTCAAAATGACTACTATATGGTTCATTTTTATTGAGAATGTAACAGAAACACAGAAGGGAAACTATTTTCTTATGATGCCCATAACTGAGTAAATATTAGTACAAGGTACATAAAGAGAACATGTGAAAGTGCACATGAAAAAAAAGTATTTAAATCATAAAAAAACCATTTTTTAAAAAATCAATCTCCTTCACTTTTTTCTCTTATTTGGATCTTCACATCAAAAAATTAAGCAGCCTTAGCCAGGTGTGGTGGCTCATGCCTGTAATCCCAGCACTTTGGGAGGCCGAGGTGGGTGGACCACTTGAGCTCAGGAGTTTGAGACTAGCCTGGCCAATGTAGTGAAACCCCGTCTCTACTAAAAATACAAAAATTAGCCAGGCGTGATAGCATGCACCTGTAGTCCCAGCTATTCAGGAGGCTGAGACATGAGAATCGCTTGAACCTGGGAGGCAGAGGTTGCAGTGAGCCGAGATCAAACCACTGCACTCCAGCCTGGGCAACAGAGTGCGACTCTGTCTTAAAAAAAAAAATTAAGCAGCCTTGTTTTAGCAACCAAAAAATCCTTAAACTTTCTTAATCTAAGTAAAGTTACCAATGTTGCTTGCCTGAGTGCCAGCAACACTTTTAAATAAGGGCATGATCTACTTGAGGAAACTTCTGACTCAATCTTCAGCCAAATAAGTCAAATACCTTCTACAGCATAAAGATTTTATCACATCAGAAATTTAACAGGCCCAGTTCATGCAAAATGAAACATACTGGCACTTATATACTCTAACTCTTCAGTGATTTAGCATGGGAAATTCTATTGCCGTTTGGAAGAAGAATGACATGAGGGGTCTCAGAGATTCAATCCCTTCATGTCATACTAGAAAAACTAAGGAACTGAAAGATTGAGTGATTTGCATAAAATAATAGAATGTTAGTTGTAAAATCAGGAATATATTTCCCTTAATCTTTCCAATTGAGCACACAGTTTCTTGACATAGTTTAAAAGAAACATTTTCTTTTAGGATTCTAGATGTTATGAAATATGAGTATCAGTTGCTTATTCAAATAGCCAATATTAAAAGGCAGTTTAATCAATGGGCCACATTCTAAAGTATCTCATGGAGTAAATGAAACCATTAAAATCCCTAGTACTGATTTTTTAAAATATATCATGTCCTTCATTCTCTTCTGTCGATTAATGGTAAAAACAACTGCTAAATCATTGTTTAAGAAATGTCTGAAACTCACTAAGCAATCTTTACATATTTTGTACTCAAGTTAATAAGAGCCTAAAATGATGTGATATTCAACCTGATTGACAAATTACTCTGCTCACTTGAATTACTTCTTAAGTGAAACAGCACCTCATCCATTAAAGAATAAGACAAAATCAAAGTTCTATAGGGCAAAGAGTTTTATATGTACTAATCAAGAAAAGAAAATCTAAGATATTCTCGGGGACTCAGTGTTATAATAGTTTTCACACAGACCTCTAACCAATCAAAGGTAAGGATACACCTACTTTTCAGAGCTTTCTACATGAATACACAACTTTTAAAAAGGACTAACTTAGTCAAGCAGAACTTACCAACTTCCTTTTTAAAAGCAAAGAATCTGTAAAAACCAAGAAGTAGGCAGGTTAGTGACTTTTCCAAAGTCACCTGCCAATTCCCTTATGTAGCAAAGTATCTGTAAAAACCAGGTAGGCAGATTAGTGACTTTTCCAAAGTCACCCATCCCTAGGGCCAAAGGTGGGCCTAGAATTGCAATACAATGCAATTTCTACTGTCCTACATTTACTGATTACAAAATGGCTACTAACTTTCATACTTAATGGTAGAAGCTATTTACCATTAAGTATGTAACTTAAATTACTAGCCTGAACCTGTTGTCCTGAAACTTTCTTGCAATAATTAGGGTTAAAGACTAAATATCACATTATTCAACCTTAGTAAATACTTACATACGTCTCATTTGCTGCTTCCAATTGCAGCTCATCAGTGTCTGTGAAATAACCGAGTTCAGCAAAGAGAGCAGAATCTTTGGACAAAGGAAAAGAATAGAAATGAACTGTCAATTCAATTATTTGACAAAGAAACAAGCACTGTGTCCCTATGTCACCTCTATTAAGGTTTCTCATTAGCCATTACTATTATTGATAAACTCCAGTAATGTGAATAAGCAATTCAATGCTCATTTCCAATTTATGTGTTGTTTTCTGCATAATTTTTATCTTGTGAACTGAATTCTTACACCAGGGATCAAAAAAGGTTTTATGTCATATGTCATGTAAGACTAATTGGTAGTGGCTTTATGGAACATTACTAACAAGAATTCTGATGCTACATCTGGGTTCAGCATGAAGAGTTAATGTGGTTCATAAGTAATAGGAGACAACTGTGGAAAGTAGACATGGTTCATAAGCAATAGGAGAGGGCTGTGGAAAGTATATACACACTGCGTATTTGTTATCCATGCCTTAAGTTAAGGGTGCAACCAATTTTCTATCTAGACAATAAAGGATTCATTCATCTAAACCATCAAATTCATTTCAGCAAATCTAACTATATTCCAATTTCCTAATGAGGTTTCATTACAAATCAAGAAATATGTGGATACAGAAAACATTCTTCAATACACTATACTGAAAACTTTTTGTAAAGAAAGGTTAAGGTGTTGACCAAGGCCCAAGAAGGCTCCTCACCATAGAATCTATGAAGTTCCTATTTCCTCTGACACTTTCAAAACTTTAAGCACTTTGAAGAGTTTTTCAAAACTAGGTCTTCCTTTGTACTCTCTACCTATTTTATGCTGCTGAAACTGCTCTGATGATTTCCTCAGTGCACAAGTGTAGGAACTGCACTGTCAGTCTGTTATTAACCTGACCAATTACAGTAACATTTCACCGCCTAAGACAAAATAGTATTTAGCAAAAAAATGTATACGTAGTAATAACAAAAGGTTACTCACATGACTCTCAGAAAAGACTACTCAGGTGCAGAGCCAAGAAACATATAAGCAGAGGACTGCGGCTTATATATAGGCTGAAACTCCTTTAAAGAGTTCTCTATCTGGCTCTCTCATTTCTTTCCTCCCATTCGTTCTAAACCTGCTCCAATCAAGCTCCCCGCTCCACATACACATAATTATTAATGTCCCCAGTGACTTCCATATTGCTAAATTCAATGGTAAACTCATAGTCCTCATCTTACTTGACCTATCAACAGCATTAACATAGTTGATCCTTTCATTTTAACTGAAGCATTTTCTTCACTTGACTTCCAGAATATCACACTTACCCAGTTTTCCTCCCACCTCAGTGGTTGACCTACCTTGCTGGTTCTTCCTCATCTCCCTAACACAAATTTGTCCCTGGGCTCAGCATAAACGTTTCTATCTATCTTACTTCCTTGGTAATCTCAGCTGAGCTCACGGCTTTAAATAAAATCTATATACCAAGGATTTCCAAATATACATCTCCAACCCACACTTCAAGATGCATGTGCAGTGAGTATGACATCTCCTCTTAGATGTTTAAAAGGCATGTCAAACCTAACATATCCAAAATGAGCTCCTCATCAACCCCACCAAACCTCCTACTGCTTTGTCCTCATCTCAGTTAATGACAATTGGATTTTCCCAGTTGCTCAGGCCAAAAACCTTGGGATCATTATTACTTAATTATTTACTTCTCTTCCTCACTCTCCATAATCAATCTACCAGAAAATTCTGTCAGCTCTGTTCTCAAAATATATATCTGTAATGTGGCTTCCTACCTTTCCTCCCATTCTTCCTTCCCTTCCCAACCTTCCTTTTCTTCCCTACCCCTCCCAACACAGAGATGTCAGCTTCCAAAGAAGCAGGGCAACAAAGGTGATGGGGTTTTGTGCACAGTCATCTCCAGCAATATGCCTCATATCCAAGGAAATAGGATGGTGTGGGAGAGACTATTGCCCAGCAAAGATGCCAGCATGCCCCAGCCCAGTGGGAGGGGGAATGGAGTAGCAGATGGAAAACGCAGGCTGAGTGGTTAGGAGAGTGGTCATACTGAACAAATATGTTAGGTGACTGAGCAAATGGTTGAATATATCTAAAATAATTAGAATGCTCTGGTTTCTCTTCAGAACGAATGAATCTTTTGCCTTTTACTAAAATAATTGGAGTCAGATTTCTCACAGTCTGAGAAAGGATTTAAGAGCATGGAAAGAGTCGGGAGACTAAAAGAATCCTAAGATGTTGGATTAGAACTAGAAGTATTAGTAAATAAACTCATTTAAAATATAACACATACAGATAGCTGTGGAAGTATATATATATGTACACACATATGCAGATGTTTGTATTATGCATATATACATATATACACATGCACATATATATATATATACACACATGTATATATATTTCCTAGTTCTGTCTGCTAAGAGGTCCTAGAAGCAATGACATCCCAGTAGCAATGAAAATACTGGGTGACCAGATCTTGGATACTAAATACCATCTTCCACCAAACAGAAGTCCACTAAGGGGTTCCTTGGAGAAATAACCAATTCCAGGGCTTGCAGCAGGGAAAGTGCAAAATAAGCCTGGAAATCTTGCTGTGCCAGAAATTCTCAGCAAATGACAGGAATATGTCAAAAAGAACAAAGGCCCCAATATGAATGAATTCTCAGTGGTCAAATCTGGGAAAATCTGAGCATCAGAATAAAATGAGAGTAGCGGTTTACCAACCACCAAATAAAAAAGGAATCAATGAGTTCATCACGGAACAAAGGAAGGAAGGAAGGTAGGTAGGTAGGTTGGTTCTTATAGTGCAATGTCAATCAACAATGATAGAATGATAGACAGAATGATAGAGTTAGATAGTTACCATTTGGCAACCATTAGAGTGGTAACTGATATAGATTGGGGTTATTAATGAGGCTAGGGCTCGTGGTTAGAGGTTTAATAAGAAAAGGATATTGGTGTTATGTCAGATTATCTCCCCCAAAATAGCAATAAAATACAAAATGGGAAGCAGTGGCTTTACAGTGGTGAAACCTAGAAGATACCAACTTGACCAAGTGATCATGTGACTATATCACAGGATGATATGATGGCATAGGAACATCGCATAGTATTTACACTATAATGTATACCCTCATTTTATTCTGATGCCAAATTTTCCCAGATTTGACCACGGGGAGTTCATTCATATTGGGGCCTTTGTTCTTTTTAACATGTTCATTTGCTGAGAATTTCTGGCCCAAGATTTTCCAGGCTTATTTTGCACTTTCCCTGCACTTTCCCAGCCCTGGAATTGGTCATTTTTCCAAGGAACCCCTTAGTGGTTTAGGATCATCTTGTCGAATAAAAGACTTCTACTCTTTAAGACTGTCAAGGACATTAGAGACAGGAAAAGACTAAAGAACTGTTCCAGATTAAAGGACACTGATGAGACATGATAAGTAAAAGCAATGAGTGTTTGCAAGTAAAATCCTAGACTAGAAAAGCAAATCATTATTGAAACAGATGGCAAACTTTGAATGGTGTCTTTGAATTGGATGACACTGTTGTATCAATGTTTATCTCCTGACTGGAAGAAATATAGGGTAGTAATAGAGGAAAGTGGCCTTCTTTTGGGAGGCAGGAGGATAGAGAGTATACACTACAGTATTTAAAGGTGATGGGTCAACACATCTCTCTCTCTTGAAAGGGAGAAAGAGAGAAATTGAGTAAATGCAGTAAAATTTAACAACTGAGGAGTCTGTGTAAAAGGCATGCAAGAGTTCTTTGCACTGTTCTTAAAACTTTTCTATAGATTTCAAACTATTTCAAAATTTTAAAATGTATGTATATATATGTGTGTATGTGTGTGTGTGTGTGTGTGTGTGTGTGTGTACATATCCATAATCCAACTACTTCTCATTACTCCACTGCTACTATTGTAACTCATGGGGATTGCTATAACAGCCTCCAAAACGTCTCCCTGCTTCTGCCCTTGCCCCTCTTTCAGTTTATTTCCAACAGAGCTGCTGAAGTGAGCCTATAAAAACAAAGGATGTTATTGGGAATCAGGATTCTCATAGCGGCAGAAGAGAAATACAAGCATATGGTGCAAGAAGGTGAAAAAGAACCCTGTGATGTTAGCTTTGAAGTATAAAGCATATTAAAATGAATTGATGCTTTTTAAAAATAAACATTTCCTCATTCTTAGGAAATACATGGTGAAGTGTTTAGGAGTTTCATATTATCTGCAGCCCACTTTCAGATGTGAAAAAGGAGGAAAGTGTGGGTAATATTAAGATATAAAGTGAATGTGGCACGATGTTAACAGTTGGTAAATCTAGATAAGGAAAACGCACGTTTATCAGTGTACTGATCTTTTGACTTTTCTGTGGTTAAAAAAATAACTGAAGGTGGGTTGATAAATATACTCGTATATTTATAGAACATTCCAAAAGAATCCATAAGAAACTGTTAGCATCAGTTACCCCAAAGTATCCTAAAACCTATTGCCTATTTCTATATCCTTTGCACCAGTCCCACACTATTAGATTTCCCTCAACAGTAGTAAATAATGGTAGTTACTATTTTTAGTGTACTCAACAAACTTTCCCACCTCACCTCCACCTTGCCCATTTATTTATTCATTTACTCCTTATAAGTTTAATAAGATCAGACACAGTCACTGGGTTTAGCAATGTGGAAATCAGTAGTGCCCTTAAAAACAGCAGTTTCAGGCCAGGCATGATGGCTCACGCCTGTAATCCCAGCACTTTGGAAGGCCGAGGCGGGTGGATCACATGAGGTCGGGAGTTTGAGACCAGCCTGGCCAGCATGGTGAAACCCCATCTCTACTAAAAATACAAAAATTAGTGGCTGACGCCTGTAATCTCAGCACTTTGGGAGGCCAAGGTGGGCAGGCGGATCATGAGGTCAGGAGATCAAGACCATCCCGGCTAACACGGTGAAACCCCGTCTCTACTAAAAATACAAAAAAAAATTTAGCCAGGTGTGGTAGCAGGTGCCTGTAGTCCCAGCTACTCGGAAGGCTGAGGCAGAAGAATGGCGTGAACCTGGGAGGTGGAGCTTGCAGTGAGCCGAGTGAGCCACTGCACTCCAGCCTGGGTAACAGAGAGAGACTCCGTCTCAAAAAAAAAAAAATACAAAAAGTAGCCGGGCATGGTGGCAGGCGCCTGTAATCTCAGCTACTCAGGAAGCTGAGGCGGGAATCGCTTGAATCCAGGAGGTGGAGGTTACAGTGAGCCAAGATCGTGCCATTGCACTCTAGCCTGGGCAACAGAGCAAGACTCTGTCTCAAAAAAAAAAAAAAAAAAAAAACAGGAGTTTCAGTGGAGTGGTGGCACCTGACTGGACTGGGTTCAAGAGACAAGGAGAAATAAAAAACTAGAGTCAGTGAACGTGGACATTTTTTAAAAGGAATTCTGCTGTAACATACAGTAGAGAAATGCAGTAACAGCAAGAGGTGAAGTAACATCTGAAGAGAGTTTTGAGTTTGTTGGTTTTGTTTTTTTTTTTTTTAACTCTAGCTAGAGTACTATCTAGATATAGAAACAGTACTTCTAGGAGAAACAACAACATGTTCATTTACTGACAGAGATGATCTAGTAGAGAGGGGAAATGCTGATGCAGGAAACAGGAGGAAGAATAGCTTGAGCAATATTCTTGAACAAAACAGGAAGAATCTAAAGCACATATGGAAGGACTGGCTCTAGCTAGGAGCAAGAAGCCACTCATTCTCACCAACAAAAGAGAAAGCAAACATGTTGATAGGTGGGTAAATGAGGTAGTGGGAGACTGTAGAAGTTCTCTTCTGATTCAAAGGATGGGAGAGATGTTGGAGGTTTGAAGATAGAAGAAACTTTATAAAGCAATCATCAGAATGGGACAGTGAGAGGACCAGGGAAATATGATTGGTCTGGCAACACTTAAATTGAGACCAGTCAGGACAGTTGAAGTGTTTTCTTCAGCTGATTCAGCTATACTAGGACAGGCATGAAGTGGGCAAAACTGAATTTAACTAATAGGTTTATCCAAGAGAAACCTACCAGAAAAGAGACAGACATGAATATGAAAGGTGAAAGGAAGGAAATAGTGACAATGACTGTCCATGGTATTTAAACTGGGTAAGAGGGACGTGATGAACTGAAGAGAATGAGAGACACTGGAAACATGGCAAAATCTCAGAAGGACTGAACAACTATTGAAACTGGAATACTAAAGGAAGTAAGCTGGTAAAACAGGCGAAGGCAGTCAGAGCAGGATGTTTGAAAGTGAGATGTTATTGGTAGTGACAAGACTTAGGCTTATGATCAGGAAAGCAAATGGCTGAGACTGGGTAAAAGGTAAGATCAGTGATAAAGAGGAGGTCCAGAAAATGACAGGTCAGTGTATCTGAAGGATCTTCTCTAAGGATACTGAAATCATCCAAGAATCATGATGGAAGTAATGGTGAAGAAAGTAACAGTAAGCTAGTGGCAAAATGTTTTCAAAAAGCCAAAAAGAAGCCAGGCATGGTGGCATGTGTCTGTAGTCCCAGCTACTCGGGAGGCTGAGGCAGGAGGATCCTTTGACCCCAGGGGTCTGAAGATGCAGTGAGCTGTGATTGCTCCACCGCATACTCCAGCTCCAACCTGGGCAAGAGAACAAGACCCCATCTCTAAAAGAAAAAAAGAAAAGTGAAAGAGAGTGATCCAGGAATCAGGAGAGGTAGAGGATGGGATATTGTGACAAAATGAGATTTCAACTTAGATATTTTTAGGGAGGAGGAAAGGAGAATAGCAGTGAAGGACAATGGAGACACCTATCCCACCAACAGAGGCCCTATGGTGAAAAGGTTTTGAGAATAAAATTAGCAACCGTTCACCGGGGCATTACGGGAAGTTGTGTCATCCAGGAGCACCAGATTTTGATTTAGTGCTAGAAAGCCAAGAGAACCTTCACAGAAGAGACTGAAGACATAAACGAAACCACAGTGGCAGACGAAAGCTTCTGATCTTGATACACATATCTTAAGTACAGCTGACAGAAGAATAAAGAGAAGGAAAAAGGAGAAAGGAGAAAGGAGGAGGAGGAGGGAAGAAAGAAGAAAGCAGAATAAAGCAGCTTTTGCACAAATTCAAGCAAGAGTAAAAGAGAAGAGAGAAGGAGAGAGGAGGGTAAAACATACAGACGGCAAATAAGCATATGAAAAGATGCTCAACATCATATGTCATCAGGAAACTGCAAATTAAAACATACCACTACACACCTATTAGAATGACTAAAATCCAAAGTACTGGCAACACCAAATGTTAGCAAGGATGTGGAGCATCAAAAATGCTCATTCATTGCTAGCGGGAATGCAAAATGGTATAGCCACTTTGGAAGACAGTTTGGCAATTTCTTACAAAACAAACAAAAAACATGTTCTTACCACACAATCCAGCAATTGTGCTCCTTGATATTTACCCAAACAATTGGAAAATGCATGTCCACACAAAAACCTGCACACAAATGTTTTCAGCAGTTTTATATATAATTGCCAAAAGTTGGAAGCAACCAAGATGTGCTTCAATAGGTAAGTGGATAAGCAAACTGTGAATTTATGGCCTAAACTGTGTCCTCCAAAATTCGTATGTTGAAGCCCTAACCCCAAATATTACTATATCGAGAGATACAGTCTTTAGGAGGTAATTAAAGTTAAATGAGGTCATTAAAGTGGGGCACTAATCTGATAGGACTGTGGCCTTATAAGAAGAAGAAGATTCTCTCTCTCAGTGCCATGTGAGGACACAAGAAGAAGGCAGCCATGTGCATGCAAGCCAGGAAGAGAGCCCTAACCAGAACCTGAAGGTGCGGCCATCTTGATCTTGAACTCTAACCTCCAGAACTGGGAGAAAATAAATTTCCATTGTTTAAACCACGCAGTCTGTGGTGTTGTCTTATGGCAGCCTAGGCAGACTAATAGGCTATAGAACATACATACTATTTTTTGTAACACTGTAAATAGTATTTTTGTAATACTATTTAGTGCTAAGAAGAAATGAGCTATCAAGCCATGAAAAGACATGGAGGGACCTTAAGTGCATATTGCTAAGTGAAAGAAGCCAATTCAAAAATGCTACATACTGTATGATTCCAACTATATGACATTCTGCAAAAGGCAAAACCATGGAGACAGTGAAAAGATCAGTGGTTACCTGACCAGAGGTAGGGAAGAGGAAGGAGGAAAAAATAGGTAGAGCATAGGGCTTTTTTAGGGCAGTGAAACTATTCTATATAATACTGTAATTATGGATACATGTCATTATACCTTTGTCAAAACCCATAGAACAGTGGTTCCCAACCCTGTTGGGAACCAGGCCACACAGCAGGAGGTGAGCAGCAGGTGGGTGAGTGAGCGAAGCTTCATCTGTATTTACAGCCACTCCCCATCACTTGCATTACCGCCTGAGCTCCACGACCTGTCAGATCAGCAGCAGCATTAGATTCTCATAGGAGTGTGAACCCTACTGTGAACTGCACATGTGAGGGATCTAGAGTGCACGCTCCTTATGAGAATCTAACGCCTGATGATCTAATCACTGTCTCCCATCACCCCCAGATGAGACCATCTAGTTGCAGGAAAACAAGCTCAGGGCTCCCACTAATTCTGTATTATGTTGAGTTATATAATTATTTCATTATATATTACAGTGTAATAACAATACAAATAAAGTGCACAATAAATGTAATGCACTTGAATCATCCTGAAAACATTTCCTGTGCCTCCCTGTCCCCACCTCCTGTGGAAAAATTGTCTTTCATGAAACCAGTCCCTGGTGCCAAAAGGCTGGGGATCCCTGCCATAGAATGTACAACAGAGTGAACTTTAAATGATGGGCTTAGTTAATAATAATGTATCAATACTGGCTCATCAATTGTAACCAATGTACCACACTAATGCAAGATGTTACCAATAGGAGAAGCTGGGGATGAAGGGGAAGTATGTGGACTCTTTGTACTATCTGCTCAATTATTGTGTAAATCTATAATTATACTAAAAAAGTAGGCTTATTATTTAAAATAATTATGTGAAATTCAAATTTCAGTGTCTATAAAGCTTTATAGAAACACAGCCATGCTCACTTGTTTATGCTGTCTCTGGCTGCTCCTGCACTATCACAGCAGACTTGAGTAGTTGCAACAGTGACCATGTAATCACAAAGCCTAAAATATTTACTATCTGAACCTTTACAGAAAATGTTTGAAGACTCTTGCTCTAAATTTCATTACCTAAGTTAAAAAGAAAAAGGAAAGCACATCCCTCACAGGCTGTTCTGAGTTAATCACTTTATTTAAATTATTTAGAGTTGTTAAAATCACAGGACATACTAATTACATAATCTGATTTTTAAATTTTAACTAGATAGTGTCTAATATTAAAAAAAAATCAAGGCTAGACACAGTGGCTTGAGCCTGTAATCCCATCACCTGGGAGGTTGAGGCAGGATGACTGAGGCCAGTTGGAGACCAGTCTGGGCAACACAGCAAGACCCCTGTCTCTACAAAAAATTCAAAAATTAAAAATTAACCAGGCATGGTAGCGGTGTGCACCTGTAGTCCTAGCGACTCAGG
This sequence comes from Homo sapiens, assembly GCF_000001405.40. Taxonomy (NCBI): domain Eukaryota; kingdom Metazoa; phylum Chordata; class Mammalia; order Primates; family Hominidae; genus Homo; species Homo sapiens. Next base: position 161,768,685 of record NC_000001.11, on the reverse strand, counting down.
AGGCTCAGATGGAAGGATCACTTGAGCCCAGGAGTTCCAGGTCACAGTGAACTATGATTGCATCACCGCACTCCAGCCTGGGCGACAGAGCAAGACCCTGTCTCTAAAAGAAACAACAACAACAACAACAAAATCAAGTAAATCAGTGAAGTACTTGAACATCCAAAACAGCAACTGTCACAGAACGAAACACTATCAGACAGTAGTGTTTCACTCTATTGCCAACAAAATCTATCCTACTTACTGAACACCTAAGGAATTAAATTAAAGTCTTCAAAGAAGAGAAGACTGTTAACAGTTTGAAAAGGGAAACCTGGAAAACAATGGAAATGGGCACATTCAGGGAGGGACAGGGCAGGATACCCGATAGAAGTGAGTCGGTGAACTGACTACAAAGAACTGAATGCTCTGTTAGAGAACATTAAGTCAAGTGATCAGATAAGTCTGGAAAATGCAGCCTGGGTATCAGAAGACGACATAAAATTATGCTACCAGGAAGTGTCCCACAGTTATACTTTAAGAAATGTCACTGGCCGGGCACAGTGGCTCACACCCGTAATCCCAGCACTTTGGGAGGCCGAGGTGGGCGGATCACCTGAGGTCCAGAGCTCCAGACCAGCCTAACCAACATGGAGAAACCTCGTCTCTACTAAAAATACAAAATTAGCCGGGCGTGGTGGTGCATGCCTGTAATCCCAGCTACTCGGGAGGCTGAGGCAGGAGAATCGCTCAAACCCGAGTGGCGGAGGTTGCGGTGAGCCAAGATTGCGCCATTACACTCTAGCCTGGGCAACAAAAGCGAAACTCCATCTCAAAAAAAGAGGTAAAGAAAAGAAATGTCATGAAAATATAATAGCTGACTAGCTGACAAAATAAATCATAACTACCCAATATATTCAAGTAGTCTTATTAATAACCAGGGATCTTAGGAAGAATAAAATCTGTAGACATGAGTTAGGAAAGCATTATAGAATAGATGCTAGGGGTACAGACTTTGGAGGTAGAAAAACCTGGTCTGATCCTTCTTCTGCCACTAACTAGCTCTAAGAATCTGAGCACAAATTCTGTTAGCCTCAGTTTCCTCATCTCTAAAATAAACAGTACCTCATTGGACTGTTGGTAGGATTAAACAAAATACTTCATGTCAAGAGTTTAACAGGGTCCCTGACACAAAGAGCTAAATAAATGGTTACTGTCACTAATGCATTTGGCTTGGGAAAATGGGAATAAAAAATCTTAAGTTTTCCAGCAACTCTTAAAAAATCTACCCAAGGATTAAAATAAATCTCCAATAGAATATAGTTTTAGAGAACATCTGTCCTTGAAACAATTAAATGACTTTGTTCAATAAAAAGTTGAGATTCCTTCCACTCCTGCTATTGAGAATGCTGATCCAAGGGAGAAAGATAAACTGGGTTCCCCCCAGTTCCAAGGCTGATGAGTGGTGTAGGCTCACTAGCGGGCCCATTTGGGAACCTACACAATCCCAAATTCATATTGGAACCTAAGAACAATATTACTATTATATCTTGCAATCAAGAGGAGAATAAAAGTCTCCTCTAAATACTTAGATAACAAAGTTTCTTCATTCTCATTTCCACTTCATCCCATTCCACCCTTCCTGACCACCAAAACCAAACAAAATATCCATTAACAAGAAAATTAAGAGCTGTATCTGGAGAGCAGTCAGGATTACACCATAAGTATTAGGTGTAGCTAAGCAGGGACCCGAGGTCAGGTGCTTGGGTGTTTTGCTTTTCTGCCAAGACGGACATCAGGCTTAAACCAATAGTAAAAGCTGTAAGATTAGAATTTCTTGTATATAACCACATTCTCTCATATACACCAAACACACAAAAACCCACTCCATTGTGCTCACCGCCCACATTTCACACTCAGGAAATAGCTTGTAGCCTTTTTGGCGGTCCCAGCCATTTTGCTCTAAACCTCCTAAAGACGTCCAGTGTTAGCCACACAAAAAGATCACCCGGTACTTCCCCAGTGGGAATAGTGAAAAACGACAGTTAACTCCAGTTAGACAATATTCTACTCTCCCTGTGGCCAGGACAGAAGCCGAACGATACTCCCAGACTCTTCCAGGGGCACGAACAGGAGTGACGAGGGGCCTCACTCCCCAGGCAGGGTTGGTCCACACCTGTCACCACGAGTGGGCGGAAGTAGGGAGGAAGAAACCTTTAGACGCGAACCCGAGCCACCCTGGTACATTCTCAGATCCCACTCACCCCAATCTTCATCCAGCCTGTGAAAGAGTCCCGGGCTAAAAGGTGACTCCATGGTGCCGGCAACCCCAGCCGGCTCCCCCATTTCACAAGTTCCTTCTCCCTGGAACTCCGTGATTAATATCTGGGACGGCGGCGGCAGGCGGACAAAATACTCCGTAACGCTGACGAGACGGTGGCCTAGTAAAGACAAACTACTTTTGCCGCACGAGGGATTTGTACGACACAGGAAAACGTCAGAGACTAAGCAAATTTGAATAGACCTCTGAGTAAATATTTCCCTTTTGGAGTTTTCAGGACTTTCTGTCCCGCTGTTTTATGGGGAAGGCGGGGGAAGACACGCAGACATCAATTCGACTAAACAAAGTTTATCAATAATATTAAAAATAAAAAGTAAAGCCCCTTTCTGAACATTATGGCTTATTCCTTGATTATCCTTCTTAATGCCACAGCGTGGCTATCTCAGAACAAAATTAGAGACTAACAGTAAATTTACTTTAATTTTTACGAATAATTCTCTATCAATGTAAAAATTTTTCATATACGCGTGTATGAAAGAAAAACACTACTATTTTTCCACATTCGTGAAAACTGCTTAACTGGGACAGTAACCGAGGTAAGTGGTACTATAAAACATACTTCTAGAAAGACTACTTTTATTTAAATAAATTGAAACAAAGCAAATATAAAAAGATAAACCCCCCAAATTTATCTCCTAAAGATAAATTTCTAAAGCATAGTATTTAGTCAAAGTCCAAGCGAGTCTACCCTAAGACCTACAGTAATCGAAGTTCCCAATATTTGTATTACTAAAGATTCGGGTTTTATTTAAAGGAAAATCACATACATCACGAACTCCAACTGAAAATATGAACTGAGTTTGATAAAGCAGTTTCAAGAACGCTACTTAAGAGAATTTCTTTTTCATCCATTTTAAATTTCAGCGGCCAGTGAATATTTAAAATACTGTAACCGACGAATACGTATGCTTCTAGGACCACGTGGAATCTTTCCCATGGTAGGTAAGCAAAACAAATGTGCTTCCCAGAACCCTCCAAACTGCTCGTGGGTATATTACTACAGATTACATAATGCAGCAGCGTTCCGGGACGCAAGCCCAGAAAAAGATAATTAAATCCCCTTACGTCAGATGTAACTACTTTTGTCATTAGAAAACTAATAAATTTTCACTTAAGGTGAAATTTATAACACTTTAATTCTCACCCAATTACAAATTCAAAAATTGACATAAAAAACTAAAATAAGGCCGGGCGCGGTGGCTCACGCCTGTAATCCCAGCACTTTGGGAGGCCGAGGCGGGCGGATCACGAGGTCAGGAGTTCGAGACCAGCCTGGCCAACATAGTGAAACCCTGTCTCCACTAAAAATACAAAAAGTTAGCCAGGCGTGGTGGCGGGCAAGTAGCTGTAATCCCAGCTACTCGGGAGGCTGAGGCAGGAGAATCGCATGAACGCGGGAGGCAGAGGTTGCAGCGAGCGGAGATCGCACCACTGCACACCAGCCTGGTCGACATTGCGAGACTGCGTCTCAAAAAAAAAAAAAAAAAAAAAACCTAAAATAAAATAAAATCATCGAGTCTTCTGTATCCCACTAGACACCTTAGTCTTTTAAGAAAATCACCATGACAAATCGCCAATTTTTTTAATTTCCAAAAGATTTTATTTTTATTCAAAAAGTGCAAGTAATTATGAAACAAACATTTGTGACCTATCACCAAGAATTTAAAAATTTAACATTTTTCATTTTTGTCCCAGATTTTTCATAAGAAATTAAATACTACAGAATTGAATTCCTCTTTCCTCCCTGCTTCATTTTCCTCCCTTGGCGTAGGCCACTTCTACCATGAATTTTATGGGTATAAAATTTTATTTTATAAAAATAAAAGTGTAATTCTAGTCCACTTTTATTTTTAGTTTTACGGTGCTTAAACATGTTTATAGACACATGCATTTAGTGTCATTTGGGTTTTTTTAATGTATGTAAACTTTAATGTTCTCCAAATCATTTTTCTTATTGGATATTAAGGATCTACCCATGGTATTTCCTTGAATGAATCTCAATTTCTCTCTCTCTCTCCCTCTTTTTTTTTTTTTTTTTTTTTTTGAGACAGGGGCTCACTTTGTCCCCTAGGCTGGATTGCAGTGGAGCCATCTCAGCTCACTGCAGCTTGACCTCCCAGGTTTAAGCGATCCTCATGCCTCTCCCCACAATAGCTGAGACTACGGGAACCCACCACCACACCCGACTAATTTTTGTATTTTTTGTAGAGACAGGATTTCACCATGTTGCCCAGGCTGGTCTCAAAACTTCTGAATTCAAGCAGTCCGCCCGCCTCTGCCTCCCAAACTGTTGAGATTACAGGCGTGAGCCACCGCACCCAGCCTCAAGAATGTCTTAAATAATGTATGTACTATTTTATCAGTTTACACCCTCACTAGCATTGATGAGTTCTCTTTGTTCCACATTCTCTCCAACACAAGATATGGTCAGACTCTTACCATTTTTACCGCTGTGAAAATTGCAATTTACATTTCCCTAACAAAGTGGTGCATTCTTCCATACTTATGAAACCTTATTTCCTCTTCTGTGAACTGTCCACTCTTACCTTTTATAAAGTTTGCTATGGAGTTTTCTTTCACAAATGATGTGTACGTCATTAGATAGCCTGCTCTATTCATTCACCTGTATAAAGTAAAACTAAACTCCTAAGTCCGCCACCAACAGAATAGGCCCCCTTGTGGCCAAGGGGATCCTAGAAAACCTTAAAACTGAGTTCTAGACCACGATGGGACAGGTTAGACACACCTTGTTATACTCCCTCCCTTTTGTAGTTTAACACAACAACTGGCCAGCATTAATGTTAAAACAGAGATGATAAGACTGACAGAACAGACTCTGGCAATAAGATGCCAAATTATAAAAAAGACCTAAAGCCATTCCAGGCAAGGTTTTAGTCCCACACCCCTATACTTAAAGAATAAACTGTGTTCTAACTGCCACAAGATTCTTCTCTAGCAGCTAAACAAGTACTGGCCTAAAGATAAACAATATTAAAATAATGTGCAGCTCCACGAGATGCTGACTTACTGACCCCCAGTCCCCGTTCCACCAGCCATAGCTACAGCTTTCATTGGACAACTTTTTGTTGATTTCAGTAACTTTCTCCAGGTAAGAAGACCACTGGCCATGGACTGGTTCTGGCTGGTCTACAGAGGTCGCACATTTGCATGGCTTCATGTCCTGAAAGACCTTTTGACGTATAGGGCTCGTAATACATTTAAATGTTAAGTCTTGGCTGGGTGTGGTGGCTCACGCCTGTAATCCCAGCACTTTGGGAGGCCCAGGTGGGAAGATCACGAGGTCAGGAGCTTGAGACCAGCCTGGCCAACATGGGGAAACCCCATCTCTACTAAAAATACGAAAATTAGCCAGGCGTGGGGGCAGGTTCCTGTAATCCCAGCTACTCAGGAGGCTGAGGCAGGAGTATCGCTTGAAACCGGGAAGTGGAGGTTACAGTGAGCTGAGATCACATCGTTGCAGTCCAGCCTGGGTGACAGAGCAAGACTCCGTCTGAACAACAACAACAAAAAAGTTAAGTCTCCATCCCAAAGTGAATATGGGTCATATGTTACATGAGTTTTTGTTCAATACGCATGTGTCAGGACCACTTTCATGAATATTCATAGCTCTTCCTGTAACCTGGTGAAAATGTAGGTTTAGCCAACCTGTTCAGCCTGAACTACACTCCAAGCCCTCCTCCTTCAAAGCGCCTGTTTCTGGAGGCACGCTTCCCAGCCTGCAGGATGGCCACCTTGCAGGCCATAAAGTCTCCCCTTCTTTTCTAAATTTATTCATTGTGGGGCTTTTTAATATATACATTTTTAAAAGAGAGAGAGAGACAGAGTCTCGCTTTGTTGCCCGGGCTGGTCTCAAACTCCTAGGCTCAAGCTATCCTTCTGCCTCAGCCTCCCAAAGTGCTGGGATTACAGGCATGAGCCACCGCACCCAGCCCATTGTTGGGCTTTTTTAAGTTAACGCTTGGTATATGTTATAAATACCTTCTCCCAGGTTGACACTTGTCGTCTTTGTTTACGGTGATTTGTTCTCTAGATTTTAATTTCAATGTAGTCAAATTTATCAATCTGTTGTTATGATAGCTGACTTGTAGCTTTCTTAAGAAATCCTTCCCTCTCCTGAGGTCACTAAGATTTTCATTTTCATTTTCATAGTTTTATAGTTTTGTTTTTCACATCTTTTTTTTTCTATTTGGCTATTATTGGGGTATAGCAACACTGTGGATTTTTGTACAGCAATCTTGTACCAAAAACCTTGTTGAATTCTGTTATTCTAGTATTTTGTCTGTGCCAGGAACAGTGGTACACACCTGTAATCCCAGCTTCTTGAGAGGCTGAGGCAGGAGGATTGCTTGAACCCAGGTGTTCAAGGCTAGCCTGGGCAATATAGCAAGATTCTGTCTCTAAAAAAAAAAATCATATTATGGTAGATGGAAACTAGTATGTGATAAAATAAAAATGACTTTAAAAAAATTTGTCTAAAGTTCTTTAGGATTTTTTATTTAGCAGAACATTATGCAAACACCAACCTTTTAAATTCTATTTTATTTAATGTTTTAATTTGTAAAATAAACTTAGTATGAAAATTTTCAAACAAATACAAGAGATGATATAATAAATCCCTGTGTTCCTATCATCCAGCTTCAGCTTAAACAATTTGCCATTCTTGTTTTATCTATCCTACCTCTCCTCTCCACAACTTTTTTCATTTTGTTCTGTGTTTTTCCCAGAATTTTTTTTTTTTTTTGAGACGGAGTCTCTCTCTGTCACCCAGGCTGGAGTGCAATGGCGTGAGCTCGGCTCACTGCAACTTCTGCCTCCCACAATCAAGCGATTCTCCTGCCTCAGCCTCCCAAGTAGCTGGAATTACAGGTGCCTGCCACCATGCCCAGCTAATTTTTGTATTTTTAGTAGAGATAGGGTTTCACCAAGCTGGCCAGGCTAGTCTTGAACTCCTGACCTAAGGTGATCCACCTGCCTCGGCCTCCCAAAGTGCTGGGATTACAGGCGTGAGCCACCTTGCCCAGCCTTCCTGGAGTATTTTAAAGCATATCTAGATATATTATTTCACCCATAAATACTTCAATGTATATCTCTAAGAGACAAGGCCTTTTTTTTTTTTTTGAGATGGAGTCTTGCTCTGTCGCCAGGCTGGAGTGCAGTGGCGTGATCACTGCAACCTCTGCCTCCTGGGTTCAAGCGATTCTTCTGCCTCAGCCTCCCGAGTAGCTGGGACTACAGGCGCGCGCCACCACGCCCAGCTACTTTTTGTATTTTTTTAGTAGAGATGGGGTTTCACCATGTTGGCCAGGATGGTCTCGATCTCTTGACCTTGTGATCCATCCGTTTCAGCCTCCCAAAATGCTGGGATTACAGGCATGAGCCACTGCACCTAGCCTGCCTTTTCTTATTTTTAAAAAACATACTGATAATCCCATTATCATACCCAACAAAATTAATAATTCCTTAATATCATCTGATACCTGTTCCATGTTCAGTTTTCTGTCTCAAAAATGCCCTTCCTTCCACAGTTAGTTAAAATCAGGATCCAACAAGATTGTCACATTGCATTTAGTTCACATGACAATTCCCTCTCCATTTCTTCCCCCCTGCCATTTGTTGAAGAATCTAAGTCATTGGTCCTATAGAATTTCCCACTTCATGATTCTGCTGATTACATCTTCATGGTGATGCTTAATTTGTTCCAGAAACTGCCAGTGACATCTAGAGGCTTGATTAGTTTTTGGTTTTTTGTTTGCTTTTGCAAGAATACTTCATAGGTACTTCCTTGCATCATAGCAGAAGGCATATACATACTGTCCCACTTTTAGAGATGTCGAGATTTATTAGTGAGTTCAGATTTTTTTCCTACGTCTTAAACTGTTTAGCCCCTTGTTTTACTGCAATGGTTAGGCCCTCTAATACGATACAGAAGGTAGGGGCTAGACATCTTTTAACTTACTTCTAAATTTTAATGTGAATGTTTGAAAAGTTTTACCACTAAATAAGATTTTTTCCCATATATTTTTCACAGCTGCTCTGATTAAGGAAGCTTCCTTCCACTCTAGTTACCAGGCTTTTCTTTTTAAATCATTAAATGTTGGATGTTATGGAATTCTTTTTCTTGAATCTACTCATTCATTTTCAACTTAAACCCTTGGAATAGAAATACAATTTGAAAAAGAACCTTATGTCTAGAGACAATACCACTCTTTGGTCTAGGTAAGAGGAGCCCCTACCCTGGACCGACACTTTAGAAGACTTTACTCTGACCTCTGGCTCTGCCCCACAGGATAAGAATCCATACTGCCAACGTGATGTGCCCAGCTAGAACAGATGCCCCCTTCTAGAAGTGCATCTAACACCCAAATAGCCCAAATAGCTCCAAGCCGGCTTCCAGGGCTTGCTCTGGCCTCATACCTCTTACGAGTGAAATGGGCTAATGGTATACACCAGGGCTGTAGCCAGATCTTATACATATAGGTGGGGGACCCACATATATATATATGCACCAGGCTCTTCATGATGCAGAACAAATCAAGGGGTGGGGAAATAAAGGAGGCACCCAGTGGGCGGGGGCCACCTCTCCCTGCATTGCCATGCTTTGTCATGGAATCTGATAAAATCAGAGAATTCTGAATTCAAACCTGGTCTGACAGGTCATTATGAAGGGATATTTGTCAAGATAATAGAATAAAACATTTTATTTAACAGATAGCTTGATTTATAATTTTATTTTTTTAAGACAGAGTCTTGCTCTGTCGCCCAGGCTGGAGTGCAGTGGCGCGATCTCGGCTCACTGCAAACTCCGCCTCCCAGGTTCAAGCAATTCTCCTGCCTCCCCGCCTCCCAAGTAGCTGGGATTACAGGGGCCCACCACCATGCCTGGCTAATTTTATATTTTTAGTAGAGATGGGGTTTCCCTATGTTGGCCAGGCTGGTCTCAAACTCCTGACCTGCAGTGATCCACCCCCCTTGGCCTCCCAAAGTGCTGGGATTACAAGCGTGAGCCACTGCACCCGGCCAATTTATGTTTTAAAAGTTAAGACACTCATGCCTGTAATCCCAGCACTTTGGGAGGCCGAGGCGGGCGGATCACGAGGTCAGGAGATCGAGACCACGGTGAAACCCCGTCTCTACTAAAAAATACAAAAAAATTAGCCGGGCGTGGTGGCAGGCGCCTGTAGTCCCAGCTACTCAGGAGGCAGAGGCAGGAGAATGGCGTGAACCCGGGAGGCGGAGCTTGCAGTGAGTCGAGATTGCGCCACTGCACTCCAGCCTGGGCGACAGAGCAAGATTCCGTCTCAAAAAAAACAAAAACAAAAACAAAAACAAAGTTAAGACAAATAGTATATAGGCCTCGATGTGTACTATTGTTGGAACCCTGCAAATGGTGGGGAGCATGACTAGTGAATTTACAACTTAATTAACATTGCATTTGATCCATACTATTTGATTTTATAATCTGATCAACAGTGTATGATGGATAGGCATTGAGTCATATTAAACTGCAGCTATGTAACTACTTTTTACCTACAAAAGGGGTAACTTCATGTGCCGCAAACTGTTATTATTTTTTAAATAGAGACGGGGTTTTCACATATTGGCCAGGCTGGTCTTGAACTCCTGGCCTCAAATGATCCACCCTCCTTTGTCTTCCAAAGTGCTGGGACAGGCATGAGCCACCACACCTGAGCTCCTCAACCTGTTTGTTAAAACTTTCTAGAGAATAATATATGAATAGAGAATAATAGTATGAAGCAAAAAAGTAGATTTTATGAAAGCTAAAACAAATGGAGTAATTTTTTCTCAAAAGAAAAAATTATGGCAGAGAGCGGTGGCTCACGCCTGTAGTCCCAGCACTTTGGGAGGCCGAAGTGGGTGGATCACTTGAGGTCAGGAGTTTGAGACCAGCCTGGCCAACATATGGAAACCCCATCTCTACTAAAAATGCAAAATTAGCGAGATGTGGTGGCTACTTGGGAGGCTGAGGCAGGAGAATCGCTTGAACCTGGGCAGTGGAGGTTGCAGTGAACCGAGATCATGCCATTGCACTCCAGCCTGGGCAACAACAAAACTCCATCTCAAAAAAAAAAAAAAAAAATAGAAAGAAAAATTATTACATGGAAACTGCCAAAGCCTTCAGGTCCAATGTTAAGATTTTTCTCAAGAATTTTCCATAACACTCCTATACCTTTAAAAAACTGAGCTAGGCATTTATTAAGAGGATCATTATTCACAACATATTTTTGCATTTAAAAATTACTCCCACTACGGTGTTTATGTATATAAGCCTCAATGTGTACTATTGTTGGAACCCTGCAAATGGTGGGGAGCATGACTAGTGAATTTACAACTTAATTTACAACAAAAATAAAGAATATTTTTCTTTATTAATTCTTGTTCTTTTTTGGAGTAGCCTCCCAAGCAGCTGGGACTACAGGCGTGTGCCACCATGCCTGGCTGATTTTTTTATTTTTAGTAGAGACAGGGTTTCACCATGTTGGCCAGGCTGGTCTTGAACTCCTGACCTTAAATGATCTGCCTGCCTTGGCCTCCCAAAGTGCTGGGATCATAGGCATAAGCCACTGCACCTGGCCTTTATTAGTTAATTCTGATTCTTGTAAATGTTCAAATATCTAATTAGGTCCAATTGTAATTATTAATAATGAGTAAAATAATTCTAGTTTCTATACATCAGGTTAAAAAACTAATCTGGACGTATTACCTTTTCCAATACTCACATATTGGGCTACAAAATGACTTGATATATAGTAACTCTACATTTGTTTTCTTCATCATTAGAAACACATCTAACATTTATGTATTTCTTTATGTAGATCACTTCAAAAGGGATCTCAAACACTTTTCTAAAAATATAGATAATTGGGATTACTGAACAGTAATAGGAAAATTGCCTTTTAATCAGCGTTTTACTAATGGCCTTTCCATTTCCAAGAAAAAAATCCAGACATGTATGGGTTTACTAATGTCCCTTAAAAGAAAGAAAGTGAAATAATTCCAAAATATGTCCAAACAAATCTGCTTTATGTGTCTGGAAATAAAAGAATACCCATTTAAATATAATAGTTTCAAATTTTTGTACATAATTTTGTCTATACAGACCTTAAGATCATATAACATTCCAACAATCAAAACTTTTAAAAATATATGAAACACAGACAGTATCTGGTTATAAAAGATTTTAATATCAAATAAAATGTACATGATCAAAAGGCTTTGATTGCCATGTAAAGCATAGTTTCCAGGTTACATCAAGTGATTTTATCTTCTCCCATTTCAAATGAAATGTTGAAAGCACAAACAATCTGCCATGAATGATAAGAAGCAAAGGCAGCACATATCATCTGCAAGTTTCTTCCCAAGCTATAAAATATCATGTTCATATTTTTCCTGTTTGTGATCCCAAAACAGGCAATATTTTCATTTCATCCACTCTATTCTTATGTATTTGAAAAGCAGGTGTTATCCACCTACCACAAGAGCACTGTTCACCATACCAGTTGAAGGAACCCAACTTGGCACTGCATTTTGGGCAAAGAAGCTGAAATAAAGCAAATGTGTTACTTTATTCATTCACTTTTATACAAAACAAATCATTATCTTTGGCAATCAATATAGGATATAAAAACAAGACACGATCCCCACGTTGAGTTTATAATCTAATCAGTGAGATAAAATGCATTGGAAATTTACTGTAATAGATAGTAGACTACAATTATCTCATAGGAAGAATGTTGTATTCAGGGAGCTTGAAGGGAGAAAAGTGAAGCTTGAGATTTGATTAAGGAAGGTTTCATGGATGTGGCATATATATATATATATATATATATATATATATATATAGCTTTTAAATCAGTTTGTAATTTAGGACTTCAAATGAAAATGATCACGGCTAAAGTATAGAAAAGCATGTTAGGATTTTCATGCTGTATTACTAACTGTGTGTATTGACAGCATATAAGTCAGATTCTTAGCTATTTAAAGACAAACTGATATTCCAGGAAAATAGGTAAATCAAAAAAGCCTAATAAGGCAACTGCATTTTCTTCTAATGTAGTTAGTTATAGCATTAATTTTTATGTTTAGCTCTTTGATTTATGCATGGTATAAGGTAAGAGTTTTTATTTTTAATCTTGAGCTATAGAAAACTAGACATAAAACTCAGAAGCAGGCTGAGTGTGGTGGCTCATACCTGTAATTCCCAGCACTTTGGGAGGCCAAGGCGGGCAGATCACCTGAGGTCAGGAGTTTGAGACCAGCCTGGTCAACATGGTGAAACCCCGTCTCTACTAAAAACACAAAAATTAGTTGGGCATGGTGGCGGATGCCTGTAATCACAGCTACCTGGGAGGCTGAAGCAGGAGAATATTTGAACCCAGAAGGCGGAGGTTGCAGTGAGCCAAGATCACACCACTGCACTCCAGCCTGGGCAACAGAGCAAGACTCCGTCTCAAAAAAAAGAAATTCAGAAGCCATAAATAAAAAAACTAACAAATTTTATTATGTAAATATCCTTCATTTTAATATGACAAAACATAAAAAATCTGATAAGCAATAGACTGAAGAAAATAGTTGCAATATATTAGATGAACTATTAACATCTAGAATATATAGAGGTCCTACAAATGAGTAAGAAAGAGACAAAACCCATAGGCAAATGGGCCTAGGAATATGAAAGCAATTTATAGAAAAGAAAACAGTAAATGGCTGGTAAATATATAAAGATGGTGGTTGATGACTATTTTCATAAAATTCCAATTAAACATTTTAGGATTAACATTTTTTACCCCACAGACTGACAAAATGTTACCAGTTTTATAGTATCTATTATGTCAAGGATATGGAGTAACGGGTACATGCATTCAGTTACTGAAAACCAAATTTGTATGGGCATTTTGAATATCAGCCTGGAATATCACTAATATTTAAAATACATTCTTCGAGCCAGGAATTCCACTTCTAGGTACATATTCTACAGAAAAAAATCAAATATGTATACAAATAAGTATGCACAGGATTTAGAATCTTACATAAAAATGTATTTAACTTGGCTGGAGTGTGTGTGTGTGTTTCCCAGGTTAAGTAAAATTAGAAAGCCAGAATCACAAGCCACAAAAAAGAAAAACTGATAAATTAGATACCATCAAAATTAAAATCTCTAACTGCTACAAATAATACCATCAAGAATGGGAATTGCAGCTGGGCATGGTGGCTCACGCCTGTAATCCCAGCACTTTGGGAGGCTGAGGCAGGTGGATTACCTGAGGTCAGGAGTTCGAGACCAGCCTGACCAACATGGAAAAACCCCGTCTCTACTAAAAATACAAAATTAGCCAGGCGTGGTGGCGCATCCCTGTAATCCCAGCTACTCAGGAGGCTGAAGCAGGAGAATCACTTGAACCCGGGAGGCAGAGGTTGTGGTGAGCCAAGATTGTGCCATTGTACTCCAGCCTGGGCAACAAGAGTGAAACTCCGTCTCAAAAAAAAAGAATGGGAAGAGTGGGAATGTGAATTGTGATGTGATACGGTTTGGTTCTGTGTCCCCATCCAAATCTCATCTCAAATTGTAATCCCCAAGTGTGGAAGAAGAGAGGTGATTGGATCATGGAGGCAGATACCCCCATGCTGTTCTCGTGATAGTGAATGAGCACTCATAAGATCTGATGGTTTTATAAGTGTTTGACAGTTCCTCCTTCACATATGCTTCTCTCTCCTGCCGCCTTGTGAAGAAGTGGCCTGCTTTCCCTTCTGCCATGATAATAAGTTTCCTGAGGCCTCCCCAACCATGCAGAACCATGAGTCAATTAAACCTCCTTCCTTTATAAATTACCCAGTCTCACGTACTATCTTTATGGCAGTGTGAAAATAGACTAATACACGATGGTTGCAAAAACCACTGTGAATACACTTTAAAAGCCACTGAACTATACACCTTAAATAGGTAAATTGCATGTTATGTGAATTATACTATAATAAGGCTGTTTTTTTTAAAAAAAGCAGCATTATCCGAAAATGTGAGTTTGATTATATGGTACCACTTTCTAGGCAAGACACTACTCATAAACAGTTTCCTCATGCACAACACGTGAATATAACTGCTCTACCTATTTTATAAAGCTATGGCATTCTTCAAATGGTATAATACAGTGAAAGGGTTTCATAAACTAGCCACTATACAAACTTTTATACAAACCATACAAACTTTCAAAATCATTATTAAGATGATTATTATAGAATACCTTCACATTAATATCAAGTAAACCTAAAGGAGAAATGTGGCTGTCATGGCACACTCCAACCAAGTTAAACACTTTTTTATGTAAAATGTCACATGAACTGCATTCTTTTTTTATTTCCCTACCCACTGGTTACAGGAGCAATAGGATGAGCTGCATTATTTAACTGGAAATGAAAAAGAATCTCATAGCAAAACAAACTAAATTTCACTCTCCTAAAAGATAAGAAAAAAGAGAAAGACACATACAGGAAGCCAACAGAGAAAAAGAAAGACAGAATTTTTAACCTAATTTTAAAATCCCTGATTTACCCTATCTTGTTACAAAGTTCAAATTTTGTTTAATACATTTTTTCTTTTCTTTTTTTCTTATTAAAAATTTTTTACTTTCTTTTATAGAGATGAGGTCTCACTATATTGCCCAAGCTGGTCTCGAAACCCTGGGCTCAAGTGATCCTCCCGCCTCAGCCTCCCAAAGTGCTCAGATTACAGGCATGAGCTAATGAGGCAAGAGTGCCCAGCCAATATATTCTAATTAGTTTAAAAATAAATGTTAGTCTTATATTTGAAAAAAATATAAATAGCCTTAAAGGAAATTTATTAACTTAGACCAGGGCTCTCAACCAGAAGTAGTTCACTATGTTGGATCAGCTGGTTTTTGAAAAATATTTTATTTTTGATAGTCTTATCTACACTAGAAAGATATAATCTTCAGAAATAAAGAAATTAAGAAATGGAGCAAAACACTAGTTAAAATAGAGCTTAAAATGCAAGAAGGAATAAAATATAGATCATAAAATAAAATTGTAGAAAATAAAATGTGTTCTCACCTGTCCATCCATCACTCCCAACAAAGCAGATTCCATCCACTGTACAGGTTCAATGAAATAAGATGTACATTGAGCTTGCCTCCCTGTGGTAAGCATGGAAGATGGTGTCATTCTCTTGTGGGCAAAGGCTATAGGTCCACTTCCTTCACGGTGATCCAGAATACTAGAACTTCGAAATAATGATCGCCTGCAACCCCCAAACAAACAAAAGCATTAATGACTTCCAAAAGGATGAAAACATGGATGAAATGTGCGGTATTTCTTTTTTTTTTGAGACAGAGTCTCACTCTGTCGCCCATGCTAGAGTGCAGTGGCGTGATCATGGCTCACTGCAACCTCCGCCTCCTGGGTTCAACCAATTCTCCTGCCTCAGCCTCCTGAGTAGCTGGGATTACAGGCACCAGCCACCATGCCCAACTAATTTTTGTATTTTTAATAGAGACGGGGTTTCACCATGTTGGCCAGGCTGGTCTCAAATTCCCAATCTCAGGTGATCTGCCTGCCTCGGCCTCCCAAAGTGCTGGGGTTACAGGCGTGAGCCACTGCGCCCAGCAAAATGTGCAATATTGCTTAGAGAACAAAATAATGTAACATTGATTACACTACTTAAATTTTCAATAACCCTTACAATCTGATTATTTCTCTTTTTAAGAATTTATATTCTTTCTGAAAACAGATCTGAACTAAAAATTTCAATTAAACAAAATCTTCCTACAGAAATTTAAGAAAATAAAACATTAAGTACTTTTCAGCTACTGAGACAAGATAAAATATCCAAAGGATATAAAATAGTTTACCTGCACTTTCTACACTTGTAGAGAACCTCATCTTTCAATCCTTGTGAAACGGTAGTTGGGTCAACAGCAAAGAGTTCTTGAGGTAAATTCTGCAATTCTATATGACATAATTAAAATGTATTTATTTGTCAAAATCAACTCTGCATTTTCAGATAAATTCAGTTAATGTCAAATTGAGGCAACAAGTGCTAACCTCAAAAATTAAAAAAAAAAAAAAATCAAATTCCAGTGTTGAGAAATCAGGCTAAGGTAGGAGAGGACAGTGATTTAAGTGCTTAGGTTCTGGGCACGGGCTGCCTGAATTCAAATCCTGACCCTGCCATTTATAAACCATGTGATTTTGAATAGGTTATTTCTGGCTAAATCAGTTTCAAAAAGAAACAATAGTTTCTCAGGGATTGCTGGAAGTAAGGTAAAGCATACAATGCTAAAGTAAATGTCATCTAGAAAGCCCATTACACACTAGCAATTATTACTTACCTGGATACTTCTCTGTAACCTTTTGTAAACGATATTGCTTATAAATTGCACTAGAGGTATCCACTTCGTATCCCATTGCCTGGTATAATTTCAGTTGCCACTCAAACCCCTCATTCATCCTGTAATGATAAAGAAATATAAAGTTTCATTTTCTTAAAATTATATCACAAAAGCATAATTATTACTATAAAAAAAGAACCCACTTAGCCTCTGGTTTGAGAATCTGGAGCTTTTCATAGGCTTTTTCAAAGGGAAGTTGGTCAGTCTTCATGAGAAAAGCAGTTATTATGGCCACACTTCGACTGACTCCTGCATGACTGAAAAAGAGACCTTTAAAATAAAACAGCAAATAGCAACAATTAAAAAAAAAAACACACAAAGCCCAGCCCCCTATTAATAGTAAAGTTTAGGCCCACTTCATTTTTGCTTCTCAAATAAGCCCATTGCCTCTGAAATATTATCAAGGTACAAAATAATTATTCCTTTTTCCTTTTGAATTCTGAACCACGTGAATCTATTACCTATTCAAAAATAATAACAGTAATTTTTAAAATTTTTATAATGGCTCAGAACAAATCCAAACTCCTGGCTAGACACAGTGGCTTACCTACGCCTGAAATCCCAGCACTTTGGGAGGCGAGGTGAGAGGATTGGTTGAGTCCAAGAGTTGGAGACCAGCCTGGGCAACAAAGTGAGACCCCACCTCTACAAAAAATTAGCCGGATGTGGTGGGGTCTGTAGTCCCAGCTACTCTGGAGGCCGAGGCAGGAGGTTCACTTGAGCCTGGGAGGTTGAGACTGCAGTGAGCCGTAATTACGCTACTACACTGTAGCCTGGGTGACAGAGCAAGACCCTATATCAAAATAAAAATAAATAAAACAAAACAAAAACAAATCCAATCTCCTTTCATCTTAGCATTCAGGGACCTCAAAATCTGGTCCCAGACTTCTTTTGATTTCATCACTATCTTCTTTTATGTGCTCAATAAATTTAAACGATTATTATACTCCAATCCAACCAAGAACTGCTTAGGGATTCCCATTTTCTTTTTTTGGGGGGAGGGATGGAGTCTCGCTCTGTTGCCCAGGCTGGAGTGCTGTGGCATGACCTCGGCTCACTGCAACCTCCGCCTCCCAGGTTCAAGTGATTCTCCTGCCTCAGCCTCCCGAGTAGCTGGGACTACAGGCGAGAGCCACCACGCCCGGCTAATTTTTGTATTTTTGGTTTCACCATATTAGCCAGCCTGATCTCGAACTCCTCACCTTGTGATCCTCCTGCCTCCCAAAGTGCTGGGATTACAGGCGTGAGCCACCGCGCCCTGCGGGATTCCCATTTTCTTTTTGTCTTTGCTGCAACCATCTCCTCCCTAGGCAAAGCCCAGGGATCCTTTAGATCCAAACCAATTCATCTCTTCATCAACCACCCGCCACCCATCCCAAACAAAAACATTTAACCCTAAATCTTTGTAAATCCCGTTTACAAGACACCAAGCAACCTAATCTGCATTACAATAATCGGGGTGGGTGTCTAGCTTCTCCAACAGAGCTGTAAACTCCTTAGGGTGTAGGTAATTTGTCATTTATCAGATGACACCTCCCCCGCCCTCTGCTGCTGCAGGAAGAACCAACTAAAGCATGAATGAATGAAAGCCTGCACACACCAGGGGCCCGCCTCAACCCTCCTCCTCTCTTGGAAACACGCCTCCTGCGGGAGGCAGCGGGAGGAGGTTCACGCGGCATGACCGCGCTCTTGTCCTCCCGACGGCCTCGGAAGGTAAGGGGCGACGGGGGCCGGCTGGAAGCTTGGCGGGGCACGTCACCCACTGACCCGGCCACTCACCAGTGCACCAACACCGCACGGCCCTCAGCGCGGGCCTGACCGATGAAGGCCACGCACCGGTCCAGATGGCTGAGTAGGTCCGTCTCGGGTTTGTCCAGCGCTGGCACGAAGAGGCGCCATAGATCCTCGACCCCAGGCCCCGCCTTGAAGCTGGGCTCCTCCGAGTCCACTGTTAGCACGGCCGTGATGCCCGCTTCCCTCAGGTGATCTGGCTCCGCGACGGCCGCGGCCCCACCGAAATACAATCCTGGCTGCACTTCCAGCATCTGCCCGGCACAGCTGACTCTGCTGGCGCTGGGGTTGCTGAGCTCGCAGCCATCACTCGGGCCCGGAGCCTCCAACATGGCCGCGCCCAGAGACAAGGCGGCTTCCTGCCCTACCATCGAGTAGACTCCGGCTAGAACATCCTTCCCCTGGGACTCGCCAGCCTCGGCGGCTCTGCTGCTCCCTCGGAGGACCACGTCGGCCGCAGGAATCTGGACTTATCGCTGAGGGGCGGAGCTTCGGCCCCATTCAGCGCGGCCTTTCCACCCTTGTTCCCTCTGACCCCTACCCCCAAAGTTGATGGTGAAGGATAAGCTTCCCCAAATACAGGGTTTCTCGAGCTCTTAGTATTGAAATTTTCAGGAAAGAGACATCAGGAGCAGCTGAACTCAAATGTGAAATAAATGTCGCACCAGCTGAATCAGAAGCATCATTTTATGCATTTGAAGTAAAATTTTTTTCAATATTATGGAGCCATCTTTACTGTGCATTTCATGATTATTTTTCCTTTTTCTGCCCAATTTCATTATTGGGGTGTGAATCCTTGTTGATGTTTACTGTCTATTTATTTTGAAGATACTAATCCTATATTTTTGTAAGTCAATGTCCTCCGGCCAGGACTACAAGAAACCAACTTTAATTAAGCAAGTTGGTTTTATTACTCAGTCATGAGTTATGGAGAATTTCAGGGCATCTCAGCACGAGGATGTTAGGAAGATCCTCTACAGATTTTGGGCTTTTATTTGGGGATTTTGGAAAGGGTTGAAGGAAGCAGGCTTTGCTCCAGACTGAATGCTGCAGGAAGATACTCAGTACAGTGAGTATATTTTATATATCTTTTGTATAGGGAGGACAGGTGAGAGAGATACTAAAGCTGTAATTGGTCAAGAAGTAGCAGCTATAGTACTGGTATAAAGATAGATACATCGACGTGTCTCTATTCTGGAACAGAACAAACCCTTGCGTGTGGAGTCCTAATTAGGGAAAAGGAGTCAGGCTGGCTGGACGAAGGGAAGCAAAAGGAGAAAGCAGACAAGCCATAAGTCTGCCTTTCTTCGTGGTCCAGGACACATAGCCCTGCTGTGCAAATAACTCACAATCTGCCTGTGCCCAGCCATCACCAGACCCTCAGCTGATAGAAAAATGGAAGTTAGTTCACTGCAACCCTGGCATTATTAGTACTGCACAAAGCCCTCTTCCACCCACAACATAAGCACCATTCTACAAAATCCCCAGCAAGCCTTTGTTTCCTAGCAGTCAGCTTCTCTCTTGCTGACCTGCCTGTTGCACCCTTGCAATGTATTTTCATACTTTATCTAATAAACCTGCCTTTCTTTACCTACAACTGTGTTGGTAAATTCTTCCTACCACCCATGTCACCAGCCCAGAAAGCTGCTAATCACCTGCAACACTGCATATATGTTAGAATAATCTTCAAAAAGAGTGCCAAGACCACACAATGGAAAAAGGACAATCTCCTCAACAGTGTTGGGAAAAACTAGATATCCACATGCAAAAGAATGAAGATGGACCTTTACCTTGGACCATACACAAAAAATAACTCCAAATAGATTAAAGACCTAAAAATATAACATTCTTAGTAGAAAACATAGGGGGAAAGCTTCATGGCCTTGGATTTGATAAAAATGTTGAAACAGGTAAGGGTTAATGGTCTCATTGTCTAAGGTGTTATCCGAACTTGTCTAACGACCGAGAAAACTAAGGAGCATGGGCACAAAGAGTGAGGTTGAAGCAAAAGTTTAATAAGCAAAAGAAGAAAGCTCTCCACAGCAGAGAGGGGAGCCCAAGTGGGGTGCCATTTTTACAGCTGAATTCAAAACCTATTATAAGAAACTCCTCTCATCTCTATAGTTGTTTGAGTAACTTCTCTTATGAATAAATCTGTCTGTGCAACTTCCCTTATCTTCTGCCGATGTGGGTATGTCTCTAGGCAAGCACAAAGCGTGGGTTCTCTTGTTTGTATCACTGTAGGTTTGTTTTAGGTAAGCCCCCCTCCTTCCTGTGCAAGTTCCCACGGAGTCCACTGTGTATATACCTGAAAAGGGGAGGAAAGTTTTTCCTGGGAGCTCGCCAATTACACGAAGAATGAAAAGCGTCTGTGCTGGACCCTACCTGCTTATCTGTGCAGGTGCAGCCTGAGTTTTGCCTAAGCTGCTCTATTTTGTTTGTAGCTGTGATTTTTCAGGCAGACTGCTTCTCCAAGGGCTAGCCTTAGCTGTCTACCTAACTGATTTTTCCTTTTCTTCTCCCTCAATTTTTTGGATAAAATACCAAAAGCACAGGCAACAAAAGCGAAAATAGACAAATGGGACTATATCAAATTTTAAAGTGTCTGCATATCAAGCAAAACAGTCAATAGAGAGAAAAGGAATTTGTATGGAATGGGAAAAAATAATTGCAAAGCATATATCTGATACGTTAATATGCAGAACATATAAAAAACTCCTACAACTCGACAACAGAAAAACAAGTAACCCAATTTTCAAAAAACTGGGCAAACGACCTGAATAGACATTCCTCCAAAGAAGATATACAAGAGGCCAAAAAGCATAGGAAAAGATGCTCAAATTGCTAATCATTAGAGAAATGCAAATCAAAACTACAATAATAATATCATCTTACACCCATTAGGATGGCTAGTATTTTTTTCAAGCACAGAAAATAAGTGTTAGCAAGGATGTGGAAAAATTGGAACGCTTATGCATTGCTGAAGGGAATGTAAAATGGTGCACCCACCAGGGAAAACAGTACGGAGTTTCCTCAAACGATTAAAAATAGAATTACCACATGATCCAGCAATCTCACTTCTAGGTTATATAGCCAAAAGAATTGAAAGTGGGATCTCAAAGATATTTGCACACCCATATTTATGGCAACATTATTCACAATAGCAAAAAGGTAGAAGTAACCCAAATGTCCATCATGGATTAATGGATAAAGAAAATGTGGTATGGGCCGGGCGCGGTGGCTCACGTCTGTAATCCTAGCACTTTGGGAGGCCGAGGCAGGTGGATCACCTGAGGCCAGGAATTCAAGACCAGCTTGGCCAACATGGCAAAACCCTATCTCTACTAAAAATACAAAAATCAGCTGGGCATGGTGGTGGGTGCCTGTAATCCTAGGTACTCGGGAGGCTGAGGCAGGAGACTCGCTTGAACCCAGGAGACGGAGGTTGCAGTGAGCCAAGATCATGCCACTGCACTCCAGCCTAAGGGATGGAGCGAGACTCTGTCTCCAAAAAGGAAAGAAAGAAAGAAAGAGAGAGAGAGAGAGAAGGAAGGAAGGAAGGAAGGAAGGATGGAAGGAAGACGGAAGGAAGGAAGGAAGGAAAGAGAGAGAGAAAGAAAGAGAAAAAGAAAAGAAAGAAAGAAAGAAAAAGAGAAAGAAAGAAAGAAAGATGGTATATGCATATGATGAACTATTATTCAGCCATATAAAAAGAGGGA
Organism: Homo sapiens; assembly: GCF_000001405.40. NCBI lineage: Eukaryota > Metazoa > Chordata > Mammalia > Primates > Hominidae > Homo > Homo sapiens. The sequence goes on along the minus strand of NC_000001.11, from coordinate 161,746,414 downwards.
AATTCTGTCACATGCTACAACATAGATTATCTTTGAGGTCGGGCACGGTGGCTCATGCCTGTAATCCCAGCACTTTGTGGGGCTGAGGCTGGCAGATGACCTGAGGTCAGGAGTTTGAGACCAGCCGTGCCAACATGGCGAAAACCTGTCTCTACTAAAAATACAAAAAAAAAAAAAAAAAAAGGCGGGGCCCAGTGGCTCACACCTGTAATCCCAGCACTTTGGGAGGCCAAGGCAGGCAGATTACCTGAGGTCCGGAGTTCAAGACCAGCCTGGCCAACATGGTGAAACCCCATCTCTACTAAAAATACAAAAATTAGCCAGGCATGGTGGCAGGCGCCTGTAATCCCAGCTACTTGGGAGGGTGAGGCGGGAGAATCACTTGAACCCCCTTGAACTCATGCCACTGCACTCCAGCGTGGGCAACAGAGCGAGACTCCATCCTAAAAAACAAAAATGAAAACAAAACCTTAGCTGGGCATGGTGGTGCATGCCTGTAATCCAGCTACTCAGGAGGCTGAGGTAGGAGAATCCCTTGAACCCCGGAGGTGGAGGTTGCAGCGTGCCGAGATCGCATCACTGCACTCCAGCCTGGGTGACAGAGCAAGACTCCATCTCAACAACAATAAAAACTTTGAGGACATTATGCTAAGTAAAATAAGGCACGACTGTAGATGCTGAGGATATAAAGATGTATGACAGTCTTTGCCCTCAAGGAACTTGGTGAAATGCTGGAGTGAAAGTAAGTAAATAGCTAATTAGTGTTATAGTAGAGGCAAGGGCCGTGTACTAAGGGAGCACATGGAGGCATCCAATCCTAATGGAAGGAGGGTAATTAGGGATGGCCTCCCAGAGGAGGTGATGCTTGATCTGCATCTTGAAGGATGAGTGGGAATTTGTCAGGGAAAAAGGAGGGAGATGAGGAAAGAAGTTCTAACCGGAAGGACCAACATCTTCAAAGGCACAAAGGCCAGAAAGCCCCATCGAAGTGTAAATGTGTTGTTGGAAAAGGGAGAAAGAAGGATGATGCAGATGGTGTTCACAGTTGCTTTCAGGACACTGGAAAGATAGGCATGACCAGATCATAAGGGCAACGTATGCCTTGCTAAGAAGTTTTAAATTTTTCCTAAAGATCGTGCAAATGCTAAAGAAGTTTAAGCAGCAGAATAATGCCACTTGATTTGTATTTTAGAAAACAACCCTGACTACAGTGTGTGGAATAGGCTGGGAGGACAATTCTAGAGGCAGAGTCTGGTTAAGAATTAAGGCAATAATTGAGTCAAGGAATGAAGGGTGCTGGTAGAGGAAACACAGAGGAAGGGAATGTGTTTAAGAGCGATTAAAAAGGCAGAAGGGAGGAGGCTTAGAGACCAAATGGATATGAGAGAGGAAAGAGGGAGGAATAAGAGATAACTTTATTTCTAGTTTGAGTGATTGAGTGGATGATGATTTCATTCACCAAGATGGGGAACAAAGGAGGAGGGACAGTTTGGAGAAAAGTAAATGTCATCATTGGCTGGGCTGGCTGGAGACTGGGATATGACCCTCAGAAAAGAGATAAAAAAGAGATCCAATCATCATCATCATCATCATTTTTTTTTTTTCTTTTTGAGATGGAGTCTTGCTCTGTCGCCCAGGCTGGAGTGCAGTGGTGCGATCTCAGCACACTGCAACCTCCACCTCCTGGGTTCAAGCTATTTTCCTGCCTCAGCTATTCTTCTTCCTCAGTTCAAGATATTCTCAGCCTCCCAAGTAGCTGGGATTGCAGGTGCGCACAACCCTGCCTGGCTAATTTTTTTTTTTTTTTTTTTTTTTTGTATTTTTAGTAGAGACAGGGTTTCACTATGTTGGCCAGGCTGGTCTTGAACTCCTGACCTCAGGTGATCCACCTGCCTCGGCCTCCCAAAGTGCTGGGATACAGGTGTGAGCCACCATGCCCAGCCCCAGTCATCATTTTATGAATGAACTAGGATTGATGAGATTGCCTAGGATGAGAGAATAAAATACAAAAAGAATTGAGCAATTGCTGAGGAAAAATAAGATTTAAGGGACACATAAGCAAAAGGAACCCACAACAGAAACTGAGTCATAGTGGAACAGATAATAAGAAAATTTGGTATCTTAGAAACCAAGGATGAGTCATACTAGAGAGGCCAAATAAAGTGAGGACTAAAAGCTTTCATCAGGTTTAACAATCACAAGGTCTTAGTATCCATAGCGAGAGTAGTTTCGGTGAGATTGTTGGGAGTGGGGTTGGGGAAATGGAACCTGATTGCAGGAGGCAAGGAGGAAGTGGAAAGCAGGAAAATGGAGGTGGTAGGTGTGGACTCAACTTTCAAGATGAAAGAAAGGAGAGACCATACCCAAAGGGAAGTGTGCAAGAGGGAGGTGTTTCTTTTCTTTTTCTTTTTTCTATAGGAAAAGTTGTAGACATATCAGAAGAGGGAAAACAGTTAAAGATACAGGAGAAAAGGAGTCCTTGAATTAATTAGGGGGTGGAATGGGATCCAAAGCCCAGTGGATGATTAACCTTTTCCATGGTAACCAGAGGAAAGAAGAAAATAATGGGTGGGGATGAAGGGAGGCTCAGGAGTTTTGGCGGCAAGAAGTTAAAGGCATTCTCTTCTGATGGTTTCTATTTTCTGGGTGAAATAAAAACCTAGTTTATATGCTGTGAGGATAGAGCTGTGAGAAGAATAGCCAGTTTGAGGAAAAATTGCCTGAGGAGAGTGGCGAATATGTGAATACTCTCTGTGGAGAGCATACATGGAAGCAGACCTGTGGGAACGGGCTGCTGAAGGCCTAGTCAGTGTTCAGATCATAAATATAAAAGACGTATGTGTAGTAAAGGGTTAACTCTGCAGGTTCTGATTGCTCAAGCCCTGCAAGTTCAAGGAATGGTCTGTCTTCGGGAGGACTGGCCCTTGACCAACTCCTCATGCCACACTATATCAGTTTGACTAGATATGCTAACAGCGTGACTATGGTAAAGCCTGTTTCCGTATGCCTGAGGCCCTGGGCCATGCTGTATCAGTTTGACCTCCGGGAGGCTGGAAATTGAGTAGGTAAGGTCAGTCATGCAGGTGACGCATGCCCATGCAACTGGCCCGCAATAAAAACCCAAGGCTTGGGTGAGCTTCCTGCTCGGCAATACTTCACACATGTTGCCATGCATCATTGCTGGGAAAATTAAGCACATCTCTGTACAAATTCTTCTGGGAGGCCATACCTGGAAGCTTGCACCTGGTTTCTCTTGAACTTCACCCCTGGGCCTTTTCCCTTCGCTGAATTTTAATCTGTATCCTTTCACTCTAATAAACCATAACTTTGTATATCAGCTTTTCTGAGTTCTGTGAATCCTCCTAGTAAATCAGTGAGCCTGAGGGAGCCTGAGGGAGCCTGAGGATGATCTTGGTGACTGCCGATACAGCATCCACTGTCTATAATATTGAATAACTGGAGACATCTAAATGACTACAAGTAATAGATTGGTTAAATGGGTTGTTTTATCAATTCAGTGAAATACTAGGCAACTACTAAGAAATATAACAAAGAGGGATGTGGTAGCTATATCAGAAAGTTTTTTAAAATAATATTTTTTTATTTTGTGGGTACATACTAGGTGTATATATTTATGGGGTACATGAGATGTTTTGATATAGGCGTGCAATGTGTAATAATCACATTACAGAAAATGGGGTATCCATCCCCTCAAGCATTTATCCTTTGTGCTACAATCCAATTACACCCTTTTACTTATTTTTAAATGTAAAATTATATTATTATTGAGTATAGTCATCCTGTTGTGCTATCAAATACTAGGCCTTATTCTATTTCTTTTTCTTTTGGTAACAATTAATCATCCTCACCTCCTCCCTAACCGCCAGCTACCCTTCCCAGCCTCTGGTAACCATCCTTCTACTCTCTATCTCCATAAGTTCAATTGTTTTGATTTTTAGATCCCATAAATAAGTAAGAACGTGCGATGTTTGTCTTTCTCTACCTGGCTTATTTCACTCACATAATGATCCACAGTTCCATCTATGTTGTTGCTAGTGACTGAATCTAATTCTTTCTATGGCTGAGTAGTACTCTATCACATGAGTACCACATTTTCTTTATCCATTCATCTGTCGATGGACACATAGGTTGCTTCCATATCTTGGCTACTGTGAATAGTGCTGCAGCAAACACGGAAGTGCAGATATCTCTTTGACATACTGATTTCCTTTCTTTGGGGTATATACCTAGCAGTGGGATTGCTGGATTGTATGGTTATATCATAAAGTTTTAAAAAGCTGGTTTACAAGTAGAAATGTCTGAGCACATTTACTTTAAAAATACATATATGTATGCACATATATGAAAAATGTTGAAAGATAGATGGTATATAAAACCATTAACTAGTTATTTATGGGAGTGGGCATTATGAGAGAGACTTACATGAAATGCATTATGTACTTCTTCTTATATAGTTTTTATTTATCTATTTCAACTAGTATTATTAAAATTCTTCACCATGAAGAATAATAGATATTTATATTCTGGAAAAGAGGTGAAACGTAAGGGTTCATTTACTGACATTTTATTATGGTATCCTTAGAAGTGAGATTTCCCTTCTCAATTCCCTAAAATTACTGCATAAGTTCCTTCAAGGATAGGGGCAGGAGACACATCTCGATTGTTACTGAATGCCCGCAGAGGCTGGCTCAGTATATATCTAACTGGGAGTGAATTTAACAGCTTCTGTATTTAGGATTTTAGCCACTAGGGGGCATTATTTGCCTTTTGGTAAAATACGTTTTCTCTGCACTTGTCTTGAAAAAAGGAAAAATGAATATGGAAGCCCTGTAAGAGCATAATCAGGATGTTAGGCCCAAGGAAGGAAATGCTATCTTTAGAGAGGGAGCTGGGTTGCTTTCCCGTCAAGGAAAGGAGAAGAGGCTCTCTGTTTTAGGATTAGTAGATACACACAAACACACACACACACACACACACACACACACACACACAGCCACAATTTGTTTTTATCACCATTAAAACTGCAATCTTGATGAATATTGAGTAAGCAAAAATTTCTTATAAATGCTAAGAGATCGTCAAGTGTGCGATGGCTTGCTTTTTTGAGAAGGCACCCATTTTATGTAACAAGGCTGACCGCATGCGGATACACATGACCCCAGTCTTCTTACTCTAGTTGTTTCTCAAAACTTGTGGGCTTCTAGAGCATAGTCACAGTTGTGATTTATAATTATCATCTATAGAACATTTACTATAAGTGCAGATCTCTGCTGAGCAGTCACAGAGAAATTTCCCTTCTTTTGTCTCATCACCTCCTCATCATGGTCCAAATACAAGTTCCTCTTTCTATTAATATTTCCAGCATTGCCACCAGTGCCCTCCTGCATCCGTGAGTTATCAGTAACTGTTTGTCAATTTTTACAATTATGTTCTTAATGCGACTTAAGATCTAGGACAGATGTGAAAATATACTTTGAGGCTCCCAAATAACAATGTCGAACAAAAATATAAATGGAAGAATAATAACATGATTCTATAGAAGGTAGGTACCTAGGACGTGATGAGTTCAAATTTAGCACTGTCTTTGAGGCACATAGTCTGAGGCCAGAGAAAACCTAGAAGTGAATCCCAAGCTGCATCTGGGCCTGCTACTTACTAATAGGTAATCGTGTACTCTTAAAAAGTTATTTGATTTCCCAAGTCTCAGCTCCTTAATATGTAAAATAGGAATAAGTATAGGCACATTGCAGAGCCGTAGTAAGAATGGACAACATATCTCATTAGTGCGATAAAGAAATTCTAAGTTAAACCACTGCACTAGAGGCAGTTCAGAGAGGATGCAGAACAGGAGAGGCTGGAGCTATGGTGAAGAAGTGGCCTGGAGAAATGGCTATGGGTGACTGGTGAGAAAAGCTGTTGGGCAGAGATAAATCACTACACAACCAGTCCAGGAATTCAATGGCCATGAGAACTTAGAGAAAAGTAGATCTTAATCATCTACCCTGCCACAACCACATCCCTAAGTCTGCATATTCATTTAGAGGCTCGTCTTTGTAAAGATGTGTCCTCCTTCTGTAGCACCTATTATCAAGATTCTGAGGCAATAACTTCAGCTCTACAGAACCCTAGGACCAGCGATAATGGATTGGTAGTTGAAGCCCTCTCACTGCGTAGGAATAACTTGGCCAACTGAGCAAATAACTCTTCCTGCCCAACTTCCGACCCTCCCCACCCAACCCAACATTAGCACATCCATCACATTGTTTATCTGTCCTTCTGAGAAATGCTGGGGCAGGAACCGGTTCGTGACATTTGGGCCATGCTCTCAGTTCCTTTTTTGATTCAAGAAGAAATTGGTAAACAGAGAGTCAGATGAGTGGGGCAAGGGAGACCACAGATGTTCCCCATTCCACATCAGGGTTTGCTGAGTGACACTTTGCACAAACCCTCTCCCTCCATTCTTCCCCGGACAGACAAAATGCAGAGAATGGCCATGGGTCCCGTCACAACCTTGGAGAGCTTTTGCTGCCTGCACTTAGGCCAGTGTGTTATAGTGGAAAGAGCTCTGGACTTGCATGCACAAACCCTAGATTTAAATTTTGGTTCTGTCACGTAGTAGTTAAATAACTTTGGCCCAGCCAGTTAAGCTCTCTGAACTTCTGTGCCCCTATCCAAAAAAAGTTAAGGCCAATAATGCCTTCTCTAATATTCCCTAAAGGATTTTTGAACTAGAAAAATCAGAAGTCCTGTAAACTTTAGGTTAGTCCACAGATTATTTCCAAATCCTTTAAGATGTCATGCCAACAAACATATCTCCTTACCACCAAATATATCCCCTTCTTTCTCCCAGATGTCTCAAACCATACGTTCAATTGACAGTACAAACAAAATACTTTGGCGGCTGGGACAAAGAAATAATTCATTTTAGCTGGAGGAAGCTGGGAAAAATTCTTAGAATAGGTGACTTTAAGCTGGGTCTTTCCCACGGGTGAAAGAAATGAGGGATAAGGGCCTGGAAAGGGTGGTAGAAAGAGCGATGAGGCAAAGGTGGCAGAGACATGAAGGCTAAGACACTTGAAGTTGTTTTATTCAATGTGCCTGGCATGTCTAGGCAAAAAGGAGAATTAGTTTTGAGACTTTGCAAGCTGTCTTGGAACATGTGTTCAGTCACCCTGGCCACATCCGCCCTTATGGTGGCCACAGAGTCGCAGTGCTGTCATAGGCCAGGGCTCCTGCAGTCTCGTGTCCTTGTCCCTCACAGGCTTCATGTTCACAGCCCTCTCACAGAGGATCTCAAATCCCCTTACTGGGGCTACAGGGGTACTCCATGGGCAAGTCCCACCTGCTTCTATACCTTCAGGCTATCAAACCTTAAGGCTGCCTCCAATCCAAAATGATATTCTCAGGGCAGATGACTGCAGGAAGGGCTTGTAAATGCTCCTAAAAAGAAGCAGTGTCCACTAGGTGCCAGCATGAGCTTACCAAGAATGGTCTTGCCCTGATAGTCTGTTTTTTTGGTTTTCTTTTTTTTTTTTTTTGACAGGATGAGTAGACAGGCAGATTAGGGAAATGTTCATATACTGGGTACTTCCCTAGGCTTCTGGACAGACCTCCTTGTGGACAAGGGAGATAATTATGAGCTCAATATGAGAACAGTCAACTACTCAGCCTGGCCAATATGGCGAAACCCTGTCTCTACTAAAAATACAAAAATTAGTCAGGCATGGTGGCAAGCACATGTAATCCCAGCTACTCTGGAGGCTGAGGCAGGAGGATTGCTTGAACCCAGGAGGCAGAGGTTGCAGTGAGCCAAGATCGTGCCACTGCACTCCAGCCTGAGTGACAGATTAAGACTTTGTCTCAAAAAAAAAAAAAAAATACAAAAAAAATAGAGAGAGAACAGTCAACTAGGCTGGTAATTGGTCAAACAATCATACCAAAAGAGTACAACACAGATAGGTAGCGATCAAGAAATAGATTTCTAGTGAGATAGAGCTCCACCCAAATTTCTTTCATCTGCTTTATTCAATTTTTTAAAAAAGTAATTTTGATTAGAGCATAAAGATATGCTTACCTAATATGCATGTGTTACAAGCTGGGAGGGACTGTACTGGGATCAAAAATTGTCTTATTACATTAACAAAGACATAATTTAAAAGAGATAAATATAAGGTATAAGGTTTTGCATTTTGGTCCCCAAAATGAACTGCATAAACAAAAGTTGGGGAGCAAAGAGGTGTGCTTTAGATGAAAACAATCTCTCTGGTAAGTTTATAGGCAATAAGCCCAATGGGGCTGGAGAATATCACGAGTCCTGGAGAGGAAGCTATCTCGTTAGGCTACATTCAACTCCATGTAAATGGCTGGAGTTCTATTTCTATTCCATCACTATCAAGTCATTTCAGCTCTCTGGGTCTCAATTTCCTTTCTCTCAAATTAACAAGTTAGACTAAATCCCTAAGTCTTTTCCAGCAATAAAATTCTAGGACTAACCCCTTTGTTGTCTGTAGAGGTGGTGTCAACATCCACTCATTACCATCTCAAGTGCCTTTCTGAACTGCAGAGCCTGGAAATGTAAAAGGGACCGTGACTCCCCTGCAGTGAGGTGCTTGGTGTAATTTAAGTCTGGCCATTCAGAAGCCCTTATACAACACATGGAAGGTAAAAGTGAAGCGGAGGCTGTACTACTGCAGCTGATGTTGCTTCTGGAAACCTGGTTGAGAAAGATTTTGGTTTTTCTTTACCAGCAATAGTACCTACCTAGTGTCCAGGATCTAGCTTTGTGTTGCTAGGGGCAGGGCCCTGAGCATCCATTCCTTGGACCATAGAAGACAGGTATGGTCTTGGCACCGTAGCAATAGCAGTGTCTCTTCTATCGTGACTGTTTTCTTAATCATAGCAATGGCTGTGTGACCCAAGGCTGGCAAATTTCTGATCTCAGAAGAGGCAGCAACTCCCTTGTTGAACTGATATTGGGAAACTTTGCTGAGAACACAAACTACAGTCTGTCTCTTCATCTCTCCCAACCATTTTGTAAGCTATTAAATACTGTGTAATAAATTCCTTCCTCCTTAATCCAGCTAGAGTTAATTCTGTTCTCTGAAATTGAATCCTGATCAATATAATAATATACTTAAAAAGCTCTTTTTTAAAATAAAAGGCCTGGAAGAGTGCACATCAAATTGTTAAATAGTGGTTACATCTATAACCCACTGAGGGAGTGGGTGGGAGGATGGCAAGAAAAATAGGCTTAACATTTTTTTAATACAGTATGAAGTTTTCAAATAGACTATATTCATAATAATGTTTGAAAAATTAAATAAAGTGTAACTTGTATGTTAAAAGCACAATTCATTACCTGATCAAAATGTAGCTCTTTTATCTTTCAAAATCAATTTAAAATGTATTCAGTGTGGGTAATCCTCCCTGGCTCACAGCACCCTGCTACTCAAAGTGTGGCCCAAGAACCTTCAACATTGGCATCAATTAGAAGCTTCTCAGAAATGCAGACTCTCAGGCCCCACCCCAGACCACTGAATCACAATCTGCATTTGCCGTGGATATTGGCAAACTTTAATGTACACATGAATCACCCAGCGCCCTGGTGATTCATGTGTACATTAAAGTTTGCAAATAGCCATGATTTTTCTGCTTCTTTAGGTAATGGAGAGTCTTATAATGACTTTAGGCTACAAGTATAGTTTCAATTTCTAAATCAGGATGCCCATTCTAGATGTTAATCAGACCTCCAGTCTTTATCCAAAGGTAAGTCTGTCTTCTTACTTATCCATTTAAGGTGTTGACTTGGGGAAGGGACTTGATTGGTGTTTCTCTCTCTCTCTCTCTCCCTCTCTCTCTCTCTCTCCACATCCCCTCCTCCTCTCATTAGCGTCTGTTTGCTTCTCACGTAGGCCAAAGTAGGAGAGCAGAGGGAAGAAAGGGAGAATAGGTAAGGGAACAGAAAGTTATTTGGCTGAGCTGCTTTCTACTCTCTGAATTTGACAGGTGGCTAAAGCTAACTTGTTCTCCCATGAGCATTTTTGTAGACTTTTTGGATGTTTATTTCTGGGAATTGTTTCCTTAGGGTGTTGTGCTCAAGGCAGATGCATCTCTCCTCCAGGTGTTCCAGTGCACCTCTTTCCTCTGCCCCTAGGAATATAGATGCAACTCCAGCTTTTTGGTGCCTTTATCTGCCCCTCCTGGTGACCCTATAGTACAGGAACCAAGGCAACCCCATACTAGGTCTCTTTCTTCTTAATTTTATTGTTATTGTTTCTTTCTTTTTATAAAGACACAGTGTCTTTCTGTGTTGGCCAGGTTGGAGTGCAGTGGGTATTCTCAGGTGCTATCTCACTATTAGTCAGCACAGAGTTTTGACCTGCTCCATTTCTCACCCGGGCCATTTACCTCTCCTTAGGCAATCTAGAGATCCCCTGCTCCCAGGAGATCACCATATTGATGCCGAACTTAGTATGAATACCCAATGGGCATAGTGCACTAGAGCCCAGAACTCCTGGGTTCAAGCGATCCTCCTACTGCAGCCCCCTGAGGAGCTGGGACTACTGGCATGCACCACTGTGCCCAGCAAGCACTCTGTTTTTCATAGGCCACAGAAATATATATAGATGTGGCTCCTGGATCTTTTGTAGGGCTGGCTAATCCTAAAATAGGCTCTTCTATCCTACCACCATAGCTCACTTTAACTTTCTCAAGCCTAAGTCAGGCCCAGTTCCCTGTATCTCCCTACTGCAGAGAATACATTTCAGACCTACCTGGGTGATTCCATGGGTATCTTTCTCATTAGGCTTGAGAATGAGGAGGTAAGCTTCCCATGCCTCCCCACTATGAAGGGGAAATATGGCAAATAAATCATTTCACAGATCCTCTCTCCTCTCCATATCCTGGCCCCTTTTTATCCCTTGACATGATTTCAGAGTCCAAAAGTCAAGGAACAGATAGATCCTCAACCATTTCCTTTGTAAATTCTTCATATGATGATCCAGCTTCAGAATTTCATGTCCACTGTATCTTGAAATATCATTTCTGACATCCTGTCACAAGTACAATTGTTTAATTGTACAAAATAAAAATAAAACCCTGCCTTCCTGCCGTATTCTCCCTGGACACATCCATCTGAGGAACATGGTAAGTAAGTCATGGGTCCCAAATTTTAAAACTGGAGATATGCTATTTAAAAAACGAGTGGTTTGGGGGGACATGGATGAAGTTAGAAACCATCATTCCCGGCAAACTAACACAAGAACAGAAAACCAAACACCGCATGTTCTCACTCATAAGTGGGAGTTGAACAATGAGAACACATGGACACAGGGAGGGGAACATCACACACTGGGGCCTGTTGGGGGCTAGGGAGGTAGGGAAGGGATAGCATTAGGAGAAATACGTAATGCAGATGACGGGTTGATGGGTGCAGTAAACCACCATGGCACATGTATACCTATGTAACAAACCTGCACGTTCTGCACATGTACCCCAGAACTTAAAATATAATAAAAATAAAACAAAATAAAAATAGGTTAACAGCAAAAATAAAAATAAAAATAAAAAGGCCAGGATGGAGAAGGAATTCCAAATTTGAAAAAGTTAAAAACCCTGAGGAAAAAAAAATTCGAATGAAATAGTATACCTTTAAGAAAACATAGGCATGAGCTAAGCAGTGTCTTTAGTTATCTGAAGGCCTGTCAAGAGGGCCAGAAATTAGATTTGTTCTGTGTAACACAAGGGGGTACAGTGAGTAGAAGTTACAACAAAATCATTTTGCTCATTATAGTAAGGAAGAACTTTTTAATTTCTAGAGCTGTCCAAAGATAAGAGTGGGCTTTCCTTGGGAAGTAATGGAAGGCCACATTCTCACAAAAAGTCAAGCACAGCTGCGTGGCCACATGGCAGGAAAAATTTAGAAGCATCTCTTTTTTTTTTTTTGAGACGGAGTTTCATTCTTGTTGCCCAGGCTGGAGTGCAATGGGGAGATCTCGCTTCACTGCAACCTCCGCCTCCCAGGTTCAAGCAATTCTCCTGCCTCAGCCTCCCAAGTAGCTGGGATTACAGGTGCGTGCCACCATGCCCCACTAATTTTGTATTTTTGGTAGAGACTGGTTTTCACCATGTTGGTCAGGCTGGTCTCAAACTCCTGACTTCAGGTGATCTGCCCACCTCAGCCTCCCAAAGTGTTGGGATTACAGGCATAAGCCACCATGCCCAGCCTGAAGCATCTCAATAAATGGTTTCTTGGTTGAACTAAACAGTCTTTACTTTCCCCTTCAGATTTTTTGAGGACCTCCAATTCATCCTGAAAGATGTCCACCTTTAGTCTCTGGCCACATGTAGGACTATATGTAACTTTTTTTCCTAGACATTTTGAAGTTTGTTTGCCTAGAGCTCAGGATTTTTTATTTTATTTTATATATTCTAAGACTTTTTTAAACAATGTTTTAACATCTCTGAAATCATGATGTATCTAATAATTGCTGTCTTGTTATAGTTTTCATTGCTTATATGAACATTAAAATACCAGCATCAAAATTTACAAAATGGTGTAAGCAGCTTGGAGAAAATTTCTAGAGACAACAGTGAAGCAACTGTTAGTTGTGGGAAAAATGGGGTGGGTGGTGAATCAGACTTGTGTAGCAACATTCCTGGAGCAGAAGTCAAAAGCAAGTTAGCTCCAGATAATTATAAAACCAGCTTAAAAGTCTGGCAACAACGACTGTTACTTTTTTATGACTTCCTTTAAGAAATGCAGCACTTCCCATGATTTTCATAGAAAAGATGTCACAGGAGTGAGGAAACATGGGCACTGATAAATATGAGTTGGAAAGTGATTCAGAAAAGTCAGAATCTGAATGTAAAAACATTTTAGAAGTATCTTACCCAATTTATTTCACATATGTTTCCCTGTTTATTCATTATTTATGATTTTATAAGTCTATTTTAATTAAGTCTAAAAGACATTGTGTAGTTATTTAGCCATGTTTTCCCTTTTCTTATGCTTTCTTTAATGGTGTATCCTATAATTAATATCATTTTAGATTCAATGAATTACAGTCATAATAACAGTTTACTGCTTCTTATGTATTAGATGTACTACTTACAAATCTCATTTAATCCTTCTAGCAATTCTATAGGCATGTACTATTATCATTCCGTTTTACAAAAGAGGAAACAGAATTTCAGAGACAATGTATCTTGCCCAAAGCTACACAGCTGTTAAGTAGTAAAAGCAACATTCGAACCCAAGTCTATTGACTCCTGAGCCAAGACTCTTAACTTTATACAACTCTGCCATCTCTAGGTCCAAAGCTAATTAGCTTGGCTATTACAACTTAACATGATGCACTAGGGTATATTTACTGTTAAGAGATGAGAGAATGATCATCTCCCACACTGCAGTGAGACTGACGCCTTTGAACTGAAAAAGACAGTAGTGTGTTGTACCAATTTTTTAGTCTCAGCTCTATCAGGCGTGTACATTTATATGAGGATTCTCATTATAAGTAGAATGTCAAACATTGAAACCAATTATCTTTGCAGGTAGAGTGACTAGGGAACAAACTAAACCAATATGGGCTAACTATAGTACATGCTGAAAATCTCGCGAAGGACTACAATGATCTAGCTTGGAATAAGAGCTCTAATGGACAGAAAACGGGTATTTAATAAGGAATTACAGTCAGAAGTGCAGTTCTTTGAGCTAACTACAGAACAGCTAGCAAGGAATTCAGGAGTTGGATGGGTTAGCATTACAAATAAGTGCACTGACCCTTGGGGGACTGTACCACTGGACTGCTGTATGGCACAGGATAGTAAATCTATCGGGATCTGACTAGGGACACTCAACACTGGATAGTCAAAAGGTTTTCGTGGGTTTAATTAAAAAATAAAAGTACAATGATATGCTCTCTTGACCAAGGTAAGAGAAACAAGCTTTCACCTTCATAATTAGTAGAAGCACAAATTGGTACATTCTCTTTGAGAAATAATTTGCAACATCTATTAAAATTCTAAAAAGACACATATCCTTCGATGCAACAATTCTACTTCTAGGAGTTTATCCTACAGACATATTCAGATATGTGCGTAAAGATACAGATGTAAAGATATTCATTGCAACATAATTTAAAACAGCACAAGTTTAGAAACAAATAGCTTATCGGTGGGGACTGGCAGGAAGTTGATTCCTGGACCCCCACACTGGGCTTAGTATCTCTCCTCTGTGCTTCTTATCATCAACTGTTTTAAAACCTCTAATGATGAAAGGATCTGTTTGTTTGTCTCTCCCTGTGAGGTTACTATTATTTCCCTCACTTTGCAAATGAGGAATCTTGGGCTCAGAAGGCCTGTGCAGCCCTTCTACAACAGTTGAAGCAAAAATATATACAAAAATAAAGTCATGAAAGGTGGTGGTGTGTTGGGGAAAGAGCAGGTGGTCATTGTGGCCATAATATATGATGAATGGGCTCAATATACTGTGATGGGAAGTTTGGACTTTAACCTAGAGAATTTAATTCAATCTCTTAGGAAAAAAGCCATGAGTGTGAAACCTATAAACCAAAAAGCATCTGAGACGGGTCTCAATCAGTTCATAGGTTTATTTTGCCAAGGTTAAGTACCATAGCCCGTGATACAGCCTCAGGGATTCCTCAGAACATGTGCCTAATTTGGTTGGGCTACGCTTGGTGTTATACATTTTAGGGAGACAGAAGTTACAAACAAAGACATAAATCAATACATGTAAGGTATACATTGGCTTGGCCTGGAAAGGCAGGACATCTCAAAGTCGGGTTGAGGGGGCGACTTCTAGGTAATAGGTGGATTCAAAGATTTTCTGACTGGCAATTCGTTGAAAGAGATAAGCTATGCCTGAAGAATTGAAGTCAGCTTGAGTTAAGGGAAGGGAGCGGTTCTGGAAGCCAAGGTTATTCTCATGTAGGTGAAACCTCCAGACTTCAGAGAGAATAGATAGTGAATATCTCTTATCTGACCTTAAAAGATGTCAGACTCTTAGTTACATCTCTTCTGGATCAGGAAAAGACCTGGAGAGGGAAGAGGATTCTCTACGGAATGTAAATTTCCCCCACAAGAGACAACGTTGCAGGGCCATTTCAAAATATGTCAAAGAAATATAGTTTGGGGTAAAATACTTTGATTTTCAGAGTCAGGTTGGAGTTGGTATCTTATTGCTACATAGTCAGTTCTGTCAGTCTTAGGATCTCTATTTTAATGTTATGCTGGTCAGTTGTGCTAAACTCCAAAAGGGGGAGGGTATAATTAGGCATGTCCAATCCCCCACTTCCCTTCGTGGACTAAACTGGTTTTTCAGGTTTCTTTGAAATCTTCTTGGTTGTGAGGGGGGTCCATTCAGTCTATTGGGGGGGCTTAGAATTTTAATTTTGGTTTACAAACCCAAAGAGATCCCCCTTTCATAGTGTAAGGTCAAGTAAAAACTGAGACTCAAGGAGAACAGTTTAAAGAGTAAGGCTGAAATCCAAAGGGAATGCGACAGAATTTTTTCTGCTCTCTGATAGCGGACATTGGGGTTCCTTGTCTGGCATCTGCTATGGACAGCCGCAGGATTAGGGTTTGCAGCCTAAGTCTGAGACACCAAACTGATCAGAGTATCAGAGAGAAGCAGATTCCTCCCTAGGTTTCTCCAGCATTTTTCTGCCATCCCTGCTGTTTGGGAATGAGCTCTGAGAGTCCCCTTGGACAACCTGGGCTAGCTAGCCTTCTGGTTTCCCTAAATGCATGTAGGAACCTCAAACAAAAGGGATGAAGATGAAGCTGATATTTCCTTAATGCAGGTCTTCCTGGGAGATCAATAACAGATATCTTAGAAGATCATCTTGATCCTGCCCTCCTCTTAAAAGCTGGGGTACACGAAGAAGACAGTGGAGTCTACAGGCCATATGAGTCAATTCCTCTCCCCTACACCAGAAAGTTGAGTCATGAATGATTTTCACTCTCACCAAAAAGTCCTTGTTCTTCCCCATCCCCCCGCATCCTAGTTCTAAATGGAAGTAGATGGCAAAACAAGAACAAGGATGTTGATGTTGCCAAAAAGGTGTGAATGAAAGAGATACTGCTGCCCTAGCTCTCCTTTGAGTAACTATTTCTCTTTTTTGTACTCTTAAAAAATGATCAACTGATTTTTTAAATGACCTGAGATTCTTTGATTACTAAGCCTCTTGCCACTAATGTTAGTCACTTCCTGTCTATATCAAGATGGCAGAAACCGGCCGGGCGCGGTGGCCCAAGCCTGTAATCCCTGCACTTTGGGAGGCTGAGGCAGGTGGATCACCTGAGGTCAGGAGTTCAAGACCAGCCTGGCCAACACGGTGAAACCCCGTCTCTACAAAAATACAAAAATTAGCCTGGCATGATGGCAGGTGCCTGTAATCCCAGCTACTGGGGAGGCTGAGGTGGAAGAATCACTTGAACCTGGGAGGCGGAGGTTGCAATGAGCTGAGATTGCTCCAGCCTGGGTGACAGAGTGAGATGTGAGACTCCGTCTCAAAAAAAAAAAAAAAAAAAAAAAGCAGAAATCTCAGGGAAACAAAATCAGAAGGGGAAAAGAGCCTGGGCACTGAAATAGAGTGCAGTTAGCTAGGAAAGGTGGCCTTGGAAGAGAGTTCTGAGAAGTGAGATGAGCCTGCATCAGAAAGCTGGAAATCAGAGCCACAAAGGCCCTTGTAGACCAAGACCCCAGAACTGAATTATAGGCACCTGGACATATCTCTCAGAGTTAAGCAAAGATCCACTGAGATAAGTTTGATTCTTCTTGTCTAATTTTAAGTTAGCATTTCCTCAGATTAGACATATTGATGCCTTCATGTCAGGAATGCTTTCAGATAGCCATCCCAAGTATCCAACAGGCTAAAGCACTTCTTAACAAGACTTTCATGTTCTGATTCCTTCCTACTTCCCCATATTCATCTCTGTCACCTCCTCCCTAAAATACACCTACACAGATACACATAAACACACATAATTCTCCAACCACTCCCAATTATTTGTAGCTCCATAAACACGCTACAGTCTTTCATTTCTTTGTGTCTTTGCTTCCTCAGCCTACTTGCCATACCCTCAATCTTTCTCACATCTCCATGTGGTAGTTCTTGCTCTTCCTTAAAAATTCAACTTTCTTCTCTGAATTCCTATCATGTTTCATAGAGCACTTATCACATTGCAGTGTAATTTATGTGTGCACCTGCCTGCCTGCCTGCCTCTCTGTATAATTTCAGTGGCTTTGTAATAATAATATGGTGAAGAACAATATTAAGAAGAATAGGATGAAGGCTGTTGATATTATTCTGGTTAATCACTCAGAAAGAAATGGAAAATCGGGTTGTGACGCAACATCTATCAAGCAGAAGTAAAGGATGAGAGGGTACAGTTGTTACAGCTCTAAGCCTTAACAGTGAAACTTAACTGAAGAAGGATATGGACCTGATGAGAACGAGGCCTCCTGAGGACAAATCACACTAGCTCTGCAGAGGATTGATGGCTCCAGTAGGCAGATGGGAAAACCCATCAAAATGGGACTTTCCAGGAACATAACCATGAAATTGCAATTGAAATGGCTTCTCACTTTTCTTCTTTTAACTAAGTGAGAGTAAAGTCACCATGCAGGATGGCATACTGATCTGTGCATGTGTGTATCTTGGTGTATTCATGTTGGAAAGGCTCTTAAGAAAAAAGCTGCTAAGAATGAGAACTCAATTTTGAGGATTTGTCTTAAAGTTTCTTCAAAAAGATTTCTCAATGCAAATGGTACACTTATTTAATATACGGCTAAGGTTAGCATAGTCTGCCTGCTGCTACCACAGCCCATCAGTCTGTCTAGCTGCACTGGGGCAGGGGGTGCACCTGGGTTAAGTCTAACAGAACTCTGACCCTTTTTTTTTTTTTTTTTTGAGATGGAGTTTCACTCTTGTTGCCCAGGCTGGAGTGCAATGGCACGATCTCGGCTTACTGCAACCTCCGCCTTCCAGGTTCAAGCAATTCTCCTGCCTCAGCCTCCCAAGTAGCTGGGATTACAGGCGCCTGCCACCATGCCCAGCTAATTTTTGTATTTTCAGTAGAGACGGGGTTTCGCGATGTTGGCCAGGCTGGTCTCGGACTCCTGACCTCAGGTGATTCCCCCCCCCCCCCCGCCTCAGCCTCCCAAAGACTCTGACCCTTTTAACCAGGGAATGGGAGGCCCACACAAACAACTTTCTCTCGCCAAAACTAAATAGAACCCAGGATTTATTTGAAGATGTAAACTCATCAGTAATAGGACTGAACGTCTTTTTAATATCAACAGAGTAAATTCATTATGAATAATTACACTTTGACCCTAAAATATTCTCAAGTGCTCAGTTACCTCAATGTACTTAAATACCAAAAAAACTGCCTGTGCTGAAATATGTACTGGCTAGGCTTATCTGAAGGGCTAAGGGTGACTAAATTCACATCCAAAGTTAAATCACAATGTAGTAAATAACAGGTTTCTACTTCTTGCTGAATTCTGTGAGAATTCAAAGAGAATGCTTGCGGTTACAAACTGCTGTGTGAGGTTGAAATCGTCAGCCACTACACTTCGTGGGCGCTCCTTTAAAAACCACAGCAAAACACAAGGATGCAAACAGATGGCTTTGAAAGAAATTCGCGTGAGGGGAAGCAGGAGACCAAGGAGGAATGAGCCTGCAGAGGGGACGGTAGCCGCCCCCTCAGCTCTCCACAGGAGTGGTCTCTGGGGTTCCCGGGCTCACAGCAAAGTGAGAGGTGGGGGTCTCGGGCGTTCCCCTGAGCTCCCGGAGGGCCTGTGGCTCCTTTAATTCCAGGACCACCCGGCTCAGAAGGCCTTTGAGCAGCTGCATTTCTCGGAGCAGAAGGTCCACGTCGGGTTTCAGGGCTCCAGCCGATTGTTCCAAGGGCGTCGGCGGAGCGCAGGCGGGTGGCCCCGCAGTCGGGGCGCCGCTCGCCGGGAACTGCAGCCCGGTGGAGGTGGTGTTCCGGACGGAGGTGACCAACGGGACCGATCTGGACACCGGGGGCTTTCT
Organism: Homo sapiens; assembly: GCF_000001405.40. NCBI lineage: Eukaryota > Metazoa > Chordata > Mammalia > Primates > Hominidae > Homo > Homo sapiens. The sequence continues at coordinate 161,727,329 of NC_000001.11, read as the reverse complement.
GAAGGAAAGCGGCCTATTACCAGGAGCCAAGGCTGCGGCCCATGGAGCTGGGGCGGTGGTGGAGGCCGGGTCCAGGGGAGAACCTGTGAATGCATTACGCCCAGTCACGCGCGGCTTGCATGGTTCTTCTCGGCGCTGGGCTGGGGGAGGGGCGTAGGGCGGTGGGCGGGGATGGGGAAGGCCGGAAGAGGGGTGAGGAGGAGGGCGGCGAAGGGGAGATGGGAAAGGCGGGGGGCGGGACGGGAACCAGGGGGCGGGGGTGATTCGTGGGTGCCGAGAGGCGGAAGCAGGGCTGACCGCCAGGGTCGGCGTCCGGGAGGGTGTGCAGGCACTCACCCGGCCCCGGGAGCTGCAGCCACGGACTGCGTTTCCGGACACTGCGGGTGGCGGTAGCCGCCTCGCACCAGTACGATTCGAGCTCCTCGACCTCGGGCTCCGGGACTGTGTACTCGGCGCCCCAGTCGAAGCGGCGCACCGCGCGGCTGTACTTGTAAAACGCGAACTGCAGCGGCGTGTCGCGCTTCTGCGGGTGCAGGCGCGTGTCGCAGCGCAGCACCACCCCACCCAGCGCCGCGCCGCGGGCCTCCCGCGGACCCATCACCCTCAGCACCGGCGCCCGGAACAGCTCTACGGAGAGGGCGGGGAGCAACGGCGCCGGCTTGTCCACCGCTCCGCGACCCCGCTCCTTCCTGCTTCCCGCGAGGGCTCCTTGCAGACCCACAGACCAAGGGGGGAGGGGAGGAGGCCGTGTGTCCACGTGGAGGGGGAAGGGGAGCCTTCTGAAATGTGGGGCAGGGGGACCGAGTCCACGAGGGACGGGGAAAGCTTGAAAGGAAGAGGGACCAGGCCAGACGCTTCATGTCACATCCCGACTGACACTCAGCTCGGGTTCTGCAGCCTAGAATAGGAGACGCTGCGCCTGCCTTGCAGGACGCTAGGGAGTCGCTCCTTCGTCCCAGTCCCACAGTGGCCCCTGCCCCTGCCAGAGCTGCCCTCTCTGTGGGAGTCCCCAGCCAGAGTGAGAAGCCAGGATGTGCGTCGGGGAAAGGGACCAGCCTCCAAGCAGGCGGCGGATCAAGCGCTGCTTCACGGCAAAGGAGAGGAGACAGCGTCCATAGTCTAAGAGAAACCCTCCAAGTGGCAGCTATTTGAACTTCCGCCCCTTCTTTTCTCGCCGAGCTCCTGTCCCAGAATTTCTCAATGCTCATTTGCCTCCCTCCCGGGGCCCCTGGTCTCTCCCACCTTGCACTGTCACAGCCACCTTAGCGGAGAACATGGGCGCGCTCTCCACCGGGATGCGCATGGTGCCCGAGCACTGGTAGCGCCCGCTGTCGCTGGCACGCGCCTGTAACACAGTGTAGTTGGCGCTGGAGTGGAAGTAGCGCACGGCCTGGCCGTCGTGGTAGTAGTGAAGCTTGTAGACCACCTTGTCGTACCAGCCGCGGCAGCGCAGGACTAGCGGCTCACCCTCGAACACTGGCGCATAGGGCACTTGCAGAATCAGCCAATCTGCGACAGACACCACAGACACGCTTGACTCCACAGAAAGTCCAGCCCTGGAGATCTCCCACTCTCACAGCCTTCCAGCTTTCTCCTCTTAACTCCTCTCCCTCCCTTCCCCGCCATCTCCCACCGCTTTCTTTTCTTTTCTTTTTCTTTCTTTTTTTCTTGTTCTTTTTCTTTTTTTGAGACATGGTCTTGCTCTTGTCGCCCAAGCTGCAGTGCAGTGGCACAAACTCGGTTCACTGCAACCTCCACCTCTTGGGTTCAAGCGATTCTTCTGCCTCAGCCTCCCGAGTAGCTGGGATTACCGGTGGGCGCCATCACACCCAGCTAATTTTTGCATTTTTTAGTAGAGACAGGGTTTCACCATCTTGGCCAGGCTGGTCTTGAACTCCTGACCTCAGGTGATACGCCCACCTCGGCCTCCCAAAGTGGTGGGATTACAGGCGTGAGCCACCGGGCCTGGCCTCCCACTGCTTTCTTGAGCGGACAGGCCTTCCCTGGTGGTTGGCACCCAGCAGCCTCATAGTGCAAGATATATTTGTAGGTGAGTGGGAAGGAAGGGGGATGGCTGGTCTTTCACTTAGCCAGGGAGCAAAGATGCCAGAGACTTGGCTCCACCCTCAAAGGGTTTTGACCATGAGAATCAACTATAACCTCCTTAGGATGGTGTCAGAGTCCTCCTGACTGGGTCCTGCTTACCTCTCCCTCACCATGGCAGTATTCATTCCTGCCCCATTTCCTCTCTACTTTCCTCATCTTCCACTCCTAACAGGATAAGTTCCAGCCATACTGAACTGTTGAGAGAACTGGCCCTGCTCTGAGCCCGAGGCTTTTGTACCTGCTATTTCCTCAGCCAAGAAGACTCTCTTTCACCTGTTTAAGTTCACCTGCTTGTCCTGCATGTCTAGGCTTAGACCTTATCTCCTCCAGAAAACATCCCTGACACCCCAGGAGAGCCTTAGGTATCTCCTACAGCACCTCATAATTACCCTGTGATCATTATAGCACGCTTACATAGCCCTAGCACAGAGCAGATGCCATTTTAGGTGTTGTACATTGAGAAAGAATCCTGCAAGTAATAGCCACAATCCACATGCACTCCCAATCTGTAAGCAGTAATTACTCCTATAGTACTCAGTATAATTATTGCTATCACCAATGATTTCCGAACAAGAAACCACAGAGTATGAATATGAAGTGTGTGTAAGTGCTAATCTGAACATTGAGTGATGTGCTTTAAATTCTGAATACAAATTGTGGCTAGGAGTGCACGATCTCAGCTCACTGCAACTTCCGCCTCCCAGGTTCAAACAATTCTCATGCCTCAGCCTCCTGAGTAGCTGGGACTACAGGCACCCGCTATCATGCCCAGCTATTTTTTTTTTTTTTTTTTTTTTTAGTAGAGAGTGTTTCACCATGTTGGCCAGGCTGGTCTTGAACTCCTGACCTCAGGTGATCTGCCCGCCTTGGCCTCCCAAAGTGCTGGGATCACAGGCTTGAGCCACCGTGCCCAGCAATCCTGTACTTTATTGAACAAATTATTGTTATTTTTCTTATCCTGTTTTAAAACCCTTCAAGCATCTCGAGAATCAGTTTCTCAGCTGACTCCTGTGTACACATATACACGTCTGCAATAAAACTTTGAGTAAGTGCTCAGTTCAATTGCTGCTTTTTTTCTTTAGCAAATCATAATTCACTTTTAATCCTCAGAGCAGCCGAAGAGATACATACTATTATTGTCCCTTCTTTACAGATGTGGACACTGAGGCACAGAGAAGCATCACACTGTTCAACTGAGAGTAGATCCTTGATCTATGCTCAGACTGCCAGGGAAACTCACCTTTCCTGTTTGGTGAATTTCCTTTACTGCTCCCTCCCCAACCCCCTAAAGTTCTCTGTCCAGCACTCCAGGTCCTTGGAGCCTTTGCTCTTCTGAGCTGGTCTCAGAAACAAACAGAAATGTTCACACTGTGCCTCACACTATGGCAGGAGGGTAAGGGGACCTTGGGGGCTAGGCATGCCTTACTGCATCTCTCGCATAGTGCCGTGCAGGTCCCTACCTGCTCCAGAGACTTAAGATAGGCCCCAGTGTGGCCCTTGTTTCCTGCACCTTGGGATTGGCCCAGTGTTCCCTCCCACCAGAGGACTAGTATTGCCAGAGGAGACACGTGCTCCCCCTCCCCTCGTGCTCAGTCCACTCACCATTGGATACAGAGAGGTGGATGGGGTCACTGACGGGTGCTCCCCGTGTCTGGCATCGATACACCCCTGGTGTCTGCACCTCAATGCTCTTCTTGTGAGAGGGCAGAAGTAGGTGGCCCAAATACCAGAGAGTGCTGATGGGCTGGAGCTCCAGGAGCAGTGGGTGGTATCCATCACACTTCAAAGTTACCCGCTCCCCTTTGAAGATGGTGGTCCAAGGTGGATGTAGAGACAATATGGGCTTCTCCAGAGTAGCTGGGGTGGGGAGTGGGGTGAGAGGGGGCAGCATGCAAAGAGAATCAAGGTGAGGTGCCCAAAGAAACGACCTGAGTTTGGGAAATCTTAGGAAACCCCAGCTCGCAGGCCCCAGCCCATGTACTAACCCATCCCTGCAGGAGAGGAGATCACATTCATTGGGTTACAGACTACCAGTCCATCAGCCAGCACCCATTTCTAAATGCCTTCAAGCAAATTTAGTCCCAGGGGTTGACGAGAGTGGGAAGAGACACTATCCCAGCGCAGCCAAGAAGTGAGGAGTCTACTTGAAAAGGTCACTTAGGGGGTTGGAGTGGAAGCTGTAGAAAATTGGGATGAGAAATTTATAAGACTCACCAGCTTGCCCACTGCTTGGAACTGCAGAACAGGAAAGAAGGAAGAGGAAGGAGAAGGAGAATATTGGCGATGAGAGGAGAGAGACTCTTGACGACAAGAAAGGCTGAATGGTCCCAAAACCTGTTTTTCTTCTTCTGCCCCTGGTTTCCCAAGCTCTGAGAAAGCCCCTTCTTCTTCACCCCTCCAAAAAAAGATAATGAACCACTTGGAAACTGAGGATTGGATACCCACCCTCCTCTCCCCATACCTTGGTCCACCCTATTCTCCACCACCCAAAGCTCTTCTGCTGCCTCACTGTGGACTCACCCAGGAGCAGAAGGGCTGTCAGTGGCCACATGATGGATCTGACTGCAGCAGCTGCAGAAGGATGGAGATGCACTGGCATGAGATGGGGAACAGAGAGAAAGAATGTGGCCAGTGGATGCCACTGAGTACTAGGAGACATTGCTGCTTCTCCCACCCACTCCTAGTTCCTGAAGATAGCAGACCAGAACCAGTGGGAGACAGGCTGAATATCAGGTATCCCAAGTGCCAGGCACTGTCTCATCTACCGCATCTACAGCCACCTCACAGCTCAGGCCAGCCCTGACTACTGAAAGGAAGGCCTGCAGAACTTGTGCCCTCCACAGCACAAGAGAGCCCCATAGAACCCCAGGCTCCAGCAGATGACCCCGCCATCTTCAGGCTCCCATTGACATCCCACTCCCATCCCATCCCTTCTCCACCTTCCAGCCAGCCCTGCAAGGCTCAGCTGAGGAAGACACGGCCTCATGTCCTTAAGGACCTTTTTCCTGCTCACTCCTGATGACAGACATTGGCATGAGACCTAGAGAGGTCAGTGTTCGGTTGCCTGCCCCCAGAGCTCACATCCTGCCACAATGAGTAGACGAAAAGGCATGACTCACCAACCACCCTTCACATCCCTATCATCTAGTTCCCCAGTCAAGGATAGAAATGCAATGTGTTTCTTCTTCCTCCCTTCCTGAAATCTTGAGTTCTCATAAATTCTTAAATTCTTAAGAAGTTAGAAAACTCTTCTTTCCTACCCATCCCAATGAGCTCATCCTGTGGCACTTCCAATCACTTGTTCTTTTCTTCCTTCCTCCCACCCTTCCCTGCAACCCCTCCCCAGCCACGCCCCAGTTCCAGAACTCCTGACCTGCAGCAGAGAAGTCACTGCATCGGCCCCTCAGAAGCCTCTCAGATCTGACCTCGGGGCTCTACTTCTTGTGCTTTCTGAGCCATGTGACCGTACCTGAGCAATGAGGAGAACCTGAATTTTCATGTAAATACTTAATGAATTTTCCAGCCTGATAGTGTGTCTCCTTGGACTCTATCCTGTCCTTACCTGTGGTTGTTTAGAACCGGGGCACCTTGATCCCTTGGAAATCTGATGGGAAGGAGATCAATTATCAGGTACTGTCAACTCCCAGGAAGATAGTATCTTCCCCTCTTGCTGATGCCTGAAGTTCCACTCTGAGAGTCCCCTCATATTTTGCTTAATGGACTAGCCCCTTTTAAAAATGCAAATGCCTCTTAGGAAAATGTGACTGGTCATTTAAATTATGCTGGTCACTTCAGATCATGTTTTGAGTGCAGGTTTTGATAAAAGAGATAGAGTCCTGTAGATTTCAAACAAAGTAGGGACATATTTGACAATGTGCCCAAGAGTAGGGGAGGCAGAGAAGAACTAATTACTGGGAACAGGGATGATCACCTGCCTGCTTTAGGAGTGCCTGGGCTGACCAGCACTCTTGTGCTTCCCCTCCATCCTAATAATTCCTCGTCTCAGGGCCAGTGTGTGGCTTCCCACATGATCCACAGCCTGCCACAGAGGTCTGACTTCTGCACCAAGCCACCACCTCAATGGTAAGAATGCAATGCAGTTGTCAGCTGTCCTCTTAGGCAACACAAGCTGGCTCTATTTTGGCTTCTCATCCCCCAGAGCACAGATCTCAGCCCCTTTACTCGATTCAGAAGAAACCTTAGTACACCAAAACTTTGTGAACTGTATAGTCGTCCCTAGAAACCTCTGGAACCATCCATACTGTTCATATTATACAGTGCTCAGAATTTGACTTGAAAAATTTCCCACGAAATATTTATTTATTCTAGGCTCTCCTCTAAGTTTTTCCCAAAGTGAGTCTTTTTACTCCATCTAGGACTTTTCCCCAGAATTTCTAATTCTTCACTCCTTTACAATGCAGAAAAATTTAGAAATTATCATTTGTAACTTGAGCAATTATTTGAGGCCTATCACAACATAACATCTGGACAATATATGTCACCATTTGATAAGCATTCTGGTGATAAAGTGTTCTCAGTGATAATTACAGTAATGAACTAATGCTGTTGTTGCTGATGACAGCTCACTTTAGTGTCTCGGCATGTGGCAGGCACTATGCTAAGTGCTTCACAGATATTACTGCACTTAATTCTTGTAAGGCCCTTTGAGGAAGAATTATTAATATCCCAATTTTGCATATGAGGAAACTGAGATGATGAAACTGGGATTTGAATAGAAGTCTGTCTCCAAAATCTGTTCTCTTATCTCTCTGATTGTCAGGGATTCAAGATGCTGCTCATGGCCGGCTGTCATTATTGGTCTTTGCAAGTTCCCCCTCTTATTGTCTTACCTTGTTGACTTTCACCCACATTATTGTCCTCCTCCCCTCCACATAAGCACCCACTGTAAAATGTTTACTGTGTGTTCCCATATACATGCTATTTTTTTTTGTGCTTTAAGTTCTAGGGTACATGTGCACAACGTGCAGGTTTGTTACATATGTATACATGTGCCATGTTGGTGTGCTGCACCCATTAACTCGTCATTTACATTAGGTATAACATGCAGTTTTTAGCTTTGAGAAATATTTAGTGTTGTTAATTTACATAAGTGGCATTGTGTTCTAGATATTATATTCACTTCTACTTTTAAAAATTAATCCCAGATGTTTCAAATTTGTTCAGATTGCTCTACATGCATCATGTTTATTGCTTTTGACTGCCCTAATATTCTTTTTTTTTGAGACGCAGTTTTGCTCTTATTACCCAGTCTGGCATGCAATGGCATGATATCAGCTCACTGCAACCTCCACCTCCTGGGTTCAAGCAGTTCTCCTGCCTCAGCCTCCTGAGTAGCTGGGATTACAGGCGTGCATCACCACGCCTGGCTAATTTTGTGTTTTTAGCAGAGATGGGGTTTCACCATGTTGGCCAGGCTGGTCTTGGACTCCTGACCTCAGGTGATCCACCCACCTCAGCCTCCCAAAGTGCTGGGATTACAGGCATGAGCCACTGCGCCCAGCCATGACTGCCCTAATATTCTATGCTTCTGCTACACTGCACTTGTCCATTCCCCTAACATCCTAGTTGCTGCCCACCCTCAGCTACCACAGACAATTCCACAATGGACTTCTTGGTACATATTGTGAGGGCTGGATGAATTAACATATGTAAAGGGCTTAGAACAGGGGTTGGCACATAGGAAGTTTCATGTAAGTTAGTACTGGTAAGGACATGATGCTTCCCTACAGAGCCCTGAAGCGCCTTTATGGGATACACACCTGAGAGCAAGACTGCAGAATTATGTTCATGAGTTACATGCACACTCATTCCAAAACTCAAATCTAATTCATCAGCAAGTCCTGATGACTCTACCTGCTACATTGATCTTTTTGTACAGTAATTTATTCACTGAGTCGCTAGAGAGATACTTTTAAAATGTTAACCATATTGTGTTACTTTCTCTCAAAATTCCCCATAGGTACCCTCAGAATAAGTTCCAAACACCTTCCCATGGTCTACAGGGCCCTACAAATCGGGCCTTTCTCTGACCCTTGGCCTCATTTCCTACAACTCTCCCCCTCACTCACTCTGATCTAGCCACATTGTGTTTAGAACAGTTGCTGGAACATTCCATGCTTAGTCTTGCTCCAGGGCCTCACTTGCTGTTCTTTCTGCCTGAAAGATTCTTATTCTCCTCCCAGATTTTTGTAAGTTTCACTTCCTCACTTCACTCAAATATTACTTCCTCAGAGAGATGGTCGCTAACCGTGCTATCTAAAATAGTATCTCCTCACTGTCATTTGCTGGCTCCATATTTTGCTTTATTTCTCTTCAATGTACTTGTCACCACCCGGAATTGTATTTGTTTGTTTGTGGTAGGTTCCCCCATTAGAATGTAAGCTCCATTGAGGCAGGAATTTTTTCTTTTTTGCTGATGTATCACCTACAGCAGTGACAGCACATAGCACGTGCTGTGTAAGTATTTGTGGCATAAACAAAGGAAGAGATTGAATACCGTGATATTACTCTCAAAAGTGGCTGCAGAAGCTTATACACCCACCAGCAATTCACGTGGCTCCCATTCCCTCTTGTCATCAATATTCAGTGTTTCTTACCTTTGTAATTTTATCAAACAAATTTTTCTTTTCCTAAATAAGAACATTTAAAATTATTCTTATTTTATTTTCTGTAACCCAGGATAGGGCTGATAATAATATATTTTTTAAAATTGCTATTGCTATTCTTTTTTTTTTTTTTTTAGACGGAGTTTCACTCTTCTTGCCCAGGCTGGAGTGCAATGGTGCAATCTCAGCTCACCACAACCTCTGCCTCCTGGATTCAAGCAATTCTCCTGCCTCAGCCTCCCGAGTAGCTGGGATTACAGGCATGCGCCACCATGCCTAGCTAGTTTTGTATTTTTAGTAGAAACAGGGTTTCTCCATGTTGGTCAGGCTAGTCTCGAACTCCAGACCTCAGGTGATCCGCCCGCCTCAGCCTCCCAAAGTGTTGGGATTACAGGCGTGAGCCACCGTGCCCGGCATAAAATTATATTCTTTAATGTAAACTTTTCAGCAAAAGGAAGGCATTTCGATACCAAAGGAGTGCAAAGGACAATTTCAGAATAGAGAGCAGAGTATTTCTTTACATTGAATGTCTTTAGCTTTATGAGAAATTCACACATAGTTAATGAAAACTAACAGTGCCTGTCTGAAGGAACTCTGGCAGGAAGGCTGTGCTGTAACTCTCCGTATTTCTCCACATCTCCTCTTGTCCAGTGGGAAGGGAGAAGGTTGATACCAAGAGGGAAGAAAACTTTTAAGAAGACAGGACTAGGGTGAGGCCTATCCCAACACACCCTCCTTAAACTTCCTCCTATGATTCTAGCAGGTCATTTTATCCCTTCCCTAGTCTCTTCTAAGTTGTAACTGAACCAAGTTTTTCTACCTTGGGCTACTGGGCTGGGTACAGAGAGCTTTGTGTTTGGGAGGTGCAATGCTACTCCATATCTGATCACCCAGACCTGTTAACACCTCTCAGATCATTACTCTCTATTCCTCCTGTCCCTAGCCAAGGCCCTTGTCTCAGAAGGCTGGATGAGAACAACAGCCTTCAAATCCACCTCCCTCAACCTCTCTTCTAGTCGCCCCATTCACCTTATACCAGAGTGCCAGAATAATCATCCTAAACATCACTTTTCACGAGTTCCTCCTTTACTCAAAATTTACCTACAGAATTCGATCAATTTTCTTATGGACATTTAAAGAGCCTCTATAGCACATTTAAGAGCCTCTGTAGTCTATTTACTTCTCCATTATTATTTCCTTCCGCTGAACTCTGTTTCAAAGGATTTGCCTTCTTTTTCCCTGACATCTGCATGCCAGTTTTCCCCTTTATGCCCTTGCTTACATCATCCCACTCTGGAACGTCCTTTCCTCTCTTCTCCTGTTCTGTAGATCTGTCATGTTTTTCAAGGCCCCACCCATGTATTATCTTCTTCATGAGATGCACCTGAACACTCCAGTCCCCAGTGAGCGATCTATTCCCTGAGTTCCTGTCTTGTTCATCATCATCCCCACTTCCAAGTGCATAGCTGGTAGTACAACATCCTATTTATATAGAGTTTGGTGTTTAATATGGTTTGAAACAAATTAACATGGTAATTTACTCATTTTCCTGTTGGTGGACATCTGCACTGACTTCTTTTCAATAAAAGAAAGGCATTTCAGTACCAAATTTTGCTTTTACAAGCTTTGTTACTGTAAACGTTATCACACCTGTCTTCTGGCGTGCATATGCTAAGTTTTCTCTTGGGCGCATCCACCTAGGCATGGGGTTCTGGGTTACAGAGTATGCAGATGCACTGTTCAACTTACAAGATAATGGACGTGTGTAACACAATAAGAAATATGTACTTTTCTCTGCCCCTTTGGGTAGCTCTTTGGCAGAGAGCTACCAAAATCCTGGGGATTTCCTGAGTGATAGGGATGAGATGAGTATTTCTTGTTATGTATAATTAGCCCCTTCAATCATGCCTGAGTTTATGCTAATAAGGTGACTCTTAACTCTGCAATTAGAGGGTTGGAACTTTCAGGGGTCTGTGCTAACTCTGGGTAGTTAGAGTAAGAATTGGTAAATTACACAACATCTAACTGGTTTCTGCTGAGAATTAGAGAATTGCTTGGTGTGGAAAACTCACCTTGACCTCCTGGAGGAGAAAAGGGCTGGAGTTTGAGTGAATCACCAATTGCCAATGATTTAATCAATCATGCCTGTGTAATGAAGCCTTCATTAAAAACCCTAAATGGTGGAGTTCTAAGGGCTTCCAGATCAGTGAACACACGGAGAAGCTGGAGGGTGGCACACCCAGAGAGCGTGCAAACTCTGCACCTCTTCCCACATACCTTGCCCTATGTATATCGTCATTGGCTGTTAAGTAAACTGTTTTCCCAAGTTTTGTGAGCCATTCTAGCAAATTATTGAACCCAAGGAGTTGTGAGAACCTCTGACTTATAGCTGGTCGGTGTCAAGTACCAGAAGCCTGGGATTTGCAATTGGCTTTTGAAGTGAGAGCAGTCATGTGGGACTGACCCCTTAACCTATGGGGTCTGTGCTGACTCTGGGTAGTTGGAGCCAGAATCGATAAATTGTAGAACATCTAGTTGGTTTCCACTGAGAAGCAGATAAAAACTTGGTATGGGAATCCATATGTTTCATGTCAGAGGTATTGTGAGCGGAGAACAGTTTTCCTTTTCATGTGCTTGCTATCTAATGTTTATTTCAGAGACAATGTTGAGCATAGCTGCATTGGGACCTCTGTCAATTACAGAATCCTAAATGGCACAAGCCATAAACCAGATCCATTGTAACGATTCCTCTTCCCTACTCCCTCTCCAACCTCCCCAGGCTAGACAGAAAGAGACGGGTAAATGCTTGCTCTCCCTATCTCTCTCTCTCATTCTTTTAGCTCTGTTCTTGCCTTCCTCATCCCTGTTGATAGATCCTCTCCCTGAGGTTTCTAAGTCCTTGACTGAGGCTGGGTCCCCTGGATAGAGTCTGGAGATTTAGCTGATGCCAGACATGACATTCATCCTTTAAGGTCCAGCTTCATTCCCATCCTCTTCAAGATGTTTTCCCTTATTTTGCTGGCCCAACTCGATTCAACTAAACAAAATTTACTGAGAACTTACATATGCCTCATTATACTAGACATCAATGACACAACATGGAACAAAGAGCTCAGGAGTATTCTCAAAGACCTCACCCTCTGGTGAACAAAAATGAGTAATAAAAAATTAAAATGCAGTGTGGTGATAGAGGTGCACAGATACACATGGATGAGGTGTACAGAGATTACATTTATCTCAGCCAGCTGCATCCATCTTTTCTTTCCCAGATCTCTGATAGCTTCTACTATCTGTAAATGAATTCCCCATTTAGCAGGAGCTTGCAGGATGCATTCATGCAAATGCGAGCATTAGCTGAAATCAACTCCATGTAGAGTGGTTATAACATAGTATCTTTGGAGACACATCCACCATGGTACATTGGCAACTGAGCTTCCATTTTTTCAAGTCCATCAAAGTCATGACAGTTCTGGTCATTCTTGCAACTCCCATTCACACAATTGTAAATCAGTCCTCTCAGGCTGTAGTGTTGTTTACAGACTTCTACCAATTCCCAGATGCCTCCTGATCTTTTTTTTTTTTCCCTCGAAGGTGGCAAGAACTACCATAAAACTCTCATTTTACCATCGGCATGATTCTATGTCTTTGTTTCTTTGTGGTATGTCTAGAATGATCATGTGCATGTCTCTTGTAAATCATTTTGGGTCAAAACTGCACGGAATAAATGGCACAAAGAAAGGCCACAGTGGAGAAAATCACACCATGTAATTCAGAATAACATGGTAGAACAGCCACTGGCTGAGGTCATGATAAAATGATGTGCTAACTGATTGAGTTAAGGTTATTATAGAGCCTGCCAGGCCAGCTCTCATTGGCTGAGAATGTACAATAGAAGTCCAAGCATAGAAAAAAGTATTAATATGAGACTAAAACGGAGTCATTATGTGTTATTAAAGAGAAAGATTTCAGAGACCGATGAATTAAAAACAAATATCTGCAACTCTGGCAACATTATACTCGGTCACTTATTTCTGAGCCCAGTAGGATCCTGTGGGAAATTTTTATATACCCTGCTTTAATTGTGTTATAGGATGGGGTACTATTCCCTTCTATCCCACAGTGTAAGCCCTCTGTAGACAAAGACACTGTTTTATGAGTATTTTTAACATATCATAAACTCAGTCATGTGGCAGAGGCCAACTGCCTAGTCCATTTGGGCTACTATAACAAAATACACAAACTGAATAGCTTACAAACAACAGAATTTTATTTCTCATAGTTCTGGAGGCTGGAAGTTCAAGATCAAGGCAACGACAGAGTCGGTGTTTGGCGACAGCTGTTTTTTGGTTCTCATACATGTCATCTTCTTGCCACGTCCTCATATGGTGGAAGGGTGAGTTAGCTCTCTGGGGCCTTTTTAAATAAGGGCACTAATCCTAATCATGAGGGCTCTGCACTCCTGATCTAATCACTTCCCAAAGGCCCACTTCTTAATGCCATCACCTTGGGGATTAGGATTTCAACATAATGGCTTTTGAGGGGATACAAACTAGAACTAAAGAACAGACCATAGCACCAGCTAAAGACTGGTATGTCAGTAAGAATAGCTGAATGAGGCTGGAAAGAGATAATAATTAGAAGGGACAAAGTCCCATTCCAGAGCCCAACACCTAGGGTTTCATTAGGCTGGGGTTTCTCAAACTCAGTACAACTGACATTTTGGGCCAGATTATTTTTCGTTGTGGGGTACTGCCCTGTGCATTATAGGATGTTTAGCGGCACCCCTGGCTTCTATTTACTGGATGCCAGTAGCACACACATCCCACCATCCCCCAACCCCCCAAGTATAATGACCAAAATGTCTCCAAACATTGCCCAATGTCCTCTGGGGGGCAAAATTGCCCCCAGTTGAGACTGCTGTATTCAATCCACTTCCATTAGTTCTCTTTAAATCACAACATTCTGGTCGATATAACAGATAGAAATTCCTGATCTAGACAGCAGAATTCTGTTGTGTTAAGAGAGAATACACAATTATAGCTAAACTCTAATTCTCACTTTATATAAATTTATTTACACTCACCTAACTACATTATTCTAACAAAACACTGGGACAACTTGTAAAAGTACTTATGCATATGTGCAGGACAGGAAGAGAAAATAAAGAATCAGATTTATTGGGGTGGTTAAGTGAGATCATGGATGAACTGTTTACTTCTATTCAGCAGTAGCCTTTGTGGTCCCAGGCTTCCGGTGGCCAGATAATTCCCTCAACTCCATGAGCAGGTGACCGAGGAGGACTCTCACATCCTGCATGTGTTTGAGAAGAAGGCCCATCTGGTGATACAGATGAGGATCTGGCATCCCCAGAGGAGAAGAAAAGCCTGGATCCTCAGAAGATGGGGTTGGCGGCGGAGGCAGAGGCCCAGGGGCCTCCTCAGGAGCAGTTCCTGGAGCAGCTGATTTCTGAGGAGCTGGATTCAATGTGGGAGGTGCAGCAGAGCTGGAAGCACCTGAATTATGGGGCAGGAGGCACATACAAGAGTGAAGTCTGACTCTGGCCCTTCCCTCCCATCCCTGGCCAATCTTTCTTGTTCTCTGAAAGTGGCTGTGGGGCCCAATGGCAGCAGGGACTTGAGGACTCTAGTGTCCCTCCTGGTCCAAATTTTAATCTGAAGCTTGGCCACTTCTGTTTGAAATTCTTCAGCAGTGAGGCTTCACCACTGGACAGCTATAACTATTAGCCAGTTCTTTCTCTATCAAGGCTGAATCTAATTCCCTGAAGCATGAATGTGGTAACTGGTTCTAGGTCAGCCTCTTTATTATATAAGACATTAGTCCAATTCCTTGTGCTAATGCCAGCCTTCAGCTTTTTGAGGACACCTCTGCTGGCCTCTGAGTCACCTCCTCTTCAGGATAGCATCTCCAGCCCCTTCCATTATTTTTCATATGACATGACTTTAAGCCCCCTTATCACCCTGGACACCTCTTCTGGGAGTGTTTCAGGTCAAGTGCAGCCTCTTAACAGTGGCTCCCAGAATTGAACATAGACTTCAGACTATCCCATCTTCATTCCAGATATTAAATTCCTATAAATGCCCAGAGAGCATGTTGGGGGGGATGCTAAGGCTTGTGGGGCAGCAGGTGTGGAGCTGGCTCAGCTCTTGGTCTGGTGAGGTGTGCACCACAGTCTGAGGGAGAAGTTCTCTATTTGTGCTGTCTCTCATCATCAGGGATTCTGGCCCATTGTTCCTGCCCCCTCTGTGTCCCTTCTTAACCTGCTCACACTGAACCCCAGCTCACAGGTCAATTTATCCTATCCCTCCTTTTCACTCACACGCATGCCAAACAGACAACCTGCACTCTGATGCGAACTCACCCTGCACTCTGATCTCTAGCTGGGGGCTCTGTTTCCAAACTTGGTTGTCCTCAGTGGCTGCCTCACACCAGTATGACCCGGAGTGATCTTCTGAAGCTGTGGGGATCTGGAATTCTGAGGAGAGCCCCCTGCTTTGCACTATCCTTCCATCCTTGTAGAAGGAGAAGAGGAGGCGGGCAGCTGACCTCTGCAGGGGCAACTTTGTCTGACAACTCAGGGTCATGGGGCTTCCTGCTTGGGGTTCAGCTGAGGGTACAGCTCTGAGAATTGGCGCTGGAAACAGTTCTGGGAAAAAGATAGGCAGGAAAGAAGAGCTCAGCCATCTTATATACAGGTAGACACATGCAGGTGAAGAGACTTGGGGAGTCATACTTCCTTTCCCCTGTTTCCAGCAGGAATGGGCTCTCTTAGATTCCATTTGAATCTGTCAAGTTCTTTCTGTAAGTAGACAGGACTAGGAAAGATCCACAGATGGGCAAATCTGATAGTTGTCCAGACACCCAATCAGTGAGCACTAGGAAGCATAGATCTGGGTGGTAGGAACTATGCTGGACTCTGAGTGGGGCTGGATGACTTCAAAAGGCTGAGGTCTCGTCCCTTTCGAAGCCCAACTTGGGCATTTGCCAGCAACCTGCTCCATAGTCTGTTGATGATCTTGCTACCTCCAGGCTAAAGAAAGACAATTTGGGCTCCCTGTCTCTCCTTACCCTCCCCTGCCATGACAATGCTGCTTCTAGCTCTCACCTTGGACTGTGATAGCCACAACAGATGCTGTTTCTGGGATCCCAGGACCAGGGCTCTGGAAGATGCCACTGCAGTGGTAGTGCCCGCTGTCTGCCTTTTGTACCACGGTGATGGAGAATTCCCTGTTAGGCCCGGGGGGACCCAGAGCTGAGCCATCTCGGTAGAAGGTCACCTGAGTCAGTGGCCAGTCTTGCCAGGCCTGGCAGCGCAGAACCAGCAGGTCCCCTTCAAAAACTGGCTTGGCTGGACCTTGGAGGATCAGCCAGTCTATGGTCCAGAGAAAGAGCTGAGTGTCACCCAGGGCCTCCCTTGGGGGCCACCCCCAAGCATGCCTACTCCCCTAAACTTTCTCTGAGGGTCCAGGTAAACTCTCACCCCTGGTTGGGAGTATGGGACAACTTCCCTAGGGCCTAGGACTTAGAGCACCCTGGTTGCTGTGGGCTGAAGACTGGGAAGGAAGTACCTCATCCCATAGCCAATTTCCTAGGGACACTTTCCTGGGTGGGCTCTGAGGCTGAAAGAAGGGGTTTGGGGCACTGCTCAGGCCTTCCCAGGACCTCACCATAGGACACAATCAGGTGGAAGGGTTCACTGAAAGTGTAGGCCTTGACCTGGAAGCCAGCTTCCCTTGCATCAGTCAAGTCATCCTCCGTGTGGCAGCTGCTCTCCTCAGTGCAGACAGGTCCCTCACACTGCAGCGTCTCAAAACTGGCAGCTGAAGAGGGCATGGCCCAGGGAGAACCAGAAAATGATGATGCAACTTGGAGAAAGAGGACAGGGTTCCTCCATCTCCCAGGATAATCATCCTTTTTAGAATGAGACTAGTAAGACATCAAAACCTTTTTTTTTTTCGGAAAGACCCCTGAGAGTGTCTCAGGGGGATAGTTTTGACCTTGATTCACTGGCGTCCAGGTGCTCTCAGCAAATGCACTGTGGTTTGGAGAAGAGGGAGGGGAGAGAATGAAAGAATGGTGAAACTCACCGGCATGACATCCAGCTGCTGGTACGGGAAACCAGGAGCAAAGACAATGGTAACTCGAAGCAGGGAGGCATAGGACAGGAATGAAAGGGAGACATCAGATTCTAATGTTCACTGGGTGCCAGACCCTGCTAGCACTTGTGTGCAGTATCTAACTTCATCCTCACAAACTTTCCAGGTAGGTGACTTTATCCTCATTTTATAATCTTAAAGAAACACACTTAGAAAACCAAATTAACATACCCAAAGCTTAAAAAGAGACTAAGCAATGGATCGGGAAAGGCAGGTGTGTCTGAGTCCAAAATCAATGTTCTTTTTACTTCACTGTGCAAATATGGTCTACTTCAGTCCTCAGACCTTCCTCGGGGACTTTCTTTCATATTCTGATTTTCCCAAACTTCACTTGGCTCCTCAGCCTTGAATATGTTATCTAACAAAGAGCTTTCAGTACCCAGCAGTGTCTCTCCTCCTTTCTTCCTCCCCCTTGCAGGTCTTCACTTTTCAGCCATCTTTACTTTAATGTCCTCTGCCACTTGAATTTTCCCTGGCAGTGGCACAGAGCTTTCTCTGTCTTTTTTCCCCTCCTCCCAGTCCATATTAGTAACTGTGGAACAATTCTTTGCTCCAGATTGAAATTTAGAATTATCCATTTCTCACCACATCTCCTCAACCTATCTCTTACCTTCATGGTAGACCTAGGCAAGGGAAGTGACATTTCTCCCTTCTCTGGGACTGCTCTTTATCTCCCTAACTATTCTCCCCCTCCTCCAGCCTCATGGCCATTCACATGTGCATACTTCTTCACTCCATCTGACTGTCATTTCGTGCCCCACTTGCCTTTATTCTCTTCCACTCCCAATAGCCCAGCGTTCTTCTTTGATTTTGTCATGTCCCTTACCAAGACCCCTCCCTACTTCCTAATTCTCATCACATCAGTACCAGGTGTTTTCTTTCCATCCTTTCTCCGCTCCCTTCACTGTAATGCTACCTCTTTTCAGTTCCTCCACTGTCACTCATCTGTGCTCTGCCTCCTCTCCATTTTTTCTTTTTAAAAATAAAATCTTATCCAGGCGTGGTGGCTCATGCTTATAATCACAGCACTTTGGGAGGTTGAGGTGGGAGGATCCCTTGAGCCCAGGAGTTTGAGACCAGCCTGGGGAACATAGAGAGACCCTGTCTCAACAAATAATTTTTTAAAAAATTGGCCAGGCCTGGTGGCACTTGCCTGTGGTCCCAGCTACTTGGGAGGCTGAGATAGGACGATTGCTTAAGCCCAAGAGGTCAAGGTTGCAGTGAGCAGTGATTGCACCACTGCACTCCAGCCTGGGTGGCAGAGCGAGACCCTGTCTCAAAACATAAAATAAAATAAAATAAAATCTTGTTGGGTTACTGGGAACTCACTCAATAAACCTTAGGTGGTAGGTATTATTATTTTCATTCTACAAATGAGAAAACTGAACCAGAAATAGAAAAAGTGATTTTCTAAAGTGACATAGAGCTGGTAAATAGAAGAGGGGCTTGAAACAGGAGTA
Organism: Homo sapiens; assembly: GCF_000001405.40. NCBI lineage: Eukaryota > Metazoa > Chordata > Mammalia > Primates > Hominidae > Homo > Homo sapiens. The sequence continues at coordinate 161,708,963 of NC_000001.11, read as the reverse complement.
TCTGATTCCAAGTCTGCAGTTCTTATCACAAGACAAAAACAAAAAAACATTGTCACTACCCACAAATAGCTCTCAATTTAGTGGAAGACACAGGTAGATGAAAATATTATTTCAGCATAAGTAGGAAAATATTATAATAAGAAAAATGTATCGCAAGCAGCCATTGGAGCAGAAAGAAGCATTCAAGAAAAGCTACCTGGAAAAGATACCATTTAAGCTGAGTCTTTAGGGGTACCTACACATTTGCAAGGAGAAGGAGAGTAGGGTGCCATGGAAAGAACTCATTTCAGGTAGAGATAGTGGTATAAGCAAAGCCTTAGAGACAGGCAAGAGTCTGGTGTGTGAGTATGTAAATATGAACTGATTGAGATTTATTAGAGCATAAGTTACAAGGCTGAGAGGGTAAAAGTAGAGGCTGCTTGGCCTTTTGTGCCATGATAAAGAATTTGGGCTGGTAAACTTGAGTTTTAGAAATTACTCTGTCTGCAGGGTACAGAATTCATTTCAAGAACACAAGGTTTGGACGAGGAGATTAGTTAGGAATTTACTGGAATAGCCCAAGTCATAGAGGATGAGGGCTTGTCCTAAGACATTAGTGATGATCCAGGCAAGGGACTGCTTCTATGAACAATTTAGAAGGTAAAATTGGCCAAACCTAATGATTGATCAGATTTAGAGAATGAAAAAGAAGGAAGAGTCTGGGTTGTTTCTGAGGTTTATGGCCTTGTAAGGGTAGATGCTGGTGTCATTAGCTGAGATCAGAAAGTGGAAAATGAATTAGATGAGGCAGGGGCCAAAAGGACAGATAAGTTCAACTCTAGTCACATGGTGCAGAGACACTTGTGAGATATGTAGGTAGATATGTCTGGTATGAAGCTTGATATTTGAATGTGAAGCTCAAAAGCATGGTTAGGGTTGGGGATATGATTTGGGACTCTTAAATACAGAGTTATAGTGGCAAAAATTAAACAGACAAATAAGCTCATGAAGGAGATTGTGTAAAGAAAGAGGAGTACAGAGGCAAGGCTATAACTATAGAGAACACTAGTGTTTAAGGGGAAGAGAAGAGAAGCTATTAAGGGATCAAGAGAAGTCCATGTAGTACAAGGAGAAAATGGTGCCATGGAAGCCAGGGTAGTAGAGAATGCAAGAAGGAGTAAGTGATCAACAGAGCCCAGTGCAGCAGAGAAGTCCAGCAGGATATGAACTGAAAAGCATGCCATAACCCAGTCAATATAGAGATCGTTGTGCCCTAGACAAAACCAATTCCAGTGGAAGCCAGGCTGCAAGCATTGAGGAGCGTGTGAGAAGTGAGGAAGTGGAGATAGCAAGTGCAAACTATTCTTTTAAGAAAACTTGTCTCACAAGTGAAAGAAAAGAGTTGAGATTAGAGCTAGAGAGGATATCATGATCAGAGGGGACTTTCAGGATGGAAGATTTTTATATTCAGAAAGTAATTCAATCCTGTACACCAAACTTTCTTATACCTACCCTTCTTATTCCACCTGAATACTGCTTCTTTGGAGGGCCAGAATTAGTCCATGTTTCTTTCCTTCTGGTCCTTTCTCCCAAGGTAAGCAAAGCTCCATTCCCACACCAATATTCAAATATTTTACTTACCCAGTAGCATCTGGGCCACCCAGAGCACACCAAGGGAAAGGTAGAGGGCCCAGGCCATGAGGACACAGCCCAGCTTCATGGTGACTGTGTTTAGGTCTCCTGCAACCCCAACACTGATTTTCTTCAACATGAAACCTCTCAGATTAGAAAAGAGGAAGTAAATTTAACTGTCTCATCTCCTTGCATCTGGGGTCTGTTTTCATTTTCTAGTTTGTAATTGGCTTTCATCATTCAGATTTGGCCAACACGCTTTCAGCATCATCTGCACCCTTAGGGCTATGACAAAATGGTAGCACTCTCAGCTGTTCAAGAATTTACTCACAGAGCTCAGGGGCCTGTCAAAGCATGTCATTGTCTGATAGCCAGCTGGCCTTCATGTACACTCTGGGAAAGGTCAGTGCAACAACCACCCTTTTCACTGGTGATGCAACTGGGGACAGAAGGTGGGATGTTGTTTGAAGGCCAATAGAAAATCACTGGAGAATCAATGATGAGAATTCAAATGTCCTGCCCATTCCAACACTTATATGTTTCTAGTGACTAGAAGGTAGCGAGACAGAGAAGGAAGATTAGTCACGGCACCAAGTTAGATATCAGATTAGTCTCTAGTAGGCTCTGACTATCCAAAGCCCACACAAATTTGCATGCAAATTTCTCTAGACTCGTGTCAGCTCTCTATTTCTGGAGCATGACTAAGTCTGCTCAGTCTCAGTGGAAATATGAGTACAAGGCAGGGAGAATCCACTGGGAAAGAGTAGAGGAAAAAGAAAATCTATTCCCAGAGGATCCAGCAGTCAGCTCAGGGCTTAGGCTCATAGCCAAAGCTCAGGCCACTGATCCTGAGGAAATTAGAGATAGGAGGCATCCGATATCTTGAGAAACCTGAGGAGACTCAGGAATAGGAGCAATATAGAGGCTACAGCCTCTCCCTTCCGTTCCAGATGGCCTCCTGGGAACCATTGTCCCTGCCTCTGAATGTTTGCTATTTGTTTGAGGCCTACTTAATGGTAGGGCCCATGTGTCTTTTCACAGTGGCCACATTCCTCCCCTTTCTGTCATCATAACACCCACCAGGCCTCCAGTAGGTTATTTGGAGATGAAATGAGCCATCAGAAATGGGGTAAGGTAGGCCAGGCACTGTGGCTCATGCCTCTGTAATCCCAGCACTTTGGGAGGCCAGGGTGGGCGGATCACTGGACTGGAGGTCAGGAGTTCAAGACCAGCCTGGCCAGTATGGTGAAACCCCATCTCTACTGAAAAAAAAAAAAAAAAATTAGATGGGCATGGTGGTGCATGGCTGTAGTCCCAGTTACTTCAGAGGCTGAGGCATGAGTATCATTTGAACCCAGGAGGCAGAAGTTGCAGTGAGCCAAGATTGCACCACTGCACTCTAGTGTGGGTGACAGAGCGAGACTCCATCTCACAAAAAAAAAAAAAAAGAGAGAGAGAGAAATGGGGGAAGGTAGTTTGGTCCTCCTTGAAGGCAGAGAGAGGGACAGTATGACCCTTCAACTGTGCAAAAACCACAGGTCAGAGCAGACATATCAACCACACGGGCATAAGAGAGTGGATCTTTCTGAGTCTAAAATAAGCATTTAGAATAAAATTTCCATTATCGAGAGGCATACGCTTCTGTGCAGGTGGCCCCAGGGAGTCCAGGGGTGGTTGAATATGGGTGCTGGGGAAGGCAGTGAGGCAGTAAGCCTTGCAGCTGATGTGATGTGAAGCCTCAGAAGAGGAAGAAAAGCCTAGCTAGCCTTAATAATTTTTTTTTTTTTTTGAGATGGAGTCTCTGTTGCCCAGGCTTGAGTGCAGTAGCGCGATCTCGGCTCACTGCAACCTCTGCCTCCAGGGTTCAAGCCATTCTCCTGCCTCAGCCTCCCGAGTAGCTGAGACTACAGGAGCGTGCCATCACGCCCGGCTAATTTTTTGAATTTTTAGTAGAGATGGGGTTTCACCCTGTTAGCCAGGATGGTCTTGATCTTCTGACCTCGTGATCTGCCCACCTCGGCCTCCCAAAGTGCTGGATTACAGGTGTACGAATTAAACAAATAAAATGTGTTTAGATGCATCGCCACTCCTAAAACTACATAAAACATAGACCCTCAGGGTTAGGCAGAGGCTAAGGGGCTTCTAAACAAATCATGATATCTTTCTCTTCTTATGTCACCCTTTCTCCTTTACTGTCCTTACCATAGCATCTTACCTGGATAGAGACCCTCCCCTATACCATCTGCAGCAATCCTTGCAGGACCCCACTGTCAATATGGAAGGCAAGGGGCCTTCTGAAGATTTGGGGTGAAGCTATCAAGTTCTTTACACTGAAATTTCCATTAAGCTGCTGGGAAAATTTACTCGCTTGAAGCTTAATCAATGAACTATTTAGAATAGATGTGATTCACTGCGAGGAAAAAGCAACATTGGGTCTGCTGTTTGTTCATGGAGACTGAGATTCGGTTTATTGAGTAAGTTCCTCCATCAGGATCACCTCAGAATACTCAGGGGGAGATGGGACAAATCCCAGCTCTCATCCCATCCCAAGACCAATTAGGTGGTGGATGCCCTCCTTTGCCATTCCTGGCTTGTCACTAGTGGACTAATGCTTATCTCTTCTTTATTTTTAATTGAGTAGATAAAAATATTTATTAAAAATGTGAAGGTGTAAAAAATAATGCAGTGTATACTTTTGAAACCTTATATGGTTGAAGGAACAGACTAGTACTGTTATCCTTGAAGTACTGCATAGATCCCTGTCCGATTACACTGTCTTCCCTCCCCACCATCATCAACCACAATCTTTACCTTATATTTATCACTCTCTTTATTTTATGTAGTAATCATTTTGTATTTTTGAACTTTTAGTAAGTGGAATTGTACTGTATTTATCATTCTAAGGCTTTCTCTATTTTTTTTTTTTGAGATGGAGTCTCACTCTGTTGAGTGAGTGCAGTATGTTTGATCTCAGCTCACTGAAACCTCCACCTCCCGGGTTTAAGCGACTCTTCTGCCTCAGCCTCCCGAGTAGCTGAGTAGCTGGGACTACAGGCGTGTGCCACCACACCCGGCTAACTTTTGTATTTTTAGTAGAGACGGGGTTTCACCATATTGGCCAGGCTGGTCTCGAACTCCTGACCTCATGATCCACCTGCCTCGGCTTCCCAAAGTGCTGGGATTACAGGGGTGAGCCACCTTGCCCAGCCAACTTGCTTTCGTTTAACTCAACTGAAATACAACCTGATGTTCTGTGTAGCTATAGTTAACTAATTGTATTGCTGTGAAGTATTTCATCATGTGATCATGTCACAAATTATTCTATTGACAATGGACATGTGAGTTATTTTCAGGTTTTTGCTGTCAAAAACCATGCATCTATTCATGTACATAATTTGTTATTATAAGAGTTTCTCGAAGGTACATATATGAATGGAATTTTCTTATTGACTTTTAAGAGATTGTATATGTCCTAAACATAAATTTTTTGTCAGTCATATTTGTTACAAATATTTTTCAATTTATGGCTTGTCTTTTCATTTTGTGTTTGTAAAATCACTTTATTGAGAAATAATGACATACGCTAAATGCACATCTTTAAATTGTACAATTTGATGAATTTTAACAAAAGTGTGTACCTATGAAAACATGACCACAATCAAGATAATAAGCAGATGAATTACTCCTGAAAATTTACTTGTGCACTTTTGTAATCCCTTCCTCTCTATCCACCTTCTCCAGGCAACCACTAATCTGTTTTGTGTCATGATAAGTTTTCTATAGTTTACTGAGATTTTACATAGATGAAATCATACAGCATGTGCTCTTTTTGTCTGTCTTCTTTCATTCAGTATAATTATTTTCAGATTAGTCCATGTTGTTGTGTCTATCAACAGTTCTTTCCATTTTATTGCAGAGTAATATTCCACTACATGACTGTACCACACTTTGTTTATCCATTCACCTATTGTTTGATATTTGGGATGCTTCCAGTTACGGCTACTACAAATAAAGGTACTATAAACTTTCATGTACAAGTTGTATGGACACAGGCTTTCATTTATCTTGGGTACCTAGCAGTGGACTGGCTGGATCATATAGGTGTAGGTGTATTTTTAGGTAGTTTTTTAAATTTTATGTAGGTAATTTAATTTTTCTTTAAAAATTAAAAATATTTAATTTTTTAAGAAAATGCCAAGCTGTTTTCCAAATTGGTTGTATTAGCCAGGGCTCTTCAGAGAAACAGAATTAATATATGCATACAAGGAAACACAGGAATTGACTCAGGCAATTTTAGAGGCAGACAAATCCCACCCTCTGCTATCAACAAGCTGGAGAACCAACAAAACCAATGGTGTAATTCAGTTCAAGTCCAAAGGCCTGACAATCAGTGGAGTCAATAAGTCTCAGTCCAAGTCTGAAGACTCAGAACCAAGAGGGCTGGTGTCTGAGGGCAGTTAATGTCCCAGCTCAATCAGAGAGATCAAATTTGCCCTATCTCCATCTTTTTGTTTTATTCAGGCCCTGAGTGGTGGGATCATGCCCACATGCATTTGTGAGGACAGATCTTTATTCACTCTTCCAATTCAAATGCTAATCTCTTCCATAAATATTCCTTTTTTTTTTTTTTTTTTTTTTTCCCAGACAGAGTCTCACTCTGTCACCCAGGCTGGAGTGCAAAGCCGTGATCTCGGCTCACTGCAACTTCCACCTCCTGGGTTCAAGCAATTCTCCTGCTTCAGCCACCCAAGTAGCCGGGATTGAAGGCGCCCGCCACCAACCCTGGCTAATTTTTGTACTTTTCAGTAGAGACAGGGTTTCACCATGTTGGCCAGGCTGGTCTCGAACTGCTGACCTCAGGTGATCCATCTGCCTTGGCCTCCCAAAGTGCCAGGATCACAGGCGTGAGCCACTGCGCCCAGCCCTCTTCCGTAAACATTCTCACAGACACAGCCAGACATAGTGTTTTACCAGCAGTCTGAGCGTCTCTTAATCCAGTCATGTTGACACATAGTTAACCATTACAATGGTTGAACCATTTTACAATCCCACCAGCAGTGTATGAGAGCTCCAGTTGCTAGACAGCCTCAATGATGCTTGGTATGGTCAGTCTTTTTACTTTTAGCAATTCTAACTGGTGTTTCCTACAGCTCATTGGTTTTAATTTGCATTTCTCTAATGAATAAGGATGTTTATTTTTTCATGTATTTATTTACTAACTGCATATATATTTTGGGGTAGAATCAATTCAAATCTTTTGCCAGTGTTTAAAAACTGGGTTGTTTTCTTATTGAGTTGAGGTTTTTTAAAAAAAAATTCTAGATATGTGTCCTTTGTTAGATAGATGTTCTGCAAATATTTTCTCTCAGTCTGTGACTTGTGTTGTCATTTTCTTATCATTATCTTTTAAAAAACAATCTTTGTGTGAGTGTGTGTGTGTGACGGGGTCTTGCTCTGTTTCCCAAGGCGGAGTGCAGTGGCATGATCATGGCTCACTGCCACTTCAACCTCCTGGGCTCAAGTGATCCTCCCACCTCAGCCTCCTGATTAGCTGGGACCACATATATACACAACTACACCTGTTTTTTTTTTTTTTTTTTAGAGACGGAATCTCACTATGTTACCCAGGCTAGTCTTGAGCTCCTGGGCTCAAGTGGTCCTCTTGCTTCAGCCTCCCAAAGTGCTGGGATTACAAGCATGAGCCACTGCACTCAGCCACATTTTACATTTTTATGAAGTCCAATTAATCAATTTCTTCTTTAACAGATCATGATTTTTGTTTCCTATTTAATAAATCTCTCCCAAAGCTGAGGTTACTAAGATTTCCTACCATTTTCTACAGGTCTAGCTCTTACATTTAAATATATGATTCATTTCAGGTAAATTTTCATATATGATGTGAGTTAAGGGTTGAGGTTTAATTTTTACATATGGCTACCAATTGTTCCAGCACCGATTTGTTGAAAAGATTATACTTCCCTTATTGAATTGCCTTAGCATCTTTATCAAAAATCAATTGATCATATATATTTGATCCTATTTCTAGACGTTCTTCCTCAACTTTGTTTTTCTTTTTCAGAATTTAAAAAAGCGATTCCATATGAATTTTAAATTTTCATATAAATACGTTTGTACTTCCATAAAATTTTAAAATCAGCATGTCATGGCTGGGCGTGGTGGCTCACGCCTCTAATCCCGGCACTTTGGGAGGCTGAGGTGGGTGGATCACTTGAGGTCAGGAGTTCAAGACCAGCCTAATCAACATAGTAAAATCCTGTCTCTACTAAAATACAAAAATTAGCCGGATATGGTGGCGTACACCTGTAATCCCAACTACTTGGGAGGCTGAGGCAGGAGAACTGCTTGAACCCAGGAGATGGACGTTGCAGTAAGCTGAGATTATGCCACGGCACTCCAGCCTGGGCAACAGAGCAAGACTCCATCTCAAAAAAAATAAAAATAAATAGATAAAGAAAATCAGCATGTCAATTTTTTTAAGCCTGCTGGGACGTTGACTAGGATTACCTTGATTCTATAGATCAGTTTGGAAAGAATTCACACCATAACAATACCAAATCTTCTGATCCATGAAAACAACATTTCTCTTCATTTATTTAAGTCTTCCTTAATTTCTTTCAGCAGTTTTCAGCATATAGGTCTTGTACATCTTTTGTCAAATATATCCCCTAAGTATTCTATATTCTTGATGCTATTATAAATGATATTTTTAAAATGCATTTCTGATTGTTCATTGTTGGTATACAGAAATAGAACTGAGTTTTGTATATTGACTTTGTAACCTTGCTGAACTCACTTACTAGTTATAGGAGTTTTTCAAAATAGATTACTTGGAATTTTCTATATAGACCATCATATCACCTGTAAATAGGGACAGTTTTACTTCTTCCTTTCTGATCTGTATGCTTTTAAATTTTCTTTTATTGCCTTACTACAGTGGCTAAAACTTTCAGAACTATGCTCATAAGAGCAGTGAGAGCAGACTTCTTTGCCTTGTTTCCAGTCTTAGGGAGAAAGCCTGCAGTCTTTCACTTAAGTATGATGTTAGATGTGTTTTTTGTATACGTCCCCTATAAGGTTAAGGAAGTTTTCATCTATTCCTAGTTTACTGAGAGTTTGTGAGTATTTTTGTTTGTTTTATCATGAATGGGTATTGAACTTTATCAAATGCTTTTATGCATCTATTGAAATGATGGGTTTTTTTTCTTTTTAAATCTGTTAATATGGTAAATTACATTCATTGGTTTTGAATTGGTCCAAATTTGTATTGGTCAACATGTATTATCCTTTTATATAATATTGAATTTGTTTGCTAAAATTTGGTAAAACTTTTTGCATCTATGTTCATAAGAGATATTGGTCTCTAGGCTTTGTTTCTTATTTTTTATTATTTTTATTCTATTCTATTTATTCATTTTTGACACAGAGTCTCACTCTGTCACCCAGGCTGGAGTGCAGTGGTGCCATCTCGGCTCACTGCAACCTCTGTTTCCCAAGTTCAAACGATTCTCCTGCCTTGGCCTCCCCAGTAGCTGGGATTATAGGTGCCTGCCACCACGCCTGGCTAATTTTTGTATTTTTAGAAGAGATGGGGTTTCACCATGTTGGCGAGGTCTCTAACTCTAGACCTCAAGTGATAGGCCCGCCTTGGCCTTCCAAGGTGCTGGGATTACAAGCGTGAGCCACCGCACTTGGCCTCTTCTTTATTTTTTAAAATACTTTTTATTTAAAGGCTATTAAAATGGAGCTGTGGGAGTGGAGAAGGAACAAAGAAATCTGTTAATGGTCATGATCAATTAGTTGTAAACACCACTGCACTTGGAACAGCCTAGGTTTGGTTTCTTTTCATGCCTTTGCCTGGATGTCTGAGTTGCAAAGTGTTCTTTTCTCCCTAATTTTCTGGAAGACTTGGTATAGAATTGGTATTATTTATTCCTTAAATGTTTGTTAGAATTTGGCAGTAAAACCATCTGGACCTTAAGTTTTCTTTGCAGGAAAGTTTTGATAATAAATTCAATTTCTTTTTTTTTAATTTTTATTTTACTTTAAGTTCTGGGATACATGTGCAGAAAGTGCAGGTTGTTACATAGGTATACAAGTGCCATGGTGGTTTGCTGCACCTATCAACCCATTATCTAGGTTTTAAGTCCCGCATACATTAGGTATTTGTTCTAATGCTCTTCTTCCCCTTACCCCTACCCCCTGACAGAGCCTGGTGTGTGATATTACCCTCCCTGTGTCCATGTGTTCTCATTGTTCAACTCCCACTTATGAATGACAACATGTGGTGTTTGGTTTTCTGTTCCTGTGTTAGTTTGCTGAGAATGATGGTTTCCAGCTTCATCCATTTCCCTGTAAAGGACGTGAACTCATCCTTTTTTATGGCTGCATAGTATCCCACTGTTTATATGTCCCACATTTTCTTTCTCCAGTCTATCATTGATGGGCATTTGGGTGGGTTCCAAATCTTTGCTATTGTAAATAGTGCTGCAATAAACATATGTGTGCAGGTGTCTTTATAGTAGAATGATTTATAATCCTTTGGGTATATACCCAGTAATGAGATTGCTGGGTCAAATGGTATTTCTGGTTCTAGATCATTGAGGAATCACCACACTGTCTTCTTCCACAATGGTTGAACTAATTTACACCCCCACCAACAGTGTAAAAGCGCTCCTGTTTCTCTATCTGTTGTTTCCTGACTTCTTAATAATCACCATTCTAACTGGTGTGAGATGGTATCTCATTGTGGTTTTGGTTTGCATGTCTCTAATGACCAGTGATGATGAGCTTTTTAAAATATGTTTGTTGGCCCCATAAATGTCTTCTTTTGAGAAGTGTCTGTTCATAACCTTCGCCCACTTTTTGATTGTTTTTTTCTTGTAAATTTGTTTAAGCTCCTTGTAGATTCTGGATATTAGACCTTTGTCAGATGGGTAGCTTGCAAAACTTTTCTCCCATTCTGTAGGTTGCCTGTTCACTCTGGTGATAGTTTCTTTTGTTGTGCAGAAGCTCTTTAGTTTGATTAGATCCCATTTGTCAATTTTGGCTTTTGTTGCCATTGCTTTTGGTGTTTTAGTCATGAAGTCTTTGCCCATGCCTATGTCCTGAATGGCATTGCCTAGGTTTTCTTCTAGGGTTTTTATGGTTTTAGATTTTTACATTTAAGTCTTTAATCTATCTCGAGTTAATTTTTGTATAAGGTGTAAGGAAGGGGTCCAGTTTCTGTTTTCTGCATATGGCTAGCCAGTTTTCCCAGCACCATTTATTAAATAGGGAATCCTTTGCCCATTGTTTGTTTTTGTCAGGTCTGTCAAAGATCAGATGGTTATAGATGTGTGGCATTATTTCTAAGGTCTCTGTTCTGTTCCATTGGTCTACATATCTGTTTTGGTACCAGTATCATGCATTTTGGTTACTGTAGCCTTGTAGTTTTGTTTGAAGTCAGGTTGCATGATGCCTCCAGCTTTGTTCTTTTTGCTTAGGATTGTCTTGGCTATACGGGCTGCTTTTTGGTTCCACACGAAATTTAAAGTAGTTTTTTCTAAGTCTGCAAAGAAAGTCAATGGTAGTTTCATGGGAATAGCATTGAATCTATAAATTACTTTGGGCAGTATGGCCATTTTCATGATATTGATTCTTCCTATCCATGAGCATGGAATGTTTTTCCATTTGTTTGTATACTCTCTTATTTCCTTGAGCAGTGGTTTGTAGTTTTCCTTGAAGAGGTCCTTCATGTCCCTTGTAAGTTGTATTCCTTGGTATTTTATTCTCTTTGTAGCAATTGTGAATGGGAGTTCACTCATGATTTGGCTGTCTCTCTGTTGGTGGTGTATAGGAATGCTTGTGATTTTTGCACATTGATTTTGTATCCTGAGACTTTGCTGAAGTTGCTTATCACCTTAAGGAGTTTTGGGGCTGAGACAATGGGGTTTTCTAAATATACAATCATGTCGTCTACAAACAGAGACAATCTGACTTCTTCTCTTCTTATTTGAATACCCTTTACTTCTTTCTCTTGCCTGATTGCCTGGGCCAGAACTTCCAATACCATGTTGAATAGGAGTGATGAGAGAGGGCATCCTTGTCTTGTGCTGGTTTTCAAAGGGAATGCTTCCAGCTTTTGCCCATTTGGTATGATATTGGCTATGGGTTTGTCATAAATAGCTCTGATTATTTTGAGATATTTTCCATCAATACCTAGTTTATTGAGAGTTTTTAGCATGAAGGGATGTTGAATTTTATCGAAGGCCTTCTCTGCATCTATTGAGATAATCATGTGGTTTTTGTCATTGGTTCTGTTTATGTGATGGATTACCTTTATTGATTTGTGTATGTTGAACAAGCCTTGCATCCCAGGGATGAAGCCAACTTGACCATGGTGGATAAGCTTTTTGATGTGCTGCTGGATTTGGTTTGCCAGCATTTTATTGAGGATTTTCTCATCGGTGTCCATCAGGGATATTGGCCTGACATTTTCTTTTTTAGTTGTGTATCTGCCAGGTTTTGGTATCAGGATGATGCTGGCCGCATAAAATGAGTTAGAGATGAGTCCCTCTTTATCTATTATTTGGAATAGTTTCAGAAAGAATGGTACCAGCCTCTTTATACCTCTGGTAGAATTCAGCTGTGAATCTGTCTGGTCCTGGGCTTTTTTTGGTTGGTAGGTTATTAACTACTGCCTCAATTTCGGAACTTGTTATTGGTCTATTCAGGGATTCAACTTCTTCCTGGTTTAGTCTTGGGAGGGTGTATGTGTCAAGCAACTTATTCATTTCTTCTAGAATTTCTTGTTTATTTGTGTAGAAGTGTTTGTAGTATTCTCTGATGGTAGTTTGTATTTCTGTGGGATCAGTGGTGATATTCCTTTTATCATTTTTTTGCACATCTATTTGATTCCCCTCTCTCTTCTTTATTAGTCTAGCTAGTGGTCCATGTATTTTGTTAATCTTTTCAAAAAACCAGCTCCTGGATTCACTGATTTTTTGAAGTGTTTTTCATGTCTCTTATATATTTCAGTTCTGCACTGATCTTAGTTATTTCTTGTCTTCTGCTAGTTTTTGAATTTGTTTGCTCTTGCTTCTCCAGTTCTTTTAATTGTGATGTTAGGGTGGTGATTTTAGATCTTTCCAGCTTTCTGTTGTGGGCATTTAGTGCTATAAATTTCCCTCTACACACTGCTTTAGCTTTGTCCCAGAGATTCTGGTATGCTGTCTCTTTGTTCTCATTGGTTTCAAAGAACTTCTTTATTTCTGTCATAATTTCATTATTTACTCAGTAGTCATTCAGGAGCAGGTTGTTCAATTTCCATGTAGTTTTGCAGTTTTGAGTGAGTTTCTTAAACCTGAGTTCTAACTTGATTGCACTGTGGTCTGAGAGACTGTTTGTTATGCTTTCTGTTCTTTTGCATTTGCTGAGGAGTGTTTTTCTTCCAATTATGTATTAAATTTTAGAATATGCGCTATGTGATGCTAAGAAGAACGTATATTCAGTTGATTTGGGGTGGAGAGTTCTGTAGATGTCTATTAGGTCCACTCGGTCTAGAGTTGAGTTCAAGTCCTGAATATCCTTGTTAATTTTCTGTCTCATTGATCTGTCTAATATTGACAGTGGGGTGTTAAAGTCTCCCACTATTATTGTGTGGGAGTCTAAGTCTCTTTGTATGTCTCTAAGAACTTGTTTTATGAATCTGGGTGCTCCTGTATTGGATGCATATATATTTAGTATAGTTAGCTCTTCTTGTTGCATTGATCCCTTTACCTTTATGTAATGCCCTTCTTTGTCTTTTTTGATCTTTGTTGGTTTAAAGTCTGTTTTATCGGAGACTAGGATTGCAACCCCAGTTTTGTTTGTTTGTTTTTGTTTTGTTTTGTTTTTTGTTTTCCATTTGCTTGGTAAATATTCCTCCATCCCTTTATTTTGAGCCCATGTGTGTCTTTGCACGTGAGATGGGTCTCCCAAATACAGCACACCAATGGGTCTTGACTCTGTATCCAATTTGCCAACCCGTGTCTTTTAATTGGGGCATTTAGCCCATTTACATTTAAGGTTAATATTGTTATGTGTGAATTTGATCCTGTCATCATGCTGCTAGCTGGTTATTTTGCACATTAGTTGATGCAGTTTCTTCATAGTGTCATTGGTCTTTATATTTTGGCGTGTTTTTGCAGTGGCTGGTACCAGCTTTTCCTTTCCATATTTAATGCTTCCTTCAGGAGCTGTTGGAAGGCAGGCCTGGTGGTGGCAAAATCCCTCTGCATTTGCTTGTCTGGAAAGGATTTTATTTCTCCATTTATGAAGTTTAGTTTGGCTGGATATGAAATTCTGGGTTGAAAGTTCTTTTTTTAAGAATGTTGAATATTGGCCCCCACTCTCTTCTAGCTTGTAGGGTTTCTGAAGAGAGATCTGCTGTTAGTCTGAGGGGCTTCCCTTTATAGATAACCTGACCTTTCTCATTGGCTGCCCTTAAAATTTTTTCCTTCATTTTGACCTTGGAGAATCTGAAGATTACGTGTCTTGGGGTTGCTCTTCTTGAGGATTATCTTAGTGGTGTTCTCTGTATGTCCTGAAGTTGAATGTTGGCCTGTCTTGCTAGGTTGGGGAAGTTCTCCAGAATAATATCCTAAAGTGTGTTTTCCAACTTGGTTCCATTCTCCCCGTCACTTTCAGGTACACCAATCAATTATAGGTTTGGTCTGTTCACACAGTCCCATATTTCTTGGAGGCTTTGTTCATTCCTTTTCATTCTTTTTTCTCTAATATTTTCTTCATGCCTTATTTCAGTAAGTTGATCTTCAATCTCTGATATCCTTTCTTCCACTTGATCAATTTGGCTACTGATACTTGTGTATGCTTCACGAAGTTCTCGTGCTGTGTTTTTCAGCTCCATCAGGTCATTTATGTTCCTCTCTAAACTGGTTATTCTAGTTAGTAGTTCCTGTAACCTTTTATCAAGGTTCTTAGCTTCCCTGCATTAGGTTAGAACATGCTCCTTTAGCTCAGAGGAGTTTGTTATTACCCACCTTCTGAAGCCTACTTCTGTCAATTCGTCATTCTCATTCTCCTTCCAGTTTTGTGCCCTTGCTAGAGAGGAGTTGTGATCATTTGGAGGAGAAGAGGCATTCTGGTTTTTGGAGTTTTCAGTGTTTTTGCATTGGTTTTTCCTCATCTTCATGGATTTATCTACCTTTGATCCTTGAGGCTGATGACCTTTGGATGGGGTTTTGGTGTGGGGTTCCTTTATGTTGATGTTGATGTTGTTGCTTTCTGTTTGTTAGTTTTTCTTCTAATAGGTCCCTCTTGTGCAGTTTGCTGGAGGTCCACTCCAGACCCTGTTCACCTGGGTATCACCAGTGGAGGCTGCAGAACAGCAAAGACTGCTGCCTGCTCCTTCCTCTGGAAGCTTCATCCCAGAGGGTCACCAGCCTCATGCCAGCCAGAGCTCTCCTGTATGAGGTGTCTGTCAACCCCTGTTGGGAGGTTTCTCCCAGTCAGGAGACTCGGGGGTCAGGGACCCACTTGAGGAGGCAGTCTGTCCCTTAGCAGAGCTGGTGCGCTATGCTGGGAGAATCCCGCTAGTCAGGATCAGCTGCTCTCTTCAGAGCCAGCAGGCAGGAACAATTAAATCCGCTGAAGCTGTGCCCACAGCCGCCCCTTCCCTCAGGTGCTCTGTCCAGGGAGATGGTGGTTTTGTCTGTAAGCCCCTGACTGGTGCTGTTACCTTTCCTTCACAGATGCCCTGCCCAGTGAGGAGGAATCTAGAGAAGCAGTCTGGCCACAGCCGCTTTGCCACGCCCAGCCCAGACCTCCCAGCCTCCTAACCACTGTCTGAAAAATCGCCTACTGAAGTCTCAGTAATGGCGGACGCCCCTCCCATGACCAAGCTCAATTGTCCCAGGTCTACTTCAGACTGCTGTGCTGGCAGCGAGAATTTCCAGCCAGTGGTTCTTAGCTTGCTGGGCTCTGTGGGAGTGGGACCTGCTGAGCGAGACCACTTGGCTCCCTGGCTTCAGCCCCCTTTCCAGGGGAGTGAATGGTTCTGTCTCACTGGGGTTCCAGGAGCCACTGGGGTACAAAAAAACTCCTGCGGCTAGCTCCGTGTCTGCCCAAACAGCTGCCCAGTTTTGTGCTTGAAACCCAGGGCCCCAGTGGTGTAGGCACACGAGGGAATCTCCTGATGTGCAGATTGCAAAAACCGTGGGAAAAGCGTAGTAACCCAGCTGGGTAACACAGTTCCTCACAGCTTCCATTGGCTGGGGGAAGGGAGGTCCCTGGCCCCTTGCACTTCCTGGGTGGAGCATCACCCCATCTTGCTTCTGCTCGCTCTCCACGGGTTGGACCCACTGCCTAACCATTTCCAGTGAGATGAACTGGTTACCTCAGTTGGAGATACAGAAATCACCAGCCTTCTGAGTTGGTCTCGCTGGGAGCTGCAGACCAGAGCTGTTCCTATTTAGCCATCTTGGCCCCTCCCCCCTTGAAAATTCCATTTCTTTAATAGATATAGGGCTATTGAGGCTATTTCTCCTTAAATGAACCTAGATAGTTTGTGTGCAGCTGTCAAGGAATTTGTCCATTTTATCTAAGTTGTCATATTTATCTATATAAAGTTTTTCATAATATTCGTTTATTATCTATTTACCGTCTATAGCAGTACTGATGGCTTTTGAATACTAGCACGGCTAATTGCAAATCTATAGTCATGTCACCTGTCTCATTCCTAAGATTTAAAAATGCACTGCAGGACACAAAGTTATTCCACACACCTCGACTTAGCTTATTTGTGTATTTCTTCCAAGAGAAAAAAAAAAAAGAGGCCAGGCATGGTGGCTCACGCCTGTAATCCCAGCACTTTGGGAGGCTGAGGCAGGTGGATCACTTTAGGTCAGGAGTTTGAGATCAGCCTGGCCAACATGGCGAAACTCCGTCTCTACTAAAATACAAAAAGTAGCTGGTCGTGGCGGGCGCCTATAGTTCTAGCTACTGGGTAGGCAGAGGCAGGAGAATCGCTTGAACCCGGGAGGCAGAGGTTGCAGCGAGCCAAGATAGAGCCACTGCACTTCATCCTGGGCGACAAAGTGAGACTCCGTCTCAAAAAAACAAAACAAAAAAAAAAGGAAGGTAAGAGAAGCACAGAGAGAGGGATGGAGAGAGGAAGGGGAGAGGGAAAGAGAAAGAAAGAATTCACTCAGAACCAGTTTCAGGTTGTTCAGGTAGAAGCTGGAAGTCTCCACATAAGCTAGACATGAATTGACATGCCCCTTTCTGGGTACCTATTTCATCACCTGTTAAACTTTTAGAATACACATTCAGAAAGCATACACAAAGATGCTCTGAGTTCTCCCATGCACCAGATCTCCCACGCACCAGGGAGTGGCCCCAGTTTCTAAGGAAAGCCAATCCCTTACCGTCAGGTCACTGGAATTATGGGAAGCTCATTCTACTGCCAGGTGGGCCTCATTTTCGTAAAGAAAACTCACATATTCCTGGAAGACAGTGTCCTGGGCTATTTTTTCTACCTGACTGCTAGCAGCAAATAAAATATTTAAGAATTTATGGAGTATAGTGCCCTGAATTCCTTCCCTTGGAAATTGAAATTGCTTGAGGTTCTTAGGCCACAAACAATTTTTAAAATAGGTGTATGTTTTTTTTCTTACTCTCTTTGTGATGGCTCTGCAGATTTGTTCAGCAAAATGACTCCTTAACAGAGTTATCCTGAGCTGGTATATCAGAGACAGGAAGGCTTCTGCTGGAGCCTAAGGTTTCTCTCCTCTCTCTTAGCTGCTTTATTTGAGACTGCCAGCATAGGGCACAGCCTTCAACTCTCAGCTCACCATGGATTTGTTAATTAATTGAAATAATTCTCCCAATTTTTGCATTGAAGTAGAATATCTTACAGAACCATGAGCTTCTTTCCCCTAACATGAATAACTGAGAAAATGAAGGTATCAGTGATCCACTTCCAATTTGACAGAGCAATTTTACAAGTATTTATTTTGTGCAGGAGTATATAGATGTAAATTAAAACATTATTGCTCAGGCGACAGATTTTGAAATAATATCAAAATGAAGAATGGATTTATTTTTGAAGATAATTTTCACAGGATGTGGCAGTTTTTAAAGGAATTCTGCAAGTTCTCATTGCTCAAATTTTACTTCCAAGGACAGATTGTTATCAACAGAACAGGTTGCAAACAAATATGAATATCCACACATCTCCATTTTGTCCAAGAAAGCAATATTGATATTTTAATAAAACGCTTCAGTTTAACACCTTATCAAATTGGATTCTTGAAGCAGCTTTATGACATAGAAGGATAGTCCTCCTCTGTTAATCAAAGGGAGAGGGGACATCTCTTTCTGAGACTCCTTATATTTCTTATGAAAACTTGCATTTTTAAAGTTAAAGCCTGCAATTTTATTGGTTAGCAAATAAGCAAAAAGAAGGCCTATAAAACTCAATTTTATTCATAAAAGTGATGTAGAAATAAACAGGATTTTACTTAATAATAGTAAAATAAGGTGCATAGAACACTGAGCTTCCAAATGTTATTTACAATACATACTAATGGTAGAAGGAAAAAGGAAATTAAAAAATCATCCATAAGTCCTTCACCTAGAGACTTCTCCTATGGTTAGTTTGGCTTATTTTTATCTGGGTGCTTTTTATCCCCCAAAAAGTTCAAGGGGGAAATATAGACTATGACTAACTCTATGTATTGATGAAAATATAAGTGCAAATATGTATATTAAAAATATTAGGAGCATAGCTTGAGCCCAGGAGTTCAAAACCAGACTGGGCAACATAGTGAGACTCCATCTTCACAAAATTTTTTTTAACTTTTATCTTAAGTTCAGGGATACATGTGCAGGTTGGTGACATAGGTAAACTTGTGTCATGGGGGGTTGTTATACAGGTTATTTTATCACCCAGGTACTGAGCCTCGGATTCATTAGTTATTTTTCCTGATTTTCTCTCTCCTCCCACTCTCTACCCTCTGGTAGGCCCCAGTGTTTTTCCCCTCTCTGTGTCCATGTGTTCTCTTCATTTAGCTCCCACTTATAAATGAGAACATGAGGTATGTGGTTTTTGTTCCAGTGTTAGTTTGCTAAGGATAATGGCCTCCAGCTCCATCTGTGTCCCTGCAAAGGATGTGATCTCATTCTTTTTTGTGGCTGTATAGTATACCACAGCATATATGTATCACATTTGCTTTATCCAGTCTATCATTGATGGGCATTTAGGTTGATTCCATCTCTTTGCAATGGTGAATAGTGCTACAATGAATATACATGTGCATGTATCTTTATAATAAGAGGATTTCTATTCCTTTGGGTATGTACCCAGTAATGGGATTGCTGAGTCAAATGGTATTTCTGTATTTAGGTATTTGAGGAATCGCCACAAATTTTTTAATTATTAGCTGGGCATGGTGGTGCGTGGCCTGTGGTCCCAGTTACTTGGGAGGCTGAGGCAGGAGGACAGCTTGAGCCTGGGAGGTCAAGGTAGCAGTGAGCCATGATCAAACCGCTGCACTCTAGCTTGGGCAACAGGGCAAGACCCCATCTTAATAATAATAATAAATAAAAATATGCCAAGCTCAGTGGCTTATGCCTGTAACTGCAGCACTTTGGGTGGGAGGCTGAGGCAGGAGGATTGCTTGAGCCCAGTAGTTTGAGGCTAGAGTGAAGTATGATTGCACCACTGCACTCCAGCCTATGTGACACAGTGAGACCCTGTCTCAAACACACACACACACACACACACACACACACACACACGCAGCTTCCAGACTACTGAAAATATGTAATAGAGGTACTTTTCCCTATTCCTCCTGCTAAGTACAGCTAAAAACCCTAGATATTATATATAAAACAGAAATAAGAAGACTTAAAAATGGAGAAAAGAGAAAAGAAAGCAGATGAGCAAGGGACCTTGGAACCTGGGGAACAAAATGGTGATGAGTTCCGTAGGTTTTCTTTTTGTTTCATGTATGCTACATCTGGAGCTGAAAAAGCCAGCAACCCAGAAATGCCAAAGGTATAGAGAAAAAAAGCCTCGGGAAAATCCTTCTCTTCCTCCCCAGAAGACAAGGAAAGGGGCAGCCTAGCATGACTGAAAATGTTTAGATAGTAAATGCACTAGTCTAGCAATACCACAGGAAAAAAAAAACAAAAAACAAACTGTGGCCCCACCACCACCCAAAACAGCATCAGATAAAGTAGACCACAGAGCAGAGTAAATTACCAGAGACAGAAAAGGACTTTATTTAATGATAGAAGGGCCAATCCACCAAAAAGACATCCTAAATGTAAATTCACCAAGCGAGAGAGCTACAAAATAAGTGAAGCGAAAGTGATAGCATTAAAAGTAGAAGTTGACATATCCACAATTATAGCTAGAAGCTTCAGCGCTCCTCTCTCAATATGATTGATAGAACAACTAGATGGAAAATCAGCAAAAATACAGAAGAACTCAATGACACCATCAAGCAACATGATCTAATCAATATTTATATAACACTCCACCCAAAAACAGCAGAACACACATTTTTATCAAGTGCTCACTGAGATAAATCATATGCTAAGCCAAAATAAATCCTCAACAAATTTAAAAGACTCAACATTATACAGAGCATGTTTTCCAACCACGATGAAATCAAACTAGAATCAATAACAGAAAGATAACAGGAACGTCTCTAAGTACCTGGAAACCAAACAACATACTTCTGCATAATCCATGGGTCAAAGAGGAAGTCTCAAGGGAAATAAAATAAAATACACTAAATGGAATAAAAATGAAAATACGACATATAAAAATTTGTGGGACACAATTAAAACAGTATTGGAATGGAAATTTATAGCACTAATTGCATAGAGAAAAATCTCAAATCAATAATCTAAGCTCCCACCTCAAGAATCTAAAAAAAGAAGAGCAAAATAAACCCAAAGCAAGCAGAAGGGAGGCAAGAATAAAGATAAGCACACAAAACAGTGAAATTGATGACAGAAAAACAATAGAGAAAATAAATAAGAAATAGAGAAAATTGATCTTCATTGAAAAGATAAAATTGACAAACCTCAAGCAAGACTGACAGAGCAAAGATACAAGTTACCAATAAACCAGCAGATATCAAAAGGAGAATAAGGGAATACTATAATTTTATGTATTTATTTTTATTATATATATTTTTATTATTACTTTTTTAGACAGAGTATCCCTCTGTCACCCAGGCAGAGTGCAGTGGTGTGATCTTAGCTCACTACAGCCTCCGCCTCCCAGGTTCAAGTGATTCTCCTGCCTCAGCCTCCCAAGTAGCTGGAACTACAGGCAAACCCCACCATACCAGGCTAATTTTGGTATTTTCAGTAGAGGCAGGGTTTCACCATGTTAGTCAGGCTGGTCTCAAACTCCTGACCTCAGGTGATCTGCCTGCCTCAGCCTCTGAAAGTGCTAGGATTACAGGAGTGAGCCACTGCTCCTGGCCCATATTTATTTTTTAAAAAATAGAGATGGGAATCTCACTATGTTGCCAAAGCTGGTGTCAAACTCCTGGCCTCAAGCAGTTTTCCCATCTCGGCCTCCCAAGGTGCTAGGATTACAGTCATGAGCCACTGTGCCTGGCCTATAATTTTAAACACATAAATTTGCCAACTTAGATGAAATAATTCCTCAAAAAGCACAAACTGCCACAGTTCATCCAGAATGAAATGGATTCTTGTGTAGCTGTGTAATTATAAGGGAAATTGAATTCATAATTTTAAAACTCCCCAAAAAGAAATCTCCAGTCCTAGATGGTTTTACTGGTGAATTCTGCCAAACATTTGAAGAAGAATTAGCCAATTCTTTTTTTTTTTTTTTTTTTTTTGAGACGGAGTCTCGCTCTGTCGCCCAGGCTGGACTGCGGACTGCAGTGGCGCAATCTCGGCTCACTGCAAGCTCCGCTTCCCGGGTTCACGCCATTCTCCTGCCTCAGCCTCCCGAGTAGCTGGGACTACAGGCACCCGCCACCGCGCCCGGCTAAGGAATTAGCCAATTCTATACAATGTTTTTCAGAATATAGAATAGGAAGGAACACATTCCAATTCATTTTACAAAGTTAGTTTATCCTGATACCAAAGCCAGACAAAGACTACACATTCTTTCTAAGTGCCCATGACACATATACCAAGATGGACATATCATATCTTGGGCTAAAGACACATACAGGTTTAATACACACACACAGACACACACACACACACACACACACACACAAGAAAACTACAGACTAATATTTTTCATGACTATAGGTGCAAAAATACTAAACCAAATATTAGCAAATAGAATTTAGTAACATATAAAAAGAATTATACACCATGACCAAGTGGGGTTTATTCCTGGAATGCAAGACTGGTTCAATATTTCAAAATCAATCAATGTAATCCATCATGTTAACATGCTAAAGAAGAAAAATCACATCAAAAATCATGTCAAACCATAAAAAATCCTGTCAATCAATGCAAAAAAATCAACAAAATTAACACCTATTCCTGATGGAAAGTCTAAAAAAAAATTAAAAAAAGAAACAAGCAAAAAGGAGAGGGCATAGAGGGAAACTTCCTCAACTTGATAAAGAGCATCTACACAGACTTTTGGCTAACAACATACTCAACAATGAAAGACTGCATGCTTTCCCCCTAAAATCAAAACAAAGTAAAGATGTCTGCTAGTACCACTCTTATTCAACATAATGCTGGAAGTTCTAGCCAGTTCACTAAGATAAGAGAAGAAAATAAAAGGCATATGGGTAGGAAAGAAAGAAATAAAATGCCCCTGCTTATATATGATGTGATTGTCTACCTAGAAAATCCCAAGAATACATTAAAAACTCCTAGAACTAATAAGTGAGTCTTCAGCAAGGTTGCAACATACAAGATAAACATACAAGATAAAAAATCAATTGTATTTCTACATATTGGCAATGAACATGTGGACTCTGAAATTTAAAATAGTATCATTTACAATTACAATACTAAGAAGAAAAAAGAAATAGGTATAAATCTAACAAAACATGTATAGGTTTTGTATGACAAAAACTACACAACACTGATGAAGGAAAGTTTGTAAAAATCTAAATAAATGGAGAGGCATATCGTGTTTATGGATTGGAAAACTTAATATAGTAAAGAAGTCAATTCTTCCCAAACTAATGTACACCTTTAACACAATTCTTGTCAAAATCCTAGCGTGATTTTTTATAGATGCAGGCAATATTATTTTTAAATGTATATGGAAAGACAAAGGAACTAGAATAGCTTAAAAATCTTGAAAAAAGAAGAATATTGGGAGGAATCAGTCTAACCAATTTTAAAACTTACAATGTAGCTACAATAATCAAGATTGTGTGGTATTGGCAGAGTGATAGACACAGAATAATGGGACAGAATAGAGAACAGGAAATAGGCCCACCCAAATACACCCAACTGATTATTGACAAAGGTGCAAAACCAATTCAATGAGGAAAGATGGCCTTTTCAACAAATGATTGTTGGAGCAATTGGTCATCCATAGGAAAAAAAAATAAACTTTAACTTAAGTACCATAGCTCATAAAAAATAAACTCAAAGTGGATCCTGGGTTTATGTACTTACTAATTCATGTACATTTTTGAGATAAGGTCTCACTCTGTTGCCCACGCTGGAGTGCAGTGGTGCAATCATAGCTCACTGTAGCCTTGACCTCCTGTACTCAAGCAACCCTCCGACCCTCCGACCTCAGCCTTCCAAGTAGCTGAGACTTCACAGGTAACTTTTTTTTTTTTAGAGGCCAAGCCTCACTATGCTGCCCAGGCTGGTCTCAAACTCCTGGATTTAAGCAATCCTCCTGCCTTGGCCTCCCAAAGTGCTGGGATTACAGGTGTGAGCCACTGTGCCTGGGTGATCCTGGGTTTAAATGTGGAAAGTAAAACTATAAAACTTAAAAAAACAAAACAAAACTGGAGAACATATTCTTTGGGACGTAGGACTAGCCAAAGAATTCTTAGACTTGACACCCAAAGCATGATCTATTAAATGACATAGATTCTCGGCTTTCCTTCTCCCTCAATCCCTCGCGCTCTTCCTTTCCAACTTGGACCCGGCAGAATGGCTCCCGCAAAGAAGGGTGGCAAGAATAAAAGGGCCGTTCTGCCATCAACGAGGTGGTGACCCGAGAATACACCATCAACATTCACAAGCACATCCATGGAGTGGGCTTCAAGAAGTGTGCCCCTCGGGCACTCAAAGAGCTTCGGAAATTTGGCATGAAGGAGATGGGAACTCCAGATGCGCGCATTGATATCAGGCTCAACAAAGCTGTCTGGGCCAAAGGAATAAGAATGTCCCATACCGAATCCGTGTGCGGCTGTCCCGAAAACGTAATGAGGATGAAGATTCACCAAATAAGCTCTATACTTTGGTTACCTATGTACCTGTTGCCACTTTTGAAAATCTACAGTCAATGTGGATGAGAACTAATCGCTGATCGTCAAATACATCAAATAAAGTTATAAAATTGCCTTCAAAAAAAAAAAGACATAGGTTCTCGTTGGATATGTAGAAATCGCAGATTGAAGAGTTTAATTATTTGGCTAACAACAGTTACAGAAATGTATGCTACAATGTGTTTGACAAGTCTTAAGTAATCTTGTTGAGATAACAATTTGTATAATTTAAATTATCTGTTGAAATTGTGGTTTTCAGCAAAAATAGAAAAATTAAGGAACATTTCATTCCAGTGGGCACAGGAGTACAGTAAACAGAGAGACTAGTGTGGTAGGGAAAATATATACTTTTTTTTGTATTATTCAAGACTAAGAATGTTACAAAATAGAAGAGATTACAATGTACAAGATTGCAAACAGAAGGAAGATGTGATCAAACAATCAAAAACTAATTCTGTGAAAAGACCAATAAAAAAGACTTCTGACAAGCCTAATTAAGATAAACAGAGATATAAAGATGTCTCTTTTATTTAACCATTTAACATTATTTTTGTCTAATATCTAAGAAGTAACATTGGGATAACCACAAATCTTGGTCATGTTGTTATAGAAAATTGGGTAATAGGGAATTGAGTTTATTTCCCTAAAGAAAGGAATGCTAATGAAAAGCAAGCTAATTTTCCTGGAAGATCTTAGAAAAAGTCCAGGAATTTGGAGGAATCATGTACAACAAAATATATGGTTAAAGAATGATTCTAAAAATGAGAGGATAATTGTAAACTCTGTATAAGGAGAAGTTAGACTCTTAGGGCCTCTCTCCTACCCAGGGTGACTATTTGCAGGTGACTAATTTTTCCCTGTCATAGTTTAATTCTCAGGAGAAATTGACCCAGCCAGCAGCTGCAGGTGAATTCAGGTGAGTTGAGTGAGTATGAGGTGAGGCATTATGGCCTCCACTATATCACCTGCAAACCCTTTCTCAGGATGCCCTGGCAAACATGCTGCAGCCACACAAGGAAGAAACCAAGAAATAGGAAGACATAAGATTCAGGAAACAGGATTTCATATAAAAGATAGAGAAGTCCTAGGACAACAGCTGTGCAAGAGGTCCAGAGATCAAATGACCGAAAACAGTGTCAAAAAAGGAGGGACATCTTGCTAATGGAAAAAAAAAAAAGAAGGAAGAAAAACTGAAAAGCTACATGGTGCATTTGACTACTATGGAAAATAGTATTAAGCTGCTTTAGAACTTTTTTTAAATCTTTGGAAAAGCTAATAAACACATAGACAACTAAAAAATATATGAAAATGAGGCATTTATTATATCTAGAGGAAAAAAAGATTGTTCAAGAAGGGAAATATAAGCAGACAACACTATTTGTCTCAGCAACAAGGAGTAATCATAAATTGTGATAAAGCTATGTTGGAGCACATGGTAGGAAAAGTGGGAAGTAAGTAAGCACGGTATAATAAGAATAGTCCTTGTATTCTATAGTAGGAAATCAAATAGATAATGTCTAATATTGAAAAATCAAGAAATAGCAGCGTATTGTCTTGTTTGGAAATATGGAGGTAAATTAGCAGAAGACATAGTTGAAAGAATTGAACATGGTTGCCTCTGAGAAGTAGAGCTGAGATGTGAGGGAAGGGGCAATAAACAGCTATTTCTTGTTATATGCCTTCTATTCCATTATACTATGTAAACTAAGGGTGTGTGTTGCCATAATAAAAAACAAAACTTTATTTTAAAATGAAAGAAAATATTGTCTTCATACATATACTTAAAGATACTCACATACAGAAAAATCATACAGACCACATTTACTGACCGTCCCGCAATAAAATAGAAAACAAAAAAGGTAGCGCTCATTTCTCTTGAACAAAACAAACACAACAAAACGCCCTTCCAAATAAAGTTTGAGTTAAGAAGAAAATAAAACTAAAGTTACAGACTGTTTAGAAACAACAATGACAGGGATACATATATCTCAAAATCTAATGGGTGTGGTCAAAATGGCAGAAGAGGAAAAGGTATAGCCTTTTGTGAATCTATTTCAAAACAAGAAGTTTAGAAATTAATGAATAATACAGTAAATATAAATGAAATCTAAGAAAGAAATAATACATTAGAAAACAAGCAAAAGGCAAAGTACTTGAGCCAGAAGTCAAAAGCTGATACAAGACTAATAAAGCAAACCTTTGGTAAGTCTGATTAGGATGAACAAAGAGATAGTGTCAGGATGGGTGACTCTCCAAATGATTAAGCTAAGTGAATTATGGTCATCTCAGTCCCCTTTCTCGTGATGGTTTTAAGAATGAGCATGTGACCCAGTCGTGACCAATATGATATGATGGGAAGATGGTTGCAGAACTTCTGAGAAAATGTTCCTCATTGTCAAAAAGAGACACAAGGCCAGGCACAGTGGCTCACGCCTATAATCCCAGCACTTTGGGAGGCCGAGGCAGGTGGATCACCTGAGGTCAGGAGTTTGAGACCAGCCTGGCTGGTCTCTACTAAAAAATACAAAAATTATCTGGGTGTGGTGGCGCATGCCTTAATCCCAGCTATTCAGGAGGCTGAGGCAGGAAAATTGCTTGAACCCAGAAGGCAGAGATTGCAGTAAATGGAAATTGCGCCACTGCAACTCTGTCTCAAAAAAAAAAAAAAAAAAAAAAAAGGCTACACATAAAAGGAATAGTTAGTCCCTTTCTTTCTATAGTGGTCTGGGTATGATGCTGCTTAGAACCGTTATAATCATCTTGCTGCTAGCTCAAGGGCAGTGCTCACAGAATTGTAGAAAAGTGGACCAAGAGTTCTGATGTGCTAGAAACTGTCTGTCTCTGGACTTTTTGTTATGTGAGATAATACATTTCCTTAATGTTTAAGCCAATTTGAATCACGATTTCCTGTTATTTCCAACTGAAGTCATCCTAACTGATAAAAGAAAGAAAACCCAAAACCTAGGAATGAGAGGAGGGACATAAACACAAACACACAACTTATTACCAAAAAATAGGGGAAAAGTGCGATGTACCACTGCATACCAATAAAATGGATGATTCCTAGGAAAGCAAAAGTTTTCAAAATTGACTCCCGAGAGAGAGAAAATCATAACCAGACCAAAAATGACAGAAAGAAAAGTCTGTCAAAGATCTGTCACAAAAAAATGTGCCAAGCTCATATGATATTATAGGAAAATTCTGTAAGTCTGAATGAATGAAGAGTTGTAACTTAGGAAGCCTCAATATGACACAGATGTCAAACCTTACCCAAATAATCTATAAATGCAATGCAATTCTACCAATATCATAATAGTGTTATGGAATTCTTAAGTACATCTGGAAGAGAAGCAGCACATTAGTAGCCAAGAAAACCTTGAAACAAAAGAATGAGAGAAAACTTGACCTTCTATATATCAAAGTACACTATAAAGTTGCAATAACTAAAAATGTGGTATTGATGCAGAAATAGACAAATAGAACAATGTAATAGAAGAGAGGCTAAAAATAGACCTATGAGTGGGAATTTAGGTGATAAATTAGGATTTCAAATTATTAAACTGTTCAACAAATGATATTGGAACAACTGACTTTCATATGGAAAAATTATATTAGGTTCTCACCTTACACCAAGTCCAAAAATAAGTTCCAAATATAGTAAAGATCTATTTAAAGCATTTAAGAGTTTTAGATAAATATAATATTATTTCATTCGTTAACTCATTCAATAAATAGTGATTGCATTGTTCTAGTCTCTGGAATACACCAGTGAATAATACAAACATCCTGCCCAGAGTGAGCTTACATTTTAGAACTTGTAAGTAAATATTTAAGCAAAAAAATGCATGATTACATACAGTGATAGATACCATGAAGGAAATAAGAGCAGAGGAATAGCAGTAGGGGAAGTGCAGTCAGGGATGTCCTTCCTGAAGAGGATATTTGAAAGAACTCATCAAACTCTACCGAGCATGCTCAAACAAAGTGCTTATTTAAAAGTATAGCAAGAGAAAGAAAGTCTAGGCAATTACTGGGAGTCCAAGAGATTCCATGTGCAAGCTCCCTAGCATCCTTATAGTTACCGTAACTTATTTACGCTTTTTGTCTGGATTAAACCACCGGGATCCATACAAGGAATCTTGGCTATGGGAGAGCTCAAAGCAGAAGTTCCTAGAGGGATTTTTATGCCCCCTCTGGCTACGTAATCATGCCAACTATCTAAATGGCTTATTGAAAAACTATCAGTAAAGAAACTGACCCTGGGGATCAGGAGTCAAGTTTCAGACTTTAGGTAGCATGTCAGGGCCAGGCACCGTGGCTCACACCTGTAATCCCACCACTTTGGGAGGCTAAGTGGGGAGGATCGCCTGAGGCTCACAGTTTGAGATCAGCCTAGACAACATAGCAAAACCCCGTCTCTACAAACTATTTTTTTTTTTTTTGAGACCGAGTCTCTCTCTGTTCCCCAGGCTGGAGTGCAATGGCATGATCTCGGCTCACTGCAACCTTCGCCTCCCAGGTTCAAGCAATTCTCGTGCCTCAGCTTCCCAAGTAGCTGGGACTAAACAGTCATGAGCCACCACACCCAGCTAATTTTTGTATTTTCAGCAGAGATGGAGCTTCACCGTTTTAGCCAGGCTGGTCTTGAACTCCTGACCTCAGGTGATCCACCCACCTTTGCCTCCCAAAGTGCTGGGATTACAGGCATGAGCCACCGCGCCCAGCCAAAAAGTTCTTTTTTTTTTTTTTTTTTTTGAGACGGAGTCTCTGTCGCCCAGGCTGGAGTGCAGTGGTGCAATCTTGGCTCACTACAAGCTCTGCCTCCCGGGTTCACGCCTTCTCCTGCCTCAGCCTCCCGAGTAGCTGGGATACAGGCACCCGCCACCAAGCCCAGCTAATTTTTTTTTTTTTGTATTTTTTTTAGTAGAGACGGGGTTCCACTGTGTTAGCCAGGATGGTCTCGATCTCCTGACATCATGATCCACCCGCCTCGGCCTCCCAAAGTGCTGGGATTACAGGCGTGAGCCACCATGCCCGGCCAAAAAATTCTTAAAAATTAGCCAGGTGTGGTAGTCCCAGCTACTAGGAAGGCTGAGGTGGGAAGACCACTTGAGCCCAGGAGTTTGAGGCTGCAATGAGCTGTGATCCTGCCACTGCACTCCAGCCTGGACTACAACCCTATCTCTTAAAAAAAAAAAAAAAAGAAAGAAAGAAAAGGGAAGAGGATAGAGGGAACTGATGACAAAATGGAACTTCTACTTTTTACTCCTTATCTTTCTGTATTATTTGGGCTTACATGCTTACAATGAGCATACATTTTTGCCTGAGTGTATTTATTAACATGTAAAATATATGATATGATCCAATTTTTTTTTTTTTTTGAGACAGAGTTTCACTCTTGTTGCCCAGGCTGAAGTGCAATGGTGCGATCTCAGCTCGCTGCAACCTCTGCTTCCCAGGTTCAAGCGATTCTCCTGTCTCAGCCTCTCGAGTAGCTGGGATTAGATCCAATTTTTAAAACACAAATACACACTGCCACAGACAGGAATATGGATTGATATCCTTAAATGTTAGCATTAATTATTTCTGGTTTATGGATTTATGGGCGATCTAATTTTTTTGTTTTCCCTATCTGTATCTTAATTTTATAAAAAGAATACATTATTAGTGTAGTGAAATAATTTACATATAAATAAAAGGAAATAAGTTACTACTATGCAATTTATAAATAAAGGGACATACATTGTATCTACAAAAATGGGCAAAGAATAAATACACAGGAAACTCACAAAAGAGGAAATATAAAAGGCTAATCGTAAATTCTCTAAATTCTAAAGCATATAGTTTGGCACAAACTATATGGCACAAAGTAAGTCCTTAATAACGCAGTAATTTTAATTATTATCCCTTATTACTAAAACAATAAGTGTGTATGAAATCTGATTGTGGGACCATAAAAAGTGAGTACTTTTTATCCTACCATAAAAAGTGCAACAAATGTTGCACGATGTTACTGCGTAGAGTCCCAGGAAAATGAAGCCTCTCCAAGGGCACTCACCAAACCCTCAAGGAGACTGCCAGTCATGTTTCTAATCTGCCTGAGATGACTTCTCTGAGAAGGTCACATCCTTCTGGTAACTACATTGGGAGAATAGCAGAGCAGGACATGTCAGCAATCTCCACTCAGGGCTCATCTGAAGTTTGACTTCCCGTGAACTTGTGTTGCAAAACAGTGTTTTATTTGCCATAGGAGGAAAGAGAAGAAGACATGGAAACAAGAATACAAGGTCATTGGCAGAAGAGTACAGTCATGCATTGTTGAAATATGGGGATACATTTTGAGAAATGCAGGCAATTTTGTTGTGTGAACATCATAGCAGGTACTTATACAAACCTAAATGGTGTGGCCTACTACACACCTAGGCTGTAGCGTATAGCCTATTGCCCCTAGGCTACAAACCTGTACAGCATGCTACTGTACTGAATACTTTAGGCAATTGTAACACAATGGTAAGTACTCATATATCTAAACATAGGAATAGAAAAGGTACAATAGAAATATGGTATTATAATTTTATGGGATCACCATCATATATGCAGTCTGTTGTTGAACTAAACATCATTATGTGGTGCGTGACTGTATTCAGTTTTAAGAAAAGGGGCACTCACTCTACATTCTAAATCCCCATCTCTCCTCTCCTCCCCCTATCCTATCCATTCCTGCCTTCCTAAGAGTCTCATCACTGAAGAGAAACAGACCCCAGGCAGTTCAGTCTACACTCCAACCAATACAGCCTTGAAAAGGTAAACAGAATGTTGTTTTTATAATGTTTTATTATAAAAGTAATATATGATCTTTATAGAAAAATAAAGAAAATAAAAATCATCAATAATTTTATCACCCAGAAACAATCACTTTTAATGTGCTGGTAGAGGTTAGTCTATTTTAACATTTCTGAAATCATATAGATTTACATGATTGTTCTCACGTAACCTGTAACATAAGCATTTCCCAAGTTGCTATTATCTGTTAATAACAGTGGTTTGATTAATTGGATTGGCTGTGTGGATGTGGAACGGAAGAGCCTTGATGTCAAGAAGAGCTGAAGCACAGAAGGTGCAGTCGGTTATTTGGGACCATATTGTCTGTGGCTTTCAGGACAGGGAGCTTCAGGACTCAGGTAGATGACTCTGGAAGAAACCTTCTCTTTTGGAACTGCAGCATCTCCCTGTCCTCCCCAAGGGGAATTTAGGCCAGGAAATACCAGATCTTCCCTCTCTGATTTTCTTCTCAAATCCCAATGCAAGACAATGGAGACTAAATACGGTTCTGGTCATCAGGCTCTTCCAGAGCATCCGGGTGCATGAGAAGTGAATAGGTGATTGTGTTCTCAGCCTAGAGAAGGCAGAAACCAGCAGTAAGGATCCACAGAGAGGGCCTAGGAAAGAAGGCAACAGAAAAGGCAACAGGGGAGAAGGGAGGGGGAGATGGCTGGGATCACTCACCCCAACTTTGTCAGCCTCATCAGGATTAGTGGGATTGGCTGTGGGAAAAAGAAGAAATATCAGCCAGAGCACTGCTGGAGAAGAGGGCCTGCCTGTGCTGATGCTGAGGCTGCAAAACCAACGCCCAAACTAGAGCCAAAGCAAGCACTGCTGACCCTGTCTTGGGCCTCTAGGCCAAGCACTGGGTAAATATGACCTCATTGATCGATGCATAGGGTAGCCCAGCCACAGCCTTCCGCAAAGGCCAAGGTGAAAAAGTGGAGCAGTCACTTGAGCTGCATTCTTTTCAGGGAATTGCTGAGCTTTCCTAGAAGCAAACCAGGGAGGCTTGGGATCTGAGATATTGGGGAAGAGGTGGGGGAGGGGGGTGTTCAGCATCAGAGTGAAGTAAAGTCCAGATTTTTGCTGGCCACAGACTTCAGGGAGAGAAGGCTGAGGGCCATTTCCACATTGTCTAAATGTAGTGCATCTTTGTTGGAACTTTGAAAAATATGGTACTCCATGGCATTAAAAAGAAAGAGAGAGTGAGTGAGAAAGGGAGGAAGGGAGGGACGGAAGGAGAAAGGAAGGATGGACTTTGGTTAGTGTCTGAAACACACTGAATTCCCTCATATTTTGCCATGAACTGACTTAGCCAGTGTGAAAAGCAGCCCCATATCTGCAAAGTGGCATTTCTCAGGAAGTCAGGAGACATCTGAGACAATGCATCTAGTCTCTTCTCTCACCCCCTGAACATAGAGAGCCTTTATTGCCATGCTGTAAATTCTGCAGTAAACCGCATTCTGAATTCCCATTCTATTACATTTCCCAAGAATCCCAGCAACCCAGCTTTGCCTTTTGGGAAAGGATTTTTAAAAAACCATTTATGCAGCCCCAATGCCTGGCTGCAAAAGTGCCTTGTGAAATGTGCTTATGCCAGTGCAGACAGAACCACACAACAAGATGGATAATCCAGTTGCTTGGACTTTGTTTTTTCCAGATCTGTTTTGGCCCTGGTGTGAACACAGGCCCCTATCACCACTGGGCCTGGCCAGCAGACATGCGACCTTGCTGCAAGCACAGCTGAACAAGTGATATTTTGCTCAAGCTCTTAAATCTGTTGGCTCTGCTCTGAATCATACTCCAGCCATCTGAGGTGGGGTCTTTGACAGCCTCTTTTTTCTGCCTGTTCTTACTGTCATGGAAGCCCCCAGAGAAAGCACTGGTTTCCTTTGTGCTCTGACTTTAACTACAGTCTGGAAGTTGCCTGGCATCCTCCTGGAAGTTCCTTTACACACTCCCACCTGGGCCAGGGCTTGGGTGGCCCCTGGTTCTCAGAATGTCAAATCTAGAAGACCTGAGAGGTCACCCTGGCCACCCACTCATTTCCTCAGTGAGGAGACTGAACCCCATCAGGGAGACTGACTTGCTCAGGGCTCCACTGTGTGATGAGGGCAGAACCAGGCCAAAATTCAGTCAACCTTGAGTGCATGGGCATCAGAACTGAGTTTTGCCCACAGAGTAGAGCCCACTAGTGCCCCTAGTCCCCCAGAATTTTCTCAAGCCCAAACCTCCTCCTAGTGTTCCACAGACAGCTGAGCCTGGCCACTCCACCCCATCCCTCCACAGAGGCAGATTCCTCAGCAAATCAAGGGGTTTCCAGGCCTCCTCCTCCTTTCCCCTTAGACTCCTGCCTCCCACGTCCTATTGGCCTCAGTCTTACAGCCCCTAACCCCATCCTTTGCCAGCTCTGCCAAAGCTCCACAGGAAGACCAAAGTATCTCTGATTTCTTGCTCTGGAAATATCACCAGATTCCTGGTACCAGAAATTCGGACACAGCCCTCTCTTCTGTATCTGGGACTGGTGTTTCTCTTCTCATCTCCAGAGAGGTCGTCTTTAGGCCCAGGAGTTAGACTAAGAGCTGACCAAGCGATTTGAGCCCCAGCCATCCTCCCACTGCTGCTCCCTCCCTGGCTCCCAGCTGAACTTGCACAAGCCCCTTCTCCCTGGCTCCAGTCCAGCCGGCAGCCCTGGTGAGCCATCACTGAATCCCTGAGACAACCTGTACTCACCTGGTTTCTCAGGGAGGGTCTCTCCCATTTCCCTGCACTCAGGGTATCCTGGGAGAGCTGGGAGGGGCACACAGGAGGTTAGTAGGATTAGGCGGTGGGGCCTGAGTCCTCAGGACCAAGGACCAGGGCCAGGGTTGGATGGGACCAGCTCAGGCCTTCACTCTGGCAGATGTTTCCTGTCCTCCCACCCCCAGCTCCCCTGCTCAGAGGCTGCTCCCGCCTGGAAAAGGGCTGGTCCAGAGGCAGAATTCAGCTCACCCATGGGGATGCCCAGGAGTGTCAGAAAGTCCACGCCATGGCATCTGTCTGAGGCTTGCTCTGCCTTTTAAAAACACCCCTGTGTCTCAGTCTCTCTCTCTCTGTTTCTCTGTATTTACTTATCATCAGTAACTGAGGTGTTGGCTATGAACCAATTGAAAAGTGCTTTGTGAGGTGTTAGCAGGATTCTTTCTTTCTTGGTGGCTTGCAGTACCCTCTCTACTCCCCCTTCGACACCCATATGAGCCCCACCCGGCTTCAATCCCTGCCTTGGCCCAGTGCCTGGAGGGTCCTCCTTCCCTAGCTAAGCGCTGCCCTCACACACCACCTCCTCCAGAATGGCAACAGCCCTGTTTGTGTGCTGTTACTGCCTACCAGGCACTGTGTAAGAGCATCAGCCTCTTTCATCCCCATGGCAACCCTCTGAGGTAAGTCCTATTAGTGTCCCCATTTTCCACTTGAGACAGCTGAGGCACAGAGAGGTGGAGTGACTCACTTGGGTCATATAGTTGGTATGCTGTAGAACTAGATTTGAACTCAGGCAGTCTGGCCCCACTATGTGCACTCCATCACTACACTACACTGCTCTCCCCAAGACCTTCTCCAACTGCCTCAGCCCTTGTTGGGCTATGGAGCCTCCTCTGTACTTCTATCCTAGGCTTTTCATGTCCCTATCATTGCTCTTATCCCATCTTATTATAATGACCCTGTCTTCCTCACAATGCTGAGAACTCCCCAAGGGCAGGGACTGGACTTCTCTTGGCATCACCCACCATGTCTCACGCATTGGCTGACACATAAGCTAGTTTGTTCAAGTCTTGTCAAATGAATGATCTAATAAACGAATGAATGACTATAATACAATACGGGCCTAGATCTGAATGTGTATCTAGCCCAAAGAGAGGGATTCTGGCAATGTCTGGGGTTAGGGCCTGGGCCAAGTGGAAACTGATAACCAAAGGGACCGGGAGGAGCTACAAACCTGAAATCCGCTTTTTCCTGCAGTAGATCAAGGCCACTACAGCAGCAACAATGGCCGCTACAGCAATCCCAGTGACCACAGCCACAATGATCCCCATCGGTGAAGAGCTGGGAGCTAGGGAAGACAGACATCAGGACAGGCAGTACTCTCCTTGTCCCACCTCCCCCCCATCCAATGCTATGTCCTAGTGCTTGTCACCCGAAGCTCTTCTGTGTCTGAGTCACTCACTTCTGCAGCACTCACTACATCCCCAGCCTCATCTGCACAGGGTTTCTGTGGCTGGACTTATGCCTCCTGCTTACCGAGGTTTCTCCACCAAACTAATAAAGGTACATTTGTGAGCAGGCAGGAACAGAGGGAAGGGCTCCCCTTAGCCCTCAGGGGCAGTGGGAAGGGTGGGCCCAAAGCCTCGCATAGCTGGAGGCATCATTACTCTATGGAGCACAGCCTTGAACGGTCCATGACGTGCCAGGCTTTCTGGAGTGAATGGCTGTAACATGAGCCATGAGAAGAATAAAGGCAAACCTCAGTTCTTAGGAATGCCCAGGAGCTTAGGGAACCTCTGCACCAACGAGGGAGCTCTGCTTCGCTGCCGTCCTTAGTCTGGGGCCTGCATTTCAAAGTGGAACAACAGCCTGGTCACCTATCACCTGAGGGCTCCAAGCTCTGGCCCCTACTCCTGCTCATTGGTCAATACTTAGCCAGGCCTCCACACCACTCCTCTTTGCTCCAGTGCCCAATTTTGCGCTGTGGCCTTTCTCAGACCTCCATGTAGGCCCATGTGACCTCAGCCCTTGTCCATCCCCTCTTCTCCCCTCCTTACATCTTGGCAGACTCCGCATACCTTGGACAGTGATGGTCACAGGCTTGGATGAGTACAGCGTGTAGCCTATGTTTCCTGTGCAGTGGTAATCACCACTGTGACTGTGGTTTGCTTGTGGGATGGAGAAGTTGGGATCCGAACGGGAAAATTTCTTGGATTTTCCATTCTGGAAGAATGTGACCTTGACCAGAGGCTTGTCCTTCCAGCTGTGGCACCTCAGCACGATGGTTTCTCCCTCCTGGAACTCCAGGTGAGGGGTCTGGAGCACCAGCCACTCTGAAAGACACAAAAAACCGCAGAGGACCCGGGAGGTCTTGGCTCAGCTCTGAGACCCAGATCTTCCTTACTGGTGGGACACGATGTGCAGAGGGAACAGCTTAGGTCTGAAATCAGACAGTCCTGGACTCTAATGCTGGCTCTGTCATTTATGAACTCTTGGGCAAATAATTTAAGTCTTCTGAGCCTCAGTTTCCTCATTCGTGAAAATGAGCATGATAGTGTCATGTATCTACAATAGCCCCTAGCACATAATAGGTGTTCAGGATACACTCATCTCCTCCTTCTCCCAGGAAGGCAGCTGCAGCCTTTTCCTGCCCGACAGGCCTCTGCAGGAAGAACACAAGAGACCCTAAGATGCCATCTCTTCCATGTCGAGGAGGGAAGGAAGAATCCAGTGTGACCGAGGAGTCCGCATATGATAAGGACATATGCCTTTGTGGACAGTAGAAAAGTCATGAATGTGCAACAAATGTTACCTGATGAATGCTACCTGATAAATTTACTTCGGGAATGTTAATAAATGTGGAGCTTCTTTCCAGCAGGGTCTAAAGGCAGCAGTGTCACCAGTGGGTCATTCGTTTGCTGTGTACTTTTGAGGAAAATTTGCTCTTCAGGTGAAGGGAGGGGACTAAGTGAAAAGCCACAAGGACAATGTTCATCACAATCTCATTGTAACTTTGCTTTACAGAGAGCCACCTTTCAATGGGAGCTTTGTAAGATCATCAACCTCTCCAGCAAAATATTTATTAAGCTCTGCCCAGTTTCAGATGCTGGAAATACAAAGATGGGTAAGACACGACTTTCATCTCAGGTTTCCCACAGGCTGGTGGAAGAGAAAGACAGAGAAGAGCACCTAGCACAGTGAGAACGTGGAGAAGGGGCATGGAGGGCGGGGCGGGGGCAGGGAAACACTGATTCTCACCAGAAGCCTCTGAGGGAGGCGTTAGTGCCCCACGGAGCAGGTGAAGAAATGGAAACTCAAGGGTTAAATGAATTCATCATGTTGTATAGTGAGTCATTTCCAGGGCTAGGATTCAGTTGTGGTCTGTGCTTTTCAATTCTGCCATTAAAATGGAAATGGGTTTTATGCAGTAGGGATTTCCTTCTGCTTCTCTCACACTTGGCTGCCTGTTTTTGGCCTTGAAACCTTCTTCTGTTCAATCAGAACTGAGGCAAAAACAACCACTGATATGTGCTGAGGCAACTCACAGCGATACTTCCCAGTAAGCAGGCCACCCCCCTTTCCTGCAAACCTCTGCCTGAAAGCAGATTTCATCCGTCCTGGCCCTCCCAGGTCCACCCTGGGGCCTTCCTCCACTGACCAGAAAGCACAGTCAGATGCACAGGGTCGCTGAGGCTGGTCTGGCCAGTCTGGCACGTGTACTCCCCGCTGTCATTGTTGTTGGCCTTGAACCTGTAGCTGGGCTGCGTGTGGGTGGGAATGAGATTCCCATTGTGGAACCACTGAATGGAGTCGCTCTCAGGGCTGTGAGTCCCCCGGCATGTCAGAGTCACAGAGTCCTCCTGGAGCACGTTGATCCACTGGGGCTCGAGTTTCAGCACAGCCTTTGGGGGAGCTGCTGAGGGGCAGAGAGAGGAGGTAGCATGAAGAAGAGGAAGCCCAGGAGCTTGAGAGGCCCTGAATCTCAGACAAAAAAGCACCTGTAGGCCTACTAGGGGCACCAAAAGCCGAGCCAGGCCCAGAATGGTTCTGCAACTGAAGGCAGTTGCTTTTGCTCATACATCCCACCACAACGGCCCCAGGGAGCCCAGGACTCCGACAGGGCAACAGGGAAGAAGGAGGGAGCAGGCAAGAGAAACACCCTCGAAATACATATACTTTACCTGAGATATCCTCACCAGTTCTTTCTCTCTCTCCCCACCAACCTCTCCCCACCAGCACAGACACACAGACACCCCATACATACATACTCTTTCGAGACTAACTTTTCTCCCCGATAAACAAAGGCATTTAGACACTAGTGGATAAATTTCCCCTGGGGCTGGCTGAAGATAAGTGGGGGCTCTGGTGGAGATGGCAGGCATGGGAGTTGGATATCAGGTTTCCGTTCTGACCTAATGTCATTCTGTATACTTTAAAAACGAGGTCAAGATGGCCCGTCCTCACACCCAAGCATACACGAGCCTCTCTGGCCTCAGAAGGATAAAGAGAGAGGGAGAAAAGCCGGAGGGCCAGTCCTGGAGCGGTGGAGGCTGAGTGGCACAAACACAGAAGTGCCCGGCAAAGTGTAGCCAGAGGTATGCAGAGACCACTCTGTCAGGGAACAGGCCTTGGAGCTCTCAGAAACATGCACAGTCAAGGATTTAGCAACACAGGGGGACAACATATGCAGGCCATGTGATTTTGCATGTGCCTGAATTTTATTTGGAGAGAGGAAGCCCTTGGTTTTATTTGGACAGCGGAAGGCAGTTGAGAGAGAGATCAGAGTTCTCATTTTCTGTGACAGCTCCCCCATTTGAACACCGTGGCTGCCTACCACTTGCCTCCGTGGAAGGAGGAAAAGGAAGGAGGAGAGTGGAAGAGGGAGAGGGGATCTTTCGGGAGCAATTACCCTTTCCTGGCCCTGACTTGGTACTGGGCTCAGTTGCTGGTGCATTTAGAGCACCTCCAGACAGGGCACTGGGAGGAGAGGAAAAGGGGACCCGAGGGAAGGAAAGGCTGTGGGTGGAGTACTTACCAGGTGTCCCAGCAACAGGAGCTGTAAGACAGAAAGCAAAGATCAGCCCACAGTGGAGTGTCTGAACTGACACCTGCCCACTTTGGCCCAGAGACTGCCCAGGCCCAGAGCGCCCTTCACCTACAGCACAGCCCTCGTGGCCATATCCCCTGGGACTGCCTGGATGAGCTGCACTTTTAAAAGGACTGAGAACTCCCAGTAACATACAAAAATGAAATAAAAGTATATAACACCCTCTTCCACCTGTTTTGTGGCATTTTCCTTTGGCTTACCCCTCTTGACTGATTAAAATAAATATGCCTCTGGAAAGAGGTCTCTGTTGGGCTTTACATATGATTTATGCATCAGTATAAATAATTTTGCCAGAGTTTATCCTGAGAGCAAGATTTGTTCTTTTGTTGGGAGGGGGTAGAAATTGCACAGGTAATCCATGATCACTACAGAAAAATAGAAAATACGCAGGAGCAAAATATTATCACCTTGGCATACATCCTGTTGGATTTCTTTCTGTGATCACACACAGACACACGCTGTTCACATACAGACATACATAAGTGTAAATGAGGATATACTCTAAAAACTGTTCTTTAACCTGATTCTTCACTGAGCAATGCAAGTTCTAGAAGATGAATCTGTTTCTATGTTGTCATTTTATTTTATTTTATTTTATTTTATTTTATTTTATTTTATTTTATTTTGTGGGGGGACAGGGTCTCACTCTGTCACCCAGGCTGGAGTGCAATAACGCGATCTTGGCTCACTGCAACCTCCGCCTCCCAGGTTCAAGTGATTCACCTGCCTCAGCCTCCCAAGAGCTGGGATTACAGGCCCGCGCCACCACACCCAGCTAAGTTTTGTATTTTTAGTAGAGAAGGGGTTTCACCATGTTGGCCAGGCTGGTCTGGAACTCCTGACCTCAAGTGATCTACCCACCTCAGCCTCCCAAAATTCTGGGATTACAGGTGTGAGCCACCGTTCCCCGCCCATGTTGTCATTTTAAATGGCTACACTATATCCTACTATTTGGCTGTCCTGTGATTTATTTAACAACTCTTTTGCTTGGCATTTAGGTCTTCCAGATTTTTGCTATTAGAAATATCTGATAAAAGGAAGAAGAGACTGCAAAAGGGCACTAGATCTGTGACTTCATGCAGGGGTAGGGGGATGCCACTGGGTTAAGAAAAGAGCTTCCGTAGTGGAGGCAAAGTGTGGGCTAGGGTAGATAAAGATTTGTGGGTGCTGTTATTGGGTAAAGAAGCAAAGCTGGGTCCTTAGGTGAATCAGAGCTCTGTGTGTGTGTGTGTGTGTATGTGTGTGTGTGTCCATCTGTCCATGGGTGAAGGTTTTCTCTTGCATCTGGGCTGAGAGAAAGTCAAGAAGCTTCCAAGTGCATGTATATTTTCAGGGACAAAAGTACGGAAGGAAATGGAATCAGAACCAAGAGGTAAAAAGGGAGCAATGTGGAGAAAGTGTTGGCTTCAAAGTTTACAGAACTGGATTCTGGTCCCGATGCTCCAATATCTCGAAATATACACTTGGACCAATCACTTCCTTCCTTTGCATCCAAAATTAATCAACAAACCTGCATTGGCTTCCTACTGCCCTGCAATGCATGCTGAGTTCACCTAAGGGAAAAGAACGTTAAGTCCCTACTTCCACTGAAGGCAAGAATCTAACGGTGGAGATAAGCACATGTGTAATCTGATGTAAAAGAGATGACATTAGAGGAATTTGGATAAAATGCTATGGAGGTTCAGAGAAAGAAAAGATCCCAGGGCTCTGTGTTTGGGAGGGTTTGGGGTTCATAAGGAGGGGAATCCTATGGAGAAGATGGGACCTTTCAGGTTCATCAAGGACCTTCCAGGACTGATAGGATTTTGGCTGAGAGGGAAAAGGTATTCCATGGGAAGGAGCAGCAAGTACTTGGCAACATTCCCAGCAAGTTGCAGCCCAACTTCTACTTGATTTCTGGTCTCTCCTCAAGCACTTCCAATAATGAGGGACAAAGCAGGAAAGCAAGGTAGAAGTCATACTCTGGAGGGCTCCTAGTGCCAGGTGGTGTGGCAGTGGGGGAAAGCACATACTGAGTTTAAATGCTGACTCCGCTACTGCTAAGTGACCTTTCACAAATTACTTAACTTTTCTCTGCTTCAGTTTCCTTGCTTGTAAATGAAGATAATGACAGCAGTATCTACCTCATAGGGTGGTTGTTAGGATTAAATGAGATAATCCAGAGAAGGCATTTAGTGTGCTACATGACACATGGTGAATTTCAAATAAATTTAAGTTTTTTTTTATAAGTTCACTCCTTGGTTCAGTATACAGTGGGAAGTCACTTAGAATTTTCAAATTGGGGCTGAAAGTGCAGTGTCAAATAGATTGGAACAGGGCAAATGCCAAAGAGCTTAATTAAGAAAGAAACTAATTGTGATGGAAGAATGAGGTCAGAGAAAAAGAAAAAGAAAAAAAAAAGAGATGACTGTAGTGATCCAGAATATGTGGATAACCCATCAAACAACTGGCCTCTTCATTCCCTGAACTGCTCATCATCAGTAAACTTTCTTTCTTTGGAGATGAACTTTCTCTGCTCAAGTACAGCCACCAGAATAATCTTTGACCTTATCAAGAACCCCAAAGCATCCATCTTACCACTGCCTATCCTTGAGCACATGTTTGCCTTTACCTCCCACCCTCCCCCATCTAGCTTGAATTCAATGAGGCATCATTATAATTACCTCCTTGCAAATCCCCTTAACTTCGTTGCCTTTCTCTGTCTCTACCAAATGCACCTGTATTCGCCATGCCTTTACTTGCTCAGCTGCGTGTTATTGAAATTACCACACAAGAAGGCAAACTGTTGACGCAGTAAATGTGCGATCACCGCATTCAAAAGGACACTGAACTGCCATTGTGGCACTTTTTTCCAAGAAATTTGCTCTGCTACTCTGAGTAGTGACACTCATCTTTTCCTCATTCCCCAAGCTTTCTCATCCCACCCTCTGCCTCCAGTCCTCTCTCATTTTTAGCTGATGCCTTTCCTCATATTTCACAGAGAAAACAAAAGAGGTTACACAGAAGATCTCACATCGTCCCCCGACTAAATCTACCAGTCTTTTCTGCATCTCTACCTGTCTTCTCCTTCCTCGCATTTCACTGGAGAAAGCATCTCTCCTCCTGTCTATGGTCAGTCTCAAAGCAAGTACTCTGGATCCCATTCCCTTTAATCCTCTCAAAGATTTCCCTTTCTGTTATTCACTTTCTCCTCTGCATCACCAGTTTCTCTCTTAGCTGGATCTTCCCATCAATGGTAAATTTATTTCAGTATCTTCCATTAAAAACAAAAAACAAAAAAAAACTTTTCCTTGACACCACATATAATTCCAGCTACTGCCCCATTTCTCTCGGTTTTTGTTGTTGTTGTTGTTTGCTTCACCCAGGCTGGAGTGCAGCGGCACCATCTCAGTGCACTACGACCTCCGCCTCCCAGATTCAAGCAATTCTCCTGCCTCAGCTTCCCAAGCAGCTGGGATTACAGGCATGCACCACCACGCCCGGCTAACTTTTGTATTACCACCACATCCGGCTAATTTTTGTATTTTTAGTAGAGATGGTGTTTCACCATGTTGGCCAAGCTGGTCTTGAACTCCTGACCTTAAGTGATCCACCCACCTCGGCCTCTCCAAGTGTTGGGATTACAGGCATGAGCCACTGTGCCTGGCCTGTCTCATCCCTTTCAAAACTAAATTTCTCCATTGTTTTTCTTACATAGGCTGTCCTGATTTCTTCTCCTCTCATTCACTGTCTAATTCTCTGCAATTTGGACTCGGCCCTCAGCAGTCCACTAAAACTTTTCTTGTCAAAATCACCAATGGCTTCATGTTGTCATAGCAAGTGGACACATTCTGTTTCTCTCCGTCTTCCCCATGTCAATATGTATCTTCGTTATCCACCCAGCTACATAGGCCAGAAACCTGCAAGCCATCTTTTAACCTCTCTGTCTCCCAAAATCCAGTCCCTTCCACACCAGGAAGTCTTGTTGATCCTGCTTCCAACTTAGATCTTGCACCCACTAACTTCTCTTCACCCCCTTTATAGACACTACTCAGTTTAAGTCAC
This sequence comes from Homo sapiens, assembly GCF_000001405.40. NCBI lineage: Eukaryota > Metazoa > Chordata > Mammalia > Primates > Hominidae > Homo > Homo sapiens. The sequence continues at coordinate 161,666,156 of NC_000001.11, read as the reverse complement.
CATCAGCTTTTTCCCATATCTTAATTTGTCCCCTCACTTCTTATGGTCACCCTACAATCCATTTTCCATAAAGAAGCTAGTTCCTTAAAAAAAAAAAAAAAACGAAATCAGATGATATCACTCCCCAACTTACAAGCCTTCAGTTGCCTTTCTTTGGTCTTAAAATAAAATGGAAATGGCCTGCAAGCCCTATCAAATTGGGTCCGTGCTTCCTTCTCCAGCCTCAGCTCAGATCCCTTTTCACCTACTCATTGAGCCTCATTAACACTGGCCTTCCTGGCATTCTTCAAATTTGGGGATTTTCTGTATGCCAATCCCTCTACCCTGAAATGCGTCCTTGATCACCAAATGGCTGAATCCTTACCATGTTGAAAGTCTCAGCTTAAATGTCACCCCCTCAGAAAACTCTTTACATAACATCCTGTTTAAAGTGGGCTGCTCTCTTCTCTTCCCCACAACTAATCTTATCACAGTACCCCGTTTACATCTTCATAGCCCTTTTCCATTTGTACTTATGCCTTCTTGTTTGTTTACTTACCGTTTATATCCCTCAGTAGAATATAAATTCAAAGAGAGCAGTAGCCATATTAATTTGATGTGCCATTGCTCTGGAAATCATTCACTGGTTGAATCTAGGTGGGAGATAAGAGAGCCCAAAGTTGTACTGACAATAGGAGGTGAAGAAGAGGAAACAGATGCAGAAGAAATTTAAGTGGCAGAGAGAAGTTGGCATTTAATAGACTGTGGGGGTGATTTAAGTTGGATAACTAGGAAAAGGGTGGCTGCGCTTACGCAAATACAAATGTTAGGAGGAAGAGAACATTTGTAAGGAGGAGATGATAAGTTGCATTTTGAATATGCTTTGTTTTTGAGCTGGAGAATCATTTTAGAGGTGTCCAACCAGCAGTGGAAATATAAAATTATACTTGACAGAAGCAAGCAAGAGAAATAGGTTTAGGAGTTATTGACATAGAAGTGGTAGCTAAAAACCTGAGTATGTAAGATTGGCAAGGGGGACGGTGTAGTGGGAGAGAGAGTAAAAAAGAAGAGGAAGAGCGAGAGAAAAAAAAGGAAAAGATGAGGAAAGGAGAGAGAAGTCACCAATTATGTATCCATTCCACAGTTAATAAATAGTAGTAAATACCAAATATCCTCCCACCCGGTGTACTTATTGCTTCACAATAAGTTCATTGACCTCGTATTTCCGGTCAGGAAGGCTGTCAGTCATGTTCACTGATAAGTCTCCAAGTCCTAGAACAGTGCCTGCACATAGAATTTGGAGAGTCAGCAGGAGCAAAGGTGGTAAAAACAGAAAGTGCAGTGTACATACTGCCTGGCTGTAGAAGAAGATTCATGTGGGGTGCAATGGAGAACACAGTGTGCAGGGCAGAATTAGAGTTTTTGCAGTGGGCAATGGAGCAGCACGGAAGGCATTTATTAAATGCACTGACACAGCCATAGCTGGACCTGAAGATGCCGTGGCCTTGGTGGGCAGCATGGATGCAGGGGAGGGGAGACAGGATCAATCAAGACCCCATCAGAGGGTGCTATAAAAATTGAGTTATCAAGTGATGAAGACGTAAATGTGGCAGCCCCAATAAGAATGGAAAAAATGGGGTAAATCTTTGATGACTTAGTAAAAGGCAAATGGGAAAAAATACCAAAGATCTTTCCCAGGAGTCTTGCCCAGGTGGTAGAGAAGCACATCACCTCTCTAGGCCTGAACTTCCCCACATGACAAATGAGGTAGTTCACTTTACTTTCTCTTCTACTTTAATCCATTCCATCCTATTCATGGGGGAATACTCTGTCTTCCTTACCTCTTTCTCCTGTAGCCCAGTATCATCCTGCATTGACAGCCAAGAGCCGAGGGCCCCCAGAGCTGATCACGTTTCACTAGTAATCACATCACACAACTTGGCTGAGTGGCAATATGCTTTCCTCTAGAATGTGAGGGTGGAAGCCCCAGGAACTGAGCTTGGAGAGATAGTCCTGGCAGTAAGTCTCCCCTACTTGGCCTCCCCTAGGCTTTTCAAACCACTCAGCAAAATCAGTCGTCGTCCCCTATCCAACAGCTGAGAACATGGTTAGAAAAGAGCCCTCCATTTTGGCCAAAGACCCTGTCTCTCTTGCTGATCAGATGCAGTACTTCCCCATCATGGTCTGTGTGGTCAAAAGCAGCATGCATGATTTCTCTGGTCCCACAACAGATGACTCCAGACTTACCCAGGTTTTTGTATTCTCAGAGTCCCTTTTCCCTGGATAACCCAGATCTCCCTGTGCTTCTGCCTAGGGGAATATTCTTACACATGAAGACAATAGGCTTCTGCTACACAAAGTGGTTTCAGGGGCACAGAGAATGGCCACTGCCACCTCCTCCCAAAAATGCATCTTACAACTTCCTCCCTACCCCTTACCCAAGGCAGCACTGGCCCTCCTGCCTAAGATTTGGTCTTTTGTGAAGCATAAATTTCAAAGAAGGCAAACACTCTGGCCATTCATTTATCATTCAAGTATAGGTTACTAGACTTTTCTCAGAGCGGGTTCTGATGTGGAAAGCAACAGAACATCAAGAGTCTGGGTGTTCAGTAAGATTGGGTGAAAGACACTGAAAAAACCCTGAACTCTGCCACATTGGATGACTTTCCAAAGCCAGCAGAGTCATCAGGGTTTCATCTTCACCAGCCTGCCTTCCCTCCCCTGGGTGTCCTGACGGTCTTCCCATGCCACCCCTCATCCTTGCCCAGGGTTATCCCCAACTGAGGTTCCCGTTCCTCTCTCCCTCCTGGGGGCCCTGACTCACCCAGGAATAGCACAGCTGTCCACAGAAGCATATGACCCCAAGGCTGGGGGGACTTGCAGTCAGCCCAGTCACTCTCAGTGGCAAGGACAGGTAAGAATGACAGGATTCCCATCACTCCCTGGAGCGAGCTGGCGCCCAGAGCACAGCAGTCACAGCCTTCTCTCAAAGCTTGGCGGATTCTACCCTAGAGGGCAAACAAATTCTGGAGTCTGAAAGGGGAAGTGAAAAAGAAATGTTCTGTTTTATCACAGGCTCCTCCCTTTCCACCCTCTTTCCTCTCAGTCTTTCCCTCCTAGAAGATTCAGAGCTTCCCAGAATAAATCTGGTGTAGCCCATGTTCAAATTCACAGAAATTTTAGAAACTAGGGAAACAACTCCCTTCTTCTTCCTCTGAGGCCACAGCTGGCCTGGGCCTCTGGGAGAAAGAGGGAAATGGTCACCAAAACTCAGCTCAGAACCTCCTGTTTCAGTCTCTATCCTCCTGAGAAAGGGTGATGCAGGACAGCGTGCACCAGCAATCTTCTAGTACTTCTACTTCCATTTGGAGACCCAGGCCCTGGAATCTGGATGCTTCTTGAAATTGAGCATGGGGACTCCAGGCCACCTACCATCATTTAATTTTCTCTATTGTCATAATCCCAGACTCACTGCTGAGTTGTGGAACAAGGACAAGGAGGTATGTCAGGATGGCAATAGAATGACCACACTCATCCTCATTATTCCCCTGCCCTCATTCATTCTTTTTCTTATTCATTCTTCTATTTAATGAATATCCCAATAAGTATCTATTGAGCACCAATCTGTGCCCTGGTTTTGTATCTTGGTCATTTTTGCCACCCTCATTTCCATCCCTGTTCTCACTGCAACGGCATGGTGAAAGAGCATGGGCTTTGGAGCTGTGTTAGGTTTCGGGTTGAATGCCAGGTGGCTTCTCAGAGTGTCAGGTTCCAATCTGTAAAAGTGAAGATTATTGTGCCTACCATTTAAGCACGGTTTCTCAGCCTGAGCACTATGGACATTGTGGGCCAAATTATTCTTGTGAGGACCTTCCCTGAGCATTGTAGGATGTTCCGCAGCACTCCTGGGCTCTACCTGTTAGATGCCAGTGGCACTCCCAGTTGTGAAAACAAATATGCCCCCAGATATTAGCAAGTGTTCCCCAGGGGATGAATTGCCCCTGGCTGAGAACCACAGTACTACAGGTTTTTGGAAAGTAAAAGAGAATATGAGGGTTAGCAAAGTGCTTGGTACATCGTGGGTGTCCGGTGAATGCTAGTTCTCTTTTCTTGCGTTCTGTCATCATCCTCATTACCATTTGTTCACCCTCAACATCTCCAAAACACGAGTTTCTCTGGAATCTCTCCTGGGGCCCCTTTCTGGGGACTCTTTCCCAAATGCCTTCTCAGGAAGCAGGCTGTAATACTTTAATACTTAAGGAAATGACACTGTAAAACCTTGTTATCACACTCTGTGGTCTTCAGAAACCTTCGACAGCCCCACCCACTCTGACGCGTGCTTTTACTACTGCCCCCGTTCTACCCCCAGATCCATCTCCAGCTCTTATCTAATTTTTAGGTTAAAAATTAGTTTTTTTTTTAACTGGCAATGTGATAACAATGAGCTGGCATCAATACTTTATAAATATCATTAGAAACAAAGGCATACAATATATAGGTAACACACTAAGAAACCAAAATTAATAGTTACTATGTAAGCATGTGAATTCTTACTGTAAAACCAAGGGTATCTGAGACAGGTGGCAATTAATTTAGAAGTTTATTTTGCCAAGGTTAAGGACATGCCTGGAAGAAAACAACACAGAATCACAGAAACAGTATGTGGTCTGTGACTTTCTCCAAAGATGAATTTGAGGGTTTCAATATTTAGAGGAAAAGCAGGCTGGAGGGGAAAGAGGAAGAGTATGGTAATCCACGTGTTGTAAGGGAAAAGTAGCAGGTAGGGGAATAGTCAATTATGTGCTGTCTTGCTCTCGGTAAATTGGCACTTCATGTAAGATAAGGTAGAAACGAGTAACCTGTGGAGTTTTTCCTTTCTTTCTTTCTCTCTCTTTCTTCCTTTCTTGCTTCCTTCCTTTCTTTCTTTCTTTCTTTCTTTCTTTCTTTCTTTCTTTCTTTCTTTCTTTCTTTCTTTCTTTCTTTCTTTCCTTTCTTCCTTCCTTCCTTCTTTCTTTCTTTCTTCCTTTCTTTCTTTCTCTTTCTTTTTCTTTCTTTCTTACTTGCCAGAGTCTCTCTTTCTTTTTACTTTACTTTACTTTCTTTCTTGCCAGAGTCTCACTCTGTCGCCCAGGCGGGAGTGCAGAGGTGTGACCTCGGTTCACTACAACCTCCGCCTCCCGGGTTCAAGCGATTCTCCTGCTTCCTCCTCCCAAGCAGCTGGAATTACAAGCATCTGCCACCACGCCCTGCTAATTTCTTTCTTTCTTTTTTTTTTTTTGTATTTTTAGTAGAACTGAGGTTTTGCCATGTTGGACAGCCTGGTCTTGAACTCCTGACCTCAAGTGATCCACCCACCTTGGCCTCACAAAGCGCTGGGATTACAGGCATGAGCCAACACACCTGGCCATCTACGGAGATTTTTAATCTTTTCTCTGTAGCTATCTGCTTAGGATCCAAAGGAAAGTCAGTATCTTGCACGACTCAGCTTTCAGTTTAATTTGTTTTTTCTTTTGGCACAGTGTATTGGAATCCTGAGTTTTTATTTTCCTTTCACATTATTACTATGGAGGAGGCACTAGACTCACATTATTTCTAATTTTCAACAATCCCAGAAGATAAGTATTATCACCCTCATTTGCACATGAAGAACTTAGATTCAGAGAAGTTAAAATGATTTGTCCAAAGCTACATGGTTAATAAGTGGTGGAGTCAGAATATGAAACCAAGTCTGCCTGACGCTAAAGACTTAGGTTTTCTACAACACTAAATGAGCTTCACAAACAGTATGCAGGGACCACCTACATGCCTTGTATGAGTAACCAGCACACAGAACTAATGAGTGGCTCTCAGGCCTAGGAATAGCCAGGTAGGGCCAGTTGCCCCTGGCTGTAAGCAGCCTCATTTGTTTATAACTTTACTTGTGTGGTTTTCTCTGTGCCACGATTTAAAAATGATCAGGAAGTCCTACACAGTGCACATGCTACTTCCCTGAATTGTCTCAGGATCCAAATACCACTACTAGACATTTGACTGAGACAAAAGAACCAGACAATGTCTTTTAGATGACTTATTAAAGGAGATAGACACAGAATCAGGTAGGGCATTTCCAAGGACACTAAATCAAAACAGAAATGAGTCTCTTTTTCCCATCACGGCTGGGAAAGGGAAAGCACAAAATACAAGGAGATATTTCTAAAACAAAATGGTTAAAATAGAGGGGCACACTATTTATTAAAACTGAAATATGTCAGTCAGAAAGGAAAATTCTTGGGCGGGGCCCAGTGGCTCACACCTGTAATCCCAGCACTGTGGGAGGCCTAGGTGGGCAGATCACTTGAAGTCAGGAGTTCAAGAGCAGCCTGGCCAACATGGTGAAACCCTGTCTCTATAAAAAATAAAAATTAGCTGGGCGTGGTGGCGCATGCCTTTAGTCCCAGCTAATTGGGAGGCTGAGGCACGAGAATCGCTTGAACCCGGGAGGCAGAAGTCGCAGTGAGCTGAGATCATGTCACTGCACTCTAGCCTGGGCAACAGAGCAAGACTTTTCTCTAAGGAAGAAAAGAAAGGAGAATTCTTTGAAAGGGACGATTTTATATAAAATGTGTATTCTGGTAAGGGGAAAAGTATGAATAACTCAAAAATCATGAGAACCCATAATGAAGATGCTTGGAGACAGACCCAGATCAAGAGCCTCATCTTGTCTCTTATCAGCTGTGCAGTCTTGGATATCTTATTTATCCTTTTTTTTTTCTTTTGACAGAGTCTTGCTCTGTCACCCAGGATGGAGTGCAGTGGCACGATCTCAGCTCACTGCAACCTCCACCTCCTGGGTTCAAGCGATTCTCCAGCCTCTGCCTCCCGAGTAGCTGGGATTACAGGCATGTGCCACCACGCCCAGCTAATTTTGTATTTTTAGTAGAAACGGGGTTTCACCATGTTGGCCAGGCTGGCCTTGAACTCCTGACCTCAAGTGATCTGCCCACCTCGGCCTCCCAGAGCGCTGGGATTACAGGTGTGAGCCACCGTGCCTGGCCTATTCATGCTTTGTAAGCTCTGTTGTCTCATCTGTGAAATGGAGATTACATTAGTACTCACCTTATAACATGAAGATTAAATGAGAAAATCCATAAATAATGCTAAACACAGAACCTGCCATATAAATTTAGTCTTAATCATTATTATCATTAAAAGGCTAGAAGAATCTAGTCTCTGCTTCCAGTTGGGACTAGTGTTTATAGACCCACTTTGGGAAGGCAGATTAATGTTATAAACTCAAATGGTTCCAATTTTACATACTCTCAGATTCCAGCCTCTTGATTCAGAATGTACTCCTTTCTTTTTGTTCTGCTTGGTTGAATTTTGTTTCTCTTCCTCTTAATATCCTGACCACAGGCTCAGTGAATCCCTGTGGTTGTTTTTATCAATCCTCTCTACAGTTTCCTCCTTATAGCCACTTCCCCACAAGCTGAGACAGCCAGGCACTACAGTCAGCTGCCAACCCCAAAGGAGAGGGAAGCCTGGCAGAGAAGGCAAGCACCAGGAAAACAAACAAAAAGGATGATTGACTGATGGAGGCTCTGGTTGGAGAGGCCTCAGCCAGGTCTAAGCATCAGCCACACCTCCTCAGGGAATTCAGGTCTTTGTGTTAAAGCATCATCATCTCTAACAACCCATTAGAAATGCAAATACCCGGCCAAGAGTGGTGGCTCACACCTGTAATCCCAGCACTTTGGGAGGCCAAAGTGGGTGGATCACTTCAGCCAGGGAGGAGGGAGAGAGTAACATTTCTAAGTTTTATGGCTTGCTTTGGGGAAGAGGGATTTTGGTTTCTATGACTTGCTTCAGGGGAGAAGGAAGGGTAAAGGACAGAAGGGCAAGAGAATGTCAGAGAGACCTTGCTTCTGAGGTCTTCCAATCTCCCTTAGTTCAAAGCACTCAGCAGGCCAAAGTGCCATATATTGGGGTATTGTTTCTGTGCCCCAGCTGGCAACACTGGGTAAAATTGGAAATTAGTCAATGCTTATCATCATTAGGAACATGGTGGTTAGAACCAGGAAGAACTTGTAAAAAGTATCCAATTATTGGTGAAAGAACAGACAAATAGATTAATGGAACAGAATAGGGAGCCCCCAAATAGGCTCACATGAATAGAGTCAACTGATCTTTCACAAAGAAGCAAATGCAAAGCAACTGAGAAAAGTCATTAAAGACCCTCGTTTCAGAGGAGTACTGCCCCACACCCAGGAGGAAGGAATGGTACACAGGCCAAGAAGAATCTAAACACACAGGCCTTGCTAAGTTTTCCCCATCAGTCTGTTAGCATCAGACTCTACCCTTTATCCAGTCACATTTCTACAGGGCTAGGCATTCCTCATTGAACCTAAGCATAAAAACAGAGTCTTCCCTGAGTCTTTGGGTCTTCATTTCAGAAGGCTCCTGCATCATGTAAAATTTTGATAAAATAAAATAAAACTTTGACAAACTTTTCTCTTGCTAACTCATCTTTTGTTATAGGAGTGTCAGCTATGACGCTCATGATGGGCAAGGAAAGTTATCACAACTTTCCACCTCTATGAAGCTCCAGATTCTACTCTCTCTTCAATGATGATTTTCAGTATGAGGGTGCCCAGTCTGCCACAACCTGTCAGGGACAGAAGAGAGTTGAGATCTTAGGTAACCCCTGGGCAGGCTCATCTCTGGGGCAACACACAGAAGGGTGAGGACAAAGAGATAGCTTACTGTAAGTGCCACCCTAAAAAGGTGCTAGCCAGGAAGGAAGATGTAAGCCATCCCCTGGAGAGAAAGCAGAAGGGTCGAGAACCGGAAATGTCCATTAATCAGGTATCCAAAGAAGAAGGACTGATGTGTGAGGAGTCAGAAGCAGAAGGGAGGGTGCCGGGTCCAGGGCCAGTTTGAAACAAATCGTGTCAGCCAGGCATGGTGGCTCACGCCTGTAATCCCAACACTTTGGGAGGCTGAGGCAGCCAGATCACTTGAAGTCAGGAGTTCGAGACCAGTCTGACCAGCATAGTAAAACCCCATCTCTACTAAAAATGTAAAAATTAGCCAGCTGTGGTGTCACACACCTGTAATCGCAGCTACTTGGGAGGCTGAGGCAGGAGAATTGCTTGAACCCAGGAGGTGGAGGTTGCAGTGAGCCAAGATCATGCCACTGCACTCCAGCCTGGGCAGCAAAGCAAGACTCTGTCAAAAAAGAAAAAAGAAAAAAGAAAAAAGAAACAAATCTTGCCACCATCAAGTTCCCATCATCCATTTCTCTTTGTGCATTTATTGGCAGATTGTTAAGGCAGGACAGATCCTAAAAGTGATTGGAATGTAAATAAAGGAGATCTCTGCCTCTACTAAATAAATACACAATAAAAATTAAAAGGAGATCTCCTCTGACCAAGGTATTTCAGTAAAGTTGCAAATATGAAGGTAAGTATTGCTGCTGGTTGAGTAGTCTTATGGAAAAGCCCTTCAATCGGGTCGCGGTTTATCGTTCTAGAAACTGGGAAAAGTATTTTGTACGAGAGGACAGTGGAGGTTCCTGCTCAGCATCTGTTCTTTCCTGTGGCCTCCAGTCTCAGTAGAGACCCTAGGAGAAGAGTTTACTGTGACTGGAGCAGAAGAGCAGGCTGCAGTTAACTTGGTCCCTGGCAGAATTACAGAAGTAAAATGAGGTCTTCAGGAATCACTGGAGGGAAATGATACTGAGAGTGGCAATAGCAACAAATTCTGAGCAGGAAAGCAATAACTCATGGGGATCAACTAGTGACTGATTTACTCAACCCATATGCAGTGCTCTAACCCAATGTTGACTCTGCTAGGTAAGAAAGATGGGGTGGGGATGGATGGGAGGAAGAAATGAAGAAATGAGAAGAACAGTGGTCTCTGTCCTGAGGAACCCTCATTACAATGGGAAAGATAGGATACATGCAGGAGACAGATATAAAAACAATACAAACCTATCCTGTGCTTCACCTGAATTAGAGCAGAAAGTCGTAGAATTAAAAATTGAGGCTGGGCACGACGCCTGATGCCTGTAATCCCAGCACTTTGGGAGGCCGAGGCAGGTGGATCACCTCAGCTCAGGAGTTTGAGACCAGCCTGGCCAACATGGTGAAACCCCATCTCTACTAAAAATACAAAAAATTAGCCAGGGGTTGTGGCACGTGCCTGTAATCCCAACTATTTGGAAGGCTGAGACAGGAGAATTGCTTGAACCCGGGAGGTGGAGGTTGTAGTGAGCCGAGATCACGCCATTGCACTCCTGCCTGGGTGACAGAGTAAGCGACTCAGTCTCAAAATAAATAAATAAATAAATAAATAAAAATTGAGGAAAAGTGTGAGTGTTAGAAGAAACAATTGATTATAGAGCCAAAATATCTAATCAGAAAGATTGTGATTTCAGACATATCTGCATAATCTCTCTTCTTTACCTCCTCCCCCTGTAGCCCACTATCACCCTGCATTGACAGCCAAGAGCTGAGAGCCCCCGGAGCTGATCAGATTTCACTAGCAATCACAGCACACAACTTGGATGAGTGGCAATATGCTTTCCTCTAGAATGTGAAGGTGGAAGGCCCAAGAATCGAGCTTGGAGTGATAGTCCTGGCAGTAGGTCTCCCCTACTTGGCCTCCCATAGGCTTTTCCAACCACCCAGCATGATCGGTCCCTGTCCCCTGTCCAACAGCTGAGAATATGGTCAGAAAAGAGCCCTCCAATTTGAAGGGTAGTTCTGAATATTAAGGTACTTCTGAATAGTAAGAAGTAATAACATAAATATATGAAGAATATAGTAGCTCAGAGAAACAGGCTTGCACCATGAAGGGTTAGGACAGTCATAAAATGGAAATCATGTTTATATGAGAAACAACATAGCCTCAAGGGAAACAAAAGCCAGTATCAGGCTTTGGTGAAAACTTAGAACAAGGAGAGATTGTAAACTAACCAGAGGTGTGAAGAGCAAATAGCAGAGCCTACCTACATAGCACAACTCCTGCCTGCATGGCCATCAGGACACAGTCAGTGCCGACCTCAAGGACACTTTTGATGATAACTTTTAAAACATACCATTTTACTTTCTGCTTTTTAGATTATCAAGTCATGTGAGAAACAGATAACTTCATCTAATTTCTGTGCTTAAATTCATTATGCCCTGCCATTCTGGTGATTTTTCATTTTGGACTTGGCCATTTTGATTTGTGGTATAAAAACAGCTGTGAAAACCAGCCTCATTAAAATGTTTTCATTAGAAACACCCCCCAAAAAAACCTGTATTAATTAGAAACACCTGAAAAAAAACAGATAATACACAAAGTGATAACTTTTCTTGAACCCATCAGAGTGCTGAGGTAGTGAGGCAACCAAATACCCTGAAATCTAAGAAAAGACAGGTGTTTCTAAAGAGGGCTAGGATATGAGCACAGGCTCACCTGTAAGACAGCGTGGAAGGAAGGCAGGGCTACCATTCAAATGGGTTAGAAGAATTCAGCTAAAATTTTTAATAAATCGCTGAAAGCCAGATGTGGCCAAGAACTGAGAGCTCATGATACAAGGGCCATTCCTACGCATTTGAAGCATCTTCATGGGCCTCCACCAGAGCTCATGAAAAGCTTGTGGCCAGGGAATACATACCTAGGTAATGGAGCAGCCATCATTCTGGGAAAGGCATGAAGCCCACCTGAATCCTTTTTTCTAAGGAACAAATGTCTTAAATCACTGGAAGAAGGGCCCAGGGCACAGGAAAAGAGCCCATTACACCTGGAGGAAAGGAACAGGAAAAAACAACAACAACAACAACAAAAAACAAACATCTCTCTACCCTTGGGGAAGGGGCTGGAAACCATCCCGAGCCTAGATGATTACAGGTCTTCTACCATTGGGTGAGATCTAGGATCACTGAAAAAGCCCTGTCCTCAAGATCCAGGGACAGAAGGCCCGACTAAAACTGAGGCGGGACTAGAACAGCTGTCACAGCCCCACACGTTCTTCTTAGCCACTGCCCTGAAAAAATCAATAAGAACAGCGGCTATTGCAGCAAAGAAAGAGTTTAATAATCACAGGGCCAGCCATGTGAAGAGAGCAAGCAGCAATTTCTCAAACACATCTCCCTGACAATTCAGAGACTAAGGTTTTTCATGGGTACTTTGGTGGGCAGGAGGCTTGGAAACTGGAACAATCGATTGGCTGGGGATGAAATTACAGGGGTGTCTAAAGCTGTCTTCACGCAGCCAAGTCAGTTCCCAGGAGTGGGTGGATCTCAGGACCTAGTGGCGTCTCTTGGTCTACTGAAATGTTGAATCTGAAAAATACCTCGAAGACTCGTTCTTCAGGGTTCACAATAGTGATGTTATCTATAGGAGTAGTTGGGGAAGTTATAAATTTTGCAATCCCCGGTTACGTGACTCTGGTGCAGTAAGCAACATGCTACTGTAAGGACACATGGAAAGCAAGGAAGTGAGGAAGACACACTAAGCAATGGCAGGTCATTGTTTAACTGAGTCTATTCTTCAGCAAAGTTAAAGTCCCTACCGTATTTTAACCTTGTCTTATGAATGCAGTTTCAATCTTGAACAAGGAGGGAGATCAGTTTCCCTTGACTCAAAGTTTAACTATAAACGTCACTCATAGCTATTTTGACCTCCATGCTAGAATAAGAAAAAAAAAACTCGCCTGTGGGTTAGAAGCAGGATGGAGTCAGTCATGTTAGATTTCTCTCTTTATTCGTTTATTTTTTATTTTTATTTATTTATTTATTTATTTATTGAGATGGAGTCTTGCTCTGTCACCCAGGCTGGAGTGCAGTGGTGGGATCTTGGCTCACTGCAAACTCTGCCTCCCTGGTTCAAGCAATTCTCCACCTGCCTCAGCCTCCCAAGTAACTGGGATTACAGGTGCCTGCCACCATGCCCAGCTAATTTTGTATTTTTAGTAGACACTGGATTTCACCATCTTGGCCAGGCTGGTCTCGAACTTCTGACCTCAGGTGATCCACCTGCCTCAGCTTCCCAAAGTGCTGGGATTACAAACATGAGCCACCACGCCCAGCCAGATTTCTCTCCTTATTTATATATATATTCTGCAAAGGCAATTTCACAACAGATAAACCTCTGCCCTACCTCCCAGCCTAGCAAGTACTGAATAAGAAGCAAAAGTACTCTGCCACTGAAGAGAGAATCTCTGAGGTGCAGGCACATACTTTAGAAAGTCCTAAAGTTGGGGTAGTGCAGGAAAATTGAGAAAATACCATCCGGGAATACCGGTGTCTCTTGGTCTACTGAAATGCTGCCTCCACCCAAGCACAAGATAACACTAGAAGAATTTGAAGGTAACTATGGCAATAATAAAACCCGAACCCAGCTCAACTCTTGACTAGATTGGCCCACACTAAGAGCTTACCAGAATAAGAGGGGTGCTCATTTCCAATCATAAATGCAATTTACCTCAGTCCCTACTGTCCTACATATAATGTCCAGAATTCAATAAAAACAATGAGCCAACACAGAAAAGCAAGGTTTAAAAATCCTGTCAACAGACAATGCAAGCAATAGAAACTGCTAAAAGATGATTCAGATGTTGGTACTATCAAATAGGGAATTTTAAAATCAAACCATTAATTACAACCATACTTAACATGTTAAAGGCTCTAGTGGAAAAGGTAGACAACATACATAAACAGATGGGGAATTTCAGCAGAAAGATAGAAACTATATGAAGAGTCAAATGGAAATGTTAGCAAATTTTGAAACAGAGTAAAAGAGAAGAGGAATGTATTTGACAGGGTCATCAGTAGATGCCATACAGCTGAGAAAAAAAAAAATCAGTACTTTGAAAATGGGTTCATAGAAATTACCCAAACTTAAATTCAAGGAGTAAAAAAAAAGAAAATAGAACAGAACACCCAAGAACTGTGGGACAATGTAAACTGGCCTAACATATATGTAATTGAAATCCCAGAGAATAGAGAAAGAATGGGAGAGAAGAAACATTTAAAGAGAAAATGGCCAACAATTTTTCAAAAATAATGGAAGTTATTAAACCACAGATCCAAGAAGGACAAAGAAGCATAGGCAGACTAAAATACACACACACACACACACACACACACACACACACACACACACACTCCTAAACATATCATATTTAAACTGCTGAAAATCACAGATAGAGCATTATTAAAATGCCCATAGATCTTTATTTTATTTTATTTTATTTTATTTTATTTTATTTCAGTTTTTGAGATGGAGTTTCGCTCTTGTTGCCCAGGCTGGAGTGCAATGGCACAATCTCAGCTCACCACAACCTCTGCCTCCTGGGTTCAAGCAATTCTCCTGCCTCACCCTCCCAATTAGCTGGGATTACAGGCATGCGCCATCACGACTGGCTAATTTTGTGTTTTTAGTAGAGATGGGGTTTCTCCATGTTGTCAGACTGGTCTCAACTCCCGACCTCAGGTGATCCACCCCCCTCGGCCTCCCAAAGTGCCAGGATTACAGGTGTGAGCCACTGCGCCCGGCCAGATCTTTATTTTAAAAATTTTGATTGGAGAGCTAGGATGCCAGTGCCACCACTCTAGCCAGCCACAAAGGAGATAATCAGAAGTTATATTGGCGGAAATGTCAAAATATCTAAATCTTTCTCTTGGCCAACTAAACTGGCTGGAAGATTTTAAAAGAAAAGTTTTCTAAGATATGAAGATAAGCAAAAGAAGAGTACAGAGCCTAGTTTCTAATGCACGATAATACTTTGCTTCCAAAATAAACGGGAACCCAGACCTTGTTTTCTGATCTTCCCTTCAAGACCAAAACCTCAGGCCATCTCCTCATCTGCAGTTTTCCTTATCTCTCCCTTGGCAGAAGAAGTCATTTTTCTTTCTGAATCTCAAAGTTTTCTTCCCCGAGTTGTCCTAAATGTTGCATTGGGCCCTATCACTGGAAATGCCTTTTTTACTCTAAGCCCAGGGAGAACTCAGAATTCTCTCACTTCTCTAAGAAGTGATTTATGAACCCCAGGGGCACTATGCAGTCTTTTACGATGTACCCTTGCAGTTTGCAGGGCCAAAATACTCTGAAGTCATTCACCATCTGTTTCATCACGACTTACCAGGGTTCCCCTCCTGGTGTCCCTCTGATGACTCCCCTTACTCTCCCTGAACACTCCTCTGTCTTCACCTGTCCATTAAATATTGGTGTTTGTTCAGCTTTCTGTCCTCTACATAATTCTCTATCAATAATTTTCTAAGTGAGAAGAGACCCCCTCAAAGGGTGCATCAGAACTGGAGGGGGAAGGAGAGGTAGAGGTGTAATTTTAAAAGCCTTTTTAGCATTATAATACAATTTAATACTTGTAAACTTGACAAACTAGATATGAAAATTAAGATAAAATTAAACAAAGTATGTTTATGTTCAAAGAGGTTGAAAATGAACTTTAAAGGGCTAAGAAACGTGATCCTGCATATGTCTTACTACTTCTAAATGATTTTATCTACATTCTTGGCTTCCTCTACACCAGTGGTTCTCAACAGAGTTGGTTTTGCCCCCCGCTCCCAGGGGACATTTGCCAATGTTTGGAGACACTTTTGGCTATTACAACTGGAGAGGGCTTCCCCTGGCATCTATTGAGTGGAGGCCAAGAAAGCTGCTAAATGTCCTCCAGTGGAGAGCATAGCCCCCCACAACAAAGAATTATCTGGCCCCCTGTGTCAATAATGCTGAGAATGAGAGCCTTGCTTCACTCCCTATATGCTGATGACTCCTCAGTCTTTATCTCCGGCCAACACTTTTCTACTTAACTCTAGAAAGATACATTAATATATTTATCATATATAATATATATAATATAATGATAGCTACCTACTAGGCATTTCCACTTCAAAACTTTTTTTTGGCAGGGCACAGTGGCTCATGCCTGTAATCCCAGAACTATGGGAGGCCAAGGATGTCAGGAGTTTGAGACCAGCCTGGCCAACTTGGCAAAACCCCATCTCTACTAAAAATACAAAAATTAGCCAGGCATGGTGGCGTGTAGTCCCAGCAACTCAGGAGGCTGAAGCAGGAGAATCACTTGAACCTGAGAGATGGAGGGTGCAGTGAACAGAGATCATGCCACTGCACTCCAGCTTGGGCAACAGAGTGAGACTCTGTCTAAAAAATAAAACACACATACGCATATTTTTTTTTCTAAAACAAAATTCACTTATTTCTCCCAAATGTACTCTTCTTTCTCTAAGATCTACTAAGACAAAATCCTTCAAATTAATGTATCTACCATTCCCATCCAATCAATAAAGTTCTTGCACGTTTCTTTTCCTCTTGCCAATTACTAGCAGTAGAAAACCTTCAGGCAAGTCATTTAATTTCCCCATGCCTTGGTTTTCTCAACCATAAAATAGGAATAATAATAGTACAACGGCCTCCTAGTTATAAACAACACAAGTTTATTTCTTATAGCTCTAGAAGCTGCGAAGTGCAAGATCAAGGTGCCAGCAGACTCTTTGGTGAGAGGTCGCTCTCTGCTTCTTAGATGGTAGCTTCCGTGTCCTTTAATGGCAGAAGGGCTGAAACAAGCCTTTAACTAGTCATCCTGCCTCAGTCTTGCTCCGTTCCAATTCATCTTTCATAGGGTTTTCAAAAAGATTTATCAATTGTTCATGAAAAGATGTCATTTAGTGGTCACTTGCACCCTGCTAAACTTCTGCCACCATCACAATGAAGATGACAGCAGGGTAGAGTTGTATCATGGTGAGAAATGAACTTCCATTCTTTGTGCTGAAATGGCTCAAGAAATTTTCAGCCCTCTTCTGCAAAACTTTTCTTTTAAAGAGGTAAAAGGTAACGGATTTACCTATGGAAATTGACCTGACATTCATATTATTGGCAGTGATTTTGATAGCATGCAAAAAAGTAAAAGAGGAGTTTCATAACACTTCTACTTTCAATCCTCTTCCTTTGACACTAACTGCTTTCCTCATTAATATTACGGTTGTATCTGAGTTGGCTTATGAGCCTTCTGAAAGTGATGTGTCAGAAATTACTACTGAGATGGTGAAAAGGTATTTAGAGTTCCATTTTTTAGGTTAGAGGTTGTAATGTCTAAAAGGTTTTCTGTAGAATGCATTATTAACTTGTTTTAGAAGAGTCATGCTTCAGTGACCTTCATAACTGTATTCATTAATCTCCCAAATATACATTACAGATTTTCTCAAATAATACAAAATATATTTTTGGTATAATCATTATTGAAATATAATATTAAAAAAAGTTCCAGCCTGACAAACATGATGAAATTCCATCTCTATTAAATAAAAATTAAAAAATTAGTCAGGCATGCTGGTGTGTGCCTGTAGTCCCATCTACTCTGGAGGCTGAGGCATGAGAATCACTTGAACCTGGAACATAGAGGTTACAATGAGCCAAGCTTGCGCCACTGTACTCCAGCCTGGGCGACAGAGCAAAACTCTGCCTCAAAAAAAAGAAAGAAAAAATTAAGACATCATTTGAAAAGTTAGTAGGAAAGCCACAGAGTAGGAGGAATATTTGTAATAGGTATATTTGACAAAAGACATATCTAAAATACATAAAAAACTATTAAAAATCAATGAGAAGATAAGCTAATTCGTAAGTGTGCAAAAGCCTTAAACAGAAACATCATAAAAAAGGATATCCAAATGACCAAATAAGCACATAAAAAGATAATAAGTCACTACTTATCAGGGAAACGCACATTAAAAACACAATATCACTGTATACCCACCTGGGTGGCTAAAGTTTAAAAGATTAACAAGACCATGATATACCTCAATTAAAAACAAACAAGAAAATCTCAAATTGCCTAATAGGTTAGATCACCACCCTACTCAAAATTCTTCAATGATTTTACATTGCTTTCAGGATGATATTAAACCCTTCAAAGTGACATTCAAACACTTCGGGATGGCACATAGCATCTGAGAGTGTATGTAATATCACAGCTGCCCCACGGCACAGGATGCTATGTGCCATACTGAAGATTCCAGCACCTAGAGTCTTGAGGTATATTGCGGTCTTGTCAGA
This sequence comes from Homo sapiens, assembly GCF_000001405.40. Taxonomy (NCBI): domain Eukaryota; kingdom Metazoa; phylum Chordata; class Mammalia; order Primates; family Hominidae; genus Homo; species Homo sapiens. Next base: position 161,648,120 of record NC_000001.11, on the reverse strand, counting down.
TTCTGCCCAATCCTATTCTTAACTTCCCCAAGCTTGCCATGCTATTGCCATGTTTGAGCCCATGCTGCTTTCTGTGAACAAAGCTATCTTCCCAACTCATACTTATCCTTCAAGATCAAACTCCTTCTCCATAAAGCCTTCCATGAGTTACACATAGCTAAACTGTTGTTCACAAGACGAAGGGTCGTCTACGAGTCGCTGACTCTCCGGGATCTGCCCTACTTTCACAAGGACATGCCCCATTTATGAACACACGAAGCACAGTGTGCCATATTTTGGGTACCTTGACCTGAGGAGAATGTTGTAAATGGATTTGTTTTATTTCTTCTGGGCTTAGAAATGTAAACTGTTTGCTGTTCTCTACTGCCCTCTGTTGAAACAAAAGTGGACAATATACATCTCTTCTGCAGGACGAAGGAATCCAGTTTACAAGGAAATGAAAGAGAGATCTGAGTGGTTTAATGCAAGAAACAGCCAACTAATGGTCTAGGGGAGTGAAATTAAGAGTCCAGAGCAGGCCGGGCACAGTGGCTCACACCTCTAATGCTAGCACTTTAGGAGGCCGAGGCGGTGGGGGGAATCACCTGAGGTCAGGAGTTCAAGACCAGCCTGGCCAACATGGCAAAACCCTGTCCCTACTAAAAGTACAAAAATTAGACGGGCATGCTGGTGGGTGCCTGTAGTCCCAGCTACTCAGGAGGCTGAGGCAGGAGAATTGCTTGAACCCGGCAGGCGGGGGTTGCAGTGAGCCGAAATCACACTACTGCACTCCAGCCTGGGTGACAAGAGCGAGACTCAATCTCAAAAAAAAAAAAAAAAAAAAGAGTCCAGAGCAAAGAGAACCCGGGGCTGCACTTACCTTAAGCCACTTGGTCTGCTCTTCTGATTGAATGTCTCTTGACCTCAGCATGACTTCAGACAGTGGTACTCAGAAAGAAAGGCTTGATTCATTCATCCGCACTCTGGCTTTAGACCCTTAGTGAGGAGGGTGGCATTTGAAGTTGTAGTAGAAAACTAGGAGTTAGATTCTAACACCTACGGTCTGCAACGCAAATGCGTTGGAACCTCCCCATCAGGCCTGTTTTGCCCTTTAACTGTATCAAGTGCATGTGTCTCCAGCAAGGGTAAAATTCAGGAGGGTGGGAACTTGGTCCTAAGCCAAACATGCTGAAGGATGCTGGAAAATGGTCCTGGGGAAGGTTGAAGCCATCCTCCTTAGTAGCAAGTAAATACTTGACAAGAACATTTGAAGAACTGTGAATGAGGCTCTAACCAATTCAAACTTGCCTCCTTGTCACTGGAAATAGACCTGCTGCAAGGTATCAGCAAATAAGGAGTCATCTCTTTGGCTTCCAGTTAATTTTCTAAAAGCACAATTCAGCTCCAGTCTGTGTCTCTAGCTCTAGCCCAGATTTCTCCTTCCAGTTACCCAGCTGATATTGACCACTCTCCTGCTATGTCCACAGGCACCTCAAACGCAGAATATCCAAACCTGAACTTACCATCTCTCCCCAACCCCTTCCAGCTAAGCTTCTTTCCATCATATTCCCCACCTCAGGGAATGGCACCTCCTAAAGCAGGAATCTGGATATCATTGTGATTCCCACATTCTCTTTCATAACCCACATCCAATTGTGCCGGTTCTTCTTGCTAAATATCTCAACCCCACCACCATTACCTTAGCCTGAGGCTATCTTCATCTGCCACCATGACTACCGCAAGAGACCAACTCATCTTTCTGCTCCCAGTCTTACTCCTCCAGCCTATTTACAAGCAGCAACCAGAGTAATTTTGTTAAAGTACAAATTATATTATGTCACTTTCCTGCTTCAAATAATTCAGTGGCTCCCCACACCCTCACGACAAAACCCAAACTCCTTAATGTGTTCTGTAAAGCACTGTGATACCAAAAACCATTTACTCCACTGCAGCTTCATCACACTGTCCTACTCTCCTCATACTCAGAATACAACAAACTCTGCTCTAGGGGAGACTCTTTGATCTCAGTATAGACATTTTCTACGCTAGAGGCCTGTTCTGGCATCCTACGATTGAAAGGTTCAAGAATATTTAGCCATTTCTATCTTTAAGGTGCTTCTGCCTTGATTTTAAGTACTAATCAGAAAGGAAAGATACATGGAAAAAAGTCAGCAATGTAAAATAAATGGTTTAAGCACTTCACATTTTTATGTCACTTATTTTATATCTCTTTTTGTTGGGTTCTAAGGAGAGTTGTAAAGAGAGTCAAAAAGCAGGGAGCTAAAAGGCATTAGTAAGCCCCTCGAGCCAGGCAAGTTGTTAAGCAGACAGCTCCTCTCAGAATACAAGCAAATCTGTTTCATAAGGATCATAGAGTGAAACACATGAATCAAGCTATGGATACACAAGAGGATAATAGAATTGAATCTTGAGTAAATTCTCTGAAGGAAGAAAGATTTCTAAGCTTAGGAAAAAATAGAGGAAAAAAAAAAAAAGAAGGAAAGAAAAGAGACCAGGCGTGATGGCTCATGCCTGTAATCCTAGCACTTTGGGAGGCCGAGGCAGGTGGATCACATGAGGTCAGAAGTTCGAGACCAGCTGGCCAACACGGTGAAACCCTGTCCCTACTGAAAATACAAAAATTAGCCTAACGTGCTCACTTGAACCCAGGAGGTGAGTCAAAGGTTGCAGCGAGCGGAGATCATGCCACTGCACTCCAGCCTGGGCAACAGAATGAGACTCTGTCTCAGAAAAAAACAAAAAAAGAAAGAAAGAAAAGAAAAGAACTTCATGAAACTTTTAAATTTCGGAATGATACAAAACTAAAACCAACCAAAAACAAACTACTAACTGCAAACTGGAAAAAAAAATGTGTAAAAATTCATGTCTCCCTGCAAAGGGGTATTTTTATTACATAAGAAATTAATGAGAAGAACATAGAGTTTTGATAAATAGGCAAAGGCAGGGATATCAATAGAGAAACCCAAAAACATTTAGTTAAACAAAAAATAAATATCCAAGAGGGCCAGACATGGTGCTAAGTGCTTTCCATCTAATAGCAACATGAAAGAGGAAATGCAACTGGTTGACAGACACATGGTAAATGTTGACTCCACACTAGTAATCAAATAAATGCAAATAAAAATTATGAGACCCCATTTCTCAGCTATGAAATTGCCCACAATTAAGAAAAAAGGACGTGATTAAATGAACTTGCATATATTTCTGAATAGGGTAGAAATTAAAACAATTGTTTTGGAAAGAGATTTGGAAAAACTATCAAAACCTTGGAAATTCATATACTTATGACATTGTAATTTTGCTTCTGGGAAAATGACCTTTGGAAATATCCCAAAATATACAAAAGCATTGTTACTCTTTGCAGAGCTACTGAATGATAATGAAAATTAGAAACAACCTAAAATATCCAAAATCATGCTTAAAGTAAATTGCTCTGCTGCTACATCAGCTGGAGTCTCTCTGAGCACTGAGAGAGAAGGGTATGAATGAATCAGTTAGGTGGCTTTCTGAAGCAAGTACAGAAAATTCTGCTCAAATGGCTTAAATAATAATAAATGTTTTACTATCTCACATATTAAGTTTCTTGAAGTTAGGGCAGCTCCAGAGCTGTTTAATCTACAATAATGTCATCAGTAACCCAGATTCTTCCCTCTCTTTGCTTTGCTACTCTCAGCATGTCAGCCAGTCTTCTCTGGAAGCAAGTTGGCTGCCGTAGTAGCTCCCAGCATCACATCTTTAAGCATCACCATGTCCAAAGACTGAGAAAGAACTCGTTACTTCCTGAGTCCCAGAATCCCTCTAGCAGATTATCCCTGAGGATTAATTGTCCAGAACTGTATCATATGCTTAGTCCTAAGCATGGCAAGACAATAGAACACCATAATTGGCTTAGAGCAGCAGTTCTCAAAGTGTGGTCCTTGTACCAAGATCAGCATTACCTGGAAACTTATTAGAAATGCACATTCTCAAGCCCCACCAGAATCAGAAACTCGGAGGGTAGAGTAGAGCTCACCAAGTTGTGTTTTTAACAAGCCCTCCAAATGGCTCTGATGTAGCTCAAATTTGAGAACCACTGGTTTAGACTAACCGAAAGTTCACACACTGAGGCTGGAAAAGGTCTAGGCTTCTCTACAGCTCATGACCACAACATTGCTAAACGAAATCAAGTTCCGTTAGCAAAGAAGAAGGGAAGAAATGGCTGTGCAGTAGGCAACTGCCCATACAGGATAAAGTTCCTGTTTTGGTGGCCAAAATGACCCAAATCTTTTAAAAAAAAAAGAAAGTCAAAGTAATACCATTTCTTCCTTTCCACACACCCTCAAATACATTTTTTAAGCATTTCTCCTCCCATTTAATGTGAAATGTGAAAGATGTTGAGTGGAGTTTGCAGTTGTTCGAGACCAGCTGGCCAACATGGTGAAACAACATGGTGTTTATGTATATGTGGAATCATTATAAAAAAGGAAGTTGCAGAAGAATATGCATTATGTAATATGCTAACAATAACTACAGAAATGAGCAAAATATAAATACATAAAGGTGGATGTGTGCTTATATGAATATAAGTGTATGGGGAAAGTTCTGGAAAGATATACTACAAGCTTCTAAGGGGTTACCTCTGAGGAAGGGAGTGAAATTGGGGGAGGGAGTCATTAAATCTCACTGTTACTTTTATTTTATTTACGTCCGAATTGTTTCACTTATTTGCAACAAGAACATATATAGATCACGCGTGTATTTTCAAACCAAAAAGTGCTTAAAGCCACAATAACAAAATATTGGTGAAAGGGACAAGGACTGAGTCTCTAGGGATGGTTCTGAGCTCTGCTCATACTCCCAATGATGTTGCCAACCTTTCTCTCTTCTCCAGTGGGATGGCACGGATTAAAAACAGAACAACACAAAACAGTATTTCCACTTCTTTTTCAAAAACTTTTTCAAAAACTAAGTTTTCTTTTTGGTGTTACCTTGTATTGTTCTGGTAGATTCTGAAGATTTTGCACATGAGCAGAAGCATGAATTTAGTTTTTATAATTAACTTTTAACTCTTAGAAGTATAATTTGCTAGCTCTGCTAGAAAATCCTTTTGGCTCCCAAAAGCTGCCTTCATTAGGATTTTTAGAAGACAAAGGCTACTACATTCTGCAATATCTAGAAACTACCACTGGAAGGCAACATTCAGAATTAGAGAATATTTAAGATGGAAAGAGTTAGATATAATCTAGCCCAATTACCTCACTTTGCTATGAGGAAACAAGTTTAGGGAAGAGAAGTGGCTTGACAACTGACCCCTGTTAGACTGAAACCAAAACTGAGATTTCCTTCCTCCTTGACCAGTATCCTTCCCATAACACATCGCCATCACTCTCTTTTTGAAACTTTAAAAACTTGCAAGTCTGGGAGGCATCTAAGCATGTTCTGATGTGAGATAGCACAAGGCAGGGCATTTAAAACTCACTCTTGGCTATAGCATAAAATTTTGGAAAGTTCTTGTATGTCAGCAGGTCATATTATTTTAATAACCACAGCCAACGCCAACAGGTGCAGCTTAAGGTCATCCCACAAAATCTGCTTCAATCCCATGTGCTTTTTTTCCCTTGTTGTCTGTCTATCTCTTCCTGGTTTTGTGAAAGTGTTCTCTCCTTGTCCCATGACTGCCTTTGTATGATGTATCTCGAGGTGTGTCTGTTTCCAGATCTCTCAGTAGATGCCTTGCTCTTCATGCATTTTCCATCTATTTTTAAGACACCATATTTGTAAACCTGGGTGTCTCTCTCAGTTTTTTGTGGGGTTTTGTTTTGTTTTGTTTTTTACTGTCCCAGTAACTGTGTCTTTCTGAGTTTTCTCTCACTGGTTTTCCTCTAAGTCCCATCCCATTTTGTGTCTTTATGTCTCTAACTCTGCCTGTTCTCCTCCCTTTTCTTTTATATTGACAGTTTCCTTTCCTATTTCTTTTCTTCACTTTACTAGACACATAATGGTGAATATTTTGTTTTGTTTTGTTTTGAGACGGGGTATCGCTCTGTTGCCCAGGCTGGAGTGCAGTTGCACGATCACAGTTCACTGCAACCTCCACTTCCCAGGCTCAAGTGATCCTCCCGCCTCAGCCTCCCAAGTAGCTGGGACCACAGGCATGTAGCCCCAGGCCTGGCTTATTTTGAATTTTTTTAAGAGATGGGGTTTTGCCAGGTTGCCCAGACTGGTGTTGAACTCCTGGCCTCAAGCAATGCTCCTGCCTCAGCCTCCCAATGTGCTGGGATTACAGGTATGAGCCACCATGCTGGGACCATGAATATTTTTTATTAAATAATTTTGATATCTATTGTATTTAAAGCTCAGAGCTAACTATATTTTGTTATTAATATTAAAATAAGCAAGTAGAAGCCAGGCAGTAGTGCTGGCTACTCAGGAGGCTGAGGCAGAAGGACTGCTTGAGTCCAGGAGTTTTTTAACCCAGCCTGGCTGACACAGTGAGACCTCATCTCTAAAAAAGAAAGCAAGCAGAATATTTTCTTAAAAGGCAATTATATTCCTTCTTGGCCAGGCCCAGTGGCTCACACCTGTAATCCCAGCACTTTGGGAGGCCGAGATGGGTGGATCACCTGAGGTCAGGAGTTCGAGACCAGCCTGGCCAACATGGTGAAAACCCGTGTCTACTAAAAATACAAAAATTAGCTGGGCATGGGGGCATATGCCTGTAATCCCAGCTACTTGGGAGGCTGAGACAGGAGAATCGCTTGTACCCGGGAGGCAGAGATTGCAGTGAGCCGAGATCATGCCACTGCACTCCAGCCTTGGCGACAGAGTGAGGCTTTGTCTAAAAAAAAAAAAAAAAGGTATTTTTTGCCTCTCTGTTGGTACCAATTGTTAAATTCTTTGTGGACCACTGATGCTTACCAAAAAAAAAAAGTGGGGGCGTCATATTTCCTCTAGTTGACATTAAAACACAGTAATTTAGCCAGAGGAGATCTTAGCAAACATACAGTCCACACTCCACTTTCTCATTTCATGATTGTAGAGACTGAGATCTAGACAATTTAATTGGTGGTCACCCTGGGTGACATAGCTAGGTCTAGAGCTCCTGGTCTCCATGTCAGCATTTCTTTCTTCTTCATTAAATGTCAAGTTTCCTCCCCTGTTCATTATTAGCTCCTTCCAGAAAAAGAGTTTCTTATCCTTTTAGTAGGTACTCAGTAAATACCAAGGTATTCACTAGGATGCCTTTGGATGAAGGTAACAAGCCCTGACTTAAATTGGCTTAAACAGCAGGGAAATTTACTTGAAATTGTAAGAAATCTGGGTTGGTTGCGTTAGAAGCTCAGTGATGTCACCAAGACCATATTCTATCCCTCCACTCTGTCCTCCTTGATTTTTTGGCATTGACCTCAGACTGGCTGCCTTCAAAATCTTAGGTTTTGCCAGCAGAACCTAGGACAAAATGAGCCCTTGTTCATGTACAGTGGGAGAGAGAGATCATCTCTCCCAAACATGGCACTCCCCTCTACCAGATTGGCCCTATTTAGGACAAAGTTCCGTCTTCTCCCACTTAACCAATAAAAGCCAGGGGAATGCTACACCCTGAGTGGCTTAGATCAGTCAAGATCCACCTCTGCATATGAGGGTGATTCCTGAATAGAATCAAGGTTATATTAGAAGGGAGGGAGAGGGATGGATATCAGGCTAGTACATCATATTCTATTTGTTGAGTTAACTGAGCATAGCAATTGTTGAGTTGGAAAAAACTCAGAACCTACTGTGGATTCAAGTTCAAGAAATCATTCTTTCCTACATACAACAGCATTGCTCTGTAGCCCTGAGCTAAGAGAGCATCACGAAATACAGTCTTCTTGCTGTTTATAATCGTAAGCAAACTCTTGGACCTGGGAGGGGATGAATGGATAATGTCTGTCTGACTTGCTTCTTTCTAGTTAGTACCAACTACCTCCCTTCTTCCTGTGATTGTTCTTAGAATAGGATAAAAAATTTTCCCTTCCCTAGATCTTACAGTCTCCCCTTCCCCCAGGCCTTTCTATTTTTCAGGATTTTACTCTAATCACACCACCGAAGAATCAAGAAATCTTTAAAGTGTATTAGAGTAGCTAGTTGTGGCAGCACTAAAACACGGCTGCAAATTCTTTGACACTCTCTCCATCAAGAAATGAGGCCTACATCCTCTACCCTTGAATCTGGGTGGGCTTATAACTTCTGGTGATTAGAATACAGCAGAAAGAGAAGCTGTATAGCTCCTAAATGTTATAAAGTCTTAAGGATAGCTGCCAGCAAGACCTTAGGACAAAATGAGCCCTTGTTCACGTCCAGTGGGAGAGAGAGAGAGAGACCCTCTCTCCCAAATATGGCAATCCTCTCTACCTATAACATTTACATAAATGTTATAGGTTAAACGTTCCACAACAAACTAAGTACTATTTAACATCAAGAGGGAAAAGAGACAGGAGAAAGGGTTAATAAGCCTGTTGATGAGGATCTAAGAAGACCAAAGGAGTCCTGGTCTGGGCCTGGCTACCCGTTGGTCTTGCAAAGAAGAGTCTGAGGTGGCAGAGCCTTCAGTGGCAGATGCCAAATTATCATCATGAGTGACTGCAAGACAGTGTCAGCTAAGATAGCCATTTCAAGCTGCTGAAGGCCTTCTCTTTTAGTCATGGAGTCCTGTGATAAGAACTGAAAGTTGGAAGAGTGTGCTTGTCTGTGGCCTTATTTGGTCGGCTGCAGTCTTTATCATTTTTAATTTGTTTCTTAGAACATTTTATCTTGTTGGCCAAATGCCCTATGAAATATAAAATGGAGTCTTTTTCTAAGATGGAGTTAGTTATGTCAAGGGTCCTTTATACAGTCTTCATCCTTTTTCCTGGCATACAACTCCTAAAATCCTTAGAATCTCCAAAGTGATGTCTTTTGGTGTGCTAATGAGGTAACTGATGGCTGGCAGCTCTTAGGTAGCTTCATAACAGGGGCTGGGCACAAGAAAGATCATGGCAAGGTCAGAGGATTGGGGCTTTCAGCTCCACCCTCCAAACTCCCTCTGGGAAGTGGAGAGGGGCTGAAGGTTGAATTGATCACCAATAGCCAATGATTTAATTAATCATTCCTAAGTAATAAAGCTCCCATAAAAACCCAAAAGGACAGGGTTTGGAGATCCTCCAGAGAGCCGAACACAGAGAGGTTCTTGGAGGGTAGTGCACCAGAGGGCATGGAAGCTCCAAGCCCCTTCCCACAGGTCTTGCCCTATGTACTCTTTACTTGTGTCCTTTGTAATATTCTTTATCACAAACTGATAAATGTAAATGTTTCCCTGAGTACTGAGAGCCACTCTAGCAAATTAATTGAACCCAAGATGCAGGTGGTGGGAACCCCCATTTATAACTGGTTGGTCAAAAGCACAGATAAAACAACCTGGGGCTTCACCCTGCAATATCAGAAGTGTCTTGTGAGACTGAGCCCTTCACTTGTGTCACCTGATGCTATTTCCAGTTAGATAGTGTTGGAATTCAATTGAATTCGAGCAGAAGTCCCAATCCCCAGATTTGTAGTTGTCAGTGACCTCTTAGGAACTGGGCTGCACAGCAGGAAGTGAGGGGCAGGTGGGGAGCAAAGCTTTATCTGTATTTACAGTAGATCCCCATGGCTCACATCACCGCCTGAGCTCCTCCTCCTGTCAGATCAGCTGTGGCATTAAATTATCACAGGAGCATGAACCCTATTGTGAAGTACGCATGCAAGGGATCTAGGTTGCGTTCTCCTTATGAGAATCTAGTGCCTGATGACCTGGCATTGTCTCCCATCACCCTAGATGGGACTGTCTAGTTGCAAGAAAACAAGCTCGGGGCTCCCCCTGATTCTACATTATGGTAAGTTGTATAATTACTTCATTAAATATTACACTGTAATAATAATAGAAATGAAGTGCACAATAAATGTAATGCACTTGAATCATCCTGAAACCATCCCCCACCCCCCTACCCCTGTCCGAGGAAAAATTGTCTTCCATGAAGCCAATCCCTGGTGCCAAAAATTTTGGGGACCACTGGATTAGAAGACACCCAGTTGGTGCCCACTGCTGAATTGCTTGCTTGCTTGCTTGCCAGTGGAGAGAAATCCCCACATATCTGTTGTCAGAAATGTGTTGTGAGAGCATAGTGGGAGGAACTGAGTTTGTTTTTTCTACAGTTACAGCAATAGGTAACTGGAACTCAACTGCTGGACTATACCAAAGACTGCCAGGCCAGCCTACCTTTCTCACAGCCTTCCTGACTACTTGTCTTGGATGAGCTCACTGAAAGCCCACATACCTTCATTCTAGCATTTCCTCAGTCTGGTTGAGCTGCTTTGGAGGTAATACAGGTTGTAGGACCTCCCTCCACTCCTGCTCAGGACTGTTTTCAGCAGGCTAATCAGACAGCAGTTGGCACTGAGTACAACTGGAGAAATGTTACCAGCACTGAAGACTGATCCAGCTACAAATCCATAGTGACCCACCTCAGGTGGGCCCTTGGCATTGCTTGGCAATCCTTACAATTGTTTGGAATTCTTGGTAATTCTTGTACATACAAACAGTCGGCTCCTTCTCCCATGCACCACAATGGCCATTCTCAACTCTGGTGTTCTCAAACCCCCACCACAACTGTTACCCACTCTTTCTCGACAGGTGTCTTTGACTCCTCCTTAACCAAGAAAATCAGGACCAGCAGATGTGGATGGTCACTCAACATCTGAAAATGGATTTGCATATGTACCCCCTCAGCCCCTGCCTTCAGCTCAGAGCGAGAGGTAATCCGTATCCAGTTCACAGCCAACTCCCTGTCCATGTCCCATTTCCATCTCCTCAGGACCCACACTTGCTTCTCTAGGTATTCCGTCCCTGTTAGGCATCCAACTTCTCCCACCCTGCTGGCTTCTTCCCAAAGACCTATAACCAAGCTTGTATCTTTCACTTAAGGAAAACAAAAACTCCCATTCTCTTGAAACTACCTTTGCAGAATTGTGTCTGAAACAGTGAGAGAGATCTAACTTAATTGACTCCATCTTGCTTCTAACCTCCAAGCTGTCTTTCCTCATTCTTGGGCATAGGCTGAACTAACTTTGGGAGAAACTTAGTTTATAGTTTGTGGTTTAAAGCAAAGATGATAACAGCCCTTTCCCAGGGCAGACCTCCTTTTTTTCTGAAGACTAGATTGTCTTTGTAGGACTAACATTAGCCACAAGATTGGAAATTATGGTTTAGGAATCATGCAGGTGGAGGCTACAAGATTCTGACCCTCCCTAAGCACTGATCCTAAGATCGGTGCTTGAGATATTTTGCAGACCCTGCACTTGATGGATCACCTGGCAACACCCAGATCAATAAACTGGCTCATCTGATCTTGTGGTGCCCACCCAGGAACTGACTCAGAACAAGAAGACAGCTTCAACTTCCTGTGATTTCATCCCTGACCAATCAACACTCCTGGCTCACTGGCTTCCCCTCCACCAACCAAGTTGTCCTTAAAAACTCTGCTCCCCGAATACTCTGGAAGACTGATTTGAGTGATAATAAAACTCCAGTCTCTGGCTCAGTCAGCTCTGCATGAATTACTCTTTCTCTATTGCAATTCTCCTGTCTTGATGAATCAGCTCTGTCTAGTTACCATCCTCCACTTCTCCTTTCTTATTGTGTCACTTAGGGCTCTGGGTTATAAACAACTTTATCAGAATCCAGATCTTTTAAGTAGAGGAAACAAATTTATTGGATGGAAACTAGAGGAGGTCAGCCCATCCCACTGCTGTGATGACTGGGACCCAACCATCTCCCTCTCCTAGAAGTGAATCTCCCTTATGAGTAAACAAGTGTCTCTTATTCAGGATTCATCTCAGAAGAGACTCTAATGGGCCAAACCTCAGTTATATGCCTGTCCTCTGTCTGCCTGTATCAGTTAGCTAGCACTTTTATAACAAAGTACCACAGACTGGGTGGCTTAAACAACAAAAATGTATTTTCTTACAGTTCTTGAGGCTGCAAGTCCAAGACCAAGGTGTTGACAGGGTTGGTTTCTTTTAATTTTTTAAAAAAACTTTTATTTTAGATTTAGGGGTACGCGTGCAGGTTTGCTACATAGGTAAACTCCTATCACGGGGGTTTGTTGCACACATTATTTCATCACCCATGTACTAAGCCTAGTTACTCAATAGTTATTTTTTCCGATCCTCTCCCTCTTCCTACCCTCCACCTTCAAGTAGGCCCCAGTGTGTCTGTTGTTCTCCCTTTGAGTCCATAGGGTTGGTTTCTTCTGAGGCCTCTCTCCTTGGCTTGTAGGTGTCCATCTTCTCCCTGTATGGGTCTGTGTCCCAACTAATAAGGACATCAGTCATATTGGACTAGAGCCCACCTAATGATTTTATTTTAACTTAATTACCTCTTTAAAGGCTCTATATCCACATATAGTCACATCCTGAGGTATAGGGAGTTCCACATGTGGACTTCAATATATGAACTGGGAGAGACACAATTTAGTCCTTAATAGTGCCCCAAAGTGGGGAAAAGGAAGATCTGGACCCTCGGGTTTCCATAGTAGAAAGCAATCACTGCTTTCTATTAAGTACTCACAGTGGGGCTTCTCCAGGAAGAATGATATGCTAATAAGAAGGGGAGGAGGAAGTGATCCTGGACAGCCAGATGATATGTGCACTATTCCTTCATAATGGAGATTCTGAAGAGGAGAAGCACTTCACTAAACACTATTTCATTCCTACTCCGTCTTCAACCAAAAGCTGTCAAACTTCTGTTTCTCAGCCCCAGCCCCTGAAATTGCTCAGGAAAAGGTCATTAATAGTTCCTTGATTGCCATATTTCAATCAAACTCTTGTTTGAATTATTTCTACACATTAATAGTGTTATTGTTGACTACTCCTTCCTTGAAGATCTGTTCCCACTAAACTTCCTTGTTCCCTCCTCTTCAGCCCCTCCTATACAAACTCCTTTGTCAGCTATTTTTCCTGTGCACGCTTCAAAAATGTTTGCATGTCAAGTTTCTGTCATTGACTCTCTCCTCTTCTCCTCTCCCTCTCAATCCCTCCTTCCTTTCCCTCACTGTTTCCCTTTAATTCTCTCTCAATACTCTTACAGTTTCAGAGATCTTATCCTTACTTTATCTTAACCTAGGATCTCTGGATGGATTCAAATAGAGCTTCTTAAATTAAAGGAAACATAATGTGTATATTTGCATCCTTTCTTGGGAGAAGGCCCAAAGGTTTTTATCAGAGGTTTGAAACCTCAACCGTGTTGGTGCCTCCTAAATTGTGTCTTTTGTCAAGACCTGTCTTCTGAGTTCCAGGGCCATGTGTCTCACTGCCTACTGGAAATCTTCACCTGAAACCTTCACAGCTACCTCAAACTCAATAACATCAAAAGCTGAAATTATTGTCTCTCCCTCCCAAAGCCTGCTCATCTTCCCATTTTTCTTTTGTCCATGAAAGCTACTGCCATCCTCCTTATCACCCAAATTAGAAATCCGAGCATCACCCAGACCTCTCCCCCTTCATCACCCCTCAGCCAATCACTCACCAAGTCTTGTCCATCCTTCCTTCCTAACTTCTCTCCTGGATGCTTCCATTGCATATCCACTTTTTAAACAGAGTGGCTCTTGTCTCAACTAGACTGTTGAAATAATCTTCTAACTTTTCCCTCCACCTTCCATCTCTCTCCCCTCTAACTCATTCCTTGGACTGCTGTCAGAGTACTTTTCATAAAATATAAAACAGATCTTGTGATTCCCCAGTCTAAAGCCTTTTTATTAGTTCCCATTACCTTTTAGAATAAAATATGTACTGTTCATCCTGACACACAAAACTCTTCGTGATAAATACTAATTGAGTGCCTAGTATGTGCCTGCCCTTGTGCTAAATGTTGAGGGTACAGGGGTAAACAAGGTGAACAGGTTCCCTGCTCTCCAAGACCTTTCAGTCCACAAATGCAATGAGTTTACAGAGGAGAAGCACAAGCTCCGAAAGGAGCTGGGGTGGGGTTGGGGGTCAGAACCTAATTTAGAAAATTGAGGAAGGTCTCAACCTCCCATCTTGCACTTACAATAGTAATCAGCAGGTGTGGTACCAAATATGGAACCAACAATTTTATCTGCATTATCTCATTTAAGCCATGAGTGCCATTATTGTTAGCCTCACTTTACAGATAAGGAAACTGAGGGCTAGAAGGTTAAATAAGTGGCAGAGTTGGGATTTCCTCCAGATTCATGTGAGACCCAGACATCTTAATCCTTTTGGAACCTGTGCTTCTCCTTTGTAGTACTCACTACACTTGTGGAACTACATCCAACTACACTTGTGGAACTACAGCCAGCTCTGCAAACATGACAGTCTACTTCACTCCAAGTCTTTGCTCATGCTGCTCCTCTTGCCTGGAATGCCTATTTCTCTCAAAAATCTTCCTGCTGAATATTTTGCGATCTAATTAAAGTGTTCTCTCTTCCATGTACACTCCTCCCTCAGATAGAATTAGCCACTGTCTTCTTTGTGCATACACAGCATTTCATAAATACTGTCACAGTCCCTCTAGCACTTCAAATACTTATCTGATGTTCTCCCCCTAAGAAACTGTAAGTCCTAGAGGATGACAATCGACTGAATTCCATAGTCAGAAACTTCTGCTGTGCCTGGCCTTCCAATGAGAAAAGGAGAGAAGAGGAGGGGAAGGAAGAAAAAGGGAAGGAGAAGAAAGAAAAGCAAACATGAAGATAAACACTTCAGTATATGATATCCCAAGACCATCTACCCTTTTGTAAAAATTTTGCTCTTTTTTTTCCCCCCCAAGAGTCAGGGTCTCACTCTGTCGCCCAGGCTAGAGTGCAGTGCCATGAACATAACTCACTGTAGCCTCTAACTCCGGGGCTCAAGCAATCCTCCTGCCTCAGCCTCCTGGGTAACTGGGACTACAGGCATGCACCACCACATCTGGCTATTATTATTATTACTATATTAGTAGAGATGGGGTCTTTCTATGTTGCCTAGGCTGGTCTCAAATTCCTGGCCTCAAGCAATTCTTCCACCTCACATTGGCCTTCCAAAGTGCTGGGATTACAATAAGCCACCATAGGCCAAAATTTTGCATTTTATCCATTACTGTAAAATTAACCCTTACAAACCCAACAACACTCAATTCGAGAATTGTTCAACAACCACTTAATGAAAACCCCCTGAAAGCTTCCCATCCTGTTGCAGTCCCTTTCTCTCCTCCTGTGCTCTCTCCTCTTCTTCCTATCTAGCCCACCCTTTTGGCAGCTAAGAATTCCTCCCTCCATTGGAGAGTCACAGACCAAAGAGGAGTCAAATAAGAAAATAAGACCTCAAAGAAGGAAAACAAAGTGAAGGCCTTGCATCAGAAGTCACGTGGCAGAAAGCCACCTGGATATCTGAAAAGAAGAAAGAATTGAGGGATATCCGCTTTTTGCCTCAGAGACCATCCTTAGCCCTGAAGGCTTTGTTTCTGCTTTAGGTTTCCCAGATGAGCATCTGAAGTGCTACAGCAAGGAACTTCAAGTTTCCAGATACTTGTCTGGATTTTGCAAGGCGTAGATGAGTCACTTGAGAAGGAGAACTGGAATGGCGGCCTGGGTTCATTTCTGTTGTCCAATCCAAGGGCCTGTGGAGAAGGGGCTGCTGCAAGACTCTGTGTGTGGCAGGGGGAGGGGTGGGTACGTGGATGGCAATGGGAGGATCAATTAACTCCACCCAGGAGCCAAATGAAACACACAAATAAAAAACAAAACCTGAGTAGTGGTTTTTAGGTCATTCTGGAGTAGAAAGAGCATTCATTTATAGCAAAGGTTGGCGGGCACCTGTGTCAGCCCCTGCCTCCACTCCACCCCTAACAAGTATCAGGTGCCCACACGGGCCTGCTGCTCGCCTCCTGGGCTTTTCTAAGCCAAGTGAGACCTGTCCCAGATGTCCACGAATCCACTGGGGGAGTGGCACTATCAAGCAGAGTCATCTGATTTTCTGCCTGGGACCTGGACCATTGTGAGAGTAACCAACATGGGGTTACGGGGGAGAATCTGGAGAGAAGAGAAGAGGTTAACAACCCTCCCACTTCCTGGCCACCCCCCTCCACCTTTTCTGGTAAGGAGCCCTGGAGCCCTGGAGCCCTGGATCCTAGGCTGACAGACCAGCCCAGATCCAGTGGCCCGGAGGGGCCTGAGCTAAATCCGCAGGACCTGGGTAACACGAGGAAGGTAAAGAGTTCCTGTCCTCACCCCTCCCCACCCCCACCTTTTCTGTGATCTTTTCAGCCTTTCACTGGTGACTTGTTCTTCCAGGGCCCATTTCTCTACCCTACCTGGGTTTCTTCTAACCTGGAAATCTAATGATCAAATCACACTAAAAAGTCAGCTCCTGTGGATTACATATCCCAGGAGCATATAGATTTTGAATTTTGAATTTTGAAAGAAATTCTGCGTGGAGATAATATTGAGGCAGAGACACTGCTAGTGGTCAAAGATTTGAAAGGACAACTTTCTGTGTGCAGGCAGGGCCTCGGCTGGAGATAGATGGGTCTGGACGAGGCAGGAGAGTGAGAAGTTCTGAGGTGAAATGCAGGAAGCCCTCAGAGAATGCTCCTCCCACCTTGAATCTCATCCCCAGGGTCTTGCTGTCCCATTCTTGGTGCTGGGTGGATCTAAATCCAGGAGATGGGGGCAAGCATCCTGGGAAAGCTGAGGGCACACTCTGGCAGATTCTGTGTGTGTCCTCAGATGCTCAGCCGCAGACCTTTGGGAGAGTAAAGGGGGCACACCCACCCACCTTGCCTCCAGGCTCTTTCCTTCCTATTCCTGTTCTATGGTGGGGCTCCATTGCGAGACTTCAGATTGAGAAATCAGATGAAGTTTCAAGAAAAGGAAACTGGCAGGTGACAGAGATGGGTGGAGGGACTGGGGAAAGGCTGTTTACTCCCTCCTGTCTAGTCGGCTTGGTCCCTTTAGGGCTCCGGATATCTTTGGTGACTTGTCCACTCCAGTGTGGCATCATGTGGCAGCTGCTCCTCCCAACTGCTCTGCTACTTCTAGGTAAGTCAGGATCTCCCTGGTTGAGGGAGAAGTTTGAGATGCCTTGGGTTCATCAGACACCCCTTTTCAGGCTACGAATGAGACTCCCACAAAGGGATGGGACCCCTCACCACATCTATAGCTGTGGATTGAGCTACCAGGACAAGCCAAGATGGGGCTAGAAATGAGGAGAATGCTGGTTCCAATTGGGTCATAGTCATGAGTGAGGCCAGTCACTTCACCCCTCTGGGTCCCAGAATCACTATGTGGAACCAAAGAGCTTCGACTAGATGGTCCCTAGGGTCTGTCTCTTTCAGTTTGACATTCCAGGGTTCTCCTCTATGGTTTTTAATTTCTACCCTTTCTTGTGGGGATATGGGTTGAGGCTCTTTCTGTAGCTTGGTTCAGGGAAATTCAACCTGTACCCTTAATTTGTGAGTTTGCACAGGGAGCAAGGGGTAAGGGAGCAGTGTTGAAAATAGGGATTTGTGTTGACAGTGGCGCAAGAGGCATGAACAGTGGAGACCAGAGAGCAGGTAGCAAGGTTTCCACCAGAAACATCCTGATTCTTGGGAAAATTGGGCTCCTGGGGCAGAGGAGGGCAGGGGAGTTTTAAACTCACTCTATGTTCTAATCACTCTGATCTCTGCCCCTACTCAATATTTGATTTACTCTTTTTTCTTGCAGTTTCAGCTGGCATGCGGACTGGTGAGTCAGCTTCATGGTCTTGGATTGACCCAGTGGGGCACATATGGGGACAATGGCCATAAGATATTGGGAAATGCTTGTTGAATGGGAAAATGCTGATGTGGGGTTAGCAGGGATAGTTCCTCCAACACAGCAGAACTTGGCCCTGTGCTTCTCTGGCCAGCTTTCCTTAAGATACTGAACAGGCCAAAAATGGGGCCAAGATGCTCTAAGACTGAGCCACCAAGCATGGGTTTGCAATGAGCTCATTCTGGCTTTGAGGCTCCCTGGGAATGGCAGTGTAGAGCCTGCTCCTCTCCCTGTCCTCACCCCACATTATCTTGGCTCCTCAGAAGATCTCCCAAAGGCTGTGGTGTTCCTGGAGCCTCAATGGTACAGCGTGCTTGAGAAGGACAGTGTGACTCTGAAGTGCCAGGGAGCCTACTCCCCTGAGGACAATTCCACACAGTGGTTTCACAATGAGAACCTCATCTCAAGCCAGGCCTCGAGCTACTTCATTGACGCTGCCACAGTCAACGACAGTGGAGAGTACAGGTGCCAGACAAACCTCTCCACCCTCAGTGACCCGGTGCAGCTAGAAGTCCATATCGGTGAGTTGATGAAGGGGAAGAGGAAAATCACCAATAAAGGGTGAAACAAAGGGTCCTGAAATACTTGGTAAGAGCCAGAGATGATATTCTTAGAGATAAAAGCTAAGATGAGATGATGTGTGGTCCCACTGAATGGTATCAGAGTTGTAGTCCTAGCTCTAAGTAGGTCTTGGGCAAAATGTCAAAGCCTGTCAGACAGTAGATATAGGCTGCTGCATTGCACAATTCCAAGAATCCCCATATGGAGTGCATACAATGTGAATGTGTCATGTGAAGGTTAGGCCATGGCATAGATGCTCAATAATAGTTATTTATTTATTTATTTTCATTTTTTTTAATTTTATTTTTTGAGACAGAGTATCACTCTCTCACCCAGGCTGGAGTGCAATGCGGCAATCTGAGCTCACTGCAACTTCTGCCCCCTTGGGTTGTAGTGATTCTCCAGCCTCAGCCTCCCGAGTAGCTGAGATTACAGGCACCCGCCACCACGCCCAGCTAATTTTTGTATTTTTAGTAGAGACAGGGTTTCACCATGTTGGTCAGTCTGGTCTCAAACTCCTGACCTCAGGTGATTCACCGGTCTTGGCTTTCCAAAGTGCTGGGACTACAGGCGTGAGCCACCACACCTGGCCAATAATTTTTATTGAATAAATTAATGAATTTGGTGTTAGGACCTCAATCTCCTTCTCGCTCTCAGACATGTAATGCCCTAAGCCACCTCCCAAAGCAATCCTAGTGGCCTAGAATCATATCTTTCTGTCTCCTCATCA
Source organism: Homo sapiens (assembly GCF_000001405.40). Lineage (NCBI taxonomy): Eukaryota > Metazoa > Chordata > Mammalia > Primates > Hominidae > Homo > Homo sapiens. Next base: position 161,629,007 of record NC_000001.11, on the reverse strand, counting down.
ATGCTATACTCAAACCTATAATTAAGCATAAATTTGGTAATGTGATAGCTCTTCCAATAGAGGCAGATACATGTTCAGCCTGCACATTAATCATGACATGAAAGTCCTTGTGTACTATTAACAGAATATAGACATCAGACACAGGTAGGAGAAATATTTTGAAGGCAGGGGTCTTTCCTGGTGTCCCTACAATCTTACCACATAGCCTGGTCCCTGCAGTGTCGCCCTGCAAACCTAATTCTACTTCCACGGCTGTTCCATTCATACAATGTTTATGGGTGGAACAAGCTTTGGGGGAAGAAGGGCATAAGGAGGTGGATCTGCAAGAGAGCTCCATGGAATTGGGCCTCTGAAACTGATTTTTGTGGCTCTTTGGCCTCTGACATTACCACTCAACTGACATGGTCTTCACTCTCCAGAGCTACAAGAAGGTATGTCCATTTCTAGCTAGGTAAGAGATGTCCACCTACAACCAAATAAAATGGGGGAATTACCAAGAGAAAGCAATAGAAAAATCAAGTCTAGGAGTTACTAGTTTGCCTTGAACTTGGCTCTAGAAACTGGCTTTAGAAGTCTAGCCAATCAAGGCTATATTAAACTGTGACCATGAGAATTAGCTTCACCAGGTAAACTTCTGAGCATCCTTTATTCCTTTAGGACCCATTTCACTTATGTCCTCCTCTGAGAAGCACTTTTTACTTCTTTGTTTGTTTGTTTGTTTTTGTTTTTGTTTTTGAGACAGAGTTTCTCTCTGTCACCCAAGCTGGAGTGCAGTGGCGCAATCTTGGTTCACTGCAACCTCCACCTCCCTGGTTCCAGCGATTCTCCTGCTTCAGCCTCCCAACTAGCTGGGACTACAGGTGCATGCCACCACGCCCGGCTAATTTTTTGTATTTTTAGTAGAGACAGGGTTTCACGGCATTAGCCAGGATGGTCTTGATCTCCTGACCTCGTGATCTGCCTACTTCAGCCTCCCAAAGTACTAGGATTACAGATGTGAGCCACCGCGCCCAGCCTGCATTTTTTACTTCTTTCAGGCAGAATTTCTTTATTCCAATCTAGTCGGCCCCGCAGTCCTTTATTCTTAGCCTGTTGTAGCACTCGTCATATTGTATTGTGATTATTTCTGAATATTTATGTTTCTATGTCTAGGCTGTAGATTCTTTGAGGCTGAGAACTATATGTCCCATCATCTGGGTATCTCCAGTCCACAGTGTGTCATACATAGTGAGTGCTTGATGAAATATCACTTGAAGGAATATACACATGGGCATTCACTGAGTCCATGACAGGACAGATTCGAACAAGAATGTTCCTCCAAAGGCCACCAGACTATATACTAACCATGACTTTATGCTAATAATGATTCATCTCTTTGCTGAAAAAGTAAGTGGATAGATAGGCACATGGCTTCTTTTGATAAATGATATCTCTTAATAGGTAATGAAGATTACTTTCTGTTTGGCAAATCTTTGTGTTAGAGAATCATGACCAACACACGTCCTACCAATTTTGTTTAGCATCAGGTAGTAGATTTTTAAAATTATAGTAATTCAACCTGAGAATGTAGATTTAAAAAATAAAATTACAGTAAATTTAGTTTTGCTCTTATTACGTTTCGGGTCAATTTCAAAAATATATAAAAGTAAACAGGAGAAATTTAAAATGTCCTTTGGTCCCACTCCTTCAGAGAAAACCCCTGTTAATATGTAAGTGCATATCCTTCTTTTTTCTGTGCATAATACTTTTTAAAATATTTGAAGTATTATGCTTTTTTAACTTAACATTGTCTCATGAATATTTTCTTATGCCATTATAATACTTACCTATAACATCATTATTTTTTTAATTATTCAGGCCATTTCCCGACCATGACCTCATGTTCTCTCTTTGTGAAGTCTGATTACTTGGTGACATGATTGTGAGAATAAGCTCTGGCGATATAAGAATTTCCTCTCTTGAAGGCCATGCTCAGTAATAAAGTTGGTCTCACCGAGGCCCTGTGACACCTTAGAAACCACGAATTGCCACTCTGAGCACTACCAGTCCCGCCCTTCGCCACCCTGATGTTTACATTGAGTTAGTTCTCCTTCACAATTTCTGCAGCCACTCTGTGGCGACCGTCAGCTTATTCCTGAAGGCCACAAGAGTCTTTCAATATTCCTTTGATTGCCTATTCCTTCTGAAATCTACCTTTTCCTCTAATAGAGCAACTCATCATTTTCAAATGCAATTTTTACTCTGATCTAGAACTTACTGTGAATCCTTGTCACCTGCCACAGCAAATCTAAGTCTAGCACTTAAGGATCCTGCAGATATGCTCATCGTTGCTTCTCACTTACCTCATTGCTTAGTCCCTCTGCTCTAACCCTGTGTGTTGATCACATGTGTGTGTGTCCCTCTTCCCCATTAGACAAAGGTCTTGGTATGACTTCAGTTCTCTTGCAGGGCCCCATCAGCTCTTCCCCAAAGGGAGCTATGCAGGGTTGACTCCCAATCTGGCTTTCCCTTATGCCTCAGGATCTGGGTGGTACGTGGCCCCTTCACAAAGCTCTGCACTGAGAGCTGAGGCCTCCCGGGCCTGGGGTGTCTCTGTGTCTTTCAGGCTGGCTGTTGCTCCAGGCCCCTCGGTGGGTGTTCAAGGAGGAAGACCCTATTCACCTGAGGTGTCACAGCTGGAAGAACACTGCTCTGCATAAGGTCACATATTTACAGAATGGCAAAGACAGGAAGTATTTTCATCATAATTCTGACTTCCACATTCCAAAAGCCACACTCAAAGATAGCGGCTCCTACTTCTGCAGGGGGCTTGTTGGGAGTAAAAATGTGTCTTCAGAGACTGTGAACATCACCATCACTCAAGGTGAGACATGTGCCACCCTGGAATGCCCAGGGACGCCTGTGTGTGGAACCTGCACTCACACTGGGAAGTTGAGTTGGGAGGAGATTCCTGATTCTTACACGCACTTCTTCATATGTGGTTCCCTCCTGGTGATCACCAGGAGGTCCCCAAAAGTCCCTGATTGCAGGGTAGGTTTGCAGCTCTGTTTCAGTCCATTCTTTTGGGGTAGCTAGGAGGTGTCATTCACTCTGCAGCATGATGGCAGGAGCAGAAGCCACATCTCCTCCCCAATAAATACCTCTGTCTTTCCTTACCCTAATCACACCCACGGTGTCATATGTTCCTATCGTGCTGGCCTCCTTCTTATCCAAGCCTTTTAGCCACGATCCAAACTGGCAGGAGCCCCTCATCCCCTCACAGAAAGAGCCCAGAACCTGGGTTCTGGCCCTGCAGCTAATTAACCATCTGACCAGAGGTGAGCCACTTAGTCTCTCTGAACCCCAATTTCTTCTTCCGTAACAAAAATAAGCTGACATTTATTGGGCACCTTTCAGTGTGCTAGACTCTGTGCTAAACAATTCTTTACATGCACCTGGTTTGACTACCACAGTAGACCTTCACAACATGAGATAGGTAATATTCCATTTTACAGATGAAGTAACCGAGGTGCAAAAATAAATAAATAAGTTGCCCCTAAGGTCACATCAAAGACTTCAAAGCCTGTATATTTAACCAGTAAGTAAAAGATTTGAAGAAGCACTAATATCCTATGATCCCATTAAGTCATCCACAAAACATCTCTAGGTTCCATAGCACCAGCCTCCAGAATCAGAGCTCTAGAGTGGTGTGCCTGGACTTTCCAGTTTCACAGAACTTCTATCTGTAACTAGCCCAAGACATAAATTGTAAACAATTTGCATGTAGAAAGGCAGCAAAACACCTTTTGAGATTTTGACACCACAATGCCATAATTTGTACAAAAATAATTTCATGACACTTTAAACTGAAAGTAAATACTCCCAAGTGGTTAGGGAAAGAGAGCAAATAAAGCAAATGGGGTAACATGTAAACAATGAGTGGATCTGGGTAAAGGATATACGAGATTTCTTTATACTATTCTGGTCATTTTTTTTAAGTTTGGAAATATATCAAAATCAAGAGTTTAAAAAATTGAAATGCAAAATCAACAAATTTATCCCAGTTTCTAGACCATAGCATTGTCTGACAATTTCTTAACTGTCACACAAAACCCAGCTTACAACCTAACTTGTTAACGCTCCCTGTCACATCTCTGTCAAACAAGCAGGAGCCTTTGCTAAGTGTTTGGTGAGCTGTCCTCTGCTCAGATAGCACTAAGATCAGGAACCAATGGGAGGAAGCAATACTTTCCCCCAGACCTCCCCACCATTCCTACCACTTGCCTGTTGGCACTTGTCAAAGACTCTCTACTGGTGACCTCACTGTTTGTTCCAAATATCTGCCTTAGTGACTGTCATTTTTTTTCATCTCTCCACTTCTCCTAATAGGTTTGGCAGTGTCAACCATCTCATCATTCTCTCCACCTGGGTACCAAGTCTCTTTCTGCTTGGTGATGGTACTCCTTTTTGCAGTGGACACAGGACTATATTTCTCTGTGAAGACAAACATTTGAAGCTCAACAAGAGACTGGAAGGACCATAAACTTAAATGGAGAAAGGACCCTCAAGACACATGACCCCCATCCCATGGGGGTAATAAGAGCAGTGGCAGCAGCATCTCTGAACATTTCTCTGGATTTGCAACCCCATCATCCTCAGGCCTCTCTACAAGCAGCAGGAAACATAGAACTCAGAGCCAGATCCTTTATCCAACTCTCGATTTTTCCTTGGTCTCCAGTGGAAGGGAAAAGCCCATGATCTTCAAGCAGGGAAGCCCCAGTGAGTAGCTGCATTCCTAGAAATTGAAGTTTCAGAGCTACACAAACACTTTTTCTGTCCCAACCATTCCCTCACAGCAAAGCAACAATACAGGCTAGGGATGGTAATCCTTTAAACATACAAAAATTGCTCGTATTATAAATTACCCAGTTTAGAGGGAAAAAAAGAAAATAATTATTCCTAAACAAATGGATAAGTAGAATTAATGGTTGAGGCAGGACCCTACAGAGTGTGGGAACTGCTGGGGATCTAGAGAATTCAGTGGGACCAATGAAAGCATGGCTGAGAAATAGCAGGGTAGTCCAGGATAGTCTAAGGGAGGTGTTCCCATCTGAGCCCAGAGATAAGGGTGTCTTCCTAGAACATTAGCCGTAGTGGAATTAACAGGAAATCATGAGGGTGACGTAGAATTGAGTCTTCCAGGGGACTCTATCAGAACTGGACCATTTCCAAGTATATAACGATGAGTCCTCTAATGCTAGGAGTAGAAAATGGTCCTAGGAAGGGGACTGAGGATTGGGGTGGGGGTGGGGTGGAAAAGAAAGTACAGAACAAACCCTGTGTCACTGTCTCAAGTTAAGCTAAGTGAACAGAACTATCTCAGCATCAGAATGAGAAAGCCTGAGAAGAAAGAACCAACCAGAAGCACACAGGAAGGAAAGCGCAGGAGGTGAAAATGCTTTCTTGGCCGGGGTAGTAAGAATTAGAGGTTAATGCAGGGACTGTAAAACCACCTTTTCTGCTTCAATGTCTAGTTCCTGTATAGCTTTGTTCATTGCATTTATTAAACAAATGTTGTATAACCAATACTAAATGTACTACTGAGCTTCACTGAGTTACGCTGTGAAACTTTCAAATCCTTCTTCATGTCAGTTCCAATGAGGTGGGGATGGAGAAGACAATTGTTGCTTATGAAAGAAAGCTTTAGCTGTCTCTGTTTTGTAAGCTTTCAGTGCAACATTTCTTGGTTCCAATAAAGCATTTTACAAGATCTTGCATGCTACTCTTAGATAGAAGATGGCAAAACCATGGTAATAAAATATGAATGATAAAATTCTTTCTTCTTCCCTTTGTCCAACATTGTAACAGAGATTGGTTTGGATTGGTAAGAAACACCCCCTCCTCCCAGCAGCCATCTCACCACAACTCATATGAATTAGCCAGCTTGCTTTCCAAATCTTGCTGAGAAAATTGGGCTAAGGGGGATTCTTATGGGAAGTATGGGATAGGAGGGTGAATAAGCATTAGAGATCGTTTTAGAGCATTGGGGCAGATAGGAGAAGGCACAGCTACACAGGAGGTAGAGGCCTGGGCAGAGGTAGAGGGTCAGCCTGATTGTATGAATTATGAGCTATATACCAAGACGATTCAAGCTAGATTACATACATAAATATTACATAAGATTCCGACACGACACAGGTGCATTTGGAAACCTTGGACATTCAACTCACATTTATTTACTACCTACAATGTGCAAGCTTGAGTTCAGGTGCTGAAGATACCAGATGAACAACACAGGGTCATTCCCTGGAGAAGCTTTATTTCTAGTGAGAAAAACAGTTAAATAGGAAGAGAATGAAGAAAGGGCTGCAGAAAAGAGGCTTGATTTGGGGGGTGTGGTCATGAAGGATGAGTAGGAGTTCGCCAGGCAAAGAAGAGAAGAAAAGCCCAAGGTTCATAGGCAAAGATTCAAAAGCCAGAGTGTGAGTTCAAGAAAGCAGTTTGGTTCTGTGTCGGTGAGGGAGAGGAAAGAGTTTCAGGGCCAGATCATGAAGGGCATTACCTTCCAAACTAAGAAGATCGTATCAGACCCTGCAATACATTGAGAGAGTTTAAGCAGACCAGGTTTATACCGTATAGTATTTTAGAAGGATTCTCTGGCAACTACTTGATGGATGGACGGGACAGGAGAGCTGAAGACCGGAAACCAGATAGGGCATGCAAGGCAGGATGCAATAACCCAAAGGGAGCAATGAGGAAGTAACTGGCGGTGAGGCTGGAGAGGAAGGTGCTTAATCAACAAGGTATTTAGGAGGCCGACTCTCCAAGAATTGGCAGCCGGCAGTACATGGCATGACTAAGGACCAGGTTCCACACATAGTGCCCGTTTTCTGAGTTAGGAAATAGAAAGGCAAGGCAGGTACAGGTTTGGTGGAAAGACAAACAATTTGTTTTGGTATTATTAGTACTTACTTCCTTTGGTCAGTAAATTTTCTTAAAGTGTCAGTTTCCATAACGTAATTGCAGTGGTTAAGCAGCTAAGAGTTATCACTACAACCCTAGTCGGAAAAACCAAATACCTCAAAATTACCCGTACAGCACTAAGGCAGAAGAGGACATTGGGAACCACACAACGCGGAGGTCAGCTGCCAGGGATCCCGGCGGTTAGCACCGCGGCTGGTTTTGAGAGCCAAGGCTCCAGCGCTCCCGGCGGATAGCATCGCACGCGGTTTTTTTCAGTGAAAGTTTCAAAAACTCAAGGTTCACAAAAGTGGGACTTCTGTCCCGGGGTGGGAACGAACCACCAACCTTTCGTTTAACAGCCGAAGGCGCTAACCGATCGCGCTACAGAAACGGGCGTTGGCGACCTGGGCTGCCAAGTCACTTCACTGAAGAAAAAATGCTCAGCACTCTTACGTCTCCAAAAAATTTGAAGTTGATTTGAAACCAGTGACACAATTAGCTTTCCGTGCTTCAGGGCGCGGCTCACAGCCCTGAGCGAGGCAGGTCTTTTTTCCGCGCTAGCACTTGCCTAGATCTGGAGCAGGACTCAGCTTCCAGCAGAAGAGGCTGAGAAAGGGAGAGCAGAAGAGGATGCAGGAACGAAGGGTCTTCGGGGAATCCAAAATGGATGCTCTCTGTGATTTCGGGGGTTCCGTTGATTTTGGTCAGAGAAATACGACGATAAGCTTTTTTTGCTGATGTAGACAACTTATGTATGCATGTGCACACGTTTAGTGCTGACTCATAAAAAGGTTATTGTCGTGAGCATTAAAAATATTTTCTTTCAGGTCCAATCACGTCCAGCAAAATGTGATATCTAAGTAAGTGAGTTTTGTGTTACAAAATTAGTCTTCAACCCACGCTGTTTTGAAAGGTTTCTACGGGCATATTAGCCATGCAGACAGAACACGGAGCTTAAAAAGCCTGTAACATTCCAATTAATGGTATTCAGCTTGGAAATAAAAAATATTTTTTAAAAAATGCCTGCAACTTAAGGACTTTCATGCTGACATATCCAGATCCAAATGTCTGAGGACAGAGACCCCTAATTCCACCACCATCGACCTAGGGAATCTCGTCAGTGCTGGGTCTAAAAAGCCTTTTTTTTCTTTAATTCATATATATATACTTCAAGTTCTAGGCTACATGTGCACAAGGTGCAGGTTTGTTACATATGTATACATGTGCCATGTTGGTGTGCTGCACCCATTAACTCGTCATTTACATTAGGTGTTTTTCCTAATGTTATCCCTCCCCCCTTCCCCACCCACGACAGGTCCCGGTGTGTGATGTTCCCCACCCGTGCACACGTAAGTTTATTGCGGAAATATTCACAATAGCAAAGACTTGGAACCAACCCAAATGTCCATCAATGATAGACTGGAGTAAGAAAATGTGGCACATATACACTATAGAATACTATGCAGCCATAAAAAAGGATGAGTTCATGTCCTTTGTAGGGACATAGATGAAGCTGGAAACCATCAGTCTAAACAAACTTTCGCAAGGACAGAAAATCAAACACCGCATGTTCTCACTCATAGGTGGGAATTGAGCAATAAGAACACTTGGACAAAAGCCATTTTCTATACTGCCCAAGACCCAGGGCCTCTCCATAGCCTCCACACAGAATCTCCTTTCTTTCTGCCCTGCCATCCTCTGTCATCAGTGGGCTCCAGTTTAGTTGCAGGTGGAAGTTTTCAATGATGTTTAGTGAAATGAGAAGACATGCAAACATAGATATGCATATGCAGAAATTATATATGCATATATGTTTATGTGTACACATATTTTATATCTTATGTAAAATACATATATGTGTATCATATGTATACTAAATAAGTAAATAAATAAATTTGCCAAATGATCTTTAAACTAGAGTCATTTATTTTTTTTTAATTAATTTTTTTTTTTGAGATGGAGTCTTGCTCTGTTGCCCAGGCTGGAGTGCAGTGGTGCGATTTCGGCTCACTGCAACCTCCACCTCCCACATTCAAGCAATTCTCCTGCCTCAGCCTCCTGAGTAGCTGAGAAGATTACAGTCATGGGCCACCATGCCCGGCTAATTTTTGTGTTTTTTTTTTTTTTTTTGAGACAGAGTCTCGCTGTCGCCCAGGTTGGAATGCAGTGGCGCGATCTCGGCTCACTGCAGGCTCCGCCCCGCAAGGTTCACGCCATTCTCCTGCCTCAGCCTCCCGAGTAGCTGGGACTATAGGCGCCTGCCACCTCGCCCAGCTAATTTTTTTGTATTTTTAGCAGAGATGGGCTTTCGCTATATTGGCCAGGCTGGTCTCAAACTCCTGACCACAGGTGATCCTCCCGCCTCAGACTCCCAAAGTGCTGGGATTACAGGCAAGAGCCACCGTACCAGGCCTAGAGTCATTTCTTTTATTTTAAATTTTTGTCTCTGTTCTTTTGCTCAGACCTGTGGAGCTGGCAATATGGGCAAGTGTCATGGACTGTCTACCTCCAGGAAGCTCCATTGTCACCGACAGGATCAGAAGTGGCATGGTAAATGGTACAAGAAAGCCCATTCGGGCACAGTCCTGAAGACCAGCCCTTTTGGAGGTGCTTCTCATGCAAAGGGAATTGGGCTGGAAAAAGTAGGGATTGGAGCCAAATAGCCCAGCTCTGCCACTGAGAAGTGTGCCAGGGCCAAGCTGATCATCCAGCATAAGCTAGATGCTGTGGTCTCCACTGGCACAGCTGATCCTCTTGTTACAGGTTGGAGGCTGTGAGGCAGATGAGAGAACAGCAAGAAAATCACAGCCTTTGTACCTGATGATGATTGCTTGAATTTTATTGAAAAAAATGATGAAGTTCTGTATCAGGGGAACCAGCACCCAATATTTCAATGTAGGTTCTTTTCTATTTTCCCTAAGTGTTGACCGGTCTGAGAAATGAAGAGAAAGAGTACAAAGAGAAAAATTTTACTGCTGGGCCGCCAGGGGTGACATCACATATTGGCAGGTTCCATGATGCCCACCTGAGCCACAAAACCAGCAAGTTTTTATTAGGGATTCTAAAAGGGGAGGGGGTGTACAAACAGGGAGTAAGTCACAAAGATCACATGCTTCAAAGGGCGATAAAAGATCACAAGGCAAGGCAAAATTAGAATTACTGATGAGGGCCTATGTCCCGCTGTGCACACATTGTCTTGATAAACATCTTAACAGGAAACAGGGTTCGAGAGCAGACAACTGGTCTGACTAGAATTTACCAGGCTGGAATTTCCCAATCCTAGTAAGCCTGAGGGTACTGCAGGAGACCAGGGTGTATTTCAGTCCTTATCTCAACCACATAAGACTGAGACTCCCAGAGCGGCCATCTATAGACCTACCCCCAGGAATGCATTCCTTCCCCAGGGCTATCAATTATTAATATTCCTTGTGGGGAAAAGAATTCAGCAATATTTCTCCTACTCACATGTCCATCTATAGGCTCTCTGCAAGAAGAAAAATATGACACTATTCTGCCCGACCCCACAGGCAGTCAGACCTTACAGTTATCTTTCCTTGTTCCCTGAAAATTGCTGTTATTCTGTTCTTTTTCAGGGTGCGCTGATTTCATATTGTTCAAACACAGATGTTTTACAATTTGTACAGTTAACGCAACCATCACAGGGTCCTGAGGTGACACACATCCTCAGCTTACGAAGATGACAGGATTAAGAGATTAAAGAGAGGCATAAGAAATTATAAGAGTATTGATTGGGGAAGCGATAAATGTCCATGAATTCTTCACAATTTATGTTCAGAGATTGCAGTAAAGACAGGTGTAAGAAATTATAAAAGTATTAATTTTGGAAACTGACAAATGTCCATGAAATCATCACAATTTATGTTCTTCTGCCTCGGCTCCAGCTGGTCCCTCCGTTCAGGGTCCCTGACTTCCTGCAACAGTTCTGGTTGCTGGATTTGGCAGAAAAGGTCATGCTGTTGGTGATATTCCTGGAGTCCACCTTAAAGTTGTTAAAGTAGCCAATGTCTCTCTTTTGGCCCTATCAAAAGCAAGGAGGAAAGACCAAGCTCATCAGCTTTAATGGTGAAAACCCAATAGTAATAAGTTTTCATTTGCCAAAATAAGTTGTTTTTAAATGTCCTTTCTTTTTTAAAATTAAAATTAGGATAGATGATAGTTTTGTGGCTATTTGTTTTATGAATTTCACAATTTGGCAAAATGAAAAGTTGGCCACCCTATACTAGTAACCAACTTTTCTGATGTCATTAGAGACAGGGTCTTGCTCTATCACCTAGGTTGGAGTGTAGCTGCACGATCTTAGCTCACTGCAGCCTGCAACTCTCAAGCTCAAGCAATCCTCCTGCCTTAGCTTCCCAAGTAGTTGGGATTACAGGCTTGAGCCACCTCGCCTGGCCAGTAACCAACATTGTGGGGAAATTTTGTTCATCTGTGAAGTTCAAGTTTGGAACTACCACTCTGTGCTTTACCTCCATTGTTGGATTGACAGCAGAAATAAAAAGTTATTAGTTTCCAGTTGATTGTGAATACACATACATTTCCTGTGCTACATTTTACATGTATGTGACAGCAATGCAAAAGCAGGAGAGTAAAAAGGAAGAATTTTTAAAGAATAAAAGAATAGCTCTCCCTCTCCCTCTCCCCCTCCCCCTCCCCTCCCCCTCTCCCCACAGTCTCTCTCTCCCTCTCTTTCCACGGTCTCCCTCTGATGCCCAGCCGAAGCTGCACTGTGCTGCTGCCATCTCGGCTTACTGCAACCTACCTGCCTGATTCTCCTGCCTCAGCCTGCCGAGTGCCTGCGATTGCAGGCGCACGCCGCCACGCCTGACTGGTTTTCGTATTTTTTTGGTGGAGACGGGGTTTCGCCGTGTTGGCCGTGCTGGTCTCCAGCTCCTAACCGCGAGTGATCTGCCAGCCTCGGCCTCCCAAGGTGCCGGGATTGCAGACGGAGTCTCGTTCACTCAGTGCTCAATGTTGCCCAGGCTGGAGTGCAGTGGCGTGGTCTCGGCTAGCTACAACCTCCACCTCCCAGCCGCCTGACTTGGCCTCCCAAAGTGCCGAGATTGCAGCCTCTGCCCGGCTGCCACCCCGTCTGGGAAGTGAGGAGCGTCTCTGCCTGGCCTCCCATCGTCTGGGATGTGAGGAGCCCCTCTGCCCGGCTGCCCAGTCTGGGAAGTGAGGAGAGCCTCTTCCTGGCCTCCATCCCATCTAGGAAGTGAGGAGCATCTCTGCCCGGCTGCCCATCGTCTGAGATGTGGGGAGCGCCTCTGCCCCGCCGCCACGTCTGGGATGTGAGGAGCACCTCTGCCCGGCCGCGACCCCGTCTGGGAGGTGAGGAGCGTCTCTGCCCAGCCGCCCCGTCTGAGAAGTGAGGAGCCCCTCCGCCCGGCAGCCGCCCCGTCTGGGAAGTGAGGAGCGCCTCTGCCCGGCAGCCACCCCATCTGGGAGGGAGATGGGGGGCGACTCTGCCCTGCCACCGCCCCGTCCGGGAGGTGGGGGGTGCCTCTGCCCGTCTGCCCCTTCTGGGAAGTGAGGAGCCCCTCTGCCCAGCCGCCACCCCGTCTGTGAGCTATACCCAACAGCTCGTTGAGAACGGGCCATGATGACGATGGCGGTTTTGTGGAATAGAAAAGGGGGAAATGTGGGGAAAAGATAGAGAAATCAGATTGTTGCTGTGTCTGTGTAGAAAGAAGTAGACATGGGAAACTCCATTTTGTTCTGTACTAAGAAAAATTCTTCTGCCTTGGGATGCTGTTGATCTATGTATGACCTTACCCCCAACCCTGTGCTCTCTGAAACATGTGCTGTGTCCACTCAGGGTTAAATGGATTAAGGGCAGTGGAAGATGTGCTTTGTTAAACAGATGCTTGAAGGCAGCATGCTCGTTAAGAGTCATCGCCACTCCCTAATCTCAAGTACCCAGGGACACAAACACTGCGGAAGGCCGCAGGGTCCTCTGCCTAGGAAAACCAGAGACCTTTGTTCACTTGTTTATCTGCTGACCCTCCCTCCACCATTGTCCTATGACCCTGCCAAATCCCCCTCTGTGAGAAACACCCAAGAATGATCAATTAAAAAAAAATAAAAATAAAAGAATAATTGAGGTCAAAAGTACAAAACGAGGTGGTGAAATAAATTCAAATATATCAGCTATTTTTTTTTGGAGGGTGGGTGGACAGAGTCTCTGTCACCCAGGCTGGAGTGCAGTGGTAGCATCTTGGCTCACTGCAATCTCCACCTTCCCGGTTCAAGCGATTCTCCCACCTCAGCCTCCTGGGGACTACAGGTGCATGCCGCCACACCCACCTAATTTTTAGTAGAGATGCGGTTTCACTATGTTGGCCAGGCTGGTCTTGAACTCCTGACCTCAAGTGATCCACCTGCCTCAGCCTCCCAAAGTGCTGGGATTACAGGTGTAAGCCACCATGACCCGGCCTATAACAGTAATTATAATAATGCAACTGAACAAAACCTTCCAGTTAAAAGATAAAGTGAATTTTTAAGATCAGTTTTATTCTGTTTAGAAGAATGACATTAAAATGTAAAGAAACAGAAAGACTAAATGGAAAAGGGAATGCCAGGAATATTCTAACAAAAAGAAAGTTGGCATATAGCTATACAATATCAGACAAAATAAAGTTTAAGAAATAATGCATCATTAGGGATGAAGATGGTCATCATATAATAAAAGATTAAACTACTGATGAATATATAACAGATAAAATGGCATTAAAATATGAAAGCAAGAATTAGGCCTACAAGGGAAAATGAACAAATCCGTCGCCACAGTGAGAGAATTCCGCATACTTCAACCCTTACTAGATCAAACAGAAAAAAATTATTAAGCGTGTGTCTCTTTTTCTTATTTACTTTTATTAAGCATATGAATGCAATTAACAAGCTCAATTTAACAGATATATATATATAGAACTGCAATCAATAATTATTAGTTGTACATTCTTCTCAAACTCACATGGGATATTATGAAAACTGACTTTATATGAGGCTGATAAGTTTCTTTTATTTATTTATTTATTTTTTTTTGAGATGGAGACTTGCTCTGTCACCCAGGCTGGAGTATGATGGCACTATCTCAGCTCACTGCAACCTCCGCCTCCTGGGTGCAAGTGATTCTCCTGCCTCAGCCTCCTAAGTAGCTGGGATTACAGGTGCGTGTGCCACCACACCTGGCTAATATTTTTCATTTATTTATTTTTTATTTTTAGTAGAGATGGGTTCACCATGTTGGTCAGGCTGGTCTTGAACTCCTGATCTCAAGTGATCCACCCATCTCGGCCTCTCAAAGTGCTGGGATTACAGGCTTGAGCCACCGCACCTGGCTAAGGCCAGTAAGCTTCAACATATGTCATGGAATCAGTACTATATGAAGCACATTTTCTGAACATAAGGAATTTAACTCAGAAATCAATAACAAAAAATAACTTTTAAAAGCCTTCATATATTTGGAAATTTAAAAAAACAAAATTTATGGAATGCAGTGAATCCTGTTATAATGGGGAAATGTATAGCCAGTGGCTATTCTGATTGGTCAGTGCTATATCTGTTAACTCCTCCACAAAAAGAATTATCTTCTGGGTTTTGCTTTTGGCTTTCCCTAGACATCCCAAAAAGCCAGCCCCCATACCTTGGCTGGCCACAGGGAACTCTAGGTGGCCACTTCCAGAAAAACCACTCAGTGAATCCCAACGTGAAGGGCTAACTGAAGCCAGCCTATGGCAGGTGTTGGTTATAGGTCCCTGTCCCTATATGTCTCCCAAGACAGGGCAGCCTGAACACTGATCCACTTAGCGATTGCGCAGTGTCAATCTGGCCCCACACAGCTGTGGCTAGCCACTACCAGTCAGTACTACCCTTTGGTTCTTCTTGCCTGTGGGCACTGCAGCCTCTGTGGGACCTTAGTACTAAGAGTCAGAGAATATCAGGGAGAACAGGTGGGCAGTAACAGGTTACATTGGAGGCATAAGCTAGATGCTGTGGCCTCCACTGGCACAGCTGGTCCTCTTGTTACAGGATGGAGGCTGTGGGGCAGATGAGAGCATAAGGGAGGTTTGGAGCTAAAGGGTGGCTGAGGTGCAGATGTTCTTTCTTCCCATCCCTGTTGAATTTCACCTCCATTTTAGGGAATGAGACTTAAAATCTCAAACATCATCCCACTACAGGCATTAACAATGGACCCTCCTGGCAATGTTTATACATTTGTAATATATGTTTATATATTAACCCATTGAAGAATTAAAATTATCATCATTATCCTCTTTTACAGGAGGAAATGGAGACAAAGAGAGCCAAGATTCAAACACAGGAAGCACAACAGAGCCCATGCACTTAATCTTCACACTGTGTTGCCTCATCCAGCCTGAATGGTTAGGGTCAATCTAATTATATATGTCATTCCAATAAATGACTTTTGTATAATAAAAGATAACGGATACATAAAACCCTCAGACAGTATTTTAAAGGCTGGAAAATTTGTGAATACAATTGCTGTTAGTTCAACCGGTGACAAAGAACTCAGTATCATAAACAGCATGTTAGGAAAAAGTTTCAACTTATCGAGACTACAAGTCATCTAATGACTATCAGTTTATTAGGAAATTATCAAAAGAGTTTGATTCCCAGCCAAACTGAATCCCTGCTTCTCTCCCATGTAACTCAGTTCCAAATCAAATGCACAGTCCAGTACATCTGAGCTTTTTGCCAGCAGAGAGGGGGCCCGAATGAGTTGCTTACTATGAGGCCACTTGGGGGGGGGGGTTTATGGACTGGAAACGGGAAGGAATGTGCTTAGTTTGCCGGCTGTTTTGGAGAATGCGTGATTTAGGTTGGCCTGGGACCTTGGCCTGGGACTAATTAGAAAGCTTGGCCCGGGACCTTAGCCTAGGACCTCGGCCGGGAATAATTAGGGGCTTAAGTGATGATTTGTAGAGGCTAGCGAATGAACCTCGCAAGTGAAGACACAAGAGCCCCTTTCTGAAGCTAAGACTCATCCCAGGATTGAAATGATCCCAAAGATTCCTCAAGAGTTGGAAGTTTACAAAGGAAGGAAGGGAGGAAAGAACCATCAGAATTTAATCCCTTCAAAAAAAGCCTGGGTTTAGAAAGAGGCCAGGGGAAAGACAGGAAGCGAGTACGGAAAGTGAGGTATTGCTGCAGTTTCGTTGAGGCGTAAAACGAATACACAGCGCGCTGGAGGCTCCGGCTCAGAAAAGTTTTTCGTAGAAGGAAAGACAAAAACGTTTCGTTACCCGGGAATCGAACCCGCGTTAACTGCTTGAAAGGCAGCTGTGCTCACCACTACACCACCAACGCGTCCCCGGTTTGGAATTTTAGAAATCTATATATAAGATAAGCAAAGCGTATGACTTTCCCGACCGTTCTAGCAGTGTCTTTTGTTTATGATCCTGAGGTTAAACATGCTAAGCCCTCCATTGGTGAGAACCGATTCTTATGAATCGGCCCCGCCCCACAAACGGCGGGGGGCGGTGAACGCAGAAGCCACTTGCTCTGGAAGCCGGAGGGCGGAGCCGGCTCACAGCCGAGAGAGAAAGCCGCAGTTGAGCACCGCCGGGGGATTTTCCTCCGCCGTCTTCTCTTCCCCCCCGCACTCCTCATGTCCCGTAGCTCCCAGCTCCGCAGCTGTTCGAGACTCCGCACTGGATCCGCCGGGTGTCGGATTCAGCAACAGTGATTGGTGCGGAGGATCCGAGGGAGACGGGCCGACACAGGGTCTACCTTGACATGGCTCGACCCCTCTACAGAAGCAGAGGGGCGCTCGAAGAGTCGCCAGGGAAAATGGAGCCTTAAGGTTTAGTTTGGGTAGTGAGGAAAGAGGAAAGAGCTGTCGGAGGCTGTTTCATTTTTCCCGCTTTGCGACAAGGTCTAGAGAGAGTTACAATTTTATTTGAAACAGTAAATAGACACATTAATGTGACCTGATAGCGTGCACCATCAGTATATGATAAAATTAGGAGAAATTAGGAAGTTTAGCAAAACGTGTGTCAGGATGGCCGAGCAGTCTTAAGGCGCTGCGTTCAAATCGCACCCTCCGCTGGAGGCGTGGGTTCGAATCCCACTTTTGACAACGTATGTTTTCCATCCTTACTTTTCCTCCTGATTTGAACCAACCAGCAATTATGTTTGAATTCTTAGAGAAAGACTTTTCGATCGGTCAACACTGCGTTTTATCCTGGGTATCTACATTTACGAAAATTATTTGTGCTTCTCTGCACATATAGAACTAAATCTATTTTTCCTGTATTGTAGGCTGGAGTCTGGTCTATGAAAACAGGGAGCAGTTGAGACTAAGTTTAACTTTGGACTCCAACTTCCCAGTGTCAATTTATCCATTCTTTTATTCAACAACAATGTGTTGAGCCCTTTCTGTGCGTCAAGCACACTAAGGCAGGCAGATACCATCTCCTTTGACTAAACAAGAGAACGCCCTCAACACAGGATCCTTTAATTTGCTCTACAGTCTTAGCTGGGTTTTTTTTTTAACGCTAACGCAGTAGTGTCAAACTTTGGTAAGGATCAGATTCTCCACCGCCTTGCCCCGCTCCCCAGCTTTTTTTTTTTTTTTTTTGAGACAGGTTCTCACTCTGTACCCCAGGCTGGAGTACTGTGGCGCGATCTTGGCTCACTGCAGCCTCCGTCTTCCCGGTCCACGCGGTTCTCGTGCCTCAGCCTCCCAAGTACCCGGGGTTCGCGCCTGTAGTCCCAGCTACTCCGGGAGCCTGAGGCGAATCTCTTGAGCCCAGGGGGCAGAGGTTGCAGTGAGCCGAGATCGTGCCACTGCACTCCAGGCTGGGGTACAGAGTGAGACCCTGTGTCCAAAAAAAAAAAAAAAAGTCATTAATGTTATACCAATGCCAATTTCTTAGGTTTGATAAATATAACATGGTTATGTAAGGTTTTAACATTAGGGGAAGTAGAAAGGATATAGAGTAATAACTTTATGTAGTATCTTTGCAACTTGTCTGTTCATCTAAAATTATTGCAAAATCAAAAATTCTTTTAAAAAACCAACAACTTGAAAGTGGTTGCCTGTGAGGAGTAGGACCTGGGAAGGGGGCAAGAAACTGCTTGTACCAAGAATTGATTTTTTTAATAATGGGCATGTGTTCTGATTTAATTTGTTCAAACTTTTTCCCCCCCTTTGGAACTGGGTGACATAGTTGTGATTACAATAATCAAACTAAGACTACATACAATATAAGGATTTTTAGATACCTAGTATACAAGAAACAGTCCCCAAAGAAACTAAACCAAAATGATCAACAGACATTTAAAAGTAAATAAAGTTTGTTTATATTTCTCTGTAGAAAAATAGATTGCACCCAAATGGGAGGATCTGAGATGTCACAACTAAACACGATAAAAATCTTTCTTCTTATATTCCGTGTGTGTTGGGTTTTTTAAAAGGAGAAAAGGCATGCTATCAAAATACTAAGAAACTATATAAAAGTGAGTACCATCAATCCTCTTGAGAAGTTCAAACAGGTTGAGGGGGGTCAATGTTGAGAATTGAGATGAGATTCAGGAAAGGAAGAATGTAATGCAGGATGTACGTGTCACTCCATCTCTCTCTCTTTTTTTTTTTTTTTCAGGTTCCTTCCATGTGAAGCCAGGCTGCGTAAGACTTGGGCCAGGGCCAGGAAAAAAGGGCAGTTAAAAATGTGAAATGACAGCCAGGGACAAGTGCGTTGTTAGTGTAACCTTCTCTCCGTCTTTAAAAAATCAACCTAAGAAATATAATGTATAATGTAGCATTGTTCTAGCCAAGCTCTCCCATAATTTCTGAGATGAAAATAAATCTCCCAATGTGCACAGGGCAAATATACTCTGGATTGGATTGACTGGGAACTAACACAAGGTTATCCTTTTGATTATTTTGTTTACACCAACAAAGCAAAGGCAAATATCCTTGCTTTTATATTGTCATTGACTCAACTGGCAGTAAAGTTGTGCCTAAGGATATTTTGCAGATTCCGTCACTTGCTATAAAAAACACACAACTAGCTAGGCGTGGTGGCTCACACCTGTAATCCTAGCACTTTGGGAGGCTGAGGTGGGCAGATCACCTGAGGTCACGAGTCTGAGACCAGCCTGACCAACATGGTGAAACCCCATGTCTACTAAAAATGCAAAACTTAGCTGGGTGTGATGGCAGGCACCTGTAATCCCAGCTACTCGGGAGGCTGAGGCAGGAGAATTGGTTGAGCCCGGGAGGCAGAGGTTGCAGTGAGTTGAGATCGCACCTTTGCACTCCAGCTTAGGCGACAGAGCAAGACTCTGTCTCTGCAAGTATACAATAAAATGCACACTTTTTCTCACGGGGCTCAGCATCCAGCTGTGTTTCAAAGGAATAATATGACCAATTTCAAAACATCTAGGGGAAGGTCTGGTAATAAGTGGAGTTATGGCCTATTTGTAAGGTGGCATGCTGAGGCTCTAGACTCAGGCAGGACAGGGTTCTTCATTCCAGCCTTCCTGTCCCCACTTTATAGCTTTGTGTCTTTGAATAAATTGTTTAACCTCTTTGAACCTCATAATGCTCATCTTCAAAAAGAAGATAGTATTCCATAATGCTACTGTGAAGATTAAGTTAGATTGTGTATGTCAAGTACCTAGTACATAGTTATCACCCAACTAACAATTAATAGTAATTGCTAATATTTGTTGATAGTATATTATACGCCTGACATTCTTCTTTGCCTCTTACATATATTAATTAATTGAACCCTCACAACAGTCTGGAGGTTGGTACTGTTATCATCATCATCATCCCCACTGCAGGGAAGGAGAAACTGAAGCTTGGAGAGTTTAATTTGCACAGTATATAAAGTGGCAGGGCTGAAAATCTATAGAGTCTTGTTCCAACATCCTCATTATGCCATGGGCAGAAACCACATGGGATCATACTATTTCTCTGACATAGATAAAGTCAATAGTAACTTTAATCGTACCACCAGATCTACTTCCTCTGACATATACCATCCTCCAGAGTCCAGGACTCAGAGTCTTTTCTCTAAAAGAACAATGGATAAAGTGACATGATTACAAACAGCTAATAAGCATGTAAACTATTTGTTAGTGTTATTAAAACAGCTAGACTGACAAACTCAACCAGGTTCCTATGACAAAAATACAGAATTTGAATCATAGGATCACACATGGAAACACTGCCAGTACTTAAGTTTCTCTTCATTCTCTGCTTTTCCAATTCCACATCTCTCCCTCTCTCTTCCTGCATTATATCTCAATCCTCTCCTCTTTACCAGCCCTAACTCTTCAGTACTGTTCCAATGTATTGGCCTCAAACTCTTTTCCAAACCCTGCCTTCCCCTATAGGAATCATGCACACGGTCTCAGGAATATTCTTCACATTCCTCCTTCAGCACCCACCCCAACATTTTCTGCTTCTGAAAGCCTTTATGTACTTTTGTACTTTGATTGGTTGGAATGAAAAGCAAGAAGGAGTTTTAAAAGTTTATTTAGGTCTATAACTATATTTTACATAACAAAATTCATACATACAAGTAACAAAATACACAAAATATAGGTGAAAGCAATGTTAAAGTGCCACACAAGTTTTAATAAATTAATGACTTTTTATTTGAAGCAGAAGAGGATGAACCGCCCTCCCCCCAAAAAGTCAAAAGACTTCAGTTATCCTGGAAAGAAAGTTCTAGCTTTGGAGGGAAGACCCCCCCAAGCCCTTCATCTCTGAAGGGCAGGATCATAGAAGACAGTCTAGAAGGCCCATAGCATAGCCCTGACAGTCACAGCTGACTTATCACGAAGGGCCATTCAATCAACCTCCTCAATGATGGGGCCGGTGCTGGGGTCCCCCTGGTGGGCTTGAGCGCTACAACTGCTGCCCCCAGGGACACCAGGCCCCCCATAGAGCCTGGAGAAGATGGGGCGACAGATTTGCTCCAGCTCCCTCTTCTGATGCTCATACTCCTCCTTCTCTGCCAGCTGGTTGTGCTCCAGCCAGGCAAGGACTTCCTGACACTTGTCTTGCACTTTGCGCCTGTCCTCTTCGGGAATCTTGTCCCTAAGGCTTTCCTCTTGCAAAGAACCTTTCACATGGAAGACATGGGCCTCCAGCGAGTTTTTGGCAGCCACTCTGTCCCTCTGGGCCTCATCCTCAGCCCCGTACTGCTCGGCTTCATGAACCATCCTCTCCACCTCCTCCTTGCTCAGCCGGCCCTTGTCATTGGTGATCTTGTTAGCCTTACCTGTGCTCCTGTCAGTGGCTGTCACGCTCAGGATGCCATTAGCATCAATGTCAAACGTCACCTCTATCTGGGGGACTCCATGTGGGGCAGGAGGGATGCCAATGAGTTCAAAACGCCCCAGCAGGTTGTTGTCCTTGGTCATGGCCCTCTCAACCTCATACACCTGGATGAAGACCCCAGGCTGGTTGTCCGAGTAGGTGGTGAAAGTCTGGGTCTGCTTGGTGGGGATAGTGGCGTTCCTCTGGATCAGCGTGGTCATCACCCCACCTGCTGTCTCCAGCCCCAGAGACAGGGGAGCCACATCCAGCAGCAGGAGATCCTGCACTTTCTCACATTTGTCCCCCATCAACACGGCCGCCTGCACAGCAGCCCCATAGGCCACAGCCTCATCAGGGTTGATGCTCTTGTTCAGCTCCTTGCCGTTGAAGAAGTCCTGCAGCAACTTCTGCACCTTGGGGATGCGAGTGGAGCCCTCCCCCCAGGACGAAGTCATGAATCTGGGCCTTGTCCAGCTTGGCATCCCGCAGGGCCTTCTCCACCGGCTCCAGGGTGCTGCGGAAGAGGTCTGAGCACAGTTCCTCAAAGCGGGCACGAGTGATGGACTTGTAGAAGTCCACGCCCTCGAACAGGGAGTCTATCTCCAGGGTGGCCTGGGTGCTGGAGGACGGGGTGCGCTTGGCGCGCTCACAGGCTGTGCGCAGCCTGCGCAGGGCACGCTTGTTCCCGCTCAGGTCCTTCCCATGCTTCCGCCGGAATTCTTCCATGAAGTGGTTCACGAGCCGGTTGTCGAAGTCCTCTCCTCCCAGGTGGGTATCTCCAGCAGTGGCTTTCACCTCAAAGACACCGGCGTCAATGGAGAGAACCGACACATCGAAGGTGCCCCCACCCAGGTCAAAAATGAGCACGTTGCGCTTTCCCGCGCCCCGCCGGTCCAGCCCATAGGCGATGGCTGCTGCCGTGGCCTCATTGATGATCGGCAGCACCTTGAGCCCCGCGATGGCCCCCGCGTCCTTGGTGGCCTGGCGCTGCGAGTTACTGAAATAGGTGGGCACGGTGATCACTGCGTGCTTCACGGGCTGGCCCAGGTACGCCTCGGCCGTCTCCTTCATCTTGCTCAGCACCATGGACGAGATCTCCTCGGGGTAGAACGTCTTGTCCTCCCCGCGGTAGCATACGCGCACCTTGGGCTTGCCGCCCTCGCTCACCACCTGGAAGGGCCAGTGCTTCATGTCCGACTGCACCGTGGTGTCCGCGAACTTGCGCCCGATCAGCCGCTTGGCATCGAACACGGTGTTGTGGGGGTTCAGGGCCGCCTGGCTCTTGGCCGCGTCCCCGACCAGCCGCTCGGTGTCGGTGAAGGCCACGTAGCTGGGCGTGGTGCGGTTGCCCTGGTCGTTGGCCAGGATCTCCACGCGGCCCTGCTGAAACACGCCCACGCACGAGTAGGTGGTGCCCAGGTCGATGCCCACCGCGAGCTCCCGTGGGGCCTGCATGGCTGAAGCTTCTTGTCGGATGCTGGAGGCCACGGAGGCTGCTGCCGCTCCGCCGTCGAGGGGCGCTCAGCAGTGAGGCTCTCCCTGCGGTTTCTCTGCCGCCAGCCCGGCTCGGATCTGCTCAGCTCCGCTTCCACGGGCTTTTCATCCTTTTGCACCTCCCCGACCCCGCCGCCGCGAACCTTCCCGCACCTTCCCGCCCAGTCGAGAGCCTCCCGCCCGCCCGCCCGGGCTGAGTCAGCCGGGCGGCGCAGCGCGGCGCTGACCCCGGGAGAAGGTTCGGGCGGATCGGGCCGTGAGCCGAGAGGCTGGGCGGCTATGCCAGGCCAGCCCGCCTCTGACTCAGGGCTGCTGAAAGAAACGCGGGGAAGGTTCTAGCTCCTCCCGGCTGGCTCTGAGGACGCGCGGTTGTGGCAGAGGCTGCAAAAGCAGCAACTTTAGAGGCAAGGTCTCCCCGGGGCTGTGGGAGGTCGGATCCCTGAGGCGAGCACGGGCCTGCGGGCTGCCTTGGAGGGCCGCTGAGAGCCCAGCGGCTCAGGAAGGCCGAAGATATGTTACCATGCGAATACAGATATATAAGATATATATACATATATCTTAAAACAGTTTTATCTTGAACAAAATATTTTCCAAACCACGATTTAAGACAGTGCCTGTTTCCTTAAGGAATGGCCAGAGATAATCAGCTTTAAGAGATGACACTGCAGCTCTTTCATCGACATTAGCATTGGTGGTGTAGTGGTAGACTTCTCGCCCGCAACGCGGGAGGCCCGCGTCCGATTACCGGCCAATGCACGCTTGGTTTTTTCCGATCCATTTCAATTCTTTTTCTCATCTAGGATTAATCACTCTTGAATAAATTAAACCAGGTGGCCGAAGACTTTAGGTTCCTCCAGTTTTGTTCTCTTTTACCAGTCACTTTCCACAAAGGAGATGTGACATTGCACTGTGGCCCTGGGACTCGGGAGAGACCTCGCCACTCAACCCAAGAGAGAACGCAACACCTGGGAAAGGAGGACGCAGTGTACGGTCAGGATGTCCCTCATGTTCTCCCCACTGTTTGTATCCCCGAGGAGCCTCGTCTCCAGAGGCCCGGTGGAGAGGCACAGTGTGCGTTTTTCTCTATGGCCTAAGTGGGTTCCCAGCCGGAGACCAGGACTCAGGTGGAGAGTAAACTACTGCAGGCTCCAGTCCAACCTACCTCCTAAAGGCTGGAGGACGAGATGGGTTCACTGGGCAGTAAAGTCACACTGGTTTCTATCAGGCTGTGACTTTGTGAATTGAGGCCATTTCCCACTTTCTTCAATCCAGAACATTCCATTCAGATCTTCTGGCGTTCGGATTTCCGCTGAAAGCCAAAACAAGGAGACATTTCTGAGACTTTTGAAGGTTGACAAAATCCCCACACAATTTTCCGTAACCTCCCCGTCAGGGAATCGACCCCCTCTCTCATGCATGACAGGCAGAGATACTTACCACTATAGTAACAAGGATGGCAACTGCAATAGCTGGCAGCTGGAGAGTATGTGGTACAGTCTGGTGTTATAATTTAGCAGTGTGTTATAAGGAGAAACTTAAAAGTTGGCTTCTATTTAACGTTACTTGCCTGATTCAAAGGAAACTTCCATTTGTAAAAAGAGAAACTAAAAACCCTTACTCCATAGGTGGCTATTTTCTCCTTTGACAGGTTAGAACCCACTAGGAAGTTCAAGGGACTTTTTAAGAGGGAGGCAGGAGTCCAGAAGTAGAGGTCAGTACTGTTCCTGGGCTGGGTTTCTTGGTTAATCCTCTCTCCGAGAGCACCAGTGACAGCTGGTAGAGATTGCTGCTTGAGAGATCAGCTGTACTGGTAAGGTGATCAGTTCAGGAAAAAAGGGAATGTTTAAAGAAATGTGCAATATATGACTTCCACAGTGGAAAATCAAACTGTCCTTGAAAAGAAGTAACCTATTTCATAATTCCAAAAGGGAAAGAAGCTGTCAGCTTTAAATTCACTCACTCTCAGGGTCTAAGCTGGTCACACCTGGATGCCAGAGTCAAGACGTTTGCCGACGGCCTGCAAGAGATGGGTCTTCACCTCAGCAGGGAAAAGTTGGCCCAGCCTGGGGTTCTGTGCCCCGGCGTGTTAAGGGACTGTCTTGTGTGGGCTCCTCCAACCTTCTCTTCCAGCCCCCAGCCACCTCAAAACCCCACTTACCCACTCATCTCCAAGAGTTACAGGCATAGCCCTAACGCAGCCTATGAATGTTACCACAGCATCACAGAGGCATGCTCCCAATGTCACTCACTTCCTTTTAATTGATCTCTTCAGAGTGGTTCAAACATAGCATAGGGGAGCTTATGCATGCAGTACAGTTTTGGTTTTGTTTGTTTGTTTTTTGTAAAAGAGCCACTGCAGGGTTATTGGGGGTTTTTTTGTTTGTTTCTTTTTATTTTATTTTTTTCTGGTTCCTGCTCTGTCCCTCAGGCTGGAGTACAGTGATGCAATCACAGCTCACTGCAGCCTTGAACTCGTGGCCTCAATCAATCCCACCTCTACCTTCCACAGCTTTGGGATTGCAGGCATGAGCCACCGCAGCTGGCCTAGTATAAATTTTATACATACACTTAAATATATCCACTTATGTTTAGTAGCTTAGTTAGAGTAGCTTTAAAAATAGAATCGACCTTAAAGTAATGACTTAAATAGACATTGTAAAGTGGTGCAAAGCTCACGACTCAATATTGAGTACAAAAAAAAAGCAAGTTGTATGTGTTAGCCCATTCTCACACTGCTAATAAAGACGTACCTGAGACGGGGCAATTTACAAAAGAAAGAGGTTTAATGGACTTACAGTTCCACGTGGCTGGGGAGGCCTCACAATCATGGCAAAAGGTGAAAGTCATGTCTCACATGGTGGCAAACAAGAGAAGAGAGAGCTTGTGCAGGGAAACTCCCCTTTTTAAAACCATCAGATCTCATGAGACTTATTCACTATCACAAGAACAGCATGGGAAAGACCTGCCCCATGATTCAGTTACCTTCCACTGGGTCCCTCCCATGTGTTGTGGGAATTCAAGATGATATTTGGGTGGGGACATAGCCAAACCATTTCACTATAGAACAAAAGTTATAGTATAATCCAAACTATATATATATAAAGGTCAGTGACATCCACTACCTGTTTGTCCTTGAACAAGTCATTTCACCTGTCTGGGCCACAGCTTCCTCCGTTTTAAAATGAAGAGATTGGACTACATTGTTTCTAAGGACTTTCCAGTTTAAAGTCTCTGATTTCAAACGTCAAAGAATTTACTCATTCCACACATATTTATTAAGCCCTTTACCATGCACCAGACACTGACCTGGGCTCTGAGTATGTGGTAGTGAACAAAACAGACAAAGACCTCTCCTGGAGCTCGCATTCTAATGAGAGGAGTGGGGAAGTCAGACACAAAACAAACAGTAAACATATATTAATAGTACATCAGTAGTAATAAGCACAATGGAGAAAAATGAAGAAGGAAAGGGACATTAAGAGTATGGGAGGGCGACGGGTTATACCGAATGATCAAGGAGACCTCACTGATAAGGTGACATGTGAGTAAAGACCTAAAGGACATAATGAGGCATAATGTGGGTCTATGAGAAAGAACATTCCAGAAACAGGAAATAACATAGGCTCTGGGCAGAAGTATAATTGGCACGTTCAAGGAAGAGCAAGAGTGACCAACAGCAAGCAAGAAAAAGCAGTAGGAGATGAGGTCAGAGAGAGTGAAGAGCAAGATCCTGTAGCATCTTGTAGAATATTGCAAAAGCTCTAGCCTTTACTCCAAGCACAAGGAGAAGATAGTATATGATTTGGGGAAAAGAAGTGACAAATATGACACATTTTTAAAAGATCACAATAGCTGTTGTGGTGAGAATAGACTATAGGATGGCAAGGGTGAGTGCAGGGAGGCCAGTCAGGAGGCTATTGCAGTAATCCAAGTGAGAAATGATGGTGGCTTGGACCAGGGTGGTAGGAGTAGAATACTGAGAAGCAGTCAGATTGTTGGGTGCATTTTAATGTAAAAGCAGGATTTAACAAGGCTTTACATATTTGAGGAGCCTCTGTCTAGGGTGATATGGTTTGGCTCTGTCTCCACCCAAAGTCTCATCTTGAGTTGTCATCCTCATAATCCCCATCTGTCAAAAGTGGGACCAGGTGGAGGTAACTGGGTCATGGCGACGGTTTCCCCATGCTGTTCTCATAATAGTGAGTGAGTCTCACGAGAGCTTAGGGTTTTATAAGTGTCTGGCACCTTCCCTGCTTGCACTCACTCTGTCCTGCCATCATGTGCAGAAGGTGACTGCTTCTCCTTTGCCTTCTGCTGTGATTGTAAGTTTCCTGAGGCCTCCCCAGCGATGAGGAACTGTGAGCCAATTAACCCTCTTTTCTTCATGAATAACCCAGTCTCAGGTATTTCTTCATAGCAGCATGAGAACACACTAATACATAGAGACAGACTAATACATAGAGTTTGGAAGGGTGGGTGGAAGCTCCATAGCCTCCTTAAAAATCGATGTAAACTATCCAACAGAGAAAGCTGCTACTTTTCAAATGCAAGAATTGTGCACAGTGATGCTGTGTCCCAGGAAAATGGAAGGCTCTTTAAGGGCACTCACCAAACCATCAAGGAGACTGTGGGTCATGTTTCTAATCTGCCTGGAATGACTTCTCTGAGAAGGTCACATCCTTCTGGTAACTGCACTGGGAAAATAGCAGTGCAGGAAGTCAGCAGTCTCCACTGACGATTCACCTAAAGTTTGCCTTTCTGAGAACTTGTGTTCCAAAACAAAGTGAGTGTTTTATTTGCCATAGAAGGAAAGGCAAGAAGACATGGAAACAAGAATACAAGTTCATTAGAAGAAGAGTATTCAGTTTTAAGAAGAGGGGCACTCACCCTACACTCCAAATCTCCATCTCTCCTCTCCTTCACATCTTATCCATTACTACCTTCTCAAGACTTTCATCACCGAAAAGAAACAGACCCCGGATAGTTCAGTCTACACCCCAATCAATACAGCCCTGAAAAGGTAAACAGAATGTTTTGGTTATAATGTTTTATTACAAAGGTAATATATGATCATTATAGAAAAATAAAATAGGTCATCAATAATTGCATCACCTTGAAACAATCACTTTTAATTTGTTGTTAGAGGTTAGTCTATTTTAACATTTCTGAAGTCATATAGACTTACATGATTGTTCTCATGTAACCTGTAACATAAGCATTTCTCATGTTGCTACATCTTTTCATAACAGTGGTTTGATTAATTGTATTGGCTGTGTGGATGTGGAACAGAAGATTCTTGATGTCAAGAATGGCTGAGGCACAGAAGGTGCAGTCAGTCATTTGGGACCATATTGTCTGTGGTTTTCAGGACAGGGAGCATCGGGACTCAGGTAGATGACTCTGGAAGAGTCCTTCTCTTTTGGAACTGCAGCATCCCTTCGTCTTCCTCAAGGGGAATTTAGACCAGGAAATACCAGATCCTCACCTCTCTAATTCTCTTCTCAAATCCCAAGGCAAAACAATGGAGACTTAATGTGGTTCTGGTAATTGGGCTCTTTGTTCTTCTGGAGCTTCCGACTGCATAAGCAGTGAATAGGTGATTTTGTTCTCAGCATGGAGAAGGCAGAAACCAGCAGTAGGGATCCACAGAGAGGGCATAGGAAAGAAGATGTTAAAGAGGCTGGGCATTGGGGCTGATGCTGGTCATCCCAGCACTTTGGGAGGCCGAGGCGGGCAGATCGCTAGAGGCCAGAAGTTCGAGATCGGCCTGGCCAACATTGCGAAACCCCGTCTCTACTAAAAAAAAAAATAAAAAATACAAAAATTAGCTGGTTATGACGGCACATGCCTGTAATCCCAGCTACTGGGAGGCTGAGGCATGAGAATCGCTTAAACCTGGGAGGCGGGTTTGCAGTGAGCCAAGATAGCACCACTACACTCCAGCCTGGGTAACAGATTGAGACTGTCAAAAAAAAAAGATGTTAAAGGAAAAATCTGAGGCGCAATTCATGAAGTTTAGTGTTCCAGTGGCAAAATGTCACAGGCAAGTATTTATTGGGAAAATGTGGAAGCAAAATAAAGGCAATCGATGGGTTTTCAATTACATAATTGTTTTTTGGGGGTAGGTATCTTCTTAGAAAGTCCCTAGTCACCTAATTATATGTTAGTAGGCTGCTTGTGATTGGCTGGGGTTGTCTTATTTCTAACATAAGCATTTACCAGAAATCATCCAAGTTAAGTTTTGCTTATGCTTGTATGTAGTATGACCCCGTGAAGTTTTGCTTGTGTTTGTAGTTTAAGCAAAGTTAAAGCTATTTCTAAGGGCCAGGTGGTTTTGTTTGCTCAGGAATTTTTCCAGTCTCCATTTAAATTTTCCTTTAACAATTCCCCTCTTTTTGTCATCCACTCAGCAAGCTGAGAGTGTGACCACATGGCATAACGTTACTCTTTAGTTATTACTGTTGACATGGTCGTTGGGAGGAAGAGTCAGGTAGATGTTTTTATCATCGTCAGTAGGTGCCCTGGGGTTCAGAGTCATGTAGCCGCCGTCAGCTGTTTCATAGTCATTGTTGGTTTCTTCAGGTTGTCTCTTTCTGATGGCAATCATTTGACGTCCAGGTGGGTGCAGGAAAGCATTTAAAACCCATAGGATAATTCAATACACCGGGGAGGTAAATACAATAACTATAAGGAGAATAATAGCCAAGGATTGAAAAATTCCTCTGAGCAAAGATTCTCGGGAGCCAAGACTTAACCAATCAAATAAATTAATGAATACAAATAAATATTATCTGATGAAAAACTCATGTATGTTCTTTAAAGTCTTTTAAATTTTAGGAGGCTATTGTTTTGCACTAAGCTCCTGCACTAGGCCCAAACAGAACAGACTAAAATTCAAAATGGAATCACCCACGATAAAGTTTCAAGTCACCAAACAGAAACTACATTCTTATCTGGCCTTTGGAAAAATCAGGAGAGAGAGATAATAACCTAATAACCTAAAAATCTAATTTTCCAAACAGGCCAGTTTCAATTGGCATCCTTACAAAAGAGTAACCTGATGTTAACCAACCAGTTATTTATTATTCTGTTTCCCTATTCCTGTCTTTTGCAACTTTAACCAGCTTTAAAATAGCCAATCCACTTTAAATTCTTTGTTTCTGCTTTCTTCAGACCTTTTTCTGTCTATGAAGCCAATCTCCTCTGCTGTAACTCATTGGAAACCTTATTCTAATTTAAGGTGGCAAGTATTGCCCAGTTCTAGAATCACCATAAAGCCAACTGAGATCTTTAAGCATTTCTTTTGACATCAGTAGGAACACAAGCTCCTCCTTGTTAAGCTGTTAAGATACCAAGAACTTCTATTTTGGGGTGCTATTGAGGCTAACTTGCTCATTTTAGATTGTATTGCTTGAAAGGAATTCAGAGTATTCTTCTATTAAAAAAACAAAGTTAATATTTGGAGCAAATTATGATCTTAGTTTTTGAGTTTAGAGGGCAGCTAGGTGAAACAATTTCTAGAGGTGAGTTTGAGGCAAGTTTAAATGGTAGACTGAAGATAGCAGTTGCAATGTGATGTGCTTTACTGGTTTGCAATTTGAATGTCTCTGGTTATTTCATTAAACATTCTGGTAAACTCTCTGAGTGACCCAGATAGCAGCAGGCATTAAGATTGGCATTAAGGCATAAGTGCTCTGTTGCAGTGATTTTTCTGAAGCTTAAAGTCACCAGTTTCAGTTTGCAGAGCTTTGGAAAAGGGCAGTTTTAGTTTCTAGTGGAACTAAAAAACAAAAATTCAGGAGTCAATCTGGTTTATAGGGAGATAATAAAACTTCAAAGAAAATGAACAGGCCTAGAATTTGACAATGGATGCACAATAGTTTTCTACTAAAATATAATCTTTTTTATTCTGGAGAAAAATATTTTTATTTTCCATTTTTACCAAAAATCAAAGTTGACTTTTTTGCAAAAATAAATCTAGTTTCATTAATTTTGACCTGATTATTTATATAGGTATAATAAAAACAGTAATTTTAAAATATATTTTAGCCACAGCTTTGGTGATATCCAAGAGACTTTACTGACTTTGTTATCAGTCAACTTTAGTTTTTAAAAACTATCTAGTAATTGAGAAATCTCAGATTAGACCTTTAAAAGCCTCTCTAGGCTAAGAAGCCAAGCCAAGGACTTGCCCAATTATGTCCTGTCATAAGGAGAATAGATTCTTATTGAACCTATGCAAACACCCAGATTGAAAATAAAAATACTTAATAAGAGTTTCCAAATTCTGAAACAATCAGGTAGAGAGAAAAAGATAAGTGGAACACTTTTTTATTTTTGTTTTAGTAGTTTGTCTTATCTGGAAATGGTGTAGATATTTAATGAATACCTGTCATTTCATTTAACATAGTTAAAGTGGCAAACATAATATTAACAAAACCAACTACCTGTCATCTCAAGGTATTTTTTTGACAAATTGTATAGCAGACAACATGAGCTTATTTGGGTAAAACTAGGTAGAATATTCACTTTCATTAATGCCAATATTCTTATTTATAAAAGATTACTCAGGTCATATGAAGTTGAAAAGCATTTTGGCAAAGTTCTTTTCTTCTGAGAAAATATGTAATTTATATAAGTGCTTATTTTTCTCTAGGCCAGTTGAGCTCCTTTAATACTGTTTCTAATAAATACCATCTGGAGATAGAATAATATGTACAAATAGCATACACATGTGTAGATATATGTAAACATACAGAAAGATGCAAACAGAAATTCATGGCTTTTGTTCTGAAATTTTAGCCATGTGCCAGGTATAATAATATAAAACTAATTAGTTGGATCTAGCCTCTAGTTAAAGTTAGCTGTTCAGATGGCTGACACTTTTTATTGATATTTGTGGAGAGGACTATTAAGATTTTTCATTTGCCAGTTTGTTTCTAAAAAATTCCTCCTTCTTTCTTTTTGATGAGTCATTTCGCTGAAGCTTGTGTTTTAAAAACATTTACACAATTCAAAGGCCCGGAGAAAGGGTACGAAGCTTCTCCAAGAAGGAGTTTTGGGGCATTTTCACCTATTATTAGGAGTCAATCTTATTGAGACTGGATTAAATTTTAAATGAGTGACTAAGGAGACATCTAGTTTATCTGGCCTATTTCCAGTTAGTTTTTATTATTTTTAGCCTTAGTGGTTGCTTTTATAATAGTTCATGTGTGCAATAACAAGAGTTAAATTTAGTTGTTGTAGATACTCCTGGCTCATTTGAGGATCTAATTTTTTAAGGAGGTTAGCATTGAGTAGGTTCAGATGGAAAAAGCAAGCAATCAAAGAGGTTAATAGGTTTAGAATACTTTCTTATTAGCACATTGTAAAGAT
Organism: Homo sapiens; assembly: GCF_000001405.40. Classification (NCBI taxonomy): domain Eukaryota; kingdom Metazoa; phylum Chordata; class Mammalia; order Primates; family Hominidae; genus Homo; species Homo sapiens. The sequence goes on along the minus strand of NC_000001.11, from coordinate 161,596,876 downwards.
TTACTTAGAGAGACTATTTTTTTAAATCATTCTTTTAGAAACCTTTACATACCAATCAAAATTATTTATCATTGTTTCTGAGACATTTGGGATCTCATTTTTTCCCAATACATCCCTTAAATGAACAATTTTTTCTAGATTTAAATATCCTCACTGTGACCATTGCAACTTTAAGTCATCTCTGGTAAGGCTCAATAGGTAAGGCACACCTATTTCTCTAGAAAGTCACAGGTTCTGGGCCCATATTATCTGAACATAGAAATCACTGTGTTTCAGATGGAGGAGTCCCAGACTCTGTACATTCTGACAAAGCCATAATATCTTGCCCTTCTGAAATTTACCTACCTGAGGACTGCAACTGGACCCCCAGTTCAGTTTCTGTTGAACACCTAGTTCAATCTGTCAAGTACCCAATTTGACCTCTGGATCCCAATCCAGAAATCAGACCTTGTCTGGAAACTAGTACACTATACTGGACCTAGTATAGTTCCTGTTGGAAACAGATGAACTTGTCAAATACCCAGATTAACCGCTGAATCAAATGAGAAATAAAATTACTCAAATAAACTCAGAGAGCTCAGGACACAAGTTGCAAGCCTGATATCTGAGAGGGACTTACCTAGTGACTCACAAATGCAGGAAGAAACCAGTGAACACAATGGGCTTAATGGGTACCTATGCCTGGTCACCCATTGCTCTTAGGGATCTTTGGGGGAGATTCTACTTTATATCCTACTTCTGACACCAAACTGTTAAAGAAAAATCTAAGGCACAATACAATTTTAAAGAGTTCATTTGAGTAAGAAGCAATTCATGAATTGGGTGACACCAAACCAAAAGAGGTCTAATGTTTTAATGACAGAAAGTCAGAGACAGGTATTAATTGGGAAAATGTGGAAGTAAAATAAAGAAATTTGATAGGTTTGCAGTTACATAATTGTCTTTTGGGTGAGGTACCTTATTGAAGTGTTCTTAGTCACATAATTATGTTAGTTGGCTGCTTACGATTGGCTAGGGTTAAATCTTATTTCTGTCTAACATAAATATTTACCAGAAATGATCCAAGTTAAGTATTACCTATTTTTAGTTACAATCCAACTTGAGTTTCACTTATGTTTGCAGTTTAAGCAATGATAAGGCTATTTCTAAGGCCCGGGTGGCTTTGTTTGCTCAGGAGTTTTCAGGCCCAGTCTCCATTTTAATTTTGCATTAACAAAGGCAAAAAGAGAGGAAACAGGAGAGAAGGGACAAGGCAGGAAGAAAAGGAGATGGCTGGGATTACTCATCTCAAATTGGGCAGCCTTCACAGGATCAGTGGAATTGGCTGTGGGGAAAAAGAAAAGGATTAGCCAGGGCACTGCTGTTGAAAAGGGCCTGCCCACGCTGATGCTGAGGCTGCAAAACCATAACCAGACTCAAAGCAAGGACTACTGACCCCTTGACACAGTCCTGTAAGGCCAAGGGCTAAGTAAATATGGCCTCATGTACCCACCCTTGGGGTCACCCAGCCACAGCCTTCCCCACGGGCCACACTGGTGGAGGGAAGCAGTCACTTGGGCCACACTCTTTTCAGGGAATTGCTGAGCTTTCCTAGAAGCAAACCAGACAGCTTGGGGATCTGAGATACTGGGGAAGATGTGGAGCAGGGTGTTCAGCATCAGAGTGAAGTAAAGTCCAGATTTTTGCTGACCACATCAGGAAGAGAAGGCTGAGGGCCATTTCCACATTGTCCAAATGTAGTGCATCTTTGTTGGAACTTTGAAGAATATAGTACTCCATGGCATTAAAAAGGAAGACAGAAAGAGAAAGTAACATGAGAGAGAAAAAGAGAGGCAGGGAGGGAGCTTAGGGAGGGAGAAAGGGAGGGAGGGAAGGGGGAAGGAAGGAAGGCAGGAAGGGAGAGAGGGAGGGAAGGAGGGAGGGAGGAAGGGAGGGAAGGAAGGACTTTCTCTGGTTAGTGTCCAAAACACACCTAATTGCCTCATGTTTTTGTCATAAACTGACTTGGCCAGTGTGAAAAGCAGCCCCAGTATTTGCAAAGTGGCATTTCTCAGGAAGTCGGGAGACATCTGACACAATGCATCTAGTCTCTTCTCTCACCCCCTGAACACAGAGAGCCTTTATTGCCATGCTGTAAATTCTGCAGCAAACCACATTCTGAATTCCCATTCTAATACATTCCCCAACAATTCCAGCAAACCAGCTTTGCCTTTTGGGAAAGGATTTTTAAGAAACCATTTATGCAGCCCCAATGCCTGGCTGCAAAAATGCCTCATGAAATGTGCTTATGCCAGTGCAGACAGAACCACACAACAAGATGGATAATCCAGTTGCTTGGACTTTGTATTTTCCAGATCTGTTTTGGCCCTGGTGTGAACACAGGCCCCTATCACCACTGGGCCTGGCCAGCGGACGTGCAACCTTGCTGCAAGCACAGCTGAACAAGTGATATTTTGCTCAAGCTCTTAAATCTGTTGGCTCTGCTCTGAATCATACTCCAGCCATCTGAGGTGGGGTCTTTGACAGCCTTTTTCCTGCCTGTTCCTACTGTCATGGAAACCCCCGGAGAAAGCTCTGGTTTCCTTTATGCTCTGACTTTAACTACAGTCTGGAAGTTACCTGGCATCCTCCTGGAAGTTCCTTTACACACTCCCACCTGAATGTCAGACCTAGAAGGCCTGAGAGGTCACCCTGGCCACCCACTCATTTCCTCAGTGAGGAGACTGAACCCCATCAGGGAGACTGACTTGCTCAGGGCTCCACTGTGTGATGGGGGCAGAACCAGGCCAAAATTCAGTCAACCTTGAGTGCATGGGCATTGGAACCGAGCTTTGCCCACAGAGTAGAGCCCACTAGTGCCCCTAGCCCCCCAGAATTTTCTCAAGCCCAAACCTCCTCTTAGTGTTCCACAGACAGCTGAGCCTGGCCACTCCACCCCATCCCTCCACAGAGGCAGATTCCTCAGCAAATTGAGGGGTTTCCAGGCCTCCTCCTCCTTTCCCCTTAGACTCCTGCCTCCCACGTCCGATTGGCCTCAGTCTTACAGCCCCTAACCCCATCCTCTGCCAGCTCTGCCAAAGCTCCACAGAAAGACCAAAGTATCTCTGATTTCTTGCTCTGGAAATATCATCAGATTCCTGGTACCAGAAATTCGGACACAGCCCTCTCCTCTGTATCTGGGACTGGTGTTTCTCTTCTCATCTCCAGAGAGGTCATCTTTAGGCCCAGGAGTTAGACTCAGAGCTAACCAAGCGATTTGAGCCCCGGCCATCCTCCCACCGCTGCTCCCTCCCTGGCTCCCAGCTGAACTCGCACAAGCCCCTTCTCGCTGGCTGCAGTCCAGCCGGCAGCCCTGGTGAGCCATCACTGAATCCCTGAGACAACCTGTACTCACCTGGTTTCTCAGGGAGGGTCTCTCCCATTTCCCTGCACTCAGGGTATCCTGAGAGAGCTGGGAGGGGCACACAGGAGGTTAGTAGGATTAGGCGGTGGGGCCTGAGTCCTCAGGACCAAGGACCAGGGCCAGGGTTGGATGGGACCAGCTCAGGCCTTCCCTCTGGCAGATGTTTCCTGTCCTCCCACCCCCAGCTCCCCTGCTCAGGGGCCGCTCCCGCCTGGAAAAGGGCTAGTCCAGAGGCAGAATTCAGCTCACCCATGGGGATGCCCAGGAGTGTCAGAAAGGCCACGCCATGGCATCTGTCTGAGGCTTGCTCTGCCTTTTAAAAACACCCCTGTGTCTCAGTCTCTCTCTCTCTGTTTCTCTGTATTTACTTATCATCAGTAACTGAGGTGTTGGCTATGAACCAATTGAAAAGTGCTTTGTGAGGTGTTAGCGGGATTCTTTCTTTCTTGGTGGCTTGCAGTACCCTCTCTTCTCCCCCTTCGACACCCATATGAGCCCCACCCGGCTTCAATCCCTGCCTTGGCCCAGTGCCTGGAGGGTCCTCCTTCCCTAGCTAAGCGCTGCCCTCACACACCACCTCCTCCAGAATGGCAACAGCCCTGTTTGTGTGCTGTTACTGCCTACCAGGCACTGTGTAAGAGCATCAGCCTCTTTCATCCCCATGGCAACCCTGTGAGGTAAGTCCTGTTAGTGTCCCCATTTTCCACATGAGACAGCTGAGGCACAGAGAGGTGGAGTGACTCACTTGGGTCATATAGTTGGTATGCTGTAGAACTAGATTTGAACCCAGGCAGTCTGGCCCCACTATGTGCACTCCATCACTACACTACACTGCTCTCCCTGAGAACTTCTCCAACTGCGTCAGCCCTTGTTGGGCTATGGAGCCTCCTCTGTACTTCTATCCTAGGCTTTTCATGTCCCTATCATTGCTCTTATCCCATCTTATTATAATGACCCTGTCTTCCTCACAATGCTGAGAACTCCCCAAGGGCAGGGACTGGACTTCTCTTGGCATCACCCACCATGTCTCACGCATTGGCTGACACATAAGCTAGTTTGTTCAAGTCTTGTCAAATGAATGATCTAATAAACGAATGAATGACTATAATACAATACGGGCCTAGATCTGAATGTGTATCTAGCCCAAAGAGAGGGATTCTGGCAATGTCTGGGGTTAGGGCCTGGGCCAAGTGGAAACTGATAACCAAAGGGACCGGGAGGAGCTACAAACCTGAAATCCGCTTTTTCCTGCAGTAGATCAAGGCCACTACAGCAGCAACAATGGCCGCTACAGCAATCCCAGTGACCACAGCCACAATGATCCCCATCGGTGAAGAGCTGGGAGCTAGGGAAGACAGACATCAGGACAGGCAGTACTCTCCTTGTCCCACCTCCCCCCCATCCAATGCTATGTCCTAGTGCTTGTCACCCGAAGCTCTTCTGTGTCTGAGTCACTCACTTCTGCAGCACTCACTACATCCCCAGCCTCATCTGCACAGGGTTTCTGTGGCTGGACTTATGCCTCCTGCCTACCGAGGTTTCTCCACCGAACTAATAAAGGCACACTGGTGAGCAGGCAGGAGCAGAAGGAAGGGCTCCCCTTAGCCCTCAGGGGCAGTGGGAAGGGTGGGCCCAAAGCCTCGCATAGCTGGAGGCATCATTACTCTATGGAGCACAGCCTTGAACAGTCCATGACGTGCCAGGCTTTCTGGAGTGAATGGCTATAACATGAGCCATGAGAAGAATAAAGGCAAACCTCAGTTCTTACGAATGCCCAGGAGCTTAGGGAACCTCTGCACCAACGAGGGAGCTCTGCTTCGCTGCCGTCCTTAGTCTGGGGCCTGCATTTCAAAGTGGAACAACAGCCTGGTCACCTATCACCTGAGGGCTCCAAGCTCTGGCCCCTACTCCTGCTCATTGGTCAATACTTAGCCAGGCCTCCACACCACTCCTCTTTGCTCCAGTGCCCAATTTTGTGCTGTGGCCTTTCTCAGACCTCCATGTAGGCCCATGTGACCTCAGCCCTTGTCCATCCCCTCTTCTCCCCTCCCTACATCTTGGCAGACTCCTCATACCTTGGACAGTGATGGTCACAGGCTTGGATGAGTACAGCGTGTAGCCTATGTTTCCTGTGCAGTGGTAATCACCACTGTGACTGTGGTTTGCTTGTGGGATGGAGAAGTTGGGATCCGAACGGGAAAATTTCTTGGATTTTCCATTCTGGAAGAATGTGACCTTGACCAGAGGCTTGTCCTTCCAGCTGTGGCACCTCAGCACGATGGTTTCTCCCTCCTGGAACTCCAGGTGAGGGGTCTGGAGCACCAGCCACTCTGAAAGACACAGAAAACCCCAGAGGACCCGGGAGGTCTTGGCTCAGCTCTGAGACCCAGATCTTCCTTACTGGTGGGACATGATGTGCAGAGGGAACAGCTTAGGTCTGAAATCAGACAGTCCTGGACTCTAATGCTGGCTCTATCATTTATGAACTCTTGGGCAAATAATTTAAGTCTTCTGAGCCTCAGTTTCCTCATTTGTGAAAATGAGCATGATAATGTCATGTATCTACAATAGCCCCTAGCACATAATAGGTGTTCAGGATACACTCATCTCCTCCTTCTCCCAGGAAGGCAGCTGCAGCCTTTTCCTGCCCGACAGGCCTCTTCAGGAAGAACACAAGAGACCCTAAGATGCCATCTCTTCCATGTCGAGGAGGGAAGGAGGAATCCAGTGTGGCCAAGGAGTCTGCATATGATAAGGACATATGCCTTTGTGGACAGTAGAAAAGTCATGAATGTGCAACAAATGTTACCTGATGAATGCTACCTGATAAATTTACTTTGGGAATGTTAATAAATGTGGAGATTCTTTCCAGCAGGGTCTAAAGGCAGCAGTGTCACCAGTGGGTCATTTGTTTGCTGTGTACTTTTGAGGAAAATTTGCTCTTCAGGTGAAGGGAGGGGACTAAGTGAAAAGCCACAAGGACAATGTTCATCACAATCTCATTGTAACTTTGCTTTACAGAGAGCCACCTTTCAATGGGAGCTTTGTAAGATCATCAACCTCTCCAGCAAAATATTTATTAAGCTCTGCCCAGTTTCAGATGCTGGAAATACAAAGATGGGTAAGACACGACTTTCATCTCAGGTTTCCCACAGGCTGGTGGAAGAGAAAGACAGAGAAGAGCACCTAGCACAGTGAGAACGTGGAGAAGGGGCATGGAGGGCGGGGCGGGGGCAGGGAAACACTGATTCTCACCAGAAGCCTCTGAGGGAGGCGTTAGTGCCCCACGGAGCAGGTGAAGAAATGGAAACTCAAGGGTTAAATGAATTCATCATGTTGTATAGTGAGTCATTTCCAGGGCTAGGATTCAGTTGTGGTCTGTGCTTTTCAATTCTGCCATTAAAATGGAAATGGATTTTATGCAGTAGGGATTTCCTTCTGCTTCTCTCACACTTGGCTGCCTGTTTTTGGCCTTGTAATCTTCTTCTGTTCAATCAGGACTGAGGCAAAGCAACCACTGACATGTGCTGAGGCAACTCACAGCGATACTTCCCAGTAAGCAGGCCACCCTCCTTTCCTGCAAACCTCTGCCTGAAAGCAGATTTCATCCATCCTGGCCCTCCCAGGTCCACCCTGGGGCCTTCCTCCACTGACCAGAAAGCACAGTCAGATGCACAGGGTCGCTGAGGCTGGTCTGGCCAGTCTGGCACGTGTACTCCCCGCTGTCATTGTTGTTGGCCTTGAACCTGTAGCTGGGCTGCGTGTGGGTGGGAATGAGATTCCCATTGTGGAACCACGGAATGGAGTCGCTCTCAGGGCTGTGAGTCCCCCGGCATGTCAGAGTCACAGAGTCCTCTTGGAGCACGTTGATCCACTAGGGCTCGAGTTTCAGCACAGCCTTTGGGGGAGCTGCTGAGGGGCAGAGAGAGGAGGTAGTGTGAGGAAGAGGAAGCCCAAGAGCCTGAGAGGCCCTGAATCTCAGACAAAAAAGCACCTGTAGGCCTACTGGGGGCACCAAAAGCTGAGCCAGGCCCAGAATGGTTCTGCAACTGAAGGCAGTTGCTTTTGCTCATACATCCCACCACAAGGGCCCCAGGGAACCCAGGACTCAGACAGGGCAACAGGGAAGAAGGAGGGAGCAGGCAAGAGAAACACCCTCGAAATACATATACTTTACCTGAGATATCTTCACCAGTTCCTTCTCTCTCTCCCCACCAACCTCTCCCCACCAGCACAGACACACAGACACCCCATACATACATACTCTTTCGAGACTAACTTTTCTCCCCGATAAACAAAGGCATTTGGACACTAGTGGATAAATTTCCCCTGGGGCTGGCTGAAGATAAGTGGGGGCTCTGGTGGAGATGGCAGGCATGGGAGTTGGATATCAGGTTTCCGTTCTGACCTAATGTCATTCTGTATACTTTAAAAACGAGGTCAAGATGGCCCGTCCTCACACCCAAGCATACACGAGCCTCTCTGGCCTCAGAAGGATAAAGAGAGAGGGAGAAAAGCCGGAGGGCCAGTCCTGGAGCGGTGGAGGCTGAGTGGCACAAACACAGAAGTGCCCGGCAAAGTGTAGCCAGAGGTATGCAGAGACCACTCTGTCAGGGAACAGGCCTTGGAGCTCTCAGAAACATGCACAGTCAAGGATTTAGCAACACAGGGGGACAACATATGCAGGCCATGTGATTTTGCATGTGCCTGAATTTTATTTGGAGAGAGGAAGCCCTTGGTTTTATTTGGACAGCGGAAGGCAGTTGAGAGAGAGATCAGAGTTCTCATTTTCTGTGACAGCTCCCCCATTTGAACACCGTGGCTGCCTACCACTTGCCTCCGTGGAAGGAGGAAAAGGAAGGAGGAGAGTGGAAGAGGGAGAGGGGATCTTTCGGGAGCAATTACCCTTTCCTGGCCCTGACTTGGTACTGGGCTCAGTTGCTGGTGCATTTAGAGCACCTCCAGACAGGGCACTGGGAGGAGAGGAAAAGGGGACCCGAGGGAAGGAAAGGCTGTGGGTGGAGTACTTACCAGGTGTCCCAGCAACAGGAGCTGTAAGACAGAAAGCAAAGATCAGCCCACAGTGGAGTGTCTGAACTGACACCTGCCCACTTTGGCCCAGAGACTGCCCAGGCCCAGAGCGCCCTTCACCTACAGCACAGCCCTCGTGGCCATATCCCCTGGGACTGCCTGGATGAGCTGCACTTTTAAAAGGACTGAGAACTCCCAGTAACATACAAAAATGAAATAAAAGTATATAACACCCTCTTCCACCTGTTTTGTGGCATTTTCCTTTGGCTTACCCCTCTTGACTGATTAAAATAAATATGCCTCTGGAAAGAGGTCTCTGTTGGGCTTTACATATGATTTATGCATCAGTATAAATAATTTTGCCAGAGTTTATCCTGAGAGCAAGATTTGTTCTTTTGTTGGGAGGGGGTAGAAATTGCACAGGTAATCCATGATCACTACAGAAAAATAGAAAATACGCAGGAGCAAAATATTATCACCTTGGCATACATCCTGTTGGATTTCTTTCTGTGATCACACACAGACACACGCTGTTCACATACAGACATACATAAGTGTAAATGAGGATATACTCTAAAAACTGTTCTTTAACCTGATTTTTCACTGAGCAATGCAAGTTCTAGAAGATGAATCTGTTTCTATGTTGTCATTTTATTTTATTTTATTTCATTTTGTGGGGGGACAGGGTCTCACTCTGTCACCAGGCTGGAGTGCAATAACGCGATCTTGGCTCACTGCAACCTCCGCCTCCTAGGTTCAAGTGATTCACCTGCCTCAGCCTCCCAAGAGCTGGGATTACAGGCCCGCGCCACCACACCCAGCTAAGTTTTGTATTTTTAGTAGAGAAGGGGTTTCACCATGTTGGCCAGGCTGGTCTGGAACTCCTGACCTCAAGTGATCTACCCACCTCAGCCTCCCAAAATTCTGGGATTACAGGTGTGAGCCACCGTTCCCCGCCCATGTTGTCATTTTAAATGGCTACACTATATCCTACTATTTGGCTGTCCTGTGATTTATTTAACAACTCTTTTGCTTGGCATTTAGGTCTTCCAGATTTTTGCTATTAGAAATATCTGATAAAAGGAGGAAGAGACTGCAAAAGGGCACTAGATCTGTGACTTCATGCAGGGGTAGGGGGATGCCACTGGGTTAAGAAAAGAGCTTCCGTAGTGGAGGCAAAGTGTGGGCTAGGGTAGATAAAGATTTGTGGGTGCTGTTATTGGGTAAAGAAGCAAAGCTGGGTCCTTAGGTGAATCAGAGCTCTGTGTGTGTGTGTGTGTGTATGTGTGTGTGTGTCCATCTGTCCATGGGTGAAGGTTTTCTCTTGCATCTGGGCTGAGAGAAAGTCAAGAAGCTTCCAAGTGCATGTATATTTTCAGGGACAAAAGTACGGAAGGAAATGGAATCAGAACCAAGAGGTAAAAAGGGGGCAATGTGGAGAAAGTGTTGGCTTCAAAGTTTACAGAACTGGATTCTGGTCCCGATGCTCCAATATCTCGAAATATACACTTGGACCAATCACTTCCTTCCTTTGCATCCAAAATTAATCAACAAACCTGCATTGGCTTCCTACTGCCCTGCAATGCATGCTGAGTTCACCTAAGGGAAAAGAACGTTAAGTCCCTACTTCCACTGAAGGCAAGAATCTAACGGTGGAGATAAGCACATGTGTAATCTGATGTAAAAGAGATGACATTAGAGGAATTTGGATAAAATGCTATGGAGGTTCAGAGAAAGAAAAGATCCCAGGGCTCTGTGTTTGGGAGGGTTTGGGGTTCATAAGGAGGGGAATCCTATGGAGAAGATGGGACCTTTCAGGTTCATCAAGGACCTTCCAGGACTGATAGGATTTTGGCTGAGAGGGAAAAGGTATTCCATGGGAAGGAGCAGCAAGTACTTGGCAACATTCCCAGCAAGTTGCAGCCCAACTTCTACTTGATTTCTGGTCTCTCCTCAAGCACTTCCAATAATGAGGGACAAAGCAGGAAAGCAAAGTAGAAGTCATACTCTGGAGGGCTCCTAGTGCCAGGTGGTGTGGCAGTGGGGGAAAGCACATACTGAGTTTAAATGCTGACTCCGCTACTGCTAAGTGACCTTTCACAAATTACTTAACTTTTCTCTGCTTCAGTTTCCTTGCTTGTAAATGAAGATAATGACAGCAGTATCTACCTCATAGGGTGGTTGTTAGGATTAAATGAGATAATCCAGAGAAGGCATTTAGTGTGCTACATGACACATGGTGAATTTCAAATAAATTTAAGTTTTTTTTTATAAGTTCACTCCTTGGTTCAGTATACAGTGGGAAGTCACTTAGAATTTTCAAATTGGGGCTGAAAGTGCAGTGTCAAATAGATTGGAACAGGGCAAATGCCAAAGAGCTTAATTAAGAAAGAAACTAATTGTGATGGAAGAATGAGGTCAGAGAAAAAGAAAAAGAAAAAAAAAAGAGATGACTGTAGTGATCCAGAATATGTGGATAACCCATCAAACAACTGGCCTCTTCATTCCCTGAACTGCTCATCATCAGTAAACTTTCTTTCTTTGGAGATGAACTTTCTCTGCTCAAGTACAGCCACCAGAATAATCTTTGACCTTATCAAGAACCCCAAAGCATCCATCTTACCACTGCCTATCCTTGAGCACATGTTTGCCTTTACCTCCCACCCTCCCCCATCTAGCTTGAATTCAATGAGGCATCATTATAATTACCTCCTTGCAAATCCCCTTAACTTCGTTGCCTTTCTCTATCTCTACCAAATGCACCTGTATTCGCCATGCCTTTACTTGCTCAGCTGCGTGTTATTGAAATTACCACACAAGAAGGCAAACTGTTGACGCAGTAAATGTGCGATCACCGCATTTAAAAGGACACTGAACTGCCATTGTGGCACTTTTTTCCAAGAAATTTGCTCTGCTACTCTGAGTAGTGACACTCATCTTTTCCTCATTCCCCAAGCTTTCTCATCCCACCCTCTGCCTCCAGTCCTCTCTCATTTTTAGCTGATGCCTTTCCTCATATTTCACAGAGAAAACAAAAGAGGTTACACAGAAGATCTCACATCGTCCCCCGACTAAATCTACCAGTCTTTTCTGCATCTCTACCTGTCTTCTCCTTCCTCGCATTTCACTGGAGAAAGCATCTCTCCTCCTGTCTATGGTCAGTCTCAAAGCAAGTACTCTGGATCCCATTCCCTTTAATCCTCTCAAAGATTTCCCTTTCTGTTATTCACTTTCTCCTCTGCATCACCAGTTTCTCTCTTAGCTGGATCTTCCCATCAATGGTAAATTTATTTCAGTATCTTCCATTAAAAACAAAAAACAAAAAAAAACTTTTCCTTGACACCACATATAATTCCAGCTACTGCCCCATTTCTCTCGGTTTTTGTTGTTGTTGTTGTTTGCTTCACCCAGGCTGGAGTGCAGCGGCACCATCTCAGTGCACTACGACCTCCGCCTCCCAGATTCAAGCAATTCTCCTGCCTCAGCTTCCCAAGCAGCTGGGATTACAGGCATGCACCACCACGCCCGGCTAACTTTTGTATTACCACCACATCCGGCTAATTTTTGTATTTTTAGTAGAGATGGTGTTTCACCATGTTGGCCAAGCTGGTCTTGAACTCCTGACCTTAAGTGATCCACCCACCTCGGCCTCTCCAAGTGTTGGGATTACAGGCATGAGCCACTGTGCCTGGCCTGTCTCATCCCTTTCAAAACTAAATTTCTCCATTGTTTTTCTTACATAGGCTGTCCTGATTTCTTCTCCTCTCATTCACTGTCTAATTCTCTGCAATTTGGACTCGGCCCTCAGCAGTCCACTAAAACTTTTCTTGTCAAAATCACCAATGGCTTCATGTTGTCATAGCAAGTGGACACATTCTGTTTCTCTCCGTCTTCCCCATGTCAATATGTATCTTCGTTATCCACCCAGCTACATAGGCCAGAAACCTGCAAGCCATCTTTTAACCTCTCTGTCTCCCAAAATCCAGTCCCTTCCACACCAGGAAGTCTTGTTGATCCTGCTTCCAACTTAGATCTTGCACCCACTAACTTCTCTTCACCCCCTTTATAGACACTACTCAGTTTAAGTCACCATCAGCTTTTTCCCATATCTTAATTTGTCCCCTCACTTCTTATGGTCACCCTACAATCCATTTTCCATAAAGAAGCTAGTTCCTTAAAAAAAAAAAAAAAACGAAATCAGATGATATCACTCCCCAACTTACAAGCCTTCAGTTGCCTTTCTTTGGTCTTAAAATAAAATGGAAATGGCCTGCAAGCCCTATCAAATTGGGTCCGTGCTTCCTTCTCCAGCCTCAGCTCAGATCCCTTTTCACCTACTCATTGAGCCTCATTAACACTGGCCTTCCTGGCATTCTTCAAATTTGGGGATTTTCTGTATGCCAATCCCTCTACCCTGAAATGCGTCCTTGATCACCAAATGGCTGAATCCTTACCATGTTGAAAGTCTCAGCTTAAATGTCACCCCCTCAGAAAACTCTTTACATAACATCCTGTTTAAAGTGGGCTGCTCTCTTCTCTTCCCCACAACTAATCTTATCACAGTACCCCGTTTACATCTTCATAGCCCTTTTCCATTTGTACTTATGCCTTCTTGTTTGTTTACTTACCGTTTATATCCCTCAGTAGAATATAAATTCAAAGAGAGCAGTAGCCATATTAATTTGATGTGCCATTGCTCTGGAAATCATTCACTGGTTGAATCTAGGTGGGAGATAAGAGAGCCCAAAGTTGTACTGACAATAGGAGGTGAAGAAGAGGAAACAGATGCAGAAGAAATTTAAGTGGCAGAGAGAAGTTGGCATTTAATAGACTGTGGGGGTGATTTAAGTTGGATAACTAGGAAAAGGGTGGCTGCGCTTACGCAAATACAAATGTTAGGAGGAAGAGAACATTTGTAAGGAGGAGATGATAAGTTGCATTTTGAATATGCTTTGTTTTTGAGCTGGAGAATCATTTTAGAGGTGTCCAACCAGCAGTGGAAATATAAAATTATACTTGACAGAAGCAAGCAAGAGAAATAGGTTTAGGAGTTATTGACATAGAAGTGGTAGCTAAAAACCTGAGTATGTAGGATTGGCAAGGGGGACGGTGTAGTGGGAGAGAGAGTAAAAAAGAAGAGGAAGAGCGAGAGAAAAAAAAGGAAAAGATGAGGAAAGGAGAGAGAAGTCACCAATTATGTATCCATTCCACAGTTAATAAATAGTAGTAAATACCAAATATCCTCCCACCCGGTGTACTTATTGCTTCACAATAAGTTCATTGACCTCGTATTTCCGGTCAGGAAGGCTGTCAGTCATGTTCACTGATAAGTCTCCAAGTCCTAGAACAGTGCCTGCACATAGAATTTGGAGAGTCAGCAGGAGCAAAGGTGGTAAAAACAGAAAGTGCAGTGTACATACTGCCTGGCTGTAGAAGAAGATTCATGTGGGGTGCAATGGAGAACACAGTGTGCAGGGCAGAATTAGAGTTTTTGCAGTGGGCAATGGAGCAGCACGGAAGGCATTTATTAAATGCACTGACACAGCCATAGCTGGACCTGAAGATGCCGTGGCCTTGGTGGGCAGCATGGATGCAGGGGAGGGGAGACAGGATCAATCAAGACCCCATCAGAGGGTGCTATAAAAATTGAGTTATCAAGTGATGAAGACGTAAATGTGGCAGCCCCAATAAGAATGGAAAAAATGGGGTAAATCTTTGATGACTTAGTAAAAGGCAAATGGGAAAAAATACCAAAGATCTTTCCCAGGAGTCTTGCCCAGGTGGTAGAGAAGCACATCACCTCTCTAGGCCTGAACTTCCCCACATGACAAATGAGGTAGTTCACTTCACTTTCTCTTCTACTTTAATCCATTCCATCCTATTCATGGGGGAATACTCTGTCTTCCTTACCTCTTTCTCCTGTAGCCCAGTATCATCCTGCATTGACAGCCAAGAGCCGAGGGCCCCCAGAGCTGATCACGTTTCACTAGTAATCACATCACACAACTTGGCTGAGTGGCAATATGCTTTCCTCTAGAATGTGAGGGTGGAAGCCCCAGGAACTGAGCTTGGAGAGATAGTCCTGGCAGTAAGTCTCCCCTACTTGGCCTCCCCTAGGCTTTTCAAACCACTCAGCAAAATCAGTCGTCGTCCCCTATCCAACAGCTGAGAACATGGTTAGAAAAGAGCCCTCCATTTTGGCCAAAGACCCTGTCTCTCTTGCTGATCAGATGCAGTACTTCCCCATCATGGTCTGTGTGGTCAAAAGCAGCATGCATGATTTCTCTGGTCCCACAACAGATGACTCCAGACTTACCCAGGTTTTTGTATTCTCAGAGTCCCTTTTCCCTGGATAACCCAGATCTCCCTGTGCTTCTGCCTAGGGGAATATTCTTACACATGAAGACAATAGGCTTCTGCTACACAAAGTGGTTTCAGGGGCACAGAGAATGGCCACCGCCACCTCCTCCCAAAAATGCATCTTACAACTTCCTCCCTACCCCTTACCCAAGGCAGCACTGGCCCTCCTGCCTAAGATTTGGTCTTTTGTGAAGCATAAATTTCAAAGAAGGCAAACACTCTGGCCATTCATTTATCATTCAAGTATAGGTTACTAGACTTTTCTCAGAGCGGGTTCTGATGTGGAAAGCAACAGAACATCAAGAGTCTGGGTGTTCAGTAAGATTGGGTGAAAGACACTGAAAAAACCCTGAACTCTGCCACATTGGATGACTTTCCAAAGCCAGCAGAGTCATCAGGGTTTCATCTTCACCAGCCTGCCTTCCCTCCCCTGGGTGTCCTGACGGTCTTCCCATGCCACCCCTCATCCTTGCCCAGGGTTATCCCCAACTGAGGTTCCCGTTCCTCTCTCCCTCCTGGGGGCCCTGACTCACCCAGGAATAGCACAGCTGTCCACAGAAGCATATGACCCCAAGGCTGGGGGGACTTGCAGTCAGCCCAGTCACTCTCAGTGGCAAGGACAGGTAAGAATGACAGGATTCCCATCACTCCCTGGAGCGAGCTGGCGCCCAGAGCACAGCAGTCACAGCCTTCTCTCAAAGCTTGGCGGATTCTACCCTAGAGGGCAAACAAATTCTGGAGTCTGAAAGGGGAAGTGAAAAAGAAATGTTCTGTTTTATCACAGGCTCCTCCCTTTCCACCCTCTTTCCTCTCAGTCTTTCCCTCCTAGAAGATTCAGAGCTTCCCAGAATAAATCTGGTGTAGCCCATGTTCAAATTCACAGAAATTTTAGAAACTAGGGAAACAACTCCCTTCTTCTTCCTCTGAGGCCACAGCTGGCCTGGGCCTCTGGGAGAAAGAGGGAAATGGTCACCAAAACTCAGCTCAGAACCTCCTGTTTCAGTCTCTATCCTCCTGAGAAAGGGTGATGCAGGACAGCGTGCACCAGCAATCTTCTAGTACTTCTACTTCCATTTGGAGACCCAGGCCCTGGAATCTGGATGCTTCTTGAAATTGAGCATGGGGACTCCAGGCCACCTACCATCATTTAATTTTCTCTATTGTCATAATCCCAGACTCACTGCTGAGTTGTGGAACAAGGACAAGGAGGTATGTCAGGATGGCAATAGAATGACCACACTCATCCTCATTATTCCCCTGCCCTCATTCATTCTTTTTCTTATTCATTCTTCTATTTAATGAATATCCCAATAAGTATCTATTGAGCACCAATCTGTGCCCTGGTTTTGTATCTTGGTCATTTTTGCCACCCTCATTTCCATCCCTGTTCTCACTGCAACGGCATGGTGAAAGAGCATGGGCTTTGGAGCTGTGTTAGGTTTCGGGTTGAATGCCAGGTGGCTTCTCAGAGTGTCAGGTTCCAATCTGTAAAAGTGAAGATTATTGTGCCTACCATTTAAGCACGGTTTCTCAGCCTGAGCACTATGGACATTGTGGGCCAAATTATTCTTGTGAGGACCTTCCCTGAGCATTGTAGGATGTTCCGCAGCACTCCTGGGCTCTACCTGTTAGATGCCAGTGGCACTCCCAGTTGTGAAAACAAATATGCCCCCAGATATTAGCAAGTGTTCCCCAGGGGATGAATTGCCCCTGGCTGAGAACCACAGTACTACAGGTTTTTGGAAAGTAAAAGAGAATATGAGGGTTAGCAAAGTGCTTGGTACATCGTGGGTGTCCAGTGAATGCTAGTTCTCTTTTCTTGCGTTCTGTCATCATCCTCATTACCATTTGTTCACCCTCAACATCTCCAAAACACGAGTTTCTCTGGAATCTCTCCTGGGGCCCCTTTCTGGGGACTCTTTCCCAAATGCCTTCTCAGGAAGCAGGCTGTAATACTTTAATACTTAAGGAAATGACACTGTAAAACCTTGTTATCACACTCTGTGGTCTTCAGAAACCTTCGACAGCCCCACCCACTCTGACGCGTGCTTTTACTACTGCCCCCGTTCTACCCCCAGATCCATCTCCAGCTCTTATCTAATTTTTAGGTTAAAAATTAGTTTTTTTTTTAACTGGCAATGTGATAACAATGAGCTGGCATCAATACTTTATAAATATCATTAGAAACAAAGGCATACAATATATAGGTAACACACTAAGAAACCAAAATTAATAGTTACTATGTAAGCATGTGAATTCTTACTGTAAAACCAAGGGTATCTGAGACAGGTGGCAATTAATTTAGAAGTTTATTTTGCCAAGGTTAAGGACATGCCTGGAAGAAAACAACACAGAATCACAGAAACAGTATGTGGTCTGTGACTTTCTCCAAAGATGAATTTGAGGGTTTCAATATTTAGAGGAAAAGCAGGCTGGAGGGGAAAGAGGAAGAGTATGGTAATCCACGTGTTGTAAGGGAAAAGTAGCAGGTAGGGGAATAGTCGATTATGTATTGTCTTGCTCTCGGTAAATTGGCACTTCATGTAAGATAAGGTAGAAACGAGTAACCTGTGGAGTTTTTCCTTTCTTTCTCTCTCTTTCTTCCTTTCTTTCTTTCTTTCTTTCTGTCTTTCTTTCTTTCTTTCTTTCTTTCTTTCTTTCTTTCTTTCTTTCTTTCTTTCTTTTTTTCCTTCCTTCCTTCCTTCCTTCCTTCTTTCTTTCTTTCTTTCTTTCTTTCTTTCTTTCTTTCTTTGTTCCTTTCTTTCTTTCTCTTTCTTTTTCTTTCTTTCTTACTTGCCAGAGTCTCTCTTTCTTTTTACTTTACTTTACTTTACTTTCTTTCTTGCCAGAGTCTCACTCTGTCGCCCAGGCGGGAGTGCAGAGGTGTGACCTCGGTTCACTACAACCTCCGCCTCCCGGGTTCAAGCGATTCTCCTGCTTCCTCCTCCCAAGCAGCTGGAATTACAAGCATCTGCCACCACGCCCTGCTAATTTCTTTCTTTCTTTCTTTTTTTTTTTTTTTTGTATTTTTAGTAGAACTGAGGTTTTGCCATGTTGGACAGCCTGGTCTTGAACTCCTGACCTCAAGTGATCCACCCACCTTGGCCTCACAAAGCGCTGGGATTACAGGCATGAGCCAACACACCTGGCCATCTACGGAGATTTTTAATCTTTTCTCTGTAGCTATCTGCTTAGGATCCAACGGAAAGTCAGTATCTTGCACGACTCAGCTTTCAGTTTAATTTGTTTTTTCTTTTGGCACAGTGTATTGGAATCCTGAGTTTTTATTTTCCTTTCACATTATTACTATGGAGGAGGCACTAGACTCACATTATTTCTAATTTTCAACAATCCCAGAAGATAAGTATTATCACCCTCATTTGCACATGAAGAACTTAGATTCAGAGAAGTTAAAATGATTTGTCCAAAGCTACATGGTTAATAAGTGGTGGAGTCAGAATATGAAACCAAGTCTGCCTGACGCTAAAGACTTAGGTTTTCTACAACACTAAATGAGCTTCACAAACAGTATGCAGGGACCACCTACATGCCTTGTATGAGTAACCAGCACACAGAACTAATGAGTGGCTCTCAGGCCTAGGAATAGCCAGGTAGGGCCAGTTGCCCCTGGCTGTAAGCAGCCTCATTTGTTTATAACTTTACTTGTGTGGTTTTCTCTGTGCCACGATTTAAAAATGATCAGGAAGTCCTACACAGTGCACATGCTACTTCCCTGAATTGTCTCAGGATCCAAATACCACTACTAGACATTTGACTGAGACAAAAGAACCAGACAATATCTTTTAGATGACTTATTAAAGGAGATAGACACAGAATCAGGTAGGGCATTTCCAAGGACACTAAATCAAAACAGAAATGAGTCTCTTTTTCCCATCACGGCTGGGAAAGGGAAAGCACAAAATACAAGGAGATATTTCTAAAACAAAATGGTTAAAATAGAGGGGCACACTATTTATTAAAACTGAAATATGTCAGTCAGAAAGGAAAATTCTTGGGCGGGGCCCAGTGGCTCACACCTGTAATCCCAGCACTGTGGGAGGCCTAGGTGGGCAGATCACTTGAAGTCAGGAGTTCAAGAGCAGCCTGGCCAACATGGTGAAACCCTGTCTCTATAAAAAATAAAAATTAGCTGGGCGTGGTGGCGCATGCCTTTAGTCCCAGCTAATTGGGAGGCTGAGGCACGAGAATCGCTTGAACCCGGGAGGCAGAAGTCGCAGTGAGCTGAGATCATGTCACTGCACTCTAGCCTGGGCAACAGAGCAAGACTTTTCTCTAAGGAAGAAAAGAAAGGAGAATTCTTTGAAAGGGACGATTTTATATAAAATGTGTATTCTGGTAAGGGGAAAAGTATGAATAACTCAAAAATCATGAGAACCCATAATGAAGATGCTTGGAGACAGACCCAGATCAAGAGCCTCATCTTGTCTCTTATCAGCTGTGCAGTCTTGGATATCTTATTTATCCTTTTTTTTTTCTTTTGACAGAGTCTTGCTCTGTCACCCAGGATGGAGTGCAGTGGCACGATCTCAGCTCACTGCAACCTCCACCTCCTGGGTTCAAGCGATTCTCCAGCCTCTGCCTCCCGAGTAGCTGGGATTACAGGCATGTGCCACCACGCCCAGCTAATTTTGTATTTTTAGTAGAAACGGGGTTTCACCATGTTGGCCAGGCTGGCCTTGAACTCCTGACCTCAAGTGATCTGCCCACCTCGGCCTCCCAGAGCGCTGGGATTACAGGTGTGAGCCACCGTGCCTGGCCTATTCATGCTTTGTAAGCTCTGTTGTCTCATCTGTGAAATGGAGATTACATTAGTACTCACCTTATAACATGAAGATTAAATGAGAAAATCCATAAATAATGCTAAACACAGAACCTGCCATATAAATTTAGTCTTAATCATTATTATCATTAAAAGGCTAGAAGAATCTAGTCTCTGCTTCCAGTTGGGACTAGTGTTTATAGACCCACTTTGGGAAGGCAGATTAATGTTATAAACTCAAATGGTTCCAATTGTACATACTCTCAGATTCCAGCCTCTTGATTCAGAATGTACTCCTTTCTTTTTGTTCTGCTTGGTTGAATTTTGTTTCTCTTCCTCTTAATATCCTGACCACAGGCTCAGTGAATCCCTGTGGTTGTTTTTATCAATCCTCTCTACAGTTTCCTCCTTATAGCCACTTCCCCACAAGCTGAGACAGCCAGGCACTACAGTCAGCTGCCAACCCCAAAGGAGAGGGAAGCCTGGCAGAGAAGGCAAGCACCAGGAAAACAAACAAAAAGGATGATTGACTGATGGAGGCTCTGGTTGGAGAGGCCTCAGCCAGGTCTAAGCATCAGCCACACCTCCTCAGGGAATTCAGGTCTTTGTGTTAAAGCATCATCATCTCTAACAACCCATTAGAAATGCAAATACCCGGCCAAGAGTGGTGGCTCACACCTGTAATCCCAGCACTTTGGGAGGCCAAAGTGGGTGGATCACTTCAGCCAGGGAGGAGGGAGAGAGTAACATTTCTAAGTTTTATGGCTTGCTTTGGGGAAGAGGGATTTTGGTTTCTATGACTTGCTTCAGGGGAGAAGGAAGGGTAAAGGACAGAAGGGCAAGAGAATGTCAGAGAGACCTTGCTTCTGAGGTCTTCCAATCTCCCTTAGTTCAAAGCACTCAGCAGGCCAAAGTGCCATATATTGGGGTATTGTTTCTGTGCCCCAGCTGGCAACACTGGGTAAAATTGGAAATTAGTCAATGCTTATCATCATTAGGAACATGGTGGTTAGAACCAGGAAGAACTTGTAAAAAGTATCCAATTATTGGTGAAAGAACAGACAAATAGATTAATGGAACAGAATAGGGAGCCCCCAAATAGGCTCACATGAATAGAGTCAACTGATCTTTCACAAAGAAGCAAATGCAAAGCAACTGAGAAAAGTCATTAAAGACCCTCGTTTCAGAGGAGTACTGCCCCACACCCAGGAGGAAGGAATGGTACACAGGCCAAGAAGAATCTAAACACACAGGCCTTGCTAAGTTTTCCCCATCAGTCTGTTAGCATCAGACTCTACCCTTTATCCAGTCACATTTCTACAGGGCTAGGCATTCCTCATTGAACCTAAGCATAAAAACAGAGTCTTCCCTGAGTCTTTGGGTCTTCATTTCAGAAGGCTCCTGCATCATGTAAAATTTTGATAAAATAAAATAAAACTTTGACAAACTTTTCTCTTGCTAACTCATCTTTTGTTATAGGAGTGTCAGCTATGACGCTCATGATGGGCAAGGAAAGTTATCACAACTTTCCACCTCTATGAAGCTCCAGATTCTACTCTCTCTTCAATGATGATTTTCAGTATGAGGGTGCCCAGTCTGCCACAACCTGTCAGGGACAGAAGAGAGTTGAGATCTTAGGTAACCCCTGGGCAGGCTCATCTCTGGGGCAACACACAGAAGGGTGAGGACAAAGAGATAGCTTACTGTAAGTGCCACCCTAAAAAGGTGCTAGCCAGGAAGGAAGATGTAAGCCATCCCCTGGAGAGAAAGCAGAAGGGTCGAGAACCGGAAATGTCCATTAATCAGGTATCCAAAGAAGAAGGACTGATGTGTGAGGAGTCAGAAGCAGAAGGGAGGGTGCCGGGTCCAGGGCCAGTTTGAAACAAATCGTGTCAGCCAGGCATGGTGGCTCACGCCTGTAATCCCAACACTTTGGGAGGCTGAGGCAGCCAGATCACTTGAAGTCAGGAGTTCGAGACCAGTCTGACCAGCATAGTAAAACCCCATCTCTACTAAAAATGTAAAAATTAGCCAGCTGTGGTGTCACACACCTGTAATCGCAGCTACTTGGGAGGCTGAGGCAGGAGAATTGCTTGAACCCAGGAGGTGGAGGTTGCAGTGAGCCAAGATCATGCCACTGCACTCCAGCCTGGGCAGCAAAGCAAGACTCTGTCAAAAAAGAAAAAAGAAAAAAGAAAAAAGAAACAAATCTTGCCACCATCAAGTTCCCATCATCCATTTCTCTTTGTGCATTTATTGGCAGATTGATAAGGCAGGACAGATCCTAAAAGTGATTGGAATGTAAATAAAGGAGATCTCTGCCTCTACTAAATAAATACACAATAAAAATTAAAAGGAGATCTCCTCTGACCAAGGTATTTCAGTAAAGTTGCAAATATGAAGGTAAGTATTGCTGCTGGTTGAGTAGTCTTATGGAAAAGCCCTTCAATCGGGTCGCGGTTTATCGTTCTAGAAACTGGGAAAAGTATTTTGTACGAGAGGACAGTGGAGGTTCCTGCTCAGCATCTGTTCTTTCCTGTGGCCTCCAGTCTCAGTAGAGACCCTAGGAGAAGAGTTTACTGTGACTGGAGCAGAAGAGCAGGCTGCAGTTAACTTGGTCCCTGGCAGAATTACAGAAGTAAAATGAGGTCTTCAGGAATCACTGGAGGGAAATGATACTGAGAGTGGCAATAGCAACAAATTCTGAGCAGGAAAGCAATAACTCATGGGGATCAACTAGTGACTGATTTACTCAACCCATATGCAGTGCTCTAACCCAATGTTGACTCTGCTAGGTAAGAAAGATGGGGTGGGGATGGATGGGAGGAAGAAATGAAGAAATGAGAAGAACAGTGGTCTCTGTCCTGAGGAACCCTCATTACAATGGGAAAGATAGGATATTTGCAGGAGACAGATATAAAAACAATACAAACCTATCCTGTGCTTCACCTGAATTAGAGCAGAAAGTCGTAGAATTAAAAATTGAGGCTGGGCACGATGCCTGATGCCTGTAATCCCAGCACTTTGGGAGGCCGAGGCAGGTGGATCACCTCAGCTCAGGAGTTTGAGACCAGCCTGGCAAACATGGTGAAACCCCATCTCTACTAAAAATACAAAAAATTAGCCAGGGGTTGTGGCACGTGCCTGTAATCCCAACTATTTGGAAGGCTGAGACAGGAGAATTGCTTGAACCCGGGAGGTGGAGGTTGTAGTGAGCCGAGATCACGCCATTGCACTCCTGCCTGGGTGACAGAGTAAGCGACTCAGTCTCAAAATAAATAAATAAATAAATAAATAAAAATTGAGGAAAAGTGTGAGTGTTAGAAGAAACAATTGATTATAGAGCCAAAATATCTAATCAGAAAGATTGTGATTTCAGACATATCTGCATAATCTCTCTTCTTTACCTCCTCCCCCTGTAGCCCACTATCACCCTGCATTGACAGCCAAGAGCTGAGAGCCCCCGGAGCTGATCAGATTTCACTAGCAATCACAGCACACAACTTGGATGAGTGGCAATATGCTTTCCTCTAGAATGTGAAGGTGGAAGGCCCAAGAATCGAGCTTGGAGTGATAGTCCTGGCAGTAGGTCTCCCCTACTTGGCCTCCCATAGGCTTTTCCAACCACCCAGCATGATCGGTCCCTGTCCCCTGTCCAACAGCTGAGAATATGGTCAGAAAAGAGCCCTCCAATTTGAAGGGTAGTTCTGAATATTAAGGTACTTCTGAATAGTAAGAAGTAATAACATAAATATATGAAGAATATAGTAGCTCAGAGAAACAGGCTTGCACCATGAAGGGTTAGGACAGTCATAAAATGGAAATCATGTTTATATGAGAAACAACATAGCCTCAAGGGAAACAAAAGCCAGTATCAGGCTTTGGTGAAAACTTAGAACAAGGAGAGATTGTAAACTAACCAGACGTGTGAAGAGCAAATAGCAGAGCCTACCTACATAGCACAACTCCTGCCTGCATGGCCATCAGGACACAGTCAGTGCCGACCTCAAGGACACTTTTGATGATAACTTTTAAAACATACCATTTTACTTTCTGCTTTTTAGATTATCAAGTCATGTGAGAAACAGATAACTTCATCTAATTTCTGTGCTTAAATTCATTATGCCCTGCCATTCTGGTGATTTTTCATTTTGGACTTGGCCATTTTGATTTGTGGTATAAAAACAGCTGTGAAAACCAGCCTCATTAAAATGTTTTCATTAGAAACACCCCCCCAAAAAAACCTGTATTAATTAGAAACACCTGAAAAAAAACAGATAATACACAAAGTGATAACTTTTCTTGAACCCGTCAGAGTGCTGAGGTAGTGAGGCAACCAAGTACCCTGAAATCTAAGAAAAGACAGGTGTTTCTAAAGAGGGCTAGGATATGAGCACAGGCTCACCTGTAAGACAGCGTGGAAGGAAGGCAGGGCTACCATTCAAATGGGTTAGAAGAATTCAGCTAAAATTTTTAATAAATCGCTGAAAGCCAGATGTGGCCAAGAACTGAGAGCTCATGATACAAGGGCCATTCCTACGCATTTGAAGCATCTTCATGGGCCTCCACCAGAGCTCATGAAAAGCTTGTGGCCAGGGAATACATACCTAGGTAATGGAGCAGCCATCATTCTGGGAAAGGCATGAAGCCCACCTGAATCCTTTTTTCTAAGGAACAAATGTCTTAAATCACTAGAATAAGGGCCCAGGGCACAGAGCAGAGGAAAAGAGCCCATTACACCTGGAGGAAAGGAACAGGAAAAAACAACAACAACAACAACAACAAAAAACAACTCTCTACCCTTGGGGAAGGGGCTGGAAACCATCCCAAGCCTAGATGATTACAGGTCTTCTACCATTGAGTGAGATCTAGGATCACTGAAAAAGCCCTATCCTCAAGATCCAGGGACAGAAGGCCCGACTAAAACTGAGGCGGGACTAGAACAGCTGTCACAGCCCCACACGTTCTTCTTAGCCACTGCCCTGAAAAAATCAACAAGAACAGCGGCTATTGCAGCAAAGAAAGAGTTTAATAATCACAGGGCCAGCCATGTGAAGAGAGCAAGCAGCAATTTCTCAAACACATCTCCCTGACAATTCAGAGACTAGGGTTTTTCATGGGTACTTTGGTGGGCAGGAGGCTTGGAAACTGGAACAATCGATTGGCTGGGGATGAAATTACAGGGGTGTCTAAAGCTGTCTTCACGCAGCCAAGTCAGTTCCCAGGAGTGGGTGGATCTCAGGACCTAGTGGCGTCTCTTGGTCTACTGAAATGTTGAATCTGAAAAATACCTCGAAGACTCGTTCTTCAGGGTTCACAATAGTGATGTTATCTATAGGAGTAGTTGGGGAAGTTATAAATTTTGCAATCCCCGGTTACGTGACTCTGGTGCAGTAAGCAACATGCTACTGTAAGGACACATGGAAAGCAAGGAAGTGAGGAAGACACACTAAGCAATGGCAGGTCATTGTTTAACTGAGTCTATTCTTCAGCAAAGTTAAAGTCCCTACCGTATTTTAACCTTGTCTTATGAATGCAGTTTCAATCTTGAACAAGGAGGGAGTTCAGTTTCCCTTGACTCAAAGTTTAACTATAAACGTCACTCATAGCTATTTTGACCTCCATGCTAGAATAAGAAAAAAAAAACTCGCCTGTGGGTTAGAAGCAGGATGGAGTCAGTCATGTTAGATTTCTCTCTTTATTCGTTTATTTTTTATTTTTATTTATTTATTTATTTATTTATTGAGATGGAGTCTTGCTCTGTCACCCAGGCTGGAGTGCAGTGGTGGGATCTTGGCTCACTGCAAACTCTGCCTCCCTGGTTCAAGCAATTCTCCACCTGCCTCAGCCTCCCAAGTAACTGGGATTACAGGCGCCTGCCGCCACTCCCAGCTAATTTTGTAGTTTTAGTAGAGACTGGATTTCACCATCTTGGCCAGGCTGGTCTCGAACTTCTGACCTCAGGTGATCCACCTGCCTCAGCTTCCCAAAGTGCTGGGATTACAAACATGAGCCACCACGCCCAGCCAGATTTCTCTCCTTATTTATATATATATATTCTGCAAAGGCAATTTCACAATGGATAAATCTCTGCCCTACCTCCCAGGCTAGCAAGTACTGAATAAGAAGCAAAAGTACTCTGCCACTGAAGAGAGAATCTCTGAGGTGCAGGCACATACTTTAGAAAGTCCTAAAGTTGGGGTAGTGCAGGAAAATTGAGAAAATACCATCCAGGAGTACCGGCGGCTCTTGGTCTACTGAAATGCTGCCTCCACCCAAGCACAAGATAACACTAGAAGAATTTGAAGGTAACTATGGCAATAATAAAACCCGAACCCAGCTCAACTCTTGACTAGATTGGCCCACACTAAGAGCTTACCAGAATAAGACGGGTTCTCATTTCTAATCATAAATGCAATTTACCTCAGTTCCTACTGTCCCACATATAATGTCCAGAATTCAATAAAAACAATGAGCCAACACAGAAAAGCAAGGTTTAAAAATCCTGTCAACAGACAATGCAAGCAATAGAAACTGCTAAAAGATGATTCAGATGTTGGTACTATCAAATAGGGAATTTTAAAATCAAACCATTAATTACAACCATATTTAACATGTTAAAGGCTCTAGTGGAAAAGGTAGACAACATACATAAACAGATGGGGAATTTCAGCAGAAAGATAGAAACTATACGAAGAGTCAAATGGAAATATTAGCAAATTTTGAAACAGAGTAAAAGAGAAGAAGAATGTATTAGGCAGGGTCATCAGTAGATGCCATACAGCTGAGAAAAAAAAAATCAGTACTTTGAAAATGGGTTCATAGAAATTACCCAAACTGAAATTCAAGGAATAAAAAAAAAGAAAATAGAACAGAACACCCAAGAACTGTGGGACAATGTAAACTGGCCTAACATATATGTAATTGAAATCCCAGAGAATAGAGAAAGAATGGGAGAGAGGAAACATTTAAAGAGAAAATGGCCAACAATTTTTCAAAAATAATGGAAGTTATCAAACCACAAATCCAAGAAGGACAAAGAAGCATAGGCAGACTAAAATACACACACACACACACACACACACACACACACACACACTCCTAAACATATCATATTTAAACTGCTGAAAATCACAGATAAATAGAGCATTATTAAAATGCCCATAGATCTTTATTTTATTTTATTTTATTTCAGTTTTTGAGATGGAGTTTCGCTCTTGTTGCCCAGGCTGGAGTGCAATGGCGCAATCTCAGCTCACCACAACCTCTGCCTCCTGGGTTCAAGCAATTCTCCTGCCTCACCCTCCCAATTAGCTGGGATTACAGGCATGCGCCATCACGACTGGCTAATTTTGTGTTTTTAGTAGAGATGGGGTTTCTCCATGTTGTCAGACTGGTCTCAACTCCCGACCTCAGGTGATCCACCCCCCTCGGCCTCCCAAAGTGCCGGGATTACAGGTGTGAGCCACTGCGCCCGGCCAGATCTTTATTTTAAAAATTTTGATTGGAGAGCTAGGATGCCAGTGCCACCACTCTAGCCAGCCACAAAGGAGATAATCAGAAGTTATATTGGCGGAAATGTCAAAATATCTAAATCTTTCTCTTGGCCAACTAAACTGGCTGGAAGATTTTAAAAGAAAAGTTTTCTAAGATATGAAGATAAGCAAAAGAAGAGTACAGAGCCTAGTTTCTAATGCACGATAATACTTTGCTTCCAAAATAAACGGGAACCCAGACCTTGTTTTCTGATCTTCCCTTCAAGACCAAAACCTCAGGCCATCTCCTCATCTGCAGTTTTCCTTATCTCTCCCTTGGCAGAAGAAGTCATTTTTCT
This sequence comes from Homo sapiens, assembly GCF_000001405.40. Taxonomy (NCBI): domain Eukaryota; kingdom Metazoa; phylum Chordata; class Mammalia; order Primates; family Hominidae; genus Homo; species Homo sapiens. The sequence continues at coordinate 161,569,468 of NC_000001.11, read as the reverse complement.
TTCTGAATCTCAAAGTTTTCTTCCCCGAGTTGTCCTAAATGTTGCATTGGGCCCTATCACTGGAAATGCCTTTTTTACTCTAAGCCCAGGGAGAACTCAGAATTCTCTCACTTCTCTAAGAAGTGATTTATGAACCCCAGGGGCACTATGCAGTCTTTTACAATGTACCCTTGCAGTTTGCAGGGCCAAAATACTCTGAAGTCATTCACCATCTGTTTCATCACGACTTACCTGGGTTCCCCTCCTGGTGTCCCTCTGATGACTCCCCTTACTCTCCCTGAACACTCCTCTGTCTTCACCTGTCCATTAAATATTGGTGTTTGTTCAGCTTTCTGTCCTCTACATAATTCTCTATCAATAATTTTCTAAGTGAGAAGAGACCCCCTCAAAGGGTGCATCAGAACTGGAGGGGGAAGGAGAGGTAGAGGTGTAATTTTAAAAGCCTTTTTAGCATTATAATACAATTTAATACTTGTAAACTTGACAAACTAGATATGAAAATTAAGATAAAATTAAACAAAGTATGTTTATGTTCAAAGAGGTTGAAAATGAACTTTAAAGGGCTAAGAAACGTGATCCTGTATATGTCTTACTACTTCTAAATGATTTTATCTACATTCTTGGCTTCCTCTACACCAGTGGTTCTCAACAGAGTTGGTTTTGCCCCCCGCTCCCAGGGGACATTTGCCAATGTTTGGAGACACTTTTGGCTATTACAACTGGAGAGGGCTTCCCCTGGCATCTATTGAGTAGAGGCCAAGAAAGCTGCTAAATATCCTCCAGTGGAGAGCATAGCCCCCCACAACAAAGAATTATCTGGCCCCATGTGTCAATAGTGCTCAGAATGACAGCCTTGCTTCACTCCCTATATGCTGATGACTCCTCAGTCTTTATCTCCGGCCAACACTTTTCTACTTAACTCTAGAAAGATACATTAATATATTTATCATATATAATATATATAATATAATGATAGCTACCTATTAGGCATTTCCACTTCAAAACTTTTTTTGGCTGGGCACAGTGGCTCATGCCTGTAATCCGAGAACTGTGGGAGGCCCAGGATGTCAGGAGTTTGAGACCAGCCTGGCCAACTTGGCAAAACCCCATCTCTACTAAAAATACAAAAATTAGCCAGGCATGGTGGCATGTAGTCCCAGCAACTCAGGAGGCTGAAGCAGGAGAATCACTTGAACCTGAGAGATGGAGGGTGCCGTGAACAGAGATCATGCCACTGCACTCCAGCTTGGGCAACAGAGAGAGACTCTGTCTAAAAAATAAAACACACATACGCATATTTTTTTTCTAAAACAAAATTCACTTATTTCTCCCAAATGTACTCTTCTTTCTCTAAGATCTATTAAGACAAAATCCTTCAAATTAATGTATCTACCATTCCCATCCAATCAATAAAGTTCTTGCACGTTTCTTTTCCTCTTGCCAATTATTAGCAGTAGAAAACCTTCAGGCAAGTCATTTAATTTCCCCATGCCTTGGTTTTCTCAACCATAAAATAGGAATAATAATAGTACAACGGCCTCCTAGTTATAAACAACACAAGTTTATTTCTTATAGCTCTAGAAGCTGCGAAGTGCAAGATCAAGGTGCCAGCAGACTCTTTGGTGAGAGGTCGCTCTCTGCTTCTTAGATGGTAGCTTCCGTGTCCTTTAATGGCAGAAGGGCTGAAACAAGCCTTTAACTAGTCATCCTGCCTCAGTCTTGCTGCATTCCAATTCATCTTTCATAGGGTTTTCAAAAAGATTTATCAATTGCTTGTTCATGAAAAGATGTCATTATTATTAACTTGTTTTAGAAGAGTCATGCTTCAGTGACCTTCATAATTGTATTCATTAATCTCCCAAATATATATTACAGATTTTCTCAAATAATACAAAATATATTTTTGGTATAATCATTATTGAAATATAATATTAAAAAAAAGTTCCAGCCTGACCAACATGATGAAATTCCATCTCTATTAAATAAAAATAAAAAAATTAGTCAGGCATGCTGGTGTGTGCCTGTAGTCCCATCTACTCTGGAGGCTGAGGCATGAGAATCACTTGAACCTTGGACATAGAGGTTACAATGAGCCAAGCTTGCGCCACTGCACTCCAGCCTGGGCGACAGAGCAAGACTCTGCCTCAAAAAAAAGAAAAAAAAGAAAAAATTAAGACATCATTTGAAAAGTTAGTAGGAAAGCCACAGAGTAGGAGAAATATTTGTAATAGGTATATTTGACAAAAGACATATCTAAAATACATAAAAAACTATTAAAAATCAATGAGAAGAAGATAAGCCAATTCGTAAGTGTGCAAAAGACTTAAACAGAAACATCATAAAAAAGGATATCCAAATGACCAAATAAGCACATAAAAAGATAATAAGTCACTACTTATCAGGGAAACGCACATTAAAAACACAATATCACTGTATACCCACCTGGGTGGCTAAAGTTTAAAAGATTAACAAGACCATGATATACCTCAATTAAAAACAAACAAGAAAATCTCAAATTGCCTAATAGGTTAGATCACCACCCTACTCAAAATTCTTCAATGATTTTACATTGCTTTCAGGATGATATTAAACCCTTCAAAGTGACATTCAAACACTTCGGGATGGCACATAGCATCTGAGAGTGTATGTAATATCACAGCTGCCCCACGGCACAGGATGCTATGTGCCATACTGAAGATTCCAGCACCTAGAGTCTTGAGGTATATTGCGGTCTTGTCAGATTCTGCCCAATCCTATTCCTAACTTCCCCAAGCTTGCCATGCTATTGCCATGTTTGAGCCCATGCTGCTTTCTGTGAACAAAGCTATCTTGCCAACTCATACTTATCCTTCAAGATCAAACTCCTTCTCCATAAAGCCTTCCATGAGTTACACATAACTAAACTGTTGTTCACAAGAGGAAGAGTCGTCTACGAGTCGCTGACTCTCCGGGATCTGCCCTACTTTCACAAAGACATGCCCCATTTATGAACACACGAAGCACAGTGTGCCATATTTTGGGTACCTTGACCTGGGGAGAATGTTGTAAATGGATTTGTTTTGTTTCTTCTGGGCTTAGAAATGTAAACTGTTTGCTGTTCTCTACTGCCCTCTGTTGAAACAAAAGTGGACAGTGTACATCTCTTCTGCAGGACAAAGGAATCCAGTTTACAAGGAAATGAAAGAGAGATCTGAGTGGTTTAATGCAACAAACAGCCAACTAATGGTCTAGGGGAGTGAGATTAAGAGTCCAGAGCAGGCCGGGCACAGTGGCTCACGCCTGTAATCCCAGCACTTTGGGAGGCCGAGGCGGGCGGATCACGAGGTCAGGAGATCGAGACCATCCCGGCTAAAACGGTGAAACCCCGTCTCTACTAAAAATACAAAAAATTAGCCGGGCGTAGTGGCGGGCGCCTGTAGTCCCAGCTACTTGGGAGGCTGAGGCAGGAGAATGGCGTGAACCCGGGAGGCGGAGCTTGCAGTGAGCCGAGATCCCGCCACTGCACTCCAGCCTGGGCGACAGAGGGAGACTCCGTCTCAAAAAAAAAAAAAAAAAAAAAAAAGAGTCCAGAGCAAGGAGAACCCGGGGCTGCACTTACCTTAAGCCACTTGGTCTGCTCTTCTGATTGAATGTCTCTTGACCTCAGCATGACTTCAGACAGTGGTACTCAGAAAGAAAGGCTTGATTCATTCATCCGCACTCTGGCTTTAGACCCTTAGTGAGGAGGGTGGCATTTGAAGTTGTAGTAGAAAACTAGGAGTTAGATTCTAACGCCTACGGTCTGCAACGCAAATGCGTTGGAACCTCCCCATCAGGCCTGTTTTGCCCTTTAACTGTATCAAGTGCATGTGTCTCCAGCAAGGGTAAAATTCAGTAGGGTGGGAACTTGGTCCTAAGCAAACATGCTGAAGGATGCTGGAAAATGGTCCTGGGGAAGGTTGAAGCCATCCTCCTTAGTAGCAAGTAAATACTTGACAAGAACATTTGAAGAACTGTGAATGAGGCTCTAACCAATTCAAACTTGCCTCCTTGTCACTGGAAATAGACCTGCTGCAAGGTATCAGCAAATAAGGAGTCATCTCTTTGGCTTCCAGTTAATTTTCTAAAAGCACAATTCAGCTCCAGTCTGTGTCTCTAGCTCTAGCCCAGATTTCTCCTTCCAGTTACCCAGCTGATATTGACCACTCCCCTGCTATGTCCACAGGCACCTCAAACGCAGAATATCCAAACCTGAACTTACCATCTCTCCACAACCCCTTCCAGCTAAGCTTCTTTCCATCATATTCCCCACCTCAGGGAATGGCACCTCCTAAGGCAGGAATCTGGATATCATTGTGATTCCCACATTCTCTTTCATAACCCACATCCAATTGTGCCAGTTCTCCTTGCTAAATATCTCAACCCCACCACCATTACCTTAGCCTGAGGCTATCTTCATCTGCCACCATGACTACCGCAAGAGACCAACTCATCTTTCTGCTCCCAGTCTTACTCCTCCAGCCTATTTACAAGCAGCAACCAGAGTAATTTTGTTAAAGTACAAATTATATTATGTCACTTTCCTGCTTCAAATAATTCAGTGGCTCCCCACACCCTCACGACAAAACCCAAACTCCTTAATGTGTTCTGTAAAGCACTGTGATACCAAAACCCATTTACTCCACTGCAGCTCCATCACACTGTCCTACTCTCCTCATACTCAGAATACAACAAACTCTGCTCTAGGGGAGACTCTTTGATCTCAGTATAGACATTTTCTACGCTAGAGGCCTGTTCTGGCATCCTACGATTGAAAGGTTCAAGAATATTTAGCCATTTCTATCTTTAAGGTGCTTCTGCCTTGATTTTAAGTACTAATCAGAAAGGAAAGATACATGGAAAAAAGTCAGCAATGTAAAATAAATGGTTTAAGCATTTCACATTTTTATGTCACTTATTTTATGTCTCTTTTTGTTGGGTTCTAAGGAGAGTTGTAAAGAGAGTCAAAAAGCAGGGAGCTAAAAGGCATTAGTAAGCCCCTCGAGCCAGGCAAGTTGTTAAGCAGACAGCTCCTCTCAGAATACAAGCAAATCTGTTTCATAAGGATCATAGAGTGAAACACACGAATCAAGCTATGGATACACCAGAGGATAATAGAATTGAATCTTGAGTAAATTCTCTGAAGGAAAAGAGACCAGGCGTGGTGGCTCATGCCTGTAATCCTAGCACTTCGGGAGGCGGAGGCAGGCGGATTACATGAGGTCAGAAGTTCGAGACCAGCTGGCCAACATGGTGAAACCCCGTCCCTACTGAAAATACAAAAATTAGCCGAACGTGCTCACTTGAACCCAGGAAGTGAGGCAAAGGTTGCAGCGAGCGGAGATCATGCCACTGCACTCCAGCCTGGGCAACAGAGTGAGACTCTGTCTCAAAAAAAAAAAAAAAAAAAAAACAAAAAAAGAAAGAAAGAAAAGAAAACACCTTCATAAAACTTTTAAATTTCGGAATGATACAAAACTAAAACCAACCAAAAACAAACTACTAACTGCAAACTGGAAAAAAAATGTGTAAAAATTCATGTCTCCCTGCAAAGGGGTATTTTTATTATATAAGAAATTAATGAGAAGAACATAGAGTTTTGATAAATAGGCAAAGGCAGGGATATCAATAGAGAAACCCAAAAACATTTAGTTAAACAAAAAATAAATATCCAAGAGGGCCAGACATGGTGCTAAGTGCTTTCCATCTAATAGCAATATGAAAGAGGAAATGCAACTGGTTGACAGACACATGGTAAATGTTGATTCCACACTAGTAATCAAATAAATGCAAATAAAAATTATGAGACCCCATTTCTCAGCTATGAAATTGCCCACAATTAAGAAAAAAGAACGTGATTAAATGAACTTGCATATATTTCTGAATAGGGTAGAAATTAAAACAATTGTTTTGGAAAGAGATTTGGAAAAACTATCAAAACCTTGGAAATTCATGTACTTTTGACATTGTAATTTTGCTTCTGGGAAAATGACCTTTGGAAATATCCCAAAATATACAAAAGCACTGTTACTCTTTGCAGAGCTACTGAATGATAATGAAAATTAGAAACAACCTAAAATATCCAAAATCATGCTTCAAGTAAATTGCTCTGCTGCTACATCAGCTGGAGTCTCCCTGAGCACTGAGAGAGAGGGGTATGAATGAATCAGTTAGGTGGCTTTCTGAAGCAAGTACAGAAAATTCTGCTCAAATGGCTTAAATAACAATAAATGTTTTACTATCTCACATATTAAGTTTCTTGAAGTTAGGGCAGCTCCAGAGCTGTTTAATCTACAATAATGTCATCAGTAACCCAGATTCTTCCCTCTCTTTGCTTTGCTACTCTCAGCATGTCAGCCAGTCTTCTCTGGAAGCAAGTTGGCTGCCGTAGTAGCTCCCAGCATCACATCTTTAAGCATCACCATGTCCAAAGACTGAGAAAGAACTCGTTACTTCCTGTGTCCCAGAATCCCTCTAGCAGATTATCCCTGAGGATTAATTGTCCAGAACTGTATCATATGCTTAGTCCTAAGCATGGCAAGACAATAGAACACCATAATTGGCTTAGAGCGGCAGTTCTCAAAGTGTGGTCCTTGTGCCAAGATCAGCATTACCTGGAAACTTGTTAGAAATGCACATTCTCAAGCCCCACCAGAATCAGAAACTCGGAGGGTAGAGTAGAGCTCACCAAGTTGTGTTTTTAACAAGCCCTCCAAATGGCTCTGATGTAGCTCAAATTTGAGAACCACTGGTTTAGACTAACTGAAAGTTCACACACTGAGGCTGGAAAAGGTCTAGGCTTCTCTACAGCTCATGACCACAACATTGCTAAACGAAATCAAGTTCCGTTAGCAAAGAAGAAGGGAAGAAATGGCTGTGCAGTAGGCAACTGCCCATACAGGATAAAGTTCCTGTTTTGGTGGCCAAAATGACCCAAATCTTTTTAAAAAAAAAGAAAGTCAAAGTAATACCATTTCTTCCTTTCCACACACCCTCAAATACATTTTTTAAGCATTTCTCCTCCCATTTAACGTGAAATGTGAAAGATGTTGAGTGGAGTTTGCAGTTGTTCGAGACCAGCTGGCCAACATGGTGAAACAACATGGTGTTTATGTATATGTGGAATCATTATAAAAAAGGAAGTTGCAGAATAATATGCATTATGTACTATGCTAACAATAACAACAAAAATGAAGAAAATATAAATACATATAGGTGGATGTGTGCTTATATGAATATAAGTGTATGGGGAAAGTTCTGGAAAGATATACTACAAGCTTCTAAGGGGTTACCTCTGAGGAAGGGAGTGAAATTGGGGGAGGGAGTCATTAAATCTCACTGTTACTTTTATTTTATTTACGTCCGAATTGTTTCACTTATTTGCAACAAGAACATATATAGATCACGCGTGTATTTTCAAACCAAAAAGTGCTTAAAGCCACAATAACAAAATATTGGCGAAAGGGACAAGGACTGAGTCTCTAGGGATGGTTCTGAGCTCTGCTCATACTCCCAATGATGTTGCCAACCTTTCTCTCTTCTCCAGTGGGATGGCACGGATAAAAACAGAACAACACAAAACAGTATTTCCACTTCTTTTTCAAAAACTTTTTCAAAAACTAAGTTTTCTTTTTGGTGTTACCTTGTATTGTTCTGGTAGATTCTGAAGATTTTGCACATGAGCAGAAGCATGAATTTAGTTTTTATAATTAACTTTTAACTCTTAGAAGTATAACTTGCTAGCTCTGCTAGAAAATCCTTTTGGCTCCCAAAAGCTGCCTTCATTAGGATTTTTAGAAGACAAAGGCTACTACATTCTGCAATATCTAGAAATTACCACTGGAAGGCAACATTCAGAATTAGAGAATATTTAAGATGGAAAGAGTTAGATATAATCTAGCCCGATTACCTCACTTTGCTATGAGGAAACAAGTTCAGGGAAGAGAAGTGGCTTGACAACTGACCCCTGTCAGACCGAAACCAAAACTGAGATTTCCTTCCTCCTTGGCCAGTATCCTTCCCATAACACATCGCCATCACTCTCTTTTTGAAACTTTAAAAACTTGCAAGTCTGGGAGGCATCTAAGCATGTTCTGATGTGAGATAGCACAAGGCAGGGCATTTAAAACTCACTCTTGGCTATAGCATAAAATTTTAGAAAGTTCTTGTATGTCAACAGGTCATATTATTTTAATAACCACAGCCAAAGAAAACAGGTGCAGCTTAAGGTCATCCCACAAAATCTGCTTCAATCCCATGTGCTTTTTTTCCCTTGTTGTCTGTCTATCTCTTCCTGGTTTTGTGAAAGTGTTCTCTCCTTGTCCCATGACTGCCTTTGTATGATGTATCTCGAGGTGTGTCTGTTTCCAGACCTCTCAGTAGATGCCTTGCTCTTCATGCATTTTCTATCTATTTTTAAGACACCATATTTGAAAACCTGGGTGTCTCTCTCAGTTTTTTGTGGGTTTTTGTTTTGTTTTGTTTTTTACTGTCCCAGTAACTGTGTCTTTCTGAGTTTTCTCTCACTGGTTTTCCTCTAAGTCCCATCCCATTTTGTGTCTTTATGTCTCTAACTCTGCCTGTTCTCCTCCCTTTTCTTTTATATTGACAGTTTCCTTTCCTATTTCTTTTCTTCACTTTACTAGACACATAATGGTGAATATTTTGTTTTGTTTTGTTTTGAGACGGGGTATCGCTCTGTTGCCCAGGCTGGAGTGCAGTTGCACGATCACAGTTCACTGCAACCTCCACTTCCCAGGCTCAAGTGATCCTCCCGCCTCAGCCTCCCAAGTAGCTGGGACCACAGGCATGTAGCCCCAGGCCTGGCTTATTTTGAATTTTTTTAAGAGATGGGGTTTTGCCAGGTTGCCCAGACTGGTGTTGAACTCCTGGCCTCAAGCAATGCTCCTGCCTCAGCCTCCCAATGTGCTGGGATTACAGGTATGAGCCACCATGCTGGGACCATGAATATTTTTTATTAAATAATTTTGATATCTATTGTATTTAAAGCTCAGAGCTTACTATATTTTGTTATTAATATTAAAATAAGCAAGTAGAAGCCAGGCAGTAGTGCTGGCTACTCAGGAGGCTGAGGCAGAAGGACTGCTTGAGTCCAGGAGTTTTTTAATCCAGCCTGGCTGACACAGTGAGACCTCATCTCTAAAAAAGAAAGCAAGCAGAATATTTTCTTAAAAGGCAATTATATTCCTTCTTGGCCAGGCCCAGTGGCTCACACCTGTAATCCCAGCACTTTGGGAGGCCGAGATGGGTGGATCACCTGAGGTCAGGAGTTCGAGACCAGCCTGGCCAACATGGCGAAAACCCGTGTCTACTAAAAATACAAAAATTAGCTGGGCATGGGGGCATATGCCTGTAATCCCAGCTACTTGGGAGGCTGAGACAGGAGAATCGCTTGTACCCGGGAGGCAGAGATTGCAGTGAGCCGAGATCATGCCACTGCACTCCAGCCTTGGCGACAGAGTGAGGCTTTGTCTAAAAAAAAAAAGGTATTTTTTGCCTCTCTGTTGGTACCAATTGTTAAATTCTTTGTGGACCACTGATGCTTACCAAAAAAAAAAAAAAAAAAAGTGGGGGCATCATATTTCCTCTAGTTGACATTAAGACACAGTAATTTAGCCAGAGGAGATCTTAGCAAACATACAGTCCACACTCCACTTTCTCATTTCATGATTGTAGAGACTGAGATCTAGACAATTTAATCGGTGGTCACCCTGGGTGACATAGCTAGGTCTAGAGCTCCTGGTCTCCAGGTCAGCATTTCTTTCTTCTTCATTAAATGTCAAGTTTCCTCCCCTGTTCATTATTAGCTCCTTCCAGAAAGAGAGTTTCTTATCTTTTTAGTAGGTACTCAGTAAATACCAAGGTATTCACTAGGATGCCTTTGGATGAAGGTAACAAGCCCTGACTTAAATTGGCTTAAACAGCAGGGAAATTTACTTGAAATTGTAAGAAATCTGGGTTGGTTGCGTTAGAAGCTCAGTGATGTCACCAAGACCATATTCTATCCCTCCACTCTGTCCTCCTTGGCTATTTGGCATTGACCTCAGACTGGCTGCCTTCAAAATCTTAGGTTTTGCCAGCAGAACCTAGGACAAAATGAGCCCTTGTTCATGTACAGTGGGAGAGAGAGATCATCTCTCCCAAACATGGCACTCCCCTCTACCAGATTGGCCCTATTTAGGACAAAGTTCCGTCTTCTCCCACTTAACCAATAAAAGCCAGGGGAATGCTACACCCTGAGTGGCTTAGATCAGTCAAGATCCACCTCTGCATATGAGGGTGATTCCTGAATAGAATCAAGGTTATATTAGAAGGGAGGGAGAGGGATGGATATCAGGCTAGTACATCATATTCTATTTGTTGAGTTAACTGAGTCATAGCAATTGTTGAGTTGGAAAAAACTCAGAACCTACTGTGGATTCAAGTTCAAGAAATCATTCTTTCCTACATACAACAGCATTGCTCTGTAGCCCTGAGCTAAGAGAGCATCACGAAATACAGTCTTCTTGCTGTTTATAATCGTAAGCAAACTCTTGGACCTGGGAGGGGATGAATGGATAATGTCTGTCTGACTTGCTTCTTTCTAGTTAGTACCAACTACCTCCCTTCTTCCTGTGATTGTTCTTAGAATAGGATAAAAAATCTTCCCTTCCCTAGATCTTACAGTCTCCCCTTCCCCCAGGCCTTTCTATTTTTCAGGATTTTACTCTAATCACACCACCGAAGAATCAAGAAATCTTTAAAGTGTATTAGAGTAGCTAGTTGTGGCAGCACTAAAACACGGCTGCAAATTCTTTGACACTCTCTCCATCAAGAAATGAGGCCTACATCCTCTACCCTTGAATCTGGGTGGGCTTATAACTTCTGGTGATTAGACTACAGCAGAAAGAGAAGCTGTATAGCTTCCTAAATGTTATAAAGTCTTAAGGATAGCTGCCAGCAAGACCTTAGGACAAAATGAGCCCTTGTTCACGTCCAGTGGGAGAGAGAGAGAGAGACCCTCTCTCCCAAATATGGCAATCCTCTCTACCTATAACATTTACATAAATGTTATAGGTTAAACGTTCCACAACAAACTAAGTACTATTTAACATCAAGAGGAAAAAGAGACAGGAGAAAGGGTTAATAAGCCTGTTGATGAGGATCTAAGAAGAACAAAGGAGGCCTGGTTTGGGCCTGGCTACCCGTTGGTCTTGCAAAGAAGAGTCTGAGGTGGCAGAGCCTTCAGTGGCAGATGCCAAATTATCATCATGAGTGACTGCAAGACAGTGTCAGCTAAGATAGCCATTTCAAGCTGCTGAAGGCCTTCTCTTTTAGTCGTGGAGTCCTGTGATAAGAACTGAAAGTTGGAAGAGTGTGCTTGTCTGTGGCCTTATTTGGTCGGATGCAGTCTTTATCATTTTTAATTTGTTTCTTAGAACATTTTATCTTGTTGGCCAAATGCCCTACGAAATATAAAATGGAGTCTTTTTCTAAGATGGAGTTAGTTATGTCAAGGGTCCTTTATACAGTCTTCATCCTTTTTCCTGGCATACAACTCCTAAAATCCTTAGAATCTCCAAAGTGATGTCTTTTGGTGTGCTAATGAGGTAACTGATGGCTGGCAGCTCTTAGGTAGCTTCATAACAGGGGCTGGGCACAAGAAAGATCATGGCAAGGTCAGAGGATTGGGGCTTTCAGCTCCACCCTCCAAACTCCCTCTGGGAAGTGGAGAGGGGCTGAAGGTTGAATTGATCACCAATAGCCAATGACTTAATTAATCATTCCTAAGTAATAAAGCTCCCATAAAAACCCAAAAGGACAGGGTTTGGAGATCCTCCAGAGAGCCGAACACAGAGAGGTTCTTGGAGGGTAGTGCACCAGAGGGCATGGAAGCTCCAAGCCCCTTCCCACAGGTCTTGCCCTATGTACTCTTTACTTGTGTCCTTTGTAATATTCTTTATCACAAACTGATAAATGTAAATGTTTCCCTGAGTACTGAGAGCCACTCTAGCAAATTAATTGAACCCAAGATGCAGGTGGTGGGAACCCCCATTTATAACTGGTTGGTCAAAAGCACAGGTAAAACAACCTGGGGCTTCATCCTGGAGTATCAGAAGTGTCTTGTGAGACTGAGCCCTTCACTTGTGTCACCTGATGCTATTTCCAGTTAGATAGTGTTGGAATTCAATTGAATTTGAGCAGAAGTCCCAATCCCCAGACCTGTAGTTGTCAGTGACCTCTTAGGAACTGGGCTGCACAGCAGGAAGTGAGGGGCAGGTGGGGAGCAAAGCTTTATCTGTATTTACAGTAGATCCCCATGGCTCACATCACCGCCTGAGCTCCTCCTCCTATCAGATCAGCTGTGGCATTAAATTATCACAGGAGCATGAACCCTATTGTGAAGTACGCATGCAAGGGATCTAGGTTGCATTCTCCTTATGAGAATCTAATGCCTGATGACCTGGCATTGTCTCCCATCACCCTAGATGGGACTGTCTAGTTGCAAGAAAACAAGCTCGGGGCTCCCCCTGATTCTACATTATGGTAAGTTGTATAATTACTTCATTAAATATTACACTGTAATAATAATAGAAATGAAGTGCACAATAAATGTAATGCACTTGAATCATCCTGAAACCATCCCCCACCCCCCTACCCCTGTCCGAGGAAAAATTGTCTTCCATGAAGCCAATCCCTGGTGCCAAAAATTTTGGAGACCACTGGATTAGAAGACACCCAGTTGGTGCCCACTGCTGAATTGCTTGCTTGCTTGCTTGCTTGCTTGCCAGTGGAGAGAAATCCCCACATATCTGTTGTCAGAAATGTGTTGTGAGAGCATAGTGGGAGGAACTGAGTTTGTTTTTTCTACAGTTACAGCAATAGGTAACTGGAATTCAACTGCTGGACTATACCAAAGACTGCCAGGCCAGCCTACCTTTCTCACAGCCTTCTTGACTACCTGTCTTGGATGAGCTCACTGAAAGCCCACATACCTTCATTCTAGCATTTCCTCAGTCTGGTTGAGCTGCTTTGGAGGTAATACAGGTTGTAGGACTTCCCTCCACTCCTGCTCAGGACCGTTTTCAGCAGGCTAATCAGACAGCAGTTGGCACTGAGTACAACTGGAGAAATGTTATCAGCACTGAAGACTGCTCCAGCTACAAATGCACAGCGACCCACCTCAGCTGGACCTTTGGCATTGCTTGGCAATCCTTACAACTGTTTGGAATTCTTGGTAATTCTTGTACATACAAACAGTCGGCTCCTTCTCCCATGCACCACAATGGCCATTCTCAACTCTGGTGTTCTCAAACCCCCACCACAACTGTTACCCACTCTTTCTCGACAAGTGTCTTTGACTCCTCCTTAACCAAGAAAATCAGGACCAGCAGATGTGGATGGTCACTCAACATCTGAAAATGGATTTGCATATGTACCCCCTCAGCTCCTGCCTTCAGCTCAGAGCGAGAGGTAATCCGTATCCAGTTCACAGCCAACTCCCTGTCCATGTCCCATTCCCATCTCCTCAGGACCCACACTTGCTTCTCTAGGTGTTCCGTCCCTGTTAGGCATCCAACTTCTCCCACCCTGCTGGCTTCTTCCCAAAGACCTATAACCAAGCTCGTATCTTTCACTTAAAAGAAAACAAAAACTCCCATTCTCTTGTAACTACCTTTGCAGAATTGTGTCTGAAACAGTGAGAGAGATCTAACTTAATTGACTCCATCTTGCTTCTAACCTCCAAGCTGTCTTTCCTCATTCTTGGGCATAGGCTGAACTAACTTTGGGAGAAACTTAGTTTATAGTTTGTGGTTTAAAGCAAAGATGATAACAGCCCTTTCCCAGGGCAGACCTCCTTTTTTTCTGAAGACTAGATTGTCTTTGTAGGACTAACATTAGCCACAAGATTGGAAATTATGGTTTAGGAATCATGCAGGTGGAGGCTACAAGATTCTGACCCTTCCTAAGCACTGATCCTAAGATCGGTGCTTGAGATATTTTGCAGACCCTGCACTTGATGGATCACCTGGCAACACCCAGATCAATAAACTGGCTCATCTGATCTTGTGGTGCCCACCCAGGAACTGACTCAGAACAAGAAGACAGCTTCAACTTCCTGTGATTTCATCCCTGACCAATCAACACTCCTGGCTCACTGGCTTCCCCTCCACCAACCAAGTTGTCCTTAAAAACTCTGCTCCCCGAATGCTCTGGAAGACTGATTTGAGTAATAATAAAACTCCAGTCTCTGGCTCAGTCAGCTCTGCATGAATTACTCTTTCTCTATTGCAATTCCCCTGTCTTGATGAATCAGCTCTGTCTAGTTACCATCCTCCACTTCTCCTTTCTTATTGTGTCACTTAGGGCTCTGGGTTATAAACAACTTTATCAGAATCCAGATCTTTTAAGTAGAGGAAAAAGATTTATTGGATGGAAACTAGAGGAGGTGAGCCCATCCCACTGCTGTGATGACTGGGACCCAACCATCTCCCTCTCCTAGAAGTGAATCTCCCTTATGAGTAAACAAGTGTCACTTATTCAGGATTCATCTCAGAAGAGACTCTAATGGGCCAAACCTCAGTTATATGCCTGTCCTCTGTCTGCCTGTATCAGTTAGCTAGCACTTTTATAACAAAGTACCACAGACTGGGTGGCTTAAACAACAAAAATGTATTTTCTTACAGTTCTTGAGGCTGCAAGTCCAAGATCAAGGTGTTGACAGGGTTGGTTTCTTTTAATTTTTTTTTTAAAAATTTTATTTTAGATTTAGGGGTATGCGTGCAGGTTTGCTACATAGGTAAACTCCTATCACGGGGGTTTGTTGCACACATTATTTCATCACCCATGTACTAAGCCTAGTTACTCAATAGTTATTTTTTCCGATCCTCTCCCTCTTCCTACCCTCCACCCTCAAGTAGGCCCCAGTGTGTCTGTTGTTCTTCCTTTGAGTCCATAGGGTTGGTTTCTTCTGAGGCCTCTCTCCTTGGCTTGTAGGTGTCCATCTTCTCCCTGTATGGGTCTGTGTCCCAACTAACAAGGACATCAGTCATATTGGACTAGAGCCCACCTAATGATTTTATTTTAACTTAATTACCTCTTTAAAGGCTCTATATCCACATATAGTCACATCCTGAGGTATAGGGGGTTCCACATGTGGACTTCAACATATGAACTGGGAGAGACAAAATTTAGTCCTTAATAGTGCCCCAAAGTGGGGAAAAGGAAGATCTGGACCCTCGGGTTTCCATAGTAGAAAGCAATCACTGCTTTCTATTAAGTACTCACAGTGGGGCTTCTCCAGAAAGAATGATATGCTAATAAGAAGGGGAGGAGGAAGTGATCCTGGACAGCCAGATGATATGTGCACTATTCCTTCATAATGGAGATTCTGAAGAGGAGAAGCACTTGACTAAACACTTTTTCATTCCTACTCCGTCTTCAACCAAAAGCTGTCAAACTTCTGTTTCTCAGCCCCAGCCCCTGAAATTGCTCAGGAAAAGGTCATTAATAGTTCCTTGATTGCCATATTTCAATCAAACTCTTGTTTGAATTCTTTTCTACAACATTAATACTGTTACTGTTGACTACTCCTTCCTTGAAGATCTGTTCCCACTAAACTTCCTTGTTCCCTCCTCTTCAGCCCCTCCTATACAAACTCCTTTGTCAGCTATTTTTCCTGTGCACGCTTCAAAAATGTTTGCATGTCAAGTTTCTGTCATTGACTCTCTCCTCTTCTCCTCTCCCTCTCAATCCCTCCTTCCTTTCCCTCACTGTTTCCCTTTAATTCTCTCTCAATACTCTTACAGTTTCAGAGATCTTATCCTTACTTTATCTTAACCTAGGATCTCTGGATGGATTCAAATAGAGCTTCTTAAATTAAAGGAAACATAATGTGTATATTTGCATCCTTTCTTGGGAGAAGGCCCAAAGGTTTTTATCAGAGGTTTGAAACCTCAACCGTGTTGGTGCCTCCTAAATTGTGTCTTTTGTCAAGACCTGTCTTCTGAGTTCCAGGGCCATGTGTCTCACTGCCTACTGGAAATCTTCACCTGAAACCTTCACAGCTACCTCAAACTCAATAACATCAAAAGCTGAAATCATTGTCTCTCCCTCCCAAAGCCTGCTCATCTTCCCATTTTTCTTTTGTCCATGAAAGCTACTGCCATCCTCCTTATCACCCAAATTAGAAATCCGAGCATCACCCAGACCTCTCCCCCTTCATCACCCCTCAGCCAATCACTCACCAAGTCTTGTCCATCCTTCCTTCCTAACTTCTCTCCTGGATGCTTCCATTGCATATCCACTTTTTAAACAGAGTGGCTCTTGTCTCAACTAGACTGTTGAAATAATCTTCCAACTTTTCCCTCCACCTTCCATCTCTCTCCCCTCTAACTCATTCCTTGGACTGCTGTCAGAGTACTTTTCATAAAATATAAAACAGATCTTGTGATTCCCCAGTCTAAAGCCTTTTTATTAGTTCCCATTACCTTTTAGAATAAAATATGTACTGTTCATCCTGACACACAAAACTCTTCGTGATAAATACTAATTGAGTGCCTAGTATGTGCCTGCCCTTGTGCTAAATGTTGAGGGTACAGGGGTAAACAAGGTGAACAGCTTCCCTGCTCTCCAAGACCTTTCAGTCCACAAATGCAATGAGTTTACAGAGGAGAAGCACAAGCTCCTAAAGGAGTTGGGGTGGGGTTGGGGGTCAGAACCTAATTTAGAAAATTGAGGAAGGTCTCAACCTCCCATCTTGCATTTACAATAGTAATCAGCAGGTGTGGTACCAAATATGGAACCAACAATTTTATCTGCATTATCTCATTTAAGCCATGAGTGCCATTATTGTTAGCCTCACTTTACAGATAAGGAAACTGAGGGCTAGAAGGTTAAATAAGTGGCAGAGTTGGGATTTCCTCCAGATTCCTGTGAGACCCAGACATCTTAATCCTTTTGGAACCTGTGCTTCTCCTTTGTAGTACTCACTACACTTGTGGAACTACATCCAACTACACTTGTGGAACTACAGCCAGCTCTGCAAACATGACAGTCTACTTCACTCCAAGTCTTTGCTCATGCTGCTCCTCTTGCCTGGAATGCCTATTTCTCTCAAAAATCTTCCTGCTGAATATTTTGCGATCTAATTAAAGTGTTCTCTCTTCCATGTACACTCCTCCCTCAGATAGAATTAGCCACTGTCTTCTTTGTGCATACACAGCATTTCATAAATACTGTCACAGTCCCTCTAGCACTTCAAATACTTATCTGATGTTCTCCCCCTAAGAAACTGTAAGTCCTAGAGGATGACAATCAACTGAATTCCATAGTCAGAAACTTCTGCTGTGCCTGGCCTTCCAATGAGAAAAGGAGAGAAGAGGAGGGGAAGGAAGAAAAAGGGAAGGAGAAGAAAGAAAAGCAAACATGAAGATAAACACTTCAATATATGATATCCCAAGACCATCTACCCTTTTGTAAAAATTTTGCTTTTTTTTTTTCCCCCCCAAGAGTCAGGGTCTCACTCTGTCGCCCAGGCTAGAGTGCAGTGCCATGAACATAACTCACTGTAGCCTCTAACTCCGGGGCTCAAGCAATCCTCCTGCCTCAGCCTCCTGGGTAGCTGGGACTACAGGCATGCACCACCACATCTGGCTATTATTATTATTACTATATTAGTAGAGATGGGGTCTTTCTATGTTGCCTAGGCTGGTCTCAAATTCCTGGCCTCAAGCAATTCTTCCACCTCACATTGGCCTTCCAAAGTGCTGGGATTACAATAAGCCACCATAGGCCAAAATTTTGCATTTTATCCATTACTGTAAAATTAACCCTTAGAAATCCAACAACACTCAATTTGAGAATTGTTCAACAACCACTTAATGAAAACCCCCTGAAAGCTTCCCATCCTGTTGCAGTCCCTTTCTCTCCTCCTGTGCTCTCTCCTCTTCTTCCTATCTAGCCCACCCTTTTGGCAGCTAAGAATTCCTCCCTCCATTGGAGAGCCACAGACCAAAGAGGAGTCAAATAAGAAAATAAGACCTCAAAGAAGGAAAACAAAGTGAAGGCCTTGCATCAGAAGTCACGTGGCAGAAAGCCACCTGGATATCTGAAAAGAAGAAAGAATTGAGGGATATCCGCTTTTTGCCTCAGAGACCATCCTTAGCCCTGAAGGCTTTGTTTCTGCTTTAGGTTTCCCAGATAAGCATCCGAAGTGCTACAGCAAGGAACTTTAAGTTTCCAGATACTTGTCTGGATTTTGCAAGGCGTAGATGAGTCACTTGAGAAGGAGAACTGGAATGGCTGCCTGGGTTCATTTCCATTGTCCAATCCAAGGGCCTGTGGAGAAGGGGCTGCTGCAAGACTCTGTGTGTGGCGGGGGGAGGGGTGGGTACGTGGATGGCAATGGGAGGATCAATTAACTCCACCCAGGAGCCAAATGAAACACACAAATAAAAAACAAAACCTGAGTAGTGGTTTTTAGGTCATTCTGGAGTAGAAAGAGCATTCATTTATAGCAAAGGTTGGCGGGCACCTGTGTCAGCCCCTGCCTCCACTCCACCCCTAACAAGTATCAGGTGCCCACACGGGCCTGCTGCTCGCCTCCTGGGCTTTTCTAAGCCAGGTGAGACCTGTCCCAGATGTCCACGAATCCACTGGGGGAGTGGCACTATCAAGCAGAGTCATCTGATTTTCTGCCTGGGACCTGGACCATTGTGAGAGTAACCAACGTGGGGTTACGGGGGAGAATCTGGAGAGAAGAGAAGAGGTTAACAACCCTCCCACTTCCTGGCCACCCCCCTCCACCTTTTCTGGTAAGGAGCCCTGGAGCCCCGGCTCCTAGGCTGACAGACCAGCCCAGATCCAGTGGCCCGGAGGGGCCTGAGCTAAATCCGCAGGACCTGGGTAACACGAGGAAGGTAAAGAGTTCCTGTCCTCGCCCCTCCCCACCCCCACCTTTTCTGTGATCTTTTCAGCCTTTCGCTGGTGACTTGTTCTTCCAGGGCCCATTTCTCTACCCTACCTGGGTTTCTTCTAACCTGGAAATCTAATGATCAAATCACACTAAAAAGTCAGTAGCTCCTGTGGATTACATATCCCAGGAGCATATAGATTTTGAATTTTGAATTTTGAAAGAAATTCTGCGTGGAGATAATATTGAGGCAGAGACACTGCTAGTGGTCTGAAGATTTGAAAGGACCACTTTCTGTGTGCAGGCAGGGCCTCAGCTGGAGATAGATGGGTCTGGGCGAGGCAGGAGAGTGACAAGTTCTGAGGTGAAATGAAGGAAGCCCTCAGAGAATGCTCCTCCCACCTTGAATCTCATCCCCAGGGTCTCACTGTCCCATTCTTGGTGCTGGGTGGATCCAAATCCAGGAGATGGGGCAAGCATCCTGGGATGGCTGAGGGCACACTCTGGCAGATTCTGTGTGTGTCCTCAGATGCTCAGCCACAGACCTTTGAGGGAGTAAAGGGGGCAGACCCACCCACCTTGCCTCCAGGCTCTTTCCTTCCTGGTCCTGTTCTATGGTGGGGCTCCCTTGCCAGACTTCAGACTGAGAAGTCAGATGAAGTTTCAAGAAAAGGAAATTGGTGGGTGACAGAGATGGGTGGAGGGGCTGGGGAAAGGCTGTTTACTTCCTCCTGTCTAGTCGGTTTGGTCCCTTTAGGGCTCCGGATATCTTTGGTGACTTGTCCACTCCAGTGTGGCATCATGTGGCAGCTGCTCCTCCCAACTGCTCTGCTACTTCTAGGTAAGTCAGGGTCTCCCTGGTTGAGGGAGAAGTTTGAGATGCCTTGGGTTCAGCAGAGACCCCTTTTCAGGCTACGAATGAGACTCCCACGAAGGGATGGGACCCCTCACCACATCTATAGCTGTGGATTGAGCTCCTAGGACAAGCCAAGATGGGGCTAGAAATGAGGAGAATGCTGGTTCCAATTGGGGCATACTCATGAGTGAGGCCAGTCACTTCACCCCTCTGGGTCCCAGAATCACTCTGTGGAACCAAAGAGCTTCGACTAGATGGTCCCTAGGGTCTGTCTCTTTCAGTTTGACATTCCAGGGTTCTCCTCTATGATTTTCAATTTCTACCCTTTCTTGTGGGGATATGGGTTGAGGCTCTTTCTGTAGCTTGGTTCAGGGAAATTCAACCTGTACCCTTAATTTGTGAGTTTGCACAGGGAGCAAGGGGTAAGGGAGCAGTGTTGAAAATAGGGATTTGTGTTGACAGTGGCGCAAGAGGCATGAACAGTGGAGACCAGAGAGCAGGTAGCAAGGTTTCCACCAGAAACATCCTGATTCTTGGGAAAATTGGGCTCCTGGGGCAGAGGAGGGCAGGGGAGTTTTAAACTCACTCTATGTTCTAATCACTCTGATCTCTGCCCCTACTCAATATTTGATTTATCTTTTTTCTTGCAGTTTCAGCTGGCATGCGGACTGGTGAGTCAGCTTCATGGTCTTGGATTGACCCAGTGGGGCACATATGGGGACAAAGGCCATAAGATATTGGGAAATGCTTGTTGAATGGGAAAATGCTGATGTGGGGTTAGCAGGGATAGTTCCTCCAACACAGCAGAACTTGGCCCTGTGCTTCTCTGGCCAGCTTTCCTTAAGATACTGAACAGGCCAAAAATGGGGCCAAGATGCTCTAAGACTGAGCCACCAAGCATGGGTTTGCAATGAGCTCATTCTGGCTTTGAGGCTCCCTGGGAATGGCAGTGTAGAGCCTGCTCCTCTCCCTGTCCTCACCCCACATTATCTTGGCTCCTCAGAAGATCTCCCAAAGGCTGTGGTGTTCCTGGAGCCTCAATGGTACAGGGTGCTCGAGAAGGACAGTGTGACTCTGAAGTGCCAGGGAGCCTACTCCCCTGAGGACAATTCCACACAGTGGTTTCACAATGAGAGCCTCATCTCAAGCCAGGCCTCGAGCTACTTCATTGACGCTGCCACAGTCGACGACAGTGGAGAGTACAGGTGCCAGACAAACCTCTCCACCCTCAGTGACCCGGTGCAGCTAGAAGTCCATATCGGTGAGTTGATGAAGGGGAAGAGGAAAATCACCAATAAAGGGTGAAACAAAGGGTCCTGAAATACTTGGTAAGAGCCAGAGATGATATTCTTAGAGATAAAAGCTAAGATGAGATGATGTGTGGTCCCACTGAATGGTATCAGAGTTGTAGTCCTAGCTCTAAGTAGGTCTTGGGCAAAATGTCAAAGCCTGTCAGACAGTAGATATAGGACTGCTGCATTGCACAATTCCAAGAATCCCCATATGGAGTGCATACAATGTGAATGTGTCATGTGAAGGTTAGGCCATGGCATAGATGCTCAATAATAGTTATTTATATATTTATTTTCATTTTTTTTAATTTTATTTTTTGAGACAGAGTATCACTCTGTCACCCAGGCTGGAGTGCAATGCGGCAATCTCAGCTCACTGCAACTTCTGCCCCCTTGGGTTGTAGTGATTCTCCTGCCTCAGCCTCCCGAGTAGCTGAGATTACAGGCACCCGCCACCACGCCCAGCTAATTTTTGTATTTTTAGTAGAGACAGGGTTTCACCATGTTGGTCAGTCTGGTCTCAAACTCCTGACCTCAGGTGATTCACCAGCCTTGGCTTCCCAAAGTGCTGGGACTACAGGCGTGAGCCACCACACCTGGCCAATAATATTTATTGAATAAATTAATGAATTTGGTGTTAGGACCTCAATCTCCTTCTCGCTCTCAGACATGTAATGCCCTAAGCCACCTCCCAAAGCAATCCTAGTGGCCTAGCATCATATCTTTCTGTCTCCTCATCAATGCTATACTCAAACCTATAATTAAGCATAAATTTGGTAATGTGATAGCTCTTCCAATAGAGGCAGATACATGTTCAGCCTGCACATTAATCATGACATGAAAGTTCTTGTGTACTATTAACAGAATATAGACGTCAGACACAGGTAGGAGAAATATTTTGAAGGCAGAGGTCTTTCCTGGTGTCCCTACAATCTTACCACATAGGCTGGTCCCTGCAGTGTCGCCCTGCAAACCTAACTCTACTTCCACGGCTGTTCCATTCATACAATGTTTATGGGTGGAACAAGCTTTGGGGGAAGAAGGGCATAAGGAGGTGGATCTGCAAGAGAGCTCCATGGAATTGGGCCTCTGAAACTGATTTTTGTGGCTCTTTGGCCTCTGACAGTACCACTCAACTGACATGGTCTTCACTCTCCAGAGCTACAAGAAGATATGTCCATTTCTAGCTAGGTAAGAGATGTCCACCTACAACCAAATAAAATGGGGGAATTACCAAGAGAAAGCAATAGAAAAATCAAGTCTAAGAGTTACTAGTTTGCCTTGAACTTGGCTCTAGAAACTGGCTTTAGAAGTCTAGCCAATCAAGGCTATATTAAACTGTGACCATGAGAATTAGCTTCACCAGGTAAACTTCTGAGCATCCTTTAATCCTTTAGGACCCATTTCACTTATGTCCTCCTCTGAGAAGCATTTTTTACTTCTTTTTTTGTTTGTTTGTTTGTGTTTGTTTTTGTTTTTGTTTTTGAGACAGAGTCTCTCTCTGTCACCCAAGCTGGAGTGCAGTGGCGCAATCTTGGCTCACTGCAACCTCCACCTCCCGGGTTCAAGCAATTCTCCTGCCTCAGCCTCCCAAGTAGCTGGGACTACAGGTGCATGCCACCACGCCCGGCTAATTTTTTGTATTTTTAGTAGAGACAGGGTTTCGCAGCGTTAGCCAGGATGGTCTTGATCTCCTGACTTCATGATCTGCCCACCTCGGCCTCCCAAAGTACTAGGATTACAGATGTGAGCCACCGCGCCCAGCCTGCATTTTTTACTTCTTTCAGGCAGAATTTCTTTATTCCAATCTAGTCAGCCCCGCAGTCCTTTATTCTTAGCCTGTTGTAGCACTTGTCATATTGTATTGTGATTATTTCTGAATATTTATGTTTCTATGTCTAGACTGTAGATTCTTTGAGGCTGAGAACTATATGTCCCATCATCTGGGTATCTCCAGTCCACAGTGTGTCATACATAGTGAGTGCTTGATGAAATATCACTTGAAGGAATATACATATGGACATTCACTGGGTCCATGACAGGATAGATTCGAACAAGAATGTTCCTCCAAAGGCCACCAGACTATATACTAACCATGACTTTATGCTAATAATGATTCATCTCTCTGCTGAAAAAGTAAGTGGATAGATAGGCACATGGCTTCTTTTGATAAATGATATCTCTTAATAGGTAATGAAGATTACTTTCTGTTTGGCAAATCTTTGTGGTAGAGAATCATGACCAACACACGTCCTACCAATTTTGTTTAGCATCAGGTAGTAGATTTTTTAAATTATAGTAATTCAAGCTGAGAATGTAGATTTAAAAAATAAAATTATTGTAAATTTTGTTTTGTTCTTATTACAAAAGTCATTTGGGGTCAATTTCAAAAATATATAAAAGTAAACAGGAGAAATTTAAAATGTCCTTCAGTCCCACTCCTTCAGAGAAAACCCCTGTTAATATGTAAGTGCATATCCTTCTTTTTTCTGTGCATAATACTTTTTAAAATATTTGAAGTATTATGCTTTTTTAACTTAAAATTGTCTCATGAATATTTTCTTATGCCATTATAATACTTACCTATAACATCATTATTTTTTAATTATTCAGGCCCTTTCCCGACCATGACCTCATGTTCTCTCTTTGTGAAGTCTGATTACTTGGTGACATGATCGTGAGAATAAGCTCTGGCGATATAAGAATTTCCTCTCTTGAAGGCCATGCTCAGTAAATTACTTGGTGACATGATCGTGAGAATAAGCTCTGGCGATACAAGAATTTCCTCTCTTGAAGGCCATGCTCAGTAATAAAGTTGGTCTCACCGAGGCCCTGTGACACCTTAGAAACCACGAATTGCCAGGCTGAGCAATACCAGTCCCGCCCTTCCCCTCCCTGGTGTTTACATTGAGTTCTCCTTCACAATTTCTGCAGCCACTCCGTGGCCACCGTCACCTTATTCCTGACTGCCACAAGAGTCTTTCAATATTCCTTTGATTGCCTATTCCTTCTGAAATCTACCTTTTCCTCTAATAGGGCAATTCATCATTTTCAAATGCAATTTTTACTCTGATCTAGAACTTACTGTGAATCCTTGTCACCTGCCACAGCAAATCTAAGTCTAGCACTTAAGGATCCTGCAGATATGCTCATCGTTGCTTCTCACTTACCTCATTGCTTAGTCCCTCTGCTCTAACCCTGTGTGTTGATCACATGTGTGTGTGTCCCTCTTCCCCATTAGACAAAGGTCTTGGTATGACTTCAGTTCTCTTGCAGGGCCCCATCAGCTCTTCCCCAAAGGGAGCTATGCAGGGTTGACTCCCAATCTGGCTTTCCCTTATGTCTCAGGATCTGGGTGGTACGTGGCCCCTTCACAAAGCTCTGCACTGAGAGCTGAGGCCTCCCGGGCCTGGGGTGTCTGTGTCTTTCAGGCTGGCTGTTGCTCCAGGCCCCTCGGTGGGTGTTCAAGGAGGAAGACCCTATTCACCTGAGGTGTCACAGCTGGAAGAACACTGCTCTGCATAAGGTCACATATTTACAGAATGGCAAAGGCAGGAAGTATTTTCATCATAATTCTGACTTCTACATTCCAAAAGCCACACTCAAAGACAGCGGCTCCTACTTCTGCAGGGGGCTTTTTGGGAGTAAAAATGTGTCTTCAGAGACTGTGAACATCACCATCACTCAAGGTGAGACATGTGCCACCCTGGAATGCCCAGGGACGCCTGTGTGTGGAACCTGCAATCACACTGGGAAGTTGAGTTGGGAGGAGATTCCTGATTCTTACACGCACTTCTTCATATGTGGTTCCCTCCTGGTGATCACCAGGAGGTCCCCAAAAGTCCCTGATTGCAGGGTAGGTTTGCAGCTCTGTTTCAGTCCATTCTTTTGGGGTAGCTAGGAGGTGTCATTCACTCTGCAGCATGATGGCAGGAGCAGAAGCCACATCTCCTCCCCAATAAATACCTCTGTCTTTCCTTACGCTAATCACACCCACGGTGTCATATGTTCCTATCGTGCTGGCCTCCTTCTTATCCAAGCCTTTTAGCCACGATCCAAACTGGCAGGAGCCCCTCATCCCCTCACAGAAAGAGCCCAGAACCTGGGTTCTGGCCCTGCAGCTAATTAACCATCTGACCAGAGGTGAGCCACTTAGTCTCTCTGAACCCCAATTTCTTCTTCCGTAACAAAAATAAGCTGACATTTATTGGGCACCTTTCAGTGTGCTAGACTCTGTGCTAAACAATTCTTTACATGCACCTGGTTTGACTATCACAGTAGACCTTCACAACATGAGATAGGTAATATTCCATTTTACAGATGAAGTAACCGAGGTGCAAAAATAAATAAATAAGTTTCCCTAAGGTCACATCAAAGACTTCAAAGCCTGTATATTTAACCAGTAAGTAAAAGATTTGAACAAGCACTAATATCCTATGATCCCATTAAGTCATCCACAAAACATCTCTAGGTTCTGTAGCACCAGCCTCCAGAATCAGAGCTCTAGAGTGGTGTGCCTGGACTTTCCAGTTTCACAGAACTTCTATCTGTAACTAGCCCAAGACATAAATTGTAAACAATTTGCATGTAGAAAGGCAGCAAAACACCTTTTGAGATTTTGACACTACAATGCCATAATTTGTACAAAAATAATTTCATGACACTTTAAACTGAAAGTAAATACTCCCAAGTGGTTAGGGAAAGAGAGCAAATAAAGCAAATGGGGTAACATGTAAACAATGAGTGGATCTGGGTAAAGGATATACGAGATTAAACTATTCTGGTCATTTTTTTTTTAAGTTTGGAAATATATCAAAATCAAGAGTTTAAAAAATTGAAATGCAAAATCAACAAATTTGTCCCAGTTTCTAGACCATAGCATTGTCTGACAATTTCTTAACTGTCACACAAAACCCAGCTTACAACCTAACTTGTTAACGCTCCCTGTCACATCTCTGTCAAACAAGCAGGAGCCTTTGCTCAGTGTTTGGTGAGCTGTCCTCTGCTCAGATAGCACTAAGATCAGGAACCAATGGGAGGAAGCAATACTTTCCCCCAGACTTCCCCACCATTCCTACCACTTGCCTGTTGGCTGTTGTCAAAGACTTTCTACTGGTGACCTCACTGTTTGTTCCAAATATCTGCCTTAGTGACTGTCATTTTTTTTCATCTCTCCACTTCTCCTAATAGGTTTGGCAGTGTCAACCATCTCATCATTCTTTCCACCTGGGTACCAAGTCTCTTTCTGCTTGGTGATGGTACTCCTTTTTGCAGTGGACACAGGACTATATTTCTCTGTGAAGACAAACATTCGAAGCTCAACAAGAGACTGGAAGGACCATAAATTTAAATGGAGAAAGGACCCTCAAGACAAATGACCCCCATCCCATGGGGGTAATAAGAGCAGTAGCAGCAGCATCTCTGAACATTTCTCTGGATTTGCAACCCCATCATCCTCAGGCCTCTCTACAAGCAGCAGGAAACATAGAACTCAGAGCCAGATCCCTTATCCAACTCTCGACTTTTCCTTGGTCTCCAGTGGAAGGGAAAAGCCCATGATCTTCAAGCAGGGAAGCCCCAGTGAGTAGCTGCATTCCTAGAAATTGAAGTTTCAGAGCTACACAAACACTTTTTCTGTCCCAACCGTTCCCTCACAGCAAAGCAACAATACAGGCTAGGGATGGTAATCCTTTAAACATACAAAAATTGCTCGTGTTATAAATTACCCAGTTTAGAGGGGAAAAAAAAACAATTATTCCTAAATAAATGGATAAGTAGAATTAATGGTTGAGGCAGGACCATACAGAGTGTGGGAACTGCTGGGGATCTAGGGAATTCAGTGGGACCAATGAAAGCATGGCTGAGAAATAGCAGGTAGTCCAGGATAGTCTAAGGGAGGTGTTCCCATCTGAGCCCAGAGATAAGGGTGTCTTCCTAGAACATTAGCCGTAGTGGAATTAACAGGAAATCATGAGGGTGACGTAGAATTGAGTCTTCCAGGGGACTCTATCAGAACTGGACCATCTCCAAGTATATAACGATGAGTCCTCTTAATGCTAGGAGTAGAAAATGGTCCTAGGAAGGGGACTGAGGATTGCGGTGGGGGGTGGGGTGGAAAAGAAAGTACAGAACAAACCCTGTGTCACTGTCCCAAGTTGCTAAGTGAACAGAACTATCTCAGCATCAGAATGAGAAAGCCTGAGAAGAAAGAACCAACCACAAGCACACAGGAAGGAAAGCGCAGGAGGTGAAAATGCTTTCTTGGCCAGGGTAGTAAGAATTAGAGGTTAATGCAGGGACTGTAAAACCACCTTTTCTGCTTCAATATCTAATTCCTGTGTAGCTTTGTTCATTGCATTTATTAAACAAATGTTGTATAACCAATACTAAATGTACTACTGAGCTTCGCTGAGTTAAGTTATGAAACTTTCAAATCCTTCATCATGTCAGTTCCAATGAGGTGGGGATGGAGAAGACAATTGTTGCTTATGAAAGAAAGCTTTAGCTGTCTCTGTTTTGTAAGCTTTAAGCGCAACATTTCTTGGTTCCAATAAAGCATTTTACAAGATCTTGCATGCTACTCTTAGATAGAAGATGGGAAAACCATGGTAATAAAATATGAATGATAAAATTCTTTCTTCTTCCCTTTGTCCAACATTGTAACAGAGATTGGTTTGGATTGGTAAGAAACACCCCCTCCTCCCAGCAACCATCTCACCACAACTCATATAAATTAGCCAGCTTGCTTTCCAAATCTTGCTGAGACAATTGGGCTAAGGAGGATTCTTATGGGAAGTATGGGATAGGAGGGTGAATAAGCATTAGAGATCGTTTTAGAGCATTGGGGCAGATAGGAGAAGGCACAGCTACACAGGAGGTAGAGGCCTGGGCAGAGGTAGAGGGTCAGCCTGATTGTATGAATTATGAGCTATATACCAAGACGATTCAAGCTAGATTGCATACATAAATATTACATAAGATTCCGACACGACACAGGTGCATTTGGAAACCTTGGACATTCAACTCACATTTATTTACTACCTACAATGTGCAAGCTTGAGTTCAGGTGCTGAAGATACCAGATGAACAACACAGGGTCATTCCCTGGAGAAGCTTTATTTCTAGTGAGAAAAACAGTTAAATAGGAAGAGAATGAAGAAAGGGCTGCAGAAAAGAGGCTTGATTTGGGGGGTGTGGTCATGAAGGATGAGTAGGAGTTCGCCAGGCAAAGAAGAGAAGAAAAGCCCAAGGTTCATAGGCAAAGATTCAAAAACCAGAGTGTGAGTTCAAGAAAGCAGTTTGGTTCTGTGTCGGTGAGGGAGAGGAAAGAGTTTCAGGGCCAGATCATGAAGGGCATTACCTTCCAAACTAAGGAGATCGTATCAGACCCTGCAATACATTGAGAGAGTTTAAGCAGACCAGGTTTGTACCGTATAGTATTTTAGAAGGATTCTCTCGCAACTACTTGATGGATGGACGGGACAGGAGAGTTGAAGACCAGAAGCCAAATAGGGCAGCAAGGCAGGATGCAGTAACCCAAAGGGAGCAATGAGGAAGTAACTGGCGGTGAGGCTGGAGAGGAAGGTGCTTAATCAACAAGGTATTTAGGAGGCCGACTCTCCAAGAATTGGCAGCCAGCAGTACACGGCGTGACTAAGGACCAGGTTCCACACATAGTGCCCGTTTTCTGAGTTAGGAAATAGAAAGGCAAGGCAGGTACAGGTTTGGTGGAAAGACAAACAATTCGTTTTGGTATTATTAGTACTTACTTCCTTTGGTCAGTAAATTTTCTTAAAGTGTCAGTTTCCATAACGTAATTGCCGTGGTTAAGCAGCTAAGAGTTATCACTACAACCCTAGTCGGAAAAACCAAATACCTCAAAATTACCCGTACAGCACTAAGGCAGAAGAGGACATTGGGAACCACACAACGCGGAGGTCTGCTACCAGAGCTCCCTGCGGTTAGCACCGCGGCTGGTTTTGAGCGCCAAGGCCCCAGCGCTCCCAGCGGATAGCATCGCACGCAGTTTTTTCAGTCAAAGTTTCAAAAACCCAGGGTTCACAAAATGCGACTTCCGTCCCTGGGTGGGATCGAACCACCAACCTTTCGGTTAACAGCCGAACGCGCTAACCGATTGCGCCACAGAGACGGGCGTTGGCGATTTTGGCTGCCAAGTCACTTCACTGAAGAAAAAATGCTCAGCACTCACGTCTCCAAAAAAATTGAGGTTGATTTGAAACCAGTGACACAATTAGCTTTCCGTGCTTCAGGGCGCGGCTCATAGCCCTGAGCGAGGCAGGTCTTTTTTCTGCGCTAGCACTTGCCTAGATCTGGAGCAGGACTCAGCTTCCAGCAGAAGAGGTTGAGAAAAGGAGAGCAGAAGAGAATGCAGGAACGAAGGGTCTTCGGGGAATCCAAAATGGATGCTCTCTGTGGGTTCGGGGGTTCCGTTGATTTTGGTCAGAGAAGTACGACGATAAGCTTTTTTTGCTGATGTAGACAACTTATGTATGCATGTGCACACGTTTAGTGCTGACTCATAATAAGCTTATTATCGTGAGCATTAAAAATATTTTCTTTCAGGTCCAATCACGTCCAGCAAAATGTGATGTCTAAGTAAGTGAGTTTTGTGTTACAAAATTAGTCTTCAACCCACGCTGTTTTGAAAGGTTTCTACCGGCATATTAGACATGCAGACAGAACACGGAGCTTAAAAAGCCTGTAACATTCCAATTAATGGTATTCAGCTTGGAAATAAAAAATATTTTTTAAAAAATGCGTGCAACTTAAGGACTTTCATGCTGACATATCCAGATCCAAATATCTGAGGACAGAGACCCCTAATTCCACCACCATCGACCTAGGGAACCTCGTCAGTGCTGGGTCTAAAAAGGCTTTTTTTTTTTCTTTAATTCATATGTATATATACTTTATTCATATATATATATACTTTAAGTTCTAGGCTACATGTGCACAAGGTGCAGGTTCGTTACATATACATGTGCCATGTTGGTGTGCTGCACCCATTAACTCGTCATCTACATTAGGTGTTTCTCCTAATGTTATCCCTCCCTCCTTCCCCCACCCACGACAGGTCCCGGTGTGTGATGTTCCCTACCATGCACACGTATGTTTATTGTGGAACTATTCACAATAGCAAAGACTTGGAACCAACCCAAATGTCCATCAATGATAGACTGGATTAAGAAAATGTGGCACATATACACTATGGAATACTATGCAGCCATAAAAAAGGATGAGTTCATGTCCTTTGTAGGGACATAGATGAAGCTGGAAACCATCAGTCTGAACAAACTATCACAAGGACAGAAAATCAGACACCGCATGTTCTCACTCATAGGTGGGAATTGAACAATAAGAACACTTGGACGAAAGCCATTTTCTATATTGCCCAAAAACCAGGGTCTCTCCATAGCCTCCACACAGAATCTCCTTTCTTTCTGCCCTGCCATCCTCTGTCATCAGTGGGCTCCAGTTTAGGAGCAGGTGGAAGTTTTCAATGATGTTCAGTGAAATGAGAAGACATGCAAACATAGATATGTATATGCAGAAATTATATATGCATATATGTTTATATGTACACAGTATCATATGTATAATAAATAAGTAAATAAATAAATAAATTTGCCAAATGATCTTTAAACTAGAGTCATTTATTTTTTTTATTAATTTTTTTTTTTGAGATGGAGTCTTGCTCTGTCGCCCAGGCTGGAGTGCAGTGGCGCAATCTTGGCTCACTGCAACCTCCACCTCCCACATTCAAGCAATTCTCCTGTCTCAGCCTCCTGAGTAGCTGAGATTACAGTCATGGGCCACCATGCCCGGCTAATTTTTGTATTTTTTTTTTTTTTTTTTTGAGACAGAGTCTCGCTGTCGCCCAGGTTGGAGTGCAGTGGCGCGATCTCGGCTCACTGCAGGCTCCGCCCCCCGGGATTCACGCCATTCTCCTGCCTCAGCCTCCTGAGTAGCTGGGACTACAGGCACCTGCCACCTCGCCCGGCTAATTTTTTTGTATTTTTGGTAGAGATGGGCTTTCGCTATGTTGGCCAGGCTGGTCTCAAACTCCTGACCTCAGGTGATCCTCCTGCCTCAGCCTCCCAAACTGCTGGGATTACAGGTGAGAGCCACTGTACCAGGCCTAGAGTCATTTCTTTTATACTTTAAATTTTTGTCTCTGTTCTTTTGCTCAGACCTGTGGAGCTGGCAATATGGGCAAGTGTCATGGACTGTCTACTGCCAGGAAGCTCCATTGTCACCGACAGGATCAGAAGTGGCATGGTAAATGGTACAAGAAAGCCCATTCGGGCACAGTCCTGAAGACCAGCCTTTTTGGAGGTGCTTCTCATGCAAAGGGAATTGGGCTGGAAAAAGTAGGGATTGGAGCCAAATAGCCCAGCTCTGCCACTGAGAAGTGTGCCAGGGCCAAGCTGATCATCCAGCATAAGCTAGATGCTGTGGTCTCCACTGGCACAGCTGATCCTCTTGTTACAGGATGGAGGCTGTGAGGCAGATGAGAGAACAGCAAGAAAATCACAGCCTTTGTACCTGATGATGATTGCTTGAATTTTATTGAAAAAAATGATGAAGTTCTGTATCAGGGGAACCAGCACCCAATATTTCAATGTAGGTTCTTTTCTATTTTCCCTAAGTGTCGGCCGGTCTGAGAAATGAAGAGAAAGAGTACAAAGAGAAGAATTTTACTGCTGGGCCGCCAGGGGTGACATCACATATTGGCAGGTTCCATGATGCCCACCTGAGCCACAAAACCAGCAAGTTTTTATTAGGGATTCTAAAAGGGGAGGGGGTGTACAAACAGGGAGTAAGTCACAAAGATCACATGCTTCAAAGGGCGATAAAAGATCACAGGGCAAGGCAAAATTAGAATTACTGATGAGGGCCTATATCCCGCTGTGCACGCATTGTCTTGATAAACATCTTAACAGGAAACAGGGTTTGAGAGCAGACAACTGGTCTGACTAGAATTTACCAGGCTGGAATTTCCCAATCCTAGTAAGCCTGAGGGTACTGCAGGAGACCAGGGTGTATTTCAGTCCTTATATCAACCACATAAGACTGAGACTCCCAGAGCAGCCATCTATAGACCTACCCCCAGGAATGCATTCCTTCCCCAGGGCTATCAATTATTAATATTCCTTGTGGGGAAAAGAATTCAGCAATATTTCTCCTACTCACGTGTCCATCTACAGGCTCTCTGCAAGAAGAAAAATATGACACCATTCTTCCCGACCCCACAGGCAGTCAGACCTTACGGTTATCTTTCCTTGTTCCCTGAAAATTGCTGTTATTCTGTTCTTTTTCAGGGTGCACTGATTTCATATTGTTCAAACACAGATGTTTTACAATTTGCACAGTTAACCCAACCATCACAGGGTCCTGAGGTGACACACATCCTCAGCTTACGAAGATGACAGGATTAAGAGATTAAAGACAGGCATAAGAAATTATAAGAGTATTGATTGGGGAAGCGATAAATGTCCATGAAATCTTCACAATTTATGTTCAGAGATTGCAGTAAAGACAGGTGTAAGAAATTATAAAAGTATTAATTTTGGAAACTGATAAATGTCCATGAAATCATCACAATTTATGTTCTTCTGCCTCGACTCCAGCTGGTCCCTCCATTCAGGGTCCTGACTTCCTGCAACAGTTCTGGTTGCTGGATTTGGCAGGAAAGGTCATGCTGTTGGTGATATTCCTGGAGTCCACCTTAAAGTTGTTAAAGTAGCCAATGTCTCTCTTTTGGCCCTATCAAAAGCAAGGAGGAAAGACCAAGCTCATCAGCTTTAATGGTGAAAACCCAATAGTAATAAGTTTTCATTTGCCAAAATAAGTTGTTTTTAAATGTCCTTTCTTTTTTAAAATTAAAATTAGGATAGATGATAGTTTTGTGGCTATTTGTTTTATGAATTTTGCAATTTGGCAAAATGAAAAGTTGGCCACCCTATACTAGTAACCAACTTTTCTGATGTCATTAGAGACAGGGTCTTGCTCTATCACCTAGGTTGGAGTGTAGCTGCACGATCTTAGCTCACTGCAGCCTGCAACTCTCAAGCTCAAGCAATCCTCCTGCCTTAGCTTCCCAAGTAGTTGGGATTACAGGCTTGAGCCACCTTGCCTGGCCAGTAACCAACATTGTGGGGAAATTTTGTTCATCTGTGAAGTTCAAGTTTGGAACTACCACTCTGTGCTTTACCTCCATTGTTGGATTGACAGCAGAAATAAAAAGTTATTAGTTTCCAGTTGATTGTGAATACGTATACATTTCCTATGCTACATTTTACATGTATGTGACAGCAATGCAAAAGCAGGAGAGTAAAAAGGAAGAATTTTTAAAGAATAAAAGAATAATTGAGGTCAGAAGTACAAAACTAGGTGGTGAAATAAATTCAAATATATCAGCTATTTTTTTTTGGAGGGTGGGTGGACAGAGTCTCTGTCACCCAGGCTGGAGTGCAGTGGTGGCATCTTGGCTCACTGCAATCTCCACCTTCCCGGTTCAAGCGATTCTCCCACCTCAGCCTCCTGGGGACTACAGGTACATGCCACCACACCCACCTAATTTTTAGTAGAGATGCGGTTTCACTATGTTGGCCAGGCTGGTCTTGAACTCCTGACCTCAAGTGATCCACCCGCCTCAGCCTCCCAAAGTGCTGGCATTATAGGTGTGAGCCACCATGACCCGGCCTATAACAGTAATTATAATAATGCAACTGAACAAAACCTTCCAGTTAAAAGATAAAATGCATTTTTAAGATCAATTTTATTCTGTTTAGAAGAATGACATTAAAATGTAAAGAAACAGAAAGACTAAATGGAAAAGGGAATGCCAGGAATATTCTAACAAAAAGAAAGTTGGCATTTAGCTATACAATATCAGACAAAATAAAGTTTAAGAAACAATGCATCATTAGGGATGAAGATGGTCATCATATAATAAAAGATTAAACTACTGATGAATATGTAACTGATAAAATGGCATTAAAATATGAAAACAAGAATTAGGCCTACAAGGGAAAATGAACAAATCCGTCGCCACAGTGAGAGAATTCCGCATACTTCAACCTTTACTAGATCAAACAGAAAAAAATTATTAAGCGTGTCTCTTTTTCTTATTTACTTTTATTAAGCATATGAATGCAATTAACAAGCTCAATTTAACAGATATATATATAGAACTGCAATCAATAATTATTAGTTGTACATTCTTCTCAAACTCACATGGGATATTATGAAAACTGACTTTATATGAGGCTGATAAGTTTCTTTTATTTATTTATTTTTTTTTTTTTTGAGATGGAGACTTGCTCTGTCACCCAGGCTGGAGTATGATGGCACTATCTCAGCTCACTGCAACCTCCGCCTCCTGGGTGCAAGTGATTCTCCTGCCTCAGCCTCCTAAGTAGCTGGGATTACAGGTGCGTGTGCCACCACACCTGGCTAATATTTTTCATTTATTTATTTTTTATTTTTAGTAGAGATGGGTTCACCATGTTGGTCAGGCTGGTCTTGAACTCCTGATCTCAAGTGATCCACCCATCTCGGCCTCTCAAAGTGCTGGGATTACAGGCTTGAGCCACTGCACCTGGCTAAGGCCAGTAAGCTTCAACATATGTCATGGAATCAGTACTATATGAAGCACATTTTCTGAACATAAGGAATTTAACTCAGAAATCAATGACAAAAAATAACTTTTAAAAGCCTTCATATATTTGGAAATTTAAAAAAACAAAATTTATGGAATGCAGTGAATCCTGTTATAATGGGGAAATGTATAGCCAGTGGCTATTCTGATTGGTCAGTGCTATATCTGTTAACTCCTCCACAAAAAGAATTATCTTCTGGGTTTTGCTTTTGGCTTTCCCTAGACATCCCAAAAAGCCAGCCCCCATACCTTGGCTGGCCACAGGGAACTCTAGGTGGCCACTTCCAGAAAAACCACTCAGTGAATCCCAACGTGAAGGGCTAACTGAAGCCAGCCTATGGCAGGTGTTGGTTATAGGTCCCTGTCCCTATATGTCTCCCAAGACAGGGCAGCCTGAACACTGATCCACTTAGCGATTGCGCAGTGTCAATCTGGCCCCACACAGCTGTGGCTAGCCACTACCAGTCAGTACTACCCTTTGGTTCTTCTTGCCCGTGGGCACTGCAGCCTCTGTGGGACCTTAGTACTAAGAGTCAGAGAATATCAGGGAGAGCAGGTGGGCAGTAACAGGTTACATTGAAGGCATAAGCTAGATGCTGTGGCCTCCACTGGCACAGCTGGTCCTCTTGTTACAGGATGGAGGCTGTGGGGCAGATGAGAGCATAAGGGAGGTTTGGAGCTAAAGGGTGGCTGAGGTGCAGATGTCCTTTCTTCCCATCCCTGTTGAATTTCACCTCCATTTTAGGGAATGAGACTTAAAATCTCAAACATCATCCCACTACAGGCATTAACAATGGACCCTCCTGGCAATGTTTATACATTTGTAATATATGTTTATATATTAACCCATTGAAGAATTAAAATTATCATCATTATCCTCTTTTACAGGAGGAAATGGAGACAAAGAGAGCCAAGATTCAAACACAGGAAGCACAACAGAGCCCATGCACTTAATCTTCACACTGTGTTGCCTCATCCAGCCTGAATGGTTAGGGTCAATCTAATTATATATGTCATTCCAATAAATGACTTTTGTATAATAAAAGATAACGGATACATAAAACCCTCAGACAGTATTTTAAAGGCTGGAAAATTTGTGAATACAATTGCTGTTAGTTCAACCGGTGACAAAGAACTCAGTATCATAAACAGCATGTTAGGAAAAAGTTTCAACTTATCGAGACTACAAGTCATCTAATGACTATCAGTTTATTAGGAAATTATCAAAAGAGTTTGATTCCCAGCCAAACTGAATCCCTGCCTCTCTCCCATGTAACTCAGTTCCAAATCAAATGCTCAGTCCAGTACATCTGAGCCTTTTGCCAGCAGAGAGGGGGGCCCGAATGGGTTGCTTACTATGAGGCCACTTGGGGGGGTTTTATGGACTGGAAACGGGAAGGAATGTGCTTAGTTTGCCGGCTGTTTTGGAGAATGCGTGATTTAGGTTGGCCTGGGACCTTGGCCTGGGACTAATTAGAAAGCTTGGCCCGGGACCTTAGCCTAGGACCTCGGCCGGGAATAATTAGGGGCTTAAGTGATGATTTGTAGAGGCTGCTTTGCTTGGCCCTAGACCTATTAAGGAACTGAAGTGAAAGCTTGGCTCGGGACCTTGCCCAGGACCAATTAGGGGCTGAACTTGTGATTTATAGAGGCTGGACTTGCAGTTTAAAAAAAGGAAAGAAAAGTGCTTACTGGAACCCACTGGAGCCTACTGTGCCTATGCCTACAAAAAGAGAAGGAACTTTTTCCTGGGAGCCCGCTGACTATACAAAGAACAAAGGCATTTCTATTTCAGGCCTTGTTCCCTTATTTGAGTGAGCTGGAGGTTTGTGCAAGTTTTTATCTCAGAAAGTCGGAGGCTCTCCTATTTGTGCAGCCACCGGCATGTTTTCAGGCGCAACCTCCGGTGCTAGTTTGCCCGAAGCTTGACTTTTTCCCAGGCTGCTTTTTTGTTATGTGGGAATGAGGCACTGACCCGTGGGGCCAGGGGCTCTCCAGAGACACTTCCCTTGCTATCTACCAAGCTAACTAACTCCTTTCAGTTCCCCCTTAGGGTCTCCACTCCTAACTGCTGTTAGGGAGATTGGGTGTTGAATTTTTTGGCAATTTTTTGCTGGAAAGGGGTGTTGTGTGGGGAACAGCAGCTAAGGTTTTTGCGGGGCGGGCGGGGGCGCAGGTTGAAGGGTTTTTGGAAGAAAGGCGTATTTATGCGTGGTTTTATTGCATTGCCCTTTGGAGCTTGATAGCCTTTAGGCGAGAGGAAACAATTTGGGTTACAGCATTGAGTATACAAGGCCTAAACATTAACACAGGCATATAAGAAAAATAGGTGTTAGGAGCTAACTAGGTTTAAAATGAAGACTGGAATTTATTAAAAAGGGATTGTAGCTAACTGGGACTGGAGTTTGTGTTTCTTTTTGTTAATTATTTTAATTTGGTTTTTAAGCTCTTGTAAATTGTTTTTTCTTGACTGAAGAGACGAGGAGAAAAAATAAAAAGCAACTGTAATCTCCCCGTCGGGAGAGCGAACCCCGCTCTCCCGCGTGACAGACGGGGATACGCACCACTATACTAACGAGTACAACCGGGAATATTGCGTTTTTTTTTGGAAATTGTCTTTTAGAAAAAGATATTCCTAAGCTACCAGCATGCTTTCAGGGAAAGTCGCTGACTGTTGGCAAAGTTATATTTCTACTCTCTAGACCGGCACACTACGGTAGAAACATAATTCGAGTCCCACATGTCATTTTTAATAGTCACATTAAAAAGTAAAAAGAAAGAGGTGATAATTTTAATAACAAATCCTATTCTTTAACCCAACGTATGCAAAATATTACAAGT
The DNA here is from genome assembly GCF_000001405.40 of Homo sapiens. Taxonomy (NCBI): domain Eukaryota; kingdom Metazoa; phylum Chordata; class Mammalia; order Primates; family Hominidae; genus Homo; species Homo sapiens. The sequence goes on along the minus strand of NC_000001.11, from coordinate 161,531,864 downwards.
AATCAATATAAAAATATTAATTGGCTGTTTTTTTTTTTCTTAGCTAGTCTTCAAAAATCGCTATGTATTTTACACTTAAAGACGGCACATTTCAACTCGGAAAGGAAATTTTCTTCGGAAAAAAATCCGTATTTAGATTTCATAAAATTTACAATTGAAAAAGTAGATTCAATAGCCACGTTGTTTCAAATGCACTGAAACCTTCTCCAATGGTTGAGTTATTAAGTATCCATTTTAAAATTTTCACTTATTAATTTTATTTCAATTGATTTATTTACTAAGACTAAATTTGAAAATGCAGTTTCTTAGAGAAACTAGCCAAGTTCACGTGCTCAATAGTGCGTGGCTAGCGAATGAACCTCGCAAGTGAAGACACAAGAGCCCCTTTCTGAAGCTAAGACTCATCCCAGGATTGAAATGATCCCAAAGATTCCTCAAGAGTTGGAAGTTTACAAAGGAAGGAAGGGAGGAAAGAACCATCAGAATTTAATCCCTTCAAAAAACGCCTGGGTTTAGAAAGAGGCCAGGGGAAAGACAGGAAGCGAGTACGGAAAGTGAGGTATTGCTGCAGTTTCGTTGAAGCGTAAAACGGATACTTCGTTGAGGCGTAAAACGGATACACAGCGCGTTATAGGTTCTGACTGAGAAAGGTTTTTCGTAGAAGGAAAGACAAAAACCCTTGCGTTGGCCGGGAATCGAACCCGGGTCAACTGCTTGGAAGGCAGCTATGCTCACCACTATACCACCAACGCGTACCCGGTTTGGAGTTTTAGATATCTATATATAAGATAAGCAAAGCGTATGACTTTCCCGACCGTTCTAGCAGTGTCTTTTGTTTATGATCCTGAGGTTAAACAAGCTAAGCCCTCCATTGGTGAGAACCGATTCTTATGAATCAGCCCCGCCCCGCAAACGGCGCGGGGCGGTGAACGCAGAAGCCACCGGCTCTGGAAGCTGGAGGGCGGAGCCGGCTCACAGCCGAGAGAGAAAGCCGCAGTTGAGCATCGCCGGGGGATTTTCCTCCGCCGTCTTCTCTTCCACCCCGCTCTCTTCATGTCCCGTAGCTCCCAGCTCCGCAGCTGTTCGAGACTCCGCACTGGATCCGCCGGGTGTCGGATTCAGCAACAGTGATTGGTGCGGAGGATCCGAGGGAGACGGGCCGACACAGGGTCTACCTTGACATGGCTCGACCCCTCTACAGAAGCAGAGGGGCGCTCGAAGAGTCGCCAGGGAAAATGGAGCCTTAAGGATTAGTTTGGGTAGTGAGGAAAGAGGAAAGAGCTGTCGGAGCCTGTTTCATTTTTCCCGCTTTGCGACAAGGTCTAGAGAGAGTTACAATTTTATTTGAAACAGTAAATAGACACATTAATGTGACCTGATAGCGTGCACCATCAGTATATGATAAAATTAGGAGAAATTAGGAAGCATGGTAAAACATGTGTCAGGATGGCCGAGCGGTCTAAGGCGCTGCGTTCAGGTCGCAGTCTCCCCTGGAGGCGTGGGTTCGAATCCCACTCCTGACAATATGTGTTTTCCGTCCTTACTTTTCCTCCTGATTTGAACCAACCAGCAATTATGTTTGAATTCTTAGAGAAAGACTTTTCGATCGGTCAACACTGCCTTTTATCCTAGGTATCTACATTTACGAAAATTATTTGTGCTTCTCTGCACATATAGAACTATATCTATTTTTCCTGTATTGTAGGCTGGAGTCTGGTCTATGAAATCAGGGAGCAGTTGAGACTAAGATTAACTTTGGACTCCAACTTCCCAGTGTCAATTTATCCATTCTTTTATTCAACAACAATGTGTTGAGCCCTTTCTGTGCGTCAAGCACACTAAGGCAGGCAGATACCATCTCCTTTGACTAAACAAGAGAACGCCCTCAACTCAGGATCCTTTAATTTGCTCTACAGTCTTAGCTGGGTTTTTTTTTTTAACGCTAACGCAGTAGTGTCAAACTTTGGTAAGGATCAGGTTCTCCCACCGCCTTGCCCCGCTCCCCAGCCTTTTTTTTTTTTTTTTTTTTTTTAGACAGGGTCTCACTCTGTACCCCAGGCTGAAGCACAGTGGCTCAATCTTGGCTCACTGCAGCCTCCGTCTTCCCGGTCCACGCGGTTCTCGTGCCTCAGCCTCCCAAGTACCCGGGGTTCGCGCCTGTAGTCCCAGCTACTCCGGGAGCCTGAGGCGAATCTCTTGAGCCCAGGGGGCAGAGGTTTTTGTGAGCCGAGATCGGCTGACTCCAGGCTGCACTCCAGCCTGGCGTACAGAGTGAGACCCTGTGTCCAAAAAAAAAAAAAGTAACATGAATAAAATCTACAGTTAGTCATTAATGTTATACCAATGCCAATTTCTTAGGTTTGATAAATATAACATGGTTATGTAAGGTTTTAACATTAGGGGAAGTAGAAAGGATATAGAGTAATGACTTTATGTAGTATCTTTGCAACTTGTCTGTTCATCTAAAATTATTGCAAAATCAAAAATTCTTTTAAAAAACCAACAACTTGAAAGTGGTTGCCTGTGAGGAGTAGGACCTGGGAAGGGGGCAAGAAACTGCTTGTACCAAGAATTGATTTTTTTAATAATGGGCATGTGTTCTGATTTAATTTGTTCAAACTTTTTTCCCCCCCTTTGGAACTGGGTGACATAGTTGTGATTACAATAATCAAACTAAGACTACATACAATATAAGGATTTTTAGATACCTAGTATACAAGAAACAGTCCCCAAAGAAACTAAACCAAAATGATCAACAGACGTTTAAAAGTAAATAAAGTTTGTTTATATTTCTCTATAGAAAAATAGATTGCACTCAAATGGGAGGATCTGAGATGTCACAACTAAACACGATAAAAATCTTTCTTCTTATATTCTGTGTGTGTTGGGTTTTTTAAAAGGATAAAAGGCATACTATCAAAATACTAAGAAACTATAAAAAAGTGAGTACTATCAATCCTCTTGAGAAGTTCAAACAGGTTGAGGGGGGTCAATGTTGAGAATTGAGATGAGATTCAGGAAAGGAAGAATGTAATGCAGGATGTACGTGTTACTCCATCTCTCTCTCTCTTTTTTTTTTTTTTCAGGTTCCTTCCATGTGAAGCCAGGCTGCGTAAGACTTGGGCCAGGGCCAGGAAAAGAGGGCAGTTAAAAATGTGAAATGACAGCCAGGGACAAGTGAGTTGTTAGTGTAACCTTCTCTCCGTCTTTAAAAAATCAACCTAAGAAATATAATGTATAATGTAGCATTGTTCTAGCCAAGCTCTCCCATAATTTCTGAGATAAAAATAAATCTCCCAATGCCCATAGGGCAAATATACTCTGGATTGGATTGACTGGGAACTAACACAAGTTTATCCTTTTGATTATTTTGTTTACACCAACAAAGCAAAGGCAAATATCCTTGCTTTTATATTGTCATTGACTCAACTGGCAGTAAAGTTGTGCCTAAGGATATTTTGCAGATTCCGTCACTTGCTATAAAAAACACACAACTAGCTAGGCGTGGTGGCTCACACCTGTAATCCCAGCACTTTGGGAGGCTGAGGTGGGCAGATCACCTGAGGTCACGAGTCTGAGACCAGCTTGACCAACATGGTGAAACCCCATCTCTACTAAAAATACAAAACTTAGCTGGGTGTGATGGCAGGCAACTGTAATCCCAGCTACTGGGGAGGCTGAGGCAGGAGAATCGGTTGAACCCGGGAGGCAGAGGTTGCAGTGAGTTGAGATCGCACCTTTGCACTCCAGCTTAGGCGACAGAGCAAGACTCTGTCTCTGCAAGTATACAATAAAATGCACACTTTTTCTCACGGGGCTCAGCATCCAGCTGTGTTTCAAAGGAATAATATGACCAATTTCAAAACATCTAGGGGAAGGTCTGGTAATAAGTGGAGTTATGGCCTATTTGTAAGGTGGCATGCTGAGGCTCTAGACTCAGGCAGGACAGGGTTCTTCATTCCAGCCTTCCTGTCCCCACTTTATAGCTTTGTGTCTTTGAATAAATTGTTTAACCTCTTTGAACCTCATAATGCTCATCTTCAAAAAGAAGATAGTATTCCATAATGCTGCTGTGAAGATTAAGTTAGATTGTGTATGTCAAGTACCTGATACATAGTTATCACCCAACTAACAATTAATAGTAATTGCTAATGTTTGTTGATAGTATATTATACACCTTTCTTCTTTGCCTCTTACATATATTAATTAATTGAACCCTCACAACAGTCTGGAGGTTGGTACTGTTATCATCATCATCATCCCCACTGCAGGGAAGGGGAAACTGAAGCTTGGAGAGTTTAATTTGCACAGTATATAAAGTGGCAGGGCTGAAAATCTATAGAGTCTTGTTCCAACATCCTCATTATGCCATGGGCAGAAACCACATGGGATCATACTATTTCTCTGACATAGATAAAGTCAATAGTAACTTTAATCGTACCACCAGATCTACTTCCTCTGACATATACCATCCTCCAGAGTCCAGGACTCAGAGTCTTTTCTCTAAAAGAACAATGGATAAAGTGACATGATTACAAACAGCTAATAAGCATGTAAACTATTTGTTAGTGTTATTAAAACAGCTAGACTGACAAACTCAACCAGGTTCCTATGACAAAAATACAGAATTTGAATCATAGGATCACACATGGAAACACTGCCAGTACTTAAGTTTCTCTTCATTCTCTGCTTTTCCAATTCCACATCTCTCCCTCTCTCTTCCTGCATTGTAAGTCTCAATCCTCTCCTCTTTACCAGCCCTAACTCTTCAGTACTGTTCCAATGTATTGGCCTCAAATTCTTTTCCAAATCCTGCCTTCCCCTATAGGAATCATGTACACGGTCTCAGGAATATTCTTCACATTCCTCCTTCAGCACCCACCCCAACATTTTCTGCTTCTGAAAGCCTTTGGGTACTTTTGTACTTCGATTGGTTGGAATGAAAAACAAGAAGGAGTTTTAAAAGCTTATTTAGGTCTATAACTATATTTTACATAACAAAATTCATACATGCAAGTAACAAAGTACACAAAATATAGGTGAAAGCAATGTTAAAGTGCCACACAAGTTTTAATAAATTAATGACTTTTTATTTGAAGCAGAAGAGGATGAACCGCCCTCCCCGCAAAAAGTCAAAAGACTTCAGTTATCCTGGGAAGAAAGTTCTAGCTTTGGAGGGAAAGTTCATCTCTGAAGGGCAGGATCATAGAAGACAGTCTAGAAGGCCCATAGCATAGCCCTGACAGTCACAGCTGACTTATCACGAAGGGCCATTCAATCAACCTCCTCAATGATGGGGCCGGTGCTGGGGTCCCCCTGGCGGGCTTGAGTGCCACAACTGCTGCCCCCAGGGACACCAGGCCCCCCATAGAGCCTGGAGAAGATGGGGCGACAGATTTGCTCCAGCTCCCTCTTCTGATGCTCATACTCCTCCTTCTCTGCCAGCTGGTTGTGCTCCAGCCAGGCAAGGACTTCCCGACACTTGTCTTGCATTTTGCGCCTGTCCTCTTCGGGAATCTTGTCCCTAAGGCTTTCCTCTTGCAAAGAACCTTTCACATGGAAGACATGGGCCTCCAGCGAGTTTTTGGCAGCCACTCTGTCCCTCTGGGCCTCATCCTCAGCCTTGTACTGCTCGGCTTCATGAACCATCCTCTCCACCTCCTCCTTGCTCAGCCGGCCCTTGTCATTGGTGATGGTGATCTTGTTAGCCTTACCTGTGCTCCTGTCAGTGGCTGTCACGCTCAGGATGCCATTAGCATCAATGTCAAAAGTCACCTCTATCTGGGGGACTCCACGTGGGGCAGGAGGGATGCCACTGAGTTCAAAACGCCCCAGCAGGTTGTTGTCCTTGGTCATGGCCCTCTCACCCTCATACACCTGGATGAAGACCCCAGGCTGGTTGTCCGAGTAGGTGGTGAAAGTCTGGGTCTGCTTGGTGGGGATAGTGGCGTTCCTCTGGATCAGCGTGGTCATCACCCCACCTGCTGTCTCCAGCCCCAGAGACAGGGGAGCCACATCCAGCAGCAGGAGATCCTGCACTTTCTCACATTTGTCCCCCATCAACACGGCCGCCTGCACAGCAGCCCCATAGGCCACAGCCTCATCAGGGTTGATGCTCTTGTTCAGCTCCTTGCCGTTGAAGAAGTCCTGCAGCAACTTCTGCACCTTGGGGATGCGTGTGGAGCCCCCCACCAGGACGACGTCATGAATCTGGGCCTTGTCCAGCTTGGCATCCCGCAGGGCCTTCTCCACCGGCTCCAGGGTGCTGCGGAAGAGGTCTGAGCACAGTTCCTCAAAGCGGGCACGAGTGATGGACGTGTAGAAGTCCACGCCCTCGAACAGGGAGTCTATCTCCAGGGTGGCCTGGGTGCTGGAGGACAGGGTGCGCTTGGCGCGCTCACAGGCTGTGCGCAGCCTGCGCAGGGCACGCTTGTTCCCGCTCAGGTCCTTCCCATGCTTCCGCCGGAATTCTTCCATGAAGTGGTTCACGAGCCGGTTGTCGAAGTCCTCTCCTCCCAGGTGGGTATCTCCAGCAGTGGCTTTCACCTCAAAGACACCAGCGTCAATGGAGAGAACCGACACATCGAAGGTGCCCCCACCCAGGTCAAAAATGAGCACGTTGCGCTCTCCCGCGCCCCGCCGGTCCAGCCCATAGGCGATGGCAGCTGCCGTGGGCTCATTGATGATCCGCAACACGTTGAGCCCCGCGATGGCCCCCGCGTCCTTGGTGGCCTGGCGCTGCGAGTCATTGAAATAGGCGGGCACGGTGATCACTGCGTGCTTCACGGGCTGGCCCAGGTACGCCTCGGCCGTCTCCTTCATCTTGCTCAGCACCATGGACGAGATCTCCTCGGGGTAGAACGTCTTGTCCTCCCCGCGGTAGCATACGCGCACCTTGGGCTTGCCGCCCTCGCTCACCACCCGGAAGGGCCAGTGCTTCATGTCCGACTGCACCGTGGTGTCCGCGAACTTGCGCCCGATCAGCCGCTTGGCATCGAACACGGTGTTGTGGGGGTTCAGGGCCGCCTGGCTCTTGGCCGCGTCCCCGACCAGCCGCTCGGTGTCGGTGAAGGCCACGTAGCTGGGCGTGGTGCGGTTGCCCTGGTCGTTGGCCAGGATCTCCACGCGGCCCTGCTGAAACACGCCCACGCACGAGTAGGTGGTGCCCAGGTCGATGCCCACCGCGAGCTCCCGTGGGGCCTGCATGGCTGAAGCTTCTTGTCGGATGCTGGAGGCCACGGAGGCTGCTGCCGCTCCGCCGTCGAGGGGCGCTCAGCAGTGAGGCTCTCCCTGCGGTTTCTCTGCAGCCAGCCCGGCTCGGATCTGCTCAGCTCCGCTTCCACCGGCTTTTTATCCTTTTGCGCCTCACCCGACCCCCGCCGCCGCGAACTTTCGCGAACCTTTCCGCACCTTCCCGCACCTTCCCGCCCAGTTGAGAGCCTCTCGCCCGCCCGGGCTGACTCAGCCGGGTGGCGCGGCGCGGCGCTGACCCCGGGAGAAGGTTCGGGCAGATCGGGGCATGAGCCGCGAGGCTGGGCGGCTACGCCAGGCCAGCCCGCCTCTGACTCAGGCTGCTGAAAGAAATGCGGGGAAGGTTCTAGCTCCTCCGGGCTGGCTCTGAGGACGCGCGGTTGTGGCAGAGGCTGCAAAAGCAGCAACTTTAGAGGCAAGGTCTCCCCGGGGCTGTGGGAGGTCGGATCCCTGAGGCACACAGGGGCCTGCGGGCTGCCTTGGAGGGCCGCTGAGAGCCCAGCGGCTCAGGAAGGCCGAAGATATGTTACCATGCGAATACAGATATATAAGATATATACACGTATATCTTAAAACAGTTTTATCTTGAACAAAATATTTTCCAAACCGCGATTTAAGACGGTGCCTGGTTCCTTAGTGAATGGCCAGAGATAGTGAGCTTTAAGAGACAATACTGCAGGTCTTTAGCTGACAGTAGCATTGGTGGTTCAGTGGTAGAATTCTCGCCTGCCACGCGGGAGGCCCGGGTTCGATTCCCGGCCAATGCACTTTCATTTTTTTCCGATCCATTTCAATTCTTTTTCTCATCTAGGATTAATCACTCTTGAATAAATTAAACCAGGTGGCTGAAGACTTTACATTCCTCCAGTTTTGTTCTCTCTCCTTTACCAGTCACTTTCCACAAAGGAGATGTGACATTGCACTGTGGCCCTGGGACTCGGGAGAGACCTCGCCACTCAGCCCAAGAGAGAACGCAACACCTGGGAAAGGAGGACGCAGAGTACGGTCGGGATGTCCCTCATGTTCTCCCCACTGTTTGTATCCCCGAGGAGCCTCGTCTCCAGAGGCCCGGTGGAGAGGCACAGTGTGCGTTTTTCTTTATGGCCTAAGTGGGTTCCCAGCTGGAGACCAGGACTCAGGTGGAGAGTAAACTACTGCAGGCTCCAGTCCAACCTACCTCCTAAAGGCTGGAGGACGAGATGGGTTCACTGGGCAGTAAAGTCACACTGGTTTTTATCAGGTTGTGACTTTGTGAATTGAGGCCATTTCCCACTTTCTTCAATCCAGAACATTCCATTCAGATCTGCTGGCGTTCGGATTTCCGCTGAAAGCCAAAACAAGGAGACATTTCTGAGACTTCTGAAGGTTGACAAAATCCTCACACAATTTCCCGTGACCTCCCCGTCGGGGAATCGACCCCCTCTCTCACGCATGACAGGCAGAGATACTCACCACTATAGTAACAAGGATGGCAACTGCAATAGCTGGCAGCTGGAGAGTATGTGGTACAGTCTGGTGTTACAATTTAGCAGTGTGTTAGAGAAACTTAAAAGTTGGCTTCTATTTAACGTTACTTGCCTGATTCAGAGGAAACTTCCATTTGTAAAAAGAGAAACTAAAAACCCTTACTCCATAGATGGCTATTTTCTCCTTTGACAGGTTAGAACCCACTAGGAAGTTCAAGGGACTTTTTAAGAGGGAGGCAGGAGTCCAGAAGTAGAGGTCAGTACTGTTCCCGGGCTGGGTTCCTTGGTTAATCGTCTCTCCGAGAGCACCAGTGACAGCTGGTAGAGTTTGCTGCTTGAGAGGATCAGCCGTACTGGTAAGGTGATCAGTTCAGGAAAAAAGGGAATGTTTAAAGAAATGTGCAATATATGACTTACACAGTGGAAAATCAAACTGTCCTTGAAAAGAAGTAACCTATTTCATAATTCCAAAAGGGAAAGAAGCTGTCAACTTTAAATTCACTCACTCTCAGGGTCTAAGCTGGTCACACCTGGATGCCAGAGTCAAGACATTTGCCAACGGCCTGCAAGAGACGGGTCTTCACCTCAGCAGGGAAAAGTTGGCCCAGCCTGGGGTTCTGTGCCCCGGCGTGTTAAGGGGCTGTCTTGTGTGGGCTCCTCCAACCTTCTCTTCCAGCCCCCAGCCACCTCAAAACCCCACTTACCCACTCATCTCCAAGAGTTACAGGCATAGCCCTAACGCAGCCTATGAATGTTACCACAGCATCACAGAGGCATGCTTCCAATATCACTCACTTCTTTTTAATTGATCTCTTCAGAGTGGTTCAAACATAGCATAGGGGAGCTTATGCATGCAGTACAGTTTTGGTTTTGTTTGTTTGTTTTTTCTAAAAGAGCCACTGTAGGGTTGTTGGGGGTTTTTTTGTTTGTTTCTTTTTATTTTATTTTTTTCTGGTTCCTGCTCTGTCCCTCAGGCTGGAGTACAGTGATGCAATCACAGCTCACTGCAGCCTTGAACTCGTGGCCTCAATCAGTCCCACCTCTACCTTCCACAGCTTTGGGATTACAGGCATGAGCCACTGCAGCTGGCCTAGTATAAATTTTATACATACACTTAAATATATCCACTTATGTTTAGTAGCTTAGTTTGAGTAGCTTTAAAAATAGAACCGACCTTAAAGTAATGACTTAAATAGACATTCTAATGTGGTGCAAAGCTCACGACTCAATATTGAGTACAAAAAAAAAGCAAGTTGTATGTGTTAGCCCATTCTCACACTGCTAATAAAGACATACCTGAGACGGGGCAATTTACAAAAGAAAGAGGTTTAATGGACTTACAGTTCCACGTGGCTGGGAGGCCTCACAATCATGGCAAAAGGTGAAAGTCATGTCTCACATGGTGGCAAACAAGAGAAGAGAGAGCTTGTGCAGGGAAACTCCCCTTTTTAAAACCATCAGATCTCATGAGACTTATTCACTATCACAAGAACAGCATGGGAAAGACCTGCCCCATGATTCAGTTACCTTCCACTGGGTCCCTCCCATGTGTTGTGGGAATTCAAGATGATATTCGGGTGGGGACACAGCCAAACCATTTCACTATAGAACAAAATTTGTAGTATAATCCAAACTATATATATATAAAAGTCAGTGACATCCACTACCTGTTTGTCCTTGAACAAGTCATTTCACCTGTCTGGGCCACAGCTTCCTCCGTTTTAAAATGAAGAGATTGGACTACATTGTTTCTAAGGACTTTCCAGTTTAAAGTCTCTGATTTCAAACGTCAAAGAATTTACTCATTCCGCACATATTTATTAAGCGCTTTACTATGCACTAGACACTGACCTGGGCTCTGAGTATGTGGTAGTGAACAAAACAGACAAAGACCTCTCCTGGAGCTCACATTCTAATGAGAGGAGTGGGGAAGTCAGACACAAAACAAACAGTAAACATATATTAATAGTACATCAGTAGTAATAAGCACAATGGAGAAAAATGAAGAAGGAAAGGGACATTAAGAGTATGGGAGGGCGACAGGTTATACCGAATGATCAAGGAGACCTCACTGATAAGGTGACATGTGAGTAAAGACCTAAAGGACATAATGAGGCATAATGTGGGTCTATGAGAAAGAACATTCCAGAAACAGGAAATAACATAGGCTCTGGGCAGAAGTATAATTGGCACGTTCAAGGAAGAGCAAGAGTGACCAACAGCAAGCAAGGAAAAGCAGTAGGAGATGAGGTCAGAGAGAGTGAAGAGCAAGATCCTGTAGCATCCTGTAGAATATTGGAAAAGCTCTAGCCTTTACTCCAACCACAAGGGGAAGATAGTATATGATTTGGGGAAAAGAAGTGACAAATATGACACACATTTTTAAAAGATCACAATAGCTGTTATGGTGAGAATAGACTATAGGATGGCAAGGGTGAGTGCAGGGAGGCCAGTCAGGAGGCTATTGGAGTAATCCAAGTGAGAAATGATGGTGGCTTGGACCAGGGTGGTAGGAGTAGAATACTGAGAAGCAGTCAGATTGTTGGGTGCATTTTAATGTAAAAGCAGGATTTAACAAGGCTTTACATATTTGAGGAGCCTCTGTCTAGGGTGATATGGTTTGGCTCTGTCTCCACCCAAAGTCTCGTCTTGAGTTGTCATCCTCATAATCCCCATCTGTCAAAAGTGGGACCAGGTGGAGGTAACTGGGTCATGGCGACGGTTTCCCCATGCTGTTCTCATAATAGTGAGTGAGTCTCACGAGAGCTTAGGGTTTTATAAGTGTCTGGCACCTTCCCTGCTTGCACTCACTCTGTCCTGCCATCATGTGCAGAAGGTGCCTGCTTCTCCTTTGCCTTCTGCTGTGATTGTAAGTTTCCTGAGGCCTCCCCAGCGATAAGGAACTGTGAGCCAATTAACCCTCTTTTCTTCATAAATAACCCAGTCTCAGGTATTTCTTCATAGCAGCGTGAGAACAGACTAATACATAGAGACAGACTAATACATAGAGTTTGGAAGGGTGGGTGGAAGCTCCATAGCCTCCTTAAAAATCGATGTAAACTATCCAACAGAGAAAGCTGCTACTTTTCAAATGCAAGAATTGTGCACAGTGATGCTGTGTCCCAGGAAAATGGAAGGCTCTTTAAGGGCACTCACCAAACCATCAAGGAGACTGTGGGTCATGTTTCTAATCTGCCTGGAATGACTTCTCTGAGAAGGTCACATCCTTCTGGTAACTGCACTGGGAAAATAGCAGTGCAGGAAGTCAGCAGTCTCCACTGACAATTCACCTGAAGTTTGCCTTTCTGACAACTTGTGTTCCAAAACAAAGTGAATGCTTTATTTGCTATAGAAGGAAAGGGAAGAAGACATGGAAACAAGAATACAAGTTCATTAGAAGAAGAGTATTCAGTTCTAAGAAGAGGGGCACTCACCCTACACTCCAAATCTCCCTCTCTCCTCTCCCTCACATCTTATCCATTACTACCTTCTCAAGACTTTCATCACCGAAAAGAAACAGACCCCGGATAGTTCAGTCTACACCCCAATCAATACAGCCCTGAAAAGGTAAACAGAATGTTTTGGTTATAATGTTTTATTACAAAGGTAATATATGATCATTATAGAAAAATAAAATAGGTCATCAATAATTGCATCACCTTGAAACAATCACTTTTAATTTGTTGTTAGAGGTTAGTCTATTTTAACATTTCTGAAGTCATATAGACTTACATGATTGCTCTCATGTAACCTGTAACATAAGCGTTTCTCATGTTGCTACATCTGTTAATAACAGTGGTTTGACTAATTGTATTGGCTGTGTGGATGTGGAACAGAAGATTCTTGATGTCAAGAACGGCTGAGGCACAGAAGGTGCAGTCAGTCATTTGGGACCATATTGTCTGTGGCTTTCAGGACAGGGAGCTTTGGGACTCAGGTAGATGACTCTGGAAGAGTCCTTCTCTTTTGGAACTGCAGCATCCCTTCGTCTTCCCCAAGGGGAATTTAGTCCAGGAAATACCAGATCCTCACCTCTCTAATTCTCTTCTCAAATCCCAAGGCAAAACAATGGAGACTTAATGTGGTTCTGGTAATTGGGCTCTTTGTTCTTCTGGAGCTTCCGACTGCATAAGCAGTGAATAGGTGATTTTGTTCTCAGCATGGAGAAGGCAGAAACCAGCAGTAGGGATCCACAGAGAGGGCATAGGAAAGAAGATGTTAAAGAGGCTGGACATTGGGGCTGATGCTGGTCATCCCAGCACTTTGGGAGGCCGAGGCGGGCAGATCGCTAGAGGCCAGAAGTTCGAGATCGGCCTGGCCAACATTGCGAAACCCTGTCTCTACTAAAAAAAAAAAATAAAAAATACAAAAATTAGCTGGGTATGATGGCACATGCCTCTAATCCCAGCTACTGGGAGGCTGAGGCATGAGAATCGCTTAAACCTGGGAGGCGGGTTTGCAGTGAGCCAAGATAGCACCACTGCACTCCAGCCTGGGTAACAGATTGAGACTCTGTCAAAAAAAAAAAAGATGTTAAAGGAAAAATCTGAGGCGCAATTCATGAAGTTTAGTGTTCCAGTGGCAAAATGTCACAGGCAAGTATTTATTGGGAAAATGTGGAAGCAAAATAAAGGCAATCGGTTGGTTTTCAATTACATAATTGTTTTTTGGGGGTAGGTATCTTCTTAGAAAGTCCCTAGTCACCTAATTATATGTTAGTAGGCTGCTTGTGATTGGCTGGGGTTGTCTTATTTCTAACATAAGCATTTACCAGAAATGATCCAAGTTAAGTTTTGCTTATGCTTGTATGTAGTATGACCCCGTGAAGTTTTGCTTGTGTTTGTAGTTTAAGCAAAGTTAAAGCTATTTCTAAGGGCCAGGTGGTTTTGTTTGCTCAGGATTTTTCCAGTCTCCATTTAAATTTTCCTTTAACAATTCCCCTCTTTTTGTCATCCACTCAGCAAGCTGAGAGTATGACCACATGGCATAACGTTACTCTTTAGTTATTACTGTTGACATGGTCGTTGGGAGGAAGAGTCAGGTAGATGTTTTTATCATCGTCAGTAGGTGCCCTGGGGTTCAGAGTCATGTAGCCGCCGTCAGCTGTTTCATAGTCATTGTTGGTTTCTTCAAGTTGTCTCTTTCTGATGGCAATCATTTGACGTCCAGGTGGCTGCAGGAAAGCATTTAAAACCCATAGGATAATTCAATACACCGGGGAGGTAAATACAATAACTATAAGGAGAATAATAGCCAAGGATTGAAAAATTCCTCTGAGCAAAGATTCTCGGGAGCCAAGACTTAACCAATCAAATAAATTAATGAATACAAATAAATATTATCTGATGAAAAACTCATGTATGTTCTTTAAAGTCTTTTAAATTTTAGGAGGCTATTGTTTTGCACTAAGCTCCTGCACTAGGCCCAAACAGAACAGACTAAAAATCAAAGTGGAATCACCCATGATAAAGTTTCAAGTCATCAAACAGAAACTACATTCTTATCTGGCCTTTGGAAAAATCAGGAGAGAGAGATAATAACCTAATAACCTAAAAATCTAATTTCCCAAACAGGCCAGTTTCAATTGGCATCCTTACAAAAGAGTAACCTGATGTTAACCAACCAGTTATTTATTATTCTGTTTTCCTATTCCTGTCTTTTGCAACTTTAACCAGTTTTAAAATAGCCAATCCACTTTAAATTCTTTGTTTCTGCTTTCTTCAGACCTTTTTCTGTCTATGAAGCCAATCTCCTCTGCTGTAACTCATTGGAAACCTTATTCTAATTTAAGGAGGCAAGTGTTGCCCAGTTCTAGAATCACCATAAAGCCAGCTGAGATCTTCAACCATTTCTTTTGACATCAGTAGGAACACAAGCTCCTCCTTGTTAAGCTGTTAAGATATCAAGAACTTCTATTTTGGGGTGCTATTGAGGCTAACTTGCTCATTTTAGATTGTATTGCTTGAAAGGAATTCAGAGTATTCTTCTATTAAAAAAACAAAGTTAATATTTGGAGCAAATTATGATCTTAGTTTTTGAGTTTAGAGGGCAGCTAGGTGAAACAATTTCTAGAGGTGAGTTTGAGGCAAGTTTAAATGGTAGACTGAAGATAGCAGTTGCAATGTGATGTGCTTTACTGGTTTGCAATTTGAATGTCTCTGGTTATTTCATTAAACATTCTGGTAAACTCTCTGAGTGACCCAGATAGCAGCAGGCATTAAGATTGGCATTAAGGCATAAGTGCTCTGTTGCAGTGATTTTTCTGAAGCTTAAAGTCACCAGTTTCAGTTTGCAGAGCTTTGGAAAAGGGCAGTTTTAGTTTTTAGTGGAACTAAAAAACAAAAATTCAGGAGTCAATCTGGTTTATAGGGAGATAATAAAACTTCAAAGAAAATGAACAGGCCTAGAATTTGACAATGGATGCACAATAGTTTTCTACTAAAATATAATCTTTTTTATTCTGGAGAAAAATATTTTTATTTTCCATTTTTACCGAAAATCAAAGTTAACTTTTTTGCAAAAATAAATCTAGTTTCATTAAATTTGACCTGATTATTTATATAGGTATAATAAAAACAGTAATTTTAAAATATATTTTAGCCACAGCTTTGGTGATATCCAAGAGACTTTACTGACTTTTTATCAGTCAACTTTAGTTTTTAAAAACTATCTAGTAATTGAGAAATCTCAGATTAGACCTTTAAAAGCCTCTCTAGGCTAAGAAGCCAAGCCAAGGACTTGCCCAATTATGTCCTGTTACAAGGAGAATAGATTCTTATTGAACCTATGCAAATACCCAGATTGAAAATAAAAATACTTAATAAGAGTTTCCAAATTCTGAAACAATCAGGTAGAGAGAAAAAGATAAGTGGAACACTTTTTTATTTTTGTTTTAGTAGTTTGTCTTATCTGGAAATGGTGTAGATATTTAATGAATACCTGTCATTTCATTTAACATAGTTAAAGTGGCAAACATAATATTAACAAAACCAACTACCTGTCATCTCAAGGTATTTTTTTGACAAATTGTATAGCAGACAACATGAGCTTATTTGGGTAAAACTAGGTGGAATATTCACTTTCATTAATACCAATATTCTCATTTATTAAAGATTACTCAGGTCATATGAAGTTGAAAAGCATTTTGGCAAAGTTCTTTTCTTCTGAGAAAATATGTAATTTATATAAGTGCTTATTTTTCTCTAGGCCAGTTGAGCTCCTTTAATACTGTTTCTAATAAATACCATCTGGAGGTAGAATAATATTATGTACAAATAGCATACACATGTGTAGATATATGTAAACATACAGAAAGATGCAAACAGAAATTCATGGCTTTTGTTCTGAAATTTTAGCCATGTGCCAGGTATAATAATATAAAACTAATTAGTTGGATCTAGCCTCTAGTTAAAGTTAGCTGTTCTGATGGCTGGCACTTTTTATTGATATTTGTGGAGAGGACTATTAAGATTTTTCATTTGCCAGTTTGTTTCTAAAAAATTCCTCCTTTTTTCTTTTTGATGAGTCATTTTGCTGAAGCTTGTGTTTTAAAAACATTTACACAACTCAAAGGCCCAGAGAAAGGGTACGAAGCTTCTCCAAGAAGGAGTTTTGGGGCATTTTCACCTATTATTAGGAGTCAATCTTATTGAGACTGGATTAAATTTTAAATGAGTGACTAACGAGACACCTAGTTTATCTGGCCTATTTCCAATTAGTTTTTATTATTTTTAGCCTTAGTGGTTGCTTTTATAATAGTTCATGTGTGCAATAACAAGAGTTAAATTTAGTTGTTGTAGATACTCCTGGCTCATTTGAGGATCTAATTTTTTAAGGACGTTAGCATTGAGTAGGTTCAGATGGAAAAAGCAAGCAATCAAAGAGGTTAATAGGTTTAGAATACTTTCTTATTAGCACATTGTAAAGATTTACTTAGAGAGACTATTTTTTTAAATCATTCTTTTAGAAACCTTTACATACCAATCAAAATTATTTATCATTGTTTCTGAGACATTTGGGATCTCATTTTTTCCCAATGCATCCCTTAAATGAACAATTTTTTCTAGATTTAAACATCCTCACTGTGACCATTGCAACTTTAAGTCATCTCTGGTAAGGCTCAATAGGTAAGGCACACCTATTTCTCTAGAAAGTCACAGGTTCTGGGCCCATATTATCTGAACATAGAAATCACTGTGTTTCAGATGGAGGAGTCCCAGACTCTGTACATTCTGACAAAGCCATAATATCTTGCCCTTCTGAAATTTACCTACCTGAGGACTCCAACTGGACCCCCAGTTCGGTTTCTGTTGAACACCTAGTTCAATCTGTCAAGTACCCAATTTGACCTCTGGATCCCAATCCAGAAATCAGACCTTGTCTGGAAACTAGTACACTATACTGGACCTAGTATAGTTCCTGTTGGAAACAGATGAACTTGTCAAATACCAAGATTAACTGCTGAATCAAATGAGAAATAAAATTACTCAAATAAACTCAGAGAGCTCAGGACACAAGTTGCAAGCCTGATATCTGAGAGGGACTTACCTAGTGACTCACAAATGCAGGAAGAAACCAGTGAACACAATGGGCTTAATGGGTACCTATGCCTGGTCACCCATTGCTCTTAGGGATCTTTGGGGGAGATTCTACTTTATATCCTACTTCTGACACCAAACTGTTAAAGAAAAATCTAAGGCACAATACAATTTTAAAGAGTTCATTTGAATAAGAAGCAATTCATGAATTGGGTGACACCAAACCAAAAGAGGTCTAATGTTTTAATGACAGAAAGTCAGAGACAAGTATTAATTTGGAAAATGTGGAAGAAAAATAAAGAAATTTGATAGGTTTGCAGTTACATAATTGTCTTTTGGGTGAGGTACCTTACTGAAGTGTTCTTAGTCACATAATTATGTTAGTTGGCTGCTTACGATTGGCTAGGGTTAAATCTTATTTCTGTCTAACATAAACATTTACCAGAAATGATCCAAGTTAAGTATTACCTATTTTTAGTTACAATCCAACTTGAGTTTCACTTATGTTTGCAGTTTAAGCAATGATAAGGCTATTTCTAAGGCCTGGGTGGCTTTGTTTGCTCAGGAGTTTTCAGGCCCAGTCTCCATTTTAATTTTGCATTAACAAAGGCAAAAATGAGAGGAAACAGGAGAGAAGGGACAAGGCAGGAGGAAAAGGAGATGGCTGGGATTACTCACCTCAAATTGGGCAGCCTTCACAGGATCAGTGGAATTGGCTGTGGGGAAAAAGAAAAAGATTAGCCAGGGCACTGCTGTTGAAAAGGGCCTGCCCACGCTGATGCTGAGGCTGCAAAACCATAACCAGACTCAAAGCAAGGACTGCTGACCCCTTGACACAGTCCTGTAAGGCCAAGGGCTAAGTAAATATGGCCTCATGTACCCACCCTTGGGGTCACCCAGCCACAAGCCTTCCCCATGGGCCACACTGGTGGAGGGAAGCAGTCACTTGGGCCACACTCTTTTCAGGGAATTGCTGAGCTTTCCTAGAAGCAAACCAGACAGCTTGGGGATCTGAGATACTGGGGAAGACGTGGAGCAGGGTGTTCAGCATCAGAGTGAAGTAAAGTCCAGATTTTTGCTGACCACATCAGGAAGAGAAGGCTGAGGGCCATTTCCACATTGTCCAAATGTAGTGCATCTTTGTTGGAACTTTGAAGAATATAGTACTCCATGGCATTAAAAAGGAAGACAGAAAGAGAAAGTAACATGAGAGAGAAAAAGAGAGGCAGGGAGGGAGCTTAGGGAGGGAGAAAGGGAGGGAGGGAAGGGGGAAGGAAGGAAGGCAGGAAGGGAGAGAGGGAGGGAAGGAGGGAGGGAGGAAGGGAGGGAAGGAAGGACTTTCTCTGGTTAGTGTCCAAAACACACCTAATTGCCTCATGTTTTTGTCATAAACTGACTTGGCCAGTGTGAAAAGTAGCCCCAGTATTTGCAAAGTGGCATTTCTCAGGAAGTCGGGAGACATCTGAGACAATGCATCTAGTCTCTTCTCTCACCCCCTGAACACAGAGAGCCTTTATTGCCATGCTGTAAATTCTGCAGCAAACCACATTCTGAATTCCCATTCTAATACATTCCCCAACAATTCCAGCAACCCAGCTTTGCCTTTTGCGAAAGGATTTTTAAAAAACCATTTATGCAGCCCCCATGCCTGGCTGCAAAAGTGCCTCGTGAAGTGTGCTTATGCCAGTGTAGACAGAACCACACAACAAGACGGATAATCCAGTTGCTTGGACTTTGTATTTTCCAGATCTGCTTTGGCCCTGGTGTGAACACAGGCCCCTATCACCACTGGGCCTGGCCAGTGGACGTGCAACCTTGCTGCAAGCACAGCTGAACAAGTGATATTTTGCTCAAGCTCTTAAATCTGTTGGCTCTGCTCTAAATCATACTCCAGCCATCTGAGGTGCGGTCTTTGACAGCCTTTTTCCTGCCTGTTCCTACTGTCATGGAAGCCCCCAGAGAAAGCACTGGTTTCCTTTATGCTCTGACTTTAACTACAGTCTGGAAGTTGCCTGGCATCCTCCTGGAAGTTCCTTTACATACTCCCACCTGAATGTCAGACCTAGAAGGCCTGAGAGGTCACCCTGGCCACCCACTCATTTCCTCAGTGAGGAGACTGAACCCCATCAGGGAGACTGACTTGCTCAGGGCTCCACTGTGTGATGGGGGCAGAACCAGGCCAAAATTCAGTCAACCTTGAGTGCATGGGCATTGGAACCGAGCTTTGCCCACAGAGTAGAGCCCACTAGTGCCCCTAGCCCCCCAGAATTTTCTCAAGCCCAAACCTCCTCTTAGTGTTCCACAGACAGCTGAGCCTGGCCACTCCACCCCATCCCTCCACAGAGGCAGATTCCTCAGCAAATTGAGGGGTTTCCAGGCCTCCTCCTCCTTTCCCCTTAGACTCCTGCCTCCCACGTCCGATTGGCCTCAGTCTTACAGCCCCTAACCCCATCCTCTGCCAGCTCTGCCAAAGCTCCACAGAAAGACCAAAGTATCTCTGATTTCTTGCTCTGGAAATATCACCAGATTCCTGGTCCTAGAAATTTGAACACCGCCCTCTCCTCTGTATCTGGGACTGGTGTTTCTCTTCTCATCTCCAGCGAGGTCCTCTTTAGGCCCAGAAATTAGACTCAGAGTTGACCAAGCGATTTGAGCCCTGGCCATCCCCCCATCGCTGCTCCCTCCCTGGCTCCCAGCTGAACTCGCACAAGCCCCTTCTCGCTGGCTCAGGTCCAGCCGGCAGCCCTGGTGAGCCATCACTGAATCCCTGAGACAACTCTGTATTCACCTGGTTTCTCAGGGAGGGTCTCTCCCATTTCCCTGCACTCAGGGTCTCCTGGGAGAGCTGGGAGGGACACACAGGAGGTTAGCAGGATTAGGCAGTGGGGCCTGAGTCCTCAGGACCAAGGACCAGGGCCAGGATTGGATGGGACCAGCTCAGGCCTTCCCTCTGGCAGATGTTTCCTGTCCTCCCACCCCCAGTTCCCCTGCTCAGGGGCTGCTCCCACCTGGAAAAGGGCTAGTCCAGAGGCAGAATTCAGCTCACCCATGGGGACGCCCAGGAGTGTCAGAAAGGCCACGCCATGGCATCTGTCTGAGGCTTGCTCTGCCTTTTAAAAACACCCCTGTGTCTCACAGTCTGCCTCTCTCTCTCTCTGTTTCTCTGTATTTACTTATCATCAGTAACTGAGGTGTTGGCTATGAACCAATTGCAAAGTGCTTTGTGAGGTGTTAGTGGGATTATTTCTCTTTCTCAGAGGCTTGCAGTACCCTATCTACTCCCCCCTCATATAAGCCCCACCCAGCCTCAGTCCCTGCCTTGGCCCAGTGCCTGGAGAGTCCTCCTTCCCTAGCTAAGCGCTGCCCTCACATACCACCTCCTCCAGAATGGCAACAGCCCTGTTTGTGTGCTGTTACTGCCTACCAGGCACTGGTGTAAGAGCATCAGCCTCTTTCATCCCCATGGCAACCCTGTGAGGTGACTCCTATTAGTGCTCTTGTTGAGGATGAACTAATAAATGAACTAATAAATAAAAGGTGGGCCTAGATCGGAATGCATATCTAGCCCTAAGAGCGGGATTCTGGCAATGTCTGGGGTTAGGCCCTGGGCCAAATGGAAACTGATAACAAAAGGGACTGGGAGGAGCTACAAACCTGAAATCCGCTTTTTCCTGCAGTAGATCAAGGCCACTACAGCAGCAACAATGGCTGCTACAGCAGTCGCAATGACCACAGCCACAATGATCCCCATTGGTGAAGAGCTGCCCATGCTGGGCACTAGGGAAGACAGACATTAGGGCAGGATGGGGGGTTACTATTTTAATGACAACGTTTGTATTCTCCCTGTCCCACCTCCCACCTCCAATGCTATGTCCCAGTGCTTGTCACCTGAAGCTCTTCTGTGTCTGAGTCACTCACCAATGCAAGATTCACCACATCCCCAGCCTCACTGGCACAGGGTTTCTGTGGCTGGACTTGTGCCTCCTCCCTACCCAGGTTTCTCCACCAAATGAATGAAAGCACACTGGTGAGCATGCAGGAGCAGAGGGAAGGATTCCCCTTAGCCCCTGGGGACAGTACGGAGGGTGGGCCCAAAGCCTCGCATAGCTGGAGGCATCATTACTCTATGGAGCACAGCCTTGAACAGTCCATGACGTGCCAGGCTTTCTGGAGTGAATGGCTATAACATGAGCCATGAGAAGAAACGAGGCAAACCTCAGCTCTTAGGAATGCCCAGGAGCTTAGGGAACCTCTGCATCAATGAGGGAGCTCTGCTTCACTGCCATCTTTAGTCTGGGGCCTACATTTCAAAGTGAAACAACAGCCTGACTACCTATTACCTGGGACGTGAGGGCTCCAAGCTCTGGCCCCTACTTGTTGGTCAATACTTAGCCAGGCTTCCACCCCACTCCTCTTTGCTCCAGTGCCCAATTTTGCTGCTATGGGCTTTCTCAGACCTCCATGTAGGCCCATGTGACCTCAGCCCTTGTCCATCCCCTCTTCTCCCCTCCCTACATCTTGGCAGACTCCCCATACCTTGGACAGTGATGGTCACAGGCTTGGATGAGAACAGCGTGTAGCCTATGTTTCCTGTGCAGTGGTAATCACCACTGTGACTGTGGTTTGCTTGTGGGATGGAGAAGGTGGGATCCAAATGGGAGAATTTCTGGGATTTTCCATTCTGGAAGAATGTGACCTTGACCAGAGGCTTGTCCTTCCAGCTGTGGCACCTCAGCATGATGGTTTCTCCCTCCTGGAACTCCAGGTGAGGGGTCTGGAGCACCAGCCATTCTGAAAGACACAAATATGATAAGAAAAAGTTGTAAGGATAGATTCCAAGGGTTTTTCAGTCTCAGAGGTACGTTACTCACAGAACTTGACATGATGTCTGGCAGACAGAAATGAAGATGCTTCATGACAGATGTGAGCATTCTCTTATAGGCAATATATGGTATTATATCTGTGGGACTTCTAAAAGCAGAAGTTTTCAGAGGTTTCAAAGATGCAGAGCAGATATTTAAAACAATTCTGAGGAATTTAAAATACTACGTTTGAGTAGAGAAATGAGCGCATTTCAGTAACTGTAGAGGCTACTCGACAGGGCCTGAAGCCGTCAGTTTTTGTGGTCTGGGGATTACTAATTTAATGGTAAATTTTGTACAAGCTTTGGGAAGTGAGGGTGGGCAGCCTTGAACTGTATTAGCAAAGAAGTAGAGCCTTCTTCCCCCCTTTTTTCCACATGCTGTTGCTGGTTAAAAAAAAAAAAAAATAGAGCCTTAATCATCCCTCATCCACCCTGTCTTAGTCTGTTCTGGCTGCTATAACAAAATGCTATAAACTGGGTGGTTTATAAACAACAGAAATTTATTTCTCCCTGTTCTGGGGGCTGGAAAGTCCAAGATCAAGGTGCTTACAGCTTCTTTGATAAGAGCCTACTTCTTGGTTCACAGAACTGAGGCTTCTTACTGTGTCCTCACATGGCGGAAGAGGCCTTTGAGCTCCCTCGGCCCTCTTTTATAAGGGCTCTGCCCTCATGACCTAATCACCTACCCAAAGACCTCACCTCCTAATACCATCACCCTGGGGGTTGCTATTTGATTAATTCATATCATATGAATTTTGGGGGCACAGAAACATTCAGACCATACTGTACCCTGCATAAAATCTTCCATCCACATAAGAAATAAAAAGGCATGACTTGAATTCACACAGGTGAATTCAGTATTCATTTGTGACTCTGAATAAAAGGGGCATTCAAGAAAAATTTTAAATTTAAAATCACTTTTTCCTTTTTGCCTACAAACATCCTCACTCCCAACAATTCCTTCCCTTCACTGATGGCAGAGTAATCAGATTCCAAAATTCAGCTACCTCGGAGGACAAATCTATTAACAAAGTTTCAATAGACTTAATAAAGATGAAAATCAAATTGCTGTATCATAGGAATAAATATAATTTATTCGATCTTATTTAAATAAAAATTCATTTAAAAAAACAGTTTTCTTTTTCTTTTTTTTTTTTTTGAGATGGAGTTTCGCTCTTATTGCCCAGGCTGGAGTGGAATGGCGCGATCTCGGCTCACTGCAAACTCCACCTCCCAAGTTCAAGCAATCCTCCTCCCTCAGCCTCCTGAGTAGCTGGATTACAGGCATGCGCCATCACGCCCGGCTAATTTTGTATTTTTAGTAGAGATGGGGTTTTTCCATGTTGGCCAGGCTGGTCTCGAACTCCCGACCTCAAGTGATCCATCCACCTCGTCCTCCCAAAGTGCTGGGATTACAGGCATGAGCCACTGTGCCTGGCCAAAAAAAAAAAGTATTCTGTATATGAAAGGCCAGGTACCATTACTGAGATGGCATAAAACAGAAACTAAAGTCAGGATTGCGATTTTGGCTGTGCCATTAACTGCTGAGCTCTTGGGTCTAATCAGTTGCATTTCTTTGTACAATGGATAGGTGGGACTAGGTAGTTTCTCTCTAACAATGCTTCAGATCTCAATTTTTTTTTTTTTTTTTTTTTTTTTTGAGACAGAGTTTCACTCTTGTTGCCCAGGCTGGAGTGCAGTGGTGTGATCTTGGCTCACCGCAACCTCCACCTCCCAGGTTCAAGCAATTCTCCTGCCTCAGTCTCCCGAGTAGCTGGGATTACAGGCAAGCGCCACCATGCCCGGCTAATTTTGTATTTTTAGTAGAAACAGGGTTTCTCCATGTTGGTCAGGCTGGTCTCGAAATCCCAACCTCAGGTGATCCTCCTGCCTCAGCCTCCCAAAGTGCTGGGATTACAGGCATGAGCCACCACACCCAGCCCTCAATTTTTATTATCTATATTTTTACATTTTCATAAGAAGAGTCAGAATTACTATCGGCTGTCTCTGGGAAGCCAATACAGAGAGGAGCTATGATGTCATTAGGCAGCTTTTGAGGTCAACTCAATATTTATTTATTCCCCTTCAGTAAAGCACCATCAACAGAAAGCGACTCCACAGCCAGGATCTCTCTGGTACAGCAGCAGCCTTAAAGGACCACAAAAACAAATCACCCTTTCAGTGTTGAACAGGAGAATCTAAAACACTGAATGTTTACCTGTGACCATCTCCAGGGTTTATGCACCAAGAGTGCAGCTCAAGTAAACAACAATAGAAATGTGCTTATATTTTCAGACATTGGAAGCAGGTAGAAACAGTATCTAAGCCAGGCGTGGTGGCTCACGCCTATAATCCCAATACTTTGAGAGCCTGAGGAGGGAAGATCACTTGAGGCCAGGAGCTGAAGACCAGCCTGGGCAACATACTGAGACCCTGTCTCTATAAAAATAAATAAAAACAAGTCACTTGGCATGGTGGTGTGTGCCTGGAGTCCCAGCTACTTGGGGGAAAAAAAAAAGAAATACTATCTAGAAGCATTTTCTCTACAGACTCTATTAAACTGAACACTGTCAGATGTTTACATAAAGCTAAATCAGATCACGTGACTCCTTTAATTAAAGCCATCTCAACTCACTCAGGAATAAAAGTCAAAATAGTTGCAACAGCCTATCAGCCTCTGCCTGATCTACCCTTCACCCTCCCCTCACCTCTGACCTCATCTTCCAGACTGAATTCTACACTCCCACCTCCACACACCTGTCTGGCAGCCTCCTGCCTTAGAGCCTTTAGAGGTCTATTTCCCCCAACCTCTCTGCTTTACCGCATTGCCACAGGAGGAGGGTAGTTTTTTAAAGTAGGGATTTCCTTCTGCTTCTCCCACACTCAGCTGTTTGTGGCCTCGTAACCCCCTTGCTCAATCAAGACTGAGGCAAAAACAACCTAACACATGCTGAGAAAATTATTAGAAATTCCCCCTTCCCCCACCACGCATGCTAAGCAAAGAGGGTGGGTGAAATGGGGAATGAATGAGCAACTCACAACAGTGCTTCCCAGTAAGCAGTCCACGCCCACTCTTTCCTGCAAACCTCTGTCTGTAAACAGATTTCATCCGTCCTGGCCCTCCCAGGTCCACCCTGGGGCCTTCCTCCACTGACCGGAAAGCACAGTCAGATGCACAGGGTCGCTGAGGCTGGTCTGGCCAGTCTGGCACGTGTACTCCCCGCTGTCATTGTTGTTGGCCTTGAACCTGTAGCTGGGCTGCGTGTGGGTGGGAATGAGATTCCCATTGTGGAACCACTGAATGGAGTCGCTCTCAGGGCTGCGAGCCCCCTGGCATGTCAGAGTCACAGAGTCCTCCTGGAGCACGTTGATCCACGGGGGCTCAAGTTTCAGCACAGCCTTTGGGGGAGCTGCTGAGGGGCAGAGTGGAAAGGGGTGTGGAATAAATAACCCTGAAGGGACTGTGGATGCCAAAGGAGCTCCCAAGGGAGGTCAGGCACCCAAGAGTCCTATTGTAGATGTAGTTCAAGATCTGTACTTGCAGCGGCCTCATTCCCTTGGGTCTTCAGTGGATCTAAGAAGCAAATCCCAGACCCCACTAAAATGGGGGAACTGCCCATGCTGAACCCAAGCTTGATTTTCAGTGGAATAGACATACCCCCCCGCCGCCCCAGCAAACACAGCATCATATTATGAGGATACAACACTGTCAATACAAGGAAGCAAAGGGCATACTCACCAGCTTGACTGTCTGCAGAAGCTGTAAAAGAGAAGAGAGTGGATCAACGTCGAGCAGGAGAACACGGCTTCAAATTTAGCTGCGTATGTGAAATGCTGGGGAGGTGAGCTTGGGCTCTTCCTTCTCCAGGACCCATCTCAAGATCCTGTTTCCAGTTGATCTTTTATAAAAGTATTCACTTCATATGTCCCCTTTATCTCATTTCCTGTTCCTCCTCATGACTACAAAGTACACATGAATGTTTGGTGCAGAATGGACTTTCCAGGGACTATGAAACTACCTCTGAGTTCTGACCTTAGGAACCATTGGAACACTTAAGAATTCAGGGTCCTCTCTCCTCTTTCAATCTATCCCCTGCTTCCAGGGCCCAGGCCTGCTCCTTACCACACTGGTACCTGGAGTCCAGGCAGTAGGAGTGTCTGAAATTGCCCCATTTCAGAATGACCCTCACTCACCCAGCAGCAGCAAAACTGTCAATGGTTGAAGCAGCCACAGGTTTCTGGGACATACATTCTGAGACATTTGGGTCTCCATAGTCATCCCAGCACTGTGCCAACGTCCAGTGGGTTTTAAGAGACAAGCTTAGAAAAGAGGAAGGAAATGGTTTCATCTTCTTGTGCAGCTGTCGTCAGTCCTCAATTCTGTTTCTGCTAACCAATCAGGAACAATTCCAGTTAGGAGTTGAGTCTGCTTTATAGATAAGTCTATTACACACCAGCTTGTGTCCTTGTGAAAACCCCGGGGAGGGGTTACTGTTCTGCTGGCCGGTATACCCCTCCTTAGAGTATTCTTTTTCTGTTTAAGATAATTCCTGGTCGGCCGGGCGCGGTGGCTCACGCCTGTAATCTCAGCACTTTGGGAGGCCAAGGCGGGTGGATCACGAGGTCAGGAGATCGAGACCATCCTGGCTAACACGGTGAAACCCCGTCTCTACTAATAATACAAAAAAAATTTAGCCGGGCGCGGTGGCAGATAGTCCCAGCTACTCGGGAGGCTGAGGCAGGAGAATGGCGTGAACCCGGGAGGCAGAGCTTGCAGTGAGCCCAGATAGCGCCACTGTACTCCAGCTTGGGCGAAAGAGCGAGACTCCGTCTCAAAAAAAAAAAAAAAAAAAAAAAAAAAAAGATAATTCCTGGTTAAAATCTTATCCAAAGGCATTAGAGCAGTTTGCTTCCAACAGGAGCCAAAAATGACCAGCAATGCAGCCTGACGGAGAAGAGGGGAGAAGAGCCTGGGAAGAAGATAATGTCCAGCTATTTTTTATACCCATAGGACAGAAACTTAAAGTAGAAAATTACCTTGTTTTTCACAATATTTTCTCCTACTGAAATTTTCTTTTCTTGAAACGGGAACCTTTTCTCCCACTGAAACTGCAAGTAGTTTTCCCTCTATGTTTTCCATTACAGAAATTGTAAGGAACTACCCATGCGGAGCAGTTGATTTGCACACATATTTATATCTTTCAAAAATGGAACACAAATAATGGGGTTATAAATTGGCAAACATTTTTGAAGGGGATTTAGGCACTATCTATTAAACATTTGAAATTTGTAAGCCTTATCACCTAAAAATTCCATTTCAAAAAATACATCCAATAGAAACACTTAGGTGTGAAAAAAAAAATCAACAAGAATATTCATTGGAGTATTGTAGCGTATAAGGAAAAAAGTCAAGATTAGAAGATAATAGAGACAGTTCAAGACCATCCTGGGCAACAGAGTGAAATCTCATCTCTATAAAATTAATTAAAAAGTAAATAAAATGGGGGATTTTATTAAATAAAAAAATTATTATTTTTGTAAATTTAATAAAATAAAATAGTAACTGCCTTATAGAGTTGTTTTGAAGGTTAAATAATGTCAGATAAATTAATTGTATAAAGTACTTAGAATAATAACAAAAATATCAGAAAATGTTAAATAATTTAATTACTATCTTTATGCTACTCTTTTATGGATGGGCCTGTGAGAAGATAGTGACACCCCTGTATTTAGTGGGTGGTATTTTACCTGAAAAGGGTGCTCATTCCCAGTGCCTAAGGAAGAATGTTTCCCAGAGCAGGTGGAGAGCCACTGTTGGTGCAGTGGGAATCTTGCTCGCCATAGTGGTTGCTAGTTATCATGCCCATAGTCTGGACCTCCTGAGAGTCAAGGCATACAGGATGCAGTCCAGGGTGGGAAGTATAGCAACGTATGCTCCATGGAGTGGCAAGTTGGGAGTAAGCTAGTAAAGACCCCCAGGGAGGTGCCAGCAGAGCTAGAGACATATTCTGTGGAGAGTATCTTACAGAGAATGTGACAGGGTATATGGGTCTGAGAGGGGGCTGGTTATGGTAGATTCAGACATTGTGATCATGGCTAGGACTAGAGAGATTCCTAGGGGAATACCCATACACTGAAAATTAAATGCACACTTCATTTCTATACAGGCAAAAGAATGTTATCCTCACATATGCAGGTGGCAAAGGAAGGAGCAACAAATTGTTCTCAGGCCATCTATACTCTGCTTACCCAAGAGATATACTATACCCCACCTCAGTCCAACTGTAAAATTTCAGGACAATGATTTTGTATCTAAGGTAGCCTTTAAAAAACACAAATATGTTTAAACTTTTCTTAAAATGTTTTTTTTTCTTTGAGAATGAGTGCTCACTATATTGCCCAGGCAGGTCTCGAACTCCTGGACTCAAGCTATCCTCTCACCTCTGCCTCCTTAAGAGCTGGGATTACAGGCATGAGTCACTGAGCCCAGCACTTTTCCTAAAACTTTTCTCAGACTTTATAGCAATATATTCTGCCCAATCACCAAGACCACATCCTGAGTGACTCCTAGGAACTGACTCTGTGGAAGGGACTTAAACCTTCTGGGTAGCCAGATAAAGCTATTCTCAGCAAGGAGAAATTTCCTAGAAACCAGCCACAAATATTTGTCAATTCTTCAGACTTTTCACAATACTTTGTATTCCTCATTCCTAAGTAACTGTTGTACCCTCTGCAATGGATATTATTGTTTTTATAATTTTTTAAATTTATTTGTTTTTCATTGTCATTTAGTAAAATATCTTGAGAGTCCCAAGTCTTGGGAAATCAAGGGAAGGGATTTTTGTCCACTCTTTGGCCAGAACATTGAAAGAGAATTGGTGTATCCCCCAGAGACCTATTATAGCAGGGTCAGCAGTTATTAAATAAGAAGATTCTAGAGGGAAATTGTGATGTGGGTCTGAATCAAAGCCTCTAGGTCAACCACCCACTCCCACTGCACAGCAAATCATGAGGTGCAGTGTTCTGTTTGAGTGTGGAAGTAGGCATCTCCTTTCACCTACCCAGTGCTGTAGCACTCACATTCCCAGGACATCTACCTCTGGCTTATGTTCTCAAAAGACAGTTCACCTCTTCATGTTGTTTCATTCACAAAATCTCCTCTTTGAGATGACTGGGATGTTGGCACCCACGCAGAATCAATAATGTCAAGCCAGCTCAAGAAGGGCTACTCCTGCTTTTTTGTTTGTAGGAGTTCCTTCCTCAGTGGGGTTCTAGTTTGACCCCAAGGGAGAGGGAGTCTACAGTTAGGATTTTATTAAGTTACTTTTCAGATCGAATCCAGTTGAGGGAGAAAGACTGGCACGTTGGAGGGATTTACTATTGAAACAGAGCTAAAGAGATGCTGTGGAATAACGAAAAGTAAACACAACCTGTAATCAGCTTAAGTGGAAATAAATGGCAAACTGTGGAAATGTGATACTTTATACACACTCCCTCCTCTGCTCCCAGGGGGTGGCTGTAGGTATTAAAAGAGACAAGGCAAGTAAAAGCTGCAAACTCTCTGCTCATAAGTAAGAAATAAATGATAATTTTGGGTCACCCCAAAGACAATGTCATTAGAGGATATTGTGTTTGAGGCCTTGAGAAGTGAGGGGAAATCTAAAATTAGAAATAATGTTTTAGTTTCTCAGAAGATCAGAAAAGCCATTTCTTAATACTAAAGAAGATAGAAAACTATTCATTACTACACAACAAAGGATTCAAGAGAACCGGCCAGGTGCGGTGGCTCAAGCCTGTAATCCCAGCACTTTGGGAGGCGGGCGGATCACGAGGTCAGGAGATCAAGACCATCCTGGCTAACACGGTGAAACCCCGTCTCTACTAAAAATACAAAAAAATTAGCCGGGCGTGGTGGCGGGCGCCTGTAGTCCCAGCTACTCGGGAGGCTGAGGCAGGAGAATGGCGTGAACCCGGGAGGCGGAGCTTGCAGTGAGCCGAGATCGTGCCACTGGACTCCAGCCTGGGTGACAGAGCGAGACTCCGTCTCAAAAAAAAAGAGAATTCAAGAGAACCAGGATTTCAGACACAAGAGCAATTTGATATTAAGAAGTTCTGGCAAATTAAACATGCTAGGACTTCTGAGCAGTCAGTAGCATTAAATAAGGTATGTTTCTTTCAAAACTTCAGCTCCAGCCTTTGCCTTCCCCCTTACTCCACTTTTGCCTCTATATATCAATATTTTACCTCTCCCACATGAGCATCTGAACCTGGACATGACCCCTGGTTTTTGGCTTGTTACTACTCACAATGTGCTGAGAGTGCACTATAGTCTTACCACACTGCAAGTAGAGACCGAACAGAAATTGGAATTCAGACTACAAGAATAGAAGAAAAAGGCATTTTTGAGGAAGAAATATAAAAGGGAACCTACTAAAAATTTAAATGACATATCAAAAGCCAATAGATGTATACTTTTCCCCTTCTAGGGAAAATTAGGAAAGGGTATATTTTTCTAGAGAAAAATGTGTGTGTGTATATATGTGTATATGTGTGCATGTGTGTGTGTATGTGTATGTATCTGTATGTGTTTGTGTGTGTATGTATCTCTGTGTGTGTGTGTAAATGTGACCTAGCAGAGTACCATGAGTCATCCCATATTCTAGGGGGGCCCAAGGTTTTATTTTTGTTTTTTTGTCTGTTTTGATATTGAGAAAGGCAGGCAATAGAATTTACAAAGAACCTAAGAAGATTAGTTGTTTTTGCAGGCTTTATAGACAGGTTTTGTAAAGGAACAGTTCTTGAGAGAAGAAATATGTATTTGGATTTAATATTTAAATGTATGATAGGCAGGGGAAGAGGAGTTCACTCCAAGAAGATTCAGGGCCCTTGTGTACACACATCTCCTGGTGACTTGTTCTGTTATTTCAGGTTAGTGGTCAGAACTGTAGCAGTTCCTTTGTAGGAGGAAATCCTACGAGGCTTGGATTTTTAACAATCCTGCTGTAAGATTTCCTAACCACCTACCCCAACACGTTTTCCAGAACTTATAGAAATTCTATTCAGCATCCAGATCTCAGGAGCAG
Source organism: Homo sapiens (assembly GCF_000001405.40). Classification (NCBI taxonomy): domain Eukaryota; kingdom Metazoa; phylum Chordata; class Mammalia; order Primates; family Hominidae; genus Homo; species Homo sapiens. The sequence continues at coordinate 161,500,663 of NC_000001.11, read as the reverse complement.
CATTCCTGTGGTGTTGAAGAGGATTTCAAACTTAGTGCAAAAGACCTAAAAGAGTTTAAGGATTATGATAACCTGTGAACAAGATCAGGAATAGAAACAGTATGGCCCACAAAAACAAAGATACAAAGTCTTCCCCTTTCTGTGGAAGAAGTTCATATATAGGAAATGCTCCCTGAGGCAGGAGAGTTAAAATGTGTCTGAGCACAACTGCCATTGGAAAAGAATATCTTCTCTCATTATTATATTGGGCAATGTTATTTTTCCTGTGATTAGATATGCCTCTGACCCATTAGAATGACAAAGTGCAAACAGAGCCTCAGAGGGGTGTCCTCAGGTATAATTGTGAGAATTGCCTGGGAAACAGCCTCAGAGCACCCAGACAACAGATTTTCATTCATTCAGCAAGTATCTATTGGGTGCTTACCAGGTACTAGACTGTTCTAGATGCCTCAGATACATTTGTAAATAAAACAGACAAAAATCCCTGCATTCAGAGAGCTTCCATTCTATTGGAGAGAGACATAAAGTAAATAATAAACATATTAAATAAGTATATAATATTATATGAAATGATACAAAGTATGGGAGAAAAAAGAGCAGGGAAAGGGGATTAGAAGCAGAAGTGGATTGCAATTTTAAGTACGGTGAGAAGGTGACAGTTGAGCAAAGATTTGAAAGATGAAGGAACTGAGCTTGCGGCTATCTAGTGAAAGAACATTTCTGGCAGACAGAACAATCAGGAGAGGAACTGAAACTGCTTTATGCCTGGAATGTTCCAGGAGTTGTTTGGAGTGGAACTGAGGGAGGGAGCGAGAGGTAGGAAATGAGGTCAGAGAGGAAATGAGAGACCAGATCACACAAGACCTCATGAGATTGTTCACTTTGACACAAATGAAATGGGGAACTTTTGGGAGATTTTGAGCATAGGAATGATATGATCTGAAATGTTTTTGAAAGACCATTCTGATTGCTGTCTTGAGAAAAGATTGTAGCAGGGCAAGGGCAGAAGCAGTGAGACAAGTAGGACGCTGTTGCAGCAAGCCAGGCATGAAAAGATGGAGGCTAGTACTAGGGTAGTAGTATAGAGGTAGTAGGAAGTCTACATTCTATACATGTTTTAAGACAGAACAACCAGACACAGTGGCTCACACCTGTAATCCCAGCACTTTGGAAAGCCAAGGCGGGAGCATCACTTGAGCCCAGGAGTTTGAGACCAGCCTGGGCAATATAGCAAGACCTCATCTCTATAAAAAATCAAAAGAATTAGCCACCCATGGTAGGACTACGCCTGTAGTCCCAGCTACTCAGGAGGCTGAGGTCGGAGGATTGCTTGAGCCTGGGGTATCAAGCCTGCAGTGAGCTGTGATCGCACCCCTGCACTCCATCCTGAGTAACAGAGCAAGACTCTGTCTCAAAAAGAAAATGAAAATAAAAAAATAAAATGAAGATAAAACCACCAGAATTTCCTGATAAGACTAGATATGGGAAGGAGATGAGTCCAAGATTTTTAACCTAAATGTCTCAGTTGTTTATTGCACCATAAAAAACCACCCCAAAACTTAATGGCTTAAAACAACCAATTTCTTATTATCTCTTATGCTTCTTCTGTGGGTTGACTGGGCTCAGTTGGGCATTTTTGTTTGGGGTCTTTGATGCTACTGCAGTCAGTGGTAGAGTTTTATGCAGATTTGAATGCAGGAGATGACCTGGGAGAATAATGCTTCTTGTGTTGACTGGCATAAACATGGATAAAGGATATCATGAGATATTCAAGATGAGTAATGCCAGTGAAGCTATGAGTGTTGGCATGTAGAGGACAGTGGTAATCTGGGGCTCTCTCTTGATGCCTGTTAACAAAAGACTGGTTGTAAGTCCTGAGTTCATTCTGAGTGTGCTGACCCCAGCTGATGGAATTGAGGTTGCCTAGAGAAGCCACGCATTACTCCAAATATATGGCCTTTCTTGACCCGGATAAAGTGGGTTATGGTAGAAGTCCTGGGTAATCTAAGGTCTTGGTCCCAGGGAACAGGGACCAATCTTGACCTTTTTGGGGAATTAGTAATTTTATACATTGTCTTCCTCCAGACCTTTGCTGTCCAATATGATGGGAGTCATCAGCCACATATGGCTATTAAAAAATGTGGTTAAAAAATGTGGTTAGTCCAAACTGAAATGTGCTATAAGCATAAAATACACAGTGGCTTTTGAAAACAGTATGAAAAAATGAATATTAGATATCTCATTAATATTTTATACTAATTACATGTTAAATGATATTTTGAATATGTTGGTTATATAAAATATTAATAAAATTACTATCTTGGTTCTTTTTACTCTTTTTAATGTGGCTACTAGAAAATATTAAACTATATATGTGATTTATGTGGTATATGTATTGGACAGAGCTGCTCTTATACCCTTGATGGGGCTGAAGACATCTGGAAACTCATGTGTGAGATCCCTCCGAACCCTTCTTAGAAGCATTGCACTCCTTCCCCATATGGTCAGAGTTTCATCATTTCTCTTGAGAGTTAGAAATCCTAGAACCCTTAGGCTTCTGAGAGTTCCAAGCTTGAATGCCTTTGCCCCTGCCCCCAGGTTTTTTGTAGGTAGAGGTTTGCAAACAAAATTCCTTTATTTTGCTGTAACCTGGTAACTTTCACATGTACAAGGGGGTACTCAACACCCTCTTAAAATCTCTTCATCTCAACTTTCTTTGTAATCGATTTTTTATTATTTCATTAGCATAACCTCAATTGTTAGTTTAGTGTTACCAAAATCCCTCTTAACAGCTATAGTTATCCCTTACCATAATTGTTTCTAATATAGTTTGGCTCCTAGGGGTTCAAGTTAACATTACCTAAATAAGCATAGGAATGTTTATTCTCCCTGGATGCAAGAGTACTTAAGTGCTGCATCTTGTCTCAAAATTTTGAATTTTTGATAAATTTTATAATAGATTTATGCATTGCCAAAAAAAAAAGGAAAGACAGAGAAAAATGTGGAGGATGACATCTGATGACAGCTAATTCCAGCTGCTGACATCAGAATTTAAGGGCAGAAGGTTTATTTATAAATCACAGGAATAGAACATTGAAATCCAACCCCTTCATTTTACAAATAAGGAAACCACAGCTCAGAAAAGAATTGTGAGTTGACCCAAGGCAGACCTCTCCCATGCTACTCTACCTCATTGTCTCCATTCAGTTATCTGCACTGCCTACTCAAGACATATTTTATCATGTCCATGTATCTAATTGTCTCTGTTGTTAGTTTTTCCATAATTCAAGAGTAAGACCTTCAGAATGAAAGTTTCTCTAGGGCAGAAATTCTAATAGATTCATTACACTTATTTTTGCTGAATTGGGTAAATGGGCACAGGAAGACAAGAATACTATTTGTTGAGCATCCGACTTTATCATAATTACTGATTTTTCTATGTAATATCAGCTTATCTATCTAATATCAGCTTCTCTAAAGTGATTTTTGGGGGTAAATATTCCCCCAAAGTTTAGTTTTCTATATTGTTTCATTAGAAGATAGGATGAGAAAGTTCTTGCAGGCCAGAACTTCAAAGAGCACACAGAACCTTCATCAACTTATAAATAAGTCAACAATTTGTCCCTGAAGTTTAATACCATTGCATACAGTCAAGATGATATTTGCCTAGAAAATTGTCAAAGCAACTGGTACTAAAATGCTCACCATGGCTCATAGAACAATGTTTACGTTCCCATTGATTGACTGCTTTCTGAACAATATAGCTTGTGTTTAGTTCTCCACCCCTAGTATCAAAATCAAGCAGGTCAGCCAAATTGATATGGTTCTATGGGGTCATGGATGATGGATGGTTATTGGTATGTTGATAGCAAAAATATCCATGAAAAAAATTTAAAATAAATTTAAAAAATCATAGCTTTCTAAAAATATTTTTAAAATCTCTATAGCTGAAGGTGCATGAATTTTAAGTTCAAACAAAGAATTGTGTTCAGGAGAGAGTATCAGATGTCAAAGACAGATAATTTTTCCAAATACATTATCAAGAATACCTGAGAGTCGTGAACCCGGGAGGCGGAGCTTGCAGTGAGCCGAGATCGCGCCACTGCCCTCCAGCCTGGGCGACAGAGCGAGACTCCGTCTCAAAAAAAAAAAAGAAAAAGAGAGACCTGAGAGTTTGAGATTTGGATTACAGATCAGTGGAAGAGTGTCTAGGTAAATACCAAAGCAATACCAGTTGCTGTTTGCTGTTTGCTGATTATAGATTGACTTTCTATATTAACTGGGGACGTGAAGTAAATAGGCGTCCCCACATAAAGCACTTGGAGAAGAAATCACTTCCTGTTAAACCTGACAGGATAAATTTGTTGCTAAATATACCTCTAGAATATACCTCTAAAATATACCAATAGAAATATAAGAAATTCAATTTTACATTTTTAAAATTAATTTTAACAATATATTTTATTTAACCCAATGTATTAGTTTTCTAGAGCTGCCGTAACAAAGTACCAAAAACTAGGTGTCTTAAAAAACAGAAATTTATTGTCTTACAGTTCTGGAGGCCAAAAGTCCAAGATCAAGGTGTCAGTAGGGTGAAGGCACTAGGGAAAGATCTGTTCCAGGCCACTTTCCTAGGTTCTGGTAGTTCCTCAGCATATGGCAGCAGAGCTCCAACTTCTCATGGTGTTCTCCTTGTCTGTATGTCTGTCTTTCTATCCAAATTTCACTTTTTAAATTAGGACACAAGTCATATTAGATAGGGGCCCACTCTACTGCAATATGACCTAATCTTAACTAACTATGTAGAAAGCAGAAGTCTCATTTGTAAATAAGCTCACACTTGCAGGTACTAGGAGATAGAACATCAACATATGTACATTTTATTGTTTGTTGATTACATGTCAATAAAGCTGTTAAATGAAGCTAATTGTAAAAATATTTAATACAGAAAGACAAATGACATAAATCCCTACTCATCATATTATCATGTCATGAATTTCAGGGGGTTATGTGAAAAATACATACACATGATTTATTATCACCTATATGATTATACTTTGATACCATTTACTTTTCTAATGAACTACTTATATTAGTTATCTATGACTGCATAATAAGTTACTGTAAAACTTACCAATTTAAGCTAACAAATATTTATTATGTCACAGTTTCTGTGGGTTAGGAATCAGGAGTAGCTTAGCCTCATGGTTCTGGCACAGGGTCCTCATGAGGTTACAGTCAAGCTGTTAGCTGGGGCTGCCATTATTTGAAGTTTCAACTGAGGCTGGAGCATGCCATTCCAAGCTCATTCTGGTGGTTGCTCACTTAGGTAGCCTTAGCTCTTCCACATGTGGGCCTCTCCATCGGCTGCCTGTATGTCCTACAAAATGTCTACTGGCTTCTTCGAAGTACCTGTGTGTCCTCACAAAATGATGTTTGGCTTCTGTGAAAAGTGGATTATGAGAGAGACAGAGAAAGAGGGACAGGGAGCCTAAGATGAAGCCATAGGCTTTTACAACCTAATATTAGAAGAGATGTACCTACATTTTTGCCATATTCTATTTTTACAAAGACAAATTGTGATATGATGTGGGAGCGATCTGCAGGGGGTATGAATATAAGAAGGTGGGATAATTAGAGGCTGTTTTAGAGGTTGACTACCACAAAAGTATCACTGACATATGTACTTACCTACTCCTCCCTTATACTTTTAAACTGCCACATAGTGTCATGTAGCTCATATACAGGCTCTTAACTATAAATATGTGGCATATTTCCTAATTTTCTATATTAGAGATAATGAAGCAATGAAGATACAACTTTGCCAATGGGTGCAAATATTTGAGTAAGATAAATATCTAGAGTGGAATTGTTAGGGTTAAGAATAAACATTAAGATTTAGACGCATTCTTCCAAATTTTTATTCCAAAACTTTGTAGTGTTAGATTAGGTAGACAGCCGGAAATGAGCAGGCAAGGGAGCCCCCTGGAGAAAGAAGTCCTGGAGATGCTGCCCACTATAGTCAGTGCTGCCCACGGACAGTCACCAAAAAGACAATGGCTAAATTGGCTACATCTGGCCTTGTGGTTAGGCTCCTCCAGCCCTGAAGGGGACTTATCAGGCCCTAGCTAGAGATAACCATGCTAGGGATTTTCCCCACTGGCAAACGCAATCCTCCAAAAACTTGCCCTAGACTATACTTTTGCTCATTTTAACAGTAAAAACACACCCTTAGGTGGAGATTTTAAATGCTAATTAGGCCTGCAACATGTATACCAGCATGTACAACCACAGAGCATGCATGCCCAAAGGGACCTCCCAAAACATGCTTGCAAGTGACACCCCCTCAAGCCCTTTCATGAATAATTATGTAAGATTCTCATAGAGAGAGTCACCCAGCACTACCAGCTGCTGGCTTATTCTTTTGAGCAACCCACTCAGACTCATCTTTCAGAGTGTAATGTCTACTTAAATAGATACTACTACTACTATTTTTTCAGCCAGGCCAGCTTGGAGCTGTTTTCTACTCCTCTCTAGGCATGTACTTTGTCTTTCTTCAATAAACTCTGCTACTTAACCCTTGCTATACGTCTCTTGGCTGCATTCCTTCTTCCAAGTTAAGAAGAACCTAGGATTCCCATACAGTAACAGCAGTAACAGTACTATAATTTCACATTCAAAAAAAAACGATAATAGTGACCATTTTCTCAGACCTTCAGCAATGCTGCACTACCAAATATTTAAAATAATACCAAAGGCTAAAAAATATCACAAATTAGAAGTTTGCATAGATGGATGGACATGTGATAAAGGATATATAATAGGATGTTAAAGACAAAATCTAGATGAGTTCGCAAGTATTATTCGTTTCCCAGGATGGCTGCAACAAATTATCACAAACTGGGTGGCATAAAATGACAGAAATTTGTTCTATCACAGATCTGGAAATTAAAAGCGTGAAATCAAGATGTCAGCAGGACCATGCTCCCACTAAAGGCTTCCCATGCTTCCACTAGGGAAGAATCCTTCTTTGCCTCCTCCTACCTTCTGCTGACTCCCAGATATCCTTGACATTCCTTGGTCTTTGGCAACATGACTTGAGTCTCTGTCTACACCTTCAGACGGACTTCTTTTCAGTGTGTTTGTGTGTGTCCTCTCCTCATTTTAGACAGCATTTACCTTCACTTTATCCACAGGCTGTCCACCAAGCTGCAAATGATAAGACACACTGAATGCTTGCAGAAATATCTGATTAAAGACTAATACATCTTCAAAGACCCCAAAATGAGTATGTAAGATTTCTCATTTGCAGAAATACCTGATTAAAGACTAATACATCAACATCCCAAAAATGAGTAAGATTTCTCATTTCACTATAAATATATGTAAATTAAATGAAATTTTTGAAACATAAATGAGAGTACACAACCTCAATTTTTTATACACACAGCTCAGGATCTGGAACCAGTGAAACAGCCTGAGCACTTGATGGCATAAGTGTTATCCTCAGAAATCACAGACTCTGACACGTGGCAAAACCAGTAGACAAAGATGCCCTCAGCAGAGAGAAAAGTAACCTTTCAGTCACAAAGATTCCATTGACAGAAGGATTGCTGTGGCAAAGTCCTGGCCAATTCTCTATAAGTGTCTCTGTCTGCGTACATACATCCATTGTTAGTGTGTGTGTTGTTCTTGTTGTTCTTTGTGTGAAAAACAAATGTCAGCTAGAAGTCTATCCTGATGCCCATCCCCCCACCACACACACTCCTGGTCAGTTTGACTGTTCAGTTTTCCCCAAAGGATCCTCTCTCTCCACACTTCAACCTCCATTGCCAGGTTAGTCTAACTAGCCAGAACTCTCAAGATTCATTTTCACATCCAGAATACACAAGAAACTCAAACATATCAACAGTGAGCAAGCCCAGGAACACACACACACACACAGCTGACCACCACCACATACAAATACCATCTAAACCCATTAACAAGTGGGCAAAGAATACATAGGAATGGCCAACCAATACGTGTAAGAAGAAAATGCTCAACATCACCAATTATCAGGGAAATGCAAATTGAAACCACGATGAGCTGTCATCTTACCCCAATTAGGATGACTATCATTAAACAGAAGGAAAAATAACCAATCCTGGCAAGCAGATAGACAAAAGGGAAGACTTAGACACCATTGGTGGGAAGGTAAATAAGTACAGTCATCATGAAAAATAGCATGGAGATTTCTCAAAACAAAACAAACAAACCCCTGCCCACTCTGATAACTAAAGGTAGAGCTACCATTGAATCCGGCAATCCCACAGCTGGGTATTTATCCAAAACAAAGGAAATCCAGATATCAGAGGGATACCTGCACCCCTGTGTTTAATGCAGCACTATCCACAATTGCAGAACCATCAAATCAACCTAAGTGTCCATCAGTCAGGAAATGAAAAAAAAAAATGTGGCATATATACACCATGGAATACTATTTGGCCATACAAAATAACAAAATCCTTTCATTTGCAGCAACATGGATGGAACTGGAGGTCACAGTGTAACATCAAATGAGCCAGGCACAGAAAGAAAGGGCATGTTCTCACTCCTATATGGGAGCTCAAAAAGTTCACCTTGTTGAGGTAGAGAGTAGAATAATAGATACCAGAGGCTGGAGAGGGTGTATGGGTGACTGTGGTGAAGAGAGGTTTGTGGCAATTGCCTTGCTCAATTAATTTAAAACAAAAAGGAGATATTGGAGGCTGCACAAATATTTCTTATGATTAGGCATAATTGAAGCCTGTCAGTAACAATATGAACCTGTGACTGCTACAGTTATTACTTGAGACCATCACTACAGCAGTTACTACTGTTACTGCTTGAGACCAAAGGTACAGCAGTTACTACGGTTACCACTTGACCATCATTACAACTGAACAAAGGGACAAACACAGAAATGATAAAAAACAAAAGAAATGATCTTAAAGAAAGGGGAACTGGGGAAGAAGAAGAGAGCTCCCTGCTTCTAGTGAGCAAGGGCAGCCCCTGAGTTTCTACAGCCCGTCGTATTGATTGGGTAACAAGATAAGGAGGATGAGGTAATGATTTGTCGGCTGCTTAACTGATCACAGGTTCATGTTGTTACTGACAGGCTTCAATTATGCCTAATCATAAGAAACATTTGTGCGGCCTCCAATATCTCCTTTTTGTTTTTAAATTAATTGAGCAAGGCAATTGCAGGCTGTGTAACCCTTAATTGCCGGTTGGTGATCCAGCTTCATTTTTCTTAGCCCTTATTCAAAATAGAGTTGCTCTGGTTTGAATGCTTCTTACATATCTCCCCCTTCCCTTTTACTAGAGGACCCTTAATCCTAAGGGTTGCAGAAGGATGAAGGTCCATCTTCTGCAACTTCTTCATGCTGAATAGAGGTGATTATATTCCTGCCTATTAGGGTCTCTTGTTTTCAGGGTAGAGAGGAGCTCAGTCACAAAGCATTGGTCTGTTAAGCATCGATCGTACCTCTGAGTTCCAGCAAAAGGTGAAACCCTGGCACTCCAGCAGTTTCTCAGCTTCCTGTGTGGTTTTCCTGATCTGTCCCCATGTTATCGGGGTTGATGTCAGCATGACTCCGGTTGGTCCTCGTTTCATCTTCGCATTCAAATTCAAGTGGTTCATGGCTCATACTGGGGAACCAGGTCCATGGTTGGGATCCATGGGTCCTTCCAGTCTCCCATTCCATGGTCATACACACCTTGAGGGCACCCACATGGTTTGTTCATCTTCTGTAAGGACACAAGCATACCCTCATCCCCACGTTAGTAAATCTACTGAAACAAAGGCAAAGGCTCTTGTGGCTGTAGCCAGGAGGCATGCCGTTGCTGAGCATTTGTTCTACAAGCTGTAAAACTCAGCTTCTGCCTCTTTGGTTAATTACTGCAGGGTAAAACTTTCCACAGAAGAGACAGGATCTTTCTGATTAACAGAAGACACAGAAAAAGCAAATGAAGACTTCTCCTTCTCGTAAATAATCTTCAAGATCTATTACCACGAGAGACCAGTCTCTTGCTCCCGTATCCATAAGCCCACAAAACTTTTCTTCAATCTACACTGCACAAGTGGGTCTGTGAGATGCTATGCATTGTGATAGATAAATCTCTTAGGTGTGCTTCCAAATCCCTGACCTCCTCTTTCTTCTTGGGTAGAGAACGATACAATTTACAGGGAATAAGCAACAACTGAGCAATACACTCTCCCGTTTCAAAAACCCAAAGATCTTGTGACATTACCACTACCTGAATTTCTCCTTCACGATCAAAATCAACAACTCCTGGGCCTGTAAGACAGCTTTTACCAAAATCAATCCCATGTATCTTGTTGGCAAAGATCCCCAAATACCAATGGGAATCTTAGTGAGTTTGTTTCCTCTAGTTAACATAATTTGTTCTCTATCTAGGAGAGCTAATACTGTGTTTCCAGGTGTTCCCAGGGAGAGGGAACCAATGTGCCTCCGGAAACCCACCCTGAGATGAAGTTGTGGCCTGGACAGGGAATGCCTTCATAGTTTGAGGTACCTGGGTCCAGACCCCCTTCTCGTTTCCCAACAGGGGGATGCCACTTTGATGAAATTTTGAGTGGCATTGATTAGCCCAGTGATTTCCACTATTACAAGGAGGGCAAAGTCCTGGTGTTTTTTCTGTTAAGATGGGAACTATAAGATCCCTTTTTCCCAGAGGTCTGGCAGCCTTCTTTTTTGAAGTGTCCAATTTTTCTATACTTATAACACTTTCCCACTTTAGGGTTTGACCCTTGGCTTCTTTTAGATCTGTCAGTTACCAAAGTAGCCATTTCCTGAGTCAATACTGCAGAGCAATGAAGCTCAGTTCCCACCTCTTGACAAGCTCGGAGAAAACCTCCCAAGTCCTCTGCACACCTCACAGGTGCCAGCACACGTTTACAATCCACGAAAGCCAAAGCTAAAGTTAGCCTTTCTGTAGCCATAAAAGATGGTACAAGCCAATTTTCATTCTCCCTCTCCTGTTCACTACTTTCTATAGGTGCTATAGGTGGGGCAAAACAATTATCTTAAACCCTGAAATAATGACAAGAAGATGGTATGTACCAAACTCCAAACAAAAAAGAGAAAAGAAATAACCAAATTCTTCCTCATGTTACCCTGATTAAAAAAATTCCCATTCTTTGTACCTCTAGGGCACTGACCAGTACCTTTTTAGAGCAATGACCTTATGTTGCTGCCGGCAGACTTGTAACGGGATTTCTCATTTATCTGGTTGGTTTTAGTTTTTTCTGTTCTTTAATTTTTTCTGTTCCAGCAGACCTTCCTCATTCAAGTCCCTATAGGACCCTATCTGTCCCTATCTGTCCCTGAAAATCTCTGCTAGTCTTTGCTAGTCTCTACTTTTGTACCTCTTTGGGGCACTGACCTTATATTCCAAGTCTTTGCTGGTCTTTATCTATCCCTATCTGTCCCTGTCTGTCCCTACCTATCTCTACTTACTTATCTCTACTTACTTAACTCTACTAGAGTGTGTTTCCAAAGAGCTAGAAGACAGCACTTGAGATGTTCCCAACAGGTAGAGATGACAGATACCCACAGGATGGATGTCCTATATCCCCTCACTGGATCACTACACAATCTACACGTTACAGCATATCACAGGAATCTCATTAATATCATGTCCAGATGAAGAAAAACATTATGATGCTAAAAGAGTTGTTTTCACATCTCCTCCTCCCCAGCACCATAGCACATGGTCTCAGCTTCTCAAGTTCTGCTGCCATCCCTGCCAAAGCTGCTGACACATGTGGAGCCCAATCATGAACCCTGGGCTCAGGGTCTGGTATGCCTTGGAAAAGAGCTTGCTGGCGTGAGTGGCTCTTGCAAGTGGCCCAACCATTAGGCACAGATCTCTCCCAGCTGAGAGAGAAGCCGCCTATCAGCCACCAGGCTTGGCTTTGTGGAAGCAGTGCTGCTGGAGAGACCTGGCCCATTCAGTGGCCAGATGCAAGTGACAGTGTGTGGTGCTGATGGTAGTGGTCATGATGGTGGTGGTTGTGGTGGGTCCACTGGTGGCCACGATGATACAGGAGGCAGAAAGAAATTATTTAGGCAGATAGTGAAGGTAAAAGAGTCCTCAGCAGAGCTTTCCTTTTAAGAGAAATCAGCCCAAGAAATTATTTTTTCCTAACAAAGAGCAGCCTAAAACATTGAGCTGCAAACATACATAAGCAAGCTGGAAGCTTGCACAGGGGAATGCCAGCAGCTGTGCCAATAGAAAAGGGCTACCCGGGGGCCAGGCATATCCAACATTCAGGCTCCATCTTCCTTTATGTTTTTTTTTGTTACCACATGTACAGTAAAGGAACAGGCGACATGGCCCAGCTCAGGAAGAAGACCCACTTGCATAATAAAAGATTAGAGTGGGAGCGGCCAGAAATTTGCATCCTAGGCAATGGCACACCTAGTCCTAACCAGTTTTTTGCACCCTATGCAAATGGTAGACCTAGTCCAACCAATCTTTAATGCCCCATGTAAATCAAACACTGCCTCCTCACCAGGTATCTATAAAACCCCCTGCATTTCACTGCAGATCTGGAAACTGATTTCTCTGGGACCCCTCTCTCCAGCAGACAGGTATTCTTTTTCTTTCACCCATTAAACTTCTGCTCTTAACCTCATTCTCTGTGTGTTCACGTCCTTGATTTCCTTGACTGTGAGACAACGGACCTTGGGTATCACCTCAGACAATGAGGCCATTTCATTGTGGGGGCCCATCTAGGATCCAAAGTAGATTCATCAGAAGGGTGAGGATAGGAGCAGACTCCAAATATTTACTTTCATTTCAGGGCCTTCTGCCCTCAATTTTAAAATTAAACTAAAAACTGAGTGTCTGATGGCCAGTTTAAAACCTTTAAGGTGGCCACGGATCTCAAGACTCAGATGACACACTTGGTGGGAGGATCTTGGCAAACACCCCAGTGGCCTCAGAGTGCTGGGAAAGTTCGCTCTGTTTAAACCAGTTTCCTTTCATGGAGATCCTAGCTGTCATGTTGGGCTGGAAAAGGTCCAGAGGCAACTGATGGTTCCAGGCAAGGGCCACACCCCTGTATTACCTGAAGGCTTCTGGAGTAACCCAAGCCTCCAACTGCCACACTGTTGGGTGTCAGCAACAGGATCTCCAGCTTTTCCTATGGCAATTTTCCTGCTTTCTTGTCCGTAATCACCATGTCTCTTATCCAGTCTCTGTATGCAATGCTGTGGGAATTCATACAGCTCAGGAAAATAATCCTGTTAGTCAAGATCAACAAATGCCATCGTAACCAGGAATATAGCTAAAGGGAATGCCATTTTTGTGATTTTTCTAGGAACAAAAAGTTTCGCACCACCACCCCACCCTTGCCCCCAGTGAACATCTCTCTCTCTCCCCTTGGTTTGGAGAGCACATGGTATTTAAACAGCGCCACCTAGTGGAATAGAAATCCTCTCCATGAGCCATCTTGGCAAAGCCCTTTACTGAAACACTCTATTTTCTAATTCTTCTCCCTTTTTGCTCCCCTCTACTAGAGACCAGGCTGTATGTCCCATCTATGAATAGGAAAACTCAACAATGAGAGAAAAATGTCCTCTAAAACCAAATTTTAGCCCCAATACTGTTACATCAGCAGAAAAACCGCCATTCGGTCCCTACAATCTTTTAAGACACCTATTTTCCTCCAACTAAAATGGTACTTAAATAATAAGGAGATTTTATGTCCAGAAGTTAACCACAACCACTGCCTAAGAATAAATGCTTTATTCTTAGGCCACAATAGCAGATTATAGAACTCAACTAAGTACATTCCCTTCATTAATGGGCCTTGCCAAATACAACTGTTACATAGTCTTTCCTGAGGTCTATCTATCGGGGAGCCATACGGATCACACAAGTCTAGGAAGTCAAAGGGAAATCACAAGCGGACTAGAGTCACATGGGTGAGCATGACTAACTCCATCATTTGGCTCCTCTGGATCCATGGCTGCAGGTCATGCCTGCATCCATGGGTGGCACCTTTAGTGGATGCCAGGGCCCAGGGAACCAAGGAGGGAAAACAGTTGGGAGCATGCCCCCACTGTCTTCCTCTCAACCTTGGGCCATTCCAAAGGAAGGAGGGAACAAAGGACTCCTTTTGAGTGTATTCTAAAGCACTGAGACTCCTTTGACCCTGAAACTCTGCTTTTGCACAAGGGCAGGGCCTTCTTATTAGACTTTTTCAAGCACTGCACAATCGACCCAGTTATTTTAGTAGTCATATCAGGCAGGCCCAAAGGGAATGATTCCCCAAAATTAGAGAAGCAACTCCTGGGGGAACCATCTGAGGCAGTGATTGAGTGTCCTGGCCCTTTTTGTCCCCCTTATTCAGAGCCCCCTCCAACATTTTCATCAGCTCCTCCAGTTCTACCATCTCCACAACTCCCCACTCTCCCAACTTTGTTCTTACCCCTACATGAAATGCCCAATGAAGGTGATGCCATCTTAGGGTTCAAGTTCTCTTGTCATTACAGGACCTTAGGCAAATGAAGGGAGACTTAGGCTGATTCTCTAATGACCCTGGTAGGTATATATAAACTTTCCAAAATTTAACTCAGGTGTTTGACCTCACATAAAGGGACATTATGCTGCTCTTAAGCCAAACCCTAACCACAGCTGAAAAACAGTCAGCTCTACAGACAGCAGAGAAGTTTGGAGATGAGGAATATGTCTCCTATAGTAGGCCAAAAAGGAAAAGAGAAAATATGGAAGGCAAAGAAATAGGGGAATCATCATTCCCAATAGGAAGAGAGGTGGTACCTCTTGACAACCCTGAATGGAACTCCAGTGACTCCAAAGATGAATGGAAAAGGAAACACTTTTTAATGTGCATATTGGAGGGCCTACAAAGAACTAGAGCCAAACCTCTTAATTACTCTAAACTGTTCATGAATAGACAAAAAGCCAGATGAGAATCCCTCAGCCTTCATGGAAAAGCTGAGAGATGCACTAATAAACACACCTGCTTATCCCCTTACTCAGTCGAGGGATAACTCATCCTAAAGAACAAGTTTATTACACAGGCAGCTCCCAATGTTAGAAGGAAACTGCAGAAGCAGGCTATAGGACCAGATAGGACATTGGAAAACCTCCTGAGAGTGGCCACCTCGGTCTTTTATAATAGGGACCAGGAAAAGGCCCAGGAGAAAGAGAGAAAACACTAGAGAAAGACAGAGTTTCTAGTAGCTGCTTTGCAAGCTTGCAAAGTCCAGGATCCCCAAGGTGCATCCACTAGTGGCTACCAGTGTGGCAAGTAAGAGCACTTTAAGAAAGATTGTCCAGGCAGCAAGAAGAAGCTACCTCAACCCTGCCCAGCTGATATCAGGGACCACTGGAGATTAGACTGTCCCCAGAGATGGAGGTCACTGGGTTCAGAACCAATCTCACAGATGCTCCAACAGGACTGATGGGTCCCAGAGTTGAAAACCCTGGCTCCAGAGGCTCAAACTTCCATTTCTGCTCAGGAGCCCCAGGTGATTCTGGAAATTGAAGGAAGGAGGGTGGACCTCCCCTGGACACTGGATCCAGTCTCTCTCTCTTCTCCTTTCCAATCCAGGCCTCCCATCTTCCCATAGCATGACCATGATGGGCATCTCAGGAAAGATTCTAACCTAATATTTTTCTCAGCCCATTACTTGCAGTTAAGGGGACCTATTATTTACACATGTCTTCCTAATTGTGCCTGAAAGTCCCACTCCTTTACTAGGTAGAGACAATTTAGTTCACATGGCCACCAGCATCCTTATAGCCCCAGAAGAAACTCTTTGTCTTCCCCTGGTGGAAGCTAATATTAATACAGAAGTATGGGCAACTGAAGGAAGAATAAGGTCGAGCTTTAACCACTAGGCCGGTCCAGATCAACCCTAAGGATCCTACTTATTTTCCTAACCAGAGACAATATCTTCTAAAGTCAGAAGCTAGGAAAGGGCTATAAGCCATTATTAATAACCTGAAAATGCAGGACCTCCTCAAACCCTGTAAAAGCACCTGCAACACCCCAATATTAGGAGTACAAAAACCCAATGGGGAATGGAGAGTAGTTCAGGACCTCTGCCTCATTAATAGGCCATAGTCCCAATTCATCCAGTGGTCTCTAATTCCTATGCCTTGCTAACTCAAATACCTGAGGGAACTAAATGGTTCACAGTCCTAGATCTAAAGGTTGCCTTTTTCTGTATACCATTATATCCTAACTCTCAATACCTGTTTGTCTTCTAAGTTCTGGCCAAACAACCTAGTTAACATGGATGGTGCTGCCTCAGGAATTTCAATATAGTCCTCACTTGTTTGGAAAGGCACTATCAAAGGACCTCTCTGAGTTTTCTCATCCTCAGGTCAGGGTCTCACAATATGTAGATGACATCCTGCTCTGTGCCCCAACTGAGGAAGCTTCTCAGGAAGACACAGAAGCTCTTCTTAATTTCCTAGCTGACAAAGGATATGAGGTTTCAAAATCCAAGGTGCAGCTTTGCCAAACCTCAGTGAAGTACCTAGGTTTACTGTTGTCTGAAGGGACCAGAGCATTAGGGGTAGAAAGGATTGAACCCATTTCTTCCTTCCCCCTTCCTAAGACCCTCAAGCAACTAAGAGGATTTTGGTACATGACAGGATTTTGCAGACTATGGATACCTGGGTATGGTGAGATAGCTCACCCCTGATAACACCTCATAAAAGAAACTCAGCTGGCTAAAACTCATTTCCTGACCTTGGAACCTGAAGTTCAAAAGGCCTTTAACCAGCAAAAACAAGCCTTACTTAAGGCACCAGCCCTCAGCCTTCCCATAGGGAGGGCCTTCAATCTTTATATATTAGAAAGGAAGGGAATGGCACTGGGAATTTTAAGTCAAGCCTAAAGATCATCTCAACAACCAGTGGGCTACCTGAGTAAGAAACTTGATTTGGTAGCTAAAGGATGGCCAGCATGCCTCTGAGCAGTAGCAGCAGTGGTCCTACTGGTACCAGAGGCTACCAAATTATCCCTGGGAAATGGCAGAACTCTTTATACCTCCACGTAATGTAGTAGGATTGCTGTCCTCTAGGGGAAACCTTTGGCTAATGGACAGACGGCTCTTTAAATATCAGGCTCTGCTGTAAGAAGGGCCTATAATCCAGTTAAAAACTTGCTCTCACCTAAACCCAGCCGCTGTCCATCCCTAGGAAACTGGGAAACCTAAAGATAACTGTGAGCAAGTTGTGGTACAGACCTCTGCAGCCAGGGAGGATCTCAGTGAAACCCCTCTAGAAGATACAGATTGTACTCTCTTCAAGGACGGAAGTTCCTTTGTGGAGCAAGAACTCCATCAGGCAGGATATGCAGCAGGCACTCTAAATATTATGGAACGTGTGTCTTTCTCTCTCCAGGCACAAGCACACAACTAGCTAAACTGATATTTCCTACAAGAGCACTAGAATTAAACAAGTGAAAGGTAGCTAACATTTAAACTGACTCCACGTATGCTTTCTTAGCTCTTAATGCACATGCTGCCATTTGGAAATAAACACACTTTCTTAACACTAATGGCTGTACTTATTTTTCTTCCTGAGATAGGTTTCTAAGTATTCCCTTTTATCGACCTCCTGTCCAAATTCAGTTAGTTTCCCTTCTGGTTAATGATAGCCATCCTAGCTGGGATAAAATGACACCTCATCGTGGTTTGGATTTACATTCCCTGATGATTGGACATACTGAGCATTTTCTTCATATACCCGTTAGTTGGCCATTACTATGTGTTTATTGTACACATTCTAATAAGATTAGGTGGTGTGCATAGGTGCCAGCAGTTGCCTGTTTGCACGTGCGTCTGTGCCTATATTTGTGCAAGGCAGAGTTCCTGCATGTATGCAAGCTCCCACTTACAGTTGACAAGTTTAAGTTTCTCACCTATTCTGGATGTGAAAATGAATTTGAGAAGTCCCAAGAGTTAGACCAACCTGGCAACGGATTTTGAAGCACGGAGATACAGGAGCTCCTGGGGAAAACCCAACAGCCAAGCAAACCAAAGCATGTGTGGAAAGTCAGGGTTCAAGATAGATATCTAGGTGACATTTATTTCCCATTTCTTCACCTACTCTATCTTCTCTCCAAATGGCAAGGAACATAAGGAGATGGCACCTATCTGCAACACCTATATTTGCTGTGGAATTTCTTCCCATCCCCTCCTTGGAACAGATCAGCCCAGCTCTCCAACCCTCTATTTATCCCTGCATTGATCTTTTTGTGGGGCTGATTCCCTCACTAAAAAGCAGAGCTCAGTCGACTTACTGCCAAAACACTCTTTAGGGTCAAAGTAGACGCCCAACCAACTGCACAAACCTGTCCCGTGTCATTCGTGGGATCTTGGCACAGTTGGATCACCCGCAGAGACCAGACCCGATCAGGGATAGAGATGTTTGCCATCCCCACGGGAGGCTAGCTTGCTTGCCAGCGTGATGTGGGTGGATGTCAACGGGTGACAGTGATGGACGAAGGTGTCCATTCCTGTGGCCGGAGTCCACCCCACACTGGGGCAAGGGGCTGAAACCAAAGAAAGGACAGAAGCATGCCACATGCTGGGAGGTGGGAGAAAGAGTCCAGAGTGTCCAGGGGGTGCACAGGCTGACTAGCAAGATCTGGGACCGAGGCTGTCCATCCAGAAGGAGGTTGGTCACATGCCTAGGGCATTGGGGCATGTTCCAAACTGCCTGTGCTGGCTACCTGTGCGGTATGAGGGATGCCAGCTGGTGACACAACCTGAAGCAGCCCAGGACTGGGGGATGTGAGTCATGTGAGACAGGGTCATTGACTGCAAGAGGGAGAGTTGCCTGAGAGAGAGACACTGAGAGTGAGAGAGAAAAACAGAGAGACAGAGAGAGAGTGTGTGTGTGTGTGTGTTTGTGTGTGTGTCTGTGTGTGAGTGAAAGAGCAGATGGGGTGAGACAAAGGCAGGGGAGGGAGGGCTGAGCCTGAAGGCTGGATGGAACAGTACTTTTTCAGAGGGTTGGTCTGGGAAGGAATGAAGTCTGTGTGGACAAAGGGGACCCCCACCAGCGAGACTGGGATGCTGTTTGGGCTAGGCTGTCAGAGTATGGAGTGGGGCTGGGGTGAGGTGGCAAGCAGCCCAGGGTGGGAGAGACATCGTGACAGAGTGACTGGAGGCGACATCCCACGTCCCAAAGGGGTAGGGAATGCAACTGGACCCGAGACATAAGTAAGCCGTCTTCAGGATACACATTCACGTCTCAGGCATGTGTCTGGGGCTGAGATGAAAAGAGGTCCAAGGGAGAGAAACAAGGCAGCATCCTCGACTAAAGTGGTGGATTGGGGTTAGGTTGGGAGTTGTGACATGGCGGTGGTGGTGCCGACAGAATGAGGGGAGAGAGTGTGGAGTAGCTGGAACACGTTGAATATAGATGGTGCACATGCCACGTGCACACTCACGTGGTCGCGTTAAGGACTGTGTGACCAACTAGGGGAAAGTGATGAGTTACTCCCCAGAGTCGCGTCTTCCTTGCTACTGGAAGGGCAACCATGGCATCATTTTCTGGATGTGGGGAGCCAGCGAGAGGGAGAGAGAGAGAGAGAGAGAAAGAGGTCGAGGTGGTGAAATGTGAAGAGAAGAGGTGGGGCAAGTGGCTACAAGCCCTGTGGTGCCTGGCGGTATTCCTTGAAGTGAAATGCGTCAGGCAGAGGTGGTGGCAGGGCAATGAACAGAAACAGGACCAGGAGGCTGTCAAGGGCTGGTGTCTGGTGCACTATTGTGTTTGGAGGGATTGTTGTTACCCAGGTGGGGGGGTGGGGGAGAGCCTCATCCTTAAGTCAGTCAAGAGAGGCATGGAAGAAAGGGCAGAGGGGCGTCATGCGTGGGAGCGCAGCCAGTGCAGGACAAGCTCACGTGCCCCGAGTGTAAGGAGGCGGCAGAGGCGAACGCAGCTACGCCTTGGTGCTGCTGCAGCACCAAAATGGGAGGGCGTGCTGCATGGGCCAGGAATCAAACCTGGGCCTCCTGCGTGGCAGGCAAGAATTCTACCACTGAACCACCTATGCACTGATGGCAAATGCCAATGGAAGCTGTCACAGCAGAGCTCGCCACCAGCCACCCTTCACTGGTCACAACCTGCCATGGGCCTCCGTCCCATTGGAGCATCCACGAAAGACTGGCCCAATGTGGCGAGCAGAAGGGGAGGCTCTCGTCACGTTGAGGTACCTGGGGCACAGCACAGAGGGATAGCAGAGGGAGAGAGGCCGACTCGTCCCATCTTGTGCTTTCTCAGCTGCCCAGGGCCGAGAGACTGACCGCCGGGGTCGCCAGGGAAAGTGTGTCCAGAATTGGTGGGTTCTTGGTCTGGCTGACTTCAAGAATGAAGCCACAGACCCTCGTGGTGAGTGTTACAGTTCTTAAAGATGGTGTGTCCAGAGTTTCTTCCCTCAGATGTTCAGATATGTCTGGAGTTTCTTCCTTCTGGTGGGTTCGTGGTCTCTGACTTCAGGAGTGAAGCTGCAGACCTTCCCTGTGAGTGTTACAGCTCTTAAAGGCGGCACGTCTGGAGTTGTTCGTTCCTTCTAGTGGGTTTGTGGTCTCGCTGGCTCCAGGAGTGAAGCTGCAGACCTTTCTGGTGAGTGTTACAGCTCTTAAAGGTGGCGGCATGGACCCAAAGAGTGAGCAGCAGCCAGATTTATTGCCAAGAGTCAAAGAACAAAGCTTCCACAGTGTGGAAGGGGACCCGAGCGGATTGCCCCTGCTGGCTGCCCACTGCTGGCTTGGGCAGCCTGCTTTTATTCCCTTATCTGACCCCACCTGCATCCTACTGATCAGTCCATTTTACAGAGAGCTCATTGGTCCATTTTACAGAGAGCTGATTCATCCATTTTACAGAGAGCTGATTGGTCTGTTTTGACAGGGTGCTGATTTGTGCATTTACAATCCTTTAGCTAGACACAGAGTGCTGATTGGTGCATTTACAAACCTTGAGCTAGACACAAAGTGCTTATTGGTGCATTTACAATCCTCCAGCTAGACATAAAACTTCTCCAAGTCCCCACCAGATTAGCTAGATACAGACTGCTGATTGGTGCATCCATGAACCCTAAGATAGACACAGAGTGCTGATTGGTGCATATACAATCCTCCAGCTAGACATAAAAGTTCTCCAAGTCCCCACTAGACTCAGGAGCCCAGCTGGCTTCACCTAGTGGATCCTGCACCAGGGCCATGGGCGGAGCTGCCAGCCAGTCCCGCACATGCTCCCGCACCCCTCAGCCTTTGGGCGGTCGATAGGACTGGGTGCCATGGAGCAGGGGGCGGTGCCCATCGGTGAGGCTCAGGCCAAGCAGGAGCCCACCGTCCGGGGGGGGGGGGGCTCGGGCATGATGCAAGGAGGCAGCTGAGGCCCGGTGAGAATTTGAGCATGGTGCAGGTGGGCCGGCAGTGCTGGGGGACCTGACGCACCCTCCACCGCTGCTGGCCCAGGTGCTAAGCCCCTCAGTGCCTGGGGCCAAGCCTGCACCCACCCGGAACCTGAACTGGCCTGCAAGCACTGCACACAGCCCCAGTTCCTGCCCGTGCCTCTCCCTCCACACTTCCCCACAAACAGAGGGAGCCCACTCTGGCCTCAGCCAGCCCAGAGAGGGGCTCCCACAGTGCAGCAGTGGGCTAAAGGGCTCCTCAAGTGCAGCCAGAGTGGACACTGAGGCCAAGAAGGCACCAAGAGCGAGCGAGGGTTGCTAGCATGTTGTCACCTCTCAATCCCCCCTCTAAACAGGACACCCCAGCTGCTTTTGGGAATTTGGCCAATGACTGCTCTAGCTACTTCTTTCTGGATAGAGGTGATGAATGGACCCTGCAGTTATAGTGTCCTCCAGGCTGGAAATCTCTAGGCCAGTGAAAGTGGCAGCAGTCTAGGGGTGCTCCGTAGAAGTTGTTAATTGAACTCATTTGGGGTTCCATTTGTAAGACCATCTGAGGCTTGGTGGCCTCGATTCTAGAGGAAACAAATTTGACAAGAAGGTTAAAGATACAGGGCCCAAAGGCGAGTAACAGCAAGATGGCTGCCAGGGGACCTAGAAAGAGGAGAAGCCATGTTGCCCAACTCCAGAGGTTGGTATAAGAGTTTGAAATACGTTGTCTGATACAGAAGATTTTGGCTGTAAATTCTAGGCAGGATCTCATACTATCCCTGACTGGTTAGTGTAAAAACAACACTCTTCCCCTAAGAAGGTGCAGAGTCCTCCTTTCTCAGCAGTGAGGAGGTCTAGGCCTCAGCAGTTTTGGAGAGTCACTGCTGCCAAAGAGTCTATTTGGGATTGTAGAGTAAGGATAGATTTCTTTATTTCTTGTAAACTGTCTGAGAGGCAGATATTGGTTGAAGTTCCACATAAGAAGACTATGCCTTGGCTGGGTAGACAGAAATTTACCCTGGCTTTTACAGGAATAGGGTACACTGTTTTTTTCTTACTGCTTCCATCTCTCTTTCTTTCTCTTTGACTTCTTTGTCTCTGTCTCTCTCTCTCTGACTCCCTCTGTGTCTCTGTCCCTTCCTCTCTCTCTCTCTCTGACTTTCTGTCTCTTTCTCTCTTTCCTTTCTGCTGGTCTTTCCCTGCCTCTGCCAGCTGCTTATGGTGCTGTTCTCTCCTCTCCTTCCCCATTTTGATGGCTTCAGCAATGTAAGACTGCCACCTCCTTGGGTTTTTGCACTGTGTGCAATAACTCCATAATTTCCTTGTGCTATTTAATTGGGGTTCCCCCAGAGGTTAGGAACTCCCTTTCTCTCCATATTGCAGCATGGACATATAGGATTAGATAAACATACTTGCTATCTGTATACACATTTATTATTTTTCCCTTTCCCAGTTCTAAGACTCCGGTAATTGCCACTAGTTCTGCTAACTGGGCACTGGTCCCTGGGGGAAGAGGCTTACTTTCAAGTATGGTTACATCACTAACTATGGCATAGCCTGCCCTTCATACCCCATTTTCCACAAATGAACTTCCATCGGTATATAAGTTAAGGTCTGGATTAGCTAAGGGGACCTCTAAGAGATCATCTCGGGCAGCATAAGTCTGGACTATAATTTGTTGGCAGTCATGCTCAATTGGTTCCCATCCTCTGGGAGATAAGTGGCAGGGTTGAGGGCCATGCATGTATGTATTTGAAGCACCAGTCCCTCAAGGAGTAGCACCTGGCATCTAAGTAGGCAGTTGTCTGATAGCCATAAACTTCCTTTGGCACCTAGCATACCATTTACATCATGAGTAGTCCAGACAGTGAGATCCTTTCCTTGTATTATCTTGATAGCCTCTGACACTAAGATGGCCACCGCTGCAACTACCCTTAAACAGTGAGGCCAGCCTTTTGCTACTACATCAATATCCTTACTTAGGTAAGCCACTGGTTGTGGGGTTGTCCCACAAGTCTGAGTAAGGACTCCAATAGCTATCCTTGCTCTCTCTGTGATGTATAAAGAGAAGTTTTGTCCTGTCAGAAGGCTTAAAGCTGGAGCTTGTACTAGGGCCTGCTTTAAGGTTTTGAAGGTTGTTTCTGCCTCTGGTTCCCATTCTACTAGATGAGTATTTGCCCTCTGGGTTTTCTTGATTAGAGTATAGAGGGGCCTGGCTATCTCGCTGTACCCAGGGATCTATAGTCGGCAAGAGCCGGTGATTCCAAAGAACCCCTGAAACTGTTTTAATGTCTTAGGATGAGGATAAGCCAGTATAGGCTGTATTCATTCCTTGCTGAGGGCCCTGGTCCCTCTGGCTAAGATTAGGCCTAGATATTTGACCTCCTGTAGGCAAAGCTGGGCCTTCGACCTAGACACCTTGTACCCTTGATTAGATAGAAAGTTCAAGAGATCTAGAGTAGCCTGCTGGCATGAGGCTTCTGAACTGGTAGCCAAAAGTAAATCATCCACATACTGAAGGACCAGAGTGCCTGGACTTGAGAAGTGGTCTAGATCTTTGGCCAGTGCCTGACCAAACAGGTGAGGGCTATCCCTAAACCCTTGGGGCAAGACCATCCACGTAAGTTGGGACATGTGGTCTGCGGGATCCTCAAAGGCAAAGAGAAACTGGGAGTCATATTGCAGAGGAATGCAGAAGAAGGCATCCTTGAGGTCCAGAAGAGTGAACCATTCTGCTTCCTCTGGTATTTGAGAGAGCAGGGTATAGGGGTTAGGTACAACAGGATATAGAGGAATTACTGCCTTACTGATGAGTCTAAGATCTTCCACTAGTCTCCACTGACTGCTCGGTTTTTGTACTCCTAGAATTGAGGTGCTGCAGGGACTCCTGCATTTCCTTACTAAGCCTTGAGCTTTTAAATGTTTAACAATATCCTGTAATCCTTTATGAGCTTCAGGCCTTAAGGGATATTGCCTTTGATAAGGAAAAGTGGTGGGGTATTTTAGCCTGATTTGGACTGGGCGGGCATTTTTTGCCCTTCCAAATTGTCCTTCCAATGCCCAGACTTCAGGGTTGATTCCCTCCTCAAGTAGGGGACAACAAATGGATAACTTGTTCCCCATATTCATGTAGATAATAGCTCCAGCCTTGGCTAATATATCCCTCCCTAATAAGGGTGTGGGACTTTCAGGCATAACAAGAAAGGCATGTGAAAAGACCAAGTCTCCCAATTACAACTGAGGTAGTGGGAGAAACACCTGGTTACAGGCTGTCCCAGGATTCCTCGGATGGTAACGGACCTTGAGGACAGTTGTCCAGGACAGGAGGTTAATATTGAGAAGGCTGCTCCAGTGTCCAGGAGGAAGTCAATTTCCTGGCCCTCAGTGGTTAAACTTAACAGGGGCTCAGTGAGGGTGATGACATGAGCTGGCACTTGCCCCGGGCACCCTCAGTCCTGTTGTTGGATCATCTGGTTGGGGGCTTCTGACCCGGAGAACCTTTGTCCTCTGGGGCAGTGCACCTTCCAGTGATTGCCTTGGCATAGCGGATATGGATGAGGGGGTGGCTTATTTTTCGTTGGACAATCTTTGTTAAAGTGTCCTCGTAAACCACACTGATAACAAGCCCTACCATGTGATTGGCCTGCTCCATTTTCTGTCCTCTCTGAACCACCAAGGTTTGTTTGTCTGAGGGCCATGACTAAGGCTACAGCCTTTCTCTGACCTCACTTTTCCTTTTGGGCCTGTTCCTCTTGGTCCCTATTATAGAACACTGAGGTTGCTAGGTTTAACAATGCCTCCAGATTTTGTCCAGGGCCCATGGCTTGCTTTTGGAGATTTCTCCTGATATCTGCAGCTGATTGGGTAACAAACTTATCTTTTAGAATCAGTTGACCCTTGAGTGATTCAGGTGACAGGGGAGTATATTTTCTTAAGGCCTCCCATAGCCACTCAAGGAACGCAGAAGGATTTTCTTCCTTTCCCTGAGTTATGGTGGACATCATTGAATAATTCATGGGCTTTTTCCTAATTCTCCTTAGTCCTTCTAGAACACAGGTCAACAGATGTTTATGACTCCAGTCCCCATGATCTGAGTTGAAGTCCCAGTGGGGATCCATACTGGGGATGGCTTGCTGACCAGTAGGGAATTTGTCCTTTTCTTCAGCTGTCATTCTATCATTTACTTGACTAAGATGCCAGGTATCTCCAAACTCTCAGGCTGCAGCTAAAGCTGCATTCTTTTCATTAAAGGCCAGGGTTTGATCTAACAGTAGCATGACATCTCTCCAAGCAAGGTCGAAACTTTGCCCTAGACCCTGTAGGACATCTATGTACCTATCAGGATCATCTGAAAACTTCCTCAGGTCTGCCTTGATCTGCTTTAAATCAGAGAGGGAGAAGGGGACATGTACCCAGGTTGGGCCAAATTACCCTCCCCATACAGCTTGAAGGGGACATAACCGATAGCCCGGGGGGGTTGTGGTCCTTCGGAGATTTCTTTGCTTATTTCCTTCTGGGCAGGGGAGATCAAAGGAGGATTACCATTAACAGGAAGGGGAGCTATAGGGAGGCTAGGATATGGGAGTAAGCTGAGAGATCCTCCTGTGGGATGTAAATTGTAAGCTTTGCATAGTTGTGTATCCTCCTTCAATGAAAAGAAAGCTTGAACATAAGGTATTTCACTCAATTTGCCTTCCCTCTTACAGAAAAGCTCAAGCTGCAGGATAGTATTGTAATTTGTACTTCCCTCAGGTGGCCATTTTTCCCCATCAGAGAGAGAATTCTGGGGCCAGGCCATAGGGCAGAAAAAAATGAGCTGTCTCTTTTTCAGGGTTTGTGGGTCAAATTGGTCCCAATGGCTTAGGATGCGTTTCAAGGGTGAGCCTGTTGATGCCTGAGTATTTCCCATCTGAAAGACAAAACTGCCCACAGTTTTGGTTTGTTTTGTTTCTCCCCCTGCCCAAGAACCCACAACGGTCCCTGGACCCTGCTGATCAGAATAGTTGCACTCACCAATGCAGCAGCAGAAACACTAGTTTTCCTCCCAGACCACAAGGAGGACCGGGGAAGGTCAGATTTAGTGGCCCTTGCTGACGCATTCTCAAAAACCTGCAGGCTTCCCTGTCCTCCTGTTAGTATTGGGACCTTACCTGTGTCCTATAAAGATGTTATGCCCCAAAAATGAAGTGGAGGGCCATACCCTGAGGGAGGCAAGGGATCTCAAGGGTTGGAACAGTGACACTTTTGTCCTCACTTATATGAATAGGAAGGATACAATTTCTGAGGCTCCCCATATCCTAGCTTCGGGAATAGCTTTGTTTAGGCGTACTGGTCTGAGGAGGGATCCTAAAATTCCAGGGAGTACCCCCTACAATAGGGCTTTGGACAAAAATTATGTCTTTCTGATTGGTGAGCCTGGGTGCCTAAAGAAGGTAACAGAGTCCTGGAGTTATACTAGAAATCATTCTTATAGGAGAAACTAGAAAAGCACCAGAGACAGGGAATGATTTCTAGAAGCAGGACTACCCTCAGAGAAGAGAGTTGAGAGGAAGTTTGTCTGGCAGGCATTAGGACCCAGGGGACAAGGGTCAGGATAGAGAGGATAGATGGGCGAGTCTCGCTTCGGCGACATGCCTTTCAGAGTTCTGCTCATGTCCACAGGGTCAACCAACTTGTTGTGGGGACCCCAAAGCTGGATGGCTTTCCTCTCTGTCGACCATCAGCTCAGCCCAGAAGCACAGGAAAAGCGGAAGCTGGTTCCAGGCAAACCAATGCTCCCAACTCCGAAGAGTTGGGGGTTGTTACAGAGCTCTTTCCCAGAAAGCCTGAAAACCGTGTCTTTAGTCCAGCAGCCACACTACTTGCTTTTAACTGGCCGACAGGTGCCCGGTATTTAGCCCCCAAATTATAAGGAAAAATGAGACAGAATACCAAGTGAAAGGGGTCCGATGGCATTCATCACTTGGCAATAGGCGATAGTCCCATCTGGGTTGCCAAAATGTGTCTGGAATTGGTGGGTTCTTGGATTGGCTGACTTCAAGAATGAAGCCGCAGACCCTCGTGGTGAGTGTTAGGGATCTTAAAGATAGAGTGTCCAGAGTTTATTCATTCAAATGTTCAGATGTCTCCGGAGTTTCCTCCTGCCAGTGGGTTCGTGGTCTCGGTCCCTTCAGGAGTGAAGCTGCAGACCTTTGTAATCAGTGTTACAGGACTTCAAGGCACAGCGGATGCAAAGAGTGAAGAACAGCAAGATTTTTTGCATAGAGCGAAAAACCAAACCTTCCAAAGTGTAGAAGAGGAACTGAGTCGGTTGCCGCTGCTGGCTGCCGACTGCTGGGTTGGGCAGCCTACCTTTATTCCCTTATCTGACCTCATCCGCATTCTGACCCACTGATCACTGCCTGCCGTAGGCCTCCATCCTATTGGAGGGTACAAGACAGGCTGGCGCGATGAGGAGGGCAGAAGGGGAGGCTCTCCTCACATCCAGGCAACTGAGGTTGGGCGCGGAGGGAGAGCGGAGGGAGAGAGGTCGACTCGTCCCATCTTGCGCTTTCTCTGCCGCCCAGGGTCGAGAGACTGCCCGCCGGGGTCTCCAGGGGAAGGACCGGCCGTGGCCCGCGCCCGAATGCCCGTGTGGGCAGATTTGCTGTGGCGGGCCTTGCTGAGCACGGATCCCCGGCACAGACCCAGAGTTTTTGTGTTTTGTTTTTGTTGTTTCTTTCTTTCTTTCTTTCTTTCTTTCTTTCTTTCTTTCTTTCTTTCTTTCTTTCTTTCGTGAGGTGTTTTTTTTTTCACCACCGTGGGGCCAGCCTTCTCACTTGTGTCACCAGCAGGTGAGAGGCGGGATGGGTGTGTCAGCGAGCGGGGGCGGCGATGGGGAACGGGTCTCGCAGCCGTGGCGTGCGGCTCAGAAACGCAGACCAGGTCCGTGGTCGCCTCGCTCCTGCGCTCTGACCCACGCCACCGGCTCGCACTTGGGGTCCGGCCCCCTGGGCTGGTAGGGAGGCTGGAGCGCGAGAAAGGAGCGGAGGAGCGCTTCGGCAGAGCCGCAGCTGGCTGACCCTGGAGAAGGCGCGCTGGGTGTGGCTGGGACGGCCCAGGCCGCGGCTTCCCGCGTGGGGATGCGCTGTGGCGCAGAGCTGGTCCCGGCGGGGCCAGGCGTTTGTGGGCGGGTGACGGGGATCTAGGGCTTCCGCTCGTGATTCCTCTTGGGCTGTCTTTCCGGGTTTGGACTCGCCTGCCAGGCTGTGTGCAGGGTTCCCGCTGCCTCTGGCCGGCAGGCGTCCGGGCTGCAGGTGGGCCGGCAGGCAGGTGTTAGCGGGAAGGGAGCACAGGTAGCGAGGTGGGATCGGCGACCTGGCTAGGGTGTCGGCAGAATGGAATGCGCGGCCGGGGTCCGAGGGGTCGGAGGAAAGGACAGGATGTTGGATGGCGTGCCTCTGGTGGGAGACGTGTGTGCGGCTCCACGAGCGAGTCGCTCGCTGCTGCTCAGCGGTCAGAAGTTGGAGGGTGAAACCGGGCGGGCTGTTCAGGCCAGGACGCCTCTGGGCAGCGCAGCGGCGATTCAAGGCGGTGGGCGGTGGGCGCAGGCCGGTGGGAGGAAGGAGGGAAAAGGAGGAATAGGGGAAGAATCTGGGCTGTGTCTGTTTGGGCGAGTGAGGAGAAGGCGGGCGGAGGAGATAGGCAGGGAAGAGCGTGGAAGGTGGTCGCGGTCGCTCGCTGTGTGTGGGGCCAGGGAAGAGGGCGTGTGAGGTGGTGGGGAGGGCGTCTGTCCGAAGGGCAATTGGTAGAGGGTCGCGGGCGCTGGCGCATGGTCCTGGGCTGTTTCTGCGACAGCCGGCGGGTGGGCAGGAAGAACGGACGTGCCTGAGAAGCGGCGGCGTTTTGGAGGCTTGCTTCAAGGGGGCTGGAGTCTGGAGAGCGGGCAAGGGCTCAAGGCAGGAAGCGGCCAAAGGTGCTCCAGGGTTGCCATGGGCGTTGCCCTCCGGCGGGCGGGCCAAAAGGTCGGCTTGTCAGGAGTGGGATTCGAACCCACGCCTCCAGGGGAGACTGCGACCTGAACGCAGCGCCTTAGACCGCTCGGCCATCCTGACGGCGCGCCGGGGCGCGTCGCCGCTGGCATGGCTGGGACCCGGCGCGAACGCCTGCGCCCTTGGCCGGCGCCTGTCTGGGTTCGGTGCGCAACCGACGGACCGCGCGGGCGGAGCGGGCGCCAAGTGAACGGAGCCGGCTGGCGTTGGCGTGGACGCCCCCGCGTCCCCACCCCGGACCCAAAGGGTCCGCGTCGGGCCGGCCGCCGCCGGCGCACGCCCCAGCCCCCGCGCCTCCGCTCGCCGAACCCCGCAGGGCGTGCGCCCACCGCGTCCTAGGAGCAGCGGCCTGACTGTTTCGCCCGCGCCTCCTCCTGCCCCGGCGCGATCCCCGCGTTGGAGACAGCAGGCAGGGCGCGCGGGGAGGTTCCACGCCGCTCCGGTACCTGTCGGGGTCCGGCTCCGGCTCCGGGTCCCAGCGGGATCGCAGGGTGCTTTGTTGGGTGTCGGGGTAGGTCGTGCCAACGGTGGCGGGGGGCGGGTGGCAGGTGACGGGTGGCGTGTGGCGGGTGGCGGGCGGCGGGCGGCGGGTGGAAGGAGAGCACGCGCCCGGCCCCTGCCGTCGGGGGAGGGGATCAAGGCAGGGCTAGGCGTCCGCGGTCGGAGTGGGGTCTGGCGTCCCGGCGACCGTCGCCGTCGTCCTCGTTAGTATAGTGGTGAGTATCCCCGCCTGTCACGCGGGAGACCGGGGTTCGATTCCCCGACGGGGAGGCAGCCGTGCTTTTTGGGCCGCCGCCTCGGACCCAGCCTGTGGGCCCTCCTTCTCTCTCCTTCCTCCGCCCTCCCGCTAGTCGCAGGGCGCCATCTCGGGCCTGGCCCCTTGGCCCCCTGGGCCTCCTGGGCCCCCTTGGCCTCCTACCTTTTCTTCTCGCCCGCGGCTTGGTCGCCCGCAGCCGGGCGGCCTCCTCTGGCCCCCACGGCGCCCAGAGAGCTGCCGGCCCAAAGTGGGTGTCGGAAGAGGCTTTCTGCGAGGCACAGGGCCCGGCGCCCGGTGGGAGGCGGAGGAGTGGGGACCCCGTCGGCGCCGGCCGTGTCCCCGCCGGGCACCTGGTGGGGAAGGGCTCTGGCGGCCCCGGGCGGCGAGGGAGCGAGAGCGCCCCCAGAGGCAGGCGGGCGGAACGGGGCAGCCGCGCTGGCCTTGCCCCGGTGGGGCGCGGGGCGGCCTTTGGCGGGGCCGCGGCAGCGCGGAGCTGCGGGCGGGCGGACGGACCGGGCGTCGGGGCCGGCCTGCCCCGGGCGTCGGCGGCGCGCTGGTGGGAGCCCCGGGCCGGCGCGGCGGGGCTGCCCGCGCCGTGCGGCGTTGGTGGTATAGTGGTGAGCATAGCTGCCTTCCAAGCAGTTGACCCGGGTTCGATTCCCGGCCAACGCAGCGGGCGGACCTTTTGCGGAGGTCCCCGTCGCGGAGCTCGCGTCGCAGCTTGGCCTGTGGCTGCGTGCCTGTGCGCCGGGGAAGGAGGCGCGCGGTGTTTGGAGGGTGTGCTGCGAACAGGGCCAGAGCTGCTCGTGAGGGCAGGCCGGTTGCCGCCGGCGTCGCGGGGGCTGGTTGCGGGTGTTTGTTTTAAAGCGAAGCAGGGGACAGGCGCCAAGGTAGCGCCCAGTGCTGGGGCCAGAGGCGCTGGGGCCAGGAGGCGCAAGCCGGGCCCTGAAGCCGCCTCTCCCTGGTGGTCTAGTGGTTAGGATTCGGCGCTCTCACCGCCGCGGCCCGGGTTCGATTCCCGGTCAGGGAAGCCTTCCTTCGTTGGCTCTGCCTGCCAACTGCCAGGCCCCTTCACACCTCCCCTTTTGACCAACAGGCTGGCTCGCTTCTCC
The DNA here is from genome assembly GCF_000001405.40 of Homo sapiens. Taxonomy (NCBI): domain Eukaryota; kingdom Metazoa; phylum Chordata; class Mammalia; order Primates; family Hominidae; genus Homo; species Homo sapiens. The sequence continues at coordinate 161,469,316 of NC_000001.11, read as the reverse complement.
CGCGCCCCAGCCACAACCTCCCGCGGCTTCCACGTGCGCCGCCCCAACGCTCCCCGCCTACCTCCACCCATCCCTCCTTTTGGCCTCGCTGGCGCCACCTTCGCAACATCAGCTTCACAGCCCTTCCTTGTCAGGTGCTCGCCTCGCTCCCACTCTTTGTCAGCGGCAAAGCCCACTGGCCAGGTCAGGCTTTCTCCTCCCATGGCCGCCAGGTGACCCGCCACCACCACCACCGCCACCCTCGCACTCTCGGCTGGCCACGGGATGGGCCAGGACTCTCGAGCGGAGCGGCTTCTGCCAAGCCAAGCCGAGTGGCTGACGGGCCACTTCTCTCTCGGCTGCGGGGGATCTGCGCCTAATGGTTGGGCCACCCGCCAGAGCCACTCATGTCAGCAAGCGCACTGGCTTTCCCAAGGCGTGGGATCCGTGATTGGGCTCCACGGGTGTCAGCGGCTTTGGTAGTAATGGCAGCGGAACTTGAGGAGCCGAGACCACGGGCCATAGCGCTAGGGAGGCAGAGCTGCGACAATCACCCTGGCAGCATGACTATGTTTTTCTTCATGCGGACATGATATCCATGGGATTCCTGTGACGTGTGGTAACGCGTGTACATCGCGTAGTGATCGATGGTCAACTGAGGGGATGTAGGGCATCCATCCCGTGGGTATCTGTCATCTCTACCTGTTGGGAGCATCTCAGGTGCTGTCTTCCAGGAGCTCTTCGGAAACAAGCACTAATACATCGTTGTTACCCCTAGTCGCCCTACTCCGCCGTAGAACATTATTGGAACGTATTCCCTCCATCCAAACGCATGCTCGGACCCATTTCACCAACCTCTCTTCACCGCAGTCACCCACACACCCTCTCCAGCCTCTGGTGTCTATCGTTCTACTCTCTACCTCCACAAGGTGAACATTTTGAGCTCCCAGGATTGGAGTAAGAACCTGCCCTCTCTGTCTTTCTGTGCCCGGCTCGTTTGATGTTCCATCGTGACCTTTAGCTCCGCCTCTGTTGCTGCAGACCAGAGGATTTCGTTCTTTTCTATGGCCAAAGAGTATTCCATGGTGTCTATATGCCACATTTTTGTTAATCCATTTCCCGGCCGATGGACACTTAGGTTGTCTTAGCCACATCTTCCCTACCTGCACGTCCTTCATAGGCTCTCTGCAAGAAGAAAAATATGGCTCTTTCTGCCCGACCTCGCAGGCAGTCAGACCTTACCGTTGTCTTCCCCTGTTCCCTAAAAGTCGCTGTTATTCTATTCTTTTTCAAGGTGCCCTGATTTCATGCTGTTCAAACACACACGTTTTACCATCAATTTGTAGAGTCAACACAATTGTCACAGCGGTCCTGAGGTGACGTACATCCTCAGCTTACGAAGATAACAGGATTAAGAGATTAAAGTAAAGACAGGCGTAAGAAATTATAAAAGCATTATTTGGGAACTGATGAATGTCCGTATTGAAATGAAATCCTCACAATTTACGTGCCTCGGCCGCAGCTCCAGCCGCTCCCTCCGTTCGGGGTCCCTGACTTCCCGCAACGTACACGTGCATGTGCGTACACATGCTCCCGCTCACCGTCGACAGGTTTGAGATTCTCGCCTATTCTGGATGTGAAAATGAATCTTGAGAGGTCCCATTAGTCAGACCAACCTGGCCACGGGCATTGAAGCGTGGAGATGCAGCAGTTCGTGGGGAAAACCCAACGGCCAGGCTGACCAAAGCGCATGTGCGGGGTTGGGGTTCCTGACAGACTTCTAGCCGAAGTTTGCTTCCCATTGCCTGACCTACGCTCTCTATCGTCTCTCCAAATGTCAAGGAACATGTGGAGATGGTACCTATCCCCAGCGCCAAGATTCGCTGTGGGACTTTTTTCCCATCCCCTCCTTAGCACAGATGAGCCCAGTTCTCCAACCTCTATTCAACCCGTACTGATCTTATTGTTTGGCTGATTCCCCAGGTCAATGGCAGAAGTCAGTCGACTTCTTGCCAAAACCCCTCTGTAGGGGCAAAGTAGACGTCCAACCAACTGCACAAACCTGTCCCGTGTCATTCGTGGGATCTTGGCACAGTCGGATCACCTGCAGGGACCAGACCCTATCGGGGATAGAGATGTTTGCCATCCCCACGGGAGGCTGGCTTGCTTGCCAGCGTGTTGTGGGTGGATGTCAGTGGGTGACAGCGACGGACGAAGGTGTCCGATCCCGTGGCTGGCGTCCACCCTAGCCCGGGGCAAGGGGCTGACACCAAGGAAAGGAGAGAAGCATGTCGCGTGCTGGGAGCTGGAAGAAGGAGTCCAGGGTGTCCAGGGGGTGCACAGGGCTGGCTGGCCAGGTCTGGGAGTGAGGCTGTGCAGTCAAACGGAGGTTGTGCAGATGCCTGGGGCGTTAGGGCACCTCGCGGGCTGCCTATGCCATAGGTCGGAGGGATCCCAGCTGGTGGCGGAGCTGGCGTGAGTCTGAAGAGGCTGAAGGAGGCCAGGGCTGGGGGATATGAGTCGTCTGAGAGAGGGGCATTGACGGCGAGACGGAGAGTTGGCTGTGTGAGACAGAGACAGAGAGATAGAGACATAGAGACAGAGAGAGAGAGAGAGACAGAGAAAGACAGAGAGTGAGAGAGAGAGAGAGTGAGAGTGTGAGTGTGTGTGTGTGTGTGTGCGCGTCAGAGTGTGTGTGTGAGTGAAGGGGTGGGTGGCGTGAGACAAAGGTGGGGGAGGGAGGGCTGAGCCTGAAGGCTGGTGGGAACAGTACATTTTCAGCCGGTTGGTCTGGGCAGGAACGAAGTCTGTGTGGTCAAAGGGGACCCGCGCCGGCGAGACTGGGATGCTGCTTGGGCTGGGCGGTCAGAGTATGGAGTGGGGCTGGGGTGAGGTGGCAAGCAGCCCAGGGTGGGAGAGACATCGTGACAGAGCGACTGGAGGCCACGTCCCACGTCCCAAAAGGGTAGGGAATGCAACTGGACCCGAGACATAAATAAGCCGTCTTCAGGACGCACATTCACGTCTCAGGCATGTGTCTGGGGCTGAGATGAAAAGAGGTCCGAGGGGGAGAAACAAGGCAGCATCCTCGACTAAAGTGGTGGATTGGGGTTAGGTTGGGAGTTGCGACATGGCGGTGGTGGTGCCGGCAGAATGAGGGGAGAGAGTGTGGAGTAGCCGGAACACGGTGAATATAGACGGTGCACATGCCACGCGTACACTCGTGTGGTCGCGTTAAGGACTGTGTGACCAACTAGGGGAAAGTGATGAGTTACTCCCTGGAGTCGCGACTTCCTTCCTACTGGAAGGGCAACCATGGCATCATTTTCTGGATGTGGGGAGCCAGCGAGGGGGGGGGGGGGAGAGAGACAGAGAGAGACAGAGAGAGAGAGAGAGAGAGAGAGAGAGAGAGAGAGGTCGAGGCGGTGAAATGTGAAGAGAAGGGGTGGTGCGAGTGGCTGCAAGCCCGTGGTGCCTGGCGGTGTTCCGTGAAGTGAAATGCGTCGGGCAGAGGCGGTGGCAGGGCAATGAAGAGAAACAGGACCAGGAGGCTGCCAAGTTCTGGTGTCTGGCGCGCTCTCGTGTCTGGAGGGGTTGTTGTCACCAAGGTGTGTGGGTGCGTGGGGTAGGCTCATCCCTAAGTCAGTCGAGAGAGGCACGGAAGAAAGGGCAGAGGGCCGTCGCGCGTGGGAGCGCAGCCGGTGCCGGACTCGCTCGCGCGCCCCGAGTGTAAGGAGGCGGCAGAGGCGAGCGCAGCTACGCCTTGGTGCTGCTGCAGCACCAAAATGGGAGGGCGTGCTGCATGGGCCGGGAATCGAACCCGGGCCTCCCGCGTGGCAGGCGAGAATTCTACCACTGAACCACCCATGCACCGATGGCAAACGCCAACGGAAGCTGGCACAGCGGAACTCGCCACCAGCCGCCGTTCACTGGTCACCGCCTGCCGTGGGCCTCCGTCCTATTGCAGCGTCCACGAGAGGCTGGCCCGATGGGGCGAGCAGAAGGGGAGGCTCTCGTCACGTCGAGGGACCTGAGGCGGGGCGCGGAGGGAGAGCGGAGGGAGAGAGGCCGACTCGTCCCATCTTGCGCTTTCTCTGCCGCCCAGGGTCGAGAGACTGCCCGCCGGGGTCTCCAGGGGAAGGACCGGCCGTGGCCCGCGCCCGAATGCCCGTGTGGGCAGATTTGCTGTGGCGGGCCTTGCTGAGCGCGGATCCCCGGCACAGACCCAGAGTTTTTGTGTTTTGTTTTTGTTGTTTCTTTCTGTCTTTCTTTCTTTCGTGAGGTGTTTTTTTTTTCACCACCGTGGGGCCAGCCTTCTCACTTGTGTCACCAGCAGGTGAGAGGCGGGATGGGTGTGTCAGCGAGCGGGGGCGGCGATGGGGAACGGGTCTCGCAGCCGTGGCGTGCGGCTCAGAAACGCAGACCAGGTCCGTGGGCGCCTCGCTCCTGCGCTCTGACCCACGCCACCGGCTCGCACTTGGGGTCCGGCCCCCTGGGCTGGTAGGGAGGCTGGAGCGCGAGAAAGGAGCGGAGGAGCGCTTCGGCAGAGCCGCAGCTGGCTGACCCTGGAGAAGGCGCGCTGGGTGTGGCTGGGACGGCCCAGGCCGCGGCTTCCCGCGTGGGGATGCGCTGTGGCGCAGAGCTGGTCCCGGCGGGGCCAGGCGTTTGTGGGCGGGTGACGGGGATCTAGGGCTTCCGCTCGTGATTCCTCTTGGGCTGTCTTTCCGGGTTTGGACTCGCCTGCCCGGCTGTGTGCAGGGTTCCCGCTGCCTCTGGCCGGCAGGCGTCCGGGCTGCAGGTGGGCCGGCAGGCAGGTGTTAGCGGGAAGGGAGCACAGGTAGCGAGGTGGGATCGGCGACCTGGCTAGGGTGTCGGCAGAATGGAATGCGCGGCCGGGGTCCGAGGGGTCGGAGGAAAGGACAGGATGCTGGATGGCGTGCCTCTGGTGGGAGACGTGTGTGCGGCTCCACGAGCGAGTCGCTCGCTGCTGCTCAGCGGTCAGAAGTTGGAGGGTGAAACCGGGCGGGCTGTTCAGGCCAGGACGCCTCTGGGCAGCGCAGCGGCGATTCAAGGCGGTGGGCGGTGGGCGCAGGCCGGTGGGAGGAAGGAGGGAAAAGGAGGAATAGGGGAAGAATCTGGGCTGTGTCTGTTTGGGCGAGTGAGGAGAAGGCGGGCGGAGGAGATAGGCAGGGAAGAGCGTGGAAGGTGGTCGCGGTCGCTCGCTGTGTGTGGGGCCAGGGAAGAGGGCGTGTGAGGTGGTGGGGAGGGCGTCTGTCCGAAGGGCAATTGGTAGAGGGTCGCGGGCGCTGGCGCATGGTCCTGGGCTGTTTCTGCGACAGCCGGCGGGTGGGCAGGAAGAACGGACGTGCCTGAGAAGCGGCGGCGTTTTGGAGGCTTGCTTCAAGGGGGCTGGAGTCTGGAGAGCGGGCAAGGGCTCAAGGCAGGAAGCGGCCAAAGGTGCTCCAGGGTTGCCATGGGCGTTGCCCTCCGGCGGGCGGGCCAAAAGGTCGGCTTGTCAGGAGTGGGATTCGAACCCACGCCTCCAGGGGAGACTGCGACCTGAACGCAGCGCCTTAGACCGCTCGGCCATCCTGACGGCGCGCCGGGGCGCGTCGCCGCTGGCATGGCTGGGACCCGGCGCGAACGCCTGCGCCCTTGGCCGGCGCCTGTCTGGGTTCGGTGCGCAACCGACGGACCGCGCGGGCGGAGCGGGCGCCAAGTGAACGGAGCCGGCTGGCGTTGGCGTGGACGCCCCCGCGTCCCCACCCCGGACCCAAAGGGTCCGCGTCGGGCCGGCCGCCGCCGGCGCACGCCCCAGCCCCCGCGCCTCCGCTCGCCGAACCCCGCAGGGCGTGCGCCCACCGCGTCCTAGGAGCAGCGGCCTGACTGTTTCGCCCGCGCCTCCTCCTGCCCCGGCGCGATCCCCGCGTTGGAGACAGCAGGCAGGGCGCGCGGGGAGGTTCCACGCCGCTCCGGTACCTGTCGGGGTCCGGCTCCGGCTCCGGGTCCCAGCGGGATCGCAGGGTGCTTTGTTGGGTGTCGGGGTAGGTCGTGCCAACGGTGGCGGGGGGCGGGTGGCAGGTGACGGGTGGCGTGTGGCGGGTGGCGGGCGGCGGGCGGCGGGTGGAAGGCGAGCACGCGCCCGGCCCCTGCCGTCGGGGGAGGGGATCAAGGCAGGGCTAGGCGTCCGCGGTCGGAGTGGGGTCTGGCGTCCCGGCGACCGTCGCCGTCGTCCTCGTTAGTATAGTGGTGAGTATCCCCGCCTGTCACGCGGGAGACCGGGGTTCGATTCCCCGACGGGGAGGCAGCCGTGCTTTTTGGGCCGCCGCCTCGGACCCAGCCTGTGGGCCCTCCTTCTCTCTCCTTCCTCCGCCCTCCCGCTAGTCGCAGGGCGCCATCTCGGGCCTGGCCCCTTGGCCCCCTGGGCCTCCTGGGCCCCCTTGGCCTCCTACCTTTTCTTCTCGCCCGCGGCTTGGTCGCCCGCAGCCGGGCGGCCTCCTCTGGCCCCCACGGCGCCCAGAGAGCTGCCGGCCCAAAGTGGGTGTCGGAAGAGGCTTTCTGCGAGGCACAGGGCCCGGCGCCCGGTGGGAGGCGGAGGAGTGGGGACCCCGTCGGCGCCGGCCGTGTCCCCGCCGGGCACCTGGTGGGGAAGGGCTCTGGCGGCCCCGGGCGGCGAGGGAGCGAGAGCGCCCCCAGAGGCAGGCGGGCGGAACGGGGCAGCCGCGCTGGCCTTGCCCCGGTGGGGCGCGGGGCGGCCTTTGGCGGGGCCGCGGCAGCGCGGAGCTGCGGGCGGGCGGACGGACCGGGCGTCGGGGCCGGCCTGCCCCGGGCGTCGGCGGCGCGCTGGTGGGAGCCCCGGGCCGGCGCGGCGGGGCTGCCCGCGCCGTGCGGCGTTGGTGGTATAGTGGTGAGCATAGCTGCCTTCCAAGCAGTTGACCCGGGTTCGATTCCCGGCCAACGCAGCGGGCGGACCTTTTGCGGAGGTCCCCGTCGCGGAGCTCGCGTCGCAGCTTGGCCTGTGGCTGCGTGCCTGTGCGCCGGGGAAGGAGGCGCGCGGTGTTTGGAGGGTGTGCTGCGAACAGGGCCAGAGCTGCTCGTGAGGGCAGGCCGGTTGCCGCCGGCGTCGCGGGGGCTGGTTGCGGTGTTTGTTTTAAAGCGAAGCAGGGGACAGGCGCCAAGGTAGCGCCCAGTGCTGGGGCCAGAGGCGCTGGGGCCAGGAGGCGCAAGCCGGGCCCTGAAGCCGCCTCTCCCTGGTGGTCTAGTGGTTAGGATTCGGCGCTCTCACCGCCGCGGCCCGGGTTCGATTCCCGGTCAGGGAAGCCTTCCTTCGTTGGCTCTGCCTGCCAACTGCCAGGCCCCTTCACACCTCCCCTTTTGACCAACAGGCTGGCTCGCTTCTCCCGCGCCCCAGCCACAACCTCCCTCGGCTTCCACGTGCGCCGCCCCAACGCTCCCCGCCTACCTCCACCCATCCCTCCTTTTGGCCTCGCTGGCGCCACCTTCGCAACATCAGCTTCACAGCCCTTCCTTGTCAGGTGCTCGCCTCGCTCCCACTCTTTGTCAGCGGCAAAGCCCACTGGCCAGGTCAGGCTTTCTCCTCCCATGGCCGCCAGGTGACCCGCCACCACCACCACCGCCACCCTCGCACTCTCGGCTGGCCACGGGATGGGCCAGGACTCTCGAGCGGAGCGGCTTCTGCCAAGCCAAGCCGAGTGGCTGACGGGCCACTTCTCTCTCGGCTGCGGGGGATCTGCGCCTAATGGTTGGGCCACCCGCCAGAGCCACTCATGTCAGCAAGCGCACTGGCTTTCCCAAGGCGTGGGATCCGTGATTGGGCTCCACGGGTGTCAGCGGCTTTGGTAGTAATGGCAGCGGAACTTGAGGAGCCGAGACCACGGGCCATAGCGCTAGGGAGGCAGAGCTGCGACAATCACCCTGGCAGCATGACTATGTTTTTCTTCATGCGGACATGATATCCATGGGATTCCTGTGACGTGTGGTAACGCGTGTACATCGCGTAGTGATCGATGGTCAACTGAGGGGATGTAGGGCATCCATCCCGTGGGTATCTGTCATCTCTACCTGTTGGGAGCATCTCAGGTGCTGTCTTCCAGGAGCTCTTCGGAAACAAGCACTAATACATCGTTGTTACCCCTAGTCGCCCTACTCCGCCGTAGAACATTATTGGAACGTATTCCCTCCATCCAAACGCATGCTCGGACCCATTTCACCAACCTCTCTTCACCGCAGTCACCCACACACCCTCTCCAGCCTCTGGTGTCTATCGTTCTACTCTCTACCTCCACAAGGTGAACATTTTGAGCTCCCAGGATTGGAGTAAGAACCTGCCCTCTCTGTCTTTCTGTGCCCGGCTCGTTTGATGTTCCATCGTGACCTTTAGCTCCGCCTCTGTTGCTGCAGACCAGAGGATTTCGTTCTTTTCTATGGCCAAAGAGTATTCCATGGTGTCTATATGCCACATTTTTGTTAATCCATTTCCCGGCCGATGGACACTTAGGTTGTCTTAGCCACATCTTCCCTACCTGCACGTCCTTCATAGGCTCTCTGCAAGAAGAAAAATATGGCTCTTTCTGCCCGACCTCGCAGGCAGTCAGACCTTACCGTTGTCTTCCCCTGTTCCCTAAAAGTCGCTGTTATTCTATTCTTTTTCAAGGTGCCCTGATTTCATGCTGTTCAAACACACACGTTTTACCATCAATTTGTAGAGTCAACACAATTGTCACAGCGGTCCTGAGGTGACGTACATCCTCAGCTTACGAAGATAACAGGATTAAGAGATTAAAGTAAAGACAGGCGTAAGAAATTATAAAAGCATTATTTGGGAACTGATGAATGTCCGTATTGAAATGAAATCCTCACAATTTACGTGCCTCGGCCGCAGCTCCAGCCGCTCCCTCCGTTCGGGGTCCCTGACTTCCCGCAACGTACACGTGCATGTGCGTACACATGCTCCCGCTCACCGTCGACAGGTTTGAGATTCTCGCCTATTCTGGATGTGAAAATGAATCTTGAGAGGTCCCGTTAGTCAGACCAACCTGGCCACGGGCATTGAAGCGTGGAGATGCAGCAGTTCGTGGGGAAAACCCAACGGCCAGGCTGACCAAAGCGCATGTGCGGGGTTGGGGTTCCTGACAGACTTCTAGCCCAAGTTTGCTTCCCATTGCCTGACCTACGCTCTCTATCGTCTCTCCAAATGTCAAGGAACATGTGGAGATGGTACCTATCCCCAGCGCCAAGATTCGCTGTGGGACTTTTTTTCCCCTCCCCTCCTTAGCACAGATGAGCCCAGTTCTACAACCCTCTATTCAACCCGTACTGATCTTATTGTTTGGCTGATTCCCCAGGTCAATGGCAGAAGTCAGTCGACTTCTTGCCAAAACCCCTCTGTAGGGGCAAAGTAGACGTCCAACCAACTGCACAAACCTGTCCCGTGTCATTCGTGGGATCTTGGCACAGTCGGATCACCTGCAGGGACCAGACCCTATCGGGGATAGAGATGTTTGCCATCCCCACGGGAGGCTGGCTTGCTTGCCAGCGTGTTGTGGGTGGATGTCAGTGGGTGACAGCGACGGACGAAGGTGTCCGATCCCGTGGCTGGCGTCCACCCTAGCCCGGGGCAAGGGGCTGACACCAAGGAAAGGAGAGAAGCATGTTGCGTGCTGGGAGCTGGAAGAAGGAGTCCAGGGTGTCCAGGGGGTGCACAGGGCTGGCTGGCCAGGTCTGGGAGTGAGGCTGTGCAGTCAAACGGAGGTTGTGCAGATGCCTGGGGCGTTAGGGCACCTCGCGGGCTGCCTATGCCATAGGTGGGAGGGATCCCAGCTGGTGGCGGAGCTGGCGTGAGTCTGAAGAGGCTGAAGGAGGCCAGGGCTGGGGGATATGAGTCGTCTGAGAGAGGGGCATTGACGGCGAGACGGAGAGTTGGCTGTGTGAGACAGAGACAGAGAGATAGAGACATAGAGACAGAGAGAGAGAGAGAGACAGAGAAAGACAGAGAGAGAGAGAGAGAGAGAGAGAGTGTGAGTGTGTGTGTGTGTGTGTGTGCGTGCGCGTCTGAGTGTGTGTGTGAGTGAAGGGGTGGGTGGCGTGAGACCAAGGTGGGGGAGGGAGGGCTGAGCCTGAAGGCTGGTGGGAACAGTACATTTTCAGCCGGTTGGTCTGGGCAGGAACGAAGTCTGTGTGGTCAAAGGGGACCCGCGCCGGCGAGACTGGGATGCTGCTTGGGCTGGGCGGTCAGAGTATGGAGTGGGGCTGGGGTGAGGTGGCAAGCAGCCCAGGGTGGGAGAGACATCGTGACAGAGCGACTGGAGGCCACGTCCCACGTCCCAAAAGGGTAGGGAATGCAACTGGACCCGAGACATAAATAAGCCGTCTTCAGGACGCACATTCACGTCTCAGGCATGTGTCTGGGGCTGAGATGAAAAGAGGTCCGAGGGAGAGAAACAAGGCAGCATCCTCGACTAAAGTGGTGGATTGGGGTTAGGTTGGGAGTTGCGACATGGCGGTGGTGGTGCCGGCAGAATGAGGGGAGAGAGTGTGGAGTAGCCGGAACACGGTGAATATAGACGGTGCACATGCCACGCGTACACTCGTGTGGTCGCGTTAAGGACTGTGTGACCAACTAGGGGAAAGTGATGAGTTACTCCCTGGAGTCGCGACTTCCTTCCTACTGGAAGGGCAACCATGGCATCATTTTCTGGATGTGGGGAGCCAGCGAGGGGGGGGGAGAGAGAGACAGAGAGAGAGAGAGAGAGAGAGGTCGAGGCGGTGAAATGTGAAGAGAAGGGGTGGTGCGAGTGGCTGCAAGCCCGTGGTGCCTGGCGGTGTTCCGTGAAGTGAAATGCGTCGGGCAGAGGCGGTGGCAGGGCAATGAAGAGAAACAGGACCAGGAGGCTGCCAAGTTCTGGTGTCTGGCGCGCTCTCGTGTCTGGAGGGGTTGTTGTCACCAAGGTGTGTGGGTGCGGGGGGTAGGCTCATCCCTAAGTCAGTCGAGAGAGGCACGGAAGAAAGGGCAGAGGGCCGTCGCGCGTGGGAGCGCAGCCGGTGCCGGACTCGCTCGCGCGCCCCGAGTGTAAGGAGGCGGCAGAGGCGAGCGCAGCTACGCCTTGGTGCTGCTGCAGCACCAAAATGGGAGGGCGTGCTGCATGGGCCGGGAATCGAACCCGGGCCTCCCGCGTGGCAGGCGAGAATTCTACCACTGAACCACCCATGCACCGATGGCAAACGCCAACGGAAGCTGGCACAGCGGAACTCGCCACCAGCCGCCGTTCACTGGTCACCGCCTGCCGTGGGCCTCCGTCCTATTGCAGCGTCCACGAGAGGCTGGCCCGATGGGGCGAGCAGAAGGGGAGGCTCTCGTCACGTCGAGGGACCTGAGGCGGGGCGCGGAGGGAGAGCGGAGGGAGAGAGGCCGACTCGTCCCATCTTGCGCTTTCTCTGCCGCCCAGGGTCGAGAGACTGCCCGCCGGGGTCTCCAGGGGAAGGACCGGCCGTGGCCCGCGCCCGAATGCCCGTGTGGGCAGATTTGCTGTGGCGGGCCTTGCTGAGCGCGGATCCCCGGCACAGACCCAGAGTTTTTGTGTTTTGTTTTTGTTGTTTCTTTCTTTCTTTCTTCCTTTCTTTCTTTCTTTCTTTCTTTCTTTCTTTCTTTCTTTCTTTCTTTCTTTCGTAAGGTGTTTTTTTTTTTTCACCACCGTGGGGCCAGCCTTCTCACTTGTGTCACCAGCAGGTGAGAGGCGGGATGGGTGTGTCAGCGAGCGGGGGCGGCGATGGGGAACGGGTCTCGCAGCCGTGGCGTGCGGCTCAGAAACGCAGACCAGGTCCGTGGGCGCCTCGCTCCTGCGCTCTGACCCACGCCACCGGCTCGCACTTGGGGTCCGGCCCCCTGGGCTGGTAGGGAGGCTGGAGCGCGAGAAAGGAGCGGAGGAGCGCTTAGGCAGAGCCGCAGCTGGCTGACCCTGGAGAAGGCGCGCTGGGTGTTGCTGGGACGGCCCAGGCCGCGGCTTCCCGCGTGGGGATGCGCTGTGGCGCAGAGCTGGTCCCGGCGGGGCCAGGCGTTTGTGGGCGGGTGACGGGGATCTAGGGCTTCCGCTCGTGATTCCTCTTGGGCTGTCTTTCCGGGTTTGGACTCGCCTGCCAGGCTGTGTGCAGGGTTCCCGCTGCCTCTGGCCGGCAGGCGTCCGGGCTGCAGGTGGGCCGGCAGGCAGGTGTTAGCGGGAAGGGAGCACAGGTAGCGAGGTGGGATCGGCGACCTGGCTAGGGTGTCGGCAGAATGGAATGCGCGGCCGGGGTCCGAGGGGTCGGAGGAAAGGACAGGATGTTGGATGGCGTGCCTCTGGTGGGAGACGTGTGTGCGGCTCCACGAGCGAGTCGCTCGCTGCTGCTCAGCGGTCAGAAGTTGGAGGGTGAAACCGGGCGGGCTGTTCAGGCCAGGACGCCTCTGGGCAGCGCAGCGGCGATTCAAGGCGGTGGGCGGTGGGCGGAGGCCGGTGGGAGGAAGGAGGGAAAAGGAGGAATAGGGGAAGAATCTGGGCTGTGTCTGTTTGGGCGAGTGAGGAGAAGGCGGGCGGAGGAGATAGGCAGGGAAGAGCGTGGAAGGTGGTCGCGGTCGCTCGCTGTGTGTGGGGCCAGGGAAGAGGGCGTGTGAGGTGGTGGGGAGGGCGTCTGTCCGAAGGGCAATTGGTAGAGGGTCGCGGGCGCTGGCGCATGGTCCTGGGCTGTTTCTGCGACAGCCGGCGGGTGGGCAGGAAGAACGGACGTGCCTGAGAAGCGGCGGCGTTTTGGAGGCTTGCTTCAAGGGGACTGGAGTCTGGAGAGCGGGCAAGGGCTCAAGGCAGGAAGCGGCCAAAGGTGCTCCAGGGTTGCCATGGGCGTTGCCCTCCGGCGGGCGGGCCAAAAGGTCGGCTTGTCAGGAGTGGGATTCGAACCCACGCCTCCAGGGGAGACTGCGACCTGAACGCAGCGCCTTAGACCGCTCGGCCATCCTGACGGCGCGCCGGGGCGCGTCGCCGCTGGCATGGCTGGGACCCGGCGCGAACGCCTGCGCCCTTGGCCGGCGCCTGTCTGGGTTCGGTGCGCAACCGACGGACCGCGCGGGCGGAGCGGGCGCCAAGTGAACGGAGCCGGCTGGCGTTGGCGTGGACGCCCCCGCGTCCCCACCCCGGACCCAAAGGGTCCGCGTCGGGCCGGCCGCCGCCGGCGCACGCCCCAGCCCCCGCGCCTCCGCTCGCCGAACCCCGCAGGGCGTGCGCCCACCGCGTCCTAGGAGCAGCGGCCTGACTGTTTCGCCCGCGCCTCCTCCTGCCCCGGCGCGATCCCCGCGTTGGAGACAGCAGGCAGGGCGCGCGGGGAGGTTCCACGCCGCTCCGGTACCTGTCGGGGTCCGGCTCCGGCTCCGGGTCCCAGCGGGATCGCAGGGTGCTTTGTTGGGTGTCGGGGTAGGTCGTGCCAACGGTGGCGGGGGGCGGGTGGCAGGTGACGGGTGGCGTGTGGCGGGTGGCGGGCGGCGGGCGGCGGGTGGAAGGCGAGCACGCGCCCGGCCCCTGCCGTCGGGGGAGGGGATCAAGGCAGGGCTAGGCGTCCGCGGTCGGAGTGGGGTCTGGCGTCCCGGCGACCGTCGCCGTCGTCCTCGTTAGTATAGTGGTGAGTATCCCCGCCTGTCACGCGGGAGACCGGGGTTCGATTCCCCGACGGGGAGGCAGCCGTGCTTTTTGGGCCGCCGCCTCGGACCCAGCCTGTGGGCCCTCCTTCTCTCTCCTTCCTCCGCCCTCCCGCTAGTCGCAGGGCGCCATCTCGGGCCTGGCCCCTTGGCCCCCTGGGCCTCCTGGGCCCCCTTGGCCTCCTACCTTTTCTTCTCGCCCGCGGCTTGGTCGCCCGCAGCCGGGCGGCCTCCTCTGGCCCCCACGGCGCCCAGAGAGCTGCCGGCCCAAAGTGGGTGTCGGAAGAGGCTTTCTGCGAGGCACAGGGCCCGGCGCCCGGTGGGAGGCGGAGGAGTGGGGACCCCGTCGGCGCCGGCCGTGTCCCCGCCGGGCACCTGGTGGGGAAGGGCTCTGGCGGCCCCGGGCGGCGAGGGAGCGAGAGCGCCCCCAGAGGCAGGCGGGCGGAACGGGGCAGCCGCGCTGGCCTTGCCCCGGTGGGGCGCGGGGCGGCCTTTGGCGGGGCCGCGGCAGCGCGGAGCTGCGGGCGGGCGGACGGACCGGGCGTCGGGGCCGGCCTGCCCCGGGCGTCGGCGGCGCGCTGGTGGGAGCCCCGGGCCGGCGCGGCGGGGCTGCCCGCGCCGTGCGGCGTTGGTGGTATAGTGGTGAGCATAGCTGCCTTCCAAGCAGTTGACCCGGGTTCGATTCCCGGCCAACGCAGCGGGCGGACCTTTTGCGGAGGTCCCCGTCGCGGAGCTCGCGTCGCAGCTTGGCCTGTGGCTGCGTGCCTGTGCGCCGGGGAAGGAGGCGCGCGGTGTTTGGAGGGTGTGCTGCGAACAGGGCCAGAGCTGCTCGTGAGGGCAGGCCGGTTGCCGCCGGCGTCGCGGGGGCTGGTTGCGGGTGTTTGTTTTAAAGCGAAGCAGGGGACAGGCGCCAAGGTAGCGCCCAGTGCTGGGGCCAGAGGCGCTGGGGCCAGGAGGCGCAAGCCGGGCCCTGAAGCCGCCTCTCCCTGGTGGTCTAGTGGTTAGGATTCGGCGCTCTCACCGCCGCGGCCCGGGTTCGATTCCCGGTCAGGGAAGCCTTCCTTCGTTGGCTCTGCCTGCCAACTGCCAGGCCCCTTCACACCTCCCCTTTTGACCAACAGGCTGGCTCGCTTCTCCCGCGCCCCAGCCACAACCTCCCGCGGCTTCCACGTGCGCCGCCCCAACGCTCCCCGCCTACCTCCACCCATCCCTCCTTTTGGCCTCGCTGGCGCCACCTTCGCAACATCAGCTTCACAGCCCTTCCTTGTCAGGTGCTCGCCTCGCTCCCACTCTTTGTCAGCGGCAAAGCCCACTGGCCAGGTCAGGCTTTCTCCTCCCATGGCCGCCAGGTGACCCGCCACCACCACCACCGCCACCCTCGCACTCTCGGCTGGCCACGGGATGGGCCAGGACTCTCGAGCGGAGCGGCTTCTGCCAAGCCAAGCCGAGTGGCTGACGGGCCACTTCTCTCTCGGCTGCGGGGGATCTGCGCCTAATGGTTGGGCCACCCGCCAGAGCCACTCATGCCAGCAAGCGCACTGGCTTTCCCAAGGCGTGGGATCCGTGATTGGGCTCCACGGGTGTCAGCGGCTTTGGTAGTAATGGCAGCGGAACTTGAGGAGCCGAGACCACGGGCCATAGCGCTAGGGAGGCAGAGCTGCGACAATCACCCTGGCAGCATGACTATGTTTTTCTTCATGCGGACATGATATCCATGGGATTCCTGTGACGTGTGGTAACGCGTGTACATCGCGTAGTGATCGATGGTCAACTGAGGGGATGTAGGGCATCCATCCCGTGGGTATCTGTCATCTCTACCTGTTGGGAGCATCTCAGGTGCTGTCTTCCAGGAGCTCTTCGGAAACAAGCACTAATACATCGTTGTTACCCCTAGTCGCCCTACTCCGCCGTAGAACATTATTGGAACGTATTCCCTCCATCCAAACGCATGCTCGGACCCATTTCACCAACCTCTCTTCACCGCAGTCACCCACACACCCTCTCCAGCCTCTGGTGTCTATCGTTCTACTCTCTACCTCCACAAGGTGAACATTTTGAGCTCCCAGGATTGGAGTAAGAACCTGCCCTCTCTGTCTTTCTGTGCCCGGCTCGTTTGATGTTCCATCGTGACCTTTAGCTCCGCCTCTGTTGCTGCAGACCAGAGGATTTCGTTCTTTTCTATGGCCAAAGAGTATTCCATGGTGTCTATATGCCACATTTTTGTTAATCCATTTCCCGGCCGATGGACACTTAGGTTGTCTTAGCCACATCTTCCCTACCTGCACGTCCTTCATAGGCTCTCTGCAAGAAGAAAAATATGGCTCTTTCTGCCCGACCTCGCAGGCAGTCAGACCTTACCGTTGTCTTCCCCTGTTCCCTAAAAGTCGCTGTTATTCTATTCTTTTTCAAGGTGCCCTGATTTCATGCTGTTCAAACACACACGTTTTACCATCAATTTGTAGAGTCAACACAATTGTCACAGCGGTCCTGAGGTGACGTACATCCTCAGCTTACGAAGATAACAGGATTAAGAGATTAAAGTAAAGACAGGCGTAAGAAATTATAAAAGCATTATTTGGGAACTGATGAATGTCCGTATTGAAATGAAATCCTCACAATTTACGTGCCTCGGCCGCAGCTCCAGCCGCTCCCTCCGTTCGGGGTCCCTGACTTCCCGCAACGTACACGTGCATGTGCGTACACATGCTCCCGCTCACCGTCGACAGGTTTGAGATTCTCGCCTATTCTGGATGTGAAAATGAATCTTGAGAGGTCCCGTTAGTCAGACCAACCTGGCCACGGGCATTGAAGCGTGGAGATGCAGCAGTTCGTGGGGAAAACCCAACGGCCAGGCTGACCAAAGCGCATGTGCGGGGTTGGGGTTCCTGACAGACTTCTAGCCGAAGTTTGCTTCCCATTGCCTGACCTACGCTCTCTATCGTCTCTCCAAATGTCAAGGAACATGTGGAGATGGTACCTATCCCCAGCGCCAAGATTCGCTGTGGGACTTTTTTCCCATCCCCTCCTTAGCACAGATGAGCCCAGTTCTCCAACCTCTATTCAACCCGTACTGATCTTATTGTTTGGCTGATTCCCCAGGTCAATGGCAGAAGTCAGTCGACTTCTTGCCAAAACCCCTCTGTAGGGGCAAAGTAGACGTCCAACCAACTGCACAAACCTGTCCCGTGTCATTCGTGGGATCTTGGCACAGTCGGATCACCTGCAGGGACCAGACCCTATCGGGGATAGAGATGTTTGCCATCCCCACGGGAGGCTGGCTTGCTTGCCAGCGTGTTGTGGGTGGATGTCAGTGGGTGACAGCGACGGACGAAGGTGTCCGATCCCGTGGCTGGCGTCCACCCTAGCCCGGGGCAAGGGGCTGACACCAAGGAAAGGAGAGAAGCATGTCGCGTGCTGGGAGCTGGAAGAAGGAGTCCAGGGTGTCCAGGGGGTGCACAGGGCTGGCTGGCCAGGTCTGGGAGTGAGGCTGTGCAGTCAAACGGAGGTTGTGCAGATGCCTGGGGCGTTAGGGCACCTCGCGGGCTGCCTATGCCATAGGTCGGAGGGATCCCAGCTGGTGGCGGAGCTGGCGTGAGTCTGAAGAGGCTGAAGGAGGCCAGGGCTGGGGGATATGAGTCGTCTGAGAGAGGGGCATTGACGGCGAGACGGAGAGTTGGCTGTGTGAGACAGAGACAGAGAGATAGAGACATAGAGACAGAGAGAGAGAGAGAGACAGAGAAAGACAGAGAGTGAGAGAGAGAGAGAGTGAGAGTGTGAGTGTGTGTGTGTGTGTGTGCGCGTCAGAGTGTGTGTGTGAGTGAAGGGGTGGGTGGCGTGAGACAAAGGTGGGGGAGGGAGGGCTGAGCCTGAAGGCTGGTGGGAACAGTACATTTTCAGCCGGTTGGTCTGGGCAGGAACGAAGTCTGTGTGGTCAAAGGGGACCCGCGCCGGCGAGACTGGGATGCTGCTTGGGCTGGGCGGTCAGAGTATGGAGTGGGGCTGGGGTGAGGTGGCAAGCAGCCCAGGGTGGGAGAGACATCGTGACAGAGCGACTGGAGGCCACGTCCCACGTCCCAAAAGGGTAGGGAATGCAACTGGACCCGAGACATAAATAAGCCGTCTTCAGGACGCACATTCACGTCTCAGGCATGTGTCTGGGGCTGAGATGAAAAGAGGTCCGAGGGGGAGAAACAAGGCAGCATCCTCGACTAAAGTGGTGGATTGGGGTTAGGTTGGGAGTTGCGACATGGCGGTGGTGGTGCCGGCAGAATGAGGGGAGAGAGTGTGGAGTAGCCGGAACACGGTGAATATAGACGGTGCACATGCCACGCGTACACTCGTGTGGTCGCGTTAAGGACTGTGTGACCAACTAGGGGAAAGTGATGAGTTACTCCCTGGAGTCGCGACTTCCTTCCTACTGGAAGGGCAACCATGGCATCATTTTCTGGATGTGGGGAGCCAGCGAGGGGGGGGGGGGGAGAGAGACAGAGAGAGACAGAGAGAGAGAGAGAGAGAGAGAGAGAGAGAGAGAGGTCGAGGCGGTGAAATGTGAAGAGAAGGGGTGGTGCGAGTGGCTGCAAGCCCGTGGTGCCTGGCGGTGTTCCGTGAAGTGAAATGCGTCGGGCAGAGGCGGTGGCAGGGCAATGAAGAGAAACAGGACCAGGAGGCTGCCAAGTTCTGGTGTCTGGCGCGCTCTCGTGTCTGGAGGGGTTGTTGTCACCAAGGTGTGTGGGTGCGTGGGGTAGGCTCATCCCTAAGTCAGTCGAGAGAGGCACGGAAGAAAGGGCAGAGGGCCGTCGCGCGTGGGAGCGCAGCCGGTGCCGGACTCGCTCGCGCGCCCCGAGTGTAAGGAGGCGGCAGAGGCGAGCGCAGCTACGCCTTGGTGCTGCTGCAGCACCAAAATGGGAGGGCGTGCTGCATGGGCCGGGAATCGAACCCGGGCCTCCCGCGTGGCAGGCGAGAATTCTACCACTGAACCACCCATGCACCGATGGCAAACGCCAACGGAAGCTGGCACAGCGGAACTCGCCACCAGCCGCCGTTCACTGGTCACCGCCTGCCGTGGGCCTCCGTCCTATTGCAGCGTCCACGAGAGGCTGGCCCGATGGGGCGAGCAGAAGGGGAGGCTCTCGTCACGTCGAGGGACCTGAGGCGGGGCGCGGAGGGAGAGCGGAGGGAGAGAGGCCGACTCGTCCCATCTTGCGCTTTCTCTGCCGCCCAGGGTCGAGAGACTGCCCGCCGGGGTCTCCAGGGGAAGGACCGGCCGTGGCCCGCGCCCGAATGCCCGTGTGGGCAGATTTGCTGTGGCGGGCCTTGCTGAGCGCGGATCCCCGGCACAGACCCAGAGTTTTTGTGTTTTGTTTTTGTTGTTTCTTTCTGTCTTTCTTTCTTTCGTGAGGTGTTTTTTTTTTCACCACCGTGGGGCCAGCCTTCTCACTTGTGTCACCAGCAGGTGAGAGGCGGGATGGGTGTGTCAGCGAGCGGGGGCGGCGATGGGGAACGGGTCTCGCAGCCGTGGCGTGCGGCTCAGAAACGCAGACCAGGTCCGTGGGCGCCTCGCTCCTGCGCTCTGACCCACGCCACCGGCTCGCACTTGGGGTCCGGCCCCCTGGGCTGGTAGGGAGGCTGGAGCGCGAGAAAGGAGCGGAGGAGCGCTTCGGCAGAGCCGCAGCTGGCTGACCCTGGAGAAGGCGCGCTGGGTGTGGCTGGGACGGCCCAGGCCGCGGCTTCCCGCGTGGGGATGCGCTGTGGCGCAGAGCTGGTCCCGGCGGGGCCAGGCGTTTGTGGGCGGGTGACGGGGATCTAGGGCTTCCGCTCGTGATTCCTCTTGGGCTGTCTTTCCGGGTTTGGACTCGCCTGCCCGGCTGTGTGCAGGGTTCCCGCTGCCTCTGGCCGGCAGGCGTCCGGGCTGCAGGTGGGCCGGCAGGCAGGTGTTAGCGGGAAGGGAGCACAGGTAGCGAGGTGGGATCGGCGACCTGGCTAGGGTGTCGGCAGAATGGAATGCGCGGCCGGGGTCCGAGGGGTCGGAGGAAAGGACAGGATGCTGGATGGCGTGCCTCTGGTGGGAGACGTGTGTGCGGCTCCACGAGCGAGTCGCTCGCTGCTGCTCAGCGGTCAGAAGTTGGAGGGTGAAACCGGGCGGGCTGTTCAGGCCAGGACGCCTCTGGGCAGCGCAGCGGCGATTCAAGGCGGTGGGCGGTGGGCGCAGGCCGGTGGGAGGAAGGAGGGAAAAGGAGGAATAGGGGAAGAATCTGGGCTGTGTCTGTTTGGGCGAGTGAGGAGAAGGCGGGCGGAGGAGATAGGCAGGGAAGAGCGTGGAAGGTGGTCGCGGTCGCTCGCTGTGTGTGGGGCCAGGGAAGAGGGCGTGTGAGGTGGTGGGGAGGGCGTCTGTCCGAAGGGCAATTGGTAGAGGGTCGCGGGCGCTGGCGCATGGTCCTGGGCTGTTTCTGCGACAGCCGGCGGGTGGGCAGGAAGAACGGACGTGCCTGAGAAGCGGCGGCGTTTTGGAGGCTTGCTTCAAGGGGGCTGGAGTCTGGAGAGCGGGCAAGGGCTCAAGGCAGGAAGCGGCCAAAGGTGCTCCAGGGTTGCCATGGGCGTTGCCCTCCGGCGGGCGGGCCAAAAGGTCGGCTTGTCAGGAGTGGGATTCGAACCCACGCCTCCAGGGGAGACTGCGACCTGAACGCAGCGCCTTAGACCGCTCGGCCATCCTGACGGCGCGCCGGGGCGCGTCGCCGCTGGCATGGCTGGGACCCGGCGCGAACGCCTGCGCCCTTGGCCGGCGCCTGTCTGGGTTCGGTGCGCAACCGACGGACCGCGCGGGCGGAGCGGGCGCCAAGTGAACGGAGCCGGCTGGCGTTGGCGTGGACGCCCCCGCGTCCCCACCCCGGACCCAAAGGGTCCGCGTCGGGCCGGCCGCCGCCGGCGCACGCCCCAGCCCCCGCGCCTCCGCTCGCCGAACCCCGCAGGGCGTGCGCCCACCGCGTCCTAGGAGCAGCGGCCTGACTGTTTCGCCCGCGCCTCCTCCTGCCCCGGCGCGATCCCCGCGTTGGAGACAGCAGGCAGGGCGCGCGGGGAGGTTCCACGCCGCTCCGGTACCTGTCGGGGTCCGGCTCCGGCTCCGGGTCCCAGCGGGATCGCAGGGTGCTTTGTTGGGTGTCGGGGTAGGTCGTGCCAACGGTGGCGGGGGGCGGGTGGCAGGTGACGGGTGGCGTGTGGCGGGTGGCGGGCGGCGGGCGGCGGGTGGAAGGCGAGCACGCGCCCGGCCCCTGCCGTCGGGGGAGGGGATCAAGGCAGGGCTAGGCGTCCGCGGTCGGAGTGGGGTCTGGCGTCCCGGCGACCGTCGCCGTCGTCCTCGTTAGTATAGTGGTGAGTATCCCCGCCTGTCACGCGGGAGACCGGGGTTCGATTCCCCGACGGGGAGGCAGCCGTGCTTTTTGGGCCGCCGCCTCGGACCCAGCCTGTGGGCCCTCCTTCTCTCTCCTTCCTCCGCCCTCCCGCTAGTCGCAGGGCGCCATCTCGGGCCTGGCCCCTTGGCCCCCTGGGCCTCCTGGGCCCCCTTGGCCTCCTACCTTTTCTTCTCGCCCGCGGCTTGGTCGCCCGCAGCCGGGCGGCCTCCTCTGGCCCCCACGGCGCCCAGAGAGCTGCCGGCCCAAAGTGGGTGTCGGAAGAGGCTTTCTGCGAGGCACAGGGCCCGGCGCCCGGTGGGAGGCGGAGGAGTGGGGACCCCGTCGGCGCCGGCCGTGTCCCCGCCGGGCACCTGGTGGGGAAGGGCTCTGGCGGCCCCGGGCGGCGAGGGAGCGAGAGCGCCCCCAGAGGCAGGCGGGCGGAACGGGGCAGCCGCGCTGGCCTTGCCCCGGTGGGGCGCGGGGCGGCCTTTGGCGGGGCCGCGGCAGCGCGGAGCTGCGGGCGGGCGGACGGACCGGGCGTCGGGGCCGGCCTGCCCCGGGCGTCGGCGGCGCGCTGGTGGGAGCCCCGGGCCGGCGCGGCGGGGCTGCCCGCGCCGTGCGGCGTTGGTGGTATAGTGGTGAGCATAGCTGCCTTCCAAGCAGTTGACCCGGGTTCGATTCCCGGCCAACGCAGCGGGCGGACCTTTTGCGGAGGTCCCCGTCGCGGAGCTCGCGTCGCAGCTTGGCCTGTGGCTGCGTGCCTGTGCGCCGGGGAAGGAGGCGCGCGGTGTTTGGAGGGTGTGCTGCGAACAGGGCCAGAGCTGCTCGTGAGGGCAGGCCGGTTGCCGCCGGCGTCGCGGGGGCTGGTTGCGGTGTTTGTTTTAAAGCGAAGCAGGGGACAGGCGCCAAGGTAGCGCCCAGTGCTGGGGCCAGAGGCGCTGGGGCCAGGAGGCGCAAGCCGGGCCCTGAAGCCGCCTCTCCCTGGTGGTCTAGTGGTTAGGATTCGGCGCTCTCACCGCCGCGGCCCGGGTTCGATTCCCGGTCAGGGAAGCCTTCCTTCGTTGGCTCTGCCTGCCAACTGCCAGGCCCCTTCACACCTCCCCTTTTGACCAACAGGCTGGCTCGCTTCTCCCGCGCCCCAGCCACAACCTCCCTCGGCTTCCACGTGCGCCGCCCCAACGCTCCCCGCCTACCTCCACCCATCCCTCCTTTTGGCCTCGCTGGCGCCACCTTCGCAACATCAGCTTCACAGCCCTTCCTTGTCAGGTGCTCGCCTCGCTCCCACTCTTTGTCAGCGGCAAAGCCCACTGGCCAGGTCAGGCTTTCTCCTCCCATGGCCGCCAGGTGACCCGCCACCACCACCACCGCCACCCTCGCACTCTCGGCTGGCCACGGGATGGGCCAGGACTCTCGAGCGGAGCGGCTTCTGCCAAGCCAAGCCGAGTGGCTGACGGGCCACTTCTCTCTCGGCTGCGGGGGATCTGCGCCTAATGGTTGGGCCACCCGCCAGAGCCACTCATGTCAGCAAGCGCACTGGCTTTCCCAAGGCGTGGGATCCGTGATTGGGCTCCACGGGTGTCAGCGGCTTTGGTAGTAATGGCAGCGGAACTTGAGGAGCCGAGACCACGGGCCATAGCGCTAGGGAGGCAGAGCTGCGACAATCACCCTGGCAGCATGACTATGTTTTTCTTCATGCGGACATGATATCCATGGGATTCCTGTGACGTGTGGTAACGCGTGTACATCGCGTAGTGATCGATGGTCAACTGAGGGGATGTAGGGCATCCATCCCGTGGGTATCTGTCATCTCTACCTGTTGGGAGCATCTCAGGTGCTGTCTTCCAGGAGCTCTTCGGAAACAAGCACTAATACATCGTTGTTACCCCTAGTCGCCCTACTCCGCCGTAGAACATTATTGGAACGTATTCCCTCCATCCAAACGCATGCTCGGACCCATTTCACCAACCTCTCTTCACCGCAGTCACCCACACACCCTCTCCAGCCTCTGGTGTCTATCGTTCTACTCTCTACCTCCACAAGGTGAACATTTTGAGCTCCCAGGATTGGAGTAAGAACCTGCCCTCTCTGTCTTTCTGTGCCCGGCTCGTTTGATGTTCCATCGTGACCTTTAGCTCCGCCTCTGTTGCTGCAGACCAGAGGATTTCGTTCTTTTCTATGGCCAAAGAGTATTCCATGGTGTCTATATGCCACATTTTTGTTAATCCATTTCCCGGCCGATGGACACTTAGGTTGTCTTAGCCACATCTTCCCTACCTGCACGTCCTTCATAGGCTCTCTGCAAGAAGAAAAATATGGCTCTTTCTGCCCGACCTCGCAGGCAGTCAGACCTTACCGTTGTCTTCCCCTGTTCCCTAAAAGTCGCTGTTATTCTATTCTTTTTCAAGGTGCCCTGATTTCATGCTGTTCAAACACACACGTTTTACCATCAATTTGTAGAGTCAACACAATTGTCACAGCGGTCCTGAGGTGACGTACATCCTCAGCTTACGAAGATAACAGGATTAAGAGATTAAAGTAAAGACAGGCGTAAGAAATTATAAAAGCATTATTTGGGAACTGATGAATGTCCGTATTGAAATGAAATCCTCACAATTTACGTGCCTCGGCCGCAGCTCCAGCCGCTCCCTCCGTTCGGGGTCCCTGACTTCCCGCAACGTACACGTGCATGTGCGTACACATGCTCCCGCTCACCGTCGACAGGTTTGAGATTCTCGCCTATTCTGGATGTGAAAATGAATCTTGAGAGGTCCCATTAGTCAGACCAACCTGGCCACGGGCATTGAAGCGTGGAGATGCAGCAGTTCGTGGGGAAAACCCAACGGCCAGGCTGACCAAAGCGCATGTGCGGGGTTGGGGTTCCTGACAGACTTCTAGCCGAAGTTTGCTTCCCATTGCCTGACCTACGCTCTCTATCGTCTCTCCAAATGTCAAGGAACATGTGGAGATGGTACCTATCCCCAGCGCCAAGATTCGCTGTGGGACTTTTTTCCCATCCCCTCCTTAGCACAGATGAGCCCAGTTCTCCAACCTCTATTCAACCCGTACTGATCTTATTGTTTGGCTGATTCCCCAGGTCAATGGCAGAAGTCAGTCGACTTCTTGCCAAAACCCCTCTGTAGGGGCAAAGTAGACGTCCAACCAACTGCACAAACCTGTCCCGTGTCATTCGTGGGATCTTGGCACAGTCGGATCACCTGCAGGGACCAGACCCTATCGGGGATAGAGATGTTTGCCATCCCCACGGGAGGCTGGCTTGCTTGCCAGCGTGTTGTGGGTGGATGTCAGTGGGTGACAGCGACGGAAGAAGGTGTCCGATCCCGTGGCTGGCGTCCACCCTAGCCCGGGGCAAGGGGCTGACACCAAGGAAAGGAGAGAAGCATGTCGCGTGCTGGGAGCTGGAAGAAGGAGTCCAGGGTGTCCAGGGGGTGCACAGGGCTGGCTGGCCAGGTCTGGGAGTGAGGCTGTGCAGTCAAACGGAGGTTGTGCAGATGCCTGGGGCGTTAGGGCACCTCGCGGGCTGCCTATGCCATAGGTCGGAGGGATCCCAGCTGGTGGCGGAGCTGGCGTGAGTCTGAAGAGGCTGAAGGAGGCCAGGGCTGGGGGATATGAGTCGTCTGAGAGAGGGGCATTGACGGCGAGACGGAGAGTTGGCTGTGTGAGACAGAGACAGAGAGATAGAGACATAGAGACAGAGAGAGAGAGAGAGACAGAGAAAGACAGAGAGTGAGAGAGAGAGAGAGTGAGAGTGTGAGTGTGTGTGTGTGTGTGTGTGCGCGTCAGAGTGTGTGTGTGAGTGAAGGGGTGGGTGGCGTGAGACAAAGGTGGGGGAGGGAGGGCTGAGCCTGAAGGCTGCTGGGAACACTACATTTTCAGCCGGTTGGTCTGGGCAGGAACGAAGTCTGTGTGGTCAAAGGGGACCCGCGCCGGCGAGACTGGGATGCTGCTTGGGCTGGGCGGTCAGAGTATGGAGTGGGGCTGGGGTGAGGTGGCAAGCAGCCCAGGGTGGGAGAGACATCGTGACAGAGCGACTGGAGGCCACGTCCCACGTCCCAAAAGGGTAGGGAATGCAACTGGACCCGAGACATAAATAAGCCGTCTTCAGGACGCACATTCACGTCTCAGGCATGTGTCTGGGGCTGAGATGAAAAGAGGTCCGAGGGGGAGAAACAAGGCAGCATCCTCGACTAAAGTGGTGGATTGGGGTTAGGTTGGGAGTTGCGACATGGCGGTGGTGGTGCCGGCAGAATGAGGGGAGAGAGTGTGGAGTAGCCGGAACACGGTGAATATAGACGGTGCACATGCCACGCGTACACTCGTGTGGTCGCGTTAAGGACTGTGTGACCAACTAGGGGAAAGTGATGAGTTACTCCCTGGAGTCGCGACTTCCTTCCTACTGGAAGGGCAACCATGGCATCATTTTCTGGATGTGGGGAGCCAGCGAGGGGTGGGGGGGAGAGAGACAGAGAGAGAGAGAGAGAGAGAGAGAGAGAGAGAGAGAGGTCGAGGCGGTGAAATGTGAAGAGAAGGGGTGGTGCGAGTGGCTGCAAGCCCGTGGTGCCTGGCGGTGTTCCGTGAAGTGAAATGCGTCGGGCAGAGGCGGTGGCAGGGCAATGAAGAGAAACAGGACCAGGAGGCTGCCAAGTTCTGGTGTCTGGCGCGCTCTCGTGTCTGGAGGGGTTGTTGTCACCAAGGTGTGTGGGTGCGGGGGGTAGGCTCATCCCTAAGTCAGTCGAGAGAGGCACGGAAGAAAGGGCAGAGGGCCGTCGCGCGTGGGAGCGCAGCCGGTGCCGGACTCGCTCGCGCGCCCCGAGTGTAAGGAGGCGGCAGAGGCGAGCGCAGCTACGCCTTGGTGCTGCTGCAGCACCAAAATGGGAGGGCGTGCTGCATGGGCCGGGAATCGAACCCGGGCCTCCCGCGTGGCAGGCGAGAATTCTACCACTGAACCACCCATGCACCGATGGCAAACGCCAACGGAAGCTGGCACAGCGGAACTCGCCACCAGCCGCCGTTCACTGGTCACCGCCTGCCGTGGGCCTCCGTCCTATTGCAGCGTCCACGAGAGGCTGGCCCGATGGGGCGAGCAGAAGGGGAGGCTCTCGTCACGTCGAGGGACCTGAGGCGGGGCGCGGAGGGAGAGCGGAGGGAGAGAGGCCGACTCGTCCCATCTTGCGCTTTCTCTGCCGCCCAGGGTCGAGAGACTGCCCGCCGGGGTCTCCAGGGGAAGGACCGGCCGTGGCCCGCGCCCGAATGCCCGTGTGGGCAGATTTGCTGTGGCGGGCCTTGCTGAGCGCGGATCCCCGGCACAGACCCAGAGTTTTTGTGTTTTGTTTTTGTTGTTTCTTTCTGTCTTTCTTTCTTTCTTTCTTTCTTTCTTTCTTTCTTTCTTTCTTTCTTTCTTTCTTTCGTGTGGTGTTTTTTTTTTTCACCACCGTGGGGCCAGCCTTCTCACTTGTGTCACCAGCAGGTGAGAGGCGGGATGGGTGTGTCAGCGAGCGGGGGCGGCGATGGGGAACGGGTCTCGCAGCCGTGGCGTGCGGCTCAGAAACGCAGACCAGGTCCGTGGGCGCCTCGCTCCTGCGCTCTGACCCACGCCACCGGCTCGCACTTGGGGTCCGGCCCCCTGGGCTGGTAGGGAGGCTGGAGCGCGAGAAAGGAGCGGAGGAGCGCTTCGGCAGAGCCGCAGCTGGCTGACCCTGGAGAAGGCGCGCTGGGTGTGGCTGGGACGGCCCAGGCCGCGGCTTCCCGCGTGGGGATGCGCTGTGGCGCAGAGCTGGTCCCGGCGGGGCCAGGCGTTTGTGGGCGGGTGACGGGGATCTAGGGCTTCCGCTCGTGATTCCTCTTGGGCTGTCTTTCCGGGTTTGGACTCGCCTGCCCGGCTGTGTGCAGGGTTCCCGCTGCCTCTGGCCGGCAGGCGTCCGGGCTGCAGGTGGGCCGGCAGGCAGGTGTTAGCGGGAAGGGAGCACAGGTAGCGAGGTGGGATCGGCGACCTGGCTAGGGTGTCGGCAGAATGGAATGCGCGGCCGGGGTCCGAGGGGTCGGAGGAAAGGACAGGATGTTGGATGGCGTGCCTCTGGTGGGAGACGTGTGTGCGGCTCCACGAGCGAGTCGCTCGCTGCTGCTCAGCGGTCAGAAGTTGGAGGGTGAAACCGGGCGGGCTGTTCAGGCCAGGACGCCTCTGGGCAGCGCAGCGGCGATTCAAGGCGGTGGGCGGTGGGCGGAGGCCGGTGGGAGGAAGGAGGGAAAAGGAGGAATAGGGGAAGAATCTGGGCTGTGTCTGTTTGGGCGAGTGAGGAGAAGGCGGGCGGAGGAGATAGGCAGGGAAGAGCGTGGAAGGTGGTCGCGGTCGCTCGCTGTGTGTGGGGCCAGGGAAGAGGGCGTGTGAGGTGGTGGGGAGGGCGTCTGTCCGAAGGGCAATTGGTAGAGGGTCGCGGGCGCTGGCGCATGGTCCTGGGCTGTTTCTGCGACAGCCGGCGGGTGGGCAGGAAGAACGGACGTGCCTGAGAAGCGGCGGCGTTTTGGAGGCTTGCTTCAAGGGGGCTGGAGTCTGGAGAGCGGGCAAGGGCTCAAGGCAGGAAGCGGCCAAAGGTGCTCCAGGGTTGCCATGGGCGTTGCCCTCCGGCGGGCGGGCCAAAAGGTCGGCTTGTCAGGAGTGGGATTCGAACCCACGCCTCCAGGGGAGACTGCGACCTGAACGCAGCGCCTTAGACCGCTCGGCCATCCTGACGGCGCGCCGGGGCGCTTCGCCGCTGGCATGGCTGGGACCCGGCGCGAACGCCTGCGCCCTTGGCCGGCGCCTGTCTGGGTTCGGTGCGCAACCGACGGACCGCGCGGGGGGAGCGGGCGCCAAGTGAACGGAGCCGGCTGGCGTTGGCGTGGACGCCCCCGCGTCCCCACCCCGGACCCAAAGGGTCCGCGTCGGGCCGGCCGCCGCCGGCGCACGCCCCAGCCCCCGCGCCTCCGCTCGCCGAACCCCGCAGGGCGTGCGCCCACCGCGTCCTAGGAGCAGCGGCCTGACTGTTTCGCCCGCGCCTCC
The DNA here is from genome assembly GCF_000001405.40 of Homo sapiens. Classification (NCBI taxonomy): domain Eukaryota; kingdom Metazoa; phylum Chordata; class Mammalia; order Primates; family Hominidae; genus Homo; species Homo sapiens. The sequence goes on along the minus strand of NC_000001.11, from coordinate 161,441,223 downwards.
TCCTGCCCCGGCGCGATCCCCGCGTTGGAGACAGCAGGCAGGGCGCGCGGGGAGGTTCCACGCCGCTCCGGTACCTGTCGGGGTCCGGCTCCGGCTCCGGGTCCCAGCGGGATCGCAGGGTGCTTTGTTGGGTGTCGGGGTAGGTCGTGCCAACGGTGGCGGGGGGCGGGTGGCAGGTGACGGGTGGCGTGTGGCGGGTGGCGGGCGGCGGGCGGCGGGTGGAAGGCGAGCACGCGCCCGGCCCCTGCCGTCGGGGGAGGGGATCAAGGCAGGGCTAGGCGTCCGCGGTCGGAGTGGGGTCTGGCGTCCCGGCGACCGTCGCCGTCGTCCTCGTTAGTATAGTGGTGAGTATCCCCGCCTGTCACGCGGGAGACCGGGGTTCGATTCCCCGACGGGGAGGCAGCCGTGCTTTTTGGGCCGCCGCCTCGGACCCAGCCTGTGGGCCCTCCTTCTCCTTCCTCCGCCCTCCAGCTAGTCGCAGGGTGCCATCTCGGGCCTGGCCTGCCTGGCCCTTTGGCCTTCTGGGCCTCCTTGGCCTCCTGTCTTTTCTTCTCGTCCGCGGCTTGGTAGCGGCAGCCGGGAGGCCTCCTCTGGCCCTGCACGGCGCCCAACGAGCTGCCGGCTCAAAGTGGTTGTCGGAAGAGGCTTTCTGCGACACACGGGGCCCTGCGCCCGGTGGGAAGCGTAGGAGTGGGGACCCTGCCGGCGCCGGCCGTTTCCCCCCCGGGCACCTGTTGGGGAAGGGCTCTGGGGGCCCGAGGCGGCGAGTGAGCGAGAGCGCCCCCAGAGGCAGGCGGGCGTAACGGGTCAGCCGCGCTGGCCTTGCACCGGTGGGGCGCGGGGCGGCCTTTGGAGAGGCCGCGGCAGCGCGGAGCTGCGGGCGGGCGGACGGACCGGGCGTCGGGGCCGGCCTGCCCCGGGCGTCGGCGGCGCGCTGGTGGGAGCCCCGGGCCGGCGCGGCGGGGCTGCCCGCGCCGTGCGGCGTTGGTGGTATAGTGGTGAGCATAGTTGCCTTCCAAGCAGTTGACCCGGGCTCGATTCCCGCCCAACGCATCGGGCGGACCTTTTGCGGAGATCCCGCGCGCGGAGCTCGCGTCGCAGCTTGGCCTGTGGCTGCGTGCCTGTGCGCCGGGGAAGGAGGCTTGCGGTGTTTGGAGGGTGTGCTACCTACCTCCACCCATCTGTCCTTTTGGCCTGGCTGACGCCACCTTCGCAACATCGGCTTTGCAGCTCTTCCTTGTCATGTGCTCACCTCGCTGCCACTGTTTCTCAGCGGCCAAGCCCACTGGCCAGGTCAGGCTTTCTCCTCGGATTGTCGCCAGGTGACCCACCACCACCACCAGCAGCACCCTCGCACTCTCTTCTGGCCACGGAATGCTCCAGTAGTGTGGAGCAGAGCGGCTTCCGCCAGTCCAAGCCGGGTGGCTGAGGGGCCACTTCTCTCTCGGCTGAGGGGGATCTACGCCTAATGATTGGGCCACCCGCCAGAGCCACTCATGCCAGCAAGCTCACTGGCTTTTCCAAGGCATGCCAGACCCTGAGCGCGGGATCCCTGATTGGGCTCCACGGGTGTCAGCGGCTTTGGTAGAAATGGCAGCAGAACTTGAGGAGCCGAGACCACGGGCTATGGCGCTGGGGAGGGAGAGCTGTGACAATCACTCTTGTAGCATGACTATGTTTTTCTTCATGCAGACATGATATTGGTGGGATTCCTGTGACATGTGGTGATGCTTGTACATTGCGTAATGATCCATGATCAACTGAGGGGTTGTACAGTATCTGTGGGTATCCATCCAGTGGGTATCTGTCATCTCTACCTGTTGGAAACAACTCATGTGCTGTCTTCCAGCTCTTTGGAAACACACTCTAATACATCGTTGTTACCTCTAGTCGCCCTAGTCTGCCATAGAACTTTAGAACGTATTCCTTCCATCTACCCACATGCTCATACCCATTTCGCCAACCTCTCTTCACCCCAGTCACCTACACAGCCTCTCCAGCCTCTGGTGTCTATCGTTCTACTCTCTACCTCCACAAGGTGAACTTTTTGTGCAGCCACGATAGTAGTGAGAACCTGCCCTCTCTGTCTTTCTGTGCCCGGCTCATTTGATGTTACATCATGACCTCCAGTGTCTGTCATTTTGCTGCCAATGGCAGGATTTCATTCTTTTTTTTTTTTATGGCTGTGTTTGTTAATAATGAGTGTCAACTTGATTGGATTGAAGGATGCAACGTACTCATGCTAGGTGTATCTGTGATGGTGTTGCCAAAGGACATAAACATTTGAGTCAATAGGCTGGGGAAGGCCCACCCATACTTAATCTGGTGCGCACGATCTAATCAGTTGCCAGCCCATATAAAGCAGGCAGAAAGACGTGAAAAGGGGAGAGTGGCTTAGCTTCTCCACCTACATCTCTCTCCCATGCCTGATGCTTCCTGCCCTCTTAACATTGGATTCCAAGTTCTTCTGTTTTGACCCCTGGACTAGCTGCCCTTCCTCCTCATGCTTGCAAACAGTGTATTTTGGGACTTTGTGATTGTGTAAGTTAATACTTAATAAACTTCTATGTGTGTGCGTGTGTGTGTTTGTATGTGTGGATATATATACATATATCACGTTAGTACTTTCCCTCTAGGGAACCCTAACTTGTACAGATTTTGGTACCAGAAGTAGTTCTAGAGGAATAGAATATTAAGGATGGAATTCTCTCATTGGTTTTGAGGTTTCTGGAGTCAGCTACTTAATATGATTAGACCCAATAATGCTAAAGACTCTACTTCTAATGCGATGGAAAACACTGATAGTCCTTGGTGTGAACTGTTTAGAAAGTTATGCAAAACAAATGCATTTGACACTCCTGATTCACCACTTGTGAGAGTCAAGGAGTTTAGTGACTCTATACATAATACCTTTGGACATATGTGGAGAACCAATGAATGTAATGAAGCTGTTTTTTTGCCCCTAAGTTCAGTGGACAAATTGATGAAAGAAAATGATGAACTCAGGGATTCTGTCTTTCAGCTTCAGAAGCAGATACTGAGCCTCAAATCTGCTAAGATTTTCCTGAGTGAGAGTCTTATCTCCTGTAGGGAAACAGCTGAAATTGTGGAAAAACAGACACAAGCTCTTATGTCAGTGGCTGATCTGCAATGAAAGGTGCATGCACAGCCTTGCCAGGTGTCTGCTGTTAAAGTGAGGGCATTGATTGGAAAAGAATGGGACCCTGCACCTTGGAATGGGGATGTGTGGGAGTTACCTGATGAAGCTGGGGACACTGAGCTTGTAAACTCTGATGAACCTTTTTGGCCAGAAGGAACAGCTTCCCCATCCCCAGTAGTGGCAGCATCCCCTCCTTGACCCATGCTGCCATCAGCCTCTCCACCTTTGTCTGAGGAGATAAACCCTGTGCTGCCTGAGGCAACAGTGATGACCTCCTCTGAGGCAGTTGCCAGGCAAAATAATGTTGATTCTCCTTAGGAGCCACTCCCAACACCTCTGTTTGCTTCTAGACCTATAACTAAAGTCCTGGCAGGCTCCTAGAGGTGAGGTTGAAAGTGTGACCCATGAGGAGTTGCACTACATTCAAAAAGAACTGCTTGAGTTCTCTAATTTATATAAACAGAAATCTGGAGAACAGGCATTGGAATGGATATTGAGGGTATGGGATAATGGTGGAAGGAACACAGAGGTGGATCTGGCTGAATTTATTGATTTGGGCCCACTAAGTAGGGACTCTCCATTTAATGTTGCAGCTCAGGGAGTTTAAAAAAAAAAAGGTTCTAATAGCTTATTTGCTTGGTTAGCTGAAATATGGATTAAAAGATGGCCCACTGTTAACAAGCTGGAAATGCCTGATCTCCCTTGGTTTAATGTAGAGGAATGGATCCAAAGGCTTAGGGAGATTGGGATGGTGAGGTGAATTAGTCACTTTCGACCTACTCATCCCAGCTGGGAGGGTCCAGAAGATATACCCTTGCAATTAATGCCTTGTGAAATAGATTTGTGAGGGCAGCACCTGCATCTTTGAAGAGCCCTGTAATTACTCTTCTCTATATGTCAGATCTAACAGTGGGAACTGCAGTCAACCAACTACAAAATTTACTTACAATGGGAATAATTGGATCCCAAGGTGTCAGGGGCCAAGTGGTGGCACTCAGTCGTCAAAGACAAGGTGGGTGTAGCTGCCGTAATGGACAGCAGAGACAAAGCAGCAATCACAATAGTCTGACTCATGTAGAGCTCTGGCATTGGCTAATTAATCACTGTGTTCCTAGAAGTTAAATTGGTAGGAAGCCTACTGAATTTCTACTTAATTTATATAAGGAGAATTCTACATTGAAGGGACAAAAGGCTAATTTGAATGATAAAAACAGAGAATCATGGCCCCTCAATCAATTTCCAGACTTGAGCCAGTTTACAGACCCAGAACCCTTTGAATGAAGGAGAGGCCAGTTCCCCTTGAGGAAGGACCCCACTACATTACCCACAATTTATGCAATGAATCTTTCTCCAATCCTTCCCCAAGTAAATCTCTGGCCTTTTACCAGGGTAACTATGCATTGAGGAAAGATAAATGATCAGATATTTCACGGACTACTGGACTCTGGCTCTGAGCTGACGTTGATTCCAGGGTACCCAAAATGTCGTTGTGGCCCTCCAGTTAAAGTAGGGGCTTATGGAGGTCAGGTAATTAATGGAGTTTTAGCTCAGTCCGACTTATAGTGGATCCAGTGGGTCCCCAGACTCATCCTGTGGTCATTTCCCCAGTGCCAGAATGCATAATTTGCATAGACATACTTAGCAGCTGGCAGAACCCCCACATTGGCTCCCTGACTGGTAAGGCTATTATGGTGGGAAGGCCCAAATGGAGGCCATTAGATCTGCCCCTACCTAGAAAAATAGTAAATAAAAAACAATATCACACCCCTTGATGGTGACATCAAGGACATGAAAGACACAAGGGTGGTGATTCCCACCACATCCCCATTCAACTCTCCCATTTGGCCTTTGCAGAAGACAGATGGATCTTGAAGAATCACAGTGGATTATCATAAGCTTAACCAAGTGGTGACTCCAATTGCAGCTGCTGTACCAGATGTGGTTTCATTGCTTGAGCAAATTAATACATCTCCTGGTACCTGGTATGCAGCCATTGAGTTGGCAAATACCTTTTTCTCCATTCCTGTCCAGAAGGTCCACCAGAAGTGGTTTGCCTTCAGCTGGCAAGGCCAGCAATATACCTCAAGGGTATATCAACTCTCCGGCTTTGTGTCATAATCTTATTCAGAGAGATGTAGATCACTTTTTGCTTCTGCAAGATGTCACACTGGTCCATTACATTGATGACATTATGCTGACTGGATCCAGTGAGCAAGAAGTAGCAAACACACTGGACTTATTCGTGAGACATTTGTGTGCCAAAGGATGGGAAATAAATCCAACTAAAATTCAGGGACCTTCCACCTCAGTAAAATTTCTAGGGGTCCAATGGTGTGGGGCCTGTCAAGATATTCATTCTAAGGTGAAGGATAAGTTGCTGCAGTTGGCCCCTCCTACAACCAAGAAAGAGGCACAACACCTAGTGGGCCTATTTGGATTTTGGAGGTAACATCTTCCTTATTTGGGTGTGTTATTCTGGCCCATTTATCAAATGACCTGAAAGGCTGCCAGTTTTGAGTGGGGTCCAAAACAGGAGAAGGCCCTGCAACAGGTCCAGGCTGCTGCGCAATCTGCTCTGCCACCTGGGCCATATGATCCAGCAGATCCAATGGTGCTTGAGGTGTCAGTGGCAGATAGGGATGCTGTTTGGAGCCTTTGGCAGGCCCCCATAGGTGAATCACAGCAGAGGCCTCTAGGATTTTGGAACAAGGCCCTGCCATCTTCTGCAAATAACTACTCTCCTTTTGAGAGACAGCTCTTGGCCTGTTACTGGGCTTTGGTGGAAACTGAACGTTTGAGTGTGGGTCAAGTCACCATGCGACCTAAACTACCTATCATGAACTGGGTGCTTTCTGACCCATCTAGCCATAAAGTCAGTCATGCACAGCAGCATTCCATCATCCAATCGAAGTGGTATATATGTTATCAGGCCCAAGCTGGTCCTGAAGACACAAGTAAATTACATGAGGAAGTGGCTCAAATGGCCATGGTCTCCACTCCTGCCACCCTGCCTTCTTTCCCCCAGCCTGCACCGATGGCTTCATTGGAAGTTCCCTATGATCAGTTGACAGAGGAAGAGAAGACTAGGGTCTGGTTCACAGATGGTTTTGCTCAATATGCAGACACCACCCAAAAGTTGAAGGGGTGGCCTGCCCCTCCACACCTGTGGGTATTTCTAGTCAGGTGGGATGAGAGACTGAGAAAAGAAATAAGACACAGAGACAAAGTATAGAGAAACAACAGTGGGCCCAGGGGACCAGCGCTCAGCATACCAAGGACCTGCACCGACACCAGTCTCTGGGTTCCCTCAGTTTTTATTGATTATTATCTTCATTATTTCAGCAAAAAGGAATGTAGTAGGAGGGCAGGGTGATAATAAGGGGAAAGGTCAACAACAAACGTGAGCAATAGAATCTATGTCATAATTAAGTTCAAGGGAAGGTACTATGACTGGACGTGCACGTAAGCCAGATTTATGTTTCTCTCCACCCAAACATCTCAGTGGAGTAAAGAATAACAAAGCAGCATTGCTGCAAACATGTCTCACCTCTCACCACAGGGCAGTTTTTCTTTCATCTCAGAATTGAACAAATGTACAACTGGGTTTTATACTGAGACATTCAGTTCCCAGGGGCAGGCAGGAGACTGGCTTTCCGCTATCTCAACTGCAAGAGGCTTTCCTCTTTTACTAATCCACCTCAGCACAGACCCTTTATGGGTGTCGGGCTGGGGGACAGTCAGGTCTTTCTAATCCTGTGAGGCCATATTTTAGACTATCACATGGGGAGAAACCTTGGACAATACCCCGCTTTCAAGGGTGGAGGTCCCTGTGGCTTTCCACAGTGCATTGTGCCCCTGGTTTATTGAGACTAGAGAATGGCGATGACTTTTACCAAGTATACTGCTTGTAAACATTTTGTTAACAAGGCACGTCCTGCACAGTCCTAGATCCCTTAAACCTTGATTTCATACAACACATGTTTTTGTGAGCTCCAGGTTGTGTCAAAGTGGTTGGGTCAAAGTGGCTGGGGCAAAGCTACAAATTAACAACATCTCAGCAAAGCAATTATTTAAAGTACAGGTCTTTTTCAAAATGGAGTGTCTTATGTCTTCCCTTTCTACTTAGACACAGTAACAGTCTGATCTCTCTTTCTTTTCCCCACAAAAGTGGACAACTGGAGCACTACAGCCCCCCTTTCTAGGACACCCCTGAAGGACAGCAGTGAAGAGGAATCTTCCCAGTAAGCAGAACTTTGAGCAGTGCACCTAGTTGTGCACTTTGCATGGAAGGAGAAATGGCCAGATATGTGATTATATACTGATTCATTGGCTGTGGCCAGTGGTTTGGCTGGATGGTCAGGGACTTGGAAGAAGCATGACTGGAAAATTTGTGACAAAGTTGGGGAAGAGGTATGTGGATGAACCTCTCTGCGTGGTCAAAAACTGTGAATACTTTTGTATTCCATGTAGGTGCCCACCAACAGGTGACCTCAGCAGAGGAGGATTTTAATAATCAAGTGGATAGGATGACCCGATCTATGGACACCACTCAGCCTCCTTCCCCAGCCACCCCTGTGATCGCCCAATGGGCCCACGAACAAAGTGGCCATCGTGGCAGGGATGGAGGTTACACATGGGTTCAGCAATATGGACTTCCACTCACCAAGGCTGACCTGGCTACAGCCACTGCTGAGTGCCAAATTTGCCAGCAGCAGACACCAACACTGAGTCCTCAATATGGCACCATTCCTCGGGGTAATCAGCCAGCTACCTGGTGGCAGGTTGATTATATTGGACCTCTCCCATCATGGAAAAGTCAAAGCTTTGTCCTCACTGGAATAGACACTTACTTGGGATATGGGTTTGCCTATCCTGCATGCAATGCTTCTGCCAAGACTACCATCCGTGGACTCATGAAATGCCTTACCCACCATCATGGTATTCCCAACAGCATTGCCTCTGACCAACGCATTCACTTTATGGCAAAAGCAGTGTGGCAGTGGTCTCGTGCCCATGGAATTTACTGGTCTTACCATATTCCCCATCATCCTGAAGCAGCTGGATTGATAGAATGGTGGAATGGCCTTTTGAAGTCACAATTACAATGCCAACTAGGTGACAATACTTTGCAGGCCTGGGGCAAAGTTCTCTAGAAAGCCATGTATGCTCTAAATCAGCATCCAATATATGATAGTGTTTCTCCCATAGCCAGGATTCACGGGTCCAGGAATCAAGGGATGGAAGTAGAAGTGGCACAACTCACCATCACCCATAGTGTTCCACAAGCAAAATTTTTCTTCCTGTTCCCATGACATTACATTCTGCTGGCTTGGAGGTCTTAGTTCCAGGGGGAGGAACACTGCCACCAGGAGACACAAGAATGATTCCATTAAACCGGAAGCTGAGATTGCCACCTAGACACTTTGGGCTCCTCCTACCTTTAAGTCAACAGGCTAAGAAGGGAGTTACAGTGTTGGCTGGGGTGATTGATCCAGACTATCAAGATGAAATCAGTATACTACTCTATAATGGAGGTAAGGAAGAGTATGCATGGAATACAGGAGATCCATTAGGGCATCTCTTAGTATTACCCTGCCCTATGATTATAGTCAATGGGAAACTACAACCGCCCAATCCAGGCAAGACTACAAATGGTCCAGATCCCTCAAGAATGAAAGTTTGGGTCATTCCACCAGGAAAAAAAAACTATGAACTGCTGAGGTGCTTGCTGAAGGCAAAGAGAATACAGAATGAGTAGTAGAAGAGGGTAGTCATCAATACCAGCTATCACCATGTGACCAGCTGCAGAAACGAGGACTGTAATTGTCATGTGTATTTCCTCCTTCTTTTGTTAAAAACATGTTTGTGCATGTATACACTTGTACTAAGAAAATATCATCATTTTATTTCCTTTTTCTTTATCATGTGACATAAGATTTATTGACTTCATATCAGAATTTAAGTATGTTAACTTTGTGTAATAGTATTTGGGTTGGGGATTGGTGCATTTCTGGTTGTACAAAGGATAGTTGTATTATGTTAGGCATAATTATGACCTTATTATTGTCTTTATTTGAAGACTATGTATGATCTCAGAAGACGTGTATGGGTTTGAGTTTACAAGGGGTGTACTTGTGATGGTTAATACTGAGTGTCAACTTGATTGGATTGAAGGATGCAAAGTATTGATCCTGGGTGTGTCTGTGAGGGTGTTGCCAAAGGAGATTAACATTTGAGCCAGTGGGTTAGGGAAGGCAGACCCACCCTTAATCTGGTCAGCACAATCTAATCAGCTGCCAGTGAATATAAAGCAGGCAGAAAAATGTGAAAACGTGAGACGGGCCTAGCCTCTCAGCCTAGATCTTTCTCCCGTGCTGGATGCTTCCTGCCCTCAAATATCTGACTCCAAGTTCTTCAGTTTTGAGACTCAGACTGACTCTCCTTTCTCTTCAAGGTTGCAGACAGCCTATTTTGGGAATTTGTGATCGTGTAAGTTAATACTTAATAAACTCTCTCTCTCTATGTATATATAATTTATTATATAATTATATAATAAACTCCATATATATTAGCCATTGTCCCCTAGAGGGAGAGAACTAATATGAGCTATATATGTATATATATATGGAGTTTATTATATAATTATATATTATAAAATATATATTTATAATATATTTTATAAATAATATATAATATATTTTCTAAATAATATATAATATATTTATATATAATATATTTTATATATAATATATAACATATAATAAATATATATCATATAAATTATGTAATATGATATATATAATATATAATTAATTCTCTCTCTCTGTCTCGCTCTCTTCTATTAGTTCTGTCCCTCTAGGGAACTCTGACTAATACAATAGCCAAATAGTATTCCATGGTGTATATATGCCACATTTTCTTTATCTTTTTCGCGGCTGATGGACATTTAGGTTGATTCGATATTTCTGTCATTGTGAATAGTACGGCATTAAACATGGGGGCGCAGGTATCTGTCTGATATCCGGATTTCCTTTGCGTTGGATAAATACTCAGCTGTGAGTTTCCTGGATTCTACAGAAGTTGTACCTTTGTTTGCTTTTCTTTCTTTCTTTCTTTCTTTCTTTCTTTCTTTCTTTCTTTCTTTCTTTCTTTCTATCTTTCTTTCTTCCTTTCTTTCTTTCTCTTTCTCTTTCTTTCTTTCTTTTTCTTTCTTTCTTTTCTCTCTCTCTTTCTTTCTTTTTTTTGACGGAGTCTTGCTCCAGCCCAGACTGGAGTGCAATGGCATGATCCTGGCTCACTGCAACTTCTGCCTCCCAGGTTCAAGCGATCCTCCTGCCTCAGCCTCCCAAGTAGCTGAGCTTACAGGCATGCACCACCACACCTGGCTAATTTTTTTGTCTTTCTAGTAGAGACGCAGTTTCACCATGTTGGCCAGGCTGGTCTCAAATTCCTGACCTCAGGTGATCCACCTATCTTGGCCTCCCAAAGTGTTGGGATTACAGGGGTGAGCCACCATGCCCAGCCTGCTTTTCTTGAGAAATTTCTATGCTGTTTTTTTTATGGTGAGTGTACTTATTTACTTTTCTGCCAACGGTGTCTAAGACCCACCTTTTTTCTGCCTCATCATCTGGATTTGTTAGGTTTTGGGGTGTTTTCTTTTGTCTGTTAAATAATGTCTCTTCTAACTGGGGTAAGATGATATCTCATTGTGGTTTTGATTTGTATTTTTCTGACCACTTGTGATGTTGAGCATTTTCTTCATACAACTGTTGGTTGACCATTCCCATGTCTTTTTTTTGGGAAATGTCCTTTGCCTACTTTCTAATGGGATTATATTGGGGGCATGTGTGTGTGTGTGTGTGTGTGTGTGTGTGTGTGTGTGTGTTTGCTTACTGCCAACATGTTCGAGTTGCTTGCCTATTCTGGATGTATAAAATGAATCTTTAGAGATCCAGCTAGTTAGAACACTCTGGCAGCAAGGGTGGAAATGTGGAGTTAAAGGAATCAGTGGGTGAAACACAGCAGCTAAGCTGACTAAAGAGCTTTTGGTGGTTGGGTGTCAGGATAGAGTTCTAGCTGATGGTCTCAATCTCATCTCAAAATAACAAGAAACACACTGAGAATGCCCCTATATTCTGTGCCCAGATTTGATCTCTAAATTTTCCCATTTTCTCTTTCCCACAGATCAGCTCTGCTCTTCATCCGTTTGTTCATTTCTGTATAGATCTTATTGTGAGTCTTATGGCTTCCCCCAAAGGAAACTGCAGAGCTCTGTCTACTTCACCCTACAGCTTCTGTGCATATCAGGAAAGATATTTTCATATATGTTCTCTACACTGACATTTGGCTGTACATTTGTTCTTATACCACTGCAATCGTGCCTCTCTAATTTTGATTTCACAGAGTATGCACCATTCCCATTCTTTTCTTGCCAGCCTATGCCTCTTCCTGGCATGATCCTTCTGTTTATAAACAGTGTTCATCGCTAGTCTGATCTGCATTCTCAGCCCTTTTGAGCTCTACTTAAAGTGGTAGTAGGCAATTACTTTGCCATTCAAGTAGCTGAGCCAGTGTTCATGGATTACTGCAGTTACACCCCTTTTAGGTCATGCAACTACCATGTCTCACTTTTTTTTTCAAATAATTATTTATGAGGACCTCTTAAGAAAGGTTAAGGGGAAAAAAAAAGTCTTCCAACTCTGTGGATCCAGAGCCTCTTCGATGTCTCTCAAAGTTTCTAGCAAATCTCGCCACTGGAACTTTTAACAGAAATGTTTCAATCAAACCAATAAGTATACTGGAGACATAGAAGTCTTCCATCTGGGGCTGCTTGACCATCAAGCCAGAGAATAACATCCTATTATTTTCCATTTTATAAAGTTCATTTTGACCTGGTCTTTTACATAGAGTCAACTAAATTGTTGCTATTTGAAAGACTTAACTGTATTGACTTACAATATTGGGTGTGACACTGTTTTCTCAGCCTAAGTGAGATGTATGGGTGGCCTGGGTTTCTGTAATAGAAACCTCTGAACATGTCATGGAAGCTACTGGTAGAAATTATTAGAGGGTTTCATAAAAATTGTCCAGACTGTAGAAAACTTCAAAAAGTTAACAGCTTTGCAAATGCCAAAGATTTGCGGGAATTACATTCATTACTACAATTGATTTTCTTGAGTCAAAATAACTGATAGATCTGGTGCATGTTTCAGTGTAAAACTTAAATATAATCGAACTAATCATAAATTAGTGATTCCCTATGAAAAGCCATGACCCATCAGGGATGCTTTTGATTGTTTGGAGCGGAGGGGTGCTTATTTGTTCAACTTGCTCAATCTCTTGTGTCCCAGATGTCTTTGTACCTTCCCATGGGATATTTAGTACTTTCCCATGGGCTATTTAAGCTTGAGAATCATATTCTGGGAGTGCTTCAGAGCTCACTTCCACACTTAACTTACCTCTTTGAACAAACACTTAGCATGTAGGTTTGAAATTCAGAAAGAAGTGATGTAACTGGGCTTCAAAAAACTACCGATTTAAGGACATCAAGCTGACTTCCTAAGTGTGTATCTCTAGTTCAAATCAGCAATGAGCTATTCTCCCAACACTCACTACACCCTTTCTCCATTCCCCATTTCCTCAAGCCAATAGTTAATTTGATTTTACTCGTGTCTGGGTCTCGACTTTGGGAGCCAATTGCTTTCTGCTGCTGCTAAGAAACTGGGGAGGAAGCAAGCAAGTATCTGAATGTCACATAGCAGGAATGGTTTCATGTTGTAGGTTTTAGAATTACCCAACTCAGACCTAGACTTGCAGTCACGTAGTAGTGAACCAGAACTCTAGGTAGCGAAATCGTCATGTGTTTACCTAAATATCTATAAATATGATCTACAAGAACAGGCCATTCGTGTCAGTCTCTGTGGCGCAATCGGTTAGCGCGTTCGGCTGTTAACCGAAAGGTTGGTGGTTCGAGCCCACCCAGGGACGGCTGAAATTTTAGATTCCAATTCCTTTGTTACTATTTTTCTCCATTCTTCTTTTCAGATCCAGAAGTTCTACTTCTAACCTAAAATCCTACACAATGGTTGCTTTGTAAAACACGTTTCATAACATCCTCCACCCTACACGTTTAGAGGTCCTCTAGTACTGAACTAGAGGCTCCTGTACTTTTCCCTCCAGAAACAAATCCTTTGAGAGCTGCTTTCCTGCAGAACCTCGCAGCCAGCAAGACTTTGCAGGTGAGTGCTAGTACTAAGGAAAACAAGTATGGCTCTCTCGCTCAATTAATTCCCACAGCAGATGCTAAAGAGCTGGAGAAACCCAATGACCTCTCTGAAATTTTAAAGGGTGCAGGGCAGCAAAACTCCACCTCCATTCTCTTAGGGTCCCGACTGCACCTGAGAATTACGTTAATAGACTATAGATCGAATTTCTTTAATACAAGTTTTACGTGGCACGGGAACACTTATGAGGAAATGGAGATGAGAAGAAGCAGTTAGAGTTAGTAATTTATATACTAAATTGGATGAAGAGCAGTAAGTTGTGAAGAAGCAACTAAACTATGTGGAAAGGCTTAAAAAATAAGAGTTGTTTTTACAAGATCTCTGTAGAAAAGTGCCTTTAAAAATTTAAATATTTTAAGTTAAAAACTTAAATAGTTTCTGGCCGGACGCGGTAGCTCACGCCTGTAATCCCAGCACTTTGGGAGGCAGAGGCGGGTGGATCACGAGGTCAGGAGATCGAGACCATCCTGGCTAACACAGTGAAACCCCGTCTCTACTAAAAATAGAAAAAATTAGCCGGGCATGGTGGGGGGCGCCTGTTGTCCCAGCTACTCAGGAGGCTGAGGTAGGAGAATCGTTTGAACCTGGGAGGCGGAGGTTGCAGTGAGCTGAGATCATGCCACTGCACTCCAGCGTGGGCGACAGAGCAAGACTCCGTCTCAAAAAAAAAAAAAAAAAAAAAAAACTTAGTTTCTGATGGTATCTGATTCAAATTATGGGCCTGGAGGACATAATAGGTGATAGAGGTGGGTCTTGAAATAAGTTGGCATTTCCTTGCCATGTAACTGTCTCAGATGTTATCATAAAGAATCCTCAAACAAGAGAATTTCAACTTGTTCATATAGGAAGAAAGGGGGCTCTTTTGCTAGTAAGGGAGGCTCAGGGAGATTTGTAGGTTCAAAGCACTCAGATTCATAATAATCTGCTCAACTGTCTCATTTCCATTCCCACTGTTGATGAATACACCAAATGTCACAGAAGAGGCATGCTCAGACTATGAATTTAACTTGGGTTTTAGTTTTTTAACCTGCAGGATCCAATTTTAGGTTCATATCTTGGCTATTCAAGATATACACACACATATCCTATTTTTTCTGTTTTGTCTGTAACTATGGAACTCTTACTGGATAGAAAGTGGTATACAGATCATGGGAATGTGAATAGTTACAACCACTTTGGAAAGCTATTTGGACATACCTGCCACAGCTGAACATATGTATGCATGTTTCAGTAATTTTTTCTGAGGTATATACCTAAGAGAAAACAGTATAACTATATAGATATAGAGGTAAAGATAGATAAATGGGCAGATAGTCTCCAAAATATATGTACAAAATTTTTCAAGAAACCATTATTTAAAATGTTATTTAGTATAACATAAACTGTACATATTTAAAGTATACAAAATGATGTTTTGACGTATGTATACACCAGTGAATCCAACACTATCATTAAGATAGTGAGCATATAGGCCGGGTGTGGTGGCCTATGCCTGTAATCCCAACACTTTGGGAGGCCAAGGTGGGTGGATCACCTGAGGTCAGGAGTTTGAGACCAGCCTGACCAACATGGTGAAACCCCATATCTACTAAAAATACGAACATCAGCCGGGCATGGTGGCACGTGCTTGTAATCCCAGCTACTTGGGAGGCTGAGACAGGAGAATCACTTGAACCTGGCAGGTGGAAGTTGCAGTAAGTCAAGATTGCACCATTGCACTCCAGCCTGGGCAACAAGAGCAAAACTCCGTCTCAAAAAAAAAAAAAAAAAAAAATATATATATATATATATATATATATATATATATAGTGAGCATCTCCATCACCCCCAAGCAGTTTCCCTATAGCCTTTTGTAATTCCATAATTCCACCCTCCTGCTCCTTACCACCTCACACTCCCTCTTACCCGCCCATCCCCAAGCCAACCACTGATCTGCTTTTTGTCAATATAGATAAGTTGGCATTGCCTAGAGTTTTATGTAAATGAAATCATACAGCATGTCCTCTTTTTTGTTTCGTATGATCTCTCAGTCCATTCAGGTGCTATAACAAAATGCCATAGACTGGGTGGCTTATAAGCAACAAAAATTATTTCTCATGGTTCTGGAAGTTGGGAGGTCCAAGATCAAGGTGCTTGCACATGTGGTTTCTGGTGAGGGCCTGTTTTCTCACAGAAAGCAGTCTTTTAAGAAGCCTCACATGGTGAGGGTCTCTTTTATAAGGACACTAATCCTATTAATGAAGGCTCCACCTTCATGACCTAATTATCTCCCCAAAGCCCCACCTCATAATATCATAACCTTGGGAGTTAGAATTTTAACATATGAACTTGGGGTGTGTGTGCAAACATTCAGTCCACTGCATATAGTCTGTCTCTTTAATTTTAGACATTCTAATTTATGTGTAGTGGTATCTTCACACCCACTAGGATGGCTATAATTTTTAAAACAACAGAAAATATAAAGCATAGGCAGAAATGTGAAGAAAAATGAAGCCATCTTAAACAAATTCAGTGGCATTAAGTATGTTCACACGGTTATGCAACCACCATCTCAATCTAGTTCCAAAACATTTTCATCAAAAGAAAGTAAAACCCCATATCATTATGTGATTACTCCACATTCCCCAGCCCCTGGCAGCCATTACTCTGCTTTCTGTTCCTATAGATTTACCTATGCTGGTGGGAATATAAGTGACTTAGTAATTCCACTACTAAATAGATAACCCCAAAAAATAAAAAACAGATGCTCAAACAAATGCTTGTACATAAATGTTCATAGCAGCATTATTCACAACAGCCAAAAGGTGGAAACAACCAAAATGCCCATCAACAGATGAATGGATAAAGGAAATGTGGTATATACATAAAATGTTATTTAGCCATAAGAAGAAATGAAGTACATACTATGACATGAATGAACCCAAAAATATTATGCCAAGTGAGAGAAGCCAGACAAAATGTGACACATTATGTGATTTCATTTCTATGAAATGTGTAGAATAGGTAAATCCATTTCAGGTTCCAGGAAACAGAGCAAGGCCTCAAAGATGGGTGCAGCTCCAGGTAGGCAAGTCTCCCAGGCTCTGACTGCTCCTCCCTCTGCACTGGTGAGGGGCATATTTAGAGATCAGGAATAGGATCCTTTGGGGAGGGGGGCAAAAAGACACATTTTTTCTCAATCAACCGTGGGGAAACTATATAAGTGAAGGAGATGCAGATTTTAGGAGGAAGAAAGAAAAAGGGAGGGAGGCAGGAAGGGAGATGAGAAACTCCCATGTCAGAGGGAGTCCGTGACAAAAATGATTTGGGAAATATTTTTCTCTTCCCCAGCTTGACTTATGACAATCTTTCTTCCAACGTTTCTGCCCCTAAAGCCTTCTGCCACCCTCTGGCCCAGGCAGCAGTCACTGCATCCAGTACTATACACATCATTGCAAAATATTCTTAAAGACATTCCTATAGGTTTCTTTTTTTTTTTTTTTTAATTGATCATTCTTGGGTGTTTCTCGCAGAGGGGGATTTGGCAAGGTCACAGGACAATAGTGGAGGGAAGGTCAGCAGATAAACAAGTGAACAAAGGTCTCTGGTTTTCCTAGGCAGAGGACCCTGCGGCCTTCCGCAGTGTTTGTGTCCCTGGGTACTTGAGATTAGGGAGTGGTGATGACTCTTAAGGAGCATGCTGCCTTCAAGCATCTGTTTAACAAAGCACATCTTGCACCGCCCTTAATCCATTCAACCCTGAGTGGATACAGCACATGTTTCAGATAGCACAGGGTTGGGGGTAAGGTCACAGATCAACAGCATCCCAAGGCAGAAGAATTTTTCTTAGTACAGAACAAAATGAAAAGTCTCCCACGTCTACCTCTTTCTACACAGACACGGCAACCATCCGATTTCTCAATCTTTTCCCCACCTTTCCCCCCTTTCTATTCCACAAAACCGCCATTGTCATCATGGCCCGTTCTCAATGAGCTGTTGGGTACACCTCCCAGACGGGGTGGTGGCCGGGCAGAGGGGCTCCTCACTTCCCAGTAGGGGCGGCCGGGCAGAGGCGCCCCTCACCTCCCGGACGGGGCGGCTGGCCGGGTGGGGGGCTGACCCCCCCACCTCCCTCCCGGACGGGGCGGCTGGCCGGGCGGGGGCTGACCCCCCCACCTCCCTCCTGGACGGAGCGGCTGGCCGGGCAGAGGGGCTCCTCACTTCCCAGTAGGGGCGGCCGGGCAGAGGCGCCCCTCACCTCCCGGACGGGGCGGCTGGCCGGGTGGGGGGCTGACCCCCCCACCTCCCTCCCGGACGGGGCGGCCGGCCAGGCAGAGGGGCTCCTCACTTCCCAGTAGGGGCGGCCGGGCAGAGGCGCCCCTCACCTCCCGGACGGGGCGGCTGGCCAGGTGGGGGGCTGACCCCCCCCACCTCCCTCCCGGACGGGGCGGCTGGCTGGGCGGGGGGCTGACCCCCCCCACCTCCCTCCCGGACGGGGCGGCTGGCCGGGCGGGGGGCTGACCCCCCCACCTCCCTCCTGGACGGAGCGGCTGGCCGGGCAGAGGGGCTCCTCACTTCCCAGTAGGGGCGGCCGGGCAGAGACGCTCCTCACTTCCCAGACGGGGTGGCTGCTGGGCGGAGGGGCTTCTCACTTCTCAGACGGCGCGGCTGCCGGGCGGAGGGGCTCCTCACTTCTCAGACGGGGTGGTTGCCGGGCGGAGGGGCTCCTCACTTCTCAGACGGGGCGGTTGCCAGGCAGAGGGTCTCCTCACTTCTCAGACGGGGCGGCCGGGCAGAGACGCTCCTCACATCCCGGACGGGGCGGCAGGGCAGAGGTGCTCCCCACATCTCAGACGATGGGCGGCCGGGCAGAGACTCTCCTCACTTCCCAGATGGGATGGCGGCCGGGAAGAGGCGCTCCTCACTTCCTAGATGGGATGGCGGCCGGGCAGAGACGCTCCTCACTTTCCAGACTGGGCAGCCAGGCAGAGGGGCTCCTCACATCCCAGACGACGGGCGGCCGGGCAGAGACGCTCCTCACTTTCCAGACTGGGCAGCCAGGCAGAGGGGCTCCTCACATCCCAGACGATGGGCGGCCGGGCAGAGACGCTCCTCACTTCCCAGACGGGGTGGCGGCCGGGCAGAGGCTGCAATCTCGGCACTTTGGGAGGCCAAGGCAGGCTGCTGGGAGGTGAAGGTTGTAGCGAGCCGAGATCACGCCACTGCACTCCAGCCTGGGCACCATTGAGCACGGAGTGAACGAGACTCCGTCTGCAATCCCGGCACCTCAGGATGCCGAGGCTGGTGGATCACTCGCGGTTAGGAGCTGGAGACCAGCCCGGCCAACACAGCGAAACCCCGTCTCCACCAAAAAAATACGAAAACCAGTCAGGCGTGGCGGCGCGCGCCTGCAATCGCAGGCAGTCGGCAGGCTGAGGCAGGAGAATCAGGCAGCAGTACCGTCCAGCTTCAGCTCCGCATCAGAGGGAGACCGTGGAGAGAGGGAGAGGGAGACCGTGGGGAGAGGGAGAGGGAGAAAAAGACATTCCTATAGGTTTCTAACATGTGCCTGAGGTGGTTGAGGCGTCTGTCCTAAGATCTTTTCTCAGAAGGTGCTGCCCACAGTGTCACCAGCCCTCCCTGGTGGTCTAGTGGCTAGGATTCGGCGCTTTCACCGCCGCGGCCCGGGTTCGATTCCCGGTCAGGGAAGTTTGCTTTTTTCCTTTCTGATATCACTGCAGTGGTTTCCACCAAAGCCATGTTCAGTGATCTTCAGTTCAAGGCGGTGAACACTGCATGTGCCTTTCAACCTCTCCCAGATGATCCTGAAGTCAGTCTTGAAAACCGCGGGGCAATGTCATTAGGGAGCCCTTGACAAGTAAGAACGTTGACAAGTTAGTGTTGTCAAGTAACTTGTCATCATAGGAGGTTCACTTTCGTCTATTCCTCTTACGGGTAAAGTTAACTAACTTATTACCATATAAAAATATGTTTCTATTTTTACAAAATACCAAACGAATTAAGAGAGGTTTTCCATGTTTCAAATATGCAAATTAGCATAACGGACTAGTTTGTTTTCCGATTTGGAACACCTGTTACCAGAGGAAACAGTAGCGCATCTGGTAAAATAACCTGGGCATCTACTACATCTCTGAAATGTAAACAAACCGCCCTTAGGGTTTAAATGAGAACTCGGCAGGAGGTCGGGGAGGGAGAATTACATTTATTCTTAAAACTGTGCCTATGCCAATTCATCAGACCTTTCTAGATTTAGAAGACATTTGAAATAACTCACTTGTTTCATGTAAAAATTACTTATATTGATTTTTAAAAATCAAGCCGGGAGCGTTGGCTCCCAGCACTTTGGGAGGCGGGCGGATCACGAGGTCAAAGATCGAGACCATCCTGGCCAACATGGTAAAACCCAGTCTCTACTAAAAATACAAAAATAAAAATACAAAAATTAGCTGGGCGTGGTGGTGCGGGCCTGTAGCCCCAGCTACTCGGAAGGCTGAGCTGTAGTCCCAGCTACTCCTTGAACTCGGGAGACGGAGGTTGCAATGAGCTGAAAGCGCACGACTGCACTCCAGCCTGGCGACAGAGCGAGACTCAGCCCCCAAGAAGTAAAAATAAAAATCAGTAATTCTCAATAGAGTGGGGCTGAGGTGAGTCTGAATCTGCCTACCTTTTTACTCCATACAGGCAGTCCCCATTCCCTGGATACTGATGTACAGGATGTCAGTAGTGCCTTGCAGAGAGGCGTGCCTGCAAGCAAACCTTAACTGCTCCGGAGGGCAGTGACAGCCGCAGCCACGGCGATAATAGAATGCGTGTGATCAAGAAAGCAAAGAAGCAAACTTTCCTAACCGGGAATTGAACCTGGGCGCTGGCAGTTAAAGCACTAGAATCCTAGCCACTAGACCACCAGGGAGAGACAGCTTAGTTACCTGGGCAGCACCTTTTGGAAAAATACCTTAGGACTGACGCTTTAACCACTGCAAGCGTAGGTTATAAACTTTTAGGAGTGTCTGGAAAATGTTCTTAAAATTTCAAATAATTAGCCGGCCAGGCGCGGCGGCTCACGCCTGCAGTCCCAGCACTTTGGGAGACCGAGGTGGGCAGATCACCTGAGGTCAGGAGTTCAAGACCAGCCTGGCCAACATGGTGAAACCCCGTTTCTACTAAAAATATAAAAAATTAACCAGGCATGGTGGCGGGCACCTGTAATCCCAGCTACTCCGGAGGCTGAGGCAGGAGAATCATTTGAACCCGGGAAGTGGAGGTTGCAGTGAGTCGAGATTGTGTCATTGCACTCCAGCCTGGGCAACAAGAGCAAAACTCTGTCTCGGAAAAAAAAAAAAATCATGCTAATTATTTAAATTCTTAATTTTTCTTTACATAGAATGACAAATAAGAGCAAATAAAAAGCCCCATCATAGGAAGGACTATGGAAGAAAGGAAAAAGCTTTATAGTTCACTACTCTTCACAGCACTTTTCTTGCTGCTTTTTTCAGAAGAGGTTGCATTTTCACTTTGCACTAGACCCGACAATTTATGTAGCTGATGCTGGTACCAGAAGGTAAGATCAGTTTCCTGGGGTACATTTTTGGTATAGTGGTTAAGGCTTTTTTCTCAAACTTCCCAGTGGGAGTTTAAGTCTTGGTTTTGTCCTTCATTTTTCTTCCTTCCCACTATTAAGCTCCTGTTGCTGTGGCCATCAAGATTTTCTATTGTTCTGGGGCTCAAGCAGACAAGGAACCCAAGAACACCCAGGCCACACCTTCCACCCAGGAGTCCAGCTGGGCCCTATGCCCAAATGATTGCTTTTTCTCTTTGCCCACTCCATCAAGGGTGACAGCTTCTTCCTAGTCAATTCTTTGCCATGGTCTCACTCCCCGCCTTCCTCAATCCAGAATCTGAGCAGGAAACGAATCTGGTCAAAGCACGTGGTTGGATTTTCGTGACCCAGTGCTTCCAAAAGGCCAAACCTCACCTCTGCTCCACCTGCCCCCACTCTTGGATCCAGCAGCCTCACACTTCCCAGGCCTCTGCCCTGACATCTGCCTCCCTAGAAGGATGAAGAGCAGTAGCGCCTGGAATTCCAACCATCTGCCACAGTCTTGCATGGCACAGGTGAGTTTTGTGGGAGATGGGGTGGGGTGGAGAGTAGACAACGTTTCTGGCATTTTCACAAATGGCCACTCTGATGCTGGCCTCTCGCTCTGTCCTGCCAGCAAAGGGTCAGACTAGGTGGTGGCCTGGGAGCAAATGGGGCATGAGCAATCAATGCTTCCTACCTATCTGGGCCCAGTGTAAAAGTGGGCAGTTAGAGGAGATGTTGTTGACTTTAGATTCATCTCCTTCCTCATTAGCATAGTTGGTGAGTATTCCCTTCTGTCCTGACAGATCTGGATTTGATCCCCCTGCCATTTAACTAATTTGTTACCACTTCACTTTTGTTTATACATTTTATTTCCTGGCTTACAATTAACCAATTCGTTACCATATAGATATATGGTTTTTATTTTACAAAAAAATCTAAACGGATTATGAGTTTACAAGCTCAGTAAAGTATTGGCTGGCTCTGGACTTCCCTAATAAGCCACATTAAACACCTGGTGACAGCTGCCAATGCAAAGGTCAAGGGCTGCTAATACCGGACTGCCTAGAACTCCATGATTTTAACTACTTTCAGGATTTCAAAGTGGGGGAAAGTTTTATTAATTACTAATACTATGACTGTGCTAATCCACCCATTCTAGATTTAGAATATTCCTGAGAGACTGCATGTTTCCGTGGCAAAATTAAACGTACTCAGGAGGCCAAGGCAGGAGGATCGCTTGACCCCAGGAGTTTGAGAGCAGACTGGGTAGCATAGCATAACATCTCTTAAAAAAAGAAAAAGAAGAAGAAATAGAGAAAAAATTAAACACAAGTATACATTAGTGATTCTCAACATGGGTGGGCCTAGTCCCCTTAAGGAGCATTTCAGAATTCCTCAGTGGACATCAGCCTTCGCGCAGCCTCCCTACCCATCAGGTGCTGATGAGGTTAGCAACCAGATGTTTGGCCTCCCCATTTGCTTCCCTTGAGAATTGTGGCTAGCGATATTAGGAGCTCACTACCATTCTTAATTTACCCCTTTGAGTAAACGATCAACATTTTTCTTTTAAACATGTATTTCAGGCCGGGTGCAGTGGCTCATGCCTGTAATCCCAGCACTTTGGGAGGCTGAGGCAGGCAGATCACTTGAGGTCAGGAGTTCCAGACCAGCTTGGCCAACATGGTGAAACCCCATCTCCACTAAAAATACAAAAATTAGCCAGGCATGGTGGTGCATGCCTGTAATCCCAGCTACTTGGGAGGCTGAGGCAGGAAAATCACTTGAACCCGGGAGGCAGAGGTTGCAGTTAGCTGAGATCATGCCACTGCACCCCAGCCTGGGTGACAGAGCAAGACTCTGCCTCAAAAAATAAACAAATAAATAAATAAATATATATATATATATATGTATGTATGTATGTATGTATTTCAGAAAGAAGAAATGATACTGGACTACAGAAGCATTACTGAGATGCTGTGGTCATCAGGCCAAGGGTCGTGGATGGGAATCTGTGGGGAGGCATTCCCCCATGCCCACAGTCCCCTCACTCTTTAGCCAGAGTATTGTTAGGTTTGGTTCTTGACCAAGGTCTCAGGCTCAACTCGTGTGTGTGCTTCAATATGGGTTGGTTCCTTCCTCCCTTCCTTCCTTCCTACCTCCCTCCCTCCCTTCTCTTTCTTTCTGTATTGAGGCCAGAGTCTCACTCATTGCCCAGGCTGGAGTGCAATGGTGTGATCTCGGCTCACTGCAACCTGCGCCTCCCGGGTTCAAGCGATTCTTCTGCCTGAGCCTCCAGAGTAGCTGGGATTACAGGCACCCACCACCACGCCCGGCTAATTTTGTATTTTAGTAGAGACAGGGTTTCACCATGTTGGTCAGGTTGGTCTCAAACTCCTGACCTCAGCTGATTCACTCGCCTCAGCCTCCCAAAGTGCTGGGATTACAGGTGTGAGTCACAGTGCCCAGCCTATTGATCTGTCTTTGAATTCACTAATCTTGTCTCCTGCTGTGTCCAATTTGCTGTTAAACCCATTCAGAGGGTTCTGTTCTAGAAGTTTTTGTCTCTATTCCAATTCTCTGTTGAAATTCTTCTCATCTACTTTCCATCTTTTCCTCTATTTTTTAAAAATAAAATTGTGATTATTTTAAAGTTCTTGCCTGTGAACTTAAACAATTGGCTTATATTTGTTTCTGCTTCTACTGTTTTCTTTTTTCTCTTGACCATTGGTCACATTTTCCTTTCTCTTCACATGTCTCCTAATTTTTATTGTATGCTGAACATTATGTAAAAAATAACTAGAGGCCAGGCTGGTGGCTCACACCTGTAATCCCAGCACTTTGGGAGGCCGAGGTGGGCAGATCATTTAAGGTCAGAAGTTCAAGACCAGCCTGGCCAACATGGTGAAACATGGTGAAACTTCATCTCTACTAAAAGTACAAAAATTAGCTGGGCATGGTGTCTTGTGCCTGTAATCCCAGCTATTCAGGAGGCTGAAGCAGGAGAATCACTTGAACCTCAGAAGTGGAGGTTGCAGTGAGCCAATATCATGCCACTGCACTCCAGCCTGGGCGACAGAGTGAGACTGTCTAAAAAAAAAAAAAAAAAAAAAAAAAAAAAAAAAATATATATATATATATATATATATATATAGAGAGAGAGAGAGAGAGAGAGAGAGAGAGAGAGAGAGAATATACATATATATACACCCAGCCTGGGTGACAGAGTGAGACTCTGTCTCAAAAAAAAAAGCTTTATATATATATATATATATATATATATATATATATATATATATATATAAAGCTTTTTTATATATAAAAAATATATTTTTATATATAATATAAAATTATATATATAAAATATATTTATATACATAAAAGCTTTTTTATATATATATATAAAGCTTTTTTTTTTTTTTGAGACAGAGTCTCGCTCTGTCACCCAGGCTAGAGTGCAGTGGCGCCATCTTGGCTTACTGCAAGCTCCGCCTCCCGGGTTCACGCCATTCTCCTGCCTCAGCCTCCAGAGTAGCTGGGACTACAGGTGCCCACCACCACACCCGGCTAATTTTTTGTATTTTTAGTAGAGACGGGGTTTCACCATGTTAGCCAGGATGGTCTCGATCTCCTGACCTCATGATCCGCCCGCCTCTGCCTTCCAAAGTGCTGGGATTACAGGCGTGAGCCACCACGCCCAGCCAAAAAAGCATATTTTTCTCTTTTTCTTTTCTTTTTTTTTTTTGAGAAGGATTCTCACTCTGTCGCCCAGGCTGGAGTGCAGGGGCACAATCTCGGCTCACTGCAACCTTCGCCTCCCGGGTTCAAATGATTCTCCTGCCTCAAACTCCTGAGTAGCTGGGACTACAAGCATGAGCCACCACGCCCAGCTAACTTTTGTATTTTTTAGTAGAGATGGGGTTTCACCGCGTTGGCCAGCCTGGTCTCGAACTCCTGACCTCAAGTGATCCACTCGCCTTGGCCTCCCAAAGTGCTGGGATTACAAGGGTGAGCCACCATGCCCGGCCAAAATACATGTTTTTCTTGAGTTGTCTTTGTCTCATGGATTTGTAGGAGTAGTTTTGATATTATGTTGTGAATATCTTCACCCCAGTCAGTCCTCTTCTATTTCTCCCAAAAGGTATTGTATACTTTCACTTTTTTTCCCTCTTATCACTCACGGGCACACAAAATTGATTCAATCATCTCCCTCAGTTTATTGCACTTTATTTATTTATGTATTATTTATTTATTTTGAGATGGAGTCTCACTCTGTCACTCAAGCTGGAGTGCAAGGGCATGATCTTGGTTCACTGCAACCTCTGCTTCCCAGGTTCAAGCGATTCTCCTGCCTCGGCCTCCTGAGTAGTGGGGACTACAGGCATGCGCCGTCATGCCTGGCTAATTTTTGTATTTTTAGTAGAGACAGGATTTTTCCACGTTGGCCAGGCTGGTCTCAAACTCCTGACCTCAAGAGATCCACCCTTCTCAGCCTCCCAAAGTGCTGGGATTACAGGCATGAGCCACCCCGCCCAGCCCTATTGCTCATTATAATCATTGATTGGGTAAGATCCCTGTTCTGTTATATTGTCTCATTATTTTCTCCTCATCTCCCATTCTTACACCAATTCCTCTCCCCTACAATGCACCCAGTTTTGTATATTTAGTCTGTTTTTTAAATATACATATTATTTCTAAAAATATTAGGCCAGGCACGGTGGCTCATGCCTGTAATCCCAGCACTTTGGGAGGCCCAGGCAGGTGGATCACCTGAGGTCAGGAGTTCAAGACCAGCTTGGCCAACATCGTGAAACCCCGTCTCTACAAAAATACAAAAAAATTAGCCAGGCATGAAGGCAAGTGCCTGTAATCCCAACTACTCAGGAGGCTGAGGTGGGAGTATCGCTTGAACTCAGGAGGGGGAGGTTGCAGTGAGCCAAGATTGTGCCACTGTACTCCAGCCTGGGTGACAGAGACTCCACCTCAAAAAAAAAAAAAAAAATGAATCTGGAGATATAAAAGGTATCAGTGTTTGTGTATGTGAGAGTGTGTTTATTTAACAAAATGCAATATTGTATATTTGCAAAAATGGGTTTCTGCTATGAATTTTATGCTATTTCCTACTCCCTTTTCACTGTTTTTGTGAAAACAGTGTATTTTTATTCTCTCTCTTTTGCATCAGTAAACCAAGCCTAAGTAAATCTATGCATTAGTGATGGACATCTGGACTGCCTCCAATTCTCACCATCACACACAGTCCTGTCATGAATATTCTGATACATGTCTCCTTATAGACCTAGGTGCTAGTTTCTCTTAGATATAGAGTTAGAAGGATTGCTGAGTCTTAAAGCATACAGTTACTTAAATACTTCCAGGTTGCTTCCCAACGTGCTATACCTGTTTAATTCCCATCAGCAGGACATGAGACTTCCCATTTGCCTATGTTTTATTTTATTTTATTCTATTCTATTTTTTTTTTTTTTTTTAGACAGAGTCTCACTCTGTCACCTAGGCTGGAATGCAATGGCATGATCTCAGCTCACTGCAGCCTCTGCCTCCCAGGTTCAAGCGACTCTCCTGCCTCAGCCTCCCGAGTATGTGGGATTACAGGCATGGACCACCATGCCCAGCTAATTGTTGTATTTCTAGTAGAGATGGGATTTCACCATATTCATCAAGCGGGTCTCAAACTCCTGACCTCAGGCGATCCACCCGCCTCAGACTCCCAAAGTGCTTGGATTACATGCACGAGTCACTGTGCCCGGCCTCTCATTTGCCTATATGTTACCCAAGACATGACTTTCTAATGTTTACCAAAGATATAAATTGGTATCTCGCCATTTTAATTTATTTCCATTTCTCTGATTACTAGTGAGGTTCATCATTCTTCATATTTTTAGCTACTTAGCTTTCCCCTTCTTAAGTTGGACTATTCACATTCTTTACCCATTTTTTTATGTTAGGTTTCCTGTTGGGTATTTTCTTTTCTTTCTAATTTCAGAAGTTCCTTGTATCTTCTAGAATCTAATTATAAATCCCTTGTTTTAGATATCATATCTTCTCCTTGTTATTATCTCTTCGTCCATGATGTGCCTCATTGAAGTCTTTCATATCGAGTTGCTCAGATTCATCCATTTATTTTCCCTCTATGCTGTATGGTTTTACGATCTTCTATTTTAAAAATTCTTTCCCACCCCAAGGTAACAAAAACGTTATTCTGAATTTTTGTCTATTAGCTTCATGGTTTCATCTTTGACTTTTTGATATCTAATCTATTGGAAAGTGGTAACTGTGTGAGTTATAATCCAATTTTATTTTCCCAACATACTGTAAGTCAGTTTTCTCAAGATTATCCGCTAAACAACTCATTAATTCAAATATTATATCATATATGAAATTTCTGTTCACACTCAGGTCTGTTTCTGGATTCTGTATTCTGTTCCATTGGGTACTTATTTATTCTTGTGTCAGTGCTACACAGTTTTTAAAATTTACTATGGCTATTGTCTTTTTTTTTTTTTTAATAGAGATGAGGGTATCGCCATGTTTGTTGCCCAGGCTGGTTTCAAACACCTGAGTTCTGAAGGGGGCTAGCCCCTCCACACCTGTGGGTATTTCTCCTCAGGTGGGACAAGAGACTGAGAAAAGAAATAAGACACAGAGACAAAGTATAGAGAAAGAACAGTGGGCCCAGGGGACTGGCGCTCAGCATACAGAGGACCCGCACTGGCACTGGTCTCTGAGTTCCCTCAGTATTTATTGATCACTATCTCTACCATCTCGGAGAGGGGGATGTGGCAGGACAATACGGTAATAGTGGGGAGAGGGTCAGCAGGAAAACATATGAGCAAAGGTCTCTGTGTCATAAATAAGTTTGAGGAAAGGTGCTGTGCCTTGATGTGCATGTACACAAACATCTCGGTGCATTAAAGAGCAGTATTGCCACCAGCATGTCTCACCTCCAGCCCCAAGGCGGTTTTCTCCTATCTCAGTAAATAGAACGTACAGTCGGGTCTTACACCGAGACATTCCATTCCCAAGGATGAGCAGGAGACAGATGCCTTCCTCTTATCTCAACTGCAAAGAGGCCTTCCTCTTTCAGTAATCCTCCTCATCACAGACCCTTTAAGGGTGTGGGGCTGGGGGACAGTCAGGTCTTTCCCTTCCCATGAGGCCATATCTCAGGCTATCAGATGGGGAGAAACCTTGGACAATATCTGGCTTTCCTGGGCAGAGGTCCCTGCAGCCTTCCGCAGTATATGTGTCCCTGGGTACTCGCGAGTAGAGAATGGCAATGACTTTTACCAAGCATACTGCGTTCAAACACTTTTTTTAACAAAGCACATCCTGCACAGCCCTAAATCCATTAAACCTTGAGTCAATGGCCAGGCGCTGTGGCTCACGCCTGTAATCCCAGCACTTTGGGAGGCCAAGGTGGGCGGATCACGAGGTCAGGAGATGGAGACCATCCTGGCTAACACGGTGAAACCCTGTCTCTACTAAAAATACAAAAAATTAGCCGGGTGTTGTGGCGGGTGCCTGTAGTCCCAGCTACTCGGGAGGCTGAGGCAGGAGAATGTGGTGAACCCCAGAGGCGGAGCTTGCAGTGAGCGGAGATGGCGCCACTGCACTCCAGCCTGGGAGACAGAGTGAGACTCTGTCTCAAAAAAAAAAAAAACCTGGAGTCAACACAGCACATGTCTCTGGGGCACAGGGTTGGGGCTAGGGTTACAGATTAACAGCATCTCAAGGCAGGCAGAAGAGTTTTTCTTAGTACAGAACAAAATGCAGTTTTTTTGGTTTTTTTTGAGACGGAGTCTCACTCTGTCGCCCAGACTGGAGTGCAGCGGCGCAATCTCGGCTCACTGCAACCTCTGCCTCCTGGGTTCAAGCGATTCTCCTGCCTCAGCTTCCCGAGTAGCTGGGACTACACATATGCGCCACCATGCCTGGCTAATTTTGTATTTTTAGTAGAGACGGGGTTTCACCATGTTGGTCAGGTTGGTGTAAACTCCTGATCTCAGGTGATCCACCCACCTCAGCCTCCCAAAGTGCTGTGATTACAGGCGTGAGCCACCGCGCCTGGTCAGAGCTTGTAGATTTTTTTCTTTTTTTTTTTTTGACAGTCTCGCTCTATCGCCCAGGTTGGAGTGCAGTGGCGTGATCTTGGCTCACTGCAAGCTCTGCCTCCCAGGTTCATGCCATTCTCCTGCTTCAGCCTCCTGAGTAGCTGGGACTACAGGCACCCGCCACCATACCTGGCTAATTTTTTTGTGTTTTTAGTAGAGAGGGGGTTTCGCCGTGTTAGCCAGGATGGTCTCCATCTCCTGACCTTGTGATCCACTCGCCTCGGCCTCCAAAAATGCTGGGATTACAGACATGAGCCACCACGCCTGGCTGAGCTTGTAGATTTTCAATGGAAACTGGGTTTGGCTGTGAGATGTGACAGTTGCAGATCTCTTAAGTATCCTTATGTTGCAGTGATGCTAAAAGTGCCACTCATTCAGTCCAAGTAAAGAACAAGTCCTTTGAAATGACAATTCCACAGTTTCAGAATTTATGCAGACAATTCAAGGAGATTGCTGCAGTTATTGAAACTATGTGAAATGGATTATTTGGTTGATAAATTACTATCATTCTAAAGTCATGGACTTCACTTTCTGCAACAAAACCGCATAAGAATGAAGTATTTATTGAATGAAAAATTGCACTTTTGTTTTTTTTCTTTTTTTTGAGATGGAGTTTCACTCTTTGTTGCCCAGGCTGGAGTGCAGTGGCATGATCTCGGCTCACTGCAACCTCTGCCTCCCAGGTTCAAGGGACTCTCCTGCTTCAGCCTCCTGAGTAGCTGAGATTACAGGTGCCCACCACCACACCCCGCTAATTTTTGTATTTTTAGTAGAGATGGGGTTTCACCATGTTGGCCAGGCTGGTCTCGAACTCCTGACCTCAGGTGATCCGCCCAGCTCGGCCTCCCAAAGTGCTGGATTACAGATGTGCGCCACCACATCCAGCTGTTTTTCCATTTTTAAAAATAATTTTAAAAATTCAGACAAAAAAAAGATAATAGCGGCCAGGCTCATTAGCTCACAGCTGCAATCCCAGCACTTTGAGAGGGTGGGTGGATCACTTGAGCTTGTGGGGGAAAGAAAGAGAGATCAGACTGTTACTGTGTCTATGTAGAAAGAAGTAGACATAAGAAACTGCATTTTGTGCCAGGTGCCTTGAACCCAGGAGCTGAGAACGTGCTAAGGAAGGAGACCACTACTACTCCTGCTGCCCTCCTCCCCCCACCTTGCCTAGTTCACAAGACAGGAGGAAAGAGAGAAAGCCAAAAGTTGGAAAAAAAACAAAAGTGAGATAAATAGCCAGACAATCTTGACACCACCACCTGGCCCTAGGAGTTAAAAAAAGTTATAATAATAACATCAACCCCTGACCTAAACTACTTGTGTTATCTATAAATTCCAGACACTGTATGAAAAAAGCACTGTAAAACTTTTTGTTCTGTTAGCTGATGCATGTAGCCCCCAGTCACGTTTCCCACGCTTGCTCAATTTATCACGACCCTTTCATGTGGACCCCTTAAAGTTGTAAGCCTTTAAAAAGGCCAATAATTTCTTTTTCGGGGAGCTCAGCTCTTAAGGCGCAAGTCGGCTGATGCTCCCGGCAGAATAAACCACTTCCTTCTTTAATCCGGTGTCTGAGGAGTTTTGTCTGTGGCTCGTCCTGCTGCATTTCTTGGTTCCCTGACCAGGAAGTGAGGGGATTAATGGAAGGCCAAGGCAGCCCCTTAGGCAGCTTAGGTCTGCCCTGTAGAGCATCCCTGCGGGGGACTCTGGCCAGCTTGAGCCATGCAGATCCTGAGAGCGCTCCCAGGTAGGCATTTGTCCTGGTGGAATGCCTTGTCAGAGCAGTGCACAGCAGGCCCCCGCAGAGGATCAATGCAGTAGCTGAACACCGGGAAGGAACTGGCACTTTAAGTCCAGACATCTAAAACTTGGTAAGACTGGTCTTTGGATCTTGCCCACTCCATTTGAGTGGAAGCATGGCCTGATCACCCATGGCGTGCCTGTACCAGCACTTTGGTTTTTGTTTTTGACTTGACTTGAATTGCTTGACTCTTTGGTTTTAGTTTTGATTTTGATTTGACTTGAATTGCTTGATAAACAGGCATGCCTTTATTGGCACTTTGGTTTTGGTTCTGATTTTGACTTGGCTTAAATTGCTTGATGAACAGGTGTGCCTTTAACAACACTTTGGTTTTCGTTTCGATTTTGATTTAGTGTGAATTAGACAAGTGAGTGACCTTTTACCCTTTCCTTCTTGTAGTGTGAATGTTGTTTTGTCTCAAGAGAAAAATAGGTCAGACACAAAGTAAGCCCACTCCGCTAGGAACTGTGTAAAAAATTTTCAAAAAGAAAAATAAAAGGATAGTCATCAAATCATCAAAACTTACTCTATTAAAATGTATGTTACAGAACCTTAAGAAAGGTTTCACAGGAGATTACAGAGTTAAGTTAACCCCCTAGAGGTTAGGAACTCTGTGTGAATTAGAATTGCCCTCTTTTGGTGTTGGATGGCCCACCGAAGGAACTATAGACAGGGAACAATTGGCCATGTATTTAAGGTGGTGACAGGGGTCAGAGGACAGCCAGTGTACCTAGATTAAATTCCTTTATATTGACTCATGGTTAAATATAATATAGACAAAACCAGCATAAATTTAGCCCTGTTTAACAGCTTATTGCAAAAAAGCCAAAAGTAAAAGTAAGAGCAGCTTCGCCAGCAGTCAGAGTTAAAAAGGGAGTCCCAGAAACAGCAAAAGAAGCCAGTTTTGCAGGAGCCACCAAAGATAATAGAAATTATTTCTCCACATATCCCAGCCTACCCACCTTTACTGAAGCCAACAGCCCCCTCAGAAATGAGATTCAGGAGCTAACAGGCCCCAGGTCTCACCTCGAAGGGGAGGATTGGAGCCTCGAGAGGCCAAGGAAGAAGGTCAAGATAGTCAAGTGGGCCGTCTCAGATCTGGTCTTGCTGGAGCTATGCAAATGCCTCTCAGGAAGACACCAGGACCTGTCTATTATAATGACCAGGCCCACATCTTGGGGGGCAACAGACTTTCATCTATCAGCCCTTTTCAACCATTGATCTACTAAACTGGAAACACCCTGAACCTGCCACCTTGCTCCCAGCAGCTAGAGCCCTGTCGAGCATAACAGTGCAGAGGTGTTGGACTCAAGTTTACTCTAGCAGACCTGACCTCCGGGACCAGCCTTGGGCATCAGTAGACTGGGAGCTATACAGCTTCATCAACCCACAAGGAGAGAGATATGCAGAATATGCAGTGGTAACCCTGGACACTGTTGTTAAGCTGAGCTCATTGCTTTAATTCGGGTCTTAGAACTCAGTGAAGGTAAGACTGTAAACATTTACACTGACTCTCAGTATGCCTGTTTAACCCTCCAAGTGCATGAAAAATTATATAAAGAAAAGGGCCTGTTAAACTCCAGGAAAAAGGGGAAAAAAGGCCCAGAGAATGCAACTCAGCTTCAGTGTTTGCAGAGGTACTGAGAAGCACTTCTGCAGAGGTTAAGAGTTGGTAGAAAAAAGCAAGTAATATAAAAAAGATTTCAGGAATGCTTTAAGGAGCTGGCAAGAGCCTAAGTCAGTTTTATAAGAGACTCTATACAGCATTCTGGCTTTACACCCCATTTAACCCTGAGGCTGCTGAAAATCAGTATATAGTGAATACTTCATTTGTAAAGCAAGCCTACGGTAACAGCAAGCAGAAGCTGCAGGCATGAATACCACCTAGTCTATAAAAGTGGCCACCAAGGTGTACGTTAACTGTGACCAAGGAACAAAACTGGGAAAGAGCAAAAGAAAAAGAAAGACTAAGTGTGAAAAAGAGAATCAGAAGGAAACAGGAGAGACAGACAGCAGTGCGTGGGGGCAGGGCCCGTGCCATTGCCCGGCCCCACCAGCTGGCTGTAGGAGCAGGAGAACTCAGAAAAAAAAAAAAAAAAAAAGTAAATTAAAGACTTAAGAAGAAAAAGCCAATATGTTAGCAACAGCTCTTATAAAAAAAATTAGCAATGTGAGAGGACATGGACGTGGATGTAGACAAGAAAGAAGTCAAGTTAGGCAAGTATTCAAGAGCCAGACAAGGCTAGAGAGAGAATAATGTATGAGATGCAAAAAGAAAGGACACTAGAAGGGTAAATGTTCAGAAGGCAATAAAGGAAATGGCCAAGGCCGCAAGACAAAGAGGCCATCGGCCAAGGGCAGCTGCACCTTGGAGGAACCAAATACTGATCTGATCAGGCTGACAGGAGCTGAAGAATGTAAAGACTAGGGCAGACTAGGCACCTTCTCATTAGGCTCCCAGGAGCCCATGGTCACATTAGAAGTTAAAAGCAGCAAGATTCTGCCGTATCTGTATTCCAGCTTCTCACTGAAGGCTAAGCCACTAGATAAAGTTACAAAGGCCGGGTGGGGGGAAGAAACCCTCCTCTAAGAAACTTAAACAGGACAAAGAGCCATACCTTGTGAAAACTTGCTCATGGACTTTACAGAACTGCCCCGTGCTGGAGGCTATCGGTACATGCTAGTGCTTCTTTGCACCTTTTCAGGGTAAGTTAAAGTTTTCCCCACCAGGACAGAAAAAGTACAAGAAGTGACTAGAGTACTGTTAAAAGACATTATCCCCAGGTTTAGACTACCTCTAACTTTAAAGTTAGACAATAGGCCAGCATTTGTAGCTGAAATAGTGCAAGATTTAACAAGACTGTTAAAAATAAAATGGAAGTTACACACAGCCTATCGGCCACAAACTTCAAGAAAAGGTGGAACACATGAACTGGACACTCGAGCAGCTACTGAAAAAAATATTGCCAGGAAATTCATTTAAGATAAAATCAGGTTTTTGCCTACGGTCCTCCTCCGAGTCAGGTGCACCCCCAACAAACAAACTAGGTATTTGCCGTATAAGATTTTGTTCGGTCGGCCACCCCTAAATCATAGGTCAAATTAAAGGTGACCTCCAGAAACTAAAGGAATTAACCTTTTTTTAATGCTTAATTCACTTTATTTTTCTTGTATAAAAACTCTATGTTGTAGCCACAGCTGGAGCCTGGGTCCGCTGCACGGAGACTCTGGTGTGGGTCTTGATGAGGTGGTCAGTGAATTCCTGATAGGGAGACTTGGTAAATACAGTCTCCTTCCAGAGGTCAGGGGTCAGGTAGCTGTAGGTCTTAGAAATGGCATCAAAGGTGGCCTTGGAGAAGTTGCCCAGGGTGGCAGTGCAGCCCTGGGCTGAGGTGTAGCAGTCATCGATACCAGCCATCATGAGCAGCTTCTTGGGCACAGGTGCGGAGACGATGCCAGTGCCCCTGGGTGCAGGCATAAGGTGCACCAGCACGGAGCCGCTGCGGCCTGTCACCTTGCAAGGGACGGTGTGGGGCTTGCTGATCTTGTTACCCCAGTAGCCTCTGCGCACGGGGACAATGGAGAGCTTGGCCAGGATGATGGCCCCACGGGTGGCGGTGGCCACCTCCTTGGAGCACTTAACACCCAGACCAACGTGGCCATTGTAGTCCCCGATAGCAACAAACGCCTTGAACCTGGTGCGCTGGCCGACACGGGTCTGCTTCTGCACTGGCATAATCTTCAAAACCTCATCCTTGAGAGAGGCCCCCAGGAAAGAGTCAATGATCTCTGATTCCATATTTCTGCATCTCAATCGTTTCTTCATATTTGCCTTTTTCCTCTTGTTTGGTGAGATGTGGCTTTCCACTCAGGTTTCCTTTTGCTTTGTCCAGCTTTGGCCTAGCCATGACCACCACACCTTGCTTAATGGGCAGGGAGAAGACATAGATCTCCTCCAGGGACTTGATCTTCATGTCCTTGACAAAGCGGCCCAGCTTTGTGACAGGCATCCACTCCTTATCCTTGGCCTTGCCTCCGCGATCTCCAGGGCCTTGGCCCCAGCCCCGTCCATGGCCGCGACCCCGGTTCTGGATGCCACTGCCAAAACCTCCGTGGAAGCCACCACGGTTCCCTATCCCAGGGCCACCAGGGCCTCCGGGCCCCCCCCCCCCCCACCCGCTGCACCGGTGTCATCCGCCATTTGTTGTTTTCTCGCAGAAGAAGAGGAATTAACCTTAAGAAAGCAAATGCAGGCTTTAAAAATAGCCATACAAAGTGTTCATAATTAAATAAATGAAAATGCCTATAAGCCAGACACCCCTTTAAATCTAGTGACTCTGTTTAAAGCAAAATCTAATTTTTCTAGGATCCATATAGCATGGGCCCTATACTGTAACCTTGTCCACTCCCACTGCTGTTAAAGTTGCAGGTGTGGTGTCTTGGATCCACCACAGTTGGCTAACACCAGCAGCTCAAGACAAGTAGCAGCCAGCAGGATGCAGATTATCCAACCCTGATGATCCTGAGATGAGACCAAACTGCTGCTGAGGATGACAGCCGTGCTCTGGTCACTCCAGAGGCTGACCAGTCTGCGCATGGCTGAACCTTGAGGAGACAACAAGCCCTGCTCTAGTCACACACCGGCAGCTGACTAGTCTATGCACAGCCGAAGCTTGAGGACTCATCAAGCAAGTAAATGTAGTTAAAAATCTTAAGACTAATAGTTTTCCTGTAATATTGTTTTCCTATTGTTCTGTCACTGTATTCAACCTTTTTCCCAGTAAGGACCTCTTTTGTCCTTGCTGGATATGAATATGCTGTACATTGTTTTGTTGTTGCTACCCCCCCCATAACCATGCTAGAAGAAACATCTATATAAGGTGTCCCCACTGTACACATACTACTTAGGAAACCCAGACCCATCCAGCCCAGCAACAATTCCAAGTCTTTCAGTCATTCTTTAAACATATAAACCAGAAGTTACCAGAACCTCCTCCTTTAGCAAAAAAGGAAAAAACCTATTTGCTCAGCTGGCTGAAAACATTGCTGGCAGCCTAGATGTTTCTTCATGTTATGTTTAAAAAAAGGCTAACATAAGAGACCAATGGCCTTGAGAAGCAAAAGAGTTAATGCCTCGAAGATAACTTCAACTAGCTCTTTCCCCAAAGAGACGCCACAAGTTCAAGTGTCTGGCTCTTAAAATCTTCTATTATTAAAAAATACTGTGTTATTCTCTAGGAAAAAGCTTTTAAGACCCAGTTAATAAACTAACCTGCTTAGGACATGACAAAGTTGATACATGTGCATATACAGGTTTAACACAGGTTTGATCCTAGGTCTTTATTTAGAAAATAGTTTCCAGCTACAAAAAATTTAAAACCCTCACTGTAAGTGCATTACTAGTAATAGCAACTTGCTTGCTGCTCCCCTGTGTATTACGCTTGCTCTTTCAAACGATAAAAGGTTTTGTAACTACCATGGTTTGTCAGAAAACTTCAACACGAGTGTATTACATAAAACATTATCACTCTGTCTTGCAAAAAGACTCAAAAGGTAAAAATAAAAGTGAGAACTCCCACTAATTAGTGAAAATTCTCAAAGTGGGGGATAAGGAAGGAGACCACTACTACTCCTGCTGCCTCCCCCCCATCTTGCCTAGTTCACAAGACAGGAGAAAAGAGAGAAAGCAAAAAGTTGGAAAAAAAAAAAAAAAGATAAATAGCCAGACAACCTTGACACCACCACCCAGCCCTAGGAGTTAAAAAAAGTAATAATAATAACATCAACCTCTGACCTAAACTACTTGTGTTATCTGTAAATTCCAGACACTGTATGAAAAAAGCACTGTAAAACTTTCTGTTCTGTTAGCTGATGCATGTAGCCCCCAGTCACGTTTCCCACATTTGCTCGATTTATCACGACCCTTTCATGTGGACCCCTTAAAGTTTTAAGCCTTTAAAAAGGCCAAGAATTTCTTTTCCGGGGAGTTCGTCTCTTAAGACGCAAGTCGGCCGACGCTCCCGGCCAAATAAACCACTTCCTTCTTTAATCCGGTGTCTGAGGAGTTTTGTCTGCAGCTGGTCCTGCTACAGTGCCACTGCACTCCAGCCCAGGCAACAAAGAGCAAAACTCCATCTCAAAAAAAAGAAAAGAAAAGAAAATCTACAAGCTAGTTGGTGACCTTGGACTTGGCATCCAGTGGCAGCTCACTGGACTCCTCCATGGGAGGTGTCTGGAGCTGGCATCGTGGACTCGAGCAAACACTTCCCCCCTCCCCCAGTTATCAGTTACAATGAGTCTCCTTATTTTCTTTTGTCAAAATTCCGTTGATTATCCATGGACTTATGCATTCATATAAATTTTACAATCAGTTGTCAAGTTATATAAGCCATTCTGTTGATATATTGATATCGCATGGGTCTTGCAGGAGAACATGGAGGAAATTCACATCTTTATAATACTAAATCACCTCATTTATAAATAAGGTAAATCTCTTCACTTAATTAGTTCTCAACTTGCCCTTGAATAATTTTAAGTGTTTCTCAATACAAAGGTTATGTGCATTTATTCTGTGTCTTGTTCTTAGACATGTTATGATTTTGTTCTATCATGAATGATATGTTATTTTCTCATATTTTCTAGGTGACTACTGCTGATGTGGTGGAAATTTCTGATTTTTTAATGTTGACTTTGTAGCCAGCAATCTTATTGAACTATTTTATTCATTCTAATAGTTTACTAATAATTCTGCTTCATTTTCTATGTAGCTAATCAAAACAAATGTGCCTCTTTGAGAAACTATATAGCACCAAGGTTAAAAGGTGAAATCTGGAAGCCATAAAAACTAGTTTCAAAACTGTAGTTAATTCCTCTACTTCCTTTCCAGATTACAAATTTAATATCCAATTTTCTTGCCTGAGACTAGACTCCTCTACTGAAGACTCATTTTATAACATTCCTTATCTTCCCATCATCACCAGCCCATCTACAACACAAAGGAAGAAATCCTTTGCCCTATTGCCTCCTGCTGCCATAAAATTATATATTATGGGATAGCAGAGTCTTTTTTTTTTTTTTTTTTTTTTTTTTTGAGACAGAGTCTTGCTTTGTCACCCAAGCTGGGGTGCAGTGGCGCCATCTTGGCTCACTACAACCTCCGCCTCCCGGGTTCAAGCAATTCTCATGCCTCAGCCTCGGAGTAGCTGGGATTACAGGTACCCGCCACTATGCCCAGCTAATTTTTGTATTTTTAGTAGAGACAGGGTTTCATCATGTTGCTCAGGCTGGTCTCGAACTCCTAACCTCAGGTGATCCGCCCAGCTCAGCCTCCCAAAGTGCTGTGATTACAGGCATGAGCCACTGCGCCCAGCCTCAGAATCTCAAGAAGGAGAATGTGGTAGAAGATACTGAGCAATGGGATAGTAAAGAGTTGGGGACAGAGTTAAGTTTTATAAGGAATTAGGGATACGAGAAGCTCTAAGAGCCAAGATTTGGGTTATTCAATTCAGAATGGGGAAGGAACCTCAGCTTCATGATGGTAAAAAATTCCACCACCTTTGCCCAGAAAAAAGTGATTCACATCCTGATATCACTGTGTACTCAGGGAAATAGCTCCCCACAAGGCATTGCATTAGGGAGAAACTATGGTGAGGAACAGTGATGAGCAGGGCATGAAGAGTGATTGTCCTAAGCCAGATGTGATGTCATGAGGGTGAACTCCAGGACCTCCTGTCCTTCAGGACGGTCCCACAGTCTCACTGACCACTGAGGCCAGATGCATAAAAGCTTTGCCTTCCCAGAGACTGATCGGGGAAAAGGTACTGGCACAGCCTCTTCAGTTCCTGGCATGGAAGGGCAGAGACTAGCCCACATTGAAAGTGGCCTCTTTCAGTGTAGGGATGATGGGAGGATCCTTGTGTCCTGGGCTACCCTAGGTCTCATCTGATCTTGCATAGTGAAAGCTACTCATGGGAGAACTCCGTTAGCCGGGAAGCCCTTAGAATGGAATCTTTCCTAACATTGACTCCAGTTTCTGGAAGTATATGCCATTCTTCTCCATTCTCTGTAGCACTGTGGGCTTACCCTCTGAAGAGAATGTTTGTTGGTTGCCACCTCAGCATTACAACATCCCATTCCCTTCTTAAGGGTACCCTAAATTTGTCAGCCATAGAGTTTGAGTAGGATTAGTCTTACCCCAGACCTCAGGAGTAGGCCCTAATGATTTAAACGAAGCAGCATATCCCATCCCTGTTACATGACAATGAGTTCTCCAAGAAGTACACACTTTTTTCTGCTGGCTGTGAACACAGGAACCTGTAGCCCAAGCTGCTTACGGTGGGCACTTTGAAAACATGAGTAGAGAGCCTGCCCCAGAATGGAGTCCACATTGAAGAAGAAGGACCAAGAGAAACCAGATACTTCTTTATTATTATTACTAATTGAGATGGAGTCTCACTCTGTTGCCCGGGCTGGAGTGCAGTGGTGCAATCTCGGCTCACTGCAGCCTCCACCGCCTGGGTTCAAGCAATTCTCATGCCTCAGCCTCCCACGTAGCTGGGACTACAGGTGTGCACCACTATGCACGGCTAATTATTTTGTATTTTTAGTAATACCAGGCTGGTCTTGGATTTTTGACCTCAGGTGATCTGCCTGCCTCTATCTCCCAAAGTGCTGGGATTACAGGCGTGAGCCACCGCGCCTGGCCCAGAGACTTCTTTGAGCCTTGTGTGAAGACTTACCTGAAGCCCAGATCTACCTAGGATTGTGAGGCAATATTTTCCCTTTATTATTTAAGCCAATTTTTTGATAAAGTTCCTTAACCTGATAAACTATTATCTGTCTAGCATTCAGTCCATTGGACATTTCTTTAAAAAAAAAAAAAGGAACAGTTCATGAATTTGTACATCAGCCTTGCACAGGGGCCATGTTAATTTTCTCTGTATTATTCCAATGTTAGCATATGTGCTGCCGAAGTGAGCACCATTGAACATCTCTGATGTCTTTCTACATTCTGCACAGCCTCAACCTGTAACCAGGTGCTTCTCTTCTGCTCTCTCACTACCACCCCCAACTCTTTAACTCTCCTCCTTTGCTTATTCATCCCACAATCCACCTTCTCCTCTAGATTCTTGCCAGATTAGAGCTCCTGGCGCAGTCAGCCAACATTGTTCCATGCTAGCCCCTGGACATTTGTATCATACAACAGCACGTAAGTCTTCACTGCTGCCTTGGTAATTCTCTCATCCTTCTCTTCTTAATTTTCTTCTCCTTTTTTTTTTTTTTTTTTGACGAAGTTTTGCTCTTTCATCCAGTCTGGAGTGTAATGGCGCGATCTCGGCTCACTGCAACCTGAGCCTCCCGGGTTCAAGCTATTCTCCTGCCTCAGCCTCCCGGGTAGCTGGGATTACAGGCGCGCGCCACCACGCCCAGATAATTTTTGTATTTTTAGTAGAAATGGCGTTTCACCATGTTAGCCAGGCTGGTCTGGAACTCCTGATCCTAGGTGAGATCCGCCCGCCTCGGACTCCCAAAGTGCTGGGATTACAGGCATGAGCCACCGCGCCCGGCCTCTTCTTAATTTTCCAAAGCTTTTGTCATATGGCATCCCTAAACCATCTCCTCTTCCTACCTCCTCAGATAATTTCACCCGCAGCAGTGGAAAAGATGAAGTCATTCGACATCAGCTGTCACTCTACACAGCTATCTTGGGGTTCTACCTACAGCGGTATCTTGAGTCCCTCCAGGAATACTCTTCACGGTCTCTTTCCTCTTCATTTGTTTCCTCCGACAATAATAAGGTGTAGTCCCACTAAGCGAGATACAGCCTGAGAACATCAGGGTCGCAGACTCTCCTTAACGTTAAGTAGCGCTTCCATCTTACCCAAGTCCAATTTACCTAGCTTCAGTCTCTTCATCTTTAAAACACGTTTAATAATTTGCTCGTGGCACTGTTGCAAAACTAGTTAAACTCGAGAATGTGAAAATGCTTCTAAATTCAGTGCTGGGCAAACATAAGGCGTATTTTGTTCCAAATATGAGCTGGTTTCCCTTGACCCGGCCAAGTCTGTCCCCTAGGTCTCTTCTACTCCGTTTTTCTCCAGTTTCCGGGGGGGTGGCTCTCAGTGACCGCGGTGGCCTGGCCCCAGGGCGTCCACGCTCCCCGCCAAGCGTTCCTTAGGGACCCGACAGGATCAGGAAAACTCCACGACGAGCATTCGGGGACGCCTGGAGCCCTGCCCAACTATCTCCGGGCTCTGGCTGCAGCCCTGACTGCGCCGGAAGTTTCCTGAGGAAGCACCATGGAGTTCACCCCTGTGCCCTCAGTCATGACCCCGCCGCGAGCAGCCCGGGACTTACCTGCTTTGCTGGCTACTTCCCTGCGCGCCCCGATCCCGAAGCTGTGGGTGGCCCGCCCGGGTACTTTTCTCGTGGGTCAGAGACACAGTGGTGAGCCTCTGACTTTTCAGAGTCATTTGTGGAAAACCTGCCACCGCCTGGTTTCCGTAGTGTAGTGGTTATCACGTTCGCCTCACACGCGAAAGGTCCCCGGTTCGAAACCGGGCGGAAACAAAGTGGTTCCCGTTTTTGTTTTTTTCCTTCCCCATATCCTTTCGAATTCTACGTAAGAATTCGCCCAGATCGCAGTGAGATCCCGGAACTCTAGGTCCGAGGAGAGTTGGAAGGACTGAAGGGCAGACCCCAGCAGCCGAGCGGCTCTCGACAACGGGCTCGGAGCCGGCGGCGCCCCTGGCGGCTGTGGGCGACTGGGTCCCTCCGGAGCCGTGAGACCTTTTGATATCATCAGGCACCGTGTCGCGGTTCCGCCCTGTCAGTTTTTGTGTCTTTTCTGACACCCAGAAGGAACTTCGGACACACTGGGAACCGGAAATGGCTGCTCAGTGAATGAAGTCGTCACTTCCGACCCGGACCCCTGAGGAGCAAGTTGTAGTTCAGGGCCTAGTCCTGAACGGCCGGTCCTTTTTTCAGACCCTGCTCAGGCTCTGGCTCTGGCTCCGGCTCCGGCCTCTTCGGCCGAGACTGCGATGGGTCGGTTTCCTCCACATAGTTTACAAACCTGTATACAGATCCAAGAGTGCGCTGGTGATTATCTCGCTTTGCGCTGATTGCCGGTATCATTAACTCAGTAGTCCAGAGGAACGAAACGAACGTGGTGACGGAGCGGGGATCACAACTCGCTCTGCTCTGTCACCCCCCCAAACTTGTCTTTACTGTGTTTATTTTCTCATTTGTCACCATCCAGTTCTCAGTCACGAAAATGTTAGTTCTTTCTCTTTCCTTTCAAGATTTTTAGGTTCTAAATCAGGTGGAAAGAATGTACATTTTTAATTAAAAGATTTTCACAATTCTCCTAAAAGGAGGACAAACAATTTGAACAGACACTTGATTAAAAAAAAGATATATGGGGCTGGGCGCGGTGGCTCACGCCTGTAATCCCAGCACTTTGGGAGGCTGAGGTGGGTGGATCACGAGGTCAGGGTGTTCCAGACCAGCCTGACCAAGATGGTGAAACCCCGTCTCCACTAAAAATATAAAAATTAGCTGGGCGTGGTGGCGGGTGCCTGTAATCCCAGCTATTCAGGAGGCTGAGGCAGGAGAATTGCTTGAACCAGGGAGGCGGAGGTTGCAGTGAGCTGAGATCGCGCCACTGCACTCCAGCCTGGGCTACAGAGCGAGACTCCATCTCAAAAAAAAAAAAAAGATATGTGGATTGCAAATAATCACATGGAAAGATGTCCAACGTCATTAATCATTAGGGAAACGCAAATTTAAAACACAATGAGATACCACTACACACATATCAGAATGTCTAAAATTTAAAAGACTGACCATACCAAGTTGGCAAGGATGTGGAGAAACCGGAACACTCATTCACTGCTGTTGGGAATGTAAAATGGTACATTCACTTTGGAAAACAGTTTGGGGGTTTTTAAAAGCGTTAAACTACTACAATATGACTCAGCCATTCCACTCCTAGGTATTTACCAAGAGTAAATAGAGCATATGCCCATACAAACGCCTGTACACAAACATTCATAGCAGCTCTATTTGTAATAGCCCCAAACTGTAGACTATCCAAATGTCAATCAACAAGTGAAAGACCGATCCATACAATGGAATGTTACTCAGCCAAAAAAAGGACGGAACTGCTCACATATACAACAACATGAATCTCAAGTATGCTGAGTAAAAAAAGCCACTGCACCCAGCCTCCATTACAGCATTTTGAATTTAAAATAAAACATTTTTTGGCCAGGCGCGGTGTTTCACGCCTTTAATCCCAGCACTCTGG
Source organism: Homo sapiens (assembly GCF_000001405.40). Lineage (NCBI taxonomy): Eukaryota > Metazoa > Chordata > Mammalia > Primates > Hominidae > Homo > Homo sapiens. Next base: position 161,397,958 of record NC_000001.11, on the reverse strand, counting down.
GAGGCTGAGGTGAGCGGATCGCTTGAGCCCAGGAATTTGAGACCAGCCTGGCCAACATGGCGAAACCCCGTCTCTACTAAAACTATAACAATTACCCGGGCGTGGTGGCCTGCGCCTGTAATCCCAGCTACTCCGGAGGCTGAGGCTTGAGACTCGCTTGAGCCTGAGAGGCGAAGGTTGTAGTGAGCGGAGATCCAGACTGGGCAACAGAGAGAATCTGTCTCAAAAAAAAAAAAAAAGTAGGCCCTATGAACTGTGCCTAACGTGTAAATCAGACCCGAATTGCGGTGATAATTTCCCAGGTGTATACACGTGTCAAAACTTGTACATTTTAAGTATGTTCAGTTTATTGTATGTCAGCTAAGCCTTAACATAGCTATGATTGTAGCAGGACAAGCCACAGACAAGAACCCCTCAGACACCGAGTTGTAGAAAGGGCTTTTTTCAGCTGGGAGCATCGGTGGACTCACGTCTCCAAAAACCGAGCTCCCCAAGTGAGCAATTCCTATCCTTTTTAAGGGCTTACAGCTCTAAGGGGGTCCGTGTGAGAGGGTCGTGATAGATTGAGAAAGCAGGGGGTACGTGACTGGGGGCTGCATGCACCGGTAATCAGAACGGAATAGAACTGGACAGGGATTTTCACGATGCTTTTCCATACAATGTCTGAAATCTATAGATAACACAAGCAGTTAGGTCAGGGGCTGATGTTTAACTACCAGGCGCAGGCGCAGAGCTGGGCTATCTGCCTGTGGATTCCATTTCTGCCTTTTAGTTTTTACTTCTTCTTTCTGTGGAGGTAGAAATTGGGCATAAGACAATATAAGGGGTGGTCTCCTCCCTTATTATAATTTCTTAGTATTTCCCAGAAAAAATAAAAAAGCCCAAATATTTGAAGGCTGTTTGGACTATTCATATAAAATACATGTCGACCATCCCAAATCTGAAAATCTGAAATCCAAAATATTCCAAAATCCTAACCTTTTTGGGTGCTGACAGGATGATCAAAGGAAATGCTCATTGGAGCACTTTGGATTACAGATTTTCAGATTTGAGATACTCAACTAGGGTGGGTATAATGCAAATATTCCAAAATCTGAAAAAAATCAAAATTTGAAACAATTCTGGTCCCAAGTATTTTAGATAAAGGATACTCAACCTGTACTTTTTTTTTTTTTTTTTTTTTGAGACAGAGTTTCGCTCTTGTCATCCAGGCTGGAGTGCAATGGCGTGATCTCGGCTCACTGCAACCTTGCTTCCCGAGTTCAAGCAATTCTCCTGCCTCAGCGTCCCAAGTACCTGGGATTACAGGCGCCCACCACCACACCCGGCTAATTTTTGTATTTTTAGTAAAGATGGGGTTTCGCCATGTTGGCCAGGCTGGTCTCAAACTACTGACCTCAGGAGATCCACCCGCCTCGGCCTCCCAAAGTGCTGGGGATTACAGGCGTGAGCCACCGCACCTGGCCAACCTGTACATATTTTTAAGGCTTTTTTTTTCTTTTTTTTAGACAGGGTCTTGCTTTGTCACCCAGGCTGCAGTGGCTAAATAATTTCTTTCTACCTCCTGTATCAGGACTACAGGCATGCACCAACAGGGCCTGCTCTCTCTGTCTCTCTTTCTCTCTCTCTCTCTCTCTCTCTATATATATATATATATATACTTTTTTTTTTTTTTTTTTGGTTTGGATATGGAGTCTTGCTCTGTCACCCAGGCTGGAGTACCATTGATCTCGGCTCACTGCAACCTCTGCCTCCTAGGATTACAGGTGCCCACCACCTCGCCTGGCTATTTTTTGCATTTTTAGTAGAGACGAGGTTTTGCCATGTTGGCCAGGCTGGTCTCAAACTTCTGACCTCAGGTGATCAACCCACCTTGGCCTCCCAAAGTGCTAGGATTACAGGCGTGAGCCACCACACCCGGCCGGGCCTGCTAATGTATAATTTTTAAAAATTAAAAATTAATTTAAACAGCTAAAGTTTAATTTTTAAACTTTTTTTGGTAGAAAGTGAGTCTCACTAAATTGCCTAGCTGGCCTTGAACTCTTGGCCTTAAGAGATCCTCAGGCTTTGACCTCCCAAAGTGCTGAGATTATAAGCATGAACCACCACACCCAGCCTTAAATTTTTCTTTAATCAAAAATTTTGTATGGCCAGGTGCAGTGGCTCATGCCTGTAATCCCAGCACTTTGGGAGGCCAAGGTGGGCTGATCACCTGAGGTCAGGAGTTCAAGACCAGCCTGGTCCAACATAGTGAAACCCTGTTTCTACTAAAAACACAAAAATTAGCAGGGGATGGTGTTGGGCAGCTGTAATCCGAGCTACTCAGCAGGCTGAGGCAGGAGAATCGCTTGAACCTGGGAGGCAGAGGTTGCAGTGAGCTGTGATCGTGCCACTGCACTGCAGCCTAGGTGACAGACCGAGACTCTGTCTCAAAAAAAAAAATTTTTTTTTTGTATGGATAGGTGTGGTGGTTTATTCCTGTAATTCTAGCACTTTGGGAGGCTGAGGCAAGAGGATGGCTTGAGCCCAGGCGGTCTGATCACTTGAGCCCAGGAGTTCAAGACTAGCCTGGGCAACATGGCAAAACCCAGGCTCTACCAAAAACAGAAAAATTATCCAGATGTGGTGGCTCATACCTGTGGTCCTAGCTACTTGGGAGGCTGAGTTGGGAGGATTGCTTGAGCCTGGAGGCAGAAGTTTCAGTGAGCCATGATCGTGCTGATACAGGAGATAGAAATTATTTAGGAGATAGTGAGGGCAGAAGAGTCCTCAGTAGAATTTCTTTGCTAACAAAAAAGCAGCCCCCAAAATCATTTCTAAGAAAGAGCAGCCTGAAAAATTGAGCTGCAAACATAGGTAAGCAAGCTGGAAGCTTGCATGGGGGAATGCTGGCAGCTGTGCCAATAGAAAAGGGGTAACTGGGGGCCAGGCATGTCCACCATGGAGGCTCCATCTTCCCTTTTTTTGTTACCACATGTACAGTAATAAAGAAATGGGCAACATGGTGCAGCTCAGGCAGTGAACCTGCCTGCATAATCAAAGATTGGGGTGGAGGAGGCCAGAGATTCCCATAGTATACAAATAGCACACCTGGTCAGACCAGTTTTTTGCATGCTATGTAGATCAGACTCTGCCTCCCACCAGCTCATCTAAAAACCCCCTGAATTTCACCACGGGTCTGGCAACCCATTTTTCCAGGACCCCTTTCTGCAGCAGAGAGCTATTCTCTTTCTTTCGTCTATTAAACTTCCACTCTCAACCTCACTCTTTGTGTGTCTGCATCCTTATTCTTGGTGGCTGTGAGACAACGAACCTCGGATGTTACTCCAGATAACAAGGCCGTTTCAGTGCCACTGCACTCCAGCCTGGGCAACAGAGTGACACCCTGTCTCAAACAAAAAACAAATCCCTGTCTTCATAGAGTTTACATCCTAGTTTGTGAGGCAGATAATAAGATAAAATATATGGTTTGTGTGATATTGTGAAGAAGTATACATTTGGTCTTTGTCCTTAGTTCCTAACACAGATCTAAAACACTTGTAATTTCCTGAGTAATAGGGGTGAGAGGAGTGTCTTTTGTTATCCATAGTAAGCCCCTTCCAAGCACACCTGAGTTTATACTAATGAGGTGATTCCTAGAAGATGGGGGCCAGTTTCCAGAGAAACCAACCAGATGATCAGAGGGCTGGAACTTTCAGCTCCATCGCCAACCTCTGGGGAGGAGAAAGGGGCTGGAGATTGACTCCAATGGTCAATGATTTCATCAATTCTGTCTAAGTAATGGAACCTATGTTCAAACCCTAAACAACAGGGTTCCAAGAGTTTCTGGCTTAGTGAACACACTGTGGTGCTGGGAAGATGGCAAGCCTAAATAGAGCATGGATGCTCCAAGCCCTCACCCATACTTGCCCTCGGTGCATCTTCCATTTGGCTGTCCATCTGTAAACTTTGTCATATTCTTTATTTTTTTATTATTATTATTGCAGACAGAGTCTCACTCGTTTTCCAGGCTGGAGTGCAGTGGCACGATTTCAGCTCACTGCAACCTCCACCTCCTCAGTTCAGGCGATTCTCTCAGCCTCCCCAGTAGCTGGGATTACAGCGCCTGCCACTACACCCAGCCAATTTTTGTATTTTTAGTAGAGATGGAGTTTCATCATGTTGGCCAGGCTGGTCTTGAACTCCTGACCTCTCAGGTGATCCACCCACCTCAGCCTCCCAAAGTGCTGGGATTACAAGCATGAGCCACTGCGCCCGGCCTTGTCATATTCTTTATAATAAACCGGTAAATGTAAGTAAATGTCTCCCTGAGTTTGTGAGCCATTATGGCAAATTATCAAACAAGAGGAGGGTGTTGGGAAAGCCCCAGTTGATAGCCAATTGGTGAGAAGTACAGATGAGAATCTGGAACTTGTGATTGACATCTGAAGTTAGGAGCAGTCTTGTGAGCCTGAGTCCTTAACCTGTGGGAACTTCATTAATTCCAGGTAATTAGTGCCAGACTTGAGTTAGATGGGAGGACACACAATTGGTGACCATTGAGAACTGGAGAATTGCTTGGTGTGGAAAACCCACACATTTGATGTCAAAAGTGTGTGGGCAGAGGAAACAGTTTTTATTTAGTATGTCAGATGTGACAAGTGCTAAAGAGAAATAAAGAGGGAAACAGAAGATGAAATATCTGGGTGTCTTTGTATGTGGAATTTTAGATAGTGTGGCCAAGGCAGGCCCCCTGAGAAGTAACTTTTGTGTTAAGACCTAAAGGAAGTGAGGGAACTAGCCATGTAGACTATCTAGAGGACAAGCTTCCAGGCTGAGGGGCTACAAAGTGCAAAGGTTCTGTGGCAGCAGCAAGCTGTTGTGTCCCAGAAACAGCAAAAACCAGTGTAGCCAGATCAGAGTAAGCTAGGAGGAGGTGAAGGGTCTTGTGGAACACAGCAAGGATTTTGGCTTTCACTTTGCATGATGGGATCCTGGGGAAATGCATTTCCCTGCAAGTACAACAGGGAGAGTTAGGGCAGGGAATGGATCTCAGAGCAAGAAATATAAATGTGGTACATGTGGTTTCACTGGGGCTTCTTGATGGTATGGGAGAGGGAAACTACAGCCAAAGAGCAGCAAGAAAGGAATAACTACAGTTCCCGTGGTGGCCCTGCTTTCTCCTCTGTTCTGATCCCAAAGTGGTTGATTCCTTCCCCTCACCCTTGTCTCAGACCAACCACTCTAGCACTCCTAGTTTACCCATTCCATTAGCTCCTTTATAAGCAGACACCAGCAACATGAGGCAGTAGGGGAAGAAAAGGATAGGACAAATTCCTCGGAGCTCTGTGGATCTTGAAAAGAGTCCATCCCTGTTGGTCAGAATATTTCAGGACTTTACGGAGAGCACAGTGAAATAGTAAGAGTGATGGGCCTGTGCCACCCAGTCGGGCCAGGATCTTCTGAAGTCTGATCCTAGCCAGGTGCACTGGGGCACACCTGTAGTCCCAAAGACTTGGGAGAATGAAATGGGAGGATCACTTGAGCCCAGGAGTTTGAAGCTGCTGTGAGCTATGATTGCGGCACTGCATTCCATCCATGGGTGACAGAGTGAAACTCCATATCAAAAAATATACACAAAAAACAAAGTCTGATCCTTGCTAGGATACAAGAGGGAAATCCAGCGGCAGATAGACAGGCCTTATTTATGAAAACAAACAAGACCATGGCATCCCATGGAATTTCTAAGGTACATTTTATAATGGGACCCCTTGAGATTTTACCACACCAGCATTTTTAGTGACTGAAAGGATGAAAATTCTGATCAGGCCCTTGCTTGCTTGCACTTGTGTTTTGCCCAATATTCCTTCTATAATATAATTATAAACTGCTGATGTACTGTTTTCTTTGTCAAGCAAAAGAATATAACTTCAGGGTCTTGAAAAAAAAATTGCAGAAGGAACAGGCATAGTGGCTCATGCCTGTAATCCCAGCACTTCGGGAGGCGGAGGCAGGCAGATTACTTGAGGTCATGAGTTCGAGACAACCTTGGCCAACATAGTGAAACATCATCTCTACCAAAAAAAAACAAAAAACAAAAATTAGCTGGGTGATACGTGCCTGTAGTCCCAGTTATTCAGGAGGCTGAGGTGGCAGAATCGCTTGAACCTGGGAGACGGAGGTTACAGTGAGCTGAGATCATGTCACTGCAGTCCAGCCTGGGCAATAGAGTGAGACCCTGTCTCAAAAAAAAAAAAAAAAAAAAGCAGAAGATTCGGATGAATTACTTTAAGGATGTTATGTCCAATTGCTGATGCCCAGAAGTCTGGTTGTTCAAGGCATTATCGGAGACTGAAGAAACATAGACTTTTCCCCTCAGGTCTCTGAAACTCCCCCTCCTTTACTCTCCAGCTGCATAAAAACTCCCCACTTCGGGCCAGGCACAGTGGCTCAAGCCTGTAATCCCAGCACTTTGGGAGGCCGAGGCCGGCAGATCACCTGAGGTCAGGAGTCTGAGAACAGCCTGGCCAACATGGTGAAACCCTGTCTCTACTAAACATACAAAAATTAGCCAGGCGTAGTGGTGCACACTGTAATCCCAGCTACTAGGGAGGCTGAGGCAGGAGAATCACTTGAACCTGCAGCCTCGACGTTCCAGGCTCAAGGGATTCTCCCACCTCAGCCTCCTGAGTAGCTGCGACCACAGGCGACTGCCACCACACCCAGCTAATTTTATTTTATTTTGTAGTGACAAGTCTTATTATATGCCCAGGCTGGAAATTCATCTTTTAATTCCCATAGGTGAGCCCTCTGCCAAAACAGTAGTAAAAAGCTGGAAGTACTTTAAAGCCCAGCTGTAGAAAGAGTTTTAAATCACTCATTTTGCATGTCATCCTGCTCTTGGACAGATTCAAGACTTACTGCTAACTGAAAAGATGGGTGAAGAGTAGTGTGTAGTGTGGGGTTTTTGAGTAAGGGGAAAATGGAGGAAATATATTTATGCATATTAATATATATACATGTATGGGAACCTCCCACACGAGCGGGTTCCCAAAATATTAGGAAAAATAACAATAAAAATAATGCAAATACAAACAACACAGTATAACTACATTGTATTAGGTATTACAAGTAATCCATAGCTGATTTAAAGTGTGTGGGAGGATGTGCGTAGTTGTAGGTAAATACTATGCCATTTTATAGGAGGGACTTCAGCATCCGCAGATTTTAGTATGGGGTGCTTGCTGTCCTGGAGCTAATCTGCCTGCGGATACCGAGGGACGACTGGAGATCATCTAGGAAGGGCACGCAAAAACCCTAACAGTGGTTGCTTCGGGGAAAGAGAATGGGGGAACTCAGGGTAGGGATGCAAAAGAGACTTGCCGCCGCGAATCACGCCGAGGTGCCCCGCATCCAGCCCTGTGCTCCCGCCCCGGTCCAGGCGCGCTGCCAGGCAGAGTCCCTTGCCCAGCCCCAGAGAAGGCAGCCCATCTCCTGGGCACCGATCCTGAACGTCGGCCAACCTTGCAGGCCTAGCGAAGACCCCAAATTCGACGCGGCAGGCCTGAGGCCTGGGGAAAAAGTGACCCGAATTTCCCGCAATCTCAAGGACACCCAGGGGCGCTCCAGCCCCTCACAGCCCTCCTCCCTCATTCACTCTCACGCCTCGCCTCGCCTCCGGCTCCGGCCTCTCCGCGCCCAGTCACTCCCACGCCCCGTCACTCCCACGCCCCGCCCCTCCTCTCACCCGCGTAGTGCTCTCAGTCTCTCTTGCGCCCCGCCCTTCTGCCCTGCGTCACTCGTGAGCCCCGCCCCTCCTCTCGTCCCGCCCCCCTCTCGTCCCGCCCCTCCTCTCGTCCCTCCCCTCCGCTCGCCCCTCCCCTCCTCTCGTCCCGCCCCGCCCTTCTGCCCTTCGTCACTCGTGAGCCCCGCCCCTCCTCTCGCCGCGCCCCGCCCCACGGCTCGCAGAGGTCCGGAGCTTTCCCGTCAGCAATGAGTCAAGACCGGAAGTCTGGGAAAGGGTGCTCTCAGTTCCCGACAGCGGGGGCTGGACAAGACGGAGACGGTACTGGCAATACGTCGGTTGAAGGGAAGCGGAGCGGAGCACGCGCGGGCTGTGACGAGGGAGCGGAGAAACAGCTGTCCCGTTAGCCTCGTGTTGACGTCCCGGGTTCAGCCCCAGGAGGACGAAAAGACTGTGCCGTGTCCTTCCCGAGGGGAGTGGCGTTCCCATTGACCTGCATACCTCACCTCATACTCGTGCGTGGACGTGTTCCAGCCAAGTCCCGTTCACTCCAGCTCCTCCGTCTCCACCCTAATCCTAATTATTGGTGTTTCGTTTGAAAGGGTTCTGTGAATTTGTCAAGCAGGAAAATTTGGGGTCCGACAGAATTAAGCAATTCTCTTTAATTAAATAGCTTGCGGAGTCTTTAATTTGTTAATATGCATTTTTCTAATCGTAACTAACTTTTGCTTTACATTTACTTTTTTTTTTGAGACGGAGTTTGGCTCTTGGCTCTTGTTGCCCAGCCTGGAGTGCAATGGCGCGATCTCCGCTCACTGCAACCTCCGCCTCCCAGGTGCAAGCGATTCTCCTGGCTCAGCCTCCCGAGTAGCTGGGATTTCAGGCATGTGCCACCACGCCCAGCTAATTTTGTATTTTTAGTAGAGATGGGGGTTTCTCCGTGTTGGTCAGGCTGGTCTGGAACTCCCGACCTCAGGTGATCCACCCGCCTCGGCCTCCCAAAGTGCTGGAATTAAGGCGTGAGCCACCACCGTGCGTGGCCTGCTTTACATTTACTTTCTGTAAGGCTAAGTAATTTACAGTGTCATCTAATCCTTTTAATAATCTTATGAAGTAACCATTATCAAGATATTACAGATGAAGAAATAAAATTGTAGAGACATGCCCAAGATCCCCTTATATTAAGTGACGGAGCTAAATCCAAACCCAAATCATTTATACTGATTGCCCGCAAATCCCTTTTTACACTGGTGCATCACTTGAAACCAGTCCTACAAAGAATGTGCTTTTATCTTGGAGTCCTTGGAGAGGTAAACTGAGGTTCGAACCAAATAAAGGAACATGAGCCCCGGCCCTACCATGGAAGGGGTGGATTGCCTAGCTTCTTCTGGCCACAAGGTGAGGCAGTGAGGAAACTGCAGGAGGCTGGGTTTGGGGTCCCAGCAGTACTTCCTGCTGCCTTGAACAAATGCAGCTGCTCACTTTTACACCCCTTGCAGAACACTCCCCAAATATACCAGTGAAACCCTGAAGGCAAGGCCAGTGCTGGAAGGAATCTAAGCCTCCTGCTCCTGAGGGAAAGGATTTTATTTATTTATTTTTATTTTATTTTTGAGACGGAGTCTGGCTCTGTCGCCCAGGCTGGAGTGCAGTGGTGCTATCTCGGCTCACTGCAACCTCCGCCTCCCCTCCCGGGTTCAAGAGATTCTCCTGCCTCAGCTTCCAGAGTAGCTGGGATTACAGGCGCACGCCACCACACCCGGCTAATTTTTGTATTTTTGGTAGAGACGGGTTTCACCATGTTGGTCAGGCTGGTCTCGAACTCCTGACCTCATGATCCGCTCACCTGGGCCTCTGAAAGTGCTAGGATTACAGGCCTGAGCACCGCGCCCGGCCAGGAATGGATTTTAAAACCCTTAGGAGGCCGGGCACCGTGGCTCACGCCTGTAATCCCAGCACTTTGGGAAGCCGAGGCGGGCGGATCACGAGGTCAGGAGATCGAGACCATCCCGGCTAACACGGTGAAACCCCGTATCTACTAAAAATATTAAAAATTAGCTAGGCATGGTGGCGTTCGCCTGTAGTCCCAGCTATTCGGGAGGCTGAGCCAGGAGAATGGCATGAACCCGGGAGGGGAGGCGGAGCTGGCAGTGAGCCGATATCACACCACTGTACTCCAACCTGGGTGCGACACTCTGTCTCAAAAAAAATATAAATATAAATATAAATAAATAAATAAAAACCCTTAGGAGTAGGTGGTGAGAACTTCACCCAGCCCTATCAGGAGTTGGGGGTATGGAGAGAGGAATGGATTTTGAACAGATTTGACTCCCATCTCCTTCTAAGGGAAGATACATAGACAAGAATAAATGTCTTTTGTAGAAGTCTGGGAATAAGACAAGGAAGCCCACTGGGCAGGGACTTGGCAACTAGAGGCAAATAGAATGGTATGAGACCACGGACTTGAGAAGTTCATGTTAGGATGATACTCCAAAAGGCCCAGCAGAAAAAAGCTGCACCTTGCTCAGCACAGGGTACCCAGGGACAAGGCCAGTCCAACACATCGGAGAGCATTAGGGTGCCAGAGTCCAGCCACAGGGACCTGAGGTTGCCTCCGTTTTCTGCTACCTCTAGGTCATTGGTTGCTCCACCTTCACCAAGATGCTACCTCGGGGAAGATAAGGGAGTGTTCCAATTACCTATTGGTGTGTAACAAACCACTCCAAACTTACTGGTACAAAACAGCAACCAGTTTATTATGTCATGGATTCTGTGGGTCAAGAATTCGGAAAGGGTATAGTGGGGATGACTTGTCTCTGCTTCAGAATCACTGAGACTTCAGCTGAGAAGACTTGGAAGCCTGAGATGACTTAAAAGCTTGGGGCTGGAATCATTTGGAGTTGCTCATTCACATATGTAAAAGGTAAACTAAGGCACAAAAAAAAAATTTTAAGAGCTCATTTGACCAGCCGGGTGCTGTGGCTCATGCCTGTAATCCCAGCACTTTGGGAGGCCGAGTCGGGTGGATCACGAGGTCAGGATTTGAGACCAGTCTGGCCAACATAATGAAACCCCGTCTCTACTAAAAATACAAAAAATTAGCCAGGCGTGGTGGCACGCGCCTGTAATCCCAGCTACTTGGGAGGCTGAGGCAGGAGAAATGTGTGACTGGGGAGGCAGAGGTTGCAGTGAGCCGAGATCGCACCACTGCACTCCAGCCCAGGTGACAGTGCGAGACTCCATCTCAAAAAAAAAAAAAATAGAGTTCATTTGAATAGGAAGCAATTAATGAATTGGGAAATACCAAACCAAAAGAAGTTTAATTTTCTCATGACAAATCATCAGGGGCAAGTATTTATGGGGTAAATGTGGAGCAAAATAAATAATTTGATTGATTGCAATTTTACAGTTGCCTTATTCATTCATTCACCTTCTTGGAAAGTCCCTAGTTATATAAGTTTTTGGCTACTTCCAATTGGTTGAGCTTAAGTTTTGTTTTTCTTTAATACAGGCATTTACAAGAAATGGCTCAACATAAGTTTCCCTTGTGTTTGTAAATCAAGGTTGAGGTCACTTATGAGGCCTAACTGGTTTTGTCTGCTCAGAGATTCTTCAGGCCTGGTCTCCATTTTAATTTACTTCAACATATGTCTGAGGTTATGCTGGCTGTTGGCTGGGATCTCGGCTAGGATTGTCAGCAGGAACACCTACGTGGTTTCTCCATGAGGTTGCTCTGCTTCCTCATATCCAAGGTGGCTGGATTCTGAGTGACTCCTAAGACAATCAAGTGGAAGATGTATAACCTTTTTTGACCTTGCATCACTTCCACCTTACCTACAGGCCCACCCAAGTTCAAGAGGAAGGAATACAGACTCCACCTCTTAATGGGAGGAGTGTCACACTAAAGAAGAGCATGTGGTGTGGAATATCTTGTTACAACTCTCTTGAAAAAAGTACAACCTGGCTGGGCGCCATAGCTCACGCCTGTAATCCCAGCACTTTGGGAGGCCGAGGCAGGCGGATCACCTGAGGTCAGGAGTTCAAGACCAGCCTGACCAACATGGAGAAACCCCATCTCTACTAAAAATACAAAATTAGCTGGGTGTGGTGGCGCAGCTAACGTGGCTCCCAGCTACTTGGGAGGCTGAGGCAGGAGAATCGCCTGAACCCAGGAGGTGGAGGTTGCAGTGAGCCGAGATTGCACCACTGCACTCCAGCCTGGGCAACAAGAGGGAAACTCCCTCTTAAAAAAAAAAAAAGAAAAGAAAAATACAACCTGCCACAGCCATTAAATTTCAAAGTGGTTATACAGAAATAGATAACCAGGACTTAGTGCTATGGGGGTTTACTTAGTTCACCTAGGTAACTGCTTGGTATTGTTCGATTTGCTACAATGAAATCTGCTAGTATTCCTTCTCTAATTAAAAAAATAACTTTAGGCTGGGAGTGGTGGCTCATGCCTGTAATCCCAGCACTTTGGGAGGCCGAGTCAAGCAGATCACTTGAGCCCAGGAGTTCGAGACAAGCCTGGGCGACATGGTGAAACCCTGTCTCTATAAAAAATACAAAAATTAGCTGGGCATGGTGGTGCAAGCCTGTGGGCCTAGCTGCTCGGGAGGCTGAGATTGGAGGATCACCTGAGCCTGGGGAGGTCGAGGCTATAATGAGCTTCGATCTTGCCACTGCACTCCAGCCTGGGTGACAGAGTGAGATCCTGTATCAAAAAAAAAAAAAGTGTTTAAAAATAAATAACTTTAAAAGAAGACACCTGAAATTGTGGCCAGACCTAGATTCTCATTCTGATTCCAATATTAACTGATTATGACCTTGGGCAAATCAAGTTCTCAATATCTCAATTTAAAAATGTTTCTAAGTGAGATAAAATAATTTAAATATTCTCTTACAGTAGCTGGAAAAGGCAAACAAAAGCAACATTGTATATTACATGCAGTTTTGCAAAATTTGGGCTCAAGTTCCTTGAGATGCTTACAAAAAATAAATTCAGTGGCTAAATAAACTGAGGAAATGCTGTATATTATATCCCTCTCCCACTCTTGAAGAGTCTCAGTAAACATTAGGAAATTAAACAGGCCGGGCGCGGTGGCTCACGCCTGCAATCCCAGCACTTTGGGAAGCCGAGGCGGGTGGATCACATGAGGTCAGGAGTTTGAGACCAGCCTGACCAACATGGAGAAACCCCGTCTCTACTAAAAATACAAAATTAGCTGGGTGTGGTGGCACATGCCTGTAATCCCAGCTACTAGGGAGGCTGAGGCAGGAGAATCGCTTGAACCTGGGAGGCGGAGGTTGCGGTGAGCCGAGTACTCCAGCCTGGGTAACAAGGCTGCACTCCAGCCTGGGTAACAAGAGCAAAACTCCGTCTCAAAAAAAAGAAAAGAAATTAAACATCTGAGCATTCCCGTAGGAAATAAATTTATTCAATTTGTTTAACCAATCAAATTAGATGAAGGCTAGAGATTTCAGATTTCAGGGTCTGGACTTTTGGGAACAGGCTGGTGTGGGGGTTTGCCAGACTACCTGAGTTTGGTAACTGGTTCTACAACTTACTGTGTGTTCTTGGAGAAGTTACTTAACTTTCCTAAGCTTCAATTTTTTCATATGCAAAATGTGCTATTATTATTCTAGTTTTACATTTGGTTGTTGCAAAAATAAGTTAAACCTTTTTGGTTACATTTTAATTTAATCACTACTATAATGATGATGCGACTACCAACACTGATCTAGATAGACTGTAGTCCAGCTTCTTTTTTTAGTTTTTTAATTTGATCTAGACTTTTTAGGAAATTACTCTGTGCAAGATTTCTGACAAAAGACAAGGGAGAGGGTAAAATTTAGAGTAGTTTGGGAGGTCGAGGCGGGCAGATCACTTGAGGTCAGGAGTTCAAGACCAGCCTGGCCAACATGGTGAAACCCCATCTCTACTAAAATACAAAAATTAGCTGGGCATGGTGGTGCACACCTGTAATCTCAGCTACTCGGGAGGTTGAGGCATGAGAATTGCTTGAACCCAGGAGGCAGAGGTTGCAGTGACCTGAGATCATGGCACTGCACTCCAGCCTGGGCAACAGAGCAAAACTCTGTCTCAAAAAAAAAAAAAAAAAGAGAGACACAAGATCTCATCCTGGCATCAGTCACTGGTATCTCCTTTCATTACTCCTTGGCAGTCCTCAGTAAGTGTCATATTGCTTTTTTTCCCAATTTTTTTTATTGTGGTAACATTATATAACATAAAATTTATCATCCTAACCATTTGTGAGTGTACAGCTCAGTGGTATTAAATACATTCATATTGTTTTGCAACCATCACCGTTATCCATTTCCAGAACTCTTTTCATTTTGCAAAACTGTAATTCTGTACTCATTAAGCAATAACTCCCGATCACCCCTCCCCTCAGCTCCTGGCAGCCACTCTTCTAATTTCTGTTCTATGATTTGGCTACTCAAAGTACCTGATATCAGTGGAATCATACAGCATTTGTCCTTTCATGACTAGCTTATTTCACTGAGCATAATGTCCTCAAGTTTCATCCATGTTCTGGCATGTGTCAGAATTTCCTGCCTTTTCAAGTCTAAATAACATTCCATTATTTTTCACATTACCTTTTGTTACTTTAGGAATCATGGTCTGGGGGCTGGCCTTTAGCAACCAATATGTTTGGGGAGAGAGATATCTTCCTCAATGGCCTATCTTCTTTGTTGATGGATTCCTAGAGAATTATGCTACATTTTGCATCCAGGAAGGGTCACCACACCTAATTAGCCCACTTTTTTCCTCCAGAATTTTAATGTGTCTGAAAATTCACCTCTTAAAGGAGGAAGTGAAGGCAAGAGAAAGAAAGATGTGGGAATTGGCAGAAATAATAATTCTTCAAATGAGTCCCTTCCTAGACAGCATTCTCAAGCTAGGTATGCAAAAGAGCAGGACCACAGAGCTGCATTAAGGAATTAGATTTTATAGGATCAGAAAACAATCTTAGGAAACTGGGCCATTTTTAGTCTTCATTTCTTTTTGTGTTCTTATCAAAAATTGTAAAGGGGGTGGAAGATACATGCTGAGGTGGCAACCAACAAACATTCTCTTCAGAGGGTAAGACCACAGTGCTACAGAGAATGGAGAAAAATGTCATATACTTCCACAAACCAGAGTCAATGTTAGGAAAGATTTCACTCTAACGGCTTCCCTGCTAAGGGAGTTCTTCCATGAGTAGCTTTCACTGTGCAAGATCAGATGAGACCTAGGGTAGCCCAGGACACAAGGATCCTCCCATAATCCCCCAAGGGGCCACTTTCAATGTGGGCTAGTCTCTGCCCGTCCCTGCCAGGAACTGAAGAGGCTGTGCCAGTACCTTTTCCCCTGATCAGTCTCTGGGAAGGCAAAGCTTTTCTGCATCTGCCCTCAGTGGTTAGTGAGACTGTGGGATCGTCCTGAAGGACAGGAGGTCCTGGAGTTCACCCTCATGACATCATATCTGGCTTAGGACCATCACTCTTCATGTCCTGCTCATCGCTGTTCCTCACCATAGTTTCTCCCTAATGCAATGCCTTGTGGGGAGCTATTTCCCTGAGTACACAGTGATATCAGGATGTGAATCACCTTTTTCTGGGCAGAGGTGGTGGAATTTTTTACCATCATGAAGCTGAGGTTCCTTGCCCATTCTGAGTTGAATAACCCAAATCTTGGCTCTTAGAGCTTCTCATATCCCTAATTCCTTATAAAACTTAACTCTGTCCCCAGCTCTTTACTATCCCATTGCTCAGTATCTTCTACCACGTCCTCCTTCTCAAGACTCTGATACCTAAAATATACAATTTTACAGCAGCAGGAGGAAATAGGCAAAGGATATTTTCCTTTGTGGTGCTGGGTGTTGGGGATTAGTTGTAAAACTAGTCTCCACTAGAGGGAGACTTAATCTCAAGAAAGAAAACAATATGATCTGTGTCAAGTTGAGAGGAAGCAGAGGTATTAACTGTTTATATAGCTTTTGTATTATAGCCAACTATCTCTTCTTTAAAAATCTTTTTGTTGTAAAAATGAAGAGAATTTATTTATTTATTTTAGAAATTTTTAAAATTTTGTTTTATAACTATGTAAAATACTTGGGTTTCAAAATAAACGCTATAAAACAAGGCATATTTAAATAAGTTTATCATCTACCTCCACACCTTCCATATCACTCCTTCTCTCTCCCTAAAGGTAATCACTTGATTTTTAGTAGAGATGAGGTCTCATTTATGTTGCCCAGCTAGTCTGGAAGTTCTGACCTCAAGTGATCCTCCTGAAGTGCTGGGATTACAGGCATAAGCACCGCAGCCGGCCATGGTATTTCCTTCTCTATGAAATGTTTGTTTAATCTGTAGCTCAGCTTCCTTTTTCTTTTTCTTTTTTTTTGAGATGGTCTTGCTCTGTCGCCCAGTCTGGAGTGCAGTGGCTCGATCTCAGCTCACTGCAACTTCTGCCTTCTGGGTTCAAGTGATTCTCCTGCCTCAGCTTCCCGAGTAGCTGGGATTACAGGCGCGCGCCACCAAGCCCAGCTAATTTTTGTATTTTTAGTAGAGACGAGGTTTCTCCATGTTGGTCAGGCTGGTCTCAAACTCCTGACTTCAGGTGATCCATCCGCCTCGGCCTCCCAAAGTGCTGGGATTACAGGCGTGAGCCACCGTGCCTGGCCCCTTCTTCTTTTTGTAATGAAAAACAAACAAAAAAGCACACTTGGCCAGGCCCAGCACTTTGGGAGGCCGAGGCGGGCAGATCACGAGGTTAAGAGATCGAGACCATCCTGGCCTACCTGGTGAAACCCCGTCTCTACTAAAAATACAAAAATTAGCTGGGCGTGGTGGTGCGCACCTGTAGTCCCAGCTGCTTGGGACTCTGAGGCAGGAAAATCACTTGAACCCGGAAGACGGAGGTTGCAGTGAGCCAAGATGGAGCCACTGCACTCCAGCCTGGCAACAGAGCGAGACTCCGTCTCAAAAAACAAACAAAAAAACAAAAACACACACACATACACAAAACAACCCTCTTTTACTGAGGAGTATACATACAAACAGACAACCACTAAGAGTCCCTCACACTTTCTTTTTTTTTTTTTTTTTTTTTTTTTTTTTTGAGACTGAGTCTCACTCTGTCACCCAGGCTGGAGGGCAGTGGCGAGATCTCAGCTCACTGCAACCTCTGCCGCCTGCGTTCAAGCGATTCTCCTGCCTCAGGCTCCCGAGTAGCTGGGATTACAGCCGTCTGCCACTGCACCTGGCTAATTTTTGCTGTTTTAGTAGAGACGGGGTTTCACCATCTTGGCCAGGCTGGTCTTGAACTCCTGACCTCGTGATCAGACCGCCTCGGCCTCCCAAAGTGCTGGGATTACAGGTGTGAGCCACCACACCTGGCCCCCTCACATTTTCATGTACTGACAAAACTATTCCATCTTTTTTTTTTTTTTTTTTTTGACAGTGTTTCAGTCTTGTTGCCCAAGCTGGAGTGCAATGACACGATCTTGGCTCACTGCAAACTCCACCTCCCAGGCTCAAGCAATTCTCCTGCCTCAGCCTCCCAAGTAGCTGGGATTACAGGTATATGCCACCATGCCCAGCTACTTTTTGTATTTTTAGTAGAGAAAGGGTTTCCCATGTTGGCCAGGCTGGTCTCGAACTCCTGACCTCAGGTGATCCGCCCATCTCAGCCTCCCAAAGTGCTGGGATTACAGGCATGAAACACCACACCCGGCCTAAAATAAATTTTTAGGACAGATCAGGCTGGCCCCATTTTCTAGCCCAGTTTTTTACAGAGCTATTAGTCTTTTTCTTCCCTATTTTTAGAAGTTTTTCCTGAATCAAATATATTACTCCTTTGTAATGTAATTTATAAATTTCTTTTCCCATTAGTCTTTTTACTTTTTTTTGTTATTATGTAAAATTTATCAATTTGCATCTATGGGGATAATCAAACATTTTTTCCACCTTAGATCAATTAATATGGTGGATTATATTAATAGATTTCCTAATATTATATGTTCTTGCATTTTTGGAATATTATCCAGTTGGTCATGATAAATATTTTTTAACATGCTGTTGGATTCACTTTGCTAATGTTTTATATATATGTATCAATATTAATACAAAAGTGAAATTGATCTATAATGGTTTTTTTTGTTACAGTCTTTGTCACGATTCTAAAATTGAGGTTTGGAAATCAATGTTATACTTACTTTGCAAGATGATTTTGGGGGTTTTCCCTTTTTTGTCATAGTCTAAAATAGTTTTAAAAATTAAAGATTTGTTTTTTAAAGTTTGGTAGAATCATCTGTAAAACGATCTGGGCCTGCTTTGTTTTGTAGGGGAACTCCTTAACTAGTTTCTATGATTATTTTATGTTACTTGGCCGGTTTAAATTTGCTGTCTCTATAGGGGCAAATTTTGTTAAATTGGATTTTCTAAAAAAATCCATTTAATGTAGATTTTAAAATATTTTTACAAGAATATTTTTCAAATTTCTTCTTTTGTGTCACTTTATTTCCAGTTTCATGGATTTGTGCTTTCCTTAGCTAGGAAATTATCAAAATTATTTTTACAAAGAAACAGTTTTGGATTCTTTAATTAATATAATGCTACCATTGTTATTGTTATTGTTGTTGTTTTCAAACCCATTAACTTCTGCCTTTATTTTTACTAATTTCTTATTTTTGTGTCATTCGGTTTACCCTGGGTTTTGTGTATAATATTTTGAGTTGGATTGTTATTTATTTTTACTTATATAGGTATTTAATGCTATAAACCTTTCCCTCATAGCTGTTTTTGCTGTTTCCCATAAATTCTGGGGGTTTTCATTGCTATTTTCAAAAACTTCTCCCGCGCCACCACCATGCTCTCGGTCCGCGTCCGGATCACTTCCATCGCTGACCCACAGCAACAGCAGCTCTTGCTGCTGAAGGTTCTCAGTCTGGCCAACAAGGAGAACACGCCCTCGACCCTGAGCGGAACTCGCATCCTGGCCAGCAAGGCGGCGAGGAGGATCTTCCAGGAACCAGCGGAGCCGAAAACTAAAATAGCTGCTCCTGGCGTGGAGGATGAACCACTGCTGAGAGAAGACCCCGCCACTTTATCATCTTCCCCAACGAGTACCATGATATTTGGCAGATGTATAAGAAGGCGGAGGCTTCCTTAAACCGAGGAGACCGAGGAGAGTGATTTTATATCCCGTGTTCTGGCTTTCTTTGCAGCAAGTGATGGCATAGTAAATGAAAACTTGGTGGAGCGATTTAGCCAAGAAGTTCAGATTACAGAAGCCCGCTGTTTCTATGACTTCCAAATTGCCATGGAAAACACACATTCTGAAATGTATAGTCTCCTTATTGACACTTACATAAAAGATGCCAAAGAAAGGGAATTTCTCTTCAACACCATTGAAACACCTTGTGTCAAGAAGGCAAATTGGGCCTTGAGTTGTATTGGGGACAAAGAGGCTACCTATGGTGAATGTGTTGTAGCCTTTGCTGCAGTGGAAGATATCTTCTTTTTTTTTCTTTTTTTTTTTTTTTTTGAGACGGACTTTCGCTCTTGTTGCCCAGGCTGGAGTGCAATGGCGCGATCTCCGCTCACTGCAACCTCCGCCTCCCGAGTTCAAGCGATTCTCCTGCCTCAGCCTCCCGAGGAGCTGGGATTACAAGAATGCGCCACCACACCCAGCTAGTTTTTGTATTTTTAGTAGAGACTGGGTTTCTCTATGTTGGTCAGGCTAGTCTCAAACTCCTGACCTCAGGTGATCCACCCACCTCAGCCCCCCAAAGTGCTGGGATTACAGGCTTGAGCCGCCGCGTCCGGCCATTAACAGCATCTTTAAAACTGTGTAGCTACCTCACGACCAGGCCTGTTTATTTATAATGCTGGTGGTATCACCTTTTGCCAGCAGGCTGGCTGGCTGTGACTTACCATAGCAGTGACAGCAGCAGTCTTGGCTTTAAAGTGAGGGGTGACTCTCTAGTGAGCTTGGCCCAGCAGGATTAAACATTCACTTAACTAGCACAGGCAGTTGAAAGATGCAGCCTCCCTACTTCAAAGCAGATTTTGTTTACTTAAATATAAAACTGGCACTTTACAAACATTGTTTGTACTATCAAGGTAATAATAGCTTGATTTATTTGGTTTCTACACCAAAGTATTCTGCTGACCACTAATTGGAGCCAATTCAAAATTCACTAAGTAACTAAAGTAAGTTAAACTTGTGTAGACTAAGCATATAATTTCTAAATTTTATTTTCTTGAATGAATTAAAATATTCCTTAATCAACTTTAAAGTCAATCCTGTATATAGCTAGATATTAGTCTGTTGGTGCCAGATAGAAGACAGGTAGTGTTTTTTATCCTGTGGCCTGGGGAGTGTCCTGGGATTCTCTGTCCTATCTGAGTAGAGTGTTGTGGATTAAGGAATCTCTCACGGCAAAGACAGATGAGAAATTTAGGCATGATCTGGGCCTTCATATGTGTGAGAAGCCATATCATTTTATTTCTCACTATATTTTCCCCAACTTCTAGTTGATAAGAAAAAATTATTGAAGAGTTTTTATATGTGGGGACTACAGTGGCATTGTAAAATTTCAAGTCATCCTTAAACAAAATGACCCACCTAAGATCTTGCTCCTGTTAGGTGGTGAAATCAACTGGAGTTGGTTCCTAAAAGTTGTTTATTCTAGTCTTGTTTAAGTAGGTTGTGTGAGTTAATAGTTAATTCATTTACATTTACTATATGGCCCTTTTTTTTTTTTTAATAGAGTCTCGCTCTGTTGCCCAGGCTGGAGTGCAGTTGTGAGATCTTGGCTCACTGCAACCTCTGCGTCCCGGGCTCAAGCCATTCTCCTGCCTCAGCCTTCCGAGTAAGTGGGATTACAGGGCCCACCGTGGTGGTGGGCTAATTTTTGTATTTTTAGTAGAGACGGGGTTTCACCATGTTGGCCAGACTGATCTCGAACTCCTGACCTCAGGTGACCCGCCCCCCTTGGCCTTCCAAAGTGCTGGGATTACATGTATGAGTCACCACGCCCGGCCTACATGTCTTTGAAATTAGAAAATATTTTTTAGGCTGGGTACAGGCTTGAGCCACTGCACCTGGCAAACTAATATTCTTAATAGGGCTAGTTTGAATTAATCTGCCTTTATGTTTGGGAAAAAGAAAGCTGAGACACTACATGAAAGATGATGCAGGATATGTGTTGATCTTTTGGCCCCATTTGTTAATTTTATTATCTATTTGAACATTGTCCTGTTCTATTTTTAGTTTTCCTAATCATTTATTATATAGTCAATTTTAAAATTTCTGTAATATGAGATTTTCTATCTTTTATTGTTACCTAAATAAACCCAGATTATATGGTCCTTACACTTGTGCAACATTAAAATGAATAAAGGCTTTGCCTTGCATTGTCAGAAAAACAAAAACAAACCCCTGCAATTTATTTTGCATTTCCCCCTTGACCCAGGAGTGGTTTAACACGTTCTGAAATTTCCCTTTGGGGAAATGTATGGGAGAGTGAGTGTGAGTGTGTGCAAATAAAATTCCCTTTGGAAGAGGCCTTTTTGTTTTATTGTTTGATTTGTCTAATTGTATTACATTTTGGTCAGATAATACTATTTGAATTATTGTTTCTTCACTTTGGATACACTGAGATTTTCTTTGTAGCTTAGGATGTGAATGTGCCACATTTTTGTGAATGCTTTATGCATTTTTTTCTTTTTTTCTTTTTCTTTTTTTTTTTTTTTTTTGATATGGAGTCTCACTCTGTCGCCCAAGCTGGAGTCCAGTGGCACGATTTCGGCTCACTGCAACCTCTCCTCCTGGGTTCAAGCAATTCTGCCTCAGCCTCCCGAGCAGCTGGGATTACAGGCGCCCACCACCATCTTCAGCTAATTTTGTGTATTTTTAGTAGAGATGGGGTTTCACCATGTTGGCCAGGCTGGTCTCAAACTCCTGACCTCATGATCCACCCGCTTCGGCCTCCCAAAGTGCTGGAATTACAGGCATGAGCCACCACGCCCAGCCCTTTACGCATTTTTTTAAAAAGTTTATTCTCTATTATTAAGGTTCAGAGTTTAATATTATTAAATCTACTTAAATATATTTATTATGTTGTTTAGGTCTTCTGTATCCTAACTTATTGTTCACTTGACCTTTCTAGATCTGAGGGATTTGTTAGTCCTCCTATTATAGTGTGCTTCTATTTCTCCTTGTATAAAATGTCATTATCTTTATAAAAATTGTGGCTAAAATTTCTTTCTCTTTTCTCATTAAAAGTAATGCTTTTTAGTCAGAATTCTACTTTGATGGATAATTACAACTGCAACCCCTGCTTACATTTAGGAATAAATTCTGGTACATCTCTTAGTCATTTATTTAGGCTTCCTGAAACTCTTCTTAGATGTAGCTCTTTTATATAGCACAGTGTTGGACTTTGCTTTGTCAATGTGAAAACTATTTTCTTTTAATAGGTAGGTAAACCCATTCTTTCTCTCTTTCTTTATTTAAACCCTTTCTTTCTTTCTTTTTGATACGGAGTCTCGCTCTGTCGCCCAGGCTGGACTAAAGCGGCACGATCTCGGCTGACTGCAACCTCCGCCTCCCGGATTCAAGTAATTCTCCTGCCTCAGCCTCCCAAGTAGCTGGGACTACAGGCGTGTGCCACCACAGCTGGCTAGTTTTTGTATTTTTAGTAGAGACGGGGTTTCACCATGCTGCCCAGGCTGGTCTTGAACTCCTGACCTCAAGTGATCCGCTGCCTCAGCCTCCCAAAAAGCTGGGATTACAGGCGTGAGCCACCGTGCCCAGCCCCCTAATCTCTCTTTACTGATAGTTGTACTATATTTACAAGATTGCCAAGAAATGTGGAAAAGTTAATGAATACATATTAATGGTTTATTAATATATTTAAATACATGATAAAATAATAGTATCTATTTCCAGACTTCATGGTCAACCTGTATATTGTTAAAGCACATAGCCAAGATATCCTATACTGGTGCCATTATAACCATCATTTATTCTTAGTTATGCAAGTAAACAAACTTAATTCACACCACTAGTGAGAGATACTGATGTCTTTTCAGTCATTTTGGTTGTTTAAAGCTTGTTCTTTGGTCTTTTTGTTTTGTTTTAAGAAATAGTGTTATAGGCCAGGCACAGTGGCTCACGCCTGTAATCCAACGACTTTGGGAGGCCAAGGCAGGTGGATCACCTGACGTCAGGAGTTCCAGACCAGCCTGGCCAACATGGCGAAACCCTGTCTCTACTAAAAATACTAAAATTAGCAGGGCATGCTGGTGTGTGCCTATAATCCCAGCTATGGAGGGGGGCTGAAGCAGGAGGATCACTTGAACCTGGGAGGCGGAGGTTGCAGTGAGCTGAGATGGTGCCACTGCACTCCAGCCTGGGCAACAGAGCAAGATTCTGTCTCAAAAAAAAAAAAAAAAAAAAAGGAATGAAAGAAAAGAAAAAGAAATAGTGTTAAATAGCTCTATGAATGCTGCAGAGAGGGCTACCCCATAGGCAGTGTGTGGGGAGTATACAAAGCTTGTTCTTTGGCTCCTCAGGAAGGGGATCTTATCAAGAATATTATTCTTTTGTGGTATTGTCAGTGGAAAGGAGAGATGTAACAGCAGTCTCCGAGAGAGGGAGCCTTAGTCTCAGGAAAGAAAACTGGATCAGCTATTTTAACTCTATAGAGAAGTTTTGAAACTATAGCTTTTACATTTGTAGCCATGCATCTCTTCAGGGGTCAGAACTACGCCTTCATTTCCTATAAGGAAATCTACAAAAACCAGGGTGTTTGAATAGTTCAAAATTTGGCCAGTAGCTTGGTTGGATGAAATCCTGTTAGCCCAGGAAATGGGGCAAAAGCCAGGTCTCCTATCCAAGACCCATCAACACCTGACCCAGTGAGGTGACATGGAGGGCACCTTGGAGCTACTTAGAAGAAACCTTAGTAGAGAGCTGATGGTATAACTAGAGACAGTGATTCAGGTGGTTACACTGTGTAATAGATGAGATAAATGCCCCATTTTTACTATGAAGGGGTTACTAATAATTTTTTCTGGTTTTAAAAATTGCCATGGGAGGCCGGGCGCGGTGGCTCACGCCTGTAATCCCAGCACTTTGGGAGGCTGAGGTGGGCGGATCAACTGAGGTCAGGCATTCGAGACCAGCCTGACCAACATGGAGAAACCCTGTCTCTACTAAAAATACAAAATTAGCCGGGTGTGGTGGTGCATGCCTAAAATCTCAGCTACTCGGGAGGCTGAGGCAGGAGAATCGCTCGCTTGAACCCGGGAGGCGGAGGTTGCGGTGAGCCGAGATCGCACATTGCACTCCAGCCTGGGCAACAAGAGCGAAACTCCATCTCAAAAAAAAAAAAAAAAAGAAAAGAAAAGAATAAAGGCAGTGAGAAACAGAGATGATAAAGAAGAAACAGAAAATCTTTCTGATCATGTTCTATCTTTGAAATTCTAGTATCCTTTGAAGCCCAAACTATACTTCCTACCTTTGGAATCTGTTAAATACTCCTATTAATTATAATTTCCCCACTTCCCCTTTTTTGTTTAAGGTAACCTGAATGAGTACTTCTTACTTGGCAGTCTTAAGCCAATAATAATGCTAAAATAATTGAGCATTCATTATGCATCTTGCACCCTATTAGCATGTTACATATATTTAATGCTCAAAACTAAGATTATCCCCATTTTACATGTAAGGGTACTGAGACCCAGAAAGATTAACTTGTGTAAGGCCACACATTTAGGCAAAGCCAGAATTTAATCCAGGCAATGTGACTCTAGTACTTATGCTGGTGGTTGCCTTCACGTAGGTCCAATGTACACATCGCCTATAGAGTACAGGTTAAACTTGTACTTCAATAGCAGATAATCTCAGTCCAAATAAAAGATTTCCTAATGGTTTAGTTTCAGTCATCAAAGAATTTAAGTGAATGGAAAAAAGTATCTTAAGGCATACGTAAAGGATGGGGCCTTTAAAGAGCCCTTCCAACTTTGGAAGAAGTAAATCTGGTCCTAGTAAAAGACCATCTGCTGTACCTGAAGTCAACCAGTTCATCTGAAGAAAGGCTAAAATTCAATACACTTTTATTAGAAGCTTAAAATTGCCTGTTACTACTGATATTACAATTTCCTAGTGAAATCTTTTTTTTGTTGAGACGGAGTCTCGCTCTGTCGCCCAGGCTGGAGTGCAGTGGCGCGATCTCGGCTCACTGCCAGCTCCACCTCCCGGGTTCACGCCATTCTCCTGCCTCAGCCTCCCGAGTAGCTGGGACTACAGGCACCCCCCACCACGCCGGGCTAATTTTTTGTATTTTTAGCAGAGACGGAGTTTCACCGTGTTAGCCAGCATGCTCTCGATTTCCTGACCTTGTGATCCACCCCCCTGGGCCTCCCAAAGTGCTGGGATTACAGGCCTGAGCCACCGCGCCCGGCCTGAAATCTTAAATATTAGAATTCACATAGGATCAAGCCAGGACTCCACCTTGGATTTTTTTTTTTTTTTTTTTAGACGGAGTCTCACTCTGTCGCCAGGCTGGAGCACAGTGGCGCAATCTCGGCTCACTGCAACCTCCGCCTCCCGGGTTCAAGCGATTCTTCTGCCTCAGCCTCTGGAGTAGCTGGGACTACAGGCGCGCGCCACTACGCCCAGCTAATTTTTGTATTTTTAGTAGAGACGGGGTTTCACCATGTTGGCCAGGATGGTCTCCATCTCTTGATCTCGTGATCCTCCCGTCTCAGCCTCTCAAAGTACTGGGATTACAGGCGTGAGTCACCGCGCCTGGCCTTTTTTTTTCTTTTTTTTGAGATGGAGTCTCACTCTGTCGCCCGGGGGATGGAGTGCAGTGGCGCAATCTCGGCTCACTGCAACCTCCACCTCCCGGGTTCAAGCGATTCTCTTGCCTCAGCCTCCCGAGTAGCTGGGACTACAGGCACGTGTCACCATGCCCAGCTAATTTTTGTATTTTTAGTAGAAACAGAGTTTCGCCATGTTGGTCAGGCTGGTCTCGAACTTCTGTCCTCAACTGTTCCACCTGCCTCAGCCTCCGAAAGTGCTAGGATTACACGTGTGAGCCACTGTGCCCAGCGTGTACCTTGGATTTTAGATTACAGAGAGACAAATAATCTAAAACGATCACCTTTCTCTCTAGAACAGTGGGTTAGAGGATCCAGAAACAGACCCAAATATGTTAGGGAATACATTAAAAATGGCATTTCAAATCAGTAGAGGAAAAGAAAACTTATTAATGATGCCAAGGCAACTAGTTAAGGCAACTGAAGCATAACCTTGTCCACATTCACTAAAATTCCAGAAGGAACAAATATTTAAATGTAAGAACTGAAGCTAGGGGTAAATTATTTTTAAAATATTGGAATTCACAAAAAGCCATTCAAAGCATAAGATCCAGAGCACAGAAAAAATGAGTAATACATCTGACTACTACATAAGTACTAAAAACATGTCCATGGCAAAAAAAAAAAAAAAAACCCACAGAAAAACAACAACAAAACAGAAAAACCACCAACAAAATGAAAGTAAGTGACAAATTGGAGGGAATATTTGCAACATATTTGACAAAGGACTAATTTCCTTAATATATGGAGTTCAAACAGATTAATGAACATGATCAACAGGCTGGGTGCAGTGGCTCAAGCCTGTAATCCCAGCTTTTTGGGAAGCTGAGGTGGGCAGATGGCTTGAGCCCAGGAGTTCAAAACCAGCCTGGGCAACATGGCAAAATCCCATCTCTACAAAAAAAATTAAAAAATCAGCTGGGTGTGGTGGTGCATCCCTGTAGTTCCAGTTATTCGGGAGGCTGAGGTGGGAGGATTGTTTGGACCTGAGAGGCAGAAGTTACAGTGAACCAAGATGATGCCACTGCACTCCAGCCTGGGTGACAGAGGGAGGACTGGTTTCAAAAAAAAAAGTCAACAGCCCAATAGTAAGTGGCAAAATACATTAAAGGCCATTTTCAGGGAAAAAAATTAAAATAAAAACAGTTTATACACATATAAAAACACCCTAATTAAAGAAATGCAAATTTAAAACAATGATATACCATGTTGGGTGGGTGTGGTGGCTCGTGCCTGTAATCTCAACACTTCCAGAGGTCGAAGAATCACTTGAGGCCATGAATTCAAGACAAGAGGAACAATATAGTTAAGACCCTATCTCTTAAAAAAAATTTGTTTTTTTAAATTAGCTGGGCATGGTAGCTCATGCCTATACTCCCAACTACTTGGGAGGCTAAGGTGGGAGGATTGCTTGACCTCAGGATATTGATGGAACCACTGCACTCCAGAGCTTAGGCGGCAGGGAGACCGTCTCAAAACAAAAACAAAAAATAAAATTATATACCATGTTTAACCTACAGCTTAACAAGCAATATGATATAATGGTTAAAACTGCTGGCTCTAGAGTCAGAATACTTGGGATTAAATCCTGGCTCTACTCCTCACTGTGTATTCTCCAGTTTCCTTGGTTGGGTTGAGAACTAAATGAGAAAATGTAGTAAAGCAATTAGAACTGTGCCTGGCATGTATATAGTAACTGCTCAGTTAACATTAGTTCTACTAGTTCAATCAATTAGTTCTATTAGTTCAATTCTATTAGTTCAATTAAAATTGGTTTAAACTGAAAAAAAAAGAAAAAACGATGATGTTGAAAAGAAAGCAGAGAACTAGGCACTCATACGCCATCATACACCACTGGTAGAAGTACAAACTGGCACAATGTCTTTCAGTGGTAATTTGACATTATCTACTTATTTTATTTTATTTATTTATTTATTTTTGAGACGGAGTCTCGCTCTGTCTCCCAGGCTGGACTGCAGTGGCGCGATCGTGGCTCACTGCAAGCTCCGCCTCCTGGGTTCACGCCATTCTCCTGCCTCAGCCTCCTGAGTAGCTGGGACTACAGGCCCCCGCCACACGCCCAGCTAATGTTTTGTATTTTTAGTAGAGATGGGGTTTCACCATGTTAGCCAGGATGGTCTCGATCTCCTGACCTCGTGATCGCCCGCCTCAGCCTCCCAAAGTGCTGGGATTACAGATGTGAGCCACCGCACCCGGCCTATCTACTTATTTTAAATGCACAAACCCTTTTGACTTTGCAATGTACTTTAAAACATTTATCCTACAGATCACATATGTACATAAAAATACATACATACATATTCATAAAGATACATAGGGATTTTTCATTACAGCAATGTCCTTATTAGCAAAAGACTATAAATAAACTAAATGGTCATCCATATGGGTCTGAACAAACTATGGTGCATCCCAAAATGGAATATTATGATAAAAACATAATCCCCAAGATAGTCAAAAAGCAAATCAAAAAGCAATGTGGACAGCTCTCTCATTAGTGTTTGTATGCAGAGAAGATTTCTGGAAGGAGACACAAGAAATGAGTAACAGCAGTTGCCCTGAGGAGCAAGACTGAGAGTTGAAATCAAATGGAGATTTGCTTTTCACTGAACATCCTGTAAACATGAAATTTTTTCCATGTACATTACTTTTTCAATTGAACAAAAACTGGTTAACTTTTAAAAATGAGTGCAGTCATCATTTATCATTACATTCCTATCAGAAAGGCAGAGGGAGGCATACCAACTGAAGACAAATTCTAAGAGAAATAATGCTAGCCTATCATTGCAGATTAAAGGGCCAAAATGGATATCCTAGAGCAAAGATAGTCCTTGGTCCTTAAAGAACTCTTCTCTAGAGAGTGATAAGAACCACAGGGACTAAGCTCATGAGTTATCTTTCCAGATCTCACATTATCCAGGTATTAACTCCAGAGCCTATAAAACAAGAGCTGTTCTTCCCTCCATCTGCAGAAGCATAGGAGTGCTCTTATACTTGGTGTGTTGGTTAAGATGAGGATTTTGGGGGAAGAAGGAAAAGAGAAGGGACTGATGGATATACTTTATTTATTTTTTATTTTTTGAGACGGAGTCTCACGCTGTCGCCCAGGCTGAAGTGCAGTAGTAGCATGATCTCTGCTCATTGCAACCTCCGCCTCCCGGGTTCAAGCAATTCTCCTGCCTCAGCCTCCCGAGTAGCTGGGATTAGAGGCATGCACCACCATGCCTGGCTAATTTTTTGTATTTTTAGTAGAGACAGGGTTTCTCCATGTTGGCCAGGCTGGTCTCGAACTCCTGACCTTGTGATCCGTCTGCTTCGGCCACCCAAAGTGCTGGGATTACAGGCATGAGCCACCGTGCCCGGCCTGGATATACTTTATAATGGTCTCCTGGTCCTAATGATATCTTTGGGCAACTTATTTCTTAGTTTTTCCCTTTCATCTTGACACCTTATATATAAATTCACTTTACAATTCACAAAGCACAGTTCTACTTACTTATTAATTCTCCTAACCACCTCATAGATGGGTATTACAATACCATTTTATGAGTTTCAGAGGGGTTTCCTTGTCCCACACATATTAGGCTTATGTCCTGGCAGCCCCCCATTGAACTCTCCAAACCTGATCCTTTCCACTCTGTGATTTTCTCTCTTCATCCCTGCTCAATCTCCCTGCACCAGCACCCGATTCCATTTTATTCCAGTCAACACTAAACGCCTGTGTTCTTAGGTGCTGATTCTAGACAGTGACAGAGGAAATTTTTTAAGGACCAAGGACAAGATATGTTTTTCCTTCTGGGGACAGATTTGAGCTAGTTGCTTTTTAAATATTGTTCCTTTGTTATTCTGCCTGATAAGACAAAGTAGTGGGCCTTATAAACAGGATCTCACCAGGATTGAATACCTACTATGCTATGATATTGTCTAGACACTTTATTCATTTTATCTCACTTACCCTGTAAAAGCAGGCTCTATTATCCCCACAATACAAATGAGTTGATAGAAATTTAGTGAAGACAAGACAGTTGTTTAATGTCATATAGCTCCTATGTTCCCATGTTGAATAAGGATTCAAACCCCAGTATCTGGCTCTACAGCCTGTGGTACATTACACCATGTTGTCCAACAAGCATAGCTCTCAGGGTTACATGGTTTGTTAAAGTGGTTAAAAACCCCAATCAAAGGCCCGTGGAAGTTCTTAAGCAGGGGTAGGTTATGCCAGAAAAAAAGTAGTGGCTATTCAGCTAATTTTCTCACATTTACTCAGTCTTTCCCGTCTGTAAAATAAAAATGAATCTAAGTTCCAGAGAAAACAAATGGGGGCAGTGTGAGCCAAGGAAGTGAATAATAATAAGCAGAAGAGAAAGGCAGCCTCTGCTCATTGGTAGTCCCAGGAGGTCGGCCTTCTGCAGTTGCCAAGCAACGAGTGTAAACAGCACAAGATCATGGCCACTAACTACAGTGCCAACCAGGTAAGTTCCCATTCTCCATTTCTTTAACGTTTACTTTTGTTTTTCAGATTCTATCTTTGGACTGTCCCCTCTCATAGGATTCTGATCTTTGAACAGATAGCTGAGAGTGGAGTGAGATAATATTTTACCTCCTCAGGGATAGAGAGAGCCCAGGGGCGATCCAAAGGTATCTCTTGGTTAAATTTGTAGGGTGTAAACCAGAAGTTGGCAATTTTTTTTCTGTAAAAGGGCGGAGTGTAAAAATTTTAGGCTTTGCAGGCCAAGTGGCAAAGTCAAAAATATTCTGTAGCTACTTGCATAATTAAAGAAAAACATTTTTCCATAACATTTTTGACAAATTCAAAATATAACTGAGTACAATTTTTTGTACTACTAATGAAAATAATGGAATTTTGGGGGTTGAGAAAACATTTCACTTAACTGGGATTCAAAGTTAGTGTTCCATTTGACTGAATCAATTGTAAATGTTCATCTATAAAAATCACCCTTACTCTCAGGCCATCCCCAAACAGGCAGCAATATGGATATGGCCCATAGGCCATAGTTTACCAACTCCTGATCTAGACCAGTGCTGCCCAACAAAAAGAGTGCGACCCACAAATGTAATTTTAAATTTTCTAGTAGCTACATGAAAAAATTAAAACATAAAATTTAAATATATTGAATTTAACCCAATAAATCCAAATATTATTTCAACATTTAATCAGTATTTAAAAAATTATAATCAGACATTTTACGTTCTTTTTTTGTACTAAATCTCCAAAACCTGCTGGGTGTTGTAGCTCACGTCTGTAATCCCAACACTTTGGGAGGCTGAGGCACAAGGATCGCTTGAGGCCAGGGGTTTGAGACCACCCTGGGCAATATGGTGAGACCTCGTCTCTACAAGTAAATTTAAAAATTAGCTGGACATGGTGGCATGCACCTGTAGTCCCAGCTACCTGTGAGTCTGAGGGAGGAGGATCGCTTGAACCCAGGTGTCCAAGGCTGCAGTGAGCTAGGATCATGCCACTGACTCCAACCCAGGTGGCAGACCAAGATCCTATCTCAAAAAAAAAAAGAAAAGAAAAAAACTTAAAAATTCAGCATATTTCATATTTACAAAGCACCTCAATTTGAACTAGTCATATTTCAGGTGCTCAACAGCTCCATGTGGCTCCCGGCTCCATGCTGGACAGCACACATCTAGACCAAACAAATTACACCCTTGTCATAGTGACTTAAAGCCTACATGGTTGGTCAGGCCTTTGGTCTTCAAATCTAAAGAATTGTGCCTAGTCTTCATTTCCTGGGTTTGGGGCCTTGAAGTCTCATAGGGCTACTTATCTTTCTCTCCACAGTATGAAAAGGCTTTCTCATCCAAGTATCTGCAGAACTGGTCTCCCACTAAGCCAACAAAAGAGGTATTCCATGTTCAGTGCACCTACAAGATAGCCTCATGCTCTCCCTGTCAATTAACTCCTTTTAGCATTCTCTAAACTCCCATATCCTTCTCTGACCAAGCTCCCCAAATACTTCCCTTTTTCCCCTCACAAACCTTTATCTCTCCCACTTGTACCCCAGAGCATCTCTTCTCATGAAGGCTACACTCAAATTATTGCCAACGATCGTGGTCATCTACTGCCTTCTGTGCCCCGTTCCAAGGTGAGATACTATCTTCACTCCTATCAAGAAAGTCAAATAATTAAGGCACAGAACTGGGAGATGTGCAGTCTCTCACAGCCATTATCGGGAAAATTAAAGTTTAATCTAATTCATGTTGTAATGTGAGAGCCCCTGAACTTCCGGCCAGCTTACCCAGCAGGATAGAGTTGTGTTTAGCACCCTTCAGAAGTTCTTAAATTGATCAATGATCTGTATAAATGAAAGCCTTCAGGTGATGACATTTGTGCAGTGGGTACTCCTTTGCCACACTCGGCCTAAGGATGTGGAATTTAAGTTGGCAGAGTAAAGGGGATGAAAAAATTAGGCCTGCAAAGCCTAAATGAGGGAGGGGGATAAGGAAGGGTGGGAAGATTATGCTTTCAGTCTTGTTTCATAACCATGCATTCCTAAAGGTAAAGAAAGGAAATAATACAGAGGTCTAAGTCAGTTACTGGGAGTGAGAAGCCCTACTGAGGAATCCCTTTTCATTTTTAGGCAAATCCTTGGGGTTCCTTCATGGGCACCTGGCAAATGCCTCTGAAGATACCCCCTGCTCGGGTGACCCTGACCTCCCGTACAACTGCTGGTGCTGCCTCCCTCACCAAATGGATACAGAAAAATCCTGATTTACTCAAGGCCTCCAATGGGCTGTGTCCTGAAATCTTAGGCAAGGTATCTATTCTTCCCATCTAACCCAAAACCCTGTAGTCTCAATTTCTTTTCAACCTCAAAAAATGTCTATTGTTATGCCACCACTATCCCAGCATGGGGGACCTCTAACCAATTTGTCTTATCTTGACTAGTCCTTAATCACCTTCTGAGGCCTGAAGGGATGGGCTAAGGACATCATACCCCCAACAGTAGAAAATGATCTAATCTCAAGGTGGGGGAGGGTGGTTAGAGAAATCAAATTTAACTTTTCTTATTTGAAACTTGATCTACTGCCCATGGTATGGGGAGAAAGGGAGTTAGAATCCTGAGGTGCATTAGGAATGATCCGGGCCTGACCAGAGACATGACTATCTCTCCCACTCTTATCACTGACAGCCCCATGATCCAGACAGTCAGAAGAAACTCAGAAAGAAGTCTATCACAAAGACTGTACAACAAGCACGAAGTCCAACCATAATTCCAAGCTCCCCAGCTGCCAACCTCAATTCCCCAGATGAACTCCAAAGCTCACACCCCTCTGCAGGTCATACTCCAGGTCCCCAAAGACCAGCCAAATCCTAAGAGCCCACCTGGAAGTCCACGTATGCTAGAACTCTGGGCAGGGCCTAATCTAGCTGAGGTCCAGAAATACAAACCTGGAACTTCATATGGACCAAGTGGCCACACACTGAAAAACCCGTATAGCGACTCAGTGAAATAAACAAGAGCCCCCAGTCAGAACTGTGAAACAGGGAAATTTTGGGGTGGGAGTAAAAGCAAATTTGGAAAATAAACTTTTTTTTGTTGAATCTTTTACTGATCTGGATTTTCCATTCTTGCTATGGCTGCCTCTTGTAACACAATTAGGAGAAGGAAGGTAGGAGAAAATAAAGTAGGGAAAAGAACATACAGTGGTTTGGGTGGAACACATTTTTACAAGAATTGAGTCAGTTATACTCCAGAAATGACCAAGAGAAAGTTGGTCTGAATCATGGAAAAAGGGCAGAACCTCAAAGAACCAGTCCCTCAACCCTACCCACTCATTTTTTATCCTGAGCATGGACAACTAACAACTACAAAATCAGAAATAGAATTGAGTAGAGTATGTATATGTGTGTTTGGAGAAGGTGGGGAAGAAAAGGTAGGGAAAACCAAAGTAGAAGATACTATGCTTGTGTAAGACTTTCTATCTAAGCCCAAGTACAAATATAGTTTGAAAATTGAAGATATTAAAGTGATTGGAAGACAGAGAAGAAAAAGACAGTAAGTAGAAATTTAAGGCAGAATAACAAACATGATGCTCTGTCACACCCCCCACCCACCCACTACCATGCTTCAATCACCCAAATGGTACGAAACCACCAAAAAATTCAACTGCCCTACCCATTTTCCAGCCTCTAACAGCTGTTTATCATTGACCCCATTTTATATTTTCCTGGCACTGGCTGTTAAATTTAATGCCCTTGCCAAACCTTTCCCAGTCCCAATGACAAAGTGTTCTGTCATGATCACTTGTCCCTCATTCCAAGGACAAAGTAGAGAACAGCTGGTTTAAAATGGAGGAAAGGTACAAGGACTTCCCAGGGCCCCTCTAGTAAAAAGGGAAAACCAATCATTACTTAAAGCCAAATACTATTTGGGACCCTGAATGAAGACTGTTAAAACAGCGGGTCCCCACCTTAACTAAGGTCTTCCTATCCAATTGACACCAGCCAGTTAACATTTCCCCTCTTCGACCCACAGCTTTAACTGGCTGGCCAACAACTCGAAGTGACAGATGAGATAAGTCTCTTATTCCAGAGTTCCCAAAAACTATCAAAACAGCATGCCTGCTAAAGCCTGGCCTATATGGATTTTAAAAGCAGCAAGTTTTCTCATTAAATTATACATTTTTGCCAGGTTTTCAACAATCCCTTCTTTTTTAAAAAAAAACTCTATGCTTCATTCACCCCAAGCCTATAACCTCAGGTCATCATCCCCTAGCTGTCACCAACACTGGTCCTCTGTGCCCCTCAATGAATCATAATTTGCTGAACTGTACCATGAAGCTTATAATCAGTCCTTAATGGGATTTTGGTGCCTATAACCCAAAAGCACTCTACATGCGTCACTTCTTTTCTTTTTCTCCTTCCTTCTCTGAGGCTTTTCTGTGATATTTAAATCTCTGGCTAAGTTCTATCTGATTCCCTGAAAACTTTTCCAATGATGAGATGTAGGAGAACTGTTTCCCTCCTGGTAAAGGTCAGATTGCGGGGAGAGGGAGGATGTAAATGCCTGAGACCCGAGGGAAGAGGAGGAAATTGGTTCCTTCCCAACAGCCATTTTCTTGGTTTCTCTAGATTTCAAGGAGAGTCAAAGATAAAATGAGTATTTAATTCAGTTTCAGAAAAAAAGGGTACATTACTTCGATGAGAAAGCATAAAATTAAGAGGCTTTTCTGGAAATCCAAGAAAAAGAAATAACCATTAATATGTTCAATGATAATTTTCTAGATCTTCCTCGTGTCCAAAGCTATATATTTTCTCCTCAAAAGCAGCTGCTCCAAGAACTAACTAGCCCTCTTTATCTCCCTCTAGCTGGGACAGACTAATTCCCCTCCACCCCCACCTCTCTTCTTTCAATAACACTGTGTAGGTGTTAATGGCCTGGGCTCTCACCAATGAAGAGAATTGTCCTTTAAGCCAGCAACCCACAGGCAGTGGCACCCAAAGCCTCACCAACCCACCCCCCAACCCGGCCCATCCCCAGGGCAGAAGCCACAGAGCTGGCATTGTTTCCACTGTCTCAGGAAGAAGGAGCCAAAAGCTGACCCTCAGCACAAATCAAAGCCCAATATGGAGAGAGAATAACTGCTTCTAGGCCGAGAGTAGGCAAGCTGTGGGCAAAAAAGGGGAGTTTTTGCAGCCACCTCATCTTTAGAAACAAGGGGAAAACTAGACCCTTTTCCACTATTATGGTCTACCAGGTACTCTACTGCTCCAAGGAGATCTGAAAATACAAAAGGATCTAAACAAAT
The DNA here is from genome assembly GCF_000001405.40 of Homo sapiens. NCBI lineage: Eukaryota > Metazoa > Chordata > Mammalia > Primates > Hominidae > Homo > Homo sapiens. The sequence continues at coordinate 161,362,530 of NC_000001.11, read as the reverse complement.
AAGGAGAACTTTTCCCAGGCTGGAGATAAGAATGACAAACAGAAAGATGGGTGAATGTAATAATGTGTAGGAAGATGATGCTGGGAGCCTCCTTTCTTCACATGGCTGCCAGCCCCATAGAGGACAACACAGTAAGAACCAGGACAACCACTCCAGACTGGTATAGCTGGGGAATCTTCAGGCCTTTTCCTAGGTCCCACATCTGTGGACAAAGCAAAAAAAAAAAAAAGGAATTTCAGTAAATAGGACATTAACAGTTCCTGTCTCAGAAAGTAATTCTACCTAAAGGAATAGATATCTCCTCTCAGCATGATTCTAGAGAAAAGCGCTTCTACCCTTATGCCCCACCTTTACCCTTCTCAAAACCCACAGTATGGAACCTATTATCCACTTATTCCAATGACAGAAAATCAGGTTCTATTGTGTGGTGATGGTAGGAGGAATGTTCTCTAGAATGCCACAGGCCCCATACGGTATACAAAAGCTTCCAGAATGAATAGATACAACTTTTCCTCAGGACCACACATCTAGATTAATGTTTCTCAAGGTGTATTCTTCCAAACACTTGCTCTCAGAATGTTGAAAGCCATTGTATGGGCCAAAAAAAAAAAAGTTCTGTGGTCATACAAAGTTCATAAACATTTAACTGCAAGACTTTCTAAACAGTTTTTTTTTTTTTTTTTTTTTTGAGACGGACTCTCACTCTGTCGCCCAGGCTGGAGTGCAGTGGCATGATCTCAGCTCACTGCAAGCTCCACCTCCCAGGTTCATGCCATTCTCTTGCCTCAGCCTCCCAAGTAGCTGGGACTAGAGGCACACGCCACCACGCCTGGCTAATTTTGTTTTTGTATTTTTAGTAGAGATGGGGTTTCATCGAGTTAGCCAGGATGGTCTTGATCTCCTGATCTCGTGATCTGCCCGCCTTGTCCTCCCAGAATGCTGGGATTACAGGCGTGAGCCACTGCGCCCAGCCTCTTACAGTTTACTAATGCACACTGTGAATCTCCAAAAGAGAGATATAATATGCCTGATTTCCTAGATACAGTCAATCTCAGAATCTTTTTATAGAGGGAAACTCTATTTATCAGAGGACTAGTATTCTAAAGGATACTCTGAGATCTAGAACACTATTTCTCAATTTTGTTTTGACTGTGACTCCACTAAGAAATACCTTTAAAACTGGAACCCAATAGATATGTATATATAATATAGCAAAAGTTGATAAAACAATATTTACCATTACTAAGTGGTGCCATATATATACAAGTATATATTTATATATTTTATATATAAATAAACTTCATTAAAAAACATATATTTTCTCCTTTTTGTGGAGAACGGGGTCTCATTATATTGTTCAGGCAGGTCTTGAACTCCTGGACTCAAGCTATCCTCCTGCCTCTGCTTCCCTAAAAGCTGGCATTACGGGCGTGAACTTCTGCACCCAGCCACTCCAGTGGCGCCATCTTGGCTCACAGCAACGTCAGCCTCCCAGGTTCAAGCGATTCTCTTGCCTCAGCCCTGCCAGTGGCTGGGACTACAGGCGCATGCCACCATGCCAAGCTAATTTTTGTATTTTTAGTAGAGATGGGGTTTCACCATGTTGGCCAGGATGGTCTCAAACTCTTGACCTCAAGTGATACACCCTCCTCAGCCTCCCAAAGTGCTGGGATTACAGGCATGAGCCACCACGCCCAGCCCCAGCCTATATTTTCTATTCTATTTAAATTTCTTTTTTTGTTGGTAGCATGCCACTAAATTGGTTTTCTACCAATTGAGTTAAAACCCACTTTTCTTTTTAATACTAAAAAATAGAGATAGACTCTTGTTATGTCTTGCCCAGGCTAGTATTGAACTCCTGGGCTCAAGCAATCCTCCCGCCTCAGCCTCCCAAAGTGCTGAGATTACAGGTGTGAGCCATCTCACCCAGCCCCTACCCCACCACCCACCCCCACTTTTTTTTTTTTAATTTTTTGAGACAGGGTCTCACTTTGTCACCTAGGCTGGAGTGCAGTGGCACAATCTCAGCTCACTGAGGCCTTGACCTCCCAGGTTCAAGCAATCCTCCTGCCTCAGCCTCCCAAGTAGCTGGGACTACAGGCACCCATCACCATGCCCAGCTAATTTTTTGTATTTTTGGTAGAGATGAAGTTTTGCCACGTTGCCCAGGCTAGTTTTGAACTCCTGAGCTCAAGCAATTCACCTGCCTTGGCCTCCCAAAGTGCTAGGGTTACAGACATGAGCTACCATGCCCCCAGCCCCACATTTAACAAAACACTAATTTTGACTCTCTTGTGTCTTAGGGATATTAACATATTAATATTATATTATAAGTCACTAAATGAGCCCATGGGGCAAAAGCAGTCTTCATTTTCCACACTTCCCACATACATGGCGCCTTAACACACACATACACACATACACCCACAGTCTGAATGTAAAACTGCCTAAATTAGGAGTCAGTTCAGAGAAAAGATGGAAGCCCAGAAAAAAAAAAAAAAATCAAGATGAGAAGATGCCTCCACCTCAACCCTCAAATTGCTTCTAACTAGGAGATTAGGAGTCAAGCAGATTCCACAAAGAGTTGTTTTGCTTAAATAAGGACAATGTTTTATAGAGAGTGAGTCCTACTGGGTAGCAGTAGTAGGCAGGGATATTCCCTAGAATGCCACAGACCCTATAACATCCTACTCTTTCACTCCTCACTCCCCCATTAGATCTTCTGGCAAGTCAACTATCAAGTTCAGAGGCCAAAAACTGCAGACTGTCACAGAAAACACAAAATCCTGTCCCACACTCACAGCCAGTACTTGCTAGAAGAAAAAATAAAAGCAGACTTAAGGACCCTTAGGTTCTTCACTTCCCTCAACAAAAAGATTACCATCACAGGCAAGAACCAGGGCAGAAAAGCTCTAAGTTCTGCAATTTTATAAAACCTCCCCTCTCTTACCCCCATATTGAGACAAAGACAAATATAGGGCAAGTCTCTGTCTGAGCCAAAATATGAACAGAGGAAGCTGATCAGCTGATTTTCTTTACAGAGCTTTGTTCTGTGGAATAGGAAGTCATTAATGGAAATGTCCTCCCTCTCTACTGCCTCCCCCTCAGGGAAGTAAAAAGTCATTTTAAATCAAACTGAACACTGCCCCAGGGAACAGTTGATACAGACACTTAATTTAATAAGTAATTTAGTCTCTCATTTTTTTTATTCCATTAAACTGTCTATTGGACCAGACTGAAATCCAGAAAGTGCTTGTCTCTAAGGCTATGATTTGGAAGTAATAAAAAGTCAAATTAAGGCAAAAGCATCCATCTGACAGTTGACTCAGATTCAGAAGTAATGAAAATACAGAAAGAACTGAATTTTAATTGCCTTCTTGGAAGCAAAACTAGGGAGACTACAAAATATAAAATCTTTTCTTTTTTTTTTTTTTGAGACTGAGTTTCACTTTTGTCACCCAGGCTAGAGTGCAGTGGCATGATCTTGGCTCACTGCAACCTCTGCCTCCTGGATTCTCCTGCCTCAGCCTCCCAAGTAGCTGGGATTACAGGCACATGCCACCACCCCCAGCTAATTTTTGTATTTTTTTTTTTTTTTTTGAGACGGAATTTCGCTCTTGTTGCCCAGGCTGGATGGAGTACAATGGCATGATCTCAGCTCACTGAAACCTCTGCCTCCCGGGTTCAAGCAAGTCTCCTGCCTCAGCCTCCCGAGTAGCTGGGATTACAGGCATGTGCCACCATGCCCGGCTAATTTTGTATTTTTAGTAGAGACAGCGTTTCTCCATGTTGGTAAGGCTGGTCTCGAACTCCCGGCCTCAGATTATCCGCCCGCCTCGGCCTCCCAAAATGCTGAGATTACAGGCGTGAACCACTGTGCCCGCCTATTTTTTTTTTAGATGGGGTCACTCTGTCACCCAGGCTGAAGTGCAGTGGCACAATCTCGGCTCAGTGCAACCTCCGCCTCCCAGGCTCATTCGATCCTCCCACCTCAGCCTTACGGGTAGCTGGGACCACAGGCGCACACCACCATACCTGGCTAATTTTAGAAACCAGTTTTGAGCAGACGATGAGGTCACATAGGAGGCAACATGGACAGTTTCCAATCTATTAAATGATTCCTGCCATGTGCAGTGGCTCGCGCCTGTAATCCCAGCACTTTGGGAAGCCAAGAGTTCAAGACCAGGCTGGCCAACATGGTGAAACCCCATCTCTACTAAAAAATACAAAAAAAAAAAAATTTGCTGGGTGTGGTGGCAGGCACCTGTAAGGCTGGCCAACATGGCAAAATCCCGTCTCTACTAAAAATACCAAAAAAAAAAAAAAATTAGCTGGCCGTGGTTGTGGGCACCTGTAATCTCAGCTACTTGGGAGGCTAAGGCAGGAGAATCACTTGAACCTGGGAGGTGGAGGTTGCAGTGAGCTGAGATTGCACCATTGCACTCCAGCCTGGGCAATGGAGCAAGACTCTGTCTCAAAAAAAAAAAAAAAAAAAAAAGATTCCTAACCTCAATATTGAAACCTGGAATTCTTGGCACCCAGTTTCTATTAAAGTTGGCCCAATTCTGTCCAACATCTCAAAACAGAAATGCAATATAATGTGTAGATAAGAAAAGGTAATCTATTTGAGTCCTGTCAGAAGCACTACTCTGGGTCAACAGGAACGGAAGAATGAAAGCAGCAACAATGGTTATCTAGCTCATAACTGAATCCCCAGTGTCTACAACAGTACCTGACACATAAATAGGTACCAATTAATATTTATGTCATAAACATGCATTCTATGCCTTCAGGGATCTCTTTTAAATATCCCTCTTAAAAATGAAGAGTTCAGCAGGGCACAGTGGCTCACGTCTGTAATCCTAGCACTTTGGGAAGCTGAGAGGGGTGGATCACAAGGTCAGGAGTTTGAGACCAGCCTGGCTAACATGGGGAAACCCCATCTCTACTAAAAATACAAAAAATTAGCCGGGCGTGGTGGGAGGCGCCTGTAGTCCCAGCTGCTCGGGAGGTTGGGGCAGGAGAATCTCTTGAACCCAAGAGGTGGAGTTTGCAGTGACCCAAGATCGCGCCAACTGCACCCCAGCCTGGGAGACAGAGCGAGACTTTGTCTCAAAAAATAAAATTAAATTAAATTAAAAAAGGAAGAGTTCCCAATGAGACCCTGCAAGTATCTGTGAGGCCTATACCATTGCTCAGCTACACCACCAGCAGGACTGCCAGGTAACACACAGGGGAACTTGTGAACTTGTCTGGCTTTCCCCAAGAGGACTCTGAGTCACAACTAACCTTAAGAACAGCACTAGCTGGGCGCGGTGGCTCACGCCTATAATCCTAGCACTTTGGGAAGCTTAGGCAGGCGGATCACTTAAGGCCAGGAGTTTGAGACCAGCCTGGCCAACATGGTGAAACCCCATCTCTACTAAAAATACAAAAACCAGGAGTGGTGGCATGCGTCTATAACGCCAACTACTTAAGAGGCTGAGGCACAGGAATCTCTTGAACCCAGGAGGCAGAAGTTGCAGTGAGCTGAGATCGCACCACTGCACTCCAGCCTGGGCAATAGAGCGAGACTCCACTCTTGGGAAAAAAAAAAAAGAACAGCACTAAACCCAGTAATGAAGGAAAGAATCCTCCCAGTCTCCCCACTCCCTTCACAGAGAAAATGTGCAAATCCCGAATTAACTTACCAAGTGTCGGATCCCATTCCAGGTATGATACATGAGAGGGAAGACAAGTGCAAACTTAGCTGTGTGGATCAGTGCTGGCCCCAGACACAGGGACTTCACAAGTTCCAAATAAGACTCAAAGTTCCCAGGGAGTAACAGGGCCGACATGCCAAAAAGAGAGACCCCTGAGGAGAAAACCAAGTAGCTTGTCACAGCTGCTCATAAGTTACAACTAATATGATACATAAAACTGGGACCCCTGGCACCTCATACAATTCTAAACCATTTTGAAATGGAGAAGATTTTTGTTTTCTTTTTTTCTTGAGACAGAGTCTCATTCTGTCACCCAGGCTGGAGTATAGTGGTGCAATCTTGGCTCACTGCAACCTCCACCTCCCAAGTTCAAGCGAGTCTCCTGCTTCAGCCTCCTGAGTAGTGGGGATGACAGGTGCCCACCACAACGCCCAGCTAATTTTTGTATTTTTAGTAGAGACAGGGTTTCACCAAGTTGGCCAGGCTGGTCTCGAACTCCTGACCTCAAGTGATCTGCCCACCTTTGCCTCCCAAAGTGCTGAGATTACAGGTGTGAGCCACTGCACCCGGCCTTGAAAAGGAGAAGATTTAAACTCATGTTCAAGTTTATGATGGGAGACAGACTACTTGGGATCTCATCATAAACTAAATGTGCCATATGTTTTAGTATGTTATTCCTCCTTTCAACATCCGTCTCTATAAAAACTTCACTTGCCAGTTTAGACATCAAGCCTTGCTATATCATCTAGTTCATCATCTAACTAAGAAAAGGTAAAAACAGTGTACTCAGTCCAGAGAAGAGTCAGAAAAAAAATTAGGTTCTCTTTTTTTTTTTTTTTTTTTTGAGACAGAGTCTCGCTCTGTTGCCCAGGCTAGAGTGCAGTAAGCGTGATCTCAGCTCACTGCAACCTCCGCCTCCTGGGTTCAAGCCATTCTTGTGCCTCAGCCTCCCAGGTAGCTGGCCTTATAGATGCATGCCACCATGCCTCGCTAATTTTTGCATTTTTAGTAGAGACAGGGTTTTGCCATGTTGGCCAGGCTGGTCTCAAACTCCTGGCCTCAAGTGATTCGCCCACCTCAGCCTCCCAAAGCGCTGGGATTACCAGCATGAGCCACTGCGCCTGGCCCTTTTTTTATCTTTATCTTCTAGTGTTGCTACCTCTGAAGAGAGGAAAAATTTTAAATCATTCAAATCTCTATTACACAAAAATTTAAATTAAAATGAATTAGAGACCTAAATGCTAGAACTAAAACTATAAAACTCTTAGTAGAAAGCATAGAAATAAATCTTCATGATCTTGGATTAGGCAGTGGTTTCACAGATGACACCAAAATCATAAATGACAAAAGAAAAAACAGATGAATTGGATTTCATCAAAATTACTAACTTTTGTGCTGCAAATAATACCATCAAGAAAGTGAAAAGACAACTCAAAGGAATGGGAGAAAATATTTGCAAATCATGGAGGACTTTTATCCAGAATACATAAAAAACTCTTACAACTCAATCAATAAAATGACAAATGGATCTGAATAGACATCTTTCCAAGGACGATAAATAAATGGCCAATCAGTGCATGAACAGGTGCTTAACATCATTAGCCATTAGACAAATGCAAATCAAAACCATAATGATATAATGTAACTGCTATGTGTATATACTTGGAAGATTATTTCCCTATGTGAAAGAAAAAGTATGAATATTTTAATGTCTGACAGGGCTGCATTATCTGTTGGAGCTCAGTGGCTATCGACCACCAATGACTGAGAAATCAAGTATAACAAATATGAAACTCAAATTAGAAATAAGATGTTATCTTGGCTGGCACGGTGGCTCATGCCTGTAATCCCAACACTTTGGGAGGCCAAGGTGGGCAGATTATTTGTGGTGAGGAGTTCAAGACCAGCCTGGGCAACATGGTGAAACCCCATCTCTACTAAAAATACAAAAATGAGCCAGTTGTGGTGGCGCACACCTGTAGTCCCAGCTACTCAGGAGGCTGAGGCAGGAGAAACTCTTGAACCTGGGAGGTGGAGGTTGCAGGAAGCTGAGATCGCACCACTGCACTCCAGCCTGGGCAACAGAGTGAGGCGTGAGGCTCCATCTCAAATGACAAAACACACACACACACACACACACACACACACACACACACACACACACAAAGAAATAAGACATCATCTGTAAAATGGGAATTAAAAAAAAAAAAAGAAAAAAAGAAGAGGCCAGTTGTTTCCCATAATCACCAAAAAATATTTTGGGGAAGCAAAAAAGAGTACCCACATCACAACTCCCAGAGACCCTGATTTGATAGTTTGGGATCATTGCTAGAACTGTGGTTTCCAAACTACACCAAGCTGCCCTGGGGTACCAAAGCAAACTCACAGGTCCTACAGGATATTTTACATATTCAAATGAAACACAGTGATACTTAACATCTGTTGGTCATCATGTGAACCACTACTAGCTCAAGGTAGTTCAGTTTCAACATTAGATGTTAGATTTCTTTCAATGATCACATCTTTGCAAAGCTGGGTTTTCAGCAAAAATGAAGTACTGTGTGAAAATCACTGTGGAACAAGAAATGAGGGTGGCAGTATCCAATCTGATTTCTAAGGTTGGAGGAGTTGTATAATATCCAACAGCATATACATCCTATTAGTAAGTAATTATGATTGGCTGGGTATGGTGGCTCATGCCTGTAATCCTAGCAATTTAGGAGGCTGAGGTGGGAGGATTACTCGGGCCCAGGAATTCAAGACCAGCCTGGGCAACATAATGAGACCCTGTCTCTACTAAAAATAAGACAAAAAATAAAAACAAAAATAAAAAATATTAGCCAGGCACAAAGTGAGCTGTGATTGTGCTACTGCACTCCAGCCCAGGTAACAGAGTGAGATCTTGTTTCAAAAACAAACAAACAAAAAAGTATGATTATTTAAGAATGAAATAAAAATATTTTTTTCTTTCCATTTATGTGGATGATTTTGTTTTTGCTTTTGTTTTTCATAGAGACGGGGTCTTGCTATGTTGCTCAGGCTGGTCTCTAACTCCTGGGCTCAAGCGATCCTTCTGCCTTGGCCTCCCAAAGCACTGGGATTATAGTTGTCAGCCACTGTGCCCAGCCTATGTGGATGATTTTTTTTAAAAAATGTCTACTCAATGGCTAAGAAATAAATAAGCTGTTTGGATCTAACAAACTAATAAAACAAAAGTGTTAGGTATTTACCTTGACTTAGGAGCACCATGAAAATAATTACTGAAGACACTGAGGTAAACCTGAACTCAAACAGTTTGATGAACATTTGGGAGGAAGATATGACTCAAGAGGGTTCAGAGTCTTTGACACTCTGGATAGATGATAAGCTATTATAGAAGACTGCAGGAACCCCTCTTTTGGTAGTTTTGATAGGAAATTCAAAACTATCTTTTGAATTTCAGTGCCAGCACAAAGCTCTGAAACTTCAATAGCCAAATATATGCCTTAGATATCTGGGCAAACTCATCCCTGATCTATGCATCAAATAGGACAACAGGCTCACAGCTGAGTCCCAGGGATGGCCACCCACACCAATATTAACCAACAGAAAACCAGACCCTGATATGGTGTTATCCTAGGATAACACCACCTACTCTCAAATGACCTACGAGAGTCAAAACTCTTGGAAATACTAGGATGTGAATAACAGTGTCTTCAGCTTTTGTTTTCCTATGAATAATACAGAATTATGTCAATTAGTTTAATCAATTCAAAAAGAGAAGACTGCCTCTAAATAAGTCAAATGTTCTCAAAATCATTCTACTACTACATACCCCCACACCAATTTTTTCTTTTTTCTTTTTTTTTCTTTGAGACGGAGTCTCGCTCTGTCGCCCAGACTGGAGTGCGGTGGCACGATCTCAGCTGACTGCAACCTCCGCCTCCCAGGTTCAAGCAATTCTCCTGCCTCAGCCTCCCGAGTAGCTGGGACTACGGGTGTGTGCCACCACGCCCGGCTAATTTTTTTGTATTTTTAGTAGAGACGAGGTTTCACTACATTAGCCAGGCTGGTCTCAAACTCCTGACCTCAGGTGATCCACTCGCCTTGGCCTCCCACCCACCTCGGCCACTTCAGTTTCTTAAGCTCTTAAATGAAGATACTCCTGTTTCTCAGATTATTATGAGGGTTAAATAATTATGTAAATGTTTAGTAAATAATGGCTATAGCAATAGTTGTATTTGAATTAGGTATTTTTCTGATGGGTTGAGTCCTTAAACAAAAAACATAAAATGATACAGTCTCTGGATATACATAGAATACTGGTTATTTCTGACTGGCGGGATTATGGGCAACTTTTCTAAGTATACATTTGTATAATATTTTCATTCTTGGTAATATGTTCTTGTAATCAGGAAAAATTTTTTTTTATACAAATCTCTGGGAGGTCAAGGAGATCTGGGATCATTACCAGATTCCAAGCCAGATATAATCAGGAGAGAGATCATTTTGGCTGGCTGCCTCACTAATTTTCAAAAAAGGCTCTACCTCTTCAAACAGGAATATTAATCAGTTAATTCAATTGAAAGCTACTTTAGCCAAAGCTTTCATCACTACAAGTGAAAAACATATGAGAATTAAATATGAGATTTTCTGAATTCTCCTCTGATGTTCAGTATATTGGGCATCAGGAAACTGACCCCACTCCTAGAATCTGAGTGCCTCAGAGAGTCCTCTAACAGCTGAACAATTTCAATTGGGAAAATAAAGCCACTGAAGCTGTCCTATCTAATCACTGAGAAAAATTAAATAGTGCTTTTTCTTGACTGCCAAGACCAGTTCCTGCTGGATCCACCCCAGTTAAGTCCTATATATGTAACTGTGCGGACTGTCAGCAAGTCCTATTGTCACTTCCAGAAGTCATCATAAGCTCTTTCAGACACTTCTTCCTAGAAAGCCCATGCAGATGTCACAGCAAATGAAAAGAAAACATCTAAAAGAGCCTTCATGAAGCTGTCCAACTGATGATTAAAACTCAGTGTGACAGCACATAACTGTTCTTTTATTTCCAGTGTTGTCACACTAATCTCATCATGATGTATTCTGCCCATCTGCTTCCCCACAACCTCTCTTGAGGTCAAGAGTACTCACGTACTGAGGTAAAGTAAAGCATTTCTGAGAAGCATTTTCTCTTCTGGTAAGAGTTTTGCCAGGTCATCCCAACTTGGTAATGCAAGGACTAAGATGTAGCAGTCAGCAGTTGTGAAATAGGAAGGGCTGAGAAGGACTTGTTTAACTACAAATATCACACATTTTCTGAGAGGTATAAGATTAACTATTCTGATTATTAATGTAAATAATAATCACCACCAAGCCTGTATTAGGAATTTCAAATATAGTATTTAATTTTTATAATCCTTAACAGGCATTATTTTAAGTAGAAAAAGAAATGATGATGTAGCAGAGTGAAAAGTAACTACAAGATCTCTCAAGAGATCTCAAAGATGACAAGAACTCTTGGTGCATTTTCTACAGCCCAAAGCCTACCTTCAGGCTTGTCAAAATTACAAGAGACTAAAGTATAGAAGATAGATGGCAAAACCTCTTCTAATAACCAAAATCCAAGACCCAGAAAGCCAAATTAAAAATTAGCAGATTAGAGCAAATGGAGGAACTAATTTTGACAGAAATGTCATTTAGGCCAAGTTGAGGCTGGATAAACCGGAATCACACGTGCACCACACACACTTCTCCACTGACTGGATAATTTGTGCCTTCCAGGTTCAATGCCTCTCTCCTTTGGACTCTAGAGAATAAACACTGAATATTTGGTTCCTTGGCCTTCTCTTTTTTCCTTTTTTGTTTCTGATTACCCATTTCCCTCTTACTGTCACCACCACTCATCTCATTCTTTGCCCCTCCCAAGAGGCAGGTCAAACCCAAATGCCTAAGGAGCCAAACGGATGTGTGAATCAAGCAGAGTATAAGGCAATTAAGGCCATATAGACTAGTGGTGCTCATAGAAAACTGTTGGAAAGGGGAAGTATGTATGTTCCACCTAAATGCACTCAAATTCCATTTCTTTTCATCACAGCACAAAGAAACAAAGTACATCTGTTGACCAAACATGGCCCACAGGCTGCCAGTTTGTATCCTGAGAAAGAATATAATACTACCAACTGAATTATTGCCTTACTTAATTTCAATCACATTCCGGTCTTATGTCTCTAACACATTTGGGCTATCTTTGATTTTTTTTAAAAAATACCTTTATTGGGTATAATTGAAACATGAAAAAATTGTACATATTTAATGCATATGTTTTTATGAGTCTGGAACTTTTGTTGATGTTTTAAGCTACACTACATTACTCAGTGACATGCATAAACTTTTTCTCAAATGGAGAGCAAATCATATCCACTGTGAAAGAATTTATACTAGTTTTAAGGTCTCTAAATTCTAACTGTTGCCCCCATACACAGCAAAAAGGTATTATCCAGGCTGAGCATGGTGGCTCACGCCTGTAATCCCAGCACTTTGGGAGGCCAAGGTAGGCGGATCACTTGAGCTCAGGAGTTGAGACCAGCCTGGGCAACACTGTGAAACCTCATCTCCATTTTTAAAAAATTGTTTAAAAACGAGGCCGGGTACATGGATCACCCTTGTAAACCTAGCACTTTGGGAGGCCAAGGCAGGTGGATCACCTGTAGTCAGGAGTTCAAGACTAGCCTGGCCAACATGGTGAAACCCCGTCTCTACTAAAAATACAAAATTAACCAGGCATGGTGACGCGTGCCTGTAATCCTAGCTACTGGGAAAGCTGAGGCAGGAGAATCACTTGAACCCAGGAGGTGGAGGTTGCAGTGAGCCGAGATTATGTCACTGCACTCCAGCCTGGGAGACAAGAGCGAAACTTGGTCTCAAAAAAATTTTTTTAAACTAAAGAGAAAAAAAAGGTATTATCCAAATTTGTGGACAAAAATACTGAGGCTTGGTGGCAGGTGTGGTGACAAATAACTTTTTCAAGGTAAGGTCTCACAGTTAGTGACAGAGTTAGAATTGAACTCAGATCTGTCTCATTCCAAAGTGCACTTTTTTCACTTTTTCTACACTCAGTCTGGAATAACCAGGATTTCTAAAGTATAACAGATGATATTTAAGAATCAATAACTAATATCCCATCTCATGACAGAAGAAAAACACAGTCATTTTCAAAGCCCATCAGTTACTTTATGAATCTGTAAATCTTTTGGCTTTTCTAGAGAATAGGCTACCTGCCTGAGCAGCAGGTTTGCCTACAAATTCAGGCAATCTCTCACAAAAGTTCTGATTCTTCCATCTGACCCTGTTTTTATTTTATTTTTTATTTTTATTTATTTTTATTTTTGAGATAAAGTCTCGCTGTCACCCAGGCTAGAGTGCAGTGGCATGATCTCGGCTCACTGCAACCTCTGCCTCCTGGGTTCAAGCGATTCTCGTGCTTCAGTCTCCCAAGTAGCCCACGTTACAGGAATGTGCCACCTACACCCAGCTAATTTTTTATATTTTTAGTAGAGATGGGATTTCGCCATGTTAGCCAGGCTGTTCTCAAACTCCTGGTCTTAAGCAATCCACCTGCCTTGGCCTCTCAAAGTGCGGGGTTTACAAGCGTGAGCCACAGCACCTGGCCTGACTGTTTTTAAAGACTACCCAAAACATGCAGGACCATTCTTATATCCATTCAAGCTAATTGTACAATTCATATACAGATACATGAATATCTGTATATATTGGTTCAAAGCTTAAAATATCTGTTGTTTAGTATCTTTATTCTCTCTTCCTAATCTCATGCTTTATGTTGTATGTTTTATCTTGTTATTTATGATTTCCTAGACTCATTCATTATTGCAACTTCAGCTATCTGCCATTCTCAAGGCATGTACCTAAATTCAACTAGACTTTTATAGGAAAAAGTCAAATAGACTTTTTCTGTCACTATGAAAAATCCTGAGTATTTTTATTTATTTATTTTTGAGACAGAGTCTCGCTCTGTCACCCAGGCTGGAGTGCACTGGTGCGATCCTAGCTCACTGCAACCTCTGCCTTCCAGGTTCAATTCATTCTCCTGGCTCAGTCTCCCAAGTAACTGGGATTATAGCCATGCGCCACCCACAACTGGCTAATTTTTTTTTTTTTTTTTTTTTGGATTTTTAGTAGAGATGGGGTTTCACTATGTTGGCCAGGCTGGTCTCAAACTCCTGATCTCAGGTGATCCACCCGCCTCAGCCTCCCAAAGTGCTGGGATTACAGCCATGAGCTACCGCACCCAGCCCTGAGTATTTTAATCTTTATGGATCCTAAGCAATATAAGAGTGCTATTAGTCTCCTCTTTCAACCTTTCAAAACATTGCAGGCCAGGCGCAGTAGCTCATGCCTGTAATCCCAGTACTTTGGGAGGCAGAGGCAGGCGGATCACTTGAGGTAAGGAGTTCAAGACCAGCCTGGCCAACATGGTGAAATCCCGTCTCTACTAAAAATACAAAAATTAGCCAGGCATGGTGACACATGCCTGTAGTCCCAGCTACCTGGGAGGCTGAAGCAGGAGAATTGCTTGAACCCAGGAGGAGACAGAAGTGCAGTGGGCCACGATGGCACCATTGCACTCCAGCCTGGGCGACAGGGCAAGACTCCATCTCAAAAAAAAACAAACAAACAAAAATTGTCAAGTTTCTTTTTAATAAATTCTATTTTAAAGTCAAACTAGTGTTAACATGCTTTTTAAAATTTATATATTAGCCATAAAATCTCTATAGTTAAAATAAATAACTTATTTTGTATTTATCCAGGAGGCCAGCTTGTCCTGTTACTGGAACAAAAGAGCACATGAACTTTTAATGGCTTTTCATGGTCTACAGCATGGCAGTCAAAGTCCTTCACCATTTGGCCCACTTTCTAGCCTTATCTTCTGTCACTTCTCCCATAAACATCATTCTTTTTTTATTTTTTGAGACAGAGTGTCACTCTGTTGCCAGGCTGGAGTGCAGTGGCGTGATCTCGGCTCACTGCAACCTCCGCCTCCTGGGTTCAAGCAATTCTCCTGCCTCAGCCTCCCAAGTATCTGGGACTACAGGCACATGCCACCATGCCCAGCTAATTTTTGTATTTTTAGTAGAGATGGGGTTTCACCATGTTGGCCAGGATGGTCTTGATCTCTTGACCTTGTGATCCACCTGCCTCGGCCTCCCAAAGTGCTGGGATTACAGGTGTGAGCCACCGCGCCTGGCCCCATAAACACCATTCTTAAGAAACAGACCTCAGCCGGGTGTGGTGGCTCATGCCTGTAATCCCAACACTTCAGGAGGCCGAGGTAGGTGGATCACGAGGTCAGGAGTTCAAGACCAGCCTGGCCAAGATGTTGAAACCCCAACTCTACTAAAAATACAAAAAAAATTAGTTTGGCATGGTGGCAGGTGCCTGTAATCCCAGCTACTCGGAAGGCTGAGGAAGAAAATTTCTCTAACCTGGCAGGCGGAGGTTGCAGTGAGCCGAGATCGTGCCACTGCACTCCAGCCTGGCCGACAGAGCGAGACTCCATCTCAAAAAAAAAGGAAAAAAAGAAACAGACCTCGTCATAATCATCCAATGATCCGGGAGATTTCCAATCCCTATGCCTTTCCATAAAGGAATTTCTCTGTTGGAATGCCCTCCTCTACCTCCTCTTCACAAACTCTCCTGTTCACACTTCTTTCAAGCCTTCTAACTCCCTCAGAGTGCTGTCAACTCTGTGTCCTGAGTTCTGCATCCATGGATTCTGCATCTGTGGATATACAACTAACTGTGGATTGAAAATATTGGGTGGGGGAAATGAATGGTTTTATCTGTACTGAAAACGTACACTTTTTTTTTCTTGTTATTATTCCATAAACAATATAACTATTTACATAGCGTTTACATTGTATTAGGTATTATAAGTAATCTAGAGATAATTTTAAGTATATGATGTACATAGGATATATCCAAATACCACATCCTTTTATATAAGGGACTTGAGTATCTGTAGATTTTGGTATCTGAGGAGGAATCCTGGAACCAATCTCCAACAGATAATAAGGGACAACTGTATTTGTTGGTTTCTCCTCTGGGGTCTCATATCTCTTATTAAAAAGCTATCATGGCCGGGCATGGTGGCTCATACCTGTAATCCCAGCACTTTGGGAGGCCAAAGTGGGCAGAACACCTGAGGTCCGGAGTTCGAGACCAGCCTGACCAACATGGAGAAACCCTGCCTCTACTAAAAATACAAAATTAGCCAGGCGTGGTGGTGCATGCCTGTAATCCCAGCTAGTCGGGAGGCTGAGGCAGGAGAATCACTTGAACCTGGGAGGCAGAGTTGTAGTGAGCTGAGATCGCGCTATTGCACTCCAGTCTGGGCAACAAAAGCGAAACTCTGTCTCGAAAAAAAAAAAAGCTATCACAGTGCATTATAAATATTTGTCTTACTCCTTAGATTCCTCTATCCTTGAGAGTAGAGACTATATATTATCCCTATCTAATTTCTAATGTGTAACAGGAGGTTAATTAGAAGGTGGGAAAAATGAACACTTCTAAGTGACCACTATGAGCAAAGTGATTTACATGGGTATGTTCATTTAGTAAATAAAGATTTTCTAAGCACCTATTGAGTGCTAGAGGGTATGAATGGTAAATAAGATAGATAGAGTATCCACTCTTTGAAGACTTTACAGTCTAATAAAAGACGCAGATTTGGCTGGGCGTGGTGGCTCACGCCTGTAATCCCAACACTTTGGGAGGCTGAGGCGGGCAGATTCCTTGAGGTCAGGAGTTTGAGACCAGCCTGGCCAAATAGTGAGACCCTGTCTCTACTAAAAATACAAACATTAGCCGTGCATGGTAGTGGGTGCCTGTAATCCCAGCTACCCGGGAGGCTGAGGCAGAAGAATTGCTTGAACCTTGGAGGCAGAGGCTGCAGTGAGCTGAGATCGCGCCACTGCACTCCAGCCTGGGCAACAGAGCAAGACTCCGTCTCAAAAAAAACAAAAAACAAAACAAAAAAACCCAGATTTATAAAAAGTTAGCAAATAAAATAATTACAACTGCCAGGCGCAGTGGCTCAAGCCTGTAATCCCAACACTTTGGGAGGCCGAGGCGGGCGGATCACAAGGTCAGGAGATCGAGACCATCCTGGCTAACATGGTGAAACCCTGTCTCTACTAAAAATACAAAAAATTAGCCAGGCGTGGTGGCAGGCGCCTGTAGTCCCAGCTGCTGGGGAGGCTGAGGCAGGAGAATGGCGTGAACCCGGGAGGTGGAGGTTGCAGTGAGCTGAGATCGCGCCACTACATTATAGCCTGGGCAGAAAAGCGAGACTCTGTCTCAAAAATAAAATAAAATAAAATAATTACAACTTGTGTAATAAAAGCTTTGAAAGAAACAACACAGCACAATAAGAACTATGAAGGAATAGAGTACTGTAAAACAGATGTAAGGAAGCTTGTACTTTAAATATGGTGGTAAGCAAAGTGCTCTTTGAGTTAACATTTTGCTAAGATGTAAAGGATAAGAAAGAACTAACCAAGCACAGTGCAGCAAGAGGTCAGGGTGGGCATTTCAGACTAAAGAAACAAAACATGCAATGCCTCTCAGGTAGGAAATAATTTTGCCTGTTCCAATGAGTTCAAACACCAGTGTGGCTGGAGCACAGTAAGCAAAGGGAGGAATGGCAGGAATGAGTTAGGGAAGAGCCAGAGCTGGCAGGGCAAAGGTGGATATTTGAATTTTAATCTAAGTGCTAAAGTGAACACAGTCATTAGGAGAGTCTAAGGAAGGGAGTGACATGATTCCATTTATTTTCAAAAGATTTTTCTTGCTGTTGTGTGAAAAATGGATGGGACTAGGGCCACAAGAATGCAAAGACCACAGTTGCTGGAACTGACTTCATTTCAGAACAAATGATCCAATTTCTCTTGCCATTCGGTCCAGGGCACATTATCTTCTAAGAGACAGTTGTTATTAAAGGTATCATGTTTTTCATCCTTGTTTCCATAAAGCAAAACCCAGAGCATAAAGTTTCTTGAAATCCCATGAATTCTGAGATAGGCATTATTAATATGCCCATTTTATAAGGAATAAGCTGAGGTTTAGAGAACTGAGTAATTTGCTTAAGTCATCCACCTGGCAAAAACCTATTCCTTTACGATTTTGATGGAGGGACCTTCAACATTTGAAGAAAATGCTGTAGTTATACTTAACTTCTACTCTATAGAAAACAGCTACTATATTCTATCATGGAACTAGGAGAGAGGAAAAACAGGACATATGCTGATGAATGCAAGGCCACCATTCAAAGGGGTAAAGACAGAAAAAAAACAACTTTTTTCTTTTTTTTTTCTTTTTTTTGAGATAGGGTCTTGCTGTCATCAGGCTGGAGTGCAGTGGCACAGTGACAGCTCACTGCAGCCTTGAATTCCTGGGCAATCCTCCCTACATCAGCCTCCCTAGTAGCTGAGACTATAGATGCATGCCACCATTCCAGGCTAATTTTTTATTTTATTTTATTTTTTGAGACGGAGTCTCGCTCTGTCTCCCAGGCTGGAGTGCAGTGGCGCAATCTCAGCTCACTGCAAGCTCCGCCTCCCAGGTTCACGCCATTCTCCTGCCTCAGCCTCCCAAGCAGCTGGGACTACAGGTGCCCGCCACCATGCCCGGCTATTTTTTTTTGTATTTTTTTAGTAGAGACGGGGTTTCACCGTGTTAGCCAGGATGGTCTCGATCTGACCTCGTGATCTGCCCACCTCAGCCTCCCAAAGTGCTGGGTCTTGATATGTTGCCCAGGATGGTCTCGAATTCCTGGGCTCAAGCAATCCTCCTGCCTCGGCCTCCCAAAGTGCTGGGATTACAGGTGTGAATCACTGCACCCTGCCCAAATAATTCTTCAGTTGTGAAAAATATTCAATTTTAGCCATGAATACAAATGAATATTTTTTTATCATTATAGTCTATAAAAAAGTCAGTATCTTTTTTTCATTTAGTGGTGACAAATATACTGAGATAATAAGGGAAACTACAGCCTAATAAATAAACTGCTCTTGTTCTTTCAGTGATTTTTAGGATTAAATCTGTTCATCAATATCACCAAACTGAGTAGAAAGCATCCATCTAGAAATTCCTTAATCAATCTAAAAATTTCTTATTCTAAGGAAGCAGAAATAAAAGTAATTATGAATCTACAGTTAGAATAGCCTAATCTTGAGATTTACCCTATCATCCCCACCAGTTCAGTGCAAGCAGGTTAAAAACCAGGAACTACATATGGATTCCTAACAACACAAATCATCCTTATACCTTGATTCCATCGTCCCTTTACCAACCAAAGGAATGAAAAAGAACAAAAATGACGGCATCAGATCTTAGATAGGAGTCTCTATCCTTATCAACAAAACTACATATATATGTCTATAAATGGACATATATAAATATATACACACACACATATATGAGATTGCAAATAGCAGAGGCTTAGATTCAGATAATTCCTGCCAATGTCTCATCAGCAGTTCCTTAAATACAGGATCCCTACACTAGAGCCACTGGCCCTACTGATGACCACGTCAGTTAAAAACATAGTCTACAGAAGCCTAGGAGAGATCCTTCAGGGTCTCAGAAGACAGAAACAAGAGCACTTTTCCAATACCACCACTGCTTCAACAAAGCAAAAGTCAATAGAAACTCCCTTTCCTACCTCGAAAGCTCTATTTGGCATCAAATTTCTGGAGCAAGAGCACACTTACACGATAGGACCTGAAGGTTGCCATCTGCTCTACTCTGTACAAATGGGCCATCTCCTGGCAAGACTGTAATGATGCCTGATGTGATGAATAAAACTTAGGCATTGCTCCCAGGCTAAAGTAACAAAAGAGACGCGATGGAGGGGCTCAGACAGAGCTTTACATAAGGTAAAACAGTGGGGCTTCTGTCTCTCAGGTATATAATTTCATACCGATTCTAGGCAAGATATTTCCTCTTATTCCCTAGGATGAGGTTAAAGATATACCAAGGGGCCAGGCACAGTGGCTCACGCCTGTAACCCCAGCACTTTGGGAGGCCGAGGCGGGCAGATTACCTGAGGTCAGGAGTTCAGAAACCCCATCTTTACCAAAAATACAAAAATTAGCAGGGAATGGTGGTGGGCGCCTGTAATCCCAGCTACTTGAGAGGTTGAGGCAGAAGAATAGCTTGAACCCAGGAGGCTGGTCTCATGAGGTTGCAGTGAGCCAAGGCTGTGCCATTGCACTCCAGCCTGGGCAACAAGAGCGAAACTCTGTCTCAAAAAAAAAAAAAAAAGACATACCAGGGAACTATCCACAGGAGAGAAAAGTTTGTACACACAGCAGGGATTTACACACTGTTCTAAGTCATAAGCTCATTTTCCTTTGCCAGCAAAGGTCCCAGGACTATCAACTTGGAACAGAAGTCTTGTTGAGTATGTGCTAATAGTGCATTGGAGCATTTCTTTTAGAAAGCACTCCACTACTCCTAGTTTGCACCTGTTCTCCCTGTGGATATATATGGGCTAGATCACCTTCGCTGGGAGAGAACACAAGTTCCCCCAATGTCTCAAGGAGACTAATAGAGAGCAAACTCAGATTTACCTATGCAGCACTCTCATGTACAATAACCTCTTCTGGCTCCCACTGAACTGAATAGCTTTCAGCTAAACTAGTAATCACATCACACAGAAATGCCAGTTGAAATACAATACTAGTTAGGTAGTTATTATAGTCAATATGCAGGGGACCAAAATAAGATACTTCTAGAGCCAAAAAATATGATTATAAATGGAATAGAAATTTGGGACAGAAATATATAAAACACATTAACAAAAAAGAGAGTGGTATTCATTTTGTATTCACCAAATATTTACTAAATTATCTACTGCATTCTAGGTACCCTACTAGATAATTAAAAATACAGACAGATGCAGTCTAAGCCCTCAGGGAACAGACAATCCAGTAAGGAAGAACAACAATGAACAAGTAAATTACAACTATGATTATGAAAGAAAAACTAGAATGCTTTAAGAGCATGTATCCAGGGAACATAATCTAGTTTTTGTTTCTGTTTTTGGTGGGGGTAGGAGAGCAAAGTATGCTATAAGGCTAAATAAAGGAAAGCTAAAAAAGTAAAAATATGTTACATGCACATTCTTGTGAGAAAATAAATACATAAAAAAGCAAAAATGTCTATGTCTCCAGCACCAGCCAGACATAATTTTTAAATCTAGCTGACCCTCTTGTAAAGTATATCCCTACTGTGAAAAGATACATCAGATCCCAGAAAACTGATTATAATCTGCACTCCATATAATAAACCTTCCTACCTAAAAAGGATGTACTAATTATCTAAGACCAGTATATAATTCACTCTGTAGCTGCAGTTCATATTATATAAATGAATAAATAGACATTCTGGTCTGTAAATCAAGATTTTGTGAGACTGGTTAGTGAGCTAGTCTTTGGGGGACTGAGCATGTCTAGGTGATAAGAATGGGTGCTAAAACTGAGCTTCTGGAAAAATAAGGTTGGACTGTGTTTCATCAATGATCAGTCAGCCAGCCCATCTCTATTACATTTCTCTGCTCTCTATAATTTCAATAAACATGATATCAGGAAGTGCTAGGGAATGGTTTAAAAATTTGCTAAGAAACTAATCTGGGCCAGGCACAGTGGCTCATGTCTGTAATCCCAGCACTTTGGAAGGCTGAGGCAGGCGGATCATGAGGTCAGATCAAGACCATCCTGGCTAACATGGTGAAACCCCGTCTCTACTAAAAATACAAAAATTTAGCCAGGCGTGGTGGCACATGCCTGTAATCCCAGCTACTCAGGAGGCTGAGGCAGGAGAATCGCTGGAACCCAGCAGGCGGAGGTTGCAGTGAGCCGAGATCGCGCCACTGCACTCCAGCCTGGGCAAAAGAGCAAGACTCTGTCTCAAAAAGAAAAAAAAGAAGAAAAGAATCTGAGCACAGTGCAAACTCATAATTAATTGTTAAAGGGATGAATGAACAATAAACTTAAGAGACTTACTGTTCCCTCTAAATCAAGTGCTGAGTTTCAAAGGAGGCGGAGACTAGGGCCAATGAAACAGCCAAGTTTTTCAAAGAAGCACATATGTGTGTGTAAAAACACATATACATACCTGCACTCAAAGCAATACCAGTGCCACGGTGGCAGATGGACATCGCCATGGGAAGAGACCAACTGTAAAGAAACACACAAAGACAATTTTAAAAAGGAAAAGATGACACCATAGTAGAGAGTCTATCTTGGCAAAAATATAAACTAATTCTGAAATAGGCACTTTTTTTTCTTTTTTTTTTTTTGAGACAGAGTCTCGCTCTGTTGCCCAGGCTGGCAATGGCATGATCTCAGCTCACTGCAACCTCCACTTCCCGGGTCCAAGCAATTCTCCTGAATAGGTAATATTTTCTTAAAACAAAACAAAACAAAACAAAAAATCACCAGCTTTTGCATTCCTGTCTTTTCACTTTTTTTTTTACCCCCCCGGAACAGGGTCTTGCTCTGTCACCCAGGCTGGAGTCCCATGCCACAGTCTCAGCTCACTCCAACCTCTGCCTCCCGGGTTCATGAGATTCTCCTGCCTCAGCCTCCTGAGTAGCTGGGATTACAGGTGCCTGCCACCAGGTCCGCCTAATTTTTGTATTTTTAGTAAAGGGGTTTCATCACCTTAGCCAGGCTGGTCTTGATCTGATCTCATGATCCGCCCACCTCGGCCTCCCAAAGTACTGGAATTACAGGTGTGAGCCACTGTGCCCAGCCGTGTTTCCACTTTTTACTTTAAAAATACAAACCTGGGCCAGGCGCGGTGCCTCACGCCTGTAATCCCAGCACTTTGGGAGGCCAAGGCAGGTGGATCACCTGAGGTCAGGAGTTCGCAATCAGCCTGACCAACATGGAGAAACCCCGTCTCTACTGAAAATACAAAATTAGCCGGATGTGGTGGCACATGCCTGTAATCTCAGTTACTCGGGAGGCTGAGGCAGGAAAATTGCTTGAACCCAGGAGGTGGAGGTTGCGGTGAGCCAAGATCGCACCATTGCACTCCAGCTCCAGTCTGGGCAACAAGAGTGAAACTCTGTCTCCAAAAAAAAAAAAAAAAAAAAAAAAAAAACACCTGTATCAGGATTAGGTTACAAAAATAAATTAAAGAATAAAGAAAACTGATTTATGGAGAAGGATCCCTACCTTTACCAGACTGCATCACTGATAGGGCTGAGAAAAAAAAAAATGATTATAACTCAAAACTCCTTTCGCAAGGAGAAACATGGGTCAAAGACACTCATTAAAGTTGGAGCTGGCATGGTGGCTCACACCTGTAATCCTAGTACTTTGGGAGGCCAAGGCGGGGGCCGTTGAGTTCAGGAGTTCAAGGTCAACCTAGGCAACGTAATGAGACCCCATCTTTACGAAAAAAAAAAAAAAAATTAGCTGGGTGTGGTGGCAGAGGCCTGTGGTCCCAGCTACTTGGGAGACTGAAGTGAGAGGGTCGCTTGAGGCCAGGAACTCCAGACTGCAGTGAGCTATGACTGTGCCACTGTACTCCAGCCCGGGTTGGGGAGAGAGAGACAGAGACCATGCCTCTAAATAAATAAATACAGTTGATACAATTAGAAAGTAATCACTATAGGCCGGGCACGGTGGCTCACGCCTGTAATCCCAGCACTTTAAGAGGCTGAGGCGGGTGGATCATGAGGTCAGGTGTTCGAGACCAGGCTGGCCAACACGGTGAAACCCCATCTCTACTAAAAATACAAAAATTTAGCCAGGCGTGGTGGTGCATGCCTGTAATCCCAGCTACTTGGGAGGCTGAGGCAGGAGAATGACTTGAATCCGGGGGGCGGAGTTTGGCGTAAATGGAGATCACGCCACTGCACTCCAGTCTGGGCGACAGAGGGTGACTCCATCTCAAAAAAAAGAAAAAGAAAGAAAGCAATCACTGTAATACAACCTGGGTCCCTCTATTTCTCCAGGTATAACACTGATGGAAGAAAACCTGAGTTTCATTTATCCACAGTTTCATATAATACATGGTCATCCTTGAATCCTCCCTTATTATATGCCCCAAAATATCCAAACTGAACATACCACTTATTTCCTAATAAGTTACCTATCCCAAATTTTTATATCCAATCTTCTGGATTTAGTATATATTTCTTAATCCACAGTAGTTCTGAAATACTTTTCATCATCAAACCCCTTTTTAAATTATGAATCATCAACTTTCCATTGAAGGACAACCAACATTGTTATTCTAGACCTAGTTCTCATGCTCAAGAGAGAACTGGTGGGTAAAATGGAAAGAACAAGAGTCTCTGAAGAAAGCTAACGCTCATCTTGGAATGTTAGCTTAGACAAAGAATACTAAGCATAATCAAACCGTATCTTCAACACTTTGAAGAGAAATAAAGAGGTTAAAAAGATCTCAAAAGAAAATTCTGCCTACATAATGAAAATGGTCATAGTAAGTAAGAAAGGAGTATTCCCAAATAAATTAAAAATATTAATACTAACTAGATACCACTCTGATCAACTCAGATTTAACAAGAGAAATATAAAAGGTGGAAGAAGAGCCACATACCACTCTGATCAACTCAGATTTAACAACAGAAATATAAAAGGTGGAAGAACAGACACATAACCAAGGACAGAGAACGATAGCATAATTTGGTAAGAAGAATCAGGAGACCGAAACCCAGAAGGAGCTGAGGCTTGCAACAATTTCAAGGACAACAAAAAAGAGGTTTTAAAATTGTATTCTGACACAGTCAGCCTCCTAACTGGGATGAACAATTTTATGCTAATTGATGACAAGAGTGTGAAACAGATTGCACAATTATTTTTCTTGTCAAAGAGAATAATTATCAGCATGAAAAAGACAGAACAAATATTGATCTGAAAGACTTGAAACCCTAAAGAGGTGAGGAAATTGGAAGATTCCAAACACACTTGGGGCTCTGGGACCAGATGAATCAAATCCCATGACTGAAAGAGCTAATAGAAGAAACATATGCACTGTTCCAGAAATCTTTCAGAAATACTGATATACAAAATGGGAGTGATGTAATATGAAACTGCTGAATTCAAATGTTACCCTATTTTTCAAAAACGGTTAAAATCATAGCCTGGCTAGCCCAGTAATGACAAGGTAAAAATATTGTTTTCTAAAAATAACCATAATATTATTTCCAGTCCCCCAGGATCTTCCAGAATCTTGTCATTTCTCATCAAGCAAGTATTTAGCCTCTACCCTTGAACCTGGGCAGGACTTGATGACCGACGGCCTCAAAAGGTAGAATGCGGCAGAAGTAATGCTGCATGACTTACGAATTCTCCTTCCTTCCTCATGCTGTGTGGAAACCCAAAGCAGCCTACAAAGACATGTGAAAGGACCTATGTGGTGAGAAAATAAGGGCCCCATCCAAGAGCCAGAATCAACTCCAAGACATGTGAGTGACTGGATCTTCAGATTAATTCAGGCCCTAGCCTTTGTGTTTTCCAGCTGAGGCCTCGGGCACCATGGAGCAAAGACAAGTCTTCTTCACTAGGCCCTGTTTGAACATTAGGTAAGAGTCTAGTATAGAAAATCAAGATGTGGGCAGGCACAGTGGCTCAGGCCTGTAATCCTAGCACTTTAGGGGGCTGAGGTGGGCAGACTGCCTGAGCTCAGGAGTTTGAGACCAGCCTGGGCAAGATGGCAAAAAAAAAAAAAAAACCCATTTCTACAAAAAATACAAACATTAGCCGGACATGGTGGCGTGTGTCTATAGTCTCAGCTACTTGGGGGACTGAGGAAGGAGGATTGCCTGAGCCCGGGAGGTCGAGGTTGCAGCAAGCCGTGATCACGCCACTGCACTCCAGCCTGAGTAACAGAGGGAGACTCTGCCTCAAAAGCAAAAAAAACAATAAAAAAATACCTCCAGAAAGTAAAAACATTTCTCCAACAGCCCAGACTGCCAATGGCCAATAAGTACATGAAAAGATGTTTAACATCACTAACCATTTACTTCCAGGCCTCTTTCAAAAAACCCAAAAAATGGGTAATAGAAAATATGACTTCAGGTATCTCAGATATCTTTCCCTGACATGCCACTCTGGATATAGCCCCGTGTTCCCTGCTGCTTTTTTCCCCCCAAGTATGTCTGGAGTTACATAACCAGAAAAGCAAATAAGGTAGTGAAAGACTCACCTCACCAACCTACAACCATTCTTTATATGACCTGTGAAAAAAGGCCACGGCTTTAAATATACAGATTCAGAATAATTTAGGATGCTCTTTTCTCTTTTTCATTATAATTCTTCCCCAAAACTTTTTTTTTTTTTGAAACGGAGCCTTGCTCTGTTGCCAGGCTACAGTGCAGTGGCGCAATCTTGGCTCACTGCAACCTCCGCCTCCCGGGTTCAAGCGATTCTCCTGCCTCAGACTCCTGAGTAGCTGGGACTACAAGCACGTGCCACCACGGCCAGCTAATTTTTGTATTTTTAGTAGAGACAGGGTTTCACCTGAGATCAGGATGATCTCGATCTCTTGACCTCATGATCCACCCACCTTGGCATCTCAAAGTGCTGGGATTACAGGCATGAGCCACCGCACCGGGCCTCCTAAAACTTTTATCTCTTAAAAAAGAAAGTTTCACGATTGAGAAGCAAGAAATAAGATCACTTATTAGCCTCCTTCTGTTTTAGTGGCATGTCCAGTTTCTACAAACAGGATTATTCCTGGAATCTGGCTTGGAAAAAAACTGAAGGGTTATGGTATTTGTGGAGGTGGTTAAAAAATGGCCAGCCTCACTGGCAGAAACCCAAGAGAGTAGCAGAGCTCAAGATGCTTTGCTGGGTTAGCCTAAAAAAACAAAAAGCAGATTTACAGGGACTTATCTTCAAAGACATCAGCAAAAACTGTTATCAATGCCACTTCTGAAGATGAGATAAACAGAGATGTATGTATATATGTATATATGTATGTATGATGTATGTATATACTTATATACACACACGTATGTATGTGACAGAGATTGCATACATATATATGCTACCTCTATCCACAGACCGGGCCTAGAAGCAATGACATCCTAGTAGCAATGAGCACATCTAGCACCCAGATACTGATTTCACAGGAGTCATTTTGAAGAACTCCTATTGGCCAGGTCTGAGACAATTTGAACACCAAAATAAATAATAACAAAGTATAATCCTTTGGGGAAATTAATGCTTGATCCATATTATCCTTGAGTCCATACTGATAAAAAAAGCAAGCTTTACCCTATCAAAACAAACAAATCTAGAAAATATTATTATAATATATAAAATTAGCAACATTACATTTGGCAACTATCACAGTAATAAATGATTTAGGCAAGTACCTCCAACAGATACTGGTGAGTAAATATCTGATGAGAAAGAATATTTAGAGTTTCAAAGTATCTCCCGCCAAAATATGTATTAATTAATACAACATCCTTATTCAGTAACTTTACAGTAGAGAAATCTAGCAGACACATCTTAAACAGTGACAAAAGTTAACATCACCAGTAATGGGATAAATCATTAGCACATGCCTCCTGATACAATGTACTGACAGAAGTATAGCATTACCGCAGGGGTATTCCTGCCAAAAATGCATAAATCATAAAACACCAAACAAACCCAAATTAAGGAACATTCTAAAAACGTCAAGGTCATAACAAATAAGGAAAGACTAAAAATCTCTCCCATACTGCAGGAAAAAGAGACATGACAACTAAATGTAATATATAATTCTAGGTTCAATCTTAGGCCTATAAAGGACATTAATGGGACAAGTGGCAAAATTTGAATGGGACCTACGGTTTAGATAGTAACATTGTGATGGTTGTACTTTGGAGACTGTCTTGCAATTGAGGAAATGCACAGCCAAGTATTAAGAAGTTGTAGTAGGCAGAATAATAGTCTCCTTAAAGATGTTCATGTTCTAATCTCTAGAACCTATGAATATGTTACCTTTTACGGCAAAGGGGAATTAAGGTTGCAGATGAAATTAAGGTTGCTAATAAGACAACCTTAAGATAAAGAGGGAGTGAGCCGTAATCCCAGAACTTTGGGAGGCCGAAGTGGGAGGACAGCTTGAGCCCAGGAGCTCAAAGCCAGCTTGAGCAACATGGCCAAACTCCATTTCTAGAAAATATTTAAAAATTAGTCAGCCATGGTGGTACATGCCTATAGTCCCAGGTACTTGGGAGGCTGACCTGGGAGGATCACTTAAGCCTGGGAAGTCAAGGCTGCAGTAAGCCATGATCATGCCCCACAAGTTTTATTAAAAACTTGTAGAAAACTTGTGCCATTTCAGCCTGGGCAACACAGCGAGACCCTGTCTCAAAAACAAAACAACATAGACTATCCTAGATTATTAGGACGGGCCCAGTGTAATCATAAAGGTCCTTAACAGCAGAAGAGAGAAATGAGAAAAAAGAAAAGCAGAAGAGGCTCACAGAAGAAAGGAGTCAAAGAAGAAATGAGATGACGGAAGCAGGGTCAGCATGATGTGACTGAAGAACTCAATGTAGCATTGCTGGTTCTGAAGATGGAGGAAGGAGGGCAGAAGCCAAGGAATTCAGATAGCCTCTAGAAGCTAGGAAAGGCAAGGACATGGATTCTTCCCTAGGGCCTCCAGAAGGAAACAGAGCCCTGCCAACACCTTGATTTTAGCCCAGGGAGATCTTGTCAAACTTCTGACCCACAGAACTATAAGGTAATAAATTTGTGTTGTTTTAAGTCACAACGTTTGCAGTAATTTGTTATGGCAGCAAATAGAAAATTAGTATAGATTGTGGTAACTAGAAGAGGAGTGCAGCTGTAACGAATACCCAAAAATGTGGAAGTGCCTTTGAAATTGGGCAGTGGGAAGGGACTAAAAGAATTTTTAGGACCATGATTTTTAAAAAGCCCAGATTGCCTTGAACAGATTTTAGTAGAAATATGGATGTTGTGCTGGTGAGGATGTGGAGAAACTAGAACCCTTATACACTGCTAGTGTGAATGTAAAATGGTACAGTCACTTTGGAAAACAGTCTGGTAGTTCCTCAAAATGTTAAACATAGGCCGGATGCCGTGGCTCATGCCTGTAATCCCAGCACTTTGGGACGCTGAGGCAGGTGGATCATGAGGTCAAGAGATCAAGACCATCCTGACCGACATGGTGAAACCCCGTCTCTATTAAAAATAGAAAAATTAGTTGGGCGCGGTGGCGCATGCCTGTAGTCCCAGCTACTTGGGGGCTGAGGCAGGAATATCGCTTGAACCTGGGAGGTGAAGGTTGCAATGAGCTGAGACTGCGCCACTGCACTCCAGCCTGGCAACAGAGCGAGACTCCGTCTTTAAAAAAAAAAAAAAAAAAAAAGTTAAACATAGAGTTACCATATGATGCAATAATTCTACTCCTAGGTATATACCCAAGAGAAATGAAACATATGTGCACACAAAAACTTGTACACAAATAAATGGTCATAGCAGCATTATTTCTAATAGCCAAAAAGTGGAAACAGCTCAAACGTCCATCAATTTATAAATGGGTAAATAAAACACTGTATGTACATACAATGAAATATTATTCGGCCATAAAAAGGAAGGAAGCACTGATATATGCTAAAACATGGATGAACGCTGAAAACATTATGGTAAGTAAAAGAAGCCAGTCACAAAGGACCACATATTTTATCACTACATTTAAATGAAATGTTCGGAATAGGTAAGTTTATAAGATGGAAAGTAAATAACTGATTGTCTAGAGCTGGGAGGGACAAACGATTGGTGGTGATGGCTAAGAAATGTAGTGTTTCTTTCTGGAGTGATGAAAACATTCTAAAATTGGCTGGGCATGGTGGCTCATGCCTATAATCCCAGCACTTTGGGAGGCCAAGGCAGGCAGATCACCTGAGGTCAGGAGTTCAAGACCAGCCTGGCCAACACAGTGAAACCCCTGTCTCTACTAAAAACACAAAAATTAGTCAGGCATGGTGATGCACATCTGTAATCCCAGCTACTTGGGAGGCTGAGGCAGGAGATCACTTGAACACAGAAGGCAGAGGTTGCAGTAAACCGAGATCATGCCACTGTACTCCAGCCTGGGCAACAGAGCGAGACTCCATCTCAAAAAAAAAAAAAAGAAAGAAAAAGAAAATATTCTAAAATTGTGGTGATGGCTGAACAACTCTGCATTTAACAAAAGCCACTAAACTGTATGCTTTCAATGTGTGAACCGTATGGTATACAAATTGTATTTCAAAAAGGAAAATATGAATGTTAATTCAGCTAGTAAAGGCTCAGGAGGAAATTAGGAACATGTTATTAAAAACTTGTGGAAAGGGGATCCTTGTTACATAGGGCAGAAAGTTTAGCAGAATTATGTCCCACGATAATGTGGAAAGCAGAATCTACTGAAGTGGCAACCTGATTTCTTTTTGCTCTTTATAGTAAAATGTGAAAGGAAAGAAACAGACTGAGGGAAGAGCTGTTAAATAAAAAGCAAGCTGAGCACGGTGGCTTACAGCTGTAACCCCAACACTTTGGGAGAAAAAGGTGAGAGGATCGCTTGAGCTCAGGGGTTCAAGACCAGCCTGGGTAATATATTGAGACCGTCTTTACAAAAAATTAAAAACTAGCCAGGTGTGGTGGCATGCACCTGTAGTCCCAGCTACTCAGGAGGCTGAGTCAGGAAGATCACTTGAGTCCAGGAGTTCAAGGTTACAACGAGCTATGATCACACCACTACTACACTCCAGCCTGGGTGGCACAGTGAAACCCTGTCTCTTAAATAAAACAAACAAACAAACAAAAAAACAGGACTTAATGATTTGGGAAATTCTCAGCCTTCCCAGCAAAAATACTAAAATTAAGATATTCACTGTTGCCAGGCGCGGTGGCTCATGCCTGTAATCCCAGCACTTTGGGAGGCCAGGGCGGGCAGATCACGAGGTCAGGAGCTCAAGACCAGTCTAGCCAACATAGCGAAACCCCGTCTCTACGAAAAATACAAAAAATTAGCCAGGTATGGTGGTGTGCGCCTGTAATCCCAGCTACTTGGGAGGCTGAGGCAGGAGAACCGCGTGAACCAGGGAGGCGGGGGTTACAGTGAGCCGGGACTGCGCCACTGCATTGCAGCCCTGGCAATAGTGTGAGACTCTGTCTCAGAAAAAAAAAAAAAAAAAGATATTTACTGTCAAGGCCTGGTACAGTGGTTCACACATAATCCCAGCACTTTGGGAGGCCAAGGCAGGCAGATCACTTGAGCCCAGGAGCTTGAGACCAGCCTGGGCAACATGGTTTTATAGAGATGGTGATACACCATGTCTATAAAAAAATACAAAAATTAGCTGGGCGTGGTGACATGCACTGTAGTCCCAGCTACTCAGGAGGCTGAGGTGGAAGGATTGCTTAAGCCTGGGAGGCGGAGGTTGCAATGAGCCCAGATCGTGCCACTGCACTCCAGCCTGGGTGACTGGGTGAGACTCTGTCTGGACAAAAAAAAAAGGATATTCATTGGCAAAAAGAAAAAGTCAGGGCGTGGCCATGTAACCTTATGTTAATACCTGAGAAAGATTGAAAGGGCAGAATATTTAGTCACATAAAAGGCGTTTTGAAATTAAGCATGTTACTAGTAGATCCCCTCAACCATCTCATCAGAAGGCAGAAACAGAGGCAGGATTATTTAGGAAAATTCTATAAGGGAACGTCTTGTCTAATGGAGCAAATTCCCATGACACAAGCAGGAGACCCACAAGGTTCTCTTTTTTTTTTTTTTTTTTTGGAAACAGAGCCCAGGCTGGAGTGCAGTGGCGCCACAATCTCGCAATCTCGGCTCACTGCAACCTCCACCACCCAGGTTCAAGAGATTCTTGTGCCTCAGCCTCCCAAGTAGCTGGGACTACAGGCGCACCACCACACCTGGCTAATTTTTTGTATCTTCGTAGAGACAGGGTTTCACCATGTTGCCCAATCTGGTCTCAAACCCCTGAGCTCAGGAAATTCACCTGCTTTGGTCTCCCAAAGTGCTAGGATTACAGATGTGAGCCATCGCGCCTGGTCCCAACAATGTTCT
Source organism: Homo sapiens (assembly GCF_000001405.40). Classification (NCBI taxonomy): domain Eukaryota; kingdom Metazoa; phylum Chordata; class Mammalia; order Primates; family Hominidae; genus Homo; species Homo sapiens. Next base: position 161,330,704 of record NC_000001.11, on the reverse strand, counting down.
TAAGAATGTTATACCAACAGAAATACTGCCAGCATAGACTAAAAGTGACAGAGAGAAGATGAAAAGAAGACTGTCATACCCCGAAATTTCTACAGACAAAAAAGAGGCTGTTAAAAATGACTCAGCTGCAAAAGCATGTGTCACCTTTCACAAAGAAGGATAGCGGATGGAGCTATAAGCCCAGAGGGCAAAGCCAATAGCTGCAAAGGATTATTCTCAGGCCTTGAAATCAAATGGTGTTTGCCTGGCTGAATTTCAAACCTGGTTAGAACCAGAGACTCCTTTTTTCCTTCCATTTTCTCACTTTTTGAGCAGGAATGTCTACAGTTGTTATCCTATGTCTGTCCCACCACTGTATTTTGGGAGTATGTAACTTGTTGCTTTAGATTCACAGATGAAGAGAAAATGTTCCTCAAAAGGATTATACCCAGAGCCTCACCCATATCTGGTTCAGATGGGGAGATTTAGATGAAATTTTAAGACTTTGAGATGAGGCTACAGTAGGTTGAAACTTTTGGGGCCACCGCGATGTGGTGAATGTATTTTGTCATGGGACAGACATAAACTTTGAGGGCTAGAGGGTAGACTGTGGTAGGTAAAATAATGCACCCTCCCCTCCAGAGGTGTCAATGTATTAATCCCCAGAACCTGTGAATATATTATCTTATATCACAAAAAGAACTTTGCAGATATTATTAAATTAAAGACCTTGAGATGGAGGCATTGTCCTGAAATATTTGGGGAGGTCTAAATATAATGACAAGGGTCCCTTGAAAGGAGAAAAGGGAGGTAGAAGAAGTCAGAGTGATACAAAGCGAGAAGGACTCTGCTATTGCTTGCTTTGAAAATAGAAAAAGAATGCCATAACCCAAGGAATGTGGATGGCCTATAAAAGTTGGAAAAGGCAAGGAGCCTCTGGAAAAGAATGCAGCCCCTGCAAACAACTTAATTTTAGCCTAATGAGACCTGTGTTGTACTTCTAACCTAAAGAATGGTAAGACAATACATCTGTGTTATTTTAAGCCACTAAGTTTGTGATACTTGTTATAGTAGCAATAGAAAACAAATACAGGGACTGGGCGTGATGGCTCATGCCTATAATCCCAGCACTTTGGGAGGCCGAGGTGGGTGGATCACTTATGGCCAGGAGTTTGAGACCAGCCTGGACAACATGGCAAAACCTCATCTCTTACTAAAAGACAAAAATTAGCCGGGCATGGAGGTTCATGTCTGTAATCCCAGCTACTCAGGAGGCTGAGGCACAAGAATCACTTGAACTCAGGAGGTAGGGGTTGCGGTGGGCCTAGATCGCACCACTGCACTCCAGCCTGGGTGACCAAGCAAGACTCTGCCTCAGAAAAATAAAAAAAGAAGAAGAAAACAAATACAGGAATAATACTTGGATATCATCATCATTGCAACTTCTTCTTGTATCATTCAGACATGTTAAGCAGCTGGGAATCTGCTTATTAGCATGTCTGAATAATTTAAGAAGTTGTGGCCGGGCATGGTGGCTCACACTTGTAATCCCAGCACTTTGGGAGGCCGAGGCGGGCGGATCACTAGGTCAAGAGATCAAGACCATCCTGGCCAACCTGGTGAAATCCCATCTCTACTAAAAATACAAAAATTAGCTGGCCGTAGTGGTGCACACCTGTAGCCCCAGCTACTCGGGAGGCTGAGGCAGGAGAATCGCTTGAACCCGGGAGGCAGAGGATGCAGTGAGCTGAGATCGCGCCACTACACTCCAGCCTGGCAACAGAGCAAGACTCTGTCTCAGAAAAAAAAGAAGAAGAATTTGCAAAGTTGCAACTTCTATATAACTTAGCATATATACTATATACCTTCCATATAAAGGTATATGGGAACTCTGTATGTTATTTCTGCAACGTTTATGTAAATTTGAAATTGTTTCAAAAATGTTTTAATTAATGGGAATTATATTTTGACTTACCAGAATTTTCTAAATGGTAGTTTTGCAAAATAGATTACCCTTGTAATGACAAGATAGAATTTAGTCATCTCCACATAAAAAAGGTGTAAGATAATCCTTATGTCATCTCCCTCTACCCTGAAGGGTTCACCTCATCTACATAGCAGTATTTTGGTTGAGTAAAAGTGAGGGAAGTATCAAGTAGGCTAAAGATCAACCTTCAGAACTTTCACCCACTACCTCTAGATTCTCTGGCTCCAGAATCCTTCCTTACCTGTAGATAGTAATGTGGGGAGACAGAGGACGGTTTGAACCTATATTCTTATTCCAGAACCGCTCCATCTCTTCTTTGGCCGTGGTTCCCAAAGGAACAGCACTAAAATAAAACCAGACCGTTTGAAAATAACTAAAAGTAAACTTGGTTTAATATTTTGCATAACGTTTTATTAAGTCAATATTTTGCAATACCAAGCCAGGCATGGTTGCTCAGGCCTGTAATCTCAGCTCTTTGGGAGGCCGAGGCGGGCGGATCACCTGAGGTCACAAGTTCGAGACCAGCCTGACCAACATGGAGAAACCTCGTCTCTACTAAAAATACAAATTAGCCAGATGTGGTGGCGGGCGCCTGTAATCCCAGCTACTCGGGAGACTGAGGCAGTAGAATCACTTGAACCCAGGAGGCAGAGGTTGCGGTGAGCCAAGATTGCGCCATCGCACTCAAGCCTGGGCAACAAGAAATTCTCTCTCAAAAAAAAAAAAAAAAATTTGCAGTATCTTTTTAGAAAAGGTTTTGTTAGGGAAGCAGGAGCCTAGGAGAGCCAGAGTGACACTATTTTAAAATCGACTCCATCTTGTTATAGCAACAGAAAACAGAAAATAAAAATAAAAATAAAAATAAAATAAAATAATAGGCCACGCACAGTGGCTCAAGCCTGTAATCCCAGCACTTTGGGAGATCGAGGTGGGTGGATCATGAAGTCAGGAGTTCAAGACCAGCCTGGCCAACACGGTGAAACCCCATCTCTACTAAAAATAGAAAAAAATTAGCCGGGTGTGTTGGCGCACGACTGTAATCCCACCTACCTAGGAGGGTGAGGCAGGAGAATCACTTGAACCCGGGAGGCAGAGGTTACAGTGAGCCAAGATCACACCATTGCACTCCAGCTTGGGAGACAGAGCAAGACTCCGTCTCAAAAAAATAAATAAAATAAATAAATAAACTCCATCTTAAAACTAGCAAGGCACATTCCTTGCCAGTGACAACCCACGGTTCTAACATGTTTACAGCTAAGGAAGCAGCTTGGTAATACCTGCAAGGACAAACTCCAACAACAGAAAGTCCAGATGTCCCAATACCCATAACAACATATGCTTTCAAAATAATTATAGTTATGCTTTGATGTACTTACACACTAAAATGTCAAGGACAGTTTTCTTTAAATCAATAGAATAATAAATTCTGTCATGCTGTCTGGTCCCCCGCATGTAGGCACAGCTTAGTTTAGTCCTTACATAGACAAGATCCCTATATAAGGAAAACTTAGGCCAGACATGGTGGCTCACGCCTATAATCCCGGCACTTTGGGAGGCTAAGGTGGGCAGACGGCTTGAGCCCAGAAGTTTGAGACCAGCCTGGGCAACATGGCAAAACCCTGTTTCCACAAAAAATGCAAAGAAAATTTAGCCAAGCATGATGGTCCGAGCTTGCAGTCCCAGTTACTCGGGAGGCTGAGGTGGGAGGATCTTCTGAGCCCAGGGAGGTAGAAGCTGCAGTGAGCTGTGATTGCATCATGGCACTCCACCCTGGGCAACAGAGCAACACTCTACATCAAAATATTTTTAACAATTGGCCAGGTGCGGTGGCTCATGCGTGTAATCCCAGCACTTTGGGAGGCTGAGGCAGGCAGATCACAAGGTCAGGAGTTTGAGACTAGCCTGACCAACATTGTAAAACTCCATCTCTATTAAAAATACAAAAATTAGCTAGGCGTGGTGGTGCACACCTGTAATTCCGGCTACTTAGGAGGCTGAGGCAGGATAATCACTTGAACTCAGGACGTGGAGGTTGCAGTGAGCCCAGATCACGCCACTACACTCCAGCCTGGTCGACAGAACGAGACTCTGTCTCAAAAAAAAAGAAAAAAAAAAAATTAAAAATTAAAATAAAATAAAATAAAACCTTAAAGACCTAATATATATATATATATATTTAAAAAAAAAAAGAGAGAGAAAGAGAGAAGAAAAAAAGAAACTCAAAGACAGCATGTTCCCCCACTTGCTTTCTGAGGACACCCTACTATATAATTGAGTAGTTTCTAATAAACTTGCTTCTTTCACTGCACTTTGCTACTCACCTTGAATTCCTTCCTACATGAGATCCAAGAGCCCTCTCTTGGGGTCTGGGTCAAGACCCCTTTTCCGGTAACAGTATGGTGGGCTGGATAAACCCACAGTATTAGGAAAACATGTTCCTCCACTTATCTTATTTTTATACCAACTTTAATTCAGTTAACCTGAATCATCTGATGAGGTCATATCAGACGATAACTCTGCTTTTTTTTTTTTTAATTTGAGATGGGATCTCGCTCTGTGGCCAAACTGGAGTGCAGTGGTGCGATCTCGGCTCACTGCAACCTCCGCCTCCTGGATTCAAGTCATCCTCCTGCCTCAGCCTCCTGAGTAGCTGGGACTACAGGCACATGCCACCGCGCCCAGCTAATTTTTGTATTTTCAGTCAAGATGGGGTTTCAGTACGTTGGTTGGTCAGGATGGTCTTGATCTCTTGGCCTCGTGATCTGCCTGCCTCGGCCTCCCAAAGTGCTGGGATTACAGGCATGGCTACCGTGCCAGGCCGATAACTCTGCTTTCTAAACCCACCCAATACACAGGTCTGGCAATGAAAGCACAACTTCTTGTTGGGTGGCAGGGCAAGTATATTTAAAAAATATTCACATAAATAGATTATGCTTTTCCAGGGCCACAGTTTTATCTCATACATTACCATCTGCTCTCATCTGGCTTTTCAAGATTCCCTTTCAGGTTCTCAAAAATCAAGAACTAGATTCAGCTCGGTACCTCAGTAGTTTCTTGGTTTCCTTTGTCACTGGGCTAGGTTGAAACCAACTATTAAACAGCCATGCTCAGGCTATGCACAATTCTCCATTGCCCCATCCAGGTGATCCTTCTACCTCAGCTTCCCGAGTAGCTGGAACTACAGGTGCACACCACCACACCCAGCTAGTTTTTGTATTTTTTGTAGAGAAGGGGTTTCACCATGTTGCCCAGGCTGGTCTCAAACTCCTGGGCTCAAGCAATCCGCCCACCTCAGCCTCCGAAAGTGCTAGGATTACAGGCATGAGCCACCATGCCCAGCCTACTAAATTGTTGAGGATAGCTGTTTCTTATTTATTTATTTATTTATTTATTTATTGAGACAGGGTATCCCTATGTTGCCCAGGCTGGTCTTGACCTCCTGGGCTCAAGGGATCCTCCTGCCTCAGGTTCCCAAAGTGCTGGAATTACAAGTGTGAGCCACCACATCCAATCTTCTTTTTTTTAAAATAGAGATGAGGGGTCTCACTCTACTGCCCAGGCTGGAGTGCAGTGGCATGATCATAGCTCACCACAACCTTGAACTGCTGGACTCAAGCCATCTTCCTGCCTTAGCCTCCCCATAGCTGGGACTATAGGCACACACCACCACACTCAGCTAATTTTTTATTTTTTAATTTTTTGTAGAGACTGGGTCTCTCTCTGTTGCCCAGGCTGGTCTTGAACTCCTGGCCTCAAGCTATCCTTCTGTGTAGGCCTCCTAAAGTGTTGGGATTACAGGCATGAACCACCATGCCTAGCTGATTATATTTCTATGAAATATATTATTTGGGACAAATGAAAAATCTGAAAATCAACTGTGTATCAGATAAGAGTTCATCAATGTTAAATTTCCTGAATTTGATAATTATGTTTATATAATTATACTGCATTATGTAAAACAATTTCTTTGTTCTTAGAAGAAATATTTAGAAGTAAATGGTCATGATGTTCACAATTTACCCTTAAAGCATTCAGTGAAAATACTAATAATTAAATATGTATTCGGCTGAACTACACTAAATCATTAATATTTTACCAGTTTTGACCTACAAAAATAAAAATTTCATATGGCATAATCTAAAATACAAAAAAGAGTGATAAGCAAACACAATAAAATGTTAACAGTTGGCAAATGTGGGTGAAAGATATGTAGAACTTCATCCTACTATTCGTATAACTTTTCTGAAAGTATAAAATATTTCCAAAATAAAAAGTTTTTAAAAAATAACACAAAGGCAATTGTTGACATCAACAGGCTGAGAATAAATATACACCATGAAAGTCCAGGTGCAATGGCTCATGCCTATAATCCCAGCCGAGGCAGGGGGATCACTTGAGCCCAGGAGTTCAAGACCTGCTTGGGCAAAATGGTGAAACCTCGTCTCTACAAAATATACAAAAAATTAGCCAGGCATGGTGGCACACCACATGCTTGTGGTCCCAGCTACAGGAAGCTGAGGCTACGGCAAGCCCTGATCATACCACTGCATTCTAGCCTGGGCAATAGAGTGAGAGCTTGTCTCAAAAACAAACAAACAACACACATACACACAAACCATAAATAGTCACCACAATTACTTAAGTTTCAGTCAACTGTCTACAACTGCCCACTGTCGTACATATCCATCAAATCTAAGTCAACAATCTATTGCTCTTCCCTAAGGAAAAAAAAATAATCTCCAGGGCCGGGCGCGGTGGCTCAAGCCTGTAATCCCAGCACTTTGGGAGGCCGAGGCGGGCGGATCACAAGGTCAGGAGATCGAGACCGTCCTGGCTAACACGGTGAAACCCTGTCTCTACTAAAAATACAAAAAAATTAGCCAGGCGTGGTGGTGGGCGCCTGTAGTCCCAGCTACTCAGGAGGCTGAGGCAGGAGAATGGCGTGAACCCAAGAGGCGGCGCTTGCAGTGAGCCGAGATCGCGCCATTGCACTCCAGCCTGGGTGACAGAGCGAGACTCCGTCTCAAAAAAAAAAATAAATAAATAATCTCCAGACTTAGAAACTTACTTTCTGATACAGAGCTGAGGGCTAAAGTGGGCTCGGAGGCAATGACGACCAACGTGTCTGCAAGATAAGAGAATCAAAAATCAATACACATTTAGAGATCAACTTTAGTATATCAACTTCTCTATTTTTAGGGGTGAAGGGATAGATTAAAAGTAAGATATAAAAACAATGACAGTATCAGTGTCCTTGATACCATTTTCTAGTTGAAAAGCTACAACTCCAAGTAACTTGAAAATAATAAGAAATATTACCTAAAAATGCAAAATAGAGTTAATCAAACACAAATAATGCAAGACAAAAGAATAAGAATAATCAGAGTTGGTAATGTTCAACAGAGAAATAGAGAAAGTGATTTTTTAAAAGCTAGGTCTTGGGCCAGGCGCGCTGGCTCACACCTGTAATCCCAGCACTTTGGGAGGCCGAGGCGGACGGATCACAAGGTCAGGAGATCGAGACCATCCTGGCTAACACGGTGAAACCCCGTCTCTACTAAAAATACAAAAAATTAGCCAGGCGTGGTGGCGCATGCCTGTAATCCCAGCTACTCAGGAGGCTGAGGCGAGAGAATGGCGTGAACCTGGGACATGGAGCTTGCAGTGAGCCAAGATGGTGCCACTGCACTCCAGCCCGGGTGACAGAGCGAGACTCTGTCTCAAAAAAAAAATAAAAGCTAGGTCTTACAGGAGGTGATGTCTAAGAGACGGGGTTAACAAAACAAACAAAAAAACAGAATAAGCCCACTGGTAACTGCAACCATATAGCTTAGCTTTAGCAAATATCTACTACAAACGGATGAATTTAAAAGGTCAGGCCAGGTGCAGTGGCTCACGCCTGTAATCCCAACACTTTGGGAGGCTGAGGCCAGTGGACTGAGCCTAGGTGTTCAATACTGCCTGGACAACATGGTAAAACCCCATCTCTACAAAAAACATGAAAATTAGTTGGGTGTGGTAGTGCACACCTATAATACGAGCTACTCTGGAGGCTGAGGTGGGAGTATCACTTGAGCCCGGGAGGCAGAAGTTGCAACGAGCCAAGATCGCACCACTGCACTCCAGACTGGGTGACAGGGCTAGACCTTGTCTCAAAAAAAAAAAAACAAAAACAAACAAACAAAAAAAGGTTTAAGAGTACAAGGGGTTTGTGAAGAGAGCATCCTAAATATTAAGCTAGTTCATTTCAGGAACTAACATCAGTCAAACTCCAGATATCCTGAATGAATTTCAAGTCAAAAAGTCTTTCATGTAATTATTATAATGTGCAAAAAAATGGGAATAAAAAAAATTTTTACTGACCCCATGAAAGTTTTCTACTTAAAAATTGCCATTTTTGAAATGTATACATCAGTGCCAGAATTGCTTTTCAAGTCAAAAACTAAGATGTGCCTAGGCATTCTAAGGAGAATTTAACTGATCCAAAGTTTACACGGTACAGGTTGAGCACCCCTACTGTGGAAAATCCAGAATCTGAAACCCTCCATAACCCAAAATGTTTTAAGTGCTGACATGATGCTCAAAAGAAATGCTCACTGGAATATTTTGGATTTCAGCTTAGTGACATGTAACCAGTTAAGTATAATGCAAATATTCCAAAATCTGAAAAAAATCAGAAATCCTAAATATTTCTGGTCCCAAGCTTTTCAGAAAAGGGATGTTCATTGTGTACTATGAAAAACACACGACCATTATACCCTTCAGTCACATCATTATATCCTTCAGTCACATCATTGTATCAAATCTTTCCAAAAGCATTTAAGAAGGTAAATAGAGTGAATTTCTGGGACTAAAACTTAAAAACACATTGATTCTACAAAAGTTTATTGCATATCCACTACTTGCAAGGCACTAGGACACAAGATCTCATACAGATCTAATGATCTTCTAAAAAAGCTCATGATGTCCCTCACACCATTGATATTAGATGCACAAACTTTTCAAAAGCTTCATATTAGTACACTAGAAGGGCCCACTATTTAAAGGAAAAAAATCTAACGAACACTTCCTTCTTCAGCTCTTCCCTCTTTCCAGCTTTGAAGGCAAGAGGTGAATACAGACATTGTATACCCAAGGCTCCCAGAAAGAAGTGGGAACAAATCTCTTTTAATCAATTGAATTGTGACTCTGAAGTTGCAGGGCACGCATTCCTCACACCAGGCTAGGCCCAGTCACTCAGCTACCCAGCAAGAGTTTGCAGATGTGGGTTGGAATCTATGGCGTGCCCTCTCTGTCTAGCGCTATTGTTTCCCAGACAAATATCAATGTAAACTTTCTACAAGGCCCTCACAGAAACTAGCTGCACAAATGCCATAACCTTATTTGAAATATGACAAAAGTAATTATCCTTCCCTTTCATGTGAAAACAGGAACTCTGTATTTTTAATTGACAAGCCAGAACTTACAATTTCTAGTTATTGTTGCCCCTTCTAAATGCATTAACATGTCTCCCCAAAATGTAATCATTGCTGAAATCATTTTTGAAACTCTTCTCTGGATTGGGGCAGCAATGGTAATGTAAAAATAACATTGGGAAGTAAAAAATCAAGACTGGGCCGGGCGCGATGGCTCACGCCTGTAATCCCAGCACTTTGGGAGGCCGAGGCGGGCAGATCACAAGGTCAGGAGATCAAGACCATCCTGGCCAACATGATGAAACCCCGTCTCTATTAAAAGTACAAAAATTAGCTGGGCGTAGTGGCGCACGCCTGTGATCCCAGCTACTCGGGAGGCTGAGGCAGGAGAATCGCTTGAACCCGCGAGGCAGAGGTTGCAGTGAGCTGGGATTGGGCCACTGCACTCCAGCCTGGTGACAGAGCGGGACTCCATCTCAAAAAAAAAAAAAAAAATCAAGACTGAAGTCTTAGAATAAGTTGTATAACTTGAGTGAGTCATTGAGCTTCAGCGTTTTCAGTTATAAAATGGGATTGATAATACCTACCTTATTGGTTGCTGAGGGGACTGCACAAGAAAACATACAGGAAAGCATTGTCTAAACTACAATACACCACATATATATGTAACATATTATCACTGGTCTCCCCGAGGTCTTTAGAATTTGCATCACATTCTTTTTAAAACCCTCAGTGGTGACAAAAATACTCATCCACTGAAAATAAATTTGATTTCTGGAAAAAAAAAGTTATTCAAAGCCAAGTCTATGTGATCAAACTGAATACCATTTTTAGTCCAAAACAAGATGTGACTATAATTTATCTTATTATAGTCATACATTATATGACTGTAATATAATGAGTTTCTAAACTTGATCTGATGGTATACCAAAAAGTTTCATAAATGTCTAGGTAACAGCAACAATAAAATAGATATATAACTTTGAATGGCATGATGAATAATAATTTGTATACAAAAGTTCTGGTTAATGATTATTACCACCCAACTACCAAACTATAACCTAAGTCATCCTTGATTTCTTTTCTTTCACCACCCCCCCCATATGATGGCATCACCCAATCCTATCATTAACAGCTAGGAAAATTCATTCCAATCCATTGCTATAGTCTATATCCTCTTCGTTTCTCACTAGGACTGTAACAAGAGCTCCTGAACTGATCTCCCTCGCACCAATCTCTTACATATCATTCAATAACACCAACACTAATTTACTGAAAAATAAATAAAATAACATGGTTTCATCATTCTCCTGCCTAAAAGTCTTTAACAATTTCCCGCTGCTTACAGTATAAGATCCAAACTGTGGGCAAACAACGCACTTCACAACGTGGCCAACTCTCTGGACCTAACCTCCCACAAATTCCTTTCAATCCACTGTAATTCTGCCACACTGAACATTACATTATGTCCAGCTACAGCAAACCATCTTTTGACCACATGCCTTTGCTCATGCTGTTCTCTGAATAGAGCCTCCCTCAGAGCCTGTTAAACTCATCCTTCAAAACTCAATTCCTAAGGGCCGGCGTGGTAGCTCATGCCTGTAATCCCAGCACTATGGGAGGCCAAGGTGGGTGGGTCACTTGAGGTCAGGAGGTTGAGACAAGCCTGGCCGACATGGTGAAACCCCACCTCTAGTAAAAATACAAAAATTAGCCAGGCATACTGGCACACCCCTGTAATGCCAGCTACCCGGGTGGCTGAGGTAGGAGAATCACTTGAACCCAGGAGGCAGAGGTTGCAGTGAGCCAAGATCACACCACTGCACTCCACCCTGGGCGACAGAGCGAGACTCAGTCTCAAAAAAAAAACCAAAACCAAAAAAAAAAAAACAACCAATTCCTGGATAGCAAGATCACTTCTTTAGCCTTACTTGCTATATCTGCCTTGCTCTCACACTTGTTCATATCTATCAATATTTCTTATGTGGTTTAATAATTAATCTATTTATCTCCCTGCTAGACTTTGAGCTCAAACTATCAAAATATTTTGGATCCATAGTACCACAGTACTTTATTTATTTATTTATTTATTTATTTATTTTAAGACAGAGTTTCGCTCCTATTGCCCAGGCTGGAGTGCAATGGCACGATCTCAGCTCACAGCAACCTCCACTTCCCGAGTTCAAGCGATTCTCCTGCCTCAGCCTTCTGAGTAGCTGGGATTACAGGCATGTGCCTCCAAACCTAGCTAATTTTGTTTCTGTTTTTTGTTTGTTTTTGAAATGGAGTTTTGCTCTTGTCACCCAGGCTGGAGTGCAACAGCACAATCTTGGCTCACTGCAACCTCCGCCTCCCAGGTTCAAGTGATTCTCCTGCCTCGGCCTCCCAAGTAGCTGGGATTACCAGCACCCACAGGCACCCACAACCACGCCCAGCAAATTTTTGTATTTTTAGTAGAGACGAGGTTTCTCCATGTTGGTCAGGCTGGTCTTGAACTCCTGACCTCAGGTGATCCTCCCGCCTCGGCCTCCCAAAGTGCTGGCATTACAGGCATGAGCCACTGCACCTGGCCTTGGATCCACAGTACCTATAATAATGTCTGACACAAAGAAAAAGGTTAAAAAAAATAAAAATAACAAAATAAAAAGGTTTGTGAATGAATATGCTTATTTTAAAAAGCAGTTTCATAAATTGAGAGTTAAACCTTAATATTTAGGGGCATTTCACATACGGCATTTAATACAATGAGTACTGGCCAGATAGTTAATGACTCTTGGTGACTTTGTGTTTAAGGAGCATGAACATTATTACATAGAAGCCTAGCTGTCCTTAGCTTAGTTCTCTAACTCCTTGGCCTTGGCAAGTCATTCCTTGACTGAGTGCCAATGGTTTGTGTTACTTAGCTGGTTGTTCATCTCTAGCTGGTCCCTGAACTGTTTAGAGAACATACAAAATAGAGAGCATATATTCAAAAGCCATGACAATACAATACTCTGATAACTAATAATTCTTAATTAGCCAAGCATAAACATGTTTATATGCGGGGGAGGGGGAAGGGGAAGAAGTTGGTCAAAGGATACAAAATGTCAGTTAGAAGGGAGGAATAAGTTCAAGAGATCTATTGTATAACACAGTACAATTTTTTTTTTTTTGAGATGGAGTCTTGCTCTGTTGCCCAGGCTGCAGTGCAGTGGCATGATCTCAGCTCACTGCAACCTCCGCCTCCCAGGTTCAAACGATTCTCCTGCCTTAGCCTCCCGAGTAGCTGGGACGACAGGCGCGCACCATCACACCCGGCTAATTTTTGTATTTTTAGTAGAGATGGGGTTTCATCATGTTGGCCAGGATGGTCTTGATCTCCTGACCTTGTGATCTGACAGCCTCAGCCTCCCAAAGTGCTGGGATTACAGGCATGAGCCACCATGCCCAGCCACAATTGTTATTATTATGTTATTATGTTGTTACATTGGCCCGGCGTGGTGGCTTATGCCTGGCTCGGTGGCTGATGCCTGGCTCAGGTGGATCACCTGAGGTCAGGAGTTCAAGACCAGCCTGATCAACATGGTGAAACCCCGTCTCTACTAAAAATACAAAATTAGCCTGGCATGGTGGCACACGCCTGTAGTCCTAGCTGCTTGGGAGGCTGAGCCAGGAGAATCGCTTGAACCCAGGAGGCAGAGGTTACAGTGAGCTGAGATTGCGCCACTGCACTCCAGCCTGGGCGACAGGGTGAGACTCTGTCTCAAAAAAAAAAAAAAAAAAAAAAAAAAAAACCACACACACACACACACACAAAACCAAGGCATTGCATACTTGAAAATCACTAAGAATAGATTTCAAGTGTTCCCCCACAAAGATGTAATGCATATGTCAATAGCTCCACAAGGTACACATATTTCAAAACATCGTGTTGTACACCATATATACAATTTTTATTTGCCAATTAAAATAAGTAAATAAAAAAATTTTTTAAGTTTAACCAAAAATAAAAATAAAGGCCAAGCGTTGTGGCTCATGCCTGTAATCTCAGCACTTTGGGAGGCCGAGGCGGATGGATCATGAGGTCAGGAATTTAAGACCAGCCTGGCCAAGATGGTGAAACCCCGTCTCTACTAAAAATACAAAAATTAGCCAGGCGTGGTGGCGTGGTGGCAGACCCCTGCTGTAATCCCATCTACTCAGAAGGCTGAGGCAGGAGAAATGCTTGAACCCGGGCAGGGGCGGTTGCAGTGAGCCAAGATCGTGCCACTGCACTCCAGCCTGGGTGACAGACCGAGACTCCGTCTCAAAAAAAAAAAAAAGAAAAAGAACCAAAAAAAAAGAGACCCCCAAAAAAAGAACAAAAAGAAAAGTTTAACCAATATTTCTCTTAAGTGGGCCCAAGTTATTGCCGTTTGCAACACAAATGAGGAAACCAAAATCATGGAATCAATGACCTTGACTTGTCCAAAATAAATGTAGAACCAGAAATCAGCTCCTAGGATTTCTCAGAAGGTATTTTCCTTTGAGGTTAAATCAGCACATTATAAACAGTTCCAAATCCCTCTAGTGAAATGGAATTAGACTGGGAACTTCTATCAAGAAAAAAAAAATTTTTAATTCCTCATTTATCCTCCTAAAAAAATCCCTTATGAGAAATGGAGGTGTCCTTTCCACGAGAGCTTCAGATTACCACTAATGAAAAATATACCTTTCTTGGCATTGAATCCTAGTGTGGACTATGGGGAAAAGAAAGAGAGATCAGATTGTTAAGGTGTCCGTATAGAAAGCAGACATAAGAGACTCCATTTTAATCTGTAACCCTACCTCCAACCCTGTGCTCCCTTAGACATGTGCTGTGTCAACTCAGGGTTAAATGGATTAAGGGCTGTGCAAGATGTGCTTTGTTAAACAAATGCTTGAAGGCAGCATGCTCATTAAGAGTCGTCACCACTCCCTAATCTCAAGTACCCAGGGACACAAAACACTGCGGTAGGCCGCAAGGACCTCCGCCTAGGAAAGCCAGGTATTGTCCAAGGTTTCTCCCCATGTGATAGTCTGAAATATGGCCTCGTGGGAAGGGAAAGACCTGACCGTCCCCCAGACCCCCGTAAAGGGTCTGTGCTGAAGAGGATTAGCAAAAGAGGAAGGAACGCCTCTTTGCAGTTGAGACAAGAGGAAGGCATCTGTCTCCTGATCATCCCTGGGCAATGGAATGTCTCGGTGTAAAACCCGATTGTATATTCCATCTACTGAGATAGGGGAAAACCGCCTTAGGGCTGGAGATGGGACATGTGGGCAGCAATACTGCTCTTCAAGGCATTGAGATGTTTATGTGTATACGTATCTAAAGCACACCACTTAATTCTTTACCTTATGATGCAGAGACCTTTGTCCTTCTCTCCACTATTATCCTATGACCCTGCCACATCCCCCTCTCCGAGAAACACCCAATAATGATCAATAAATACTAAGGGAACTCAGAGGCCGGCGGGGATCCTCTGTATGCTGAACGCCGGTTCCCTGGGCCCCCTTTTTTCTTTCTCTATACTTTGTCTGTGTCTCTTTCTTTTCCAAGTCTCTCGTTCCACCTAACGAGAAACACCCACAGGTGTGGAGGGGCGACCCATCCCTTCAGTGGACAGCGCTGCACAACTCAAAATGATACTGTATGGATACACTTAATGACTATAATGATCCTCAGCTTTTAAACACTAATTCCAAAACTCCTAAAATGAACTGTTTGGAACCAATATGATCACTTCAAACTAAATGTTAATTTTACCAAAAGCCCCTAACATCGATACCAAAATATATCAGAGAATTCAAAAGCATTCAATTATGGTCAAACCATCTGGAATAAAGAAGACAGCACTGGCAAGACAAGCCTTGGCATACCTTAGACAGAAGATACATATGGAGATGAAAAACAGGGAGAAAATGAAGGATTAAGATAACCCTGATTTCAACTCCAAGAGGAATCATTTTGTCACAGAAAAACTAAACAAAGTCCCTCTATTTTTAAACTGGGTGACTGAAGTGGAAAGAGAAATGAGAACACATTTGGGGAAATCAGGGATTGAAATCTCAACAGCATTGAAGCTAACTTTCCATAACAAACAATTTCCAAAAATAAGGCTGGCACAAAACTATGCTGGGATTTGTACCAGGCGTGTCTAAAGGCGCTAGTCGCTGTGACTAGAGAGGCTGAGCAGAGAATGAGACCTAGACAGCGGAAAGTTCAGAATGAAAGAAAATCTAGGGTATTTCTCTGGACAACTAATTCACATTTTAGAGAAAAACTGGGACACTCACTCTCCCTCCCAAGTAAAATGATTAACTAAAAATGAATTCCCCGGGTTGCTCTGGGGCAGCAGAGGTCCGCCCTGGGTGCTAATGCTAATCGCCACCCCAGTAGGGATCCACCCTTTGCCAGCAGCCCGCTGGGAACCCAGACAGCGCCCACTCACGGTGGGAGCAGCTAGTGTCTGAAGGCATTCGAAGCAAAGGCAAAATACACGAAGATCTCTCTCTCCGAAGCTAAATGTCTAAATACGCTCTCGAAATCGTAGGACCCATGGGTGGCTGACCTTGAAGTTATTTTCTCAGAGCTCGGCTCTGGGTGCAGGCCCGAGAGCAATTTGCGTTAGAAGTACTAGAGGAGGTGGGGAAAACAGAAGGGGCGAGAGCCGAGGGCCCCTCGATACGAAGTCAGTGACCCCGAAGCCCTACGGAGCGCACCGGAGCGGCTGGGGGGGACGGGAAAAGGGGTCTCTAGGATCCCCGAGCGCTTGGCCTCCACACCCATGGGTCCTTTCCCTGCCCAGGCACAGGATAAACAGTTATCAGCAAAACGTGAGGGGCCAGTTCAGATCTCCGGAGGGCCGCAGGCACCAACTCCCAGTCCCACTGAAGTCACCTCAGCAACAGCGCAGCCATCTTGGGTTCCGGTCTGGACGGAAGTGACGCCAGGCGGCCCCGCCACCCGAGGGCGGAGGCGCGCCGGCTGGGGGTCGGGGTTGGGGGTGTCATGTGACGAGAGTCTCTTTAAAAGGCTCTGGAGCTTCTCCGCTCAGCTCTGCCTAGCTGGTTTGCTGGTTGTTTTCTGGTTTTTTAGTCTCCTCCTCCGCCTCCTGCAGCCGACTTCTACCGGAATTTGCCAGGATTTCGGCAGAAACGCCGCTGGCTCAAAATCTGCAGTCTACGTTCCACCTGCGTACATATTCATTTTGTATCGCACTCCCAAACAGCAAACGGCGGACTTGTTTAGATTCTTCCTTAAGGACTTCGCAGTCTGTTGCGTTCCCCCTGCCTCCCAGGTCGGCCTAAAAACGTGGTGGTTGGCCGGTTGAGACCCCGAAGAGAAAAGATACTTTGGGTTCCCTCCCTTTCTAATACGAAGCTTTAACCAGACAGATACATAAATTGTGACCTAAGTTGGGGAGTGTGTAGAGGGGCCTCGAGAAGACCTTGCGGACCACCATTCCCGAAAACGAGGAGCCTCATCTAACCACCTCGATTAGACCCCACAATTCCTGGGTTTGAGCTGCCACATGGACCAGGCGCCCACTAGCCGAGGACAATGCTCCCTTGTTCGTTGTTTCAGCGCTATGTGGGTGACACCCACAGCTAGAAGAACCCGGAGTGAGGGGAAGAACACGCTTTGATTTATATATGTGTATATATATATATACAGTTTTAGGGAACCCAAGCACAGGAATCAACTGCCGAGCACTCAAGACTGAAGAAAGAAGAAGAGCAAATGATAAAGGAAGGGAACAGAGCACAAAAGTTCTTGACTCTTGTGGGGAGTAGGGTGGAGAGGAGTAAAAGGGACAGGCTAGAGCAACTCCTATTTCTACAAAAAAAATACTCAATTATATTAATATTCAGATCTTATGTATATTTAGCATCCCTGCACTTCAGGATTTAAATAGCACAAATTCACTTATTTCTGCATCAGATGAATAATACTACTTTGCATTTCTATAATGCTTGACAAAGCACATTCGTACACTTTAGGATTGAAAGAGGCTCTCTAATCCAATCTACTATCTATGCAGGGATCTCCTCTGCAACACCCATAACAGCTGATCTTCAAGACTCTACCCCCCCATATTCAATGATGGGTACCTCAAACAACAAGTTTTATTTAATGAACAACTTATTCGTTAGTTATTATATTTAAATACAGTTTTGTGCTATCGAAATTCCAGTCATTGACTTGGCTCTCTGGAGCTTCACGTTAACAAACCCAAGGAATGCCTTTTTCACTCAGATCTTTTTTGGTTTTTCTTTTTCTTTTTCTTTTTCTTTTATTTTGAGACGTAGTCTCACTCTGTCGCCCAGGTTGGAGTGCAGTGGCGCTATCTCAGCTCACTGCAGCCTCTGCCTCCCAGGTTCAAGCGATTCTCCTGCCTCAGCCTCCCCCCAAGTAGCTGGGATTACAGGCCTGCACCACCATGCCCGGCTAATTTTCTGTATTTTTAGTAGAGATGGAATTTCACCATGTTGGCTAGGCTGGTCTAGAACTCCTGACCTCAAGTGATCCACCGGCCTCGGCCTCCCAAAGTCCTGGGATTATAGGTGCGAGCTACCACTCCCAGCCCACTCAGCTCTTTAAATATTAATAATTTCATTTAGCATGTAGTTATGGACTTTTTGTCAGTCCGTGAAAAGTTCTGTAGGGGATTCAAAGATACAGATGTTTGTACTGTCCCCAAGAAGGTTATAGCCTTAGCAGGATCAATAAAGACATGCAACAAAGAAAGTAGCAACAACCCATTGAAGAGGGTGTTGATAAAAGGGGTGGTTAGATAAAGAGGAAATGATTGCTTACAGTTGGGAGGTGGAGTTAGGTGGAAATTTTGGAGGGGAGAGTTTTGGGGGTTTTTTTTTTTTTGTACTTTGAATTGCTGTTTTATAGAAATGTTGACTACAACATCCTGTAAACATTTGTCAATGATGATGGTTTTGCCTATGGACTTCATAAGCAATCCCATATTTAGAATTCCACAACCCAAATCTAATACTAATGACCATACCCACCAGGGCTGTGGTCTAATGAGATGCCAGGAAGGTACCAGGACACTGTCCTTCACCTGGGTGAGCCTGCAGTGGTCTCATAGCAGGAATAACAATGACCACCCCACTTACATTAACTTCTAGAGGTCAGGCACGGTGACTCACACCTGTAATCCCAGTACTTAGGGAAGCCAAGGCAGAAGGATCACTTGAGTATAGGAGTTCAAGATCAACCTGAGCAACACAGTGAGATCCTCATCTCTACAAAAAATTGAAAAATTAGCTGGGTATGGTGGTGGCTGCCTGTGGCTCAGCTAATCTGGAGGCTGAAGTGGGAGGATCGCTTGAGCCTGGGAGGTTGAGGCTGCAGTGAGCTATCATTGCACCACTGCACTACAGCCTGGGCCACAGAGCAAGACCTTATCTCTGAAAAAAAAAAAAAAAAAATTTTAAACTAGCCCAGCATGCTGGCATGCGCCTGTAGTTCCCAGCTACTTGGAAAGCTGAGGTAGGACAATTGCTTGAGCCTCAGAGGTCAAGGCTGCAGTGAGCCATGATCATGCCACTGCATTCCAGCCTGGGCAACAGAGCGAGACTGCCTCAACAAACAAAAAAACCTCAGCTCTGGTTATGTAGACATCCCCATGGCTAACTCCACCCCAACACCTTCAGGTTCTCATGATGTACCAAATTGAATTCACCTTCTTTCACCTGTCATTTAAGGCCTTTCACAAACTGGTTTCGACTTTCCTGTCCAGTCTCATTTCTGACTATGCCACTTCAAGTTTCCCCAAATCAAGTCAAAGTGGATGGCACAAGATCGGCCCTGAATATATCCAACACTTCAGAAACCTACATCTCATATACATACACACACACACACACACACACACACACACACACACACACACACACACACACATTCTGTCTCTCCGTCTCACCTCTTTGTCCTTGCTTTTGCTGTTCTATCTTCTGGTAACCCTCCCTATCTCCCTTTCCAAAATGACAGTCATCCTTCAAGGCTGATTCATATCTAACATTGCCTCCTAGACACAACTATTCTTCCCTCTGAACTATTTATTTGTTTGATTATTTATTTATTTATTTATTTTTGAGACAGAGTTTCATTCTGTAGCCCAGGGTGGAAAGCAGTGGCACAATCATAGCTCGCTGCAGCCTTGATTTCCCAGGTTCAAGCGATCTTCCTGCCTCAGCCTCCCAAGTAGCTGGGACTACAAGCATGTGATAACATGCCCAGCTGATTTTTTAAAAAATTTTGGTAGAGGCGAGGTCTTGCTATGTTGCCCAGACAGGTCTCAAACTCCTAAACTCAAGCAATCCTCCTGCATAAGCCTACCAAAGTGCTGAGATTACAGGTGTCAGCCACTATGCCTGGCATAAACTTCATTTATTAAAGTTTATTTTGTCTTTAATCTCTCATATAACTTAGTCTTCCTGATATTGCAGCTGTGTGTGCCCCTCTTTTGTACTCCCAGCATTTTGTTCATTACTAAAGGAAGTGTCATGGCTTATTATACTTGATTGTTGATGGGTTTGTCCTCTGATCTTCCCATCTCCACCTCCCCAAACCAAATTTTCAACTCCTTGCTGGAAGGACTTAATTTTTATTCCTCTCTCTATTACCTGCATTCTCATACTTTACATATTGCTGGCACTTAATACAATTTTGTAGCCTTGAAATAAATTGAAATGGACTTAAACAGCAGCATGAAGCACTGAAGGACTTCTTGACAAACGGAAAGGTCAGGGGCTTCTTGCCTGGAAATAGTCCAGTGGAGAAAAACTTCTGTCTGGGAAGAATCGCACAGGATGAAGGGAGGTGCGGGGAAAAAAACTCCCATAGGACTTGGTCATCTCAAGAAGTCTGTAATGCAGCCCACATTAGAGGAGATAACAGGGGATATCCTATTTTCAGAGTTCTCTGGGGGAAACCTCCCTCTAGTTCCTAGGGCTGTGAGGCAGCCTCTCTCAGGCAAGGAGGCTGAGGAGAAATCCCTTTTTATGGCCTTTAAATTGAGGTTCCATATCTATCCCTCAGAGAAGTGTGTCTGTGTCCCTGTTTTTGTCCCTCTCCCTCACCACCCCCCACAACATTCCAGCCTGGGGCAGGGGGAGGCCAGTGGACACAAAGCCCTCTGTGTATGGGGTGGTATGTGTCCCCCCACCCCTCCACCCAGACTATACAATGCCCCTTCTGCTCCCTGCACTCTGCCCCCCTCCCCACCACCTCTCAACTGCACATGCCAGGCTGCAATTGGTTACTGGCTGAGGACAGCCCCCTCATGCTGGGGCCCTAGGGGATTTTAAGCAGGTTCCAGGAACCCCCCGTTCAGTTCCTGGTCCCCCACTTTCTCAACCCCACAGATGCTCCGGGCCCCTGCCCCTGCCCCAGCTATGGCTCCTGGGGCTCCCTCATCCAGCCCCAGCCCTATCCTGGCTGTGCTGCTCTTCTCTTCTTTGGGTAAGTGGAGCCACTCTACTCTGGGAGTCTTGGGACTCAGGTGTCTCTCAGCAATCCCCACAGCCTTTGCTGCACTCCCCACTGCAACCAAAGAAAGAACAAGCAGGAGCAGGAAGGTGACATTATATTCAGAAAGAAAAAATATGCGGCTGGGCATGGTGGCTCATGCCTGTAATCCCAGCACTTTGGGAGGCCAAGGTGGGATAATTATTTGAGCCCCAGGAGTTGGAGACCAGCCTGGACAACATAACCAGACTCCATCTGTAAAATTCAAAAAAAAAAAAAATATATATATATATATATGAAAAGAAAAAAATATGCATTTAGAGGGAGGAAGTAGAGGTTTTATTTTAAAAGAAAGGGTAAAAGAGAGTGTAGCAAGCTTCCCTGAGTGGTGGCCATGGCTGGACCCAGGTTGGAAATAGTAGCATGCCCCCAGAGCCATGCTAACAGCCTGGTGGGAAGCAGTGTTAGATTACATAAAGAAATAGGCTCAAACACCTGGGTTTGGTTCCCACTCGTCCCCTAGCAGTGCAGGAGGTGCCTTAACCTTAGTTTCCCAGAAGGAAAAAGAGAGTGCGATCTAAGTAAGGAGCCCAGGTTTGTGGTCTCAGCTCCTCAGATTTTTTGTCTCTCTATGGCTCCTCACCTGTTGTGTGGGTGAATGGAGTGAGGTTCTATGAGATTCTGGGATCTTATCCCTCTAAAGCTGTCTTCCTTCATAAGCTGACCAGCCCTTTCCTTGCCCCCTGGCAGATGTTGGGTGAGTAAGAGGTCAAAGCAGGATTATTGGAATGGCCCCTTCCCTTCTCTGAACTGCCCTGAATCCTAGTGCAATGAGTGAGCCATAGGCAAGTGGGGGTGGTGGGGAGGACATCAAGGGAAAGGGGGCTGGCCAGAATGCCCAGGGTTCTCTGCTGTCAGCTGCTTGAGCCCTAGACTCTTCTGGGTTGTACTGGGCTATTTGGGGGTACCCTGAGAAAATGTTAAAGATAGAGAGTTGGAGAAGGGCATAGTGAGGGAAATAGGGGGAAGGAATCTTGATGTATAAGGAAGAGGGAGAGTTGTGTCTCAACACTTGTTCCACTCATAGAACCATTGAGCACAGCTGAGAAGGGCAATGGTTGATATTGTAACAGGAGGAATAGAAGTTAGAGCCAGTGAATTATCTCCCTTGTTAAACAAGGGGGATTCCCAAGAAGGTTCTAAGGTGGAAGTTCCAGAAGGTAAGTACATGGTATTGCATGCTGAGGTGAGAGATTCAGGACAGTTGGGGTGGGAGTAGGGGTGGCATGAGCCCCCCAGCGTTGGTCAGACAATGGAACTTTGTTTGGTTGCCACCTCCCCCTCCTGTAGAACAAAAAGGTCTACAGTTGCCCCTCCCTGGGGCCAGCCCACACACATAGTCTCTCTGGAATGACCTTCCTTGTGTGGGTAAGTCTTGGGGATGGCACTGGGCCACAGTGGCCAAGAGGAAGGTGAGGACAGTTGAACCATAGAGGGCTCACATGTAGGGTCATCTGAGCTGTAGGCTTGGGGTGTTGCTCTGCACCCAGCTGAGAGGGGTATGAGGCCCTTCCCTTCCTGACTCTCCAGTCAAGAGCAAGCTGTATGGCAACCAGGGATTCAGCAATGAGGACAGTTGTGCCAGGGAAGAAGACTTATATTTTCTAGTTATCTTCATTTTTTTCTGCAAGAAATCTGAGTTTGCTGTATTGTGAAATCCAATGCAGCTGTTAAAATAAGATTGATATCTATGAATCAACAGGGAAAGCTCCTCCAGATACGTAAGTTCTTAAGCAAAAAGACACTAGAATACAATGCAATATGTATGTGGAAAAAAAAACTCCACAAAACTATTTGTTGTAAGTATGTGTATATCTTGAGTTTATTGAGTTTATACTGAGTTTGATTCATATTAAATGGATAACTTGTTACATCTTGGAAGGGAATACAGGAAAGGAATTTGTTGGGCTAAGTGTCAAAGGAGACTTTTGTTTTATTTCTATTGCTTGAATAGTTTATAA
Source organism: Homo sapiens (assembly GCF_000001405.40). Taxonomy (NCBI): domain Eukaryota; kingdom Metazoa; phylum Chordata; class Mammalia; order Primates; family Hominidae; genus Homo; species Homo sapiens. The sequence continues at coordinate 161,307,811 of NC_000001.11, read as the reverse complement.
GAAGAGTACAATATGTATTACCTGTATAATTTATAATAAATTTTAAAAATTTAGAACACTGCATCTAAAGGATAGCTTAAAAGTTAGATACTGACCCAAAGGAGAAGTGAGACTTAAAGACAGAACCCAATCTCTGGAAGTCCTCAAGAGAATTCTGTTACTGCTGATTTCATCTTCTCTACAGACATGCTAAAGAGCTTGACAGACACAGCATTTATGCTCATCTGTTCAGTTAGTCCCCAGAGACTTGGGGCTCAGAATTTGTTGTTTCTTTTCCAAATTGGCCTCTGACCTGTGACTCAGCACTTGATTTCCTACTGATCTCACTTCCTCTGTATCCCTTACTGGGCCCATAGGTGCATCTGATTCCCCACTTTGTGCTTGCAGTGCTGTCCCCGGCCCAGGCCATCGTGGTTTACACCGACAGGGAGGTCCATGGTGCTGTGGGCTCCCGGGTGACCCTGCACTGCTCCTTCTGGTCCAGTGAGTGGGTCTCAGATGACATCTCCTTCACCTGGCGCTACCAGCCCGAAGGGGGCAGAGATGCCATTTCGGTGAGTGCCTGGGGGAATCCTGGGGTTGGATAACAGAAAGTGCTTCAAAGAACAACAAAAAAGATAACTTGGGCTAAGGAGGGGGAAATCCTTTTTGAGCCATAACCCCAACTTTGGCAAGGTAAATGACAGTCTTTGTCACCCTGACTACATTGTCCTCCCTTCTCCAGCACTACCCTTTCCAGCCCAAGATCCCTTACCCTGAGGCTGGAGCGAAGCTTTTTTTTTTTTTTTTTTTTTTTTGCTTTTTTCTTTCTGTAACAAATTATGGAGCTAAGCTTTGACAGCTGTGTTCTCATTAGGGTCCTCTCACATGCTTCCCCTCATTCCTCATAGATCTTCCACTATGCCAAGGGACAACCCTACATTGACGAGGTGGGGACCTTCAAAGAGCGCATCCAGTGGGTAGGGGACCCTCGCTGGAAGGATGGCTCCATTGTCATACACAACCTAGACTACAGTGACAATGGCACGTTCACTTGTGACGTCAAAAACCCTCCAGACATAGTGGGCAAGACCTCTCAGGTCACGCTGTATGTCTTTGAAAAAGGTGTGAGAAGGGATGGGGACAAGGGTATGGGAAGCAGTTTGGGAGGGGATCAGGGAGGACTGATAGGTTGGGGGAAGAGGCAAAAAGCCCGGCCTAAGGACCTTTATTCAGGCTCTGGGAGCGTGGGCAGAAGGCAGTTTTAGCTGGGAGTCCTACATCCTCAATGCAGGGCATACACTCGGACTAGGAACCACAGATACAGGGCCCTGCTCATTCTCCCACTTCTTTTCCCACCCCTCCTAGTGCCAACTAGGTACGGGGTCGTTCTGGGAGCTGTGATCGGGGGTGTCCTCGGGGTGGTGCTGTTGCTGCTGCTGCTTTTCTACGTGGTTCGGTACTGCTGGCTACGCAGGCAGGCGGCCCTGCAGAGGAGGCTCAGGTAAGGGGCGGAGCCTAGCTCCCCTCCCCCTCTCCCCACTATCCCCCATCTGGGCGGAGACTACTCCAGTGGGTGGGAGGGCCAAGGGGAAGAGGAAGCTGTGTCCGCGGTGCAAGGGGTTCCGGCGAGGCCAAACGTACAGCAGTCTCTCTTCTTGCAGTGCTATGGAGAAGGGGAAATTGCACAAGCCAGGAAAGGACGCGTCGAAGCGCGGGCGGCAGGTTAGCGGGACTTGGGGCCTAGACAAGATGGGAAGGAGAACCCTGGGAGCCGCCGGGCAGCAGTGAGGGGTGGGATGGGAACAGTCAAGCCCCAGTCGCTCGGTGACTGATGTGTGCGCCCCTCCCCCAGACGCCAGTGCTGTATGCAATGCTGGACCACAGCAGAAGCACCAAAGCTGTCAGTGAGAAGAAGGCCAAGGGGCTGGGGGAGTCTCGCAAGGATAAGAAATAGCGGTTAGCGGGCCGGGCGGGGGATCGGGGGTTAGGGGTGGAGTCCGCCAAAGGCCCAAAGGTGATGGTCATCGAGATGGAGCTACGAAAGGATGAGCAGAGCCCGGAGCTCCGGCCTGCTGTCAAGTCCCCCAGCAGAACCAGCCTCAAAAACGCCCTCAAGAACATGATGGGCCTGAACTCGGACAAGTGATCGCCACCCCCCCACCCCAGGCCCTGCCAGAGCAGGGGGACCTAGGCTCCTCTTACCCCCGTCTAGGTGCTTTCCCTCTTTGCTCCCCCGCCCTGCCCTGCCCTCACCTCCCTTTGAGATGTAAGTTTCATTCCAGAATTCATTCCCCAGGCAATTGTATTCTCCCCCACCTTCACCCCTGGCTTTCTGGGAGCCCAGGAGCTAATCCTACCCCTCACCTGCCCCGGGGGCTGTGTGTTTGGTGCCTGTCCACCTGAGCACTGAGAAGAAAGGGACTTTGATACCCTCTGCCTCAAGTCCAGGCCACCTGGCATTCCCATCTCCTGCATCCCCCAGCCTGTCCCCCTGGCTGTTTCCTCTCCCGTCCCTCCCTCCCCTCTACCAGGTGGCCCAGCTCCATACTCTGTCCCCCCAGCTAATACCCAGAGCACCCAGATCAGACTCTCCTTCAGGGTTTATTTAGGTTATTATTTTTTATTTTTTAATCCATTCTTTGTTTGTTTACCTGTGCTCATCCTCTGCCCTTACACCCATGACTGAGGACCAATGACGTCATGTGGCTTTTGCAATTCACGCCCCCCTTAAGTCCTTAATGAAGAGCCAGCCCAAGTAGAGGGGCCCCTGATCCTCACACTTCAGTATAGCATTGGTTCCCCCTGACCACTTTGGAGCACTGTTCTGGGACTCCAGGTCTTGAGGAGAGAGACAGAGAGAGAGAATGGATCCTCATAGGTCAGGGAGTGGGGGAGGGGGCAAATGAGCCTTAAGAAATGGTTTTTAAACAACCAAACAAAAAGCAGGAAAAACAAATGGGAAATGGGGGGGCGGGGGGGAGGAAGAGGCTGCACTGCAGCCACAGGGGATTCTTAGGATTTTTCTACATTCTGTATATTTCTTCTCAAACCTCCAAATGTCCTTAAATGTTTAATAAACACTGACATTTCCAGAAGCTGCTGCCTTGTCTAGAATTTCCTAGTCCTCCTGGGAATAATTCCTGCCCCTTATCCCATCCCCAACCTTCCATACTTGGCTTCAGTTGTTTAGTTTGTTTTTTTGGGGTGGGCTTATATAGTATACTAGAAAGAACTCTGAAATAGCCTCACAAGACACATTCATACCTTCAGCAAATAATCAGTGAGATTATACTACGTTGTAAACTCTGCCAGTCTCTGCTTTTACATGAGTTAAAACGCAGAATCTGTCTTCACCAAGATCTGAATTTTAAAACATCCCAGCCACTCTCTAGCTGTGTGATCCCCAGGACAGTTACCTGACTTTGGTAAGCTTGTTTATGTACTTGTAAACAACTGAGATAATGATATCTGCCCTGCTTAATTCCTAGGGATTTTATAATAATCAAATGAGATCCTGTGTATGGAAAACTTTGTAAACTGTAAGTTGATATACAACTAAATATTAAGGTGTTCAATATTTGTTTCTAGTGCTTGCCTAAGGTAGTACACTTTACAAATTAGCACAAATCCCATTCACCTCTCTAAACAATCACTGCTTTGTTTTGTTGGTACATGATTTTACTTCTGTTTACCTATTAATAGGTATACTATTAATACCTCATTAGCTAGTTTGTTGGTATGTTGATTTAGGTATACCATTAATATCCTGGTATCCTGAACTGATTGTGGAAAAACATATACGTATCATTTTCCCCTGGGGATTACTGATGGCACAAAAAAACCCAAAGTGCCCACAAGTAATTTCTTCCCCTTGTTAAGAAGCTAAAGATATGATTAACACCAGCTTTACCAAAACCCAGAGTGCTTCCATTTGTTTGAGGGGTGTCTTCAATGTCTTTTAAAAAAAATCAATCTGCCTTCATTTAAATATAAAAGCTAATAGAGTATATATAGCCTTTTGTTGGGGGGAAGTGGGAGAGGAAACTTAGTCACAACCCAGTAATAAAGTTGGGAATATCTTAAGCCCAAGATTCCTTATTAGTTAAGATGCTAAACTGTCCATTATTCATTAGATAGTTGCAGCTGGGTTCCCTGCTTAAACTTCCCAGACTGTCAGGAGAGTCAAATGAGGTTGGATGTGGTGGCTCATGCCTGTAATGCCAGCACTTTGGGAGGCCGAGGTGGGCAGATCACTTCAGGCTAGGAGGTTGAGGCCAGCCTGACCAACATGGCTAAACACTGTCTCCACTAAAAATACAAAAATTAGCCGAGCATGGTGGTGAACGCCTTCTAACCCTGGCTACTTGGGCAGCTGGGGCACGAGAATTGCTTGAACCGCGGAGGCGGAGGTTGCAGTGAGCCGAGATCATGCCGCTGCACTCTAGCCTGGGCAACACAGCGAGACTATGTCTCATAAAAATAAAAAAGAAAGAGAGAGAGAGAGAGTCAAATGAAATATTATGCTACTTATGAGATAGAGTATAGCTCAAAGCTTCTCATTTAATTACACTTTTGTTCTAAAATTTATCAGCCACCTGCATTTTGCTAGCTCAGTTTATCCAATTATTTTAATATTTCTTATTCCATCAAGAATCCTGGTACCCTGGGACAACATTTTGCAATCTCTTGCATTAGGCATTTTCACAAGCATTGCACACTTAATGTGGGTTTTTCCAGGACTGTGCCCATTTTCCACAATCCCCAACAAAGTAAGCCACATCCCCCCTTTCTTTCCTCTGCAGTAAAGCATTAAATAAAGTCTAGAATAATGATTCAGATAAAGGGAAATGACATTGTTATATGGGAAACTTTGAATCCCATCTAATTATTACTTTGAAATAAATCGTTCACAATCCTCAGTGCGTTGTTAATAATAGCAATAATTTTGCCCAGGCATGTGAGCACTTTGAGAATAATTTAAAGCCTTTTTCAGTGTTAACCATAAAAAGAAAAAGATTATAACCCAATTTATGAATACGCAGACAAAGAGTCTAAATAAAATATTTGCAAAAGAGAATTCCACAATGAGTTAATAAAATAATAAATTATGACCATGAAGAATTTACTCTGGGAATGAAAGAATAGTTCAGTATCAGGAAATTTACTAACAGGATGTGTTATATCATCAGGGAAAAAACGTAATTCTATCAAGAGGAGATGTAAAAAAAAAAAAGCAATTGTTTTTTAGTAGCTATTCCTACAAAACATTCTAAGTAAAATAGTAATAGAAATAACCATAATGGACACTATTTTTCAAAAATCATTTAAAAAGCATATTAAATATGAAATATTGCAGCCATTGTCATTAAAACAAAAGACAGTACTTACATTATCGCTAAAAATATTCAGTATTATATTTGAAGAATTTAGCTAGTGTAATTAACCAAAAACAAGGAACAATCTGTATACATAGATGAGAAACTTATCTTTATTTGCAGATAATATGATTGTGTTTCTAGGAAATCCATAAGATGCAACTAGACATGTATTGAACTAAGAAGTCAATCTGGTAGTGTGATTATAAAATAAATTAATTTCAGTCTATAACTAGAAATCTAGCTAGAAATGAAAATAATAGGGAAGCCCACTGATGACAGTAAAAAGAACAGAAACAGAAATTAACAAGAAAGGTACATAACCTGTATGAAAAAAATTATAAGATTTATTAAGTAACAATATGTGAAAGTTGTCAGAATCAAGATGGAGACACTCGTGTTAAAAAAGAAAAACAGGGCCAAGCGCAGTGGCTCACGCCTGTAATCCCAGCACTTTGGGAGCTGAGGTGGGTGGATCACTTGAGGTCAGGAGTTCAAGACCAGCCTGGCCAACATGGTGAAACTCCATTCTACTAAAAATACAAAACATTAGCCAGACATAGTGGTGCTCACCTGTAATCCCAGCTACTCAGGGGGCTGAAGCAGGGGAATCGCTTGAACCTGGGAGGCGGAGGCTGCAGTAAGCTGAGGTCATGCCACTGCACTCTAGCCTGGGCAACAGAGCGAGACTCCGTCTCAAAAAAAAAAAAAAAACCCCAAAACAAACAAAAAGACAAAAACAAAACAAAAGAAAACCCTGACAAACAGAACCAGGGAGGGCTATGAAGAAACAGGTTCTCATGCATAAATACTTGATAACAAAAGCTATGACAAAAGAATGCAAAATGGGGACTTAGGGGAAAGGGTGGGTGGGGGTGGTGAGGGATAAAAAAAACTACAAATTAGGTTCAGTGTATACTGCTCAGGTGATGGGTGCACCAAAATCTCACAAATCACCACTAAAGAACTTACTCATGTAACCAAACACCACCTGTACCCCAAAAACCTATGGAAATAATTTTTTTTTTTTTGAGACTGAGTTTTGGTCTTATTGCCCAGGCTGAAGTGTGATGACGTGATCTCAGCTCACTGCAACCTCTGCCTCCCGGGTTCAGGCAATTCTCCTGCCTTAGCCCCCCGAGTATCTGGCATTACAGGCGCCCACTATGCCTAGCTAATTTTTGTATTTTTAGTAGAGACGGGGTTTCACTATGTTGGCCAGGCTAGTCTCGAACCCCTAGCCTCAGGTAATCCATCTGCCTTGGCCTCCCAAAGTGCTGGCATTACAGGCGTGAGCCACCGCGCCCGGCCATAAATAAATTTTTTTTTTAATTCTATGAGAAATAAACATTAAACGTTTTTGAAATATTCCCTTCCCCCTCGTTAAATTATTAAACTAAATGATAAATCTATTTGGATTAGGCTATAATCAAATGGCTTTCTGATCTCCTTGCAAATGAATTTTGCCTACTATATTGCAGCCAAATTTTTTCTTTATCTTTGCATGTTCTCACTTATAAGTGAGAGCTAAGCATCGGGTATATATGGACATGACAATAGGAACAATAGACACTGGGGCCTATTTGAGGGGAAAGAAAGAGGAGGGACGGGCTGAAAAAGTACTCATTGGGTGCTATGCTCACTACCTAGTGACGGCATAATTTGTACCCCAAACCTCAGCATCACACAGTATACCAATGTAACAAACCTGTTCATGTACCCCCTGAATCTAAAATAAACGTTGAAATTAAACAAACAAAAAAAATGCAAAAACTGCAACCTTGCACAAATGCTGTTCACGACCTTACACAAAAATTACATCTACAAGGACATCTGCCCAACAACTGTCTGTCAAACCTCCAACTGGCATTGTCTTTATTGATTATTGTAGCAAAGGATAATTATTAATATTTCAAAACAATTATGTGAGCCTCCTCATTTTGCCTTTAAAAACCTTTGTCAGCTGGGCACATTGGCTCTCGCCTGTAATCCCAGCACTTTGGGAGGCCAAGGCAGGCGGATTGCTTGAGTCCAGGAGTTCGAGACCAGCCTGGGCAACATGGTGAAACTGCCATCTCTACAAAAAATACAAAAATTAGCCAGTCGTGGCTGGGCGCGGTGGCTTACCCCTGTAATCCCAGCACTTTGGGAGGCCAAGGCGGGCGGATCACAAGGTCAGGAGATTGAGACCATCCTGGCTAACACGGTGAAACCCCTTCTCTACTAAAAAATACAAAAAGAAATAGCTGGGCGTGGTGGCGGGCGCCTGTAGTCCCAGCTACTTGGGAGGCTGAGGCAGGAGACTGGCGTGAACGCGGGAGGTGGAGCTTGCAGTGAGCCAAAATCTTACCACTGTACTCCAGCCTGGGTGACACAGTGAGAGTCCATCTCAAAAAAAAAAAAAAAAAATTAGCCAGTCATGATGGTGCGTGCCTGTAGTCCCAACTACTCCGGAAGCTGAGGCGGGAGGCTCGCTTGAGCCCAGGAGGTGGAGGTTGCAGCGAGCCAAAATCGCATCACTGTACTTCAGCCGGGGTGATAGAGCAAGATCCTGTCTCAAAAATTCATTTACCACTCAGTTCAGTGGTAAATGAATTGATTATTTAATAAAATATATTGGCATTGGCACAGTTGACTTATACGCCTGGAAGAAATCAAAGTAAAAAGTTTTTTCCCTCACATCCTATACAAAAATAAAATAAAAATTTTAAAAAGACAAATATTAGAAGGAAATAAAAATATTTGTTTAATCTCCAAATGGGGAAGGTCTTTAGGCAAGACAGGAAATCCGGAAATCATAAAAGAAAGTGATAAAAAGTTCAATCTCCCGGGGCTGTGGGCCCTGAAGATGTGGCGCTGTGTAGCAGCCGCCGCCTCGTAAGGCCTGGGCGCTGTGGCCTGGGCCCTGTGGCCTGGGCCCTGTGCCCTCCTAGAGGAGCAGGCAGGTCCCCCAGACTTGAGGTGGGGGCTCTGCCAGCTCCAGCACCACCCTTGCCCCGAGTCTTTTAACCTGAGTGTTAGCATTTTAAAGAGACCCTGCAGGAGTTCTGGCCTCTGACTAACTGCCCCACCCCAGCAGAGACCTGGTCGAGACTGTAACTAGTGATGTTTGTACAACCAAAGACTCTATTTTGTGGTTTAAGGAGAATAAAGTTGACTACATTAAAAAAAAAAAAAAGAAACTCAATCTCTCTCTTTTTTTTTTGAGATGGTGTCTCGCTGTGTCACCCAGGCTGGAGTGCAGTGGCACAATCTTGGCTCACTGCAACCTTCACCTCCTGGGTTCAAGTGATTCTCCTGCCTCAGCCTCCCATGTTGCTGGGATTATAGGTGTCCATCACCATGCCCGGCTAATTTTTGTATTTTTAGTACAGATGGGGTTTCGTCATGTTGGGCAGGCTGGTCTCAAACTCGTGACCTCAAGTGATCCTCCCACCTCGGCCTCCCAAAATGCTGGGATTACAGGCATGAGCCACCATGCCCAACCTAGTTCAACCTCTTTAATGGCAAAATACATTATAAACAAAGACAAAAGACAACTGGTGATGATGGATAAAACACAAGACATATGAAATGTCTTTCTACACATTTTTTTTTTGGGGGGGTGGGGCAGATGGAGTCTCACTCTGTCGCCAGGCTGGAGTGCCATGGTGAGATCTCGGCTCACTGCAACCTCCACCTCCCAGGTTCAAGCGATTCTCCTGCCTCAGCCTCCTGAGTAGCTGGGATTACAGGCGCGCGCCACCACGCCCAGCTAATTTTTTTGTATTTTTAGTAGAGACAGGGTTTAACCATGTTGGCCAGGATGGTCTCGATCTCTTGACCTCATGATCCACCAGCCTCGGCCTCCCAAAGTGCTGGGATTACAGGCGTAAGCCACTGCACCCGGCCTCTATACATTTCTTAATATCTCCGAAATTCCTACCTCCAGATACTGCCCCGTTTCTCCGCTTCCCTGTATAGCAAAACTCCTTGAACAAGTCTAGGATACTATATTTAATACCTCCCATTCTCTCTTCAACCCACTTCAATCATGTCTCTATCCTCATCACTCCACTAAAACTGCTTGTTTCAAAGGGCATTAATGATGCTTATTTTGCAGATTCAGTGGTCACTCTTGTCTTTCTCATCCTCTCAGAAGTATTCAACATTACTAGCCACTTCCTCTTTCTGTTAACACTTTCTCTCTCTTTTTTTTTTTGTTTTTTCTTGAGACAGAGTCTCGCCCTGTCACCCAGGCTGGAGTGCAGTGGCACGATCTTGGCTTACTGCAACCTCTGCCTCCTGGGTTCAAGCGACTCTCCTGCCTCAGCCTCCTTAGTAGCTGGGATTACAGGCGCCCACTACCACACTAGGCTGATTTTTGTATTTTTAGTAGAGACGGGGTTTCGCCATGTTGGCCAGGCTGGTCTCGAACTCCTGACCTCCTGATCCGCCAGCCTCGGCCTCCCAAAGTGCTGGGATTACAGGCGTGAACCACTGCGCCTGGCCAATAAATTAACTTTAAATCAGAGATTGCAACAACTTGGAAAACATCTGTTGTTTGTCCTATATGTTTGTTTATTCAAATAATGCTACAATTGATTGTCATCAGGCAACAATCACTTTGAACTGAATATTGTTTTTCCCCTTTAGATGGGATCTAAATCCTCACTTCTCTCATTTCCTTACCTGCCTGACCACTATGAACATATGAGTTTGCTACCCTGCCTTAAAACATCTGAGAAATTGTTGGACAAATATTCATGTGTAGAAGTAAGGTTGAAGAAGGAAAGGCATGGGCAGACTACACACACAGAGCTTTTCACAGTTCTTCAAATAGGCCAACAGTGATTGTATTCATCCCTGATTATGTTAATTCTGTCACAGTCCCACCAAATATTCTATGATGTAGACTATATTGTAAAGTTCACTTCCAGTAAACTGTCTAATAATATAAAAAGAAGAGAGGTGAATAAATGGCTAACATAAACACATATCTATTATAATAAGCAAATAGAAAATAGGCCAACTTCCTGCAGTCCAGTCCTCATTTCCATAATTGGGTCAAAAGACATATTCCACTTCTACTTCTCATTCTGTATTTCCCCATTCTCACTCAGAACTTCAGATGGTCAGAGTTCTTCACCTGTACAGGGACCCAAACTTCCATTTCTCGCTCAAGGTCTGAGTTCTCAATTGTCTTGCCCTTTTTTTTTTTTTTTTTTTCTGTATTTGGTTGCTGTATTTGTCCATTAACCTTTACTATTGGGCTGGGAAGTACTAAGTGGCACTCCCAGAGAATCCCCTGGGTTCTGGAAATAGCTTTCCTTGTCCCCACTGTGCAGCAATTCAATTTCCCCTATGTAATCAGGATCAGTCACACCAGCCAGTGGAATACAGTAGCCCTCCTTTATCTGTGGGGGATGCGTTCCAAGAACTTTCCGGATGCCTGAAACCAGGGATGGTACTGAACCCTATATATACTATGTTTTTTCCTATACATATATATCTATGATAAAGTTTTTTGTTCTTTTTGTTTTTGTTTTTTTGAGATGGAGTCTAGCTCTGTTGCCCAGGCTGGAGTGCATTGGCACAATCTTGGCTCACTGCAACCTCCGCCTCCCTGGTTTAAGCGATTCTCCTGCCTCAGTCTCCCAAGTAGCTGGGATTACAGGTGTGCGCCACCACGCCTGGCTAATTTTTTGTATTTTTGGTAGAGACAGGGTTTCACCATGTTGCCCAGGCTGATCTCAAACTCCTTACCTCAGGTGATCCGCCCACCTCGGCCTCCCAAAGTGCTGAGATTACAGGCATGAGCCACCGCATCTGGCCTATGATAAAGTTTAATTTACCAGTTAGGCACAGTAAGAGATTAACATAAATAACTACTAATAATAGAAAACAATTATAACAGTATGCCAACATCACTACTCTTGCATTTTGGGGCCATTATTGAGTAAAATGAGGATTACTTGAACACAAGCACTTGGACAGTTGGTTTGATAACTGAGATAGATACTAAATGACTAAAGGGCAGGTAATGTATACAGCATGGATATGCTGGAAAAAGGATAATTACATCCCTGGCAGCACAAGATTTCATCACGCTACTCAGAACAGTATGCAATTTAAAATTCTTGAATTGTTTATTTCTGTGATTTTCCATTTAATATTTTCAGACCACAGTTGGCTGTGGGAAACTGAAACTTTGAGAAGTGAAGCCATAAATAAGTGGATAGGGGGAACTATTATAATCCTTTTGTTTGGCTTTTTTGTTCAGTGTCATATAAAGCCCCAAATGGCTAGGTGGCATTCTTGTCTTCCAAGTCAATGAAACCATTGCTGTGTTCACTGGTGGACACAATCTTCCTTTGGAGACAAAGTCCTCCAAACCAGCAGAGCTCAAAGCTGCTGGGAAACAAAAGTTCAATGAGTGGGTTATTAGTGTAACAGTGGAAGAGCCATTCCCACATCTACTTGCTGACTCCTGAACCCATATATTCTGGCTGTGGGGGAAACACCACCATATAATGGCCTCTCATTCAAAACACATACTGTACCTTGTAAGATAGATCCCCATTGTTTCAGGGTATTGTCTGCCAAGTGTTGCTGTGAGTCTTTAGTAAGTCAGTCCATGTTTCAAATAGGCATCTGCTTCCAGGTGATGAGAAATGTGGTAAGATCACTTAATTCCATGAACATTGAGCTCATTACTGTACTTCCTTTGCTGTGAAATAAGTTCCTTGATTAGACACAATGCTATGGGGAATGCCATGACTATGGATAAGGCATTTTGTAAGCCCACAAATGGTGGTCCTGGTAAACGCATTGTGTATAAGGAAAGCAAATCCATATTCAGAATGTATCTTTTGGCAGGGCGTGGTGGTTCATGCCTGTAATCTCAGCTACTTGGGAGGCTGAGGTGGGAGGATTGCTTCAGCCCAGGAGACAGAGGTTGCAGTGAGCTGTAATTGTGTGATTGTGCCACTGCACTCCAACCTGAGTGACAGAGCAAGACCCTGCCTCAAAAACAAAACGAAACAAAAAACCCTCTGCCCCCTCCATGATGGAGGAAGGCCAGTGTAATTAACCTGCCATTAAGCATCCAGTGGGAAGGTGGTCCCCTCAGAGAATAGTGTGTATCAGGGCCTCAATGTTGGTTTCTGCTCTTGACATATTAGGCACTCAGTGGTAGCATTAATTAGATCAGCCTTGGTAAGGGAAACTCTGTGTTGTTGAGCTCATGCATAGGCTCCATGCCTGCCAAAATGGCCACTTTGTCCAAGGGCTAACTGAGCAGCACTGGGGGTGCCAGGAAAAGAGGCTTTTGGTGGACAGTCACCTGGAACATTAATTTTTTCACAGTCTGTATCCATTCTGTGTTCCATTCATGTATCTCTTCTTCATCTATAATATAACCAATATAGATATAGATATATGTTTATTATAAGAAATTAGCTCACATGATTTTGGAGGCTGGGAATTCTCAAGATCTGCAGAGAAGTTCCAAAACCTGCAGTCTGCAGGCCTGACTACCAGCAAGTTAATGGCATAAGTTCCAATTCAAGTCCAAAGGCAGGAGAATACCAATGTCTCAGTTTGAATACCATCAGGCAGAGAGAATGAATTTTCTCTCATTCAGCCTTTTGTTCTATTTACACCTTCAATAGATTGGATGAGGCTCACCTATAATGGGGAGGATAATCTGCTTCAGACTACTGATTCTAATGTTAGTCTCATCCAGAAACACCCTCACAGACACACCCAGAATAATGTTGAACCAAGTATCTGGGCACCTTGTGGCCCAGTCAAGTTGACACTTAAAATTAACCATCACATATAACCATTTCCATTTAATGATAAATTGCTGCTTTGTGGCTGGGCACAGTGTCTTATGCCTGTAATCCCAGCCCTTTGGGAGGCAAAAGCATGTGGATGGCTTGAGCCCAGGAGTTTGAGACTAGCTTGGGCAACATGGCAAAACCTCATCTCTACAAAAAATTCAAAAATTAGCCAGGTGTGGTGTTGCACACCCGTAGTCCCAGCTACTCGTGAGGCTGCGGTTGGAGGATCAGTTGAGCCTGGGAGGCAGAGGTTGCAGTGAGCTGAGATCTCACCACTGCACTCTAGCCTAGGCAACAGAGTGAGACCCTGTTTCAGAAAAAAAAAAATGCTGCAGCTGGGCACGGTGGCTCACACTTGTAATCCCAGCACTTTAGGAGGCCAAGGCGGGCGGATCACCTGAGGTCAGGAGGTTGAGACCAGCCTGGCCAACATGGAGAAACCCCATCTCGGCTCACTGCAACCTCCACCTCCCAGATTCAAGAGATTCTTAGCCTTCTGAGTAGCTGGGACTACAGTTGTGCACCACCATGCCTGGCTAATTTTCTTGTATTTTTAGTGGAGACAGGGTTTCACCATATAGGTCAGACTGGTCTCCTGGCCTCAGGTGATCTGCCAGCCTTGGCCTCCCAAAGTGCTAGGATTGGACACATGAGCCACCATGCCCAGCCTAATTTCTTCCTTTTTAAAATTATTTTTTATTTTTAATTTTTTGTATAGACAGGGTCTCACTATGTTGTCCAGGCTGGTTTCAAACTCACGGCCTTGTGCAATCTTCCAGCCACGGCCTCCCAAAGTGCTGAGATTACAGGCATAAACCACCACACCCAGCTACGCAACTTATTTCTGAATGCAGGAGACCATCAGAGGAGTATTAGGGGTTTAAAATAAAATATGAGTTATGAAGTCAGAAAGGCCTAAAGTTTTAAGGAAATTATTTAGTCTCTCTCTATGAATCCTTCTTAATCTATAAAATAGGAGTAATAATATATAACTGTTAGAGAATCAAGGGAAATGTTGAATGTCAAATTATGGTGTTAAAGAAAAAAATTTATTTACCATAAATAGACCTGATTCAGAATCATCTTCAGTAATACCTTCTTTCCTTCAAAAGTGGCTTTGGAGTCATGTAGGATTTTTTTTTTTTCTTTTGGGACGGAGTCTCGCTCTGTCACCCAGGCTGGAGTGCAGTGGCGCGATCTCGGCTCACTGCAAGCTCCGCCTCCCGGGCTCACGCCATTCTCCTGCCTCAGCCTCTCCGAGTAGCTGGGACTACAGGCGCCCGCCACCATGCCCGGCTAATTTTAAGTCAGATTGATTGACTGATTGATTGATTGATTGATTGATTGATTTGAGGCATGGTTTTACTCTGTTGCCTAGGCTGGAGTGCAGTGGCACGATCTTGGCTCACTGCAACCTTGGTCTCCTGGGCTCTAGCGATCCTTCTGCCACAGCCTCACGAGTAGCTGGGACTACAGGCAAGCACCACCATGCCCGGCTAATTTTTATTAGGCGGATCACTTGAGCCCAGGAGTTCAAGACCAGCCTGGGCAATGTGGCGATACCCCCTTCTCTACAAAACATACAAAAACTAGCTGGGTGTGGTGGCACATGCCTGTAGTCCCAGCTACTTGTGAGGCTGAGGCGGGAGGATCAATTGAGCCCAGGAGATGGAGGCTGTAGTGAGCCGAGATGCTGCCACTGCACTCCAGCCTGGGAGGCAGAGCAAGACAGTCTCAAAAACAAACAAAAAAAAACTGCTGTGAATGCAACAGTAATACATGCAAACTGATAGGTAGGTATTAGAGACTCAAATACCACAGATAGCATTGTCTTATGACATGGATTCCTGAAATGGCAAACAACTCTTGGTAAAGTTCTGAACAAAAATTATGATGTCCCTTCAATCTACACATTACTTGTATTTCTTGGAAATTCAGGGTCTAAAACAATGACAAAAATACTTTGCATTTATATGTAAAATGGAGTTGTGTTCCAGGCTCCTTCTGGTTATAACAGGCTTTATTTACCTAAATTAATATCCAATGGGACTTTTTTTTTTTTAGATGGAGTCTCATTCTGTCACCCAGGCTGGAGTGCAGTGGTGCGATCCCAGCTCACTACAACCTCCGCCTCCCTGGTTCAAGCGATTCTCCTGCGTCAGCGTCCCGAGTATCTGGGACTACAGGTGCACGCAAGCATGGACAACTAATTTTTGGATTTTTATTTATTTATTTTTTTAAAGACAAAGTCTTGCTCTGTCGCCCAGGCCGGAGTGCAGTGGCACGATCTCAGCTCACTGCAGCCTCCGCCTCCCAGGTTCAAGCAATTCTCCTGCCTCAGCCTCCCGAGTAGCTGGAATTACATGCTCCCACCACCATGCCCAGCTAATTTTTGTATTTTTAGTAGAAATGGGGTTTCACTATGCTGGCCAGGCTGGTCTCGACCTCCTGACCTCAGGTGATCCGCCCGCCTCGGCCTACCAAAGTGCTGGGATTACAGGTGTGAGCCATGGCGCCTGGCCTCCAATGGGGCTTTTAAAAGTCATGTGAGATGTGGGACAATTCTTTTTTGTGCAGCACTGTCCTGGTCATTGCAGTATTGTCTAGGATCCTTGGCTCCTAAATACCAGGATCCTTCACCACCACCATCACCACCCCACCCCCCACCCCAATACACACACACACACACACACACACACACACACACACACACAATGGTCATTGCAGTATTGTCTAGCATCCTTGGCTCCTAAATACCAGGAACCTTCACCACCACCATCACCACCTCACCCCCCACCCCAACACACACACACACACACACACACACACACACACACACACACACACACAGTGACAACTAAAAAAAATCCCCCCACAGATACCCAAAACATCCCCTAGAGGGCAGTGCACCCTGTTGTTGAGAACTGATTTAGAAGAATAAATGAGGCCTAGGGCCTTCCCATGAGTTAAGAGGAGAGTTTAGCTTAGCTTCAGGATATCCACACCTACTCACTGGTTCTTCCCTGGAAGGATGAGGGACCAGAGAAGGTACAGATTTTACCTGTCTAGGTTATGAGGGACCAAGTGGATATGCCTGAGCTCAGCTAAGGGAAGCTCTGCCCTATAAGCTAGGCTGGACAACATTCTTGACAACCAATCTATTGCCCTTCACTTATCTAGCCCCTTATCAGGGTAATACAAAGGGCTCAGATTCTGGAGCCAGACTGCCTGAGTTCTGGTCCTAGCTCAAACATTTATTTGTTTTGGGCAGGTTATTTAATATTTATGTGCCTCAGTTTCTTCATTTATAAAATGGGGATAATAATAGTATCTATGTCATAAAGCAGCAAGAATTAAATGAGTTAATATATGTAAACGTGCTTAGAATGGGATCTGACACACAACTACTTACAAATCTTAGATATTACTATTATCATCACCATTCATATTCTGTAGGTAGCATAAGGCTGAGGAATCACCCCAACTTGGGGGTGAGCATCACTGAAGATCCTAAGTCTCATGTAACCTGAGCCAACAAAGAGTTATGTGCAGGTAAGGATACTCTCAAGTGATCTAGTGGGGGTGGCTCCCTTTGCTTCATGTGGATTGGTGAGTAAGGAAAGCCTATGATGATGATGACCATGATGATGATGATGATGATGATGATGATTGAAGCATGATGCTGAGAGGAAGGGTTCACCCTAACCCGATGACTGCAGGAGAGAAAGAGCCAACAAAGGAATGAGGAAGCTCTTCCTGCACCCTAGTGAACAGGCTGACTTTCTAATTATCTGTGGACTGTGAATCTCTGCCTTTGTAGATCTGGAGTCAAAGCTGCCACCTAAACAACCAGAAGGAAAGGCACCATCTTACACAAAAAGCAAACCTCAGGCCAGGCGCGGTGGCTCATGCCTGTAATCCCAGCACTTTGGAAGGCCGAGGTGGGCGGATCATGAGGTCAGGAGATTGAGACCATCCTGGCTAACACGGTGAAACCCCATCTCAACAAAAATGCAAAATATTAGCCAGGCCTGGTGGCGGGTGCCTGTAGTCCCAGCTGCTTGGGAGGCTGAGGCAGGAGAATCGCTTGAACCCGGGAGGCGGAGCTTGCAGTGAGCTGAGATCACACCACTGCACTCCAGCCTGGGCGACAGAGCCAGACTCTGTCTCAAAAAAAAAAAAAAAAGCAAACCTCCTGACCCCCACCCTCAGTTTTCAGAGGCACAGACAGCAGAGGAGCTACATTTGCAGAGAAGATGATGAAGGAAGACAGCAGCTCACTGGAGAGTGATTCCTGTGAGGGCAAGTTTTCAGGGACCGAGCACAGCAGGGACAAGGAAGCTGCCAGAAGCCACTCCCACTGCAAACAGTTCCAAAAATAAGGGAAACTCAGCAAGGGAAAGAGGGTGGAGGGAATGGCAAAGAGGTGGGCACCGAGGGCAGCTCCCAAAAAGGACATTAGGGCAGGGATTAGTTGCAAGAGGAGGAGATGGAAGAGATGAAAGTGGAAAGAGCTGACTCTAGATTGGGGCAAGATCAAGGGGACATCAAGGGTCCTACCCAGCAGCAACACTAAGTCTCTGAAATTAGAATTGCAGGATCATCCAGGGAGCAGAATCCTTCTACCTTTAGCTGCCTGAAACTTCACCAAGATGTACATATTTGGACTTCAGGAACATAATTACAACTATATCCCCTGCTTGGATTGCCAGACCTCTCCCACGTATAGATGGGACTATTATCCCAGCTCTGCCACCCCTACGCAGTTGAAAAAAATACCAAAACAGATATCAGCGATATGGATGTGATATTGTGATATAATAAGAAATATATATTTGGTTTTCCTCCTTCAGTTTTGGCACAGTGGGTTCCAGCACACAGCTCCTAAAACCCTTAGAATTTCCTAAGTGAGCCAGGTGCAGTGGTACATGCCTGTAGTCCCAGTTTCTCAGGAGGCTGAGGTGGGAGGATTGCACCTGTGAATAGCCACTGTACTGAAGACTGGGTAACATAGTGAGACCTTATCTCTAGAAACAAATTTTTTAGTTAAAAAAAATTAAAGAATATCCTGAGTGTTAGGAGGGGAGCATCTTTATTATTTGTAATAAGCCCCTTTCTTCTTCTTCTTTTTTTTTTTTTTTTGAGATGGAGTTTCACTCTTGTTGCCCAGGCTGGAGTCCAATGGCGCTATCTCAGCTCACCGCAACCTCCACCTCCCAGGTTCAAGCAATTCTCCTGCCCCAGCCTCCCGAGTAGCTGGGATTACAGGTATGCGCCACCATGCCTGGCTAATTTTGTATTTTTAGTAGAGATGGGGTTTCTCCGTGTTGGTCAGGCTGGTCTCGAACTCCCAACCTCAGGTGATCAGCCTGCCTTGGCCTCCCAAAATGCTGGGATTACAGGCGTGAGCCACCGCACCCGGCTTAATAAGCCCCTTTCAACCTTATCTGTGTTTATGTTAATGAGCCAACTCTCTGAGGATGAAAGCCTGGTTGCCAGAGAAACCAACCTTGTGATTAGAGGTTTGGAAATTTCAGCGCCCGCCCCCCACCCCCCCAACCCCCACCAGGCCTTCAGGAAAGGCAGAGGGGACTGACTCAATCAACAATGGTCAATGATTCAGTCAACCATGCCTACATAATAACGCCTCCATGAGAACCCTAAACAATGGGGCTTGAGATTCGGAGAGCTTTCAGGTTGGTGAACACATGGAGGTGCTGAGAGGTTGGCACACCAGAGAGGGCATGGACGCCCCATGCACCTCTTATCCCCATACTTTGCTTTATGCATCTCTTGCATTTGTTTGTTCCTGAGTTGTATCCTTTCTAATAAATCAGTAACAGTAAGTAAAGCAGTTTTCTGAGTTCTATGAACCATTCTAGAAAATTACTGAACCTGAGGCATGGTCATGGGAACCCCTGATGTACAACCAGTTTGCCAGAAGTATAGGTCACAATCTGAGACTTGCAACTAGTGTGAAGTCTTGGTAGTGTCATAATTGGATTGCAGGACACCCAGTTGCTGTCCACAGTTGGAGAATTGCCTAATGGGAGGAGAAAACTCAAACATTTGGTGTCGGAAGTGCTGAATATAAGAAAAATGAGTTTCTTCTTTTTAACTTTCTTCCTTGACTGTTTCTTATGCTTGTATTTTCTGCTAAGCCATTTATAAAGGCATTCACCCATTCCCCAAATACTCAGTTTTTGCTCCACAAAAGAAAGCACTCAAGAATAATTCCTCAGTGATTAGTATTTGAGGATTAGTTCTTCAGTAGTAGGTACTAGAGGGACAGGGAAGTGAAGCAAGGTTCTAGAGCCCCAAGATCCCAGCCTCAGCCCAGGGCCCCAAGGAGGAATTATAGGCATGCTAGAGAAAAGAGGCTCAGTTTGAGTGCCCATGATAGGAATAAGTAGCATGGCAGAGAGAAAACAGTGTTCAGAACCTTCATTGAGAACTACCATTTGTTCAGCAAAAGATGCCCAAGTCTCTCTTTCTGGTTAGAGCTCTTTCCCAAAGCAATGACTATGTTTTTGCTACCATGCCCTTTATTAAAAATATGAGTATGAGCATGAGAACAAGCATAACATTTTTAAAGCGAGAGATGGTAAAGGGAAAAATCATTTCAGCACTGTGCTCCAGATCAGTGTGGCAAAAAACAAATAAACAGATACCCCCAAGCAGCAGAGTCTGCAAGAGAGGAGCTGGTGGCAAAGGACTCCAGCATTGCCTTAGCACCAGCCACAAAAGTTCACTTCACCAAAAAGAGGAAGCCCCTGCCTTACCCTAGTACCCACAGGGGCAGACCAGGTACAGCACCCATCAATTCTCATCTTATGTCCATGGAACAAGGGAAGGGGGAATACTCCAGCTTTATCAGACACACTGGACACACAGCAGGTGTGGCAATGAGGTTATCCTTTTATTTGCCTATGAGGCTGGGACCAAAGTTCACCATCATTACCATACTGTACTCAGAACAGATTCCAAAAGTAACAGTAAAATTTCCTCCTTTTCCCTGGCATCAGAAGAAGGGGGGAATTCCTTTAACATAGGACCTTCCAATGAATTACTGGTCAATTCTCCTCATATCCTATGGCAACGGGCTTGCTACGCATGAGTAAACTTTGAGCTATAGGTTACCTTCTAGGGATATTGTTCCTTGTTTCCCATTCATAGCTGCCACATGGTTTACACACACATACACGTTTTTTTTTCAGAGACAGGGTCTCCCTCTGTCACCCAGGCTGGAGTGCAGTGGTGTGATCATAGCTCATGGCAGCCTTGAACTCCTGGGCTCAAACGATCCTCCTGCCTCAGCCTCCCAAGTAGCTGGCATTATAGGCATGCACCATCGTGCCCAGCTGACTTTTTTTTTTTTTGAGATGGAGTTTCACTCTGGTTGCCAAGGCTGGAGTGCAATGGCATGATCTCAGCTCCACAACCTCTGCCTCCTGGGTTCAAGTGATTCTTCTGCTCAGCCTCCCAAGTAGCTGGGATTAAAAAGATGTGCCACCACGCCAGGCTAATTTTGTATTTTTAGTAGAGATGAGGTTTCTCTATGTTGGTCAGGCTGTTCTTGAACTCCCAACCTCAGGTGATCCACCCATCTTGGCCTCCCAAAGGGCTGGGATTACAGGCATGAGCCACCGCACTTGGCCTCCAGCTGACATATACATACATATATATATACATATATATATATTTTTTGAAACAGAGTTTCACTCTTGTCACCCAGGCTGGAGTGCAGTGTAGTGGTGCCATCTCTGCTCACTGCAACCTCTGCCTCCTGGGTTCAAGCGATTCTCCTGCCTCAGCCTCCCAAGTAGCTGGGATTACAGGCATTTGCCATCATGCCCAGCTAATTTTATATTTTTTAAGTAGAGACAGGGTTTTACCATGTTGGCCAGGCTGGTCTTGAACTCCTGACCTCAGGTCATCCACACACCTTGGCCTCCCAAAGTGCTGGGATTACAGGCATGGGCCACTGGGCCCGGCCTGACTTCTGTATTCTTAAATCAAGAAGGGAAGGGTAAATATGAAGAAGTAAGGGGACTTAGAAATAGGAAGTAGAATGGTGGTTGCCAGAGGCTGGGAAGAGGGGAGATGGGGATTACTGTCTAAAGGATATAGGTGTAGAGTTTCAATTTTACAAGATGGAAAGAGTTACAGAGATGGATAGCGATGATAGTTACACAGTATTATTGAATGTATTTGATGCTATTAAACTGTACACTTAAAAATGGTTAGGATGAAAAATTTTGTTATGTATATTTTACCAGAACAAAAACAATTGAAAAGGAAAAAAGGCCGGGTGCTGTGGCTCACACCTGTAACCCCAGCACTTTGGGAGGCCGAGGCAGGCAGATCGCCTGAGGTTGGGAGTTTGAGACCAGCCTGACCAACATGGAGAAACCCCATCTCTACTAAAAATAGAAAACTAGCCAGGCGTGGTGGCACATGCCTGTAGTCCCAGCTACTCGGGAGGGTGAGGCAGGAGAATCGCTTGAACCTGGGAGGCGGAGGTTGCGGTGAGCCCAGACTGCACCATTGTACTCCAGCCTGGGCAACAAGAGCGAAACTCCATCTCAAAAAAAAAAAAAAATAGATCATTCTTTGCTCCATCTTTAAACATTTGGCTTCCGGTTTTAGCATATAGAGGTAATTTCTCAGCAATTTAAGCTACTTGAAAGCCATAATTTTATGTAATTAGTGGATTAAAATTTTAATGTAACAGTGGTGCTCTCTAGTGACCAGTCTTTTCCTTTCCTTGCATCTGATAAACAAGAGGGAGGGGAGGGGAGAATGTGGGAGGAAGACAAAGCAAGAAGGAAATCTAGGATAGGTCATTTGGGAATCCGGAGCAAGGAAGACCAGGTTTGTTTTCAGAGGGATGTGTACCCAGCACGCTCTCAGCTGGAAGGAGAAAGGAAAAATGAGCACTCTTGCAAGTGCACCCTGGGGGTGGTGACAGCAACACAGAGACAATGTGGGTGGCAAATCAAGGTGAGGGCAAGGTCAGTAGGGGTGGGGGAAAGGGAGGGTTGGCTTCAGTCTGAAAATTGCTCAGGCAGTGTTAGTTTCTTGCGCTACCACGCAGTCAACGCAGTTGCTTCTCCACCCCACTCCCTGAGGCCAGCTCAGGCTTATACTCACATTCCTCCCAAGAAAAAAACATTAGTAGAGGTTAAATGACCCCATTTGTGGGGTGGTTTATTGTTAAAATGATTAAACATGCTAAAATCACATGGAGTGGCTATTCCACTTTTGCCCTGACTCCATAGTGGGGCAAATGGGAACTACAGGAGTCACTTGGTTTGTGTGGCCTCTGGGGATGGTTAGACTTGGAGGGTTAGCGGTGAGCAGGTTAGCAAAGCCCCAAGCATCCTTCATGTAGTACACTTTTCCCAGCAGTAAAAAAATTCAGAGATTTCCCCCTTCTTCACTTTTCTTTCCTCCCTATATGTGCCCTACTTCTCATTCTCCTATGGCCCTGGAACCTCTTATGCTTCTGCCCGTTATGGTCTTAGACTAGATGATGAGGGAGGCTTTTCCTTGACACCAGCATTCCAGTCTCCCTTCCTTGGAACTAATCTACTCAGCATGCACTATTGTGGTAAGCTGCTTGATTTAGGTCTGCCTAGGGGGAAAACGAGGCTCCAGTCCCCACTGTGGCTTAGATCCTGGGAGGGGAAGTTGGAGTTGGTGCAGAAGGATCTGAAGGGGAAAAAAAATGTTACCTAAAGTGTGAATGCCGTAACTAGCAGAACAGTGCATATGTCCCACCCTCAGGCACCCTACTCTGAAAGCCTTCCCCTCCTTCCCACATTGTTCTTTGGGGAGATCTCTCAGCCTCGAAGCCTCTTGTTTAGCCCTACAGGGCAGGCATAGCTACTGATCAAAGAACCTTATACCAAGAAGAAATTGTTCCACCCTTAGACTAGTGACTGCTGATTGAAGTCTTCATCTTCTCCACCTCTCTTGTGCCTCTACTTCTGTGATGGCTTGAGGGGGCCAGATACAAGAGTATATAAAGGTTGAACTTGCCTCAAGGAAAGGCTAGAGGGACAAGGGATAAAGATACATGGGTGTGGAGAAGGGGAGAGAAGGGACCAGCATGAAGGTGAAGGTGAAGGGCAAGCCTGGCCATTCAGGAGCTGGGATCCTTTTTCCTTTTCTGAAATCGCCGGAACTTGCCCTGAATAGCAAGGGCAGCCTTCTCTGTTTCTGGTGCTGTCAGATCAATGTCAATCTCCTCCTCCTCCTCCGCCTTCTTGACATTGCCAGCTTTTCCTGCAGATAGTTGGGAGACTCATTAATGAGTTAATCTGACCTGCTCTAGACCCTTTCTCCAGGCCCCCAATACAGTGGGTAAGGTCCACCTTGTGCCAGACTCTGTGGGGTCCCCAAATTTTTGCTAGGATTATGAATGCCTGATAATTCCCCTAGAAGTCTGAGTCAAGGTACTTAGGCTGGGAATTAGCTATAGTTACTTAGGGGAGCTCTGCTACTCTTGGACCAAACAACAAATGTCTTCTTTCATCACTTATTCATAAATCCTACAGTTCAAGTTCCAATGCACACTCACTTTCCTCAGCTTTCTCTCAGTTTCTGATGGAGATAATGCTGGGACTTTTGATGAGTTTCTTCTTATCTTGTACCTCTCTCCCCCCAACACTCCAGACCCAGTTTCTAAAATCAAGGAGGAAATACTGATCGTTTACTTTCTAGGAAAAATAGAAGGAAGCCTATAGATATAGTACTGTAGTTCCAAACTGGTACTTTGTTTCACTTATCCACATTCTTATTCCTTTCATGTCTGACTTTAGGAAATTCCAGACTCACCCTACTTGTCTTTATGTCTCTACAGTCACCTGCTCTACAAACTGCCTAGCCCAACCCCACTCACCTTTTTCCTCTTGGCCAGCTGCCTGGTTGGTTGCTGGGGATGTTTTGGTATTAAGCTGGAAAAAATATTAGGATATCAGAATATTAGATATTCATGGAAGTAATTTGAAGGCATCATCACCTTAGACCTCTTATATACTCTCAAACCCTATTACCAGGTGCATTCCCTTAGTCTTTTGAAGAAGCAAGTCTTGAGATCAGAGACCAGAGGAAAAGTTATCAAAATTCATCCAGCAAAGATTTACTGATGCTAGAAAGTGTAGAGGACAAAACAGACAAAGAAATTCTGCCCTCATGGAGCTTACATTCCAGTGTATATAGAGACAAATAAAGCACATAAAATGACTACTATGATGATAAGTGCTATGGAGAAAAGGTAGCGAAAGGAAATAGTAAGTACTGGGGTGGAAATGGAGGAATACAGTTTTACATAGAGTAGTCAGGAACAGCCTCTCTGAAAAGCAGCATTTGACCAAATAGCTGAAGGAGATGAGGAAGTAAGGCTCATAGATATCTGGCAGGAGTTTTCAAGGGCTCTGGGTTGGAAGTGTGACTAGCCTGTCTGAGGAATAGCAGACCAGTGTAGTTGGAGTGGAGAGAGGAAAGAGGAAAGATTAATGGAGATGAGAACAGAGTTAACTGGGGGTGGAAGCAGATTATGTAGGGCTTTAGAAGTCTTTTTAAGGAGTTTGACTGTTACTACAAGTGAGATGAGGAGTTGCTGGAGACCTCTGATTTGCATAAAAGGGAAAGAGAAAGGATGCAGAAAAATCTGTTAAGAGGTTATTGCAGAAAACCAAGCAAGAGACGATGGTAGCTTGAATCAGCATGGTGGCGATGAAGATGGTAAATGGTTGGATTCTGGGTATATTTTCCAGCTATGACCAATATGATTTGTTGATTCGAAAGATGGCATTGTGAGAAAGAGAGGGGTCAAGGATGATTCCAAATTTTGGCCTGATGATCTGAAAAAAATAGAGCTGCCGTTTCCTGAGATGTAGAAAACAGGGAGAGGAGGTTTTAGGGGGAGGATAAGGAGCTTATTTTTTAACAAATTTGAGATGGCTATTAATTATCCAAGAGAAGATGCTTTTATAAACAGTTGAATAGTCAAGATGAGTTAAAGAGAAGGGCCTGGGCTATAGATATCAGTTAGGGAGCTATTGATATATGGATAGCATTTAAAGCCATGAGACTGAATGGGATCACCAAGAAACTGAGTTCAGATAGAGAAGAGGATAAAATCCTGAGGTATCCCAGTGATTAGAATTGTAAAAATCCTTCTCCCTCTCCCTCCCCCTCCCCCTCCCTCTCCCTCTCCCCACGGTCTCCCTCTCCCTCTCTTTCCACGCTCTCCCTCTGATGCCCAGCTGAAGCTGGACTGTACTGCTGCCATCTCGGCTCACTGCAACCTCCCTGCCTGATTCTCCTGCCTCAGCCTGCCGAGTGCCTGCTATTGCAGGCGCGCGCCGCCACGCCTGACTGGTTTTCGTATTTTTTTGGTGGAGACAGGGTTTCGCTGTGTTGGTCGGGCTGGTCTCCAGCTCCTAACCGCGAGTGATCCGCCAGCCTCGGCCTCCCGAGGTGCCGGGATTGCAGACGGAGTCTTGTTCACTCAGTGCTCAATGGTGCCCCGGCTGGAGTGCAGTGGCATGATCTCCGCTTGCTACAACCTCCATCTCCCAGCAGCCTGCCTTGGCCTCCCAAAGTGCCGAGATTGCAGCCTCTGCCTGGCTGCCACCCCATCTGGGAAGTGAGGAGCGTCTCTGCCTGGCCGCCCATCGTCTGGGATGTGAGGAGCGCCTCTTCCCGGCCGCCATCCCGTCTAGGAAGTGAGGAGCGTCTCTGCCCGGCCACCCATCGTCTGAGATGTGGGGAGCGCCTCTGCCCCGCCGCCCCGTCCGGGATGTGAGGAGCGCCTCTGCCCCGCCGCCCCGTCCGGGATGTGAGGAGCGCCTCTGCCCGGCCGTGACCCCGTCTGGGAGGTGAGGAGCGTCTCTGCCCGGCCGCCCCGTCTGAGAAGTGAGGAGCCCCTCCGCCCGGCAGCCACCCCGTCTGGGAAGTGAGGAGCATCTCTGCCCGGCAGCCACCCCGTCCGGGAGGGAGGTGGGGGTCAGCCCCCTCCTGGCCAGCTGCCCCGTCCGGGAGGGAGGTGGGGATCAGCCCCCGCCCGGCCAGCTGCCCCGTCCGGGAGGGAGGTGGGGGGTCAGCCCCCGCCCGGCCAGCCGCCCAGTCCGGGAGGGAGGTGGGGGGCGCCTCCGCCTGGCCAGCCGCCCCGTCCGGGAGGTGGGGGCGCCTCTGCCCGGCCGCCCCTTGTGGGAAGTGAGGAGCCCCTCTGCCCGGCCACCACCCCATCTGGGAGGTGTACCCAACAGCTCATTGAGAACGGGCCATGATGACAATGGCGGTTTTGTGGAATAGAAAAGGGGGAAAGGTGGGGAAAAGATTGAGAAATCGGATGGTTGCTGTGTCTGTGTAGAAAGAAGTAGACATGGGAGACTTTTCATTTTGTTCTGTACTAAGAAAAATTCTTCTGCCTTGGGATCCTGTTGATCTATGACCTTACCCCCAACCCTGTGCTCTCTGAAACATGTGCTGTGTCCACTCAGGGTTAAATGGATTAGGGGCGGTGCAAGATGTGCTTTGTTAAACAGATTCTTGAAGGCAGCATGCTCGTTAAGAGTCATCACCACTCCCTAATCTCAAGTACCCAGGGACACAAACACTGCAGAAGGCCTCAGGGTCCTCTGCCTAGGAAAACCAGAGACCTTTGTTCACTTGTTTATCTGCTGACCTTCCCTCCACTATTGTCCTATGACCCTGCCAAATCCCCCTCTGCGAGAAACACCCAAGAATGATCAATAAAAATAAAATAAATAACATTAAAAAAAAAGAATTGTAGAAATTAAGAAAAATCAACAGGATGGAGAAGAAGCCAGGTAGGAGAAAAGCCAAGAGATTACAGTAATGTGGAAGCCACGTGAAGAAAATATTTCAGGGAGTAGAGAATGACTATGTCTAATTCTGCAGGTAAGCCAAGTAAGATGAGAACTGGATTGACCATTGAGTTTTGCTATGGGGAGATCACTGGTGACACTGATAAGAGAAGTGTCCATGAAGGAGGGGAGCAAGGGGAGGGCATGATTGTAATGGGCTCAAGAGGGAAAAGGAAGAGAGGAATTGCAGCAGCAAATATAGAAGGAATTCCAAAAATGGGAATGGGGGCATAACTTTTGGCAGACATGAGGTCACAAGAAGATTTTATTTAAGATGACAGAAATTACAGAATGTTTGTGTTCTTATGGAAATGATCCAGTAGACAAGGAAAAACTGTAGGAGAGAAAGAGAATCATTACTGGAATAGGAGAGAGGGGGTGAGATCTAGTGCATCAGTAGAGGGCTGGCCTTGAATAAGAGCTAGACTAGGATACCCACAGGAACTGGAGGGAAGGCAGAGCTTATAGGCCCTGGCGCAAGCAGAGGGAACATTTGGAGGGTCTCCCTAACTGCTTCTATATTTTGAAGTAAAATATGTAACAAGGTCATCATCCAAGAGGAGGAGGGAAGAGGTATTAAAGAAAGGAAGGGAGAAATACTCACCTAGGCAAGTAGGAGAGTAAATGGACTAAGGAACAGTGATAGGATTGCTGGAGACATTAAGGCCCCTCATAAGGCAGGAGGTCATGAATTTGAAGTGAGACTAATCAGCTGATGTCTATGCTTTTTCCCAGGTTCCCTGCTCAGATGGAGAGTTAAACGTAATAGTAAGGCCAGGTACAGTGGCATAAACCTGTAGTCTCAGCTACTTGGGAGGATCCCTTGAGCCCAGGAGTTCAAGACCAGCCTGGCAAGACATAGCAAGATCCTAGCTCTTTAAAAAAAAATAGTAATTCCCCTTCCTCAAAATTATATTAATAAGGCTACTTCATCTGGACATTCATCAGTCTCAAGGTATGGTTCATCTGGAGACAGAATCATTCCTGCACTTGGTACTTTTGGAGTCTGTTTATTCACCTCACAATTTTAAGTACTTTATATTTAACAAAATACAAAAACTGGGTGCTTTCATAAATGTTTTCTCATCTAATTCTTGGAACAGCTTAGTGGAGTATTTAATATTATCCCCCATTTTACAGATGCAGACCTCTGTTGAATGACTGCCAGACGTAAGGGTTCTGCTTTGAGAAACTGATAGAATCCAATTTATGTTCTGTAGATTATGCTGTTTCCATCTCACTTCAATAAATACTTATCAAGCACTTACTTGTGTTCAGCACTGTTCTATACACTCAAGAGGTATAAAAGAAGCAAAAGATTCATTCAACAAATATGTCAGTGCCTAATCACATGGCAAGTATTGTTCTAGGTGTTGGGCATACAGCAGTGAGCAAAAGAAAGTCCCTGCACTTATTCAACAAATACATCAGTTAGTGACAAATGCCATGAAAGAAAATAAAGCAGAGTAGTCTAGGAAAGTCTCTCTGAAGACTGACATTTGAGTAGAGGCTTTAATGACGATGTAAGAATAAGATATGTGAATGTGTGGGAAAAGATCCTCTGGGCAGATGAAATATCAACTAGAAAGTCCCTGAAGCAGGTTTGTGCCTGTATGTTCAAGGAAGAGTAAAAAAAATCATCATGGGCCAGATGCAGTGGCTCATGCCTGTAATCTCAGCACTTTGGGAGGCCAAGGTGGGCGGATTGCTTGAGTCCAGGAGTTTGAGACCAGCCTGGGCAACATGGTGAAACCCAATCTCTACAAAAACTACAAAAATTAATCAAGCATGGTGGCGTGCACTTGTGGTCCCAGCTACTCAGGAGGCTGAGATGGGAGGATCACTTGAGCCTGGAAGGCGGAGGTTGCAGTGAGCTGAGATTGCGCCACTGCACTCCAGCCTCAGCAACAAGAGTGAGGGAATGGGAAGGGGAAGAGGAAAGAGAAAGAAAGACCATCATGGCTGGAGCTATGTAAGGGAGAGAGTATAAGAAATGAGGTTAGGTAGATAGCCAGAATATGTGTCTTTGGAACAGGACAAAGAATTTCGATTTTTTTCTGAGCTGATGAAAAGGCATTATAGGTTTTGGGGCAGAGGAAAACATGGTCTGTCATGTTTTTAAAGGATTGTTCTGACAGATGGGTAGAAAAAAGACTACTGGCTGGGCGTGGTGGCTCATGCCTATAATCCCAGCACTTTGGGAGGCTGACATGGGAGGATCACTTGAGCCCAGGAGTTCATGACCAGCCCAGGCAACATAGCGAGACCCCATCTCGAAAGAAAAAGAAAAGAAAAGAAAAAAAAGAAGGAAGGAAGGAAAGAAGGAAAGAAAGAAAGAAAATAGAGGTACAAGAAACCAGGGAAAACAAGAGAGTCTTGCAATGGTACAAGCAAGATGATGGGGCCTGGACTAGGGTGGTAGTGATGGAGATAATAGGAAATACTAAGACTTGAGACAAGTTTCATGGTAAAATAAGCTGGATCTGCCTGTATATTTTTCAGTACAGAGAGCTCTATCAAAGAGCCTTTCTTTAAAGGGCGGTGGAGGAATTGGACATTAGTTGGAGATGAATGTGGGGTTATGGGAGGGCTTGGTAAGATGGGGGATTTTAAATGCTGATGGAAATGATTTAGTAAGGAAGAAAAAAACTGATGATACAGGAGAGGGGATAATTACCAGAGTGATATCTTGAATAGGCAAGAGGAAATAGATCTGGTGCATAAGTGGAGGGGTTGCCCTTCGATAAGAATACAGACAGTTTATCTACAATATAGGAATGAAGGAATAGATGCAGGAAAGGTGGCAGACGTAGAAATGTATAAAAGTTTTCTTCTGATTGTTTCCATTGTCTCAATGAAACACGAAAGACAGTTGTCAGCTGAGAGTGAAGAAGGCACGGAAGTATTAAATGTTTGAGGAAAGAGGAGAATGACTGAAAGGATTATCTAAGAAAGTAAGAGAGCGAGTGAGCTGGTGAGATATAGGATGAGGCAGGAGGATCACCTAAGCCCAGGGGTCCAAGACCAGCCTAGGCAACACAACTAGACCCTAAAGATGTAGCAGGATTACCAGATAGCACAAAGGGCACATTGGGGGTTAATGGCTGTGAATTTAAGGTGAAACCAATCAAGATACTCTTCCTATCTTCCAGGCTAAGTGATTTTAGAGGAGATAAGGACCCAAATAATATGTATTGTTTATTATATATCAAACATTATCCCATTTAATCCTCTGAAATCTCTAAGAAGATGGCACCCTATTTTATAGTTAAGGAAAACAGGCTTAGAAAGATGTTGAGGAACTTGCCCAAGTCAAATCACACAATAGAAAACAGTGAACCTGGCTTTGGAACCCAGGTAGACCGACTCCATACTCCTAGCCAACAGGCTGTACTGTCTCCATAAGACCAAATATTGTCACATGCTGACACAAATATGCTAATATGTTAACAATTACTGAATCTAAGTGGAAGACGTGGATATGTACTGAACTATTTTTTCTTTCCTTAAGGGATTGCTTTAATTTCCTTTTTTGGAGTTTTCATTGATAGTGTTTAGAGACACCACTGATTTTTATATATTGATCTTGTATCCAACAACTTTGCTGAAATCATTTATTAACTCTAATTATTTGTTTGTTCGAGATGGGGTCTCACTATGCTGCCCAGGTTGGTCTCAAACTGGTGGGCTCAAGCAGTTCTTCCTCCTCAGCCTCCTAAATAGCTGAGATAATAGGTGTAATGCCACTGCACCTGGCTTGAACTATTCTTTCATTTCTGGTAAATGGTTCCAATAAAACATTAGGGGGAAAGAAAATAATAATTTAGAAAAAAATTATTAAAAATGCTAATGCGATATTGTATTTGACATGGGCAAGTTTTTCAAACTCAGTTATAACTTTATATGGTCCAAATTTTGTGTAAGATACATATGTGTTTATATTTATATGTATATTTTTTATATATATACATACATATATACACATATATACACACACACACATATATATATACACACACACACATATTTTCCTTTTTTTTTTTTTTAAGAGATAAGTCTTGCTTTGTCACCCAGGCTGGAGTGCAGTGGCACAATCATGTCTCACTGCAGCCTTGATCTCCCAGGCTCCAGCGATCCTCGCACCTCAGCCTTGCAGGTAGCTGGGACTACAGGCACACCACTATACCTGGGTAATTTTTGTATTTTTTGTAGAGACTGGGTCTTGCTATGCTTCCCAGGCTGGTTTCAAACTCCTGGACTCAAGCAATCCTCCTATCTCAGCCTCCCAAAGAGCTGGGATTAAAGGCACAAGCCACCACGCCAGGCCCATATGTATTTTCATTTTAAAATCTGGAAGAACATACATAAAGGTGTTCCTGAAACCCTATGGAATTCCTGCTTGTTCCCCTTTGACCAAAAGAAAGATTCCATGAGAGGAAGGACTGTTCCTGAGACTTAGGAGACTGACCCAGTTGTTACTCTTTCTCTCCCCATAATCCCCCTGTGGTCAAATGTTTTTCTTTGCTTAATTTTGCACATAATCGATAAAATGTCCCAATAGTTACTGAGGTGACACCTTCCACAGGAATACTGTCATCACAAGAGGTTTGTCCACACTGTAAAAATATGACCTGGCCGGGCACAGTGGCTCACACCTGTAATCCCAGCACTTTGGGAGGCCGAAGCAGGCGGATCATTTGAGGTCAGGAGTTCGAGACCAGCCTGGCCAACATGGCGAAACCCCATCTCTACTAAAAACACAAAATTAGCTGGGCGTGGTGGCAGGCAAATGTAATCCCAGCTACTGGGGAGGCTGGGGCAGGAGAACTGCTTGAACCAGGGAGGCGGAGGTTGCAATGAGCTGAGATCACACCACTGCACTCCAACCTGGGTGACAGAGCAAGACTCTGTCTCAAAAAAAAAAAAAAAAAAAGTATGACCTAGATGGAGTATGCAGTTAATAGGATAACAGCAACTGTCCAGACAAGAGGATCATAGGTTAAGAGGCAAGTTCTATAGTCTCATGATCTCTGACTTCAAATCCTATGCTCTCTTTTGCCAGTAAATCTCGGACTCTGATCTATGATTTAGCCATTATCCCTCTGTCTGACTCTAAGCCTATTCCCTTAATCCATCAGATCTTTTCTCTCACCCCAACCCCTCCTCTTTGAAGGAAAATCTGGACTCTGATTCTTTTTTTTTTTTTTTTTTTGAGACGGAGTCTTGCTCTGTCGCCCAGACTAGAGTGCAGTGGCGCGATCTCGGCCCATTGCAAGCTCTGCCTCCTGGGTTCATGCCATTCTCCTGCCTCAGCCTCCCGAGTAGCTGGGACTACAGGCGCCCGCCACCACACCTGGCTGATTTTTTGTATTTTTAGTAGAGACGGGGTTTCACCGTGTTAGCCAGGATGGTCTTGATCTCCTGACCTCGTGATCCGCCTGCCTCAGCCTCCCAAAGTGCTGGGATTACAGACGTGAGCCACCACACCCGGCCACTGGACTCTGATTCTAAATATCTTCCCTCAGGTGGCTGTTTCCTCTACATTCCTTCTCATATCAGCAGACCTTGAGAATAAGCAGG
This sequence comes from Homo sapiens, assembly GCF_000001405.40. Lineage (NCBI taxonomy): Eukaryota > Metazoa > Chordata > Mammalia > Primates > Hominidae > Homo > Homo sapiens. The sequence continues at coordinate 161,275,147 of NC_000001.11, read as the reverse complement.
AATGTGTGTCAGGACTAAACCACACAGGCTGCCACTTTCCCTCTGCCCTGCCAGCTGCTTCCCTCCCAAGTCTCTCTGGAGATCACTGGCCCTGGAATGGAGCAGTGGCTCAGCTGCCATCTGGTCCCCCCACCCCCCGGGGTTTCTAGCTCCATTTAGGTTAAATTTATGAGAGATAATAATCTAAAAGTGGGGTCTCCACTTGGGAAACCAGCAAAGGATGCTGCAAGGAGAAGAAAACTCCTATTACTCACAATGCCCCTTGAAATTTCCCTTTTACCTTCCACTGAAAGGGGTGCAGGAGCTTTTACCTCCTGCCCCTCTTCCCTCTTTCTAGCCAGTTCTCGAAATAGCCACTCTGGACACTCTTCTGGATTTAGTTGTTTGTGATTTGCTGAGGTTAGGGGTGGGGGCAGTTAGATCACAAGTTGTCTGCTCCCACCCTCTATGTGGTGCTCAGTCCTTTATTAGTCTCTGGTCTCTGCCTCAACCCTCCTGTTTATCTTCCAGAAACGCAGCAATTTTAGATGAATTAAGGTCCTCTGGTATACGCATCTGCAAGCCATCAGACTAACCATACTTCACATAAACAAAGGAGGCACAGAGGTACACCCTGGGACCAGAGACCACATACTCTAGTGTTTCTCACAAAAACTCATACCTGCAGAGGAGTGAGGCCAAACTGCAAGAGCTGTAACAGGTCAGCACTTCTCAGCTCCTCATTCTAGCCAGGTATGGATCACAAACCTCTCAGGTGCTCTTCTACTCCTTTTCTTTTTTTTGAGACAGAGTTTTGCTCTTGTCACCCAGGCTGGAGTGCCTAGCCTTCTACTCCTTTCGATACTGAGCTTTTCTGACCAGAAATAACAACAATGACATGGTTTAGGAAATCCTTCCTTCTCCTTATAGGACCCAACTGGGGGAACTGGAAGAAATCAAGGATTTCAGAATGTCACCTCGCTTTACTTTATGAACAATCATATATAATACACTATGTGCCAGCTACTTTTCTAAGTACTTTATAAACACTAACACGTTGAATGATTATAACAGCCCTATAAAATAGGTATAATTATTATTTCTATTTCACAGAGAAGGAAATTGAAGTTGAGAGGTTATCTTGCCCAAAGCCATAGAACAAACAAACCACAAAGCTAGGATTTGAACCCAGGCAGTCTGGCTCTAGAATCCATGCTCTTGATCATTATCCTACACTATCTCTCAATCTCCAATCAAAAGTATGGGGATGTATGAGTATGTATGTGCATGCGTATACAATGCTATCTTCACATATACTCCAAAGGGAACTTGGGGAACAGGGTCCAGTCCTGCCATTATGGGGCAATTTTACATGTTATTAATATTTGACAACCTGATCCCAGACCACGCCTATCACTCAGATTTCTGCTCTAATTGATCTAATCACCCTGATTCTGGTTTTCATCTTAATGTTTGCTCAGTGGGCCTCCTGATACACGAGGCTGACTCCTGGAGGACAGCCATAGTTTACATTCTTTACTCCCAGAGCCAGAACCCAGCCCTTCAGAGTCTGAGAATTCCATGTGTAGGATCATTCTACTGGCTTCCATTTCAAATGCCTCCCTCACTGTCATTCAAGCCTGTTATTCCAAGTTTCTAGTGAGCTTGGAGCTTGGTTCGTTCAGCCTCACTGCCCACATAGGACTGAATGGGACTTTGGGGGTTTTGTTTGTTTGTTTGTTTTGAAACAGGTTCTCACTCAAGCAATACTCCAGCCTCAGCCTCCTAAAGTGCTGGGATTACAGGTGTGAGCCACCCACACCCTCCCCAGCCAGGACTAAATGTTTCTCACTTCTCAATAGATACCAAACACTAATTAGCAACTGTGAGGCCCATCAACTCCTTCTTTTCCTTAATTTATTTTCCCTAGAGGGTTTTAGTTGCTTTCCTTGCCTACCTTCCTATATTTCTTTAATCCTTGCCTCTGAGCCTGATGTGTACCAGTGTTCCATTCCATCATCTTGGTGATACTGCCAATTCCCCATGAGTACTCTTTTGTTTCCTCTGCAGCTCAAAGCTGCAGATTCTCCCTTCCCATGGGGAAGAAGGAAAGGAAGGAGAGTCTTGTTGGCTTAAGGGTCTTTTTTTCTTTCGGCTTTGAGATTGCAGAGAGGAACATGACATAGTAACATTCCTCCTTTCCCTAATACTTTCCCCAGGAGTACCTACCCTTTTCATTTCCTCCCACTTCCAGGAAAGAGAAGCACCACACACTTGCCTATCTGCCTCCTCCCAGAGCATTTGTCAGATGATGTCTTGTCCTTCCATCTGAGCTCTAGATCCCATCACCCTTCTCCTCCTCAGGAATCTTGACAATCAGTTCCCTTTACTCTCTCACATATAAAGCTTCCCTCTCTCCTTAAGAAGTAAATAAATATATGACTTAGGATAAATAAATATATTTATCCTTAAATAAAAATAAATAAATAAATAAAAGCCTCCCTCAACCTGAATTTCTTTTCCAACTACCATTAGAGACGAAAGAAGCAGGTCTCGGACAATAGGAATTGTCAATATTGAGGAATACCAATTTTTTTTTTTTTTTTTTTTGAGACGGAGTTTCGCTTTTGTTGCCCAGGCTGGAGTGCAGTGGCACGATCTCGGCTCACTGCAACCTCCGCCTCCAGGGTTCAAGCAATTCTCCTGCCTCAGCCTCCCGCGTAGCTGGGATTACAGGTGCCCACCACCATGCCTGGCTAATTTTTGTATTTTTAGTAGAGACAGGGTTTCACCATGTTGGCCAGGCTTGTCTCGAACTCCTGACCTCATGATCTACCCGCCTCGGCTTCCCAAAGTGCTGGGATTACAGGCGTGAGCCACTGTGCCCAGCCCAGGAATACCAATGTTAAAAGTTTAGGGAAATGCTTTAAAAAAGAAAAAAAGAAATCAGGATCTAGAAGAATTTGCTTAAAAAAAAAAAAAGGGATTACCCCAATCTGATCACTATAAGTTATATGTATCAAAATATCACTCACTATGTACCCCCATGAATATGTACAATTAGGCAGGGCACGGTGGCTCACACCTGTAATCCCAGCATTTTGGGAAGCCAAGGCAGGCAGATCACTTGAGGCCAAGAATTTGAGACCAGCCTGGGCAACATAGACTTTGTCTCCACTAAAAAAAAAAAAGGTTAGTCCAAGTGTGGTGACATGCACCTGTAGTCCCAGCTACTCGGGAGGCTGAGGTATGAGGATCGATCACTAGAACCCAGAGATCAAGGCTGCAGTGAGCTATGATCATGCCACTGCACTCCAGCCTGGGTGACAGAGTGAGAGCTTGTCTCAAAAAAGAAAAAAGAAAAAAAGATCAGGCACAGTGGCTCACACTTGTCATCCCAGCACTTTGGGAGGCCAAGGCAGGCAGATCATGAGGTCAGGCATTGGAGACCAGCCTGGCCAACATGGTGAAACCCAGTTTCTACTAAAAATACAAAAATTAGCCGGGCGTCATGGCACGTGCCTGTAGTCCCAGCTACTCAGGAAGCTGAGGTGGGAGAATTGCTTTAACCCTGGAGGCAGAGGTTGCAGTGAGCCAACATCATGCCACTACACTCCAGCCTGGGCGACAGAGCAAGACTCTGTCTTGGGGGTGAGGGGAAAAAAAAAGAAACAAAGTACAGACTAGAAGAAAATGTTTGCAAATCAAATATCTGATAAAAGGCTTGCATCCAGAATAAGTATTGAAAGAACTTTTAAATCTCTATAATAAAAACACAGTTTTTTTAAATGGGCAAAATATTTGAACAGACATTTCACCAAAGAAGATACATGGATGACACGCACATGAAAAGATATATAACATCATCATCATTTGGGAAATGCAAATTAAAACCACAATGAGATATCACCACATACCTATTAAAAATTTTCTGTTTAGTGGCAATACAATGTAGAGGCAAAGATACAGAGCAACTGGAACTCTCATACGTTGTTGGTGGGAATGCAAGATGGTATAGCTACTTTGGCAATTTCTTAAGCATACATTTACCATACCAACCAGCAATCCTATTGCTAGTTATTTATCCAAGAGAAATTAAAACTTATATTCACACATACATTTGTAAATTAATATTTATAGCAGCTCTACTTGTAATTGCCAAAAACTGGAAACAACCTGAATTAATGACTGGTGAGGCCCACTTTCCATATGTAGATGGCCATCTTTTTGCTATATCCTCACATGGTAGAAGGGGAGAGGGATCTCTTTGGGGTCTCTTTTTTTTTTTTTTTAGACGGAGTCTCCCTCTATCAATCACCAGGCTGGAGTGCAGTGGCACGATTTCAGCTCACTGCGACCTCCACCTCCTGGGTTCAAGCAATTCTCCTGCCTCAGCTACCCCAGTAGCTGGGACTACAAGCACATGCCACCATGCCCAGCTAATTTTGTTTGTATTTTTAGTAGAGATGGCGTTTCACCATGTTGGCCAGGATGGTCTCAATCTCTTGACCTTGTGATCCTCCCGCCTAAGCCTCCCAAAGTACTGGGATTACAGGCATGAGCCACTGCGCCTAGCCTGGGGTCTCTCTTTTTTTTTTTGAGCCTGGGGTCTCTTTTATAAGGGTACTAATCCCATTTATGAGGGCTCTGCCCTCATGACCTAATCACTTCCCAAAGCCCTCACTTCCTAGTATCATCATCTTGGGGGTTAGGATTTCAATATATGGATTTTGGGGGTACACAAACATTCAGACCATTGCACACCCTAACACAGTTGGCTCTGACATGAGCAATTGTAACAACCCAAGTGGTTACTGATGCTCTTAGGATAAAAGATGAAATTCTTTTTAATTTTATTATTATATATTTTTTGAGACAGAGTCTCTCTCCGTTGCCCAGGCTGGAGTACAGTGGCATGATCTCAGCTCACTGCAGCCTCTGACTCCTGAGTTCAAGCAATTCTCCTGCCTCAGCCTCCCGAGTAGCCGGGATTACAGGCATGCACCACCATGCCCAGCTAATTTTTGTATTTTTAGTAGAGACCGGGTTTCACCATGTTGGCCAGGCTGGTCTTGAACTTCTGACCTCAGGTGATCCAGCTTCCTCAGCCTCCCAAAATGCTAGGATTACAGGCGTGAGCCACCACGCCCAGTCCTTATTTTTTTTTTTTGAGACAAGGTCTTATTCTGTTGCCCAGGCTGGAATGCAATGGTACAATCTCAGCTCACTGCAGCCTTGGCCTCCTGGGCTCAAGCAATCCTCACACCTCAGCTTCCTGAGTAGCTGGGACCACAGCCACACACCACTACACCCGGCTAATATTTGTATTTTTTGTAGAGATGGGTTTTTGCCATGTTGCCCAGGCTGGTCTCAAACTCCTGGACTCAGGCAGTACTCCTGCCTCGGCCTCCCAAAGTGCTGGGATTATAGGTGTGAGCTACCACACTCAGCCCAAAATCCTTAATACGGCCTAAAAGGCTCTACATTGTTCAGCCTCTGATTACCTCAATAACCTCATCTCTGGAACATACTATGTTCCTTCCCACCTCAGGACCTTGGCATATGGTTCTCTTATCCCTGCCTCCTTTTTGTATCATTAATTCCTATTGATCCTTTTTGATCCTTTACATATGATTTACACTAATAATTTTTTAAATAAATGAAGGGAGCTCTCTGTTTTATTTGCAACCTCATCTAAACTTCTGAAATCAAATTTGTTTTCAGAAGTTGAAGGCCTCCATTCTGTAGCCAGTTCAGAGGTTGTGGAAAAGGGATTCAGAAGCCAAGTCATTGCTTTCCTTCACTTTAACATATGTGCCTGAAAAAGAGCTGAGAATGAAGGAAAGACCTTCTCATGAAGTATATTTCATATTACCTGTACTACAGGTACAGGTAATGTCTTACCCCCCCTTCCCCACCCTCAGCACCCTGATAGATTTTATTTCCTTTGAAGCACAGTCCATGTTTTCCATTTGTTTATGTCTAGGCTACAATAACTACAACCCATGTCTTGTAATAGTAGGTACTTAATGGATATTTATGTGAATTAAAATTTGCTTAGGCCTTACCATTACATAGAGGATGAGGATAAAAGAAAAAAAATAAAATAAAATTCTGTTAGGCTTCAAATTCCTGGGAGCAGCAATGTGGCACACTAGTCAGACAGATCTGGATTCATACCCTGGATCTGCATTGACTATCTGTTCAAATCTCAGCTCTGTCATTCCTAGCTGTGTGACATTGGGTAAATTACTTAGCTTTGCTGTGCTCAGATCGCTCATCTGCAGAAGAGAGATAATATCTATCTTGAAAGGTAAAAAGGCAGGGCATGGTGGCTCACGCCTGTAATCCCAGGGCTTTGGGAGCCCAAGGCGGGTGGATCATTTGAGGTTAGGAGTTCGAGACCAGCCTGACCAACATGGTGAAACCCCACCTCTACTAAAAATACAAAATTAGCCAGGCATGGTGGTGCATGCCTGTAATCCCAGCTATCTGGGAGGCTGAAGCAGGAGAATCACTTGAACCTGGGAGGTAGAGGTTGCAGTGAGCTGAGATCGTGCCATTGCACTCCTGGGCAACAAGAGCGAGACTCCATCTCAAAAAAAAAAAAAAAAAAAGGTAAAAGGAACCAGAGAAAAATGTATGTAAAATACATAGCACATATTACAATAAATAGTTATTATTCCAAAGTAATATAACCTGGGGTTGAATATAAGAATAGGTTTAGGTCAAGATGCTGAGGTATTTATTGCAGGGTTAAAATACTAGAATCAGAGAGTGGAGTTGCCACAGAGTAGTTTTTCTCTAAGTGGAACTGAAAGAGGAAGAGAATACCTGGGATTGCTCGAAGGGCCCTGGAGGCTTATTCTGCTACCGTAGGAGTTTCATAAATACTTTTTTTTTTCCCCTTCTAAACAAGCCCTAGAAATCACAATCTCCCTGTCTTCCCAATGTCTGTCCCCAAAAGTGCTGAGAATGGCTCTAAACCTCTGGGAACCCTGAGACATCTCTTTTTTTAAGTTATACACCACAGGGAAAAGGAGATTAGTACTCAGGAGTCAACAAACTATACTCCTTGATTGAGTCCTTTCGTCCACTTTTGTGTCATGAAAATGATTGTGTAAGTCTATTCCTTGCCTCACCAGATAGTATTGTCGGCCAGGTGCGGTGGCTCACGCCTGTTATTCCAACAATTTGGGAGGCCAAGGCAGGGGGATCACCTGAGGTCAGGAGTTTGAGACCAGCCTGGCCAACATGGTGAAACCCTGTCTCTACTAAAAATACAAAAATTAGCCGGGCATGGTGGTGGGCACCTGTAATCCCAGCTACTCAGGAGGCTGAGGTGGGAAAATTGCTTAAACCTGGGAGGCAGAGGTCACGGTGAGCCAACATCGCACCACTGCACTCCACTCCAGCCTAGGCAACAGAGCCAGACTCTGTCTAAAAAAACAAAAACAAAACATAGTATTGTGGTAGCAAGCACCTAGACATTCAAAACGGTAGCAACTTTGGTGCTGTTTTCCTGCTGCCACTACTGGGGAACAGATCCCCTATAACTCTAGGCCCAATCTTCCCCGCTCCCTTCTTGGGCTGTGTTTCCTCCTTCCTTTGTGGCTTTCATCTTTAATAGCGTTGCCACAGCAACCACTGTCACCAGAAAAGGGAAGATAGTGTTGCCCCTTCTGCTCCAAGCAGTGAGTTAGAACCTTGGAAAAGATAAACTATCCAGATTTCCCCATATTCCTCAGCCCACTGGGCTCTTTAAAGAGAGATCACAGGCTGTCAACAGCAGCAACAGACAGGAACAAGGATCACCTCATCATACCTAGACTACCTATACCTGTATTTGCATGACATAGCTTGGGTGCTGTGTAAATAAAAACACATTATAAACACATTTTGGTACTTACTGCCAGAATACTTAGTTTGGATGAATACACACAGGAACTCAGAATCCTGTCCTACAGTCCAAGGCAGAGAAACCTAAAAAGGGACTGAATCCTAAAAATCCTAAATTCTAGCCTTTAAAAATCCCTTTCCTTGCCTTTGTATTGACATAAATCCTAGGCTTCCTAAGCTCCCTGCTTGTTCTAGAGGTGCAGGAAGTGAAGGGGGACAGGAGAGTTAGTGGATCTGCTTCCAAGTGGCGACAAAGAGGCTTTGCACCCTCCCACTCCACCCTGGGACCCTTTTATCCCTTCTGACATATTCTCCTCCAATGTTAAATGAAAGTAACTGCTAAAAAACCTTATAGAGGCCTCTGGGATCCTCTAGTGCCCCTGGAAGACCCTAGACTGCTGTTTTTGGAGCACCGTTGGAACCATTTCAATTCTTTCAGTGCAGCAACCAGCTGCAGTCCTTAAACAGCTTCAGAAAGACTTGCTCAAGGTCACCCTCAAGATAATAACAGAAAAAGAACTAGGAATCCTTACTGCAGGTTCTACATACACACATTCCTCTCTTAATATATATACTATTTCCCCCAATGCCCTATATCTCAGATGCATCCTGAGACAAAAATAGAACCTAAACAACCCTAGCTCCCAAGCCCCCTTGTCTGATTCTCCCCTTAGCCACCCCATCCCTGTTTCCTGGAATAGAAGTACCCCCAACTGGAGTCAGAGGCAGAATTCCTTGGCCATGCCAGCTCATGGTATGCAGTGAGTCAACAGCCCCAGCCTGTTCCCCCCAGCATGGGCTGCCACAGTTTAATGAGTGGTTATTTGTGGTGCTCTGCACACAGCTTAGAGCTGTGCCTTCACCCCACACTGAGGTTTAGGGAATGGGGGAGAGAGAGTAGTGCCAAAGCATCATTTATTACTATAATCTTCAATGTGCATCCCACCCATGGTGTTAATGTCCCAAAATAAACGTATTAATCCCCGCTGCAGCCTACAAAGCAAACACTCAGCTGGAGGGCTTTGTGTGGGAGGGAGGCAGCACCAAGGACAACAGAACGATAAATGTACCCCTTTTCCCTGGGTGGGGTACTGGGCATGGCTTCGGGAATAAGCCTGGAGGGAAATAGAAATCAGCCTTCAGTGAGGAGACTGTGACAAGGTCTAGATTTCTAGGTACCTGTTTATGGGCACCTTTCAGGGATGCAGATCTCTTAGAAAAGTGGTTTTGAGGCCAGCATGGTGGCTCACACCCATAATCCCAGCACTTTGGGAGGCCGAGGCAGGTGGATCACCTGAGGTCAGGAGTTTGAGATCAGCCTGGCCAACATGATGAAACCCAGTCTCTACTAAAAATACAAAAAAATTAGCCGGGCGTGGTGTTGGGTGCCTGTAATCCCAGCTACTTGGGAGGCTGAGGCAGGAGAATTGCTTGAACCCGGGAGGTGAGGTTGCAGTGAGACGAGATCATGCCACTGCACTCCAGCCTGGGCAACAAGAGCGAAACTGTCTCAAAAAAAAAAAAAAAAAAAAAAAAAGTGGTTTTGGATCTGCTCTGATTTAGCTTACTTTTGTAACTAAAATAATTCCAACGCAAGTCAAGCCATTTTGAGCAGCAGGTCGGAGTATGGATTTAGAAAATCATGCACTCAGGATGCTTGAATCCCAGTAAGATTTCATCACTTACCTTGCCAGCCTAATGCATTCTTCTCATTCTTCCTTCCCCATCTTCTTGCTTTTTTTTCCCTGAGACAGGGTCGTGCTCTGTTGCCTAAGCTGGAATGCAGTGGCACAATCACGGCTCACTGCAGCTTGATCTCCTGGACTCAAGCACCACCTCAGCCTCCCAAGTAGCTGGGACTACAGATGCACACCACCATATCTGGCTAATTTTTTATTTTTTGTAAAGACGGGGTCTTGCTATGGTGCCCAGGCTAGTCTCAAACTCCTGGGCTGAAGCAATCCTCCCACCTCAGCCTTCCAAAGTGCTGGGATAATAGGTATGAGCCATCACATCTGGCCTTACCATTCTCTTCCCAAAGCCTTTGAACTCCTGACTTGGAAGTCAAACGGCCAAACGAAAGAGGACTGAATACCCAGAGGCTGTTTGTTCATCAGGTGCACCAATTTTACTTAGACACCTGCTTGCCTGCAATTATGGGAATCAATGATGAACATTGAAATTAAGAACTCATGAAAAGAGGGCCTCCAGGCTCCCTACTTCCTTCACTCCTATCAGCTTACCTACTCCACCCAATTTTCTGCACCCATTTTTAAGGTGACTAGGCATCCTGCGTAATGATGGATAGTACCTGCCCTGACTAGTATTCTACCAGAATGTACCCTGTTGATAAAATATTATCTAATGTTGGTCTCCTGTCTCTATCCTCTTGCTCAGCATTATTAGATCACACTGCTTATATTTCTTTTTCGTGTTTGTGAGAGACAGGGTCTCACTCTATCGCCCAGGCTGGAGTGTAGTGGTGCCATCACGGCTCACTGCAGCCTTGACCTCCCAGGCTCAAGAGATCCTCCTACTTCAGCCTCCCACGTAACTGGGATCACAGGCATGTGCCACCATGCCCAGCTAATTTTTTAATTTTTAGTAGAGACAGGGTTTTGTCATGTTGCCCAGGCTCGTCTCAAACTCCTGAGCTCAAGCAGTCCTCCTGCTTCAGCCTCCCAAAGTGCTGGGATTACAGGCGTGAACCACCACACTCAGCTACATTGCTTATATTTCTTTTTCTTTTTTTTCTTAGACAGAGTCTTACTCTGTCACAGGCTGGAGTGCAGTGGTGCTATCTCGGCTCACTGCAACTTCTGCCTCCCAGGTTCAAGCAATTCTCCTGGCTCAGCCTCCCGAGTAGCTGTGATTACAGGTGGCTGCCACCACACCTGGCTAATTTTTGTAGTTTTAATAGAGACGGGGTTTCACCATGTTGGCCAGGCTGGTCTCGAACTCCTGACCTCGTTATCCACCTACCTTGGCCTCCCAAATGCTGGGATTACAGGCATGAGCCACAGTGCCCAGCCTATATTTCTTATAAAAAGTACTTGAGGCTAGGCATGGTGGCTCATGCCTGTAATCCCAGCACTTTGGGAGACCAAGACAGGTGGATCACTTGAGGCCAGGAGTTTCAGACCAGCCTGGTCAACATAGTGAAATCTCGTCTCTACTAAAAAAAATACAAAAATTACCCGGGCCTGGTGATACACGCCTGTAATCTCAGCTACTTGGGAGGCTGAGGCAGGAGAATCACTTGAAGCCAGGAGGCAGAGATTGCAGTGAGCCAAAATGGCGCCACTGCACTCCAGCTTGGGCGACAGAGTGAGACTCCATCTCAAAAAAAAAAAAAAAAAAAAAAAAAAAAGGAAAGAAAGTATTGAGGCCAAGCATGGTAGCTCATGCCTGTAATCCCAGCTCTTTGGGAGGCTGAGATGGGTGAACTGCTTGAGCTCAGGAGTTCGAGACCAGCATGGGCAACGTGGTGAAACCTGTCTCTACAAAAAATACAAAAAAAATTAAGCAGGCATGGTGACGTGTACCTGTGGTCCCAGCTACAAGGGATGCTGAGGTGGGAAGATTGCTTAAGTCCAGGAGCTTGAGGCTGCAGTGAGCCATGATCATGCCACTGTACTCCAGCCTGGGTGACAGAGATATTGTCTCAAAAAAAAAAAAAAAGTACTTGAAATATATTCATTAAAAGTTTACATGCTAATCAAATAATTCTGTGGCCAGGCACAGTGGCTCACCCCTGTAATCCCAGCACTTTGGGAGCCGAGGTGGGCAGATCACTTGAGGTCAGGAGTTCGAGACCAGTCTGGCCAACATAGTGAAACCCCATCTCTACTAAAAATACAAAAAATTAGCCGGGCGTGGTGGCGAGTGCCTGTAATCCCAGCTACTTGGGAGGCTGAGGCAGGAGAATTGCATGAACCCCGGAGGTGGAGGTTGCAGCGAGCCGAGATTCACCATTGCACTCCAGCCAGCCCTGGCAACAGTGCAAGACTCCAACCCAAAAAAAAACAAAAACAAAAACAAAAACAAAAACCCTGTATTTACTGAAGTAAAATGTTAAAGGAGTCTTGTGGAATGTTCTTTTGGAATGAGAAGTCAGAAGTACAGTGCCCTAGCCTTGGTTCTAGTACAGTGTAAACTTAGATAAGTTTTGGGCCCCAGTTTTCTCACCTGTAAAATGAGAATATTGGACCAGATGATCTTTAGCGTTCCTTAACAAATCTAAAATCGCATCACTAAAATGTTTTGATATTTTATTTGAGGTTTTCTGGGTGAAAGATATATCTTTCTATTTTGAAGAATTTTTTGCAGAACTAAGTTTATTTTTCTCTATGATAAAATAGACTCATGAAAGACAATTTAGAAATATAGAAAAGTAAAAAGAAAATAGTGGGAGGCATGCATAGAACCACCACCTTGAAGAGACAATTATTCATCTTTCTTCATCCTCTCTGCCTGCAACTCTATCTCCACCACTTCCATCAGTTAAGACCCTCCATAGGCAGACATGAAAGATGCATCAAGTTTGTGCACTTGGACTTCAGCCATATTACTTATGGCTGCCTGACCCTATAAAGATGACATTCTCAGAGCTAACAAATCACAGCTGTAGTTGAGAGAAAGAATCATCCATATTTCCAGGTCACAGGATGACAAAGTCATCCACTTCTACCAGTCAGAGGCTCCTGCCTAAGCAGCTAAAACCAGCAACATAAATGGGAGACTAAGAAAGGGATGAGCAAGTTCTCATTTTCCTCACTCCAACGCAGATGTTTCCAGAGGTAGAAGGCATTTCTTTTTTTTTTTTTTTTTTTTTTTGAGATGGAGTCTCGCTCTGTCGCCCAGGCTGGAGTGCAGTGGTGCGATCTCGGCTCACTGCAAGCTCCGCCTCCCGGGTTCATGCCATTCTCCTGCCTCAGCCTCCCGAGTAGCTGGGACTACAGGCGCCTGCCACCATGCCTGGCTAATTTTTTGTATTTTTAGTAGAGATGGGGTTTCACCATGTTAGCCAGGATGGTCTCGATCTCCTGACCTCATGATCCACCCACCTTGGCCTCCCCAAGTGTTGGGATTACACGCGTGAGCCACCGCGCCTGGCCGGTAGAAGGCATTTCAATAGCAGTAAGTGACTAGACTTTCTATTTTGTATATCCAATATAACCATAATAAAAGTAACATACCAATGAGAGAGAGAAACTTGGATCTCCTCCAAGTCCACACCAGGTTCCCTAACAACTGGTTCACAGGAGACATAACAGAATAGTATCACTCTGACTGAACTTCCCTTGTTGGGAAGGTGGCAGATGCAGACAGATGTGCACAGGAAAGAGTGTGTGGATCTCCAAAGTGTGATATCCCATTCTCATTAGATAAGAAGAGAGCAAACAGGATAATGAAGGAGCACCAGGTCTAAGCTCTCCCCTAAATGATATTTCTAGTTGATCTGTCCCTTGCCCCAGCCCCTGCCAGCCAAAACACAGGACAGACACCATGAAGACTGTCACCAATGGTCCATGACTCCCATTTCAGCAGAACGACTGCTGGACCAAGGGATTCCCCTAGCTAGGCTTCTCGCAGATGAGAAATACAACAGGATTACAAAAGAACCTGCAATTCTGCTTTAAGCAGCCAGCTACACTGTATGAAAAAGGATTATAGGGAAGAGCCCTCAGGGACTGAACACATCTCTCATTCCCATCCTTCACTGAAACTAGGGAAAAGTTATTAAACCACAGGAGATAGAGTGTGATCCACAGCAATCAAGTCCCGCCTGCAGCTGTGAATGCAGACAAATTGGAGATGAGTCCCTGCAGCTCCTTCGTGCACGAACGCACACACACACTCACAGGGAAATGCTCTACTGCAGTAATGAGTGACAGCAAAGAGCCACAAAGGCAAGGCAGAGCCAGAGATCCTCCCCAGCAGCCCCACCAGAACCCCTGCACTGTTGGTTGTTCTAGGTCTGGAGACTCCTCCCTGGTTTTGTTCTTCAGTTGAAATAGGAGTCTCTTAAAGACATCCCAAATTGTCTCACTTCATGCACTTTCTCTGAAGCAAGAAAATAAGCAGTTGGGGGAGGTGAAACTTACGTAAGATTCAAGGTACACAGGGCTTTCCTGGGCGGGGCTCTTCCACCTGAAAGAGGAGCCCCATGGGGCTGGCCTGAGAGAAATGAAGCAGTTTGGAGTCTCCCTAGAGCTCTGGGCAACACTTCCACCTTTTACCATAGCTTTTACAAGAGGAAGAAAACAGGCTGGATCTCGGCCCCTAGAGAAGCAGAGACCCCTTTGTGACCTGATTCAGAGACAGCTGCTTCTGGATTTTATAAGTATTCATCCCTAAGACCAGGCTCAGCTCTGTATTAGGAGACAGCTTCTATGACTAAATTGCTAGTTAAAACCAGTTTGCTCTGATAGCCTAGGAGGCTGGGCAGACTTGGGTACACTGATAGTCTCCATCCGTGGATCCTTCTCTCATCATTCTACTGAGCCCCTGATGAAGGCTAACCAAATTCAGCTGCTGAGTCAGGAGGGAGCGGACTTGGCTTTCTCCTCAAACACCGAATTGTTTCCTTTGCTACAAAACAGGCTTCTCATTCCACCAAATACCACTCTAAATGCCAGCCCCTGTAGTGTGTCCTACAAAGGGGCTGTGCACTTACCCCAGAAAACACAGGCTAACTGCAAATCCTCACGTTGGCATAGCCTTCAGATCACAAACTCCCAGGGGATGGCTTGGATTACAACTTTCAGATTTAGAAATGCTCGGGGTGGGAGGAGTAGTATGAACCCTAGACCTCAGTGAAAAGGGGCAAAGAAAACCTCTCTTCCCACATTAGAGGTGAAAGAGGAGGTTGATGCGTTTTTTTCTTTTCTTTCTGAAAGATTGCCATCATCAGAGTCACAACCAGCTGAGGGACTGGAAACCACTTTGGTTCATCTGCAGCCCCCAGACTAGCCGAATTTTCCAGGATAAAATTAGTGAACACGGCAACCAAGACAACACAGCAGTTGGCACTAATTAGCTCCCTGGGTGACAACTTTTGGTAGGAGTCATAGAGATCTTCATTTTTAGTATCTAAACTGGAACCCAGGCTCCAGGGTCCTATTCCTTCAGTAATCTAATGTCTTTGGGAATTCTTCTGTTAAATTTCTGTAATACTCTAATGGGAGAGGAAGAAAAAAGAAACAGAAAGATAATAGCTAATATAGATTGAGTGCCAGGTCCTGTTTCAAGTATTTGGCATATATTATCTCATTTAATTATTACAACAACCAGTATTATCCCCATTTTACAGACAAAAAATGAAACAAAGGTTTTGTACTTTGCCTAAGGCTACATCACAGGTAAGTAGCTGGCCTACATACATATCTGACATATAGCAGAGGAGTTGGATTTAACACAACGATGTGGGTACTAGGAAAGAGGTTGCAGAGGGCAAGCTTGTGATGCCACTAACCAGACTGACTTCACTTGGAAAGGCTGATCCTTGTTTCTGGAGATGAGACTGTGCCTACAAATAGACAATAGGAGACGTCTTTCCAAAGTCTCTGCTTTGACCCCCCACTCCCCCACCCCATGAACAGTGTTCTTTGAAAACAGTAAATCAGTTAATGGCCTGGGTCTGGCCACGGTGAACACCACAGAGCCTGCCGGAAGACCTAGTTTGTAACAAGCACTGCAGAGGGAGGTCTATTCTTGAAGGGGAAATCTCCCCAGCAACTGGCAGGGGCTTCTAAATACCGGAACACGTCCCTCCAACGTTCCTGACTGAATGAGTGGAGGGCAGGATGCCACCTTTCTAAAAGGGGCACAGTGGCCCTCCCCGGGGGCCAGGGATGGAGTTCTTGTTAGATGCTACAGAAGGAATGTGAGTGCCTTACATCCCTAGGAGAGAGAGGACAGAAGCGAAGTGAGGGGGGTAAGGGGAGCCAGAATAATCTCGGGCAGTAAGACAGATGCAGGGGGCAGTATCCAGAGGGGATGACCTACCACCTGAGAGCTCAGCATCCCCGCTTCCGGACTCTACAGCCGATTCCAATTACCCCCAAAAGCGCCGTCCACAGTAGGGAGACTGAAAGCACCCCGTCTTCCAATCGTTTCCCAGCGCCCCGAGGTGGGAGCTTTCCTAGGAGGGCAGTGGGGCGCCCCTGGAGGGTTCTTCGCGGCTCCGGTCTGCCTCGCTCTCCCTCGCCTCCCTGGGATCCCGAGCCGCAGCACCCTCCCCGCCGCAGCCCTGCCGACAGCGCCGGGGGCCGCACCGCTCACCTCGCTCATCTCCGCAGCCGGACAGGGCGCGCGAGGCGCTGCACGCACAGGTGAGGCGAGTGGCCCTCGGGGCTCCGCGGGCGACAGCTGAAAGTTGCCGGGCTCTGCGGCAGGGGTTACAGCTGACCAGGAGAGGAGAGTTAGTGCGGAGAGCCGCTGCTCTGGTGCTGGCACCCGGGATTCTCGGAGCCCAGCTCCGGCCAGGCGACCCCCTGCGACCCGTCCTGTCAGAGCCGCTCAGCTCGCCGCCTCCGGCCCCACCTTTTATACTCAGCTCGGTACCCGCCTCCAGCCCGACCAATAGAAGCTCCTCCTACCGTAGAATGACAGCCTCTTGCATCCAATGCTGGCAGGTTTAGAGGTCTGCTGCATTTCCAAACTAGGGTAAGACAGAGAGCGGGAAGGAGGGGGAGACCATCGGGGGATGCGGGGACGGAAAATGAAGTAGGGGGAGCAAAGAAAGAGAGGGAGAAAGGAGATGTACACGAAGAAGGCAAGGTGGGGAGTGGAATGGAAGGAGTGTGTGAGTCTGAGAAAGAGAAGGCCTGGAAAGAAATCAAGAGGGTACACGGAAAACAGGAAACAGTGAATGAAAGGGGTAAAGCCAAGAGATGTTGCAGATTAAGATTTCCTAGTAGAATAGCACCCTGGAGGTCGGGCGCGGTGGCTCAAGCCTGTAATTCCAGCACTTTGGGAGGCCGAGGCGGGCAGATCACAAGGTCAGGAGATCGAGACCATCCTGGCTAACACGGTGAAACCCAGTCTCTACTAAAAATACAAAAAATTAGCCAAGCGTGGTGGCAGGCGACTGTAATCCCAGCTACTCGGGAGATTGAGGCAGGAGAATGGCGTGAACCCGGGAGGTGGAGCTTGCAGTGAGCCGAGATCGCGCCACTGCACTCCAGCCTGGGTGACAGAGAAAGACTCCGTCTCAAAAAAAAAAAAAAAAAAAAGAACAGAACCCTGGACCAGAGAATAGCACAAGAGAGGGAGGAAGGCTGGGGGAAGAGAGAGAGAGACAGAATGAGAGAGAGACTGGAGCAAATGGACAGCTTTCTTTGGCAAAGAACAGGGAAATTGTGAAGTGCCTGTTTGATGTGGAAGATCATAGATCTCAGGAGTTGGAAGACATTTTAGGATTCATCAAATCCTACTGTGTCTGGAGTTGGTTCCTTCTGGTGGGTTCTTGGTCTCGCTGACTTCCAGAATGAAGCTGGGAATTTTTGCAGTGAGTGTTACAGCTCTTAAAGGTGGCACGGACACAAAGAGTGAGTCAGTGAGCGAGTGAGCAGCAGCAAGATGTATTGTGAAGAGCGAAAGAACAAAGCTTCCACAGCATGGAAGGGGACCCGAGCACGTTGCTGCTGCTGGCTGGGGTGGCCAGCTTTTATTTCCTGGGGTCACCGCCCATGTCCTGCTGTTTGGTCCATTTTACAGAGTGCTGATTGGTTCATTTTACAAACCTCTAGCTAGCTACAGAGTGCTGATTGGTGCGTTTTACAATCCTAGCTACAGAGTGCTAATTGGCACATTTTACAATCCTCTTGTAAGACAGAAAAGTTCTCCAAGTCCCCACCTGACCCAGAAGTCCAGCTGGCTTCACCTCTCAATCTCCCCTCTAAACAGGACACCCCAGCTGCTGTTGGAAATTGGGCGATGACCACTCTAGCTACTTCCTGCTGGATGGGGGCGAAGGGGCCCTGCAGTGGTAGTATCCTCCAGAGGGAAACTCTCTAGGCCAGCCAAAGGGTCAGTGGGTTGGTCCAGGGGTCCTCGGTAGAAGTTGTTAGTTGAGCTCGTTTGGGGTTCCATTTGTAAGACCATCTGTAGCTTGATGGCATTGATCCTGGAGGAAACAAATTTGACAAAGAGGTTAAAAATACAAGGCCCAAAGGCGAGTAATAGCAAGATGGCTGTCACAGGACCTAGAAAGGGGAGAAGCCATGTCGCCTAACTCTGAAGGTTGGTCTAAGGGTTTGAAAGGCTTTGTCTGATTTCAGAAGCCTCTTCCCATAAACACCGGGCGGAGTCTCGTACTATCCCTGACTGGTTAGTGTAAAAGCAACATTCTTCCCCTAAGAAGGTGAAAGTCCTCCTTTCTCAGCAGTGAGGAGGTCTAGGCCTCAGCGGTTTTGGAGAGTCACTGCTGCCAAAGAGTCTATTTGGGATTGTAGAGTAAGGATAGATTTTGTTACTTCTTGTAAACTGTCTGAGAAATCCTTCAAGTGTGTGTGGTAGCAGGATAATGAAGTAGATAAACCTGCTATTCTGGTTCCTGTAGCAGTGGCCATTCCTAACCCTATAAGTAGGGGTATTAGTTGTATGGCCCTGTGCTGACAGGAGCTTTGTGGGGCACTGATAGGGTCTGATTTCCACAAGATTAGAAGTTAGGATAATACATGTTATACTGTTAACTTTCAGCAAACTTTACTTTTGTTGAAAACCTTGTAAATTTGGGATTTCAATTATTCTTTGCTATTAATAAGACCTCATTCAGTCCATATTAACTTAAAATTGGTATAGATGTCTCCTTCCTGATTCCGTAAGTACTTTAAGGTTTGGCTGAGTGCAAACAGCTCACATGTTTGAGCACAGCAATTATTAGGCAATTCTCCTAACTCTGCTTCTACAAGAATTGCCTTATCACTTACCGAATACCCATTGTGTCTTTTTCCATTAATCACCCAGGAGGAACCAGCTATCATCCTGTCCTGGAGGGAGTTCTTCCTAGGTCTGGTTAGACCTTTGTATGGTAATTAATTAAGATTTAGTTGCCCTGTTAGGAAACCTACCGGGTTAAGGATTTTTGATAGGAAGGCTATGGGCTGTCAGTGGCCTCAGTGCTTTTGGACTATGCTCTTGTTTACACTGACAACAAGGTGGTATTGGAGTGTTATAGGGTCACGGAGAAGACCTTCAATTATCAATTATAGGTTTTAAATTTACCCTGGCTTTTAAAGGAATAGGGTGCACTGTTTTTTCTTTACTACTTCCCTCTCTCTGTCTTTCTCTCTTTCTTCTCTGACTTTCTGTCTTTCCCCTCTCTCTTTCTCTGACTTTCTGTCTGTCTGTCTCTCTCTCTCTCTCTCTCTCTCTCTCTCTGGCTTTCTTTCTCTTTCTCTCTTTCTTTCTCTGCTGGTCTTTCCCTGCCTCTGCCAGCCACTTATGCTGCTGTTCTCCCCTCTCCTTCTCCTTTGGCTTTGGCAGTGTAAGACTGCCACCTCCTTGGGTTTTTGCACTACATGCAATAACTCCATGATTTCCTTGTGATATTTAATGGAGGTTCCCCAGAGGTTAGGAACTCCCTTTCTTTCCATATTGCAGCATGGGCATGTAGAATTCGATAAGCATTCTTGGTATCTGTATACACATTTATTCTTTTTCCCTTTCCCAGTTCTAAGGCTCAGGTTAGTGCCACTAGTTCTGCTAACTGGGCGCTGGTCCCTGGGGGAAGAGGCTTACTTTCAAGTACTGTTACATCACCAACTATGGCGTAACCTGCCCTTCGTATCCCATTCTCCACAAATGAACTTCCACTGGTATATGGGTTAAGGTCAAGATTAGCTAAGGGGACTTCTAAAAGATCCTCTTGGGCGGCATAAGTCTGGACTATAATTTGTTGGCAGTCATAAGAGATGTTGACAGTCATGCTTGATTGGTTCTCCATCCTCTGGGAGAAAAGTAGCAGGGTTAAGGGCTGCACACATGCATATTTGAAGCACTGGTCCCTCAAGGAGTAGTGCCTGGTATCTAAGCAGGCAGTTGTCTGATAGCCATAAACTTCCTTTGGCAACTAGTATGCCATTTATATCATGAGTAGTTCAGACAGTGGGATCCTTTCCTTGTATTATTTTGATAGCCTCTGATATTAAGACGGCTACTGCCACAACTACCCATAAACAGTGATGCCAGCCTTTTGCTACTATATTAATTTCCTTACTTAGGTATGCCACTGGTTGTGGGGTTGTCCCACAAGTCTGAATAAGGACTCCAAGAGCTATTCCTGCTCTCTCTCTGATGTATTAAGAGACGTTTTGTCCTGTGGGAAGGCTTAAGGCTGGAGCTTGTACTAGGGCCTGCTTTAAGGTCTTGAAGGCTGTTTCTGCCTCTGGTTTCCATTCTACTAGATAGGTATTTGCCCTCTGGGTCTCCTTGATTAGAGTATAGAGGGGCCTGGCTATCTCACTGTATCCGGGGATCCATAGTCAGCAAAAGCCAGTGATTCCAAGAAACCCCCACAACTGTTTAAATGTCTTAGGGCAAGGATAAGCCAGTATAGGCTGTATTCATTCCTTGCTAAGGGCCCTGGTTCCTCTGGCTAAGATTAGGCCTAGATATATGACTTGTTGTAGGCAGAGTTGGGCCTTCGATTCACATGCTTTGTACCCTTGATTAACTAGAAAGTTCAAGAGATCTAGAGTAGCATGGTGGCATGAGGCTTCCAAACTAGTAGCCAAAAGTAAATCATCCACATACTGAAGGACCAGAGTGCTTGCACTTCCGAAGTGGCCTAGATCTTGGGCCAGTGCCTGACCAAACAGATGAGGGCTATCCCTAAACCCTTGGGGCAAGACTGTCCATGTAAGTTGGGACGTGTGGTCTGTGGGATCCTCAAAGGCAAAGAGAAACTGGGAGTCAGAGTGCAGGGGAGTACAGAAGAAGGCATCTTTGAGGTCCAGAACAGTGAACCATTCTGCTTCCTCTGGCATTTGAGAGAGCAGGGTATAGGGGTTGGGTACAACTGGATATAGAGGAATTACTGCCTCATTGATAAGTCTAAGATCTTGAACTAGTCTCCTAGAATTGCGGTGTTGCAGGGACTGCTGCATTTTCTTATTAAGCCTTGAGCTTTTAAATGTCTAACAATATCCTGTAATCCTTTATGAGCATCAGGCCTTAAGGGATATTGCCTTTGATAAGGAAAAGTGGTTGGGTCTTTTAGCCTGATTTGGATTGGGTGGGCATTTTTTGCCCTTCTGAATTGTCCTTTCAATGCCCAGACTTCAGGGTTGATTCCCTCCTCAAGCAGGGGACAACAAATGGGTAACTTGTTCCCCATATTCATGTAGATAATAGCTCCAGCTTTGGCTAATATGTCCCTCCCTAATAAGGGTGTGAGACTTTCAGGCATAACAAAAAAGGCATTTGAAAAGAGCAAAGTCTCCCAATTACAACTGAGGAGGTGGGAGAAATACCTGGTTACAGGCTGTCCCAGGATTTCTCAGATGGTAATGGATGTTGAGGACAGCTGTCCGGGACAAGAGATTAACACTAAGAAAACCGTGCCAATGTCCAGGAGGAAGTCAATTTCCTGGCCTACAATGGTTAATCGTACCCGGGGGATGACATGAGCTGGCGCTTGCCCCCGGCACCCTCAGTCCTGTTGTTGGATCATCTGTTTGGGGGCTTCTGGCCCAGAGAACCTTTGTCCTCTGGGGCAGTGCACCTTCCAGTGATTGCCTCGGCATAGTGGACAAGGGCGAGGGGGCAGCTTGTTTCTTGTTGGACAATCTTTTTTAAAGTGTCCTTGCAAACCACACTAATAACAAGCGCTACCAGGTGATTGGCCTGCTCCATTTTCTGTCCTCTCTGAACCACCAAGGTTTGTCTGAGGGCCATGACTAAGGCTGCGGCCTTTCTCTGGTCTCACTTTTCCTTTTTGGCCTGTTCCTCTTGGTCCCTATTATAGAACACTGAGGTTGCCAGGTTTAATAATGCCTCCAGATTTTGTTCAGGGCCCAGGGCTCGCTTTTGGAGCTTTCTCCTGATATGTGTGGCTGATTGGGAAATGTACTTATCTTTTAGGATCAATTGACCCTCGAGGGAGTCAGGTGACAGAGGAGTATATTTTCTTAAGGCCTCCCATAGCTGCTCAAGGAAGGCAGAAGGATTTTCTTCCTTTCCCTGAGTTATGTGGACATCATTGAATAATTCATGGACTTTTTCCTAATTCTCCTTAGTCCTTCTAGAACACAGGTCAGCAGATGTTTACAACTCCAGTCCCCATGATCTGAGTCGGGGTCCCAGTAGGGATCCATACTGGGGATGGCTTGCTGGCCAGTAGGTAATTTTTCCGCTTCCAGGTAGCTCCAAACTCTCAGGCTGCAGCTAAAGCTGCATTATTTTTATTAAAGGCCAGGGTTTGATCTAACAATAGCATGACACCTCTCCAAGTGAGGTCAAAGGACTTGCCCTAGACCCTGTAGGACATCTATGTACCTATCAGGATCAGGATCATCTGAAAACTTCCCCAGATCTACCTTGATCTGCTTTTTTTTTTTTTTTTTTTTGAGATGGAGTTTCGCTCTTGTTGCCCAGGCTGGAGTGCAATGGCATGATCTCAGCTCACTGCAACCTCTGCCTCCCAGCTTCAAGCGATTCTCCTGCCTTAGCCTCCCGAGTAGCTGGGATTACAGGCATGCGCCACCCCATCCAGCTAATTTTTTTGTATTTTTAGTAGAGATGGGGTTTCTCCATGCTGGCTTGGCTGGTCTCAAACTCTCGACCTTAGGTGATCTACCCACCTCAGCCTCCCAAAGTGCTGGGATTACAAGCATAAGCCACTGTGCCCAGCCCTTGATCTGCTTTAAATCAGAGAGGGAGAAGGGGACATGTACCTGGGTTGGGCCAAAATTCCCCTCCCCCTACAGCTTGAAGGGGGACGTAACCAGTAGCCTGGGGGTTTTTGTGGTCCCTTGGAGATTTATTTGTTTCCTTCTGGATAGGGGAGATTAGAGGAGGCTTATCATTAGTAGGAAGGGGAGCTATAGGGAGGCTAGGATATGGGGGTAAGCTGAGAGGTCCTCTTGTGGGAGGTAAATTGCAAGCTTTGCATAGTTGTGGATTCTCCTTCAATGAAAAAAAAGCTTGGACATGAGGTATTGCACTGCATTTGCCTTCCCTCTTATAGAAAAGGTCAAGCTGCAGGATAGTATTATAATTTATACTTCCCTCAGGTGGCCATTTTTCCCCAACAGAGAGAGAATACTGGGGCCAGGCCATAGTGCAGAAAAAAAATGAGCCACCTCTTTCTCAGGGTTTCAGAGTCAAATTGGTCCCAATGGCTTAGGATGCATTTCAAGGGTGAGCCTGTTGATGCCTGAGTGTTTCCCATGTGAAAGATAAAACCACCCGCGGTTACGGTTTGTTTTCCATCCCAACCCAAGAACCCGCAATGGTCCTTGGACCCTGCTGATGGGAATAGTTGTGCTCACCGATGCAGCAGCAGATCCCCCTCTTGCCCAAGAACCCACAACGCTCCCTGGACCCTGCTGATTGGAATAATTGTGCTCACCAATGCAGCAGCAGAAACACTAGTTTTCCTCCTAGACCACAAAGAGGACTGAGGAAGATCGGATTTAGTGGCCCTTACCGGTGCATTCTTGAAAACCTGCACCCTTGTCTTTCCTCTTAGACCACAAAGAGGACCAAGAAAAATCGGATTTAGTGGCCTTTACCAACACATTCTCAAAAACCTGTTAGAGTCCTAAGTGTTGTCTCCTGGTAGTATTGGGACCTTACCCCTCTCCTATAAAGATGATATGCCCCAGAAATGGAGTGGAGGGCCATACCCTGAGGGAGGGAAGGGATCTCCAGGGTTGGAAGATTGACGCCTTTTGTCCTCACTTCTCATCATACGACTAGGAAGAATATCATTTCTGAGGCTCCCCATATCCTAGCTTCGGGAATAGCCTTTGTTAGGCCTGCTTGTCTGAGGAGGGATCCTAAAAGGATAGTTGGTCTCCCCAACTGACAGGGCTTTGGGCAAAAATTATGTCTAATTGGTGAGCCTGGGTGCCCAAAGAAAGGAACAGAGTCCCGAAATTTATACTAGAAGTCATTCTTATAGGAGAAACTAGAAAAGCACCAGAGGCGGGGAGTGGTTTTTAGAAGCAGGACTAGCCTCAGAGAAGAGAGGCGGAAGGAAGTTTGTCTGACAGGCATTAGGACCCAGGAGGCAAAGGTCAGGATAGACAGGATAGATGGGCAAGTCTCGCTTGGGCAACATGACTTTGAGAGTTCTGCTCATGGCTACAGGGTCAACTAACTTTTTGTCGGGACCCCAGAGCTGAATGGCTTTCCTCTCTGTCGACCCTTGGCTCAGCCCGGAAGTACAGGAAAAGTGGAAGCTGGTTCCAGGCAAACCAACACTCCCAACTCCAAAGATTCGGGGGTTGTTAGAGAGCCCTTTCCCAGAAAGCCTGACACCCATGTCTTTAGTCCAGCTGCAACGCTAGTCGCTTTTAACTGGCTGACAGGTGCCCAGTGTTTAGTCCCTGAATTCTAAGGAAAAATAGGACAGACTAGCAAGCAAAAGGGGTCCAATGGTACTTACCACTTGGCAATAGTCCCATCTGGGTTGCCAAGATGTGTCCAGAGTTGGTTTCTTCTGGTGCAATCTTGGTCTCGCTGACTTCAAGAACGTAGCCACAGACCTTCACGGTGTTAACAGCTCTTAAAGGTGGCACAGACCCAAAAAGTGAGCAGCAGCAAGATTTATTGTGAAAAGCGAAAGAACAAAGCTTCCACAGCATGGAAGGGGACCCAAGCGGGTTGCTGCTGCTGGCTGGGGTGGCCAGCTTTTATTCCCTTATTTGTCCCTGCCCATGTCCTGCTGATTGGTTCATTTTACAGAATGCTGATTGGTCCATTTTACAGAGTGCTGATTGGTCCATTTTACAGAATGCTGATTGGTCCATTTTACAAACCTCTAGCTAGCTACAGACCACTGATTGGTGCATTTTACAATCCTAGTTACAGAGTGCTGATTCGCGCATTTTACAATCCTTTTGTGAGACAGAAAAGTTCTCCAAGTCCCCACCCGACCCAGAAGTCCAGCTGGCTTCACTTCTCACTACCTCCCACACAATGCAAAAAAACAAAAAACTCACTCCAACAAAATGATGGTCTCCAGTGTCCACTTGAATAGGTAAATGATGCCCCACAAAAGTTAATTTCCAACTGTTTATTCATTCAATCTCAGTCTGACAATGTGCTCTCCACTGTGCCAAGGCTGTGAAGCTATTTATAAAAAGACACTTCCTATGACCTTGCACCTATTGTTTCCATTAAAATATGCAAGTCCTGTCTCCTAGAGTCTAGCTTGTTTCTTCACACATTTCAGGCAGCAACTCACCATCTGGTTGCTGGTACCATATTTGAGTACCCAAACTAGCCAAGTGGATTCTGTCAGGGTATACGGGGCAGACGTGAAAGATGGGCCCCACAATCCAATCTATATAATTTATTACTAAATAGTTACTATGCTGTGGGCCAGGCCTGGTAGCTCATGCCTATGATCCCAGCAGTTTGGGAGGCCAAGGCAGGTGGATCACCTGAGGTCAGGAGTTTGAGACCAGCCAAGCCAACATGGAGAAACCCCATCTCTACTAAAAATACAAAATTAGCCAAGCGTGGTGGTGCATGCCTGTAATCCCAGCTACTCGGGAGGCTGAGGCAGGAGAATTGCTTGAACCCGGGAGGCAGAGGTTGTGGTGAGCTGAGATCATGCCATTGCACTCTAGCCTGGGCAACAAGAGTGAAGCTCCATATCAAAAAAAAAAAAAAAGTTACTATGCTGAATAATTTTAAGGAAAAAATATGATTAGGGGAAGATGAGAAGAAATAGAACACCTGGTAAAAGGCATGAACTTTCTGATAACTTCAGTTGCTATTCTTGTTTATCTAAATATTTAGCTTTCTTTTCTTCTTTAAAGAAATCCTTGAAATTATCAAGCCTATAATATTCCTAGGCATCGTAAAACCTCTTAGCCACTTAGAGCTTCAGTCAGCTGAGGCTACTTTCAGCTTTAGCAGTTATACCCTTTTGATGATTTCTTTCATTGCCTGTTATAACTGTATCATTGATAGTTGAGCTGCTGTCAGCCAGCAACCATTGATCTCTTCTCAACAACCAGATTCAGGTAAGACCTCAGATACTCCTTTCTGTAGCTAGATCCCATTTGCTTTTACATTTCCTCTGCTAAGTCAGAAAAAGAGAAGATGGAGGCCTAGCGTGGTGGCTCATGCCTGTAATCCCAGCACTTTGGGAGGCCGAGGTGGGCGGATCATGAGGTCAGGACTTCAAGACCAGCTTGAACAACATGGTGAAACCCCGTTTCTACTAAAAAATACAAAAATTAGCTGGGCATGGTGGCGTGCGCCTGTAGTCCCAGCTACTCAGGAGGCTGAGGCAGAAGAATTGCTTGAACCTGGGAGGTGGAGGTTGCAGTGAGCAGAGATCACGCCATTGCACTCCACCCTGGGTGACAGAGTGAGACTCCGTCTCAAAAAAAAAGAAAAAAGAAAAAGAGAAGATGGAAAAAAGATCACGTCTTTTCCCTCATCCACCTGAGATCCTCTGACTCTCACTTTCCAATGGCAATCCAGTTGCCTAAGTTACTAAGTTTCTAACTAGGATAGCTCCTACACACTCTATAAAGCCTACTCCTCCAGCTTCCCCCACTGTTCTAATGAACCACTAATTAGCTTCAAAAGATTATCTTTAGTGAAGCAGACCTTTCCAAAGTTCTTAAACAGCTATGAAAAGATTATAAAGAGAATTCAAGATCTGAGATCAGGGATCAGTAAGCTTTTTCTGTATCAACCAGATGATAAATATTTTAGGCTTTGCAGGCCACGTATGTTATCTGTCAAGACTACTTAAGTCTCCCATTATAGCTTGAAGGAGGACATAGACGGCCAGGCATGGTGGCTCACGCCTGTAATCCCAACACTTTGGGAGGCCAAGGGGGGTGGACCACGAGGTCAGGAGATCGAGACCATCCTGATGAAACCCTGTCTCTACTAAAAATACAAAAATTAGCTGGGTGTGGTGGCACGGGCCTATAGTCCCAGCTAGTTGGGAGGCTGAGGCAGGAGAATCGCTTGAACCAGGGAGGCAGAGGTTACAGTGAGCTGAGATCCTGCCACTGCACTCCAGCCTGGCAACAGAGTGAGACTCCATCTACACTAAAGTCTAAATTTCACGTAATTTTTATGCGTTACAAAATATTCTTCTTTAAAAAATGTTTAATATTAATGTAAAACCATTCTTAGCTCACAGGCAGCAGGCCAGATTGGGCTCGTAGGTCATAAATTGTCAATATCTGCCTCAGGCGACTAAATGCCCAAGTATGCTCCAACAGTTAATTGTATAATAATAAATAGTAATAAGTCAGTCTGGGCGTGGTGGCTCACACCTGTAATCCCAGCACTTTGGGAGGCCAAGGCAGGTGGATCACCTGAGGTCAGAAGTTCAAGACCAGCCCAGCCAACATGGTGAAACACCATCTCTATTAAAAATACAAAAATTAGCTGGGTGGTGGTGGGTGCCTGTAATCCCAGCTACTCAGGAGGCTGAGGCATGGGAATCGCTTGAATCCGGGAGGCAGAGGTTGTAGTGAGCTGAGATCGTGCCACCACACTCCAGCCTAGGGGATAGAGAGAGACTCTGTCTCCAAAAAAAATGTAATAAGTCAAAGAAGACAGGTGGGGTGCAGTGGTTCACTCCTGTAATCCTAGCACTTTGGAAGGCCAGGGCGGGCAGATCACTTGAGGTCAGAAGTTCAAGACCAGCCTGGCCAACATGATGAAACCCTGCCTCTACTGAAAATACAAAAATTGGCCAGGCATGGTGGCGTATGCCTGTAGTCCTAGCTACTCGGTTGACTGAGGCATGAGAATCGCTTGAACCCAGGAGATGGAGGTTGCAGTGAGCCAAGATCATGCCACTGCACTTCAGCCTGGGCGACAGAGCAAGACTCTGTCTCAATAAATGAATAAATAAGTAAATAAATAAGTCAAAGAAGACAGACATCAGCCGGGACCAAAAGAATCAAAAACTTCCTGGGGAAAGTGAAATTTGGGTTAGGCCTTAAACGAAGAGTAGAATATAAACAAATGGAGAATGGGAGAGAAGAAAGAGGAAAAGATGTGTCTCTTCAGTATCCGAGTGACAATAAGAAAAAAAATGGTGAAAGAAAACTCAGGTTTTGAATGGAGAAATTGCAGGAGATATGGCAGGGTCCTGAATATCAGAGTAAGGAATTTAAATTTAGCCTTCATACAAATAGCACCTTTAGTTTATTCTTGCAGAAGAAACATAGGACTGATTTGACAAGAGAAAGACTAAGAGCAGGAAGGCCAAGATGAGGACGCTGCAGTTGTACAAAGTGTAGGATCTTGGGTGAGCGTAGTGACAGTAACAGAAGAGAAGAGACAGCATCAAGAAACATGTGACATAAGAAATCTACAAGACTTGGTGACTAGAAAGATTTAGAGGAGGATTCACAGTGATTTTGGAATTCAAGATCGGGAAATTGGGAAAATTCTTCAAACTTTCATTGGCTATTAAGCACACATTATGACCAGGACAGATGCTGAGTGTTTGGATAGAAAAACCTACACAACATAGAGCTTATGGTGTGGTAGGGGAGAGACAGTCATGTGAATGCAAAGGCATGATATTGTTATAGGTTATCTGATAGAAGTCTGGGCAAGTGCAGTGGGAGTCCAGAGAAAGGAACAGAATGAAATGCAATCTGCAGAGGCATTAGAAGTGACTACTCAACCTGAGCCACACAGTGAGACTCCATCTCTACAAAAAATAAAAATAAAAATTAGCTGAGTGTGATAGTGTGCACCTATAGTCCCAGCTACTTAGGAGGCTGAGGCAGGAGGATCGTTTGAGCTCAGGAAGTTGAAGCTGCATTGAGCCATGATCACACCACTGCATTCCAGTCTGGGTGACAGAGTGAGACCCTGTCTCAAAAAAATAAAAATAAAAAAGAGTGACTATTAAGAACAGCAAGATTTGTCCAGGCACAGTGGCTCATGCCTGTAATCCCAGCACTTTGGGAAGCCAAGGCAGGAGGATATTTTGAGCTCAGTAGTTCAAGACCAGCCTGGGCAACATAGTGAGACCCCGTCTGTACAAAAAATAAAAAATAAAAATAAAAAGAACAGCAAGATTTCCTGGAACTAGAGTTGTAGATTTTAGAGACATTCACATACTGAGATGAGGGTGAACGAAATGAAGCATATAAACTCTGTAAACTGTGATGTTAAAATATTAGACATTTTTACTTTTTACCAGAGCCTTGTGTAGAAATTAAGCATTAGGGAAGAACATGAAAGAAGGGTAGGAAGGTTAAGATCAAGCTTTAGGTCACAGGCGTGGCAGCTCACACCTGCAATCCTGACACTTTGGGAGGCCAAGGCAGCTGGATCATTTGAGGCCAGGAGTTTGAGACCAGCCTGACCAAGAGGGCGAAATACTGTCTCTACTAAAAGTACAAAAATTAGCCAGGTGTGGTGGCAGGCGCCTGTAATCCAAGCTACTCTGGAGGCTGAGGCACGAGGATTGTTTGAGCCCAGGAAGTGGAGGTTGCAGTGAGCCAAGATTGCACACGGCACTCCAGCCTCAGTGACAGAGCAAGACTCTATCTCAAAGAAGAAAAGAAAAAAAAAAAAGAGCATTTGGGAACAAAAAAAACCCATAGTTTCCATAGTTTTTCCTAACCCATGGGCCTAGAAAAAAGGAGGATCAATTAGAGAAGAAAGAAAAAAAGACCTATTAGAAATAGAAATGGAGAACCAAGAATACATAACATCATAGAGGTTAGGGAGAATAAGTTTCAAAGAAAAGAAAATAGTTGTTAGGAGGTCAAAAGCAGAAGGGAGTTTGGTTGATTGGGAGAAACATGAAAGAAAGCCCATTGAATTCAATAGACCACAGGTGATTGGTGGTAAATTTAAAGAAAGAAGATTAAAACCAGATTATAAGTCTCAAAAGAAAGGAACTCTTCCTGTTCAAAGTGTTTGTGCCAGAATCTGGGAGGCCAAATAGGACACAACAGGCCCAGACTGGATATTTGGCTCAGTAGATACCTGAATGAGGTCAGCCAGATAGCAAACGCAAACATGGCAAGTAGGAACAGCAGGTAGGAACAGTTCAGAAGTATGAAAGGAGTCACGAATAGGACTAGAAGACTAACGGAAGTCTGGCCAGGCAGGAGGATTGCTGGAGCCCAGAAGTTCGAGACCACTCTGGGCAATATAGTGAGACCCTGTTTCTTCAAAAAATAAACAAAATTAGCCAGGTGTGGTGGCATGCACCTGTAGTCCTAGCTACCTGGGAGGACAAGGAAGGAAATTCATTCACTTGAGCCCAGGAAGTGGAGGCCACAGTGAGCAGTGGTCACACCACTGCACTCCTGTCTGGGCAACAGAACAAGGCCTGTCTCCGAGTTTATTTTATTTTATTTTGTTTTATTTTTTAATTAATTAATTATATATTTTGAGACAAAGTCTCCCTCTGTCACCCAGGCTGGAGCGCAATGGCACGATCTCGGTTCCCTGCAACCTCCGCCTCCCAGGTTCAAGGCATTCCCAAGCCTCAGCCTCCTGAGTAGCCGGGGTTATAGGCACCACCACCACACCTGGCTATTTTTTGTATTTTCAGTAGAGACGGGGTTTCACCATGTTGGCCAGGCTGGTTTCGAACTCAAGTGATCCACCTGCCTCGCCTCCCGGAGTGGGCATGAGCCACCACGCCCATCATGTCTCAGAATTTTTTTTTTTTTTTTTTTTTTTTTTTGAGACGGAGTCTCGCTCTGTCGCCCAGGCCGGACTGCGGACTGCAGTGGCGCAATCTCGGCTCACTGCAAGCTCCGCTTCCCGGGTTCACACCATTCTCCTGCCTCAGCCTCCCGAGTAGCTGGGACTACAGGCGCCCGCCACCGCGCCCGGCTAATTTTTTGTATTTTTAGTAGAGACGGGGTTTCACCTTGTTAGCCAGGATGGTCTCGATCTCCTGACCTCATGATCCACCCGCCTCGGCCTCCCAAAGTGCTGGGATTACAGGCGTGAGCCACCGCGCCCGGCCTCAGAATTTTTTTTAAAAAAAGCTATGAAAGGCCGGGCGTGGTGGCTCACACCTGTAATCCCAGCATTTTGGGAGGCCGAGGTGGGTGCACCACGAGGTCAGGAGTTCAAGACCAGTCTGGCCAATATAGTGAAACCCCATCTCTACTAAAAATACAAAAAGTAGCCGGGCATGGTGGCGTGCGCCTGTAGTCCCAGCTACTCAGGAGGCTGAGGCAGGAGAATCGCTTGAACCCAGAAGGAGAAAGTTGCAGTGAGCCGAGATCAAGACACTGCACTCCAACCTGGGTGACAGAGCTGTGAAAGACAGCAGCTAGGCCAAGTGCGGTGGCTCACACCTGTAACTCCAGCACTTGGGAGGCAGAGGCAGGTGGCCCACCTGAGGTCAGGAGTTCAAGACCAGCCTGACCAACATGGTGAAACCCAGTCTCTACTAAAAATACAAAATTAGCCAGATGTGGTGGTGCATGTCTGTAATCCCAGCTACTTGGGAGGCTGAGGCAGGAGAATTGCTTGAACCCAAGAGGCAGAGGTTGCAGTGAGCCGAGATCATGCCACTGCATGGCACTCCCAGCCTGGGCA
This sequence comes from Homo sapiens, assembly GCF_000001405.40. Classification (NCBI taxonomy): domain Eukaryota; kingdom Metazoa; phylum Chordata; class Mammalia; order Primates; family Hominidae; genus Homo; species Homo sapiens. The sequence continues at coordinate 161,243,515 of NC_000001.11, read as the reverse complement.
ACAAGAGCAAAACTCCATCTCAAAAAAAAAAAAATTAAAAAATTAAAAAAGAAAGCAGCTAAAAGGGAAATAGAAATGTATTCAGATGATAGTGCTAGCAAAATGCCTGGCACAAAGTAGATACCCATTACATATTTATTGAATGAATGAGTGTGCTCATTCACAAACAATAGCATATGATGTTGCATGAAAAGAGCACGGGTTTGAAATCAGATCTTAATTTGTATCCTAGTCCATTTATTCATTCCATAAATATTTATTATATATGCTTGGAGTACATAAGACCCTAAGGATCCCCAAATGACAGGTGCAGCCCTTGACTTCATCAACTCACAGTTGATTGATAGAGTCAAAAAGAAACAGTCAGTTGTTCTGCAATGTGATAAGTGCTGTCACAAATTTGTGTACAGAGGTGTAGATCTATTAGGCTCACAGAGGTGATCTGCTCTACCCAGGCCTGAAGGACCAAGAGGATCAGGAGGATCGAGGAGGAGGGTTTGAAAGTAAGGGTGTGTGACGTGATTCCAACCAGAGGGAACAACAAGGGCAGTTGTTCAGAGGTGAGTGAGCACAGCTTGTTCAGGGAACTCTAAATGCCTAAGCACATCTAGAGCCAAAGTGTGATGTGCTAGGTCAGGGGAGGGAAGTGGGGACAGAATAGATGAGGCCAGAGTGATTAAATAGGGGCCAGATCACAAAGGACTTTGTGTGACATGCTAAAGAGATTGGATTTTATCGTGAAGGTGATGGAAAGCAAATGAAGAATTTTAAGCAGAGGAGAGACATGATCAAATTTGCATTTTAGAAATAGCAACAGCATGGAGGATGGGTTGGAAGGAGATGAGGCTGGGAGCAGGGAGAATAATTGAATAGTCTACTGCAGCAGTAAGTGAAAAATGATGAGGGCCTAAACTCAGCTAAGAGGTAGTGGGCATGTAGAGGTCAGAAGATAGGAATGACAGGTCATGGCATTTGGTCATTTATAGGGAGTGAGGGAGAGAAAGGAGACTAGGTGACTCACCAGTTTCTGGTTTTGTATCTGGGAGAAGACAGCAGTAAAAGGGGAAGGAAACGAAGAAGGTAAGAGAATGAATATGTGTTGATTTCCTTCCATATTTCAAGCACCGTGTAAGGAATTTTACATTTTACTACTTTATTACTTTGTTTAATCTTCACAGCAAACCTGGATAATGAGTGTTTTAACCCTTTTTTTTTCCAGGTGAGAAAACTGAAATTCAGAGAGCTTAACCCATCAGGTCACAATCCTCACAGGTGTTTTTCAGACCCTGGCCTGGAAAAGGCATGTTGGAAGAGGGTGAGGGTGTCAGTTAACCCTGAAAGCCTGTTCACCATGGATGCCAGGGGCATCCTGCAGCAGATTCCACTCTCCATCTGCATTACAGCAGTGACCCTGAAGCCAGGGGAGGGTTTGTGTACACAGAAGAGCAAACTCAAAGCAGTCTGTTCCCAAGGCAACCCCATCTCAAAGAACTTCAAGGTGGACTTCTCCAAGAAGAACAAGGCTCGGTGTAATCCCTGGCCCCAGGTGAAGGGCATCCCTGGACCAGAACATCTTTCTAGCCTAGCCTCTCCCTAAGCATTCAAAGCTGATGTAGGAAGAGGAAGTATGCCTCCCTTCCCTGGTCCGGTATTGGCTCAGCCTGATGATATCTGATTCCCAGGGCCCCATGGAGCTGGGTCTCAGTCACGTCAAACAATTAGAGAAGTGGCAAAAAATAAGTAATTCAACTAGCAAGAGCCAGTCAGAATTTGAACCTAAGTCTATATGACCCCAAAGCCCATGTTCTTTCCACTTTCTCACATTGGACTAGTCACCAAGTTAGGTAACATAGGAAAAGTTAGTTTGTGGGGGATTGACAATTCAATTTGAGACATATTGAATTTGAGGTGTCTATGTGACATCCAAGTGGAGTCATCTAATAAACTGTTGGGTATATTGGCCCTTGTATAAGCTATCTAAACACTCTGAGCCTCAGTTTTCTCATCTGTAAAATGATGATATTACCTATCTTACAGTGTTAACACAGGCAAGGATTTTTACATAGTACTCTGCTCATACTGGGTACACAAGAAGAATAAATTAAGGGAGCAATTAATACCTATAATATTATACATAGTCTTTACCACAACCTTAAATCAAACATTTAAGGTTTGATTATATATTTTCTTTTAAGACCTAGGAATTCAATTTATGTATTCAGTCTTCATAATTAATCTGGAAGTGTCTCTGTAATAGGGACTCTCTTTTGTCTCTCCTTCTGGTGCCTAATCATGAGTGGACACTTGATAACTTATTGCTGGAGTAAATTGTCAACTGTGAAAATGGATTGGCACCCAAGTATGGAGGGCCCTTGTCCTTCTCCTGTAGTCTGTCTCCCAATTGGCGATACTACCATCCACTCAGTCACCCATGCCAGAAACCTGGAGTCATCTTTAATTCCTCGTCCTCTTTCTTAATCCAGGCACTCTAGTAGTCACCAAATTCCAATAATTCCACTTTCCATGTATTTCTCAAAACCCTCTCCTCCCCTACATCCTTCCACTATCTTAGCTCCAGCTTAATCTTCTCTCACCTACATTATGGCAATAGCTTTCTTCTTCTTCTTCTTTTTTTTTTTTTTTTTTTTTGGTAGGGGGGACGGAGTCTTCCTCTGTTGCCCAGGCTGGAATGCAGTGGTGCAATCTCGGCTCACTGCAACCTCTGCCTCCCAGGTTCACGCCATTCTCCGGCCTCAGCCTCCCAAGTAGCTGGGAGGCACCCGCCACCGTGCCCAGCCAATTCTTTGCATTTCTAGTAGAGACGGGGTTTCGCCGCGCTAGCCAGGATGGTCTCAATCTCCTGACCTCATGATCTGCCCATCTCGGCCTCCCAAAGTGCTGGGATCACAGGCATGAGCCACCACACCCGGCAGGCAATAGCTTACTAACTGGTCTCTTTGCCTTCAGTCCTACCCCCTCAAATCCAACAGCCAGCAGAGTAAATGATCTAGAATATAGACATGACAATGTCATTTCACAGCTTTCTCTTTCAAAGTTTCCTGATGGACTCAAAGTGTTTAGCCTGACACATGAGGTCTCCTGTGATCTGCCTACATCTCAGCCTTATATCCCACCTCTCCAGCCTTATCTCTTCCCACTCCCAGCCTGAAATGTTATACTCCAGTAAGAGAGGCCCGTCTGTGGTTCTACCATATCTACCTTTTTGTATCTGGCTTCTTGACCATCTCAGGTTGCACCCTCTGCCTGAACTGCCTTTTATATTCCCCCTAGCTAACTCATCATTACCCTGTAAAAGTCAACTCAGTTGCCACACCTCCAGAAAGCCTCTCCTGCCTCTTCCTCGACACCCCTTTTCCAAAGCAGAATTAGGTGCCCCGCTATTTCAGTGCCATAATGCTCTGTGCATGGCACCATCACTGATCTGACCATATTTCTTTATATCTGTGTAAAGGTCTGTCTCCCCCATTAGCGATTAAAATTCATGAGGGTAGGAGAGCATCTTACTCATCTTTTAACTCTAGTATCTAAGACATAGGTGGATTCTTGGTCAATATTTGTTGATTGAATAAATTAGTATGAATTGTCAGAGTCACAAAGACACCAACAGATACATACACATAAATATTCTTACCATCTCCCAAGGAACAGATCCAAGCATCTGTGCTCTCTGGAACTCAGTTTATTTCAAAATACAAAGTTATGCATAGTTAGATGCTATACCACTTGAGATTAGGGGTTCTACCAACTCATTCTGGTAACCTAAACAAGGATCTTTTTAACTCAGTCTCTCTCTCTGTGTGTGTGTGTGTGTGTGTGTGTGTGTGTATGACTCCAGCCTGCACTTGGGGTTTTAACTCATCTTTAGAGAAACATTAATTATAATTTAATGCAAATGAAGAAGCAGAAGACATAATAGCAAAACAAAGAAAAATAGGCCGGGCACAGTAGCTATTATTACAGGTGCACGCCTGTAATCCCAGCACTTTGGGAGGCCGAGGCGGGCGGATCACGAGGTCAGGAGTCCGAGACCAGCCTGGTCAACATAAACCCCAGCTCTACTAAAAGTACAAAAATTAGCTGGGTGTGGTCGCTCTGTCACCCAGGCTGGAGTGCAGTGCTGCGATCTCGGCTCACTGCAACCTCTGCCTCCCGGGTTCAAGTAATTCTCCTGCCTCAGCCTTCCACGTAGCTAGGAATACTAGCGTGCGCCACCATGCCTGGCTAATTTTTGTATTTTTAGTAAAGACAGGGTTTCACCACGTTGGCCAGATCTCTTGATCTCATGATCTGCCCAACTCGGCCTCCCAAAGTGCTGGGATTACAGGCATGAGCCACCCCGCCCAGCCAAAAAAAAAATATTTTTTAAAAATAGCACTTTATTATTATTATTATTAGAGATAGGGTCTTGCTATGTTGCCCAGGTTGGATTCAAACTCCTGGGCTCAAACCATTCTCTCCCTGTCTCCAGAGTAGGGGGATGTACAGGGCATGTCACTGTGCCCTGTGGTCACTCTGATTTGATTCTCAGCCCTCCCTAGTTAGGAAGTGAGAGGGCTCTTTCCGTAAGCTCTTACTTAGATCGTAGTCTCTCTCTCTCTCTCTTTTTTTTTTTTTTTTAGACGGAGTCTCACTTGTTCTGTGCCCAGGCTGGAGTTCAGTGGCATGATCTCAGTTCACTGCAACCTCCGCCTCCCGAGTTCAAGCAGTCCTCCCACCTCAGCCTCCCAATTAGCTGGGATTACAAGTATGTGCCATCATGCCCAGCTAATTTTTGTATTTTTAGTAAAGACAGGGTTTCACCATGTTATCCAAGCTGGTCTCGAACTACTGACCTCAAGTAACCTGCCTGCCTCAGCCTCCCAAAGTTCTGGGATTACAGGTGTGAGCCACCGTGCCCAGCCCCTAGTCTCTTAAAAACTTTTTTTGGGGGAGCCTTGTGGAACTGTCACACCTCTTCTTTTAGTACTGACATACTGCGTGTGAAAAAGCTTGCTCTGTCTGTCTGCCTGTCTCTCTCTCTCTCTCTCTCTTCCCAGCTTGTTCAGGATCTCTGTACACAGAAGGCTGCAGATGTAGCCTTAAACTCATCAACAGGGAAAATCTCGATGAGTCTAATAAGCAGCAGCTTCCAATGAGTCACAAGGTTCCCACCCACTGGAGTCCCTCCCCGTGTGCCACCAACCAGCACTTTTGTCATGCTGGGAAAACCTCCCACCCAGGCCTTTGCCCTGAGTCCAGGGTCTGTGCCCTAACCCCACAGTCACTGAGAGCAACTGGAGGCCACATAAAACAGACATCTCTTGTTTTCCAGATACTACGGGTCATAATCCCTAACTCCAATCACTGGCAACTCCTGAGATCAGAGGAAAACCAGCAACAGCGTGGGAGTTTGGGGAGAGGCATTCCATACCAGATTCTGTGGCCTGCAGGTGACATGCTGCCTAAGAGAAGCAGGTAGGAAATCTGTTGGGGACCAAAGACTAAATGTAATAAAATACAGATAATGCTGGGGGCTAGGCATAGTGGCTCACGTGTGTCATTCCAGCACTTTGGGAGGCCAAGGTGGGGGGATCGCTTGAGCCCAGGAGTTCAAGACCAACCTGGGTTACATAACAGACCCCATCTCTACAAAAAAGAAAGAAAAGAGGCCAGGCGCGGGAGCTCATGCCTGTAATCCCAGCACTTTGGGAAGCCAAGGTGGGAGGATTGATCACTTGAAGTCAGGAATTTGTTTTTTTGTTTTTTTGTTTTTTGTTTTGTTTTTTTGGGTTTTTTTTGAGATGGAGTCTCGCTCTGTCGCCCAAGCTGGAGTGCAGTGGCGCAATCTCGGCTCGCTGCAACCTCTGCCTCCCAGGTTGAAGCGATTCTCCTGCCTCAGCCTCCCAAATAGCTGGGACTACAGGCACATGCCACGATGCCCAGCTAATTTTTGTATTTTTAGTAGAGACGGGGTTTCACCATGATGGCCAGGATGGTCTCGATCTCATGACCTGGTGATCCGCCCACCTCGGCCTCCCAAAGTGCTGGAATTACAGGCATGAGACACTGCACCAGGCCTAAGTCAGGAATTTGAAACCAGCCTGGCCAATATGGTGAAACCCCATCTCTACTAAAAATAAAAAATTAGCTGGGCATGGTGGCGGGCACCTTAATCCCAGCTACTCAGGAGGCGGAGGCATGAGAATCACTTGAATCTGGGAGGCGGAGGTTGTAGCGAGCCAAGATTGCACCACTGCCCTCCAGCCTGGGTGACAGAGCAAGACTCAATTTCAGGGAAAAAAAAAAAAAGGAAAGAAAGGAATAAGAGAGGGAGGGAGGAAGGAAGGAAGGAAAAGAAAAAAATATCCTGGTGTGGTGGTGTGTACCTATAGTTCCAGCTACTCAGGAGGTTGAGGCAGGAGGATCCCTTGAGCCCAGGAGTGTGAGGTTACATTGAACTATGATGCACTCCAGCCTAGGCAACACTAGGCAACAGAGTAAGACTCTATCTCAAAAAACAGAACAAACAAATAAACAAAAAAAAATAAACAAAAAAACCAACCTGGGCAACATGGCAAAACCCCATCTCTACAAAAAAAATAAATAAATAAATAAACAAAAATTAGCTGGACATGGTGGTCTGGACCTGTAGTCCCTGCTACTCAGGAGGCTGAAGTGGAGGATTGCTTGAGCCCAGGAGGCAGAGGTTGCAATGAGCAGAGATCTAGCCTAGGTGACAGAGCAAGAACTTGTGTCAGAAAAAAAAGAAAAAGAAAAAGAAAAAGAAAACCACAAAAGATAACGCCAGGGATCAAGTCAAGGGCATGTTTGGTTTGGTTTGGAAAGAGACTCTCTAGAAGGGACAGAAAAGGGTCAAGGGTGGCCCAAAACTGACTGCTGACCCCTCCTACATTCAGGAGTCTGTGACAGCCACCCCAACACGTGACGTCATGGCCAGTAGGGAAGATGAGCTGAGGAACTGTGTGGTATGTGGGGACCAAGCCACAGGCTACCACTTTAATGCGCTGACTTGTGAGGGCTGCAAGGGTTTCTTCAGGTGAGAGTCTCCTCCCCAATGGAAATAGCCCTCCAAACCAAACTCCCTATTAGTCAGCCTTTACACCCTCGCTGGTGCCCAAGCCTGTCCAGCTACATTACTCCTTTATCTTAGAGTCTAACTACCCTGTGGCTGGCATCCTACATCTTGCCAAACACATCACTGTATAAACTGGTGGCATAACAGAGGGAAAGCTGAATGTTTGTCTGATGGACACAGCCCATTAGTCAAGAGCATTTATTATGTACCCACTGCCTGTGAAGCACCTAGCTAGTACTACATCAACTAGGCTTTCTGGAGTGATCCTGTGTTGCCATGGAAATGCTTGAGATGTGTTGGATACTATCCACCCCTGGGGACCTTTGGGCACAGCTCAGATTAGTCCATTTCACCAGATTCCCAGGTCTTTTAGACCATGTCATCTCAGCCCCTCACCTATCCATTGCATCCCAGACTCTAACAACATCTCTGTGTCTCACAGGAGAACAGTCAGCAAAAGCATTGGTCCCACCTGCCCCTTTGCTGGAAGCTGTGAAGTCAGCAAGACTCAGAGGCGCCACTGCCCAGCCTGCAGGTTGCAGAAGTGCTTAGATGCTGGCATGAGGAAAGACAGTGAGTTGGCCCCCTACATCTCAAGAATCCATTGACTGCGTCTGTCTTTGTCCTTGTTCCCAACAGTGCATTCTCTACATAGCAGGCACAGTACTCTTTTTGAAACTAGTTGGATTATGTCACTATTCACTCAAGACATCCAATGGCTCCCCATCTCAAAGTACGTGATCTCATGATCTAGCTCTCCCACAACACCTTTCAGACTTTATTTCATACTCTTCCCCCTTTACTCAACCAATTCTAGCCACACTGACTTCACTGTCATTCTTAGAAACACCAGGCCGGGCGCGGTGGCTCACGCCTGTAATCCCAGCACTTTGGGAGGCCGAGGCAGGCGGATCACGAGGTCAGGAGATCGAGACCATTCTGGCTAACACAGTGAAACCCCGTCTCTACTAAAAAAATACAAAAAAAATTAGCCGGCCGTAGTGGCGGGCGCCTGTAGTCCCAGCTACTCGGGAGGCTGAGGCAGGAGAATGGCGTGAACCCGGGAGGCGGAGCTTGCAGTGAGCCGAGATCGCGCCACTGCACTCCAGCCTGGGTGACAGAGCCAGATTCCGACTCAAAAAAAAAAAAAAAAAAAAAAAAAACACCAAGCGCACTCTTCCCCAAGGCTTTTCCACTTGCCATTTCCTCTACCTGAAATGCTTTTCTCCTAGATAGCCACATGGCTAGTCTTGTCTTTTCTTTTCTTTCTATTTTTTTTGATAGAGTCTCATACTCTGTTGCCCAGGCTGGAGTGCAGTGGCGCCATCTCGGCTCACTGCAACCTCCGCCTCCTGCGTTCAAGTGATTCTCCTGCCTCAGCCTCCTGCATAGCTGGGATTACAGGCATGTGCCACCACACCCAGCTAATTTTTTGTATTTTTAGTAGAGATGAGCTTTCACCATGTTGACCACGCTGGTCTCAAACTCCTGGCCTCAGGCGATCTGCCCACCTCCGCCTCCCAAAGTGCTCAGATTACAGGTGTGTTTTTTATTTTCTATCTGTTGAGTATAGTGCCTGTCACCTAGTAGGTGCTCAATAACTTAATTAATGCTTTCTCTGTGCCAGGTAACTGTGCTATGCTCCCAAAGGAGGATGTAACTGGGGCTCACGGAAGTTAATTTGCCCAAGTTAATTCAACTAAAAACTTGTGCAGGCCGAGCACGGTGGCTCACACCTCTAATCCCAGCACTTTGGAAGGCTGAGACAAGAGGATTGTTGAGGTCAGGAATTCAAGACCAGCCTGGTCAACAGAGTGAGATGTCCTCTCTAGGAAAAGAAGAAGGAAGAAGAAGTTGTACAGTCAGTATTCAAACTCAAGTTTACCTGACTCCCAAACTCTTGCTTTTTCCATATCACACGATTCTCACTATGGAAGAATGAAAGGAAACTGTAGAAGTCAAAGGATCTTGGTCTGAATTCAAGATCTTGGTTTGATCTTGGATCTTTTGCAGAAGTCAAAAGATTTTGGTTTGAATTCAATCTATATTACTTATTTTGTGACCTTGGTTCTGTCACCAGAATCTAAGCCTGTCCACATTTCTAAAAAATGTGATTGGGCTGGGTGCAGTGGCTCACGCCTGTAATCCCAGCACTTTGGGAGGCCGAGGTGAGTGGATCACTTGAGGTCAGGAGTTCGAGACCAGCCTGGCCAACATGGTGAAACCCCGTCTCTACTAAAAATACAAAAAAAAAAAAAAATTAGCAGGGCGTGATGGTGGGTGCCTGTAATCCCAGCTAGTCAGGAGGCTGAGGCAGGGAGAATTGCTTGAACCCAGGGGGCAGAGGTTGCAGTGAGCCGAGATTGCTCCATTGCACTCCAGCCTGGGCGACAGAGTGACAGACTCCATCTCAAAACAAAACAAAACAAACAAAAAAATATATATATACACATATATATACACATATATACACATATATACATGTATACACATATATATACATATATACACATATATATACACACACATATACACACACACACACACACACACACACACACACACACACACACACACACACATATATATATGATGAATACCAGCCCTGCCTATCCTGGGGTTGTTTCATTCAGTGGGATTTAACCTCAGAAGTTTTGAAATTTTGCTAAAACATCAGATAAAGGTTTATTTGAAAGGATTATTTGATTATTTTTGAAGGATTATTTGAAAACATCATATAAAGTGATGTTCTAGGTATGAAGACCCCTCCCTCTACACTGTTTCCCCAAAAGCCCTCGCACCTTTCCTCACATCTTTCATACTTTCCTCGCCACCCTTCCCTTCTCCCCCACAGTGCAGTTTTCTGCTGCAGTTCTTCACAGGTTGGTGGAAGTGTATAGGAGCCCCCTGCCTCCTGGAGCCTCTAGGACTTTAGCCAAGCCCAAGAAAGTCTCAGGAATTCCCCCCACTGCCCCCATCCTTCGTTGTGCAGGGCAGCTGAGGGGCCCCAGATCAGGGACCAGCAGAGAGAAATGCTCTGCTGGTCTCAACAGCTTTGTCATGATCTCTTGCCTGGCACAGTGATACTGTCGGCAGAAGCCCTGGCATTGCGGCGAGCAAAGCAGGCCCAGCGGCGGGCACAGCAAACACCTGTGCAACTGAGTAAGGAGCAAGAAGAGCTGATCCGGACACTCCTGGGGGCCCACACCCGCCACATGGGCACCATGTTTGAACAGTTTGTGCAGTTTAGGGTGAGCACCGACAGGATTTGGGTTGGAATACAACTAAAAGGGCACCCAAAAATGCTGGTCTGAAGGAGAGGGGTGTATGCCATGCACTGATACTGAGAACAGATCTCCAGAACCCCAGCCTGAGCAGGCTTCTCAGCAAGGAACTCTTCCAAGATAAGGCTGGCGAGGCCTAAAGGAGGGCCCTAGGGCCAGAGCCTCTAGCTAATGTTCTGATCATTGCAGCCTCCAGCTCATCTGTTCATCCATCACCAGCCCTTGCCCACCCTGGCCCCTGTGCTGCCTCTGGTCACACACTTCGCAGACATCAACACTTTCATGGTACTGCAAGTCATCAAGTTTACTAAGGACCTGCCCGTCTTCCGGTGAGTGACCTCCCCTCATCTTTCAGGAGGCAAACACTTCAGTAAATTGTATATCCACCCCGAAAAGTCACTGACTACAAATTATCACATGCGTCAGCCTTTCCAAGCATTAGGTCTTGAATTCCCAGCTTTGGTTTTAAATGTGCCAATCAGAACTGGGAGTTCTTCTCCATCTCTGAAGTACAGGCTTGCATCTAAAGTGCCCTTGAGGTGCCGCGCAGTGGCTCACACTAGTAATCCCAGCACTTTGGGAGGCGGAGGCTGGCAGATCGCTTGAGTCCAGAAGTTTGAGACCAGCCTCAGCAACATGACAAAACCCCAACTCTACAAAAAATACAAAAATTAGCTGGGCATGATGGTGGGTGCCTGTAGTCCCAGGTACTCAGGAAGCTGAAGTGGGAGGATCACTTGAGCCCAGGAGGTTGAGGCTGCAGTGAGCTCAGATAGCACCGCTGCATTCCAGCCTGGGTGACAGAGTGAGACTCTGTCTCAAAAAATGAAAGCTAAAAATAATAATAATAGGCCAGGCACGGTGGCTCATGCCTGTAATCCCAGCACTTTGAGAGGCCAAGGTGGGTGGATCACTTGAGCTCAGGAATTTGAGACCAGCCTGGCCAACATGGTGAAATCCGTCTCTACTAAAAATACAAAACTTAGCTGGGTGTGGTGGTGGGCGCCTATAATCCCAGCTTCTCAGGAGGCTGAGGCAGAAGAATCACTTGAACCCAGGAGGCGGAGGTTTGCTGTAGCCGAGATCAGGCCACTACATCCAGCCTGGGTGACAGAGCAACACTCTGTCTCAAAAATAAATTAATTAATAAGAATAATAATAAGGTGCCCTTGTCGGCTGGGCACAGTGGCTCACACCTATAATCCCAGCACTTTGGAAGGCCAAGGCAGGAGGACTGCTTGAGCCTAGGAGTTCGAGACCACCCTGGGCAACATAGTAAGACTCCATCTTTACAAAAAATAAAAACATATAAACAAACAAAAAATTAAAAAGTGGGCCGGGTGCAGTGGCTCATGCCTGTAATCCCAGCACTTTGAGAGGTCAAGGCAGGTGGATCACCTGAGGTCAGTAGTTGGAGACCAGCCTGGCCAACATGGTGAAAACCCGTCTCTACTAAAAATACAAAAAATCAGCCAGGCATGGTGGCACACGCCTGTAATCCAAGCTACTTGGGAGGCTGAGGCAGGAGAATTGCTTGAACCCAGGAGGCAGAGGTTACAGTGAGCAGAGATCACGCCACTGCACTCCAGCCAGGGTGACAGTGAGACTCTGTCTCAGAAAAAAAAAAATTGAAAAGTGTCCTTGTTTCCTGCTTTCCACAGTTCCCTGCCCATTGAAGACCAGATCTCCCTTCTCAAGGGAGCAGCTGTGGAAATCTGTCACATCGTACTCAATACCACTTTCTGTCTCCAAACACAAAACTTCCTCTGCGGGCCTCTTCGCTACACAATTGAAGATGGAGCCCGTGGTGAGATGGTGCTAGAGCAATAGGGGGCATGTGTCCTCATGGTACAGGATGTGGTCAGGTGACCTAGAGGCTCCTAATCCTAGTATCTCCCACAGTGGGGTTCCAGGTAGAGTTTTTGGAGTTGCTCTTTCACTTCCATGGAACACTACGAAAACTGCAGCTCCAAGAGCCTGAGTATGTGCTCTTGGCTGCCATGGCCCTCTTCTCTCCTGGTGAGCACCTCCCAAAGCCCAGAGCCTTTTGCTGCACCACCTCTGCCCAAATACTCAGCTCCTTGAGTCCATCCACCCAGGCCTTCTAGCCTAGCTATCAAACCTGCAGACTAGGTCTATCCCAGCCTCAGTCCCCGGGGCACCACGCAGGCCCACCCCTGCCACCCAACTTGTCCTTCCCAGCTCCCTATCTTACAGACCGACCTGGAGTTACCCAGAGAGATGAGATTGATCAGCTGCAAGAGGAGATGGCACTGACTCTGCAAAGCTACATCAAGGGCCAGCAGCGAAGGCCCCGGGATCGGTACGGTGGGACACTGAGGGCTTGGAGGCCACACCAGGGCAGGAAGGGGTTGGTGAAACATTGAGCTTGGGAGGAATGTTTTTTTACTGTCCTTTCCTTAGGGAATTCAGGTATCGTGGGGTCTAGTCCTTCCCCCTGGCCATCCCTGTCTCACATCGTTTCAGCATCCAAATTGCTGTATTTGGATACTGCTGTTTCATCTCACTTTTTCCAGATTTTTTTTTTATTCAGTACAGATGCAAAGTAGTAGCTCAGAGGCTCTGGGTAATAGCATTCCTGAGATTGATGACATCCATTACCTCACTAGTCCAACTTCTCCAGACTAACGCAGACTTTTCTCTTCCCTTGGCCTTTCCTCTCCTCGCCATTGGGCCAATTCCTTCGATTTCTCATTTCCCTTGAAGTTAGGGCCATTCACAGTTTCATGGTCAAAGCCAGTTCCAGGTTCAATAGTCTGTGATTTATCCAGGCTCTGAGGTATGCACCGCTTCTGTTTTGCTCGTTCCTCCAAGAGCTAGTTTGGCCAGAAAGGGGATGCTTTATACCATAGAACACATCCACCTTCTAGAACCTGCTCTAGAAGGCCAGGCCCTCAGATTCCACATGGTTGGAGTTCTGGCCAAGTCTGGAGCTTTCTTCACACTCGGCTCTCAGAGCTCTGGGTTCAGAAAAAACTGAGCATGGTGAGAGAAGACAGTGTCAGACCGAGGCCCCCTGGAGGACCTTTGGAACCTCTGATAGTCTGTCATACCAGAGCATGATTTTCTCTAATGTTCAGACCTGGCTTCACTGAGGAATAGTTCAGGGGATCAGGGCCTAGAGACAAGACTCCCAACTGCCTTATTTCCCTCCTGTTTTCCTGGCAACCCCACTACTTCCTCCAAAGGTTTCTGTATGCGAAGTTGCTAGGCCTGCTGGCTGAGCTCCGGAGCATTAATGAGGCCTACGGGTACCAAATCCAGCACATCCAGGGCCTGTCTGCCATGATGCCGCTGCTCCAGGAGATCTGCAGCTGAGGCCATGCTCACTTCCTTCCCCAGCTCACCTGGAACACCCTGGATACACTGGAGTGGGAAAATGCTGGGACCAAAGATTGGGCCGGGTTCAAAGGGAGCCCAGTGGTTGCAATGAAAGACTAAAGCAATAACTGCCTCTTCATGCGGTCATGGGGATAGTGGGGGTGACCATAGGAACAAAGTTGTTCTCTGGAAGCACAGAAGATGGGAAGGAGGAAACCTCAGGGCTAAGAGGTAAAGAAGCTCCTTCTGGGAATGGGTGGGCCCCACTTCCTGAGACCAAACATCTAGCCCTTCAGCCCTACTTTCCCAGCCTTGGGAGGCTCTGGGATGGAAAACAGGATGGTCAGCTAATCCCATGCAGGATTAACCAAAGGGAAAGGAAGAAGGAAGCCTGAGGGCAAGGGGTGCCGGGGGAATTCAGCCATACCCCTTAATCCTTCTCCCTTAGTCCACAGCCACAAGAGCATGGGGAAGGTGATACTGGGGCTGGTAGCAGAGGGGGGATCCTCAAACCTCTGCCTCATCAACTGCCCCTGTGGCAGCTCCAGTTCTGAGGAGGGCATGGTCCTGTCCACCACTCTGCTCCTGGGTCCTAGAGATCACCCAGCAAGGTGGGCTCTGAAGAGGGGCCTAGTCTTTGGCCCTAGGGCACCTGACTCAGAGGTTCCAGCTGCTGTGGGGGCTGGCTCTGGACAACCTCAGCCCACAGTGATGCTGAAGCCACAATGGAATCTGTTGCGCCAGTGATTGAGGAAGGCTCCAAGGGCTAGGGTGACAGGCAGAGGGGGCATCTTCTTCTCCAGCACAGCACCTACACACCAGTTACTATCCACCAAGCCTGTTGGGGGAGAGAATACCCACTAGATTATTTAACAGGGATTGGAGGAAATAGTCACCAGAAGTAAGGTCGAGCTTCCCTCCCTCCTCTGCATCCCCCATTCCTCAGGATAGCCAAATGTCTCCCAATAACCCTCACCTCTAAATACCATGTTGGCCTGGGGCAGAGTCAGGTGGTAACCAAAGGAGAATGTTGTGTCTTGTAGCCTTGTGTTTGCCTCAAACTCCACTCCAACCTGAACCTGAGAACCATGGGCAAGGATGAGAGAGAGATCAGTATCAGTGAAGACCAGAAGGGTCCTGATGGGGAATCAGCAGAATGGAGGCATGCATGTAAATATATACACAGCGTGGTAGGAAGAAAAATAGGTCAGCAGGGCGATAGAGGTCCAGATGAACAGAAGTTCATGACTGACTTGCTGACAAGGAGGGAATGAGATCAGAGGTCTCACCTGTTCATTTGCCCTGTGGTAGTAACTTGCATGGGCCCCGCCTGATCCCACATTCAATGTAGCTACCCAGTGTACAGCTGTAAAATCCAAAGTACAGAGGGGAAGGAGTGTTAACTGTAGTATGACACAGGCCAGGAACCCCAGAAAAGTCCAGAATTGCCCCCCACCACCACCACTACTTCACTTCGCCCCATACCCGAGTACTTCCCAGCCAGTGTCAAGATGGCCCCCTCTTCGCCTGGCCGCCGGTGATAAACTAGCTCTCCTCCCAGCACCAGCCGATGAGTGAGGCTCTGCAGGAAGTGAGCAACCATGATCACTGTGGGGGAATGGGGAGACATGGAGTCAGTCATAGAGACAATATCCAGACCTGCTCCCTCACTCCCAATAACCGCCACCCCAGCCTGCCCAAGAAGTTCCTTTTCTAAACTCCAAACTGTACAGAAGATGAAGAGGCATAGTAACATTAGCAAATGGGCCGCCAAGATAAAAAGAACCCTGTCCCAGTTCCTCACCCGACTCCCCAATCAGGTCAGGATTTCCTAGGGTCAGAGTGGCTGTGTAGTCATCTCCCCGATACTCGCCATCAAACTGCCATGTCAGGAACTTGGCCTGCTGCGTCTGGGTGGCAAGAGCAAGAAGTAAAATCTCCCTCCCTCTTTATGATCATTATAGACTCTGCTCCTCCTTCCAAGCCCTCAGAGCAGGAAACCCGTGGAGGAGAAAGAGGAAGTGCCTCAGGGGATGGAGGCAGGAACTGTGGTCACCTGGAAGACAGCCTTAGCTCGGAGCCGCTCTGCCAAGAGGAGCAAGACCTGGGCGTTCAGGCTGCCACTGCTGTCCATATCCCCTACCACAGTGGGGAACACCTGTGGAAGGGTGTACACAGTAGTAAGGCTGAGCCGGATGGCACCACTCAGCCTAAACCCAAATATAGAACTTCATTAAGAGTGCACAGCGCCCCCTGGTGGAGTCACAAAGACACACTCTGGGCTCTTCACAGAAAATGTTTCTCTACCCTCTCTCATTCAGAAAAGACACAGAGAATCAGGTTACGGCCCATTCCTCCCCATAACACACACAATTCCTCTTCCTCCAGACCTGGGTCCCAGATTGGTTTTTAGGGAGATGACCCAGGTGTGTGGAGCCCTCACCTCAGTGGGACTGAGCTGCCAATCCCCTGCATAGGCCGCATGGAGGTGATATCCCGGCAAGCCCAGGGCACTCATGTGTATAGTGTGCGCCACCTGAGGAAAAGAGGATTCAGTGGAGAAAAGCGCATTCCTGCTCCACTTCAATCCCTCATCCCACCCTTAGTCTTTTCCCCATCCAGAGGGCCTCTCAAGAATCCTAAATATTCCAACATATACAGAGAAGGTCATCGGATTAAAAGCAACAAGTCCCACAGGCACGGAGGTAAAGAGAACCCCACATCCTCCCTCATTTGTCCCACATAGACTGGCTAGGGCTGGAGTACAAAGGAAAGGAGAAGATGATCCAGGGACAGGAAAGGGGGAATAGTAAGGAGGGGCCAGAGAAGTGGGAGCACCTGGAAATGGCTGCTCAGAACCTTGTTGACAACGAGCTTCACTCCCTCCATCTGTGCTGGGAATACATCTGAAGGGGGTAGGGGAAGGGAAGGAATAAGCACAGACAAAGAACCCCTACCCCAAAAGATAGTCTCCCCTTTCAATCCCATAGGGAACACTTTGGAGGAATTAACCTCCTTTCAAGTCCTGCAATGAAATGCTCCACTTCATTTGGGCACCTGATCCTCCCTGAGGCTGCATGACCCAGCTATGATCTCCCCTTTCCTGCTCCCATCGCCGGACATCCGGCATTCAAGACCCTCCACTCCTCTGCCCCTTCATCCTGAGACACCCAAGTGCCAAGTTCTCACCTTTGCATAGACGGTGCAGCTCATCGAAGCTCCCAGGGTTGGGCAGGGGTTCCTCTCGGCGGGGGCTCCGGCGGGGCAAAGTCCCCATTGGTGCCAGGCCCAATGTGTTCCCCATTTTAGTCCAGAGGACTGGGAAGAGCCGAGGTTAGCCTGTGAAAGGACGCTATTGCCCCTTTACCCCCCAACGGGCCCCACCCCCCATTATCCGGCTCCCCAGCCTCAGAAACTTCCACATGGTCCGACGCTACACCTGGAACAGGAAGAGTAGGGAAGGAGAGCACTCATGGAGAGACAACCCTAGGCACACTCCCGCCCCATCTTTGATCTCTCACCCCCACTTGTCACCCTTGTCCTCTCTCCCTTTCTCTGATCCTAGCCCCCACCACAGACTTCACCTAGCTCCCTAGCCTCTCTATTCTTCATTCCCAGGCCCCAAGACCAGGCCCGCAATGGTGCAGTATCCCTTACCATCTCAGACCATCATGCTGCCCCTTTCCCCCCGGCACACCCCGGTCATCTTGATGGGGGCAGCCATCTTGAGTGATGGCAGAACTGCAGCTTCACGCTGCATTCTTAGCGTGGCCGTAAGCGCCATCTTTGAATCTGGCAAAGAAAGCTGTCAAAGACCCAACCCAACCCTGATTGGGCCCCGCCCAATCAATGAAAAAAAAAAAAAAAAAAAAAAGCCTCGCTATTTACCATGGGCCAATGGGAAGGGAGGAAGAAAATGAGTGGCAGGTCTGACGGCCCAAGAGCTTCAACCCTGGAGCTGCAGAGGCGGGCAGGACTTGATTGGTGGCCCCTTAGACTTAAGTGGAAGGCTTTAGATCACTAGGCCTCTCCAAGGTCGGAAAAAAACTTGTGAGCGTACAAGACACTAGAGGGAGCATCTTGTAGCTTGGGCCACTGAAGCTCCTTCCACCCATGTAGTTTCATCCATGAGAAAAGTGGAACTACAGCTTGTAGACTGGCATAGTGTGAAGGGTGGCAGAAAGAACGATTATGAAGACTTCTTTGGAACCCTGGTTCATTTCTATCGCTCCCTTCTCTCCAAAGAACCCATGGGAAATCCTCCTCACAGCCCTCCACAGCACACCTCCAAATGAGTACTACTCATTAAGCGCAGCACTCCCTAGAACAGGGACCCACCCTTCTCTTCTGGAGGTCTACATCTCTCGAAGTCCCCGCTCTTGACCACTTGGTGGAATGGAAACGGGTGTGAGAGTTTGGCGCAGAGGAGTAAGTTCTAGCAGAACTATTCGCTGAAACAGCTGCTTTCTGTATTTAACCCTTCCTTCCCTGAGTCCCAAGGCAGAGTTGGCAAATAAAATCTAGGAATATGGAGCCTGGCCCCCAAAGGCACTCCATCCCAGGACCAGGGACAAGCCAAAGGGCTGACCTCAAGCACTAAGCGCTCCACAGGGGAATAATTGAAAATGGAGTAAGAGTTCTTGGTCTTGGAGGGTGAAGGGTGGGAGGAGGGAGAAGATCAGGAAAAATAACTAATGGATATTAGGCTTAATACCTGGGTGATGAAATAATCTGTACAACAAATCCCCATGACACAAGTTTACGTGTGTAACAAACTTGCATATATAGGCCAGGGGCGGTGGCTGATGCCTGTAATCCTAGCACTTTGGGAGGCCGAGGCGGGCAGATCACCTGAGGTCGGGAGTTCAAGACCAGCCTGACCAACATGGGGAAACCCCGTCTCTACTAAAAGTACAAAATTACCCGGGCGTGGTGGCGCATGTCTGTAATCCCAGCTACTTGGGATGCTGAGGCAGGAGAATCCTTGAACCCGGGAGGTGGAGGTTGCAGTGAGCCGAGATCATGCCATTACGCTCCAGCCTGAGCAACAAGAGCAAAACTCCGTCTCAGGAAAACAAACAAAAAAACCTGCACATATACTTCTGAATTTAAAACAAAAGTTAAAAAACAAAGATTTCTTGGTCTCTGGTCACTACCTCCCTCATCAGCTTTGCGCCTCCACTGTCACCCTCAGGAATGTTCCACATACTCAGCGAGTATGCTTGGGGGGCAAAAGGGTGAAAGATACAAAAGCTTCTGATATCTATTTAACTGATTTCACCCAAATGCTTTGAACCTGGGAATGTACCTCTCCCCCTCCCCCACCCCCAACAGGAGTGAGACAAGGGCCAGGGCTATTGCCCCTGCTGACTCAATATTGGCTAATCACTGCCTAGAACTGATAAGGTGATCAAATGACCAGGTGCCTTCAACCTTTACCCTGGTAGAAGCCTCTTATTCACCTCTTTTCCTGCCAGAGCCCTCCATTGGGAGGGGACGGGCGGAAGCTGTTTTCTGAATTTGTTTTACTGGGGGTAGGGTATGTTCAGTGATCAGCATCCAGGTCATTCTGGGCTCTCCTGTTTTCTCCCCGTCTCATTACACATTAACTCAAAAACGGACAAGATCATTTACACTTGCCCTCTTACCCGACCCTCATTCCCCTAACCCCCATAGCCCTCAACCCTGTCCCTGATTTCAATTCCTTTCTCCTTTCTTCTGCTCCCCAATATCTCTCTGCCAAGTTGCAGTAAAGTGGGATAAGGTTGAGAGATGAGATCTACCCATAATGGAATAAAGACACCATGAGCTTTCCATGGTATGATGGGTTGATGGTATTCCATGGGTTGATATGTCAGAGCTTTCCAGAGAAATAACTTGGAATCCTGCTTCCTGTTGCACTCAAGTCCAAGGACCTCAGATCTCAAAAGAATGAACCTCAAATATACCTGAAGTGTACCCCCTTAGCCTCCACTAAGAGCTGTACCCCCTGCCTCTCACCCCATCACCATGAGTCTTCCATGTGCTTGTCCTCTCCTCCCCCATTTCTCCAACTTGTTTATCCTCACATAATCCCTGCCCCACTGGGCCCATCCATAGTCCCTGTCACCTGACAGGGGGTGGGTAAACAGACAGGTATATAGCCCCTTCCTCTCCAGCCAGGGCAGGCACAGACACCAAGGACAGAGACGCTGGCTAGGTAAGATAAGGAGGCAAGATGTGTGAGCAGCATCCAAAGAGGCCTGGGCTTCAGTTGTGGAGAGGGAGAGAGCCAGGTTGGAATGGGCAGCAGGTAGGGAGATCCCTGGGGAGGAGCTGAAGCCCATTTGGCTTCAGTGTCCCCCAAACCCCCACCACCCTCTTCCTAGGCCGCCCTCCCCACTGTTACCAACATGAAGCTGCTCGCAGCAACTGTGCTACTCCTCACCATCTGCAGCCTTGAAGGTGGGTGTGATATGGAGAGGGGGCCAAAAGGGAGAATGTGCTGGTGGTTATAGCTACCTATCTGCCTGTGCTCTTATATCCAGGTCTGGCAACCAAAGGGCTCAAAAGGAAGATCATTCCCTCTCTAAAGCCCAGAAAGCCCATCCAAAGATCTGGCTGGATACCTTTTTGGGGAGGGGGCAGAGAGCTGGGGTGGGTACTGGCAGAGGTATGGCAGGAGGCCAGGATTCACTGCTGTGGACCCAGCTGAAAAGAGTGTGTGTGTGTGTGTGTGTGTGTGTGTGTGTGTGTGTGGGCAGGAGCTTTGGTTCGGAGACAGGCAAAGGAGCCATGTGTGGAGAGCCTGGTTTCTCAGTACTTCCAGACCGTGACTGACTATGGCAAGGACCTGATGGAGAAGGTCAAGAGCCCAGAGCTTCAGGCCGAGGCCAAGTAAGTCTCAGGGCAAGGGGTTCAGGGGCTGTGGAACTGTGGAGAGAAAGAAGGGAAGATGAGAGGTCCCACAGAAGTCTGAACCCAGGGGTGGGGATTAGGGCAGATTAGGCTTAAATTGCAGAGAAAAAGTATTTCATCACCCAAAGATCCCACACGTCTCTTAGATAGAGAGGAACAGCAAGAACTGGGCCTTGAATTTCAGTCTCTAGAGTCTGTCCCTCTACCTAGCAAAGGTCTTGACTCTATTCCTACCTAGGGGCTTTGCCATGCGATGGACCAGGCACTAGAGTTTGGGGACCTGAGTCAGTCTGCTCTGACCTCCCACCACCACCAAGGCCCCTGCCAGTGCCTAGGGTCCCTCAGATTAAACTCTAATCCCCTCACCTATCCAGGTCTTACTTTGAAAAGTCAAAGGAGCAGCTGACACCCCTGATCAAGAAGGCTGGAACGGAACTGGTTAACTTCTTGAGCTATTTCGTGGAACTTGGAACACAGCCTGCCACCCAGTGAAGTGTCCAGACCATTGTCTTCCAACCCCAGCTGGCCTCTAGAACACCCACTGGCCAGTCCTAGAGCTCCTGTCCCTACCCACTCTTTGCTACAATAAATGCTGAATGAATCCAGCTCTGAGCCTGGTATGTTTGGGGGACTGGGAAAAGTAGGGGAGTAAGGGAGGAGAAGAGGAAGGAAAAGGAAAAATCTGCTTCTAGAAGGAGAGAGGTTTGAGTGTGGAGGGGTGAAGAAAGGATTGAAGACACAACTGATGAAAATGACAGGATGAGGGTGCCATGATTCTCCAAACCCAGAGTCTCCTACAGCCTGGGCACGACTCTGCAGGTGAACACTAAAGAGGCTTTGCATTGCACAAGGAACTAGGAGAGGAAGGAAGGATTCACAAACTGAATCCCTCGATTTCTGGAGGTCATAGAAAATGAGGGTACCCTGGTGGGGTGCAGTGGCTCACACCTGTAATCCCTGCACTTTGGGAGGCCAAGGTAGGTGGATCACTTGAGATCAGGAGTTCCAGACCAGCCTAGCCAACATGGTAAAACCCCGTCTCTACTAAAAATACAAAAATTAGCCAGGTGTTGTGGCACGTGCCTGTAATCCCAGCTACTCGGGAGACTGAGGCATGAGAATCTTTTGAACCGGGGAGGCGGAGGTTGCAGTGAGCTGACATCGTGCCACTGCACTCCAGCCTAGGTGACAGAGCAAGACTCCGTCTCAAAAAAAAAAAAAAAAAAAAAAAAAAAAGAAAGTAAAGAAAAAAAGAAAATGAGGGTACCCCTCATAATTTCCTGTTAGTCATTCTATGAAGAAAAGAAAGCTTCCCAAGGTGTCACCCGTGGCCCTCCTTTCCCTTCTGAGCCAGGGGAACACTGTGTTTCCCCCTTTCCCACAATAAAAGACTTGAGTTTGCTCCTCTCCCTAGAAGTGCTCTAATTTCTCCATTTAAAACCTCTTATCTAGACCAGGCATCAAGGCTCACACCTGTAACCCCAGCACTTTGGAAGGCTGAGGTGGGAGACTCACTTGAGGCCAGGAGTTCGAGACCAGACTGAGAAACACAGTGAGCCCCCCTAATATATATATTTTTTTAATTAAAAACAAAAGACCAGCTGGGTGCAGTGGCTCACCTCTGTAATCCCAGCACTTTGGGAGGCCGAGGCAGGCAGATCACCTGAGGTCAGGAGTTCGAGACCAGCCTGGGTAACATGGTGAAACCCTGTCTCTACTAAAAATACAAAAATTAGCTGGGAGTGTTGGCACATGCCTATAATCCCAGCTACTCAAGAGACTGAGGCAGGAGAATCGCTTGAACCCGGAAGGTGGAGGTTGCAGTGAGTCGAGATCACGCCATTGCACTCCAGCCTGGGCACCAAGAGTGAATCTCCATCCCAACAACAACAACAACAACAAAAACCCTCTTATCTAGACACTGTCTGTGGAAGACCCATTCCAAGCCTCTCCTCCACTGCTATCCAGGCACTATTCATAGAACTGGCCTGGTAGCCATCTTGGAGCCTGGAAGTAGTAGCTGTGGTAGCCATTTAAAGGCCTGGCAAGTATCCAATTCGGTGGACATGTGGGACTAGAAAAACTTTGGGAGCTGTGATACCTGGATTAAATGAAAATGGAATGGAAATCAGTCCGGGTTGATGGGGAGAGACTTACAATCCCAAAAGGCAGAGCAAAGGAAAATGAAACATTTTCCAATAAAAGTTTATTCCCACTTTATCTTTAAAAGAGTTACTTCCAGGTCAGGCTCGGTGGCTCACACCTGTAATCCCAGCACTTTAGGAGGCTGAGGCGAGCAGATCACGAGGTCAAGAGATCAAGACCAACATAGTGAAACCCTGTCTCTACTAAAAATACAAAAAAAATTAGCTGGGCATGGTGGTGCCTGTAGTCTTAGCTACTCGGGAGGGTGAAGCACGAGAATCTCTTGAACCCAGGAGGCAGAGGTTGCAGTGAGCCCAGATCATGCCACTGCACTCCAGCCTGGTGATAGAGGGAGACTCCATCTCAAAAAAAAAAAAAAAAAAAAAAGTTACTTTCCTACCCTGGCTCATTTCTCTTATCTCATCTGAAATCACCTTTCCCCCGCCAGACACCGGAGATGGCTCCAATTCCTTCCAGATATTGATCAACCTGCTTCATCTGGCCTTCAAGACCCTCGCCATTCATGATTACTCACTACCCCTTCTCTTTCCCAATATCTGCTTCTTCTCATGTGGCAAAATGTGCAGAGACGAAAGTGATCTCAGTCGGTTCCTTGCAAGGTGACCTTGGACAGGTTAATTAACTTCAAAGAGCCTGAATTTCCTCACAGGGTTAATTAGCAGATCAAATGGTACAATGAGCTGGAAAATACTTTGAAAAGTGTAAGTCACTATGCAGTGTGAAGTGTTGTGCAGCACTGTGGAGGTTGGGGGTTATGCCAGGGGTAAGCTTGGAGTCTCTAGACCCATTCTGAAAAGACTGGGTCACGAGTAGGACTGGCAGCATCTCCTGAGGTTTAAATTCTTTCAGGCAAATATTCCTCGTAGCTCTGAAAACAGGACAGGCATTGACAGGGCCTTGACCACCACCCATGCACTTGAAGGAGATGACCCCCCCATTTGGACCCAACTTATTTCCCTTTGCCTTACCTACCACTGACCCATCTGGCCCTCTAAGGTCCCACTTGCCCCAGATGCCCTGAAAATTCACTGTTGCTATAAAACCTTCCATTAGGAGCTTCACTCAGCCCTAGTTACACCATCCGTTCTGCATATTTGGCTTTTCAGCTATGCTAATTCCCATATGCATGTACTGGATTGATGCTGTCTGGATTGGTGGCCATCTGGGGACACCCAGCCTCCCCTACAACCCAACCTTGGTTCAATTGTCGAACACAGAAGGCCATGCTGATACAGAAGTCATTTCTTATGTTTCCAAATATGCCTAGACTCCCAACACACTAGTCCCTGCTCCAGCTCCATCCTCAGAGCACCTACAGGTCAAAGGTTTTTATCCCTCCCCCAGCCATAGTCAGCATTTATCCCTCAGTCGAGCAAAATAGCTCTGAAGTCCATTAGACTGTGAGTTCTGGAACTGAAAAGCTGTATCTAGTGCTTAGCAGAGACTGAATAAATCTATGATAAATGAATGAATGAATGAATAGAGTCCAGTCCATGGCAGTTTTATTGGGGGTTCTCCCTTCCCATATTTTAGCTGGAGTTGGGAATGGGGAAGAGAAGAAGGGTGGGACAAGAGAGTGAGACTAGAATATAAATATCCGTAAACAGCATCTGAGCATTAGTCTTTAACAGGGAGGAGGAACCACTGGTGTATATTAATTTAGGACACAGGATCATTATAGGGGTAGGGCCAGCTGGTGTTAATGGCATGCAGGCATATGTGATGCCAACCATGAGGGCTGGAAGAACCAGAAGCCAAAGAAGAATATGACCGCATCTATTCTAAAGCTACTGTGGTGGTTTCTCATGCTTCAGAGTCTCGTAAGTCTCCTGGTTCCTGGTGCTCAGGCCCTGGAGATGGGAGTCAAAGGGCGATCAGGAGCTGGAGTCCATCAGAGGCCCCTCCCACCTCCACAGGACCCCCCTCCCCCCACCGGCCTTCCAAAGATCGCTCAAAATCCCACCCTCTTCTGCTGACTTCCTGGGTGGGGGAGGTAGGCACACTTACCGTGTAAACACCATCTGATTTCTGCAGAGACAAAAGAAGCAAAACATTAAAGACCCACACTTTCTCCAGGGCCCCTCAGCATCTGCCCCACCCAGGGAGGCATGGGGGGTGGGCAGCCAGCCACCTTGGGCTAGAGGGCACTCACATGGACACTCTGGGACATGGATACCTGTTTGCCCACATGGCTACAAGCACACATATACACCCGACATACTACATCCAAGTCTCTCACATATTCTTTATCACTCTATGCTTGATTCTTCCCTGTCACCTGCTGAATATTTTACTTGTGGCTTGGCTAGGTAAGGTGGGAGGGAGGCCTCTGAGGTGTATGCAGATCAGCACCTGAGAGGCAGGCCCTCCCAGAGGCCCGGAAACCCAGGCTAGAGCCCCAGGAGGGCTGAGGGTCTGAAAAGTTGTCCACACCAGGTGTAGGAGGGTCCATACCTCATAGCTGGTTATAGCTGCCTTTCGCACTTGGATCTGGAATGGGGGAAAGGTTATCAGTAAAGGGTAAGTTAATGGCCCATCCCCCTTCCCTCCAAACTTTGTGGAGGATCCCCTTTTATTCCTTCTCTTCGAATCCTTGCTGCTGCCCTCCTCCCACTTCCCCTTCCAGCCCTTACCCCACCCTGCCCAGCGCTACCTTCAGTCGACAGTAGAGGAGGGTGAGGACAATTCCATACAGAAACAGGATGGCATCCAGGATATAGCAGAGCTGAGGCTCTCCCAGGGCCGCTGAGGGGATAGAGGATGCCCATGGGGTCGGGGGTATCAGGGAGGATCTGGTACTCAGAGGAGAGAAGGGAAGGGGCTCTGGGAGGTAGGACAGGGCCTGGAGGGGAGCCGTCTAAGGGAAGAAATTCTGTTTCTCTCTGGCCTTCCACTGCCCTTACCTTTCCCTCCTCCCACACCATAGGGTCAGGCTAGGATAGGAAGCTTGAGGGTTCTATTGAAATGGGACTCACACGGACTAATAATTGAGGCCTTCCCCCTCAGCCCCCAACCTTTTCTTTTTAGCACTGTGGGTTCTTCAGGCACCATTGAGCACTTTATCCACCTCAAGGGACCCATCTGAGTCCACTGGACTGAAACCAAAACCTCAGCCAAGATGGGTAGTGGGAGGGAGAGGTAGTGGCAAATTTCAGTGAAGAAACCACAGAAGTGTCTCTACTAAGTCCTGTGACCTGTGGCTGAGGGCTGGACAGGAAGGATGTGAGCTGGGGAAGGGAGAGAAGGCAATTACTCTATCATTGGTCATCTCCTAGCCTCAGCCTTGTTGCTTTCTGTCCCACCACAAGACACTTAAATATGTAAAAAAAAAAAAAAAAAAAAAAAGTGTGTCTGTTTTTCCCAGACCTTACAGATACCTTTGGCCCTGAACACAAGGCTGGGGGAATGACCACAGCTATATGGATTCCAGCTCCTGTTACTCTGCCCTATTACTCACTCTCTGGGTCTCTGAGAGGGGAAGTTTTGTGCAATTTAAAAAATCAAATCAAGTCTGGGCTCCAGAGACTGCTCTCACCCCGTATCAGAGGACCAGTAGGGAACATGTGACTAACGTCAGTCAATTGCTGACATCGGTCAAGTACTTTTTATTCTGCAACACTCTTTCACACACACGATATTGCACAAATCTTAAAACTACCCTGTGAGGGAAACATCATCATCGCCATTTTATGGGTGACGAAACCAAGGCTCGGAAAAGCTAAGTAACTCACTCAGAGCCACAGAGTTAAGTGACAGAGCTGGAACTCAAATGCAGGTTTTCTGCCTCTAAAGCCCATGCTTTCCTTTGTGCCTCAGCGGGCCTCCTCCCTCCTCATCCCACGGCAGCAGACCAGTGGCTAACTTAATACTTGCTCCCACCTTCTCAGCTAGGCTGCTGGAATTCCTCCCCAGTCATTCTCTTTCAATTTCCACAGTTTCCCTGAAGTTTACTGACCTCCTCCTCCCCAACACCCAGCTGCCACCAACACACACACACCAATCCAGCACAGACAACACAGAGTGAACGAGGAGTGAGAATTCTTAGATAGTGGCTGGAGCTGTAGAGCTTCAGAGACCTTCCCATTTCTGCCTCTATTTCTCAGCTGACGCTCAGGTCTCTGGAACTGGGGATCTCATGCTGCCCACCCTCATTATCAACTGCTGACAGAATGGAGCATTAACAATGACCCATAGAAACAGCAATCCCGTCTGTTTGTCTTGGCTATATCCTTGCCTTACTCCCAAGCACAAGAACAGAGTCCTACCTTCCTAAAGGGTTATCTCTCTCTCTCTCTCTCTCTCTATATATATATATATATGTGTGTGTGTGTGTGTGTGTGTGTGTGTGTGTGTATGTGTGTGTGTGTGTATATAGATAGATAGATAGAGATATATATGTAAAATCTTTTTTTTTTTTTTGAGACGGAGTCTCACTCTGTCCCCCAGGCTAGAGTGCAGTGGTGCGATCTTGGCTCACTGCAACCTCCACCTCCTGGGTTCAAGTGATTCTCCTGCCTCAGCCTTCTGAGTAGCTGGAATTATAGGCACCAAGGGTGCTTTGTATATTAAACCAGCTAGAGATCAGCTCCCAGCAGACAAGACCAAAGGCACCCCATGGGAAATGCTCATCATGAGAAATGAGGCTTTTCACCAGACCAGCTCTTCATGCCATACAACCAGACCCTTCCCCTGCCACTTTCTATCAACCCTGAAAAGAGAAAAGTCAGCCAGGCACAGTAGCACTTTGGGAGGCCGAGGTGGGAGAATTGCTTGAGGCCAGGAGTTCAAGACCGATGTGGCCAACATAGTAAGACCCTGTCTTTTTTTAATAATAATAATAGCTGGGTGCAGTGGCTCACACCAGTAATCCCAGCACTTTGGGAGGTCGAGGTGGGTGGATCACTTGAGTCAGGAGTTCAAGACTACCCTGGTCAACATGACGAAACCCGGTTTCTACCAAAAATACTTAACTTAGCCGGGCGTGGTGGCGGGCACCTGTAGTCCCAGCTACTCGGGAGCCTGAGGCAGGAGAATCGCTTGAACCCAGGAGGCAGAGGTTGCAGTGAGTAGAGATTGCGCCACTGCACTCCAGCCTGGGTGACAGAGCAAGACTCCATCTCCAAAATAATAATAATAATACGGAGAAAAGTCTGGAATGAAGTAAGAAGGCAACAAGAAAGGAGGGAACTATGAGTCTAGTGCCCTGGGTCGGGGCTGGAGAGGACTAGCCTCAGGGTCTCCCTATGCCCACCTACCCACTGTCAGCCTTCCTTCACCTGTGTTTGACTTGGCCCTCAGACCCAAGCTCTGGACTTCCACCCTGGAGCCAGCTCACGCTATCCCTCACCAAACCCTCTTACCTGCTTGTTCAACCAAAAGGAGTAAGAGCAAGACCACTGCTGGAATCATCTTGGGCTGGAGATCGGCCGTTCTGACAGCACTGTGCAGCTGTGCTCAGCGAGCAGTTCCCTGACCACAGAGTCCCCCTCTTCCTGCCACGCCTTCCCCCATGCTTTGGCCCCTTCCCCTTCCTGCACAAGAGACCGGGCGGCTCCCGGAAGGGCCAACTAAGGGAGTTGGGAGATCTGGGCTCTTAAGCGTCAGCCCTTCAATGACCAACTCCTAACCCACAGAATGAGGAGACTTTCACGCTCAGGAAAGGCTGTCTACATCTGCCATTTTCCACTCCACCTGGTTCAGATTTTTTTTTTTTTTTTTTTTTTTGAGACGGACTCTTGCTTTGTTGCCCAGGCTGGAGTGCAATGGCGCCATCTCGGCTCACCGCAACCTCCGCCTCCCAGGTTCAAGCGATTCTCTCAGCCTCCCGAGTAGCTGGCATTACAGGCATGCACCACCACGCCCGGCTAATTTTGTATTTTTAGTAGAGATGGGGTTTCTCCATGTTGATCAGGCTGGTCTTGAACTCCTGATCTCAGGTGATCCATCCGCCTCGGCCTCCCAAAGTGCTGGGATTACAGGCGTGAGGCACTGCGCCCGGCTGGTTCAGAGATTTATCTGTGTGAAACTGCCCGTCAACATTCCCTCAGACCCCACTATAGCCCTTTCCCTCCCAACTTTACCCCAGGTCTTGATTTGAGTGGTTTACCAAGTTATGTGGGCACTGAGAAGGTTTGGGCAAGGAGGGAACTGAGGCGAAAGAGGAAATGGGGAATAGAGAAGTGGAAAGGACAAGAGTCAGAGAAGGGGGTGGAGACGAGCAGGAAAAATTGCTAAGACCTGACTGAATCTAACAGGAATGGAGGGTTAATGAACATTCTTAGGTTTACAGTCCGAGTGAAGGACACTAAGATACTGAGACACTAAGATACCAGAAGTTTAGGCCTAGGGGCCGCAAGACGGCTAATTTATTATAATTTCTCCTTTTTTAGTACATGCACAGAAAGCCTGACAGCCAAGTGTACATGAACATACACACACACACACACACACACACACACACAGAGGCCAATTTCCAGTGAGGAACAGGCTCCACAGAAGAAGCTGATAGGCAGGGGGGATCAAACGCTGCTCCCCTGCTCACCGATCTACTTCTCCAAATACAATATCTTGGGTACCTAGGTGAGAGGATGGAGGAAAAAAGTGATGTTACTTATCTTCCTGTTGTGAGGCAAAACAAACAAAAAAAGTGGTGTTACCCAAGATCCAGAACCCATTACTGTGCTCAAAAGATTGAGGACCCGAGTCCATGCCATGGCCTATGGTGAACAGGAAGTGTTCTCCTTCTGTCCCCAGTGGGCGTCCCGAACTCCTTTGTCTAGGATACCTCTACTACACAATAGGCCTCGTACCTATGATGGCAACGACATCTGCCAACATGTGTCCCTTAGACATCTTGTCCAAACCAGCCTAGGGAGATTGAGATGGCAACAATGTTAGTTAAGACTTGCAAGGTGGGAGGAGAAAGAAGAGTTCATAAAAACCTCAACCAAGGTCAGGTTTAATTCATTGGAGTTATAGTTACTGGGATTGATTCTTACCAGATGGGCAAAACCAGGAGCCTTGATCTTGCATCGATAAGGGCGGCTGCTGCCATCAGACACCAGGTACACCCCAAACTCTCCCTGTTCAAGGAAGAAGGTTGGGTGTCTGTATTAACATGAAGAGTATTTTTCTCTGCCAACAAAACCTCTATTCATTCTGTTTTCTCTCTCATTGATGAATGAGCTATTTGTTAAACATCTATCTTTAGCTACCTACTCTACATATGGTCTTTTCCTTCCCCTCCTCTCCTTACCTTGGGAGCCTCAATGGCAGTATATGTGGCTCCTGGAGGAACTTGGTAGCCCTCAGTATACAACTTAAAGTGATGAATCAGTGACTCCATGGAAGTCTGAAGAGAGGAAACAGGGAGCATCAATAAACCATATCCAAACTCTGTCTCCTAGGCCTCCCCCAGCACAGAAAATAATCTCTACCCTCAGGGAGACTAAAGCCACATGTCAGTCAGTAAGCAGAGAGGATACAGAATAAAACAGGAGAGCTATGGGAGATTAAGAATCTCTTATATGGCCGGGTGCGGTGACTCACGCTTGTAATTCCAGCACTTTGGGAGGCTGAGGTGGGCAGATCAAGAGGTCAGGTGTTCAAGACCAGCCTGGCCAACAGAGTGAAACCCCGTCTCTACTAAAAATACAAAAATTAGCTGGGCGTGGTGGTGGGTGCCTGTAATCCCAGCTACTCGGGAGACTAAGGCAGGAGAATCGCTTGAACCCAGGAGACAGTGGTTGCAGAGAGCCAAGATCATGCCACTGTACTCCAGCCTGGTGAAAGAGCGTGACACCGTCTCAAAAAAAATAAAAAAATAAAAAAAACCCGAATCTCTTACTACACAGTAAATTCTCTATTAAAAGAAAACTGGGTTGGGTGTGGTGGCTCACGCTTTGTAATCCCAGCACTTTGGGAGGCCAAGGATCACCTGAGGTCAGGAGTTCGAGACCACCCTGACCAATATGGTGAAACCCTGTCTCTACTGAATACAAAAAATTAGCTGGGCGTAGTGGCACACGCCTGTAATCTCAGCTACTTGGGAGGCTGAGGCAGAAGAATTGCTTGAACCTGGGAGGCGGAGGTTGCAGTTAGCCGAGATTGCACTCCAGTCTGGGCAATAAGAGTAAAACTCTGTCTCAAAAAAAAAAGAAAACCAAAAGATAGGATTTAATCCAAGGATACTCCTCCCCAGCCACTGGCCCCTTTCCAACACCCCACACTTTCCCCCTCCCTGCAGCCAACCTTCATCTCTGCTCGCTTAGGTGGAGACACTTTGGCATCATCAACCTTGATCTCCCCAGGAGGCATCTTGTTTAGACACTGTGCGATAATTCTCAGGGACTGGCGCATCTCCTCCACCCGGCACAGGTACCTCAAGAAGATGAGACAGAGCAAGAGAAGAACAGTCAGAGGAGCAGGTATGGGGCTAGGAAGGATGCCCTTTGGCCAACCTCAAAAGGGTTAGGTCAACTCTCCCCACTCTTTTCTCCAAGTACAGCATCTCTGCTTGGCTTGGCCACCCATATAAACCCTGTAGTCTTTTTTTTTTTTTCTGAAACAGGGTTTCACAGCTCACTGCAGCCTCGAACTCTGGGGCTCAAGTGATCCTCCCATCTCGGTCTCCAAAGTAGCTTGGATTACAGGCGTGCACCACCACATCCGAATATTTTTTGTAGAGACGAGGTTTCACTTTGCTGCCCAGGCTGATCTCCAACTCCTGAGCTCAAGCGACTGCCTGCTTTGGTCTCCCAAAGTGCTAGGATTATAGGCATGAGCCACCAACCCCAGCCCCCTGTAATCGTTTGCTTCTACTCTTGGGTGCTTCCCCAAACCCTCTCCTTATTTTCTCAGAACATGGCCTGTAGTATTTATTTCTTTAATTACCTCCTTAAGCACTTTTTGGACCACAGGATGGGTGAGAGTCAAATGGACAAACAAAAATAACAGCAGTAGCTACCAGGTTCAAAAAATAAAACAAACAAAAATAAAAAAAACAATACACAGTAACAAATCTGACTCAGGGTGAGAAAACAGGAGGAGAATTTGTTTTTGGTTTTCGTTTTTTGTTTTTTTGAGACAGAGTCTCGCTCTGTCGCCCAGGCTGGAATGCAGTGGCTCCATCTCAGCTCACTGCATCCTTCACCTCCTAGATTCAAGCAACTCTCCTTCCTCAGCCTCCCAAGTAGCTGGACTTACAGGCATGTACCACCACACCCAGCTAATTTTTTGTATTTTTAGTAGAGATGGGGTTTCACCATGTTGGCCAGGCTGGTCTTGAATTCCTGACCTCAAGTGATCCACCCACCTTGGACTCCCAAAATGCTGGGATTACACACATGAGCCACTGTGCCTGGCCCAGGAGGAGAATCTGAAGCTTAGGATCTACTAGAAAGAACACTGGATCAGGAGGATTCTAGTCTCGACCACTCCTGAAGAATAATCCCAGCTAATCCCTAACTTTTATGCCTCAGCTTTCTCAGCTATAAAATGCAGCCAAAGCTAGCTCCATCTAAGACAAGGATAATGTAAAGATAAAAAGAATGCCATAGGCCGGGTGTGGTGGCTCACGCCTATAATCCCAACAATTTTGGAGGCCGAGGCGGGTAGATCACCTGAGGTCAGGAGCTTGAGACCAGCCTGACCAACATGGAGAAATCCCGTCTCTACTAAAAATACATAAATTAGCTGAGCGTGGTGGCTCATGCCTGTAATCCCAGCTACTCAGGAGGCTGAGGCAGGAGAATCACTTGAACCCAGGAGGCGGAGGTTGCAGTGAGCCGAGATTGCACCATTGCATTCCAACCTGGGCAACAAGAGCAAAACTCCGTCTCAAAAAAGAAAAAAATAAGTAAGATTCCATATATGTGAAAGTGTTTTGAGAGCAACCTCGTCTAACACACACAAGAGCTCCCACAGACACTGAGAAGTAGGGTAAAGAAGGAAGTGGCAAAGAGAAGAGTGAGGCAGGGGAAACTAGCTGGAATATCAGCCAAGAAAGGATTGGGGCCTTACCTATCATAGCAGTCCCCTCGAGAACCAACAGGAACATCAAACTCAACCTGGTCGTAAACATCATAGGGCTGGGTCTTCCGCAGGTCCCACTGGATGCCTGAGCCCCGAAGCATCACTCCACTGTGGAGAGCATAATGGGAATAAGGGCCACTCTCCACAAACTAAGTAAGGAGGCTCCTTCTTCCTTAGCCTCCCTTGTTGATCCTTCACATTCAGGGTATGACTAGGAGGATGCCAACAAGTCTTCAAAGACAAGATATTAGGCTGGAACTCCCCCACTCCCACCCCCACTCCTACGGAGAGAAGTTGTATTCCCCTCACCTAAAACCATAGTTAAGTGCTTCTTCTGCTGTTACAACCCCAATGTCAATTGTCCGATTTCGCCAGATCCTATTGTTGGTCAGCAACTATTGATCAAGAAAACTGGTGTGTTAATACTCTTCCTCACACTCTTCAAATATCTCTGTATTTCTCTAGCCCTTCTTGTGGGGGAGAGATTTTTCCCATTGACTCCTAGCTTACCTCCTCCAACTCATCAAGCCGAAGAGAGAAGTTCTTAGAAAACTGATAAATGTCATCCATAAGCCCAAGGGGTAGGTCCTAGAAGCCAAACGGAAGTGCTACTGAATGTGGCATAGCCTTCACTAAGGAGAGCCCTCTCAGCACCCCCTCCCCCAGCGATACAGGTTTGGAGTTTCCATCATCCAGCACTGCCCTCCAGTGGCCACAGGGAAAATAGGCCTGGGCTGGACATTTGGGGAAGCCGGGGACCTGCTCACCTGGTGCACTCCTCCTGGCCGGATATAAGCAGCATGCATTCGGGCTCCAGACACTCGCTCGTAGAACTCAAACATCTTCATAGAACGTGCTGGGAATTAGTGTCAAAGTCCCAGGCCCCCAGGTCCTATGATGGCCTACTCCCCCACTTTCTGCCTTCTTGTGCCCAACCAACCCCTCATGATATAGTTTCTACAAATATAACCCAAGTTAAACATACCTTCCCCCTCTAAATGTTCTCCCATGTTCTCTCTCTTCTTTTAATCTCCTGTCTCCTTTATACCTTCTCTACTTCCTGCACTTCCTTCCCTATTCCTATCCTTTCCTCCCACTCTTACCTTCTCCCTTTCTTCAAACAGCCAGAAGAAAGGGGTCATGGCCCCAAGGTCCAGGGCATGTGTGGTCACAGCCATGATGTGGTTCAACAAACGTGTGATTTCTCCAAACAGCACTGTGAAGACAAGGAGAAGACAGGATATAGGAGCCAAGCACTGAGGCGGACAGAGAGGTCTGGGCAGAGCCTGGGGTCTGAACACTAAGCTTGGGTTCAACGGGGAAGTGGTGGAAAAGGCACTATGCTATGCTCACAGTGGGCCACAGAAAAAGTTGGGGGGACATACCTCGGATCCACTGTGCCCGAGGAGGAGGCCGGATGTTTAGCAACTTCTCCACAGCTAGAGAATAGGCCTGTTCGTTACACATCATGGACACATAGTCTAGCCGGTCAAAGTATGGAAGGGCCTGGGAAGAGGGAGGAATGTGGGTCACATCTAACAGGCTCAGGAGCCCACAGTCTGGCTGCCTGAAGCCTTGCTCTCAGTCGGCACCAGAAGTTGGTGCTGTATAAGCCTTTCTAGTCTCAGGAGCCCCAACAAGGCAGGTAAAAATATCCCAAAAACCAGTAGTATTCTAGTAAATGTTTAAAAACTGGCTCTCCAAAGTGAGGGAGGACTCTGATTTGTCATGTTTGCCAATTTCCATGGTAAAAATACTCCCACAATGGCCAATTTTAAGTTACCAATATCATGTAACTGAATGCAGCATTGGGAAGAATACCACACCATTATACAGTATTTCCACCATACAGACACATTCAAAGCAAATACCTCAAAGGCAGAGCATAGTAAAATGTGGTAAAATAATGAAGTGATGAGCTTTGAATATTTAATCTTACCTTTGCTTTTAATATAATGTATTAAATCATAAGCTTATATAAATTAATTTCTGACAATGGCTATGTTCAACAACTGGCTCACAAAACTCCTGAAAATTTAACAACTGCACTCTTGCAAGCCCGTATGAGCTAGCTCCAGGATACCACTGTCAAGAGTCCTTGGCCGGGCACGTGGCTCACGCCTGTAATCCCAACACTTTGGGAGGCCGAGGCGGGTAGATCACCTGAGGTCAGGAGTTTGAGACCAGCCTGACCAACATGGAGAAACCCCTTCTCTACTAAAAATACAAAATTAGCAGGGCGTGGTGGTGCATGCCTGTAATCCCAGCTACTTGGGAGGCTGAGGCAGGAAAATCACTTGAACCCAGGAAGCAGAGGTTGCAGTGAGACAAGACTATGCCACTGCATTCTAGCCTAGGCAACAAGAGCAAAACTCCATCTCAAAAAATAATAAAAATTTAAAAAACTGACATACTGGTCAGGCGCGGTGGCTCACACCTGTAATCCCAGCACTTTGGGAGGCCAAGTCAGGGTGGCTCATGAGGTCAGGAGTTTGAGACCAGCCTGGCCAACATGGTGAAACCCCATCTCTACTAAAAATATAGAAATTAGCTGGGCGTGGTGGTGAGTACCTGTAATCCCAGCTATTTGGGAGGCTGAGGAACGAGACTCGCTTGAACCTGGGAGGTGGAGTTTGCAGTGAGCCAAGATCACACTATTGCACTCCAGCCTGGGCAACAAGAGTGAAACTCCGTCTCAAAAAAAAAAAAAAAAAAAAAAAAATTAGCCAGGCATGGTGGTGCGTGCCTATAATCCTGGCTACTCTGGGGGCTGAAACAGAATTGCTTAAACTCGGGAGGCAGAGGTTGCAGTGAGCCAAGATCACGCCACTGCACTCCAGCCTGGGCGACAGAGCGAGACTCCGTAGGGAAAAAAACAAAACAAACAAAAAACTTCAGATACTGAAGGAGAAAGGCAATCAGTCTTAAGAGTATCTGGGAGGGTTTTTTTTTTTAATCTTTTTTTTTTTTGAGACACAGTCTTGCTCTGTTGCCCAGGCGCTGGAGTGCAGTAGCACCATCTTGGCTCACTGCAACCTCTGCCTCCCAGGTTCAAGTGATTCTCCTACAGGCGCACACCACCACGTCTGGCTAATTTTTGTATTTTTAGTAGAGATGGGGTTTCACCTTGTTGGCCAGGCTGGTCTCAAACTCCTGACCTCAAGTAATCCACCTGCTTCGACCTCCCAAAGTGCTGGGATTACAGGCGTGAGCCCGGCCAGAGTGAGGTATTTAAGGAAGACAGAGCATCAGGTAGAAATGGTCCTTCCTCCAGAATGCCAAAAAGCCAAGTCCTAGCTGTCTGCTGAACCAGCTTCAGCTTCCAGGAAGAGGGTGGAGCTAAGACGCTACTAGCTGGGACAGCCTGTTCTTATTCTGATGTCACTGTGACGGGGGCTAATGCTACAGGGGTTAACCCATAGACTCCAGGACCAGAAACTGTCATCGCCGAGGCTCTCTTGGGGAATCACATTCTAGTCACTGTTCACCCCGACACTGGGCTGGATCTAAATCCTAATCCTACCATCCTGTTATCAGGACCTTTCTTCATGACAGTAAGAAAAAAACTTCAGATTCCTATTAGAGATCCAACTCCTTCAAATCTGACCTTCATCATTTGGGTTATACAGTTCTCCTAAAAATGGCAAACTGTCATAAACCCTCTCTGAGTTGCTGTGACTCATTGAATGTTTTGAAAACAAACGTAGACAGCTGGAAGATACAAGAATCAGCTGTTAAACTTAGCGAGCTAATGTCTTTTCTCTTTCCCTGCCCCTAGGGACACTGGCTTTGACGCACTAGTCTAACGTAAGAGCAGGGAAACTGAGGCACTCAAGTAATGGCAAAGGGGCCTGCCAAAAAGTCAGCCAGAGAAAAGCTGAGTATAGCTCCAGCTTCAAAGCACTGCTGCTAAATAAACCAAATCCTAATGACTCAAGCATCCCCTGCCACTTCCCTCCATCCACCCAACCAAGAGTAATCTCAACGGGTTACTCCTCTCAACACCTTCCTCCCCTCACGTTTTAAGGGCAGCAAACTGGCAAAGCCCCAGGCTAAAGCAACCCCAGATCCCGCCAAAAGGCTCCTGTTCACCCCCCACACCTGAAGATAGGTCTTGTATTCAATGAGCTTCTCAGTGCCTCGGTGCAGGAGCCCGATGTGAGGATCACACTTCCGCACCATCTCCCCACTCAATTCCATCACTAGTCGCAGGACACCATGCGCTGCTGGGTGTTGGGGCCCAAAGTTCAGGGTAATGTTCTTCACAATTGTGTCCTTTGGAGGGTCCACATCTGAGAAGTAAGAAATAGTTCAGAGCCACATGGTTATTCCCTTGGGATCCCCCAAAAGATAGCAAGGAGTTAGCCTCTCCCTATAGATTTTCTAACTCACCATTCCATACTTTGTTAATTTCCTAATCTCCACTATAACCAGGAAGAGGACTCTTAGATGGGGAAAAGGAAGATCTAAACTTTCTGATGACAGACATCATGAATCTCACTCTATGTCTCCTAGAATACCTTTTTTTTTTTCATGGTTCATAGTCAGTGTGCATAGAATATCTTTTTAATAATACATAACACTTATATAGCTTTATTATGTGCCAGGCACTACCTTAGGCACTTTAATTGATTTAATTCTTACAACAACTGTTATGAGTAATAGGTACTATCGTTATCCCCATTTCATTGGATAAACTGAGGCCATGGAGCTTAAATGACTTTTCCAGGATCATAAAACTAGTAAGTGGCAGAACCAGGATTTTAACCCAGCCTGTTTAGCTCCAGGATCCAAACATCTTAACTACTATGATATACTGTCCTCCAAATGTATCCAATGAATGGCCAACCAGTCAGGAAATGGTATACCTAATGCTTACTCGCACTAAATGAACTTTTACCCTCAAGAAGATTACCTTTTTTTTTTTTTTTTGAGACAGAGTCTCACTCTGCACCCAGGCTGGAGTGCAGCAGCACCATCTCGGCTCACTGCAATGTCTGCCTGCCAGGTTCAAGCAATTCTCCTGTGTCAGCCTCCAGAGTAGCTGGGACTACAGGCGCACACCACCATGCCCACCTAATCTGAAGCTTACATTTTAATTTGCGAAAGAAGTACATGTGAAAAACTAGGAACAGAGGCCAAATTTGTAAGTAACCAAGAAAGTGCCTTAGCCATTAAGTTTTTAAAAGAAGGAAAGAACACTGCAAAGACTTCATGTAGGTAGGATCTGAGCTCAAATATAGGAAATGATTTAGATAGCTAGAAGGGAGAAGAAGCATTCCAGGCTATGAAATCAACATGGGCCAAATCTTAGAAACAAGGAAGTAAACATCCATGGAACTCTTATTGGGACTTCCTAAGAGAGGGATGATTAGTACTGGGACAAAGTAGGGGGTAGTGGTTCAATTATCTGTACATATCATTAATAACAATGAACACTTATAGGGGACTTACATGTGCCAGGCACATGTTATCTCATTTAATCCTTAAAATAATGCTATAAATAGACACTTTATTCACTGGTAAATTGAGAGTGGAGATTTGAAACCAGAGCCCATCTTTTCCACCAAAATTCTTCATGATGGGCTTTGGAGTCTGACAGACCCGAGTACAAATCTGCCTGTGTGTCCTTAACCTTTTTTTTTTTTTTGAG
Organism: Homo sapiens; assembly: GCF_000001405.40. NCBI lineage: Eukaryota > Metazoa > Chordata > Mammalia > Primates > Hominidae > Homo > Homo sapiens. The sequence goes on along the minus strand of NC_000001.11, from coordinate 161,205,045 downwards.
ACAGTCTTGCTCTGTCACCCAGGCTGGAGTGCAATGGCGTGATCTCGGTTCACTGCAACCTCCACCTCCCAGGTTCAAGCGATTCTCCTGCCTCAGCCTCCTGAGTAGCTAGAATTACAGGTGCGTGCCACCACGCCTGGCTAATTTCTGTATTTTTAGTAGAGGCGGGGTTTCACCATGTTGGCCAGGCTGGTCTTGAACTCCTGACCTAAGGTGATCCGCCCACCTCGGCCTCCCAAAGTGTGAGCCACCGCATCCGGGCTTTAATCAAGTTTTAATCTCCTTAGACCATAATTTCCTCACAACTGGGGTAATACTCTCATAGAGCTGTTGTAAAGATTAAACAAAATAATGCATACGAAAATGTTTGGCAAATGGTAAGCACTCAGCTATTGTTACTGTAAGTTTGTGGAAAGTAACTGGAAGTGTCTTTGAAGGTTTTGGAGCAAGAGTATGAATAACATGGTAAAATAATGTTTGGGGAAGATGAAGGTGATGACACTGTATAGGATAGATGGAAAGGGGACAACATCAGCGGCAAAAACTCAGTGAATAGACTCCTAAAATAATCAGGGTCTAATACAAGATAAATCTGAATAAGAATGATGGCAATAAAAATTAAAAGGGAGAGATGACCAGATATGAGACATTACGAAAGTATCTACATGGTTTGGTAACTTACTGGACATAGACATGGAGGGCAAGATAAAACAGCCAAAGATGACTAAAAAGTTTCAATCCTGAGGGATTAGGAGAATGAGGGTGCCACTGATCAAAATCAAAAGTCAAAAGGAAGAGCTAGTTTTGATAGGAAAAAAAATGGTTTGTATTCATGTAGGTTTCATTTGGTTACCAACGGGAAAACCACCACCTTGTCTGGAGAGGGAGATAATGTAGTGAACCTGAAATATATTGAACATGGGAAAAGCTGGCATTAATATTTAAATTGGTAGGGACTTTTGGGTATTTACTGGGACCCATTCTTTATTTTCTTCTGCAACATCCTTCCTTTCCTTCTCTACTTCACAAATACCTGTTGTTATCACTATTATGTCTGTTGAATTTCGTGGTGAAAGAAGCAAACAGGATAGGGGCTAAAATTTGCCTAAGACAGAGAGCTCAAGAGCACTTAGAAATCAGCTGGAGGCCAGGCATGGTGGCTCAAGCCTGTATCTCAGCACTTTCGGAGGCTGAGTTGGGAGGATTACCTGAGGCCAGGAGTTTGAAACCAGCCTGGTCAACATAGCAAGACTCTGTCTCTACAAAAGGAAAATTTTCAAAATTAGCCAGTTGTGGTGGCACAGGCCTGTTGTTGCGGCTTTCTGGGGAGGCTGAGACAGAAGGTTGCCTTGAGCCCAGAAGTTCAAGGCTACAGTGAGCCACTTTCGCACCACTGCACTCCAGCCAGGGAGACAGAGGGAAACCCTGTCTCAAAAAAAGAAAAGGAAATCAGCTGGGGGCAGGGATGGGTGTGGGTTGGGACAGCAACTCTGGTCACTCACCATTCCAAGGTGGAGGCTTCCAGTGGGCTGTTTCTTTGCTTGGGTACATAACAGCTCCCCCAAACTGCTGTGCCCATTCCACATCTGGCTGCCACTGCCGAACACCTCTGGGGAGTCAAAGACAGATCCTAGACAAAGGGCCTGAACAGTGTTTGGTTCCTGTGTTCCCATTCACTCTCAAGGGGACCCAGGAAGGATGACCTGTTTTTTTGTTTTGTTTTGTTTTTTGTTTTTTTTGAGACTGGGTTTCACTCTTGTTGCCCATACTGGAGGGCAATGGTGTGATTTCGACTCACTGAAACCTCCGCCTCCCGGGTTCAAGTGATTCTCCTGCTTCAGCCTCCCAAGTAGCTGAGATTACAGGCATGCGCCACCAAACCCGGCTAATTTTGTATTTTTTTAAAGACGGGGGTTTCTCCATTTTGGTCAGGATGGTCTCGAACTCCCGACCTCAGATGATCTGCCCGCCTAGGCCTCCCAAAGTGCTGGGATTACAGGTGTGAGCCACCGCGCCCAGCCAATGTCCTGGATTTTTTAATGCCAAGTCACTGATCTGAAGTTAATGTAGCTTCGGCAAAACAAGCTGGAACTCTAGAGGTTCCATTCCTACTAACAAATTATTCCTGGAATAACTCCACCCATCACCCCTGGGCATGCAAGGTTGGGATCCTAGCTTCTTCATATTTTCATCATATTGATATTATCAACCAGGTGAATATGAACGTGAGAAAAGTGTTTGTTCAAGGTCAACGACAGAGAGACAGCGAGCATTCTGGCTCTTTGGCTGAGCTCTACTCAGGTATGACAGGAGAGGTGCATTCAAATTACTGAAGCTAAAAAGCAGAGTCTCCCACTCCGCTGATTTCACCTCGGCACGAACGAACTCTAGACCCTCTCCCCTCCCTCGCCAGAGTGGGCGCCACTGCATCCCGTAGCCCAAGAAATCAGGGATGGACAATGGGGTCACAGGCTTGGGTTATTATTTTCTGGGGGAGTAAAGCGTCCCCAACCTGAGAAACCCTAGCCTTGGAGAAAGTGTGTCGAGAGCTGCCCTCGATCTCACCTGCTGGGCTGAATCGGCAATCGGACTCCAGCCCCAGGCCGCAGCACCTGGGCCGCGACGCCCCGGAAGCCGCACAAAGCCCTCAGCGCCGCCATCTTACTCCGGCTGCAGACTGCGGGAAGGAGAACCGGGCGGAAGTAACTCCAGCGCGCCTCCTTCTTGGCTTCTCACCTATTCGCACAGTGAAGCCGCCCTCTTGGAAGCTGGCAGGGTCGTTTACCGTCGAACTGACAACATCCGGGTCCTGTGACTCGGCTTCACTTGCGTTTAGATAACAGTGACCGCGGTCATCTTTACTGAGGGCGTTTCCTCCCACAGCTCCTGGCTGGCTTTTCTAGGAGCGAGCAAGGGAAAATTGCCGTTCCTGCGTGGGGCAGATACTTCGTGCTCTCTCGCCGAGCCCGCCTGCGTATCTTGGAAACGCGCGGCGCTTCCTTCCCTACTCCCTTCCGCCTTGGCCGCCCTCATGCTTTAGTCCTGCTCTCGGATTGTATCTGAGCCCTGCCCTTATAGGGTAGCCCCAGGCTTTGCCAATTACTTTCCCATCACTGAATCCAAAAGACAGGAGTTGGGAAAGCCAGCTAATTTCCAGATGTCATAAATTGAGATTGGAGAAAGGAGCCTAAGTGGGGCTGGGCGGGTCTGAGAGCTCCCGCCAAACCAAAACAAAAAAGAATAGGATGCCAAGGCCGCCGGCATTGGTGGTGCGGAGGGGAGTGTCGGGGTGTGTAGGAGCCACCTCATCCCAGATGGGGGAGTGGAGGTCCTCTGTGGGTGACCCTGACATCCTCCAGGCTTCCCGAACCTACAGAATCACAGACCCAGGAAGCGCCCTTAGAGATGCCTCACACCCCACTTCCGTCTTGCGTCAGCCTCTTTTCCCTAACGTCTTTCTGACCCTGCTATAGCCCTCCTGGGTAATGGCCAACAGCACGGAAATGTAGTAGCACCAGGAGTCTGATCACAATTCTGTATGGACAAAGATTCTTCCAGCCTTAGAGGCTAGTTCCTGTTTTCTCCCTCTGCCTCTAAGCCCAACTCCAGCTGGGCCACCCACCCGTAGAGTTTGTACAACTCTCCAACTCTGAGCCTGGAAAGAGGCCTTCCCCAGATATCCCCTAGACAGGATCCCAGGGACACAGCCCACCAGCAGCGCAGCAGGGTGAGGCAGACAGACCAGGAAGCAGAGATGGTGGAATTCTTCACTGCAGAGAAAGAGGGGAAAGCCAGACTTCTGGCCTGGGAATTGACCTAATGGGAACTGTACCAAAGGGTGGGGCCAGATCCTTAGCTGTGGGAACTGACCAGGACCTGGGCTAGACAAGGCAGCTGCCACAGAGCCAGGGCAGAGGTTTGGTCCCTCTGTTGTCCTCATTCCTTGCTCTTTCCCTGGGCCTTCTTTCTATTGTTGAAACACAGCAAATGTGGCCATGGTGGTGGGGGATGGGAAGGACTGCATTTATTTGCCTTGATCCAGCCTGGGAGAAGTCAGGATAGACTTTGGGCTGCTTGGCCCTGGAGGCAGCTTGAGCTGGGACTGGGGTGGGGGGCTCCTGAGGGGCTGCCTAGGACACTGCAGCTTTTGTGCCTTCTCCCTGCTGCCAACACCCCCACACACACTGCTGCAGCCACTCTAAAGCCCTTTGTCTTTCATTGCTTAGTCACCCCCTTTGTCCTCATCTCAAATAGGGGAGTGGAAAGGGGCAGTAGAGTTCTCTGGTGATAGCTCCTCTTGCCCCTGCCCCTTCTGGTCTCCCACCCTTTGTCCGACTCCTCTAGTCCCAGCCCCGTTGGCTTAGAACCAGGGTCAGGCAAGTGGTGGGTCAAGAGGTGGGTCTGGCAGTCACAAGGGGGTGGGTGATCCAGGAAGTGATAGGCACCAGGGCAGGTATTACCGACCTGAGCAGGAAGGGAGGGGGAAAGGAAGTATTCTGACGGATATGATATGCGGGGGACAGGAGGTGACAAAGCAGAGTGAATAGGGGAATAGAGGCAAGAGGAGGTGGTCCACTTCTGGGAAAGGAAAGAGACTGCTGACTGCACTCTCCTTCCTGGGGATTTCCTGGGGAAACAAGCAGCCAGAGGATGGGGTGAGCAGAAATTGCCCCTACTTCTGAACCCTTCCTTGCCTTGAGAGTTCATACCCAAGACCTCTTTTCCGAGTTCCCTCCTATCCAAAGCCAAAGGAATAATTTGCTTCCTTTCCCTAACACCACCTCTTCCTCCCCAGCCACTTTCCCCACCCCAGGCAATGGATTTCTCCCAGTACCCTAATTTCCCTATATGCACAATGCTGTCTCCACCCTCTCCCTGCCCCAGGGAGAATTAAAAAGAAAAGATGACTAGATATTCCAGGAACCACTGGGTTCTCAGAGCAAGGTGGGGTGGATGGTGGGAGCCAGGTGGGGATTCTCCCAGATTGATACTGGGTGAATCTGGGTTCCTGAGAGCAAGTCTTGCCTATGCTGGGGGCTGGCTGACTTGAGGCTGGGGGAGGGTTTAGGGCAGTTGGGAGTGGGTAGGAGCAGGGCCAAAAGCCTGGGGGAAGCTACTGGGAGCTGGGCCAGGGAAATGGGGAGTCAGGAAGTGGGGAGGGGGAACCCTGGGGGGAAATGGAGGCGGAATGGCTGTTCTGGGCTTTGGAGGGGGTGGGTAGTGGTAACTCAGGAAGGGGGATCCTGAGGGAGAGAAGGGACGTTAGAAAAGAGGAGGTGCCACCCTGGATCCGCCTTCTATAAAAGGAAAAGTCGTTAACCCCTCCTGCCTTGTCATCTGCCGCCTCTGTTATGTTCATTCCAAGCAGGATCATCCTACCTTTGGGCAGTCAACTCCCTGATCACTGTCTCCTTGCCTCCCCCAATGTTCTGCCTTTTTTACTCTTCCCAGCTGCTCAGTTCTATCCTGAGCCATGTCAAGCTACCTCTTTTATTTGTTCTTCCCTCTTGATGCCTCCTTACCTGTTCCCTACCCTCTTTTCTCAGGCAGCTCACTCAGTCCCCTCAGCCCTGGAAACCAGCCACTAGGGCCAAAGGGCAGCATGAGGGAGCCTTGAGAAAAGAGAAGCCATGGTAGGTTAGACTATAAGAGCAGGAATTCTCCCAGGACCGTGATCCTATCTGTGCATGCCGGCCAGGCCCTTTCCCTCACTCTCTGCCTCTCCTGGGGCTCTGTCCCACCAAAAAGGGAAAGAGACAGCTGAGGGCTGATTGTGGGGTTTGGGAAAAGGCTATGTCATCAGCTGGCCCAGTGCCTATTATCCATTCGGCTGCTAGAGATTCCCCTCCCCTGGGCAAGTCCCATTTTTTTGGGAAGCGATGATACACCCATCTGAGTCCCACCGACAGAGCTCAGCTGAGTGGCTTAGAGATCAGCCAATCAATCGCAGAGGCTCACCATGCTTAAAAGAGCTGGCGCGGAGAGAGGCTGGGGAGAACCCACAGGGAGACCCACAGACACATATGCACGAGAGAGACAGAGGAGGAAAGAGACAGAGACAAAGGCACAGCGGAAGAAGGCAGAGACAGGGCAGGCACAGAAGCGGCCCAGACAGAGTCCTACAGAGGGAGAGGCCAGAGAAGCTGCAGAAGACACAGGCAGGGAGAGACAAAGATCCAGGAAAGGAGGGCTCAGGAGGAGAGTTTGGAGAAGCCAGACCCCTGGGCACCTCTCCCAAGCCCAAGGACTAAGTTTTCTCCATTTCCTTTAACGGTCCTCAGCCCTTCTGAAAACTTTGCCTCTGACCTTGGCAGGAGTCCAAGCCCCCAGGCTACAGAGAGGAGCTTTCCAAAGCTAGGGTGTGGAGGACTTGGTGCCCTAGACGGCCTCAGTCCCTCCCAGCTGCAGTACCAGTGCCATGTCCCAGACAGGCTCGCATCCCGGGAGGGGCTTGGCAGGGCGCTGGCTGTGGGGAGCCCAACCCTGCCTCCTGCTCCCCATTGTGCCGCTCTCCTGGCTGGTGTGGCTGCTTCTGCTACTGCTGGCCTCTCTCCTGCCCTCAGCCCGGCTGGCCAGCCCCCTCCCCCGGGAGGAGGAGATCGTGTTTCCAGAGAAGCTCAACGGCAGCGTCCTGCCTGGCTCGGGCGCCCCTGCCAGGCTGTTGTGCCGCTTGCAGGCCTTTGGGGAGACGCTGCTACTAGAGCTGGAGCAGGACTCCGGTGTGCAGGTCGAGGGGCTGACAGTGCAGTACCTGGGCCAGGCGCCTGAGCTGCTGGGTGGAGCAGAGCCTGGCACCTACCTGACTGGCACCATCAATGGAGATCCGGAGTCGGTGGCATCTCTGCACTGGGATGGGGGAGCCCTGTTAGGCGTGTTACAATATCGGGGGGCTGAACTCCACCTCCAGCCCCTGGAGGGAGGCACCCCTAACTCTGCTGGGGGACCTGGGGCTCACATCCTACGCCGGAAGAGTCCTGCCAGCGGTCAAGGTCCCATGTGCAACGTCAAGGCTCCTCTTGGAAGCCCCAGCCCCAGACCCCGAAGAGCCAAGGTAGGCATCTCTGGAGTCTGTGTCCTGCGGTGTCCTCCCGCCATGTCTGTCCTACTGACCCCTATTCACCCTCTCTCCACCCACTTACACTTCTGGCCGTTCTGCTTCCCTCCCTTCTGCCTGCCTTTCCTTTCTCCATGAGCCTCCTTTCTTGGTAAGGCTCAGGCCTCTCCCCTTCACCCTTCTCCTAGCCAGACCCACCGAGGGTTCTCAGAGGTGGGTCACAGACTCTGGGCTGGGAATAACTGCTCCCTCTCCCCACCCCACCCCTTCCTGGCCATGGCATCTCCTACTGACACAGTCCCCAGCAGTAAAGGTCTCCTAACAGCCCCTTGGCCTTGGCTCTTTTCTCTGCTCCAAATTTGATTTTCATCCCCCACTCCCAGCTATAGGAGTCAGGTTTGAGGCCCTAGGGCTTGGTGTCTGGCTTCTGATGCTGCCTTTAAAATCACTGTGGCAAACTGCAAACTAGGGCAGGAGTGGCAAGAGAGGGAGGGTATCCCATACCTCCTTCTGGTCAATCCCCTTCACACACTGTGGCCGGACTGCGAGGCTGCCTGAGGCTCCATCCTTTCCTCCCTCCCACTCCTGGTCTCCCCCTTCTTCCCTTCCCTCCTCCCTCCTCCCTCTCTAGCTTTAATCCAGACCAGACGCTCCCTCCACAACCGCCACGCTGAGCTCTGGCCCTGGCCCTAGCTGCTGACTGAATCGTTCCTCCAACCACACAGGGCAGACACGTTGCAGCCCAGCCCTCTAGCCCTGGTCCCATAGGCCCCAGCCACACTCAGGCCTGGAGAACCCCAAAGTCCCTCCTGACGGCAGTCCAGGCTGCTTTCACCTCTGGGGCTCCCGCAGCCCTGGGATGTGGCGTCCCCTTCTCCTCCCCTTCTTAGAACCAGCTGCTGACTCCTCAGAGTTACCACAAAAGCCCTGAGATTTGGCGTTGGGGGAAGGGCCCAACCAAGACCCGCCAGGAGTCAGGAATCCCGTGGGGTGTGTGGGGCCCAGCTGACTATGCTGAGTTCCAGACCCAGGAAGTGAGGGATTGGAGAATCGACCGACCCATGGGTCTGAGAGGCTATTTCAGGATCTTCCTCTCCCTTTTTCTCTACAGCGCTTTGCTTCACTGAGTAGATTTGTGGAGACACTGGTGGTGGCAGATGACAAGATGGCCGCATTCCACGGTGCGGGGCTAAAGCGCTACCTGCTAACAGTGATGGCAGCAGCAGCCAAGGCCTTCAAGCACCCAAGCATCCGCAATCCTGTCAGCTTGGTGGTGACTCGGCTAGTGATCCTGGGGTCAGGCGAGGAGGGGCCCCAAGTGGGGCCCAGTGCTGCCCAGACCCTGCGCAGCTTCTGTGCCTGGCAGCGGGGCCTCAACACCCCTGAGGACTCGGACCCTGACCACTTTGACACAGCCATTCTGTTTACCCGTCAGGTGAGGCCCCAGTCAGCACCGCAGGCCATGCACTGCACAATTCTAAGAAGCGCCACTACATAGACTATGATGCAAATGATGTTCCTGGAGTTGTGTGACATGGTGCCTTGCCCCAGCCACACTGCCATGTGTGGCTACCTAGGCCCTGACAGTGCTGGGTCCTCAGTGCCCAGGTCCCCGGGAATCTGGATCTCAACCCAATGGACCCAGGTGTCTTGGCTGTCTATGCACCTTCTATGATCCCTCTCCACAGGACCTGTGTGGAGTCTCCACTTGCGACACGCTGGGTATGGCTGATGTGGGCACCGTCTGTGACCCGGCTCGGAGCTGTGCCATTGTGGAGGATGATGGGCTCCAGTCAGCCTTCACTGCTGCTCATGAACTGGGTAAAGTAGGGGTGGATGAGAAAGGTATTAGGGAGGAGAAGGTGGGGGAGGGGGTAGCAAGTTCACCACAGTGTTAATGGGGGTCCCAAGGTATTCTTCCCCCAGGCCTAGGTATAGGGCTATTACTCCTCTCTGCTCCAGGTGTAGACATACATTTACATTTTTCTATTAAATAAATTAGTTGGTCGAAACTACTGTGAACTCCTCTGTGTGTGTGTGTGTGTGTGTGTGTGTGTCTGTGTGTGTGTATTTGGAGGGGGAGTCAGAGACAATGGGTGGGGTCACAGTTGGGAATGTTGGCTATAAGGAAAAGTGGGTAGGGAGGGACCCTGAGTATATTTTGGGGAAGAGGAGACAGAGAAAGAGACGGGGCTACATACTGGGAGCCCTGAGAGTACCATAAAGGAAAGGACTGGGGGCAGGGTGAGGTGGGTAATGGATCTGATCATCCACAGCTGCAGCCAGATTTATTATGGAGTCCCTCAGGGCATGGGGAAGGGACCCTCAGATCCTATCAGGGCCTTTGCTCCCACAGGTCATGTCTTCAACATGCTCCATGACAACTCCAAGCCATGCATCAGTTTGAATGGGCCTTTGAGCACCTCTCGCCATGTCATGGCCCCTGTGATGGCTCATGTGGATCCTGAGGAGCCCTGGTCCCCCTGCAGTGCCCGCTTCATCACTGACTTCCTGGACAATGGCTATGGTAAGCAGATGGCACTTACCTTTCCCTGGGTAGCACTCAATTCCTGTCCTCCAGGGCACTCTCACTTCCGCTGCATTCTGCATGGACCAAATTGCCTCCCCCAAGTGTGCTTCCTCTGCAGTGTGGGAAGGGGTGAGAAATGCTGCTGTCTTTGTGTAGTTCTCACTTCCTCCCAGAATAAATAGCATAGCTAGAGGAGGCGAATTTTGGCTCAGTAGAATTAGAACTGACTTTCTGAGGGCCAGAACTGTCCACCACTGGAATGGGCTGGCTATGAAGGAGGTGATTACCTTGTCACGCAGTGAGGTATGCAAGAATAGCAGGATGACTGCCACTAGGCAGAGATGTTGATGAGAAGCAAACTCAAATATTCTATAGTTGGTTAGAATAGGCAGAATTGAGTTCCTATCCTTACTCTGTTTTGTTTTGTTTTGTTTTGTTTTAAATACAGATGTGGTCTCACTGTGTTGCCTAGGCTGGTCTCGAACTCCTAGGCTCAAGCAATCCTCCCACCTCAGCCTTCCAAAGTGCTGGGATTACAGACATTAAGCCACCATGCCTGGCCTCTTATTCTGTTCTTTAAGCAGGTGTAGATGTGTGACTGTAAGTTACTTCACCTCTCTGTGTTTGTAGTTGATATGTCAGATAAGTATAATAGCGGTACCTATCTCATAGGTATTTGCCATGATTAAATAGTGCTGGTCAAGCATTTAGCCAATGCTCATCTCATAATAAGCATCCAATAAACTATAGCTGCCCATTAAAGCCTCTTACAGGGCTAGGCACAGTGGCTTACACCTGTAATCCCAATGCTTTGGGAGGCTAAGGTGGGAGGATTGCTTGAGACCAGGAGTTTGAGATTAGCCTGGACAACATAGCAAGACCTTATCACTACAAAAAATTCCAAAAAATTAGCTGGACATGGCACATGCCTGTAATCCCAGCTACTCAGGAGCCCAAGGCAGGAAGTTTGCTTGAGCCCAGAAGTTTGAGGCTGTAGTGAGCCATGATCATGCCACTGTACTGCAGCCTGAGCGACAGAGCAAGACTCTGTCTCAGGAAAAAAAAAAAAAAGTAAGTAATTAAAATAAAAATTATAAATAACAAAAATTTAAATCCTCTTATAGTCCTAGGATTGTTTTTCTAGGCTCCATCAGGCCCCAGGGAGCCTAAGCTTTCTGCTGGCAATCCTGAATGCTCCCCTCAGCCCGTTGCTGACTTTGTGCCCCAACCCCCTTCCCAGGGCACTGTCTCTTAGACAAACCAGAGGCTCCATTGCATCTGCCTGTGACTTTCCCTGGCAAGGACTATGATGCTGACCGCCAGTGCCAGCTGACCTTCGGGCCCGACTCACGCCATTGTCCACAGCTGCCGCCGCCCTGTGCTGCCCTCTGGTGCTCTGGCCACCTCAATGGCCATGCCATGTGCCAGACCAAACACTCGCCCTGGGCCGATGGCACACCCTGCGGGCCCGCACAGGCCTGCATGGGTGGTCGCTGCCTCCACATGGACCAGCTCCAGGACTTCAATGTGAGATCCTAGGGCAGGGGTGGGGTAAAGGGCCCGGGGGTGTGGGGACTGGCCTTAAGCCCAGGAGAGAGTTCACTTATGCCCCACTTCCGTTCTGTGCCTTTGCAGATTCCACAGGCTGGTGGCTGGGGTCCTTGGGGACCATGGGGTGACTGCTCTCGGACCTGTGGGGGTGGTGTCCAGTTCTCCTCCCGAGACTGCACGAGGCCTGTCCCCCGGAATGGTGGCAAGTACTGTGAGGGCCGCCGTACCCGCTTCCGCTCCTGCAACACTGAGGACTGCCCAACTGGCTCAGGTGAGGAGTAGGGGGGATGGGAGCCCTTGGGAGGGGACAGTAGAGCAGGAAGGACTGTCCCTTGAGTGCAAGACCAAGGGGGTGTTGATTCCCCTGCTGCTGTGGGGAGTGCCTTTAACCTCTGGGAATTGTCCTTGGCCGTCTGCAGGGAAGAGCAGAGCTGTGCTGTCTAGAGTTCTCAGGGGTTGGGTGGAGGGATGTGGGGTGATGTGAGGAAGGAAGGAGGGGCTCTGACTGTTTTACCCCTCCAGCCCTGACCTTCCGCGAGGAGCAGTGTGCTGCCTACAACCACCGCACCGACCTCTTCAAGAGCTTCCCAGGGCCCATGGACTGGGTTCCTCGCTACACAGGCGTGGCCCCCCAGGACCAGTGCAAACTCACCTGCCAGGCCCAGGCACTGGGCTACTACTATGTGCTGGAGCCACGGGTGAGGGTCAGGACACCCCCAGGCCCTGTCTATGGTCACACACACCCGCAGTGCTCCCTCTGCTTTCTGATAACAAAGATCACCCAAAGTAACCCTGTTCCTACAGCCACGCCAGCCCAGTCCAGGATTCCACTCAGACTTATCTGTACATGGGTATCAGGAAAACGAGCCCCAGACTCCAGATATGTGGCCAATAGGTCCCTCTAGCCTATCCTATTTCCCGTGGTTTCTTTTCCTCTGACTCCCCATCTTCTAATGCTGCATTTGGTGAGAATCGAATGTGTGGCCTTTGGGACAAGTCCTTCACCCCTCTTCCATGGGCTCCTCTGTCAAATTATAGTGGTGGTTTCATTCAGCTCCTGGACAGCCAGTCCCTCAATGGACAGGCCTCCTGGAGATGACTGAAGTCCCTACACTCCCTCTCTGTGATAGGGTGGTGGGTTGAAGGCTGCACAAAGAAAAACAAGCCCCAGCAGCATTTTGCTCCCTTCGCCCCAACCTGAGAATTTCTACAGGCTGGCTGCCCTCTAGCGTCCATTTAGGGACAGTGCCATCAAGGTTTAGGGCTTGGTGCTGGGACCAGACAGACTGCACTTCCCATCTTGGCTCCTCTGCTTGCCATTTGTGTGGCTTTTGGACAGGTTCTTTAGCTTTTCTAAACCTCAACGTTCCATCCCTAAAAACCTCAAATAGTGGTGGTGAGATTTACATTTGTGTTTATAAAACACTTAGCATGCTGCCTGATTCATACTCAGTGCTCTGAAAATGCTGGCTAGATGTTATATGTGATAATAATTATTATTGTTATGATTATCACCCACATGGTGGCCGGCACTCACCCATCTACATCCCCTACTTCATCCAACTTTTCCGACAACATTGCTTCCCTGATGGGACATGGGTCTCGTTTGATTTACCAACCCCTTTTGACTTAGGAGGAACCTTCAGCATTGTTCTTTCTCTTTTCCTCAGGTGGTAGATGGGACCCCCTGTTCCCCGGACAGCTCCTCGGTCTGTGTCCAGGGCCGATGCATCCATGCTGGCTGTGATCGCATCATTGGCTCCAAGAAGAAGTTTGACAAGTGCATGGTGTGCGGAGGGGACGGTTCTGGTTGCAGCAAGCAGTCAGGCTCCTTCAGGAAATTCAGGTTCTTTCACCATCATTCCTCCCTCTACCTTCCTGGACATTCTGGGTCCTAGTGATGCAGAGGGGAACTCAGCACTGTTTCCACTCTCAAAGAGCTCACAGTCTAGCGGGAGATAGACGAGTAGGCAGCTACAGTGCGGTTTCCCATGTATTCATCCGAAGTTGGAACAGGGTGTTGTGAGTGCCCTTGTGGGCATCAGGGAAGGCTTCCTTGGAGGTGACCTCTGAGCTGAGTCTCAGAAGGAGGGTAGGAATTAGACAGGTACCAAGGAAGTGGGGCTTGGAAGGGCAACTCAATAAGGGGGCAGTGGGTGTAAAGGTCCAGAGATAAGAGGCAGTAGGGCACATGTGCATGTAGCTCTGATCCAGACCGAACAGCTCACATAGGATTGGGTGACAGCCATCTACACACATGTACACACATACAGTCACATAAGCACAGCTCAGAAGGCTGAGGGGATTCAGGTGATCCTGAGCTCCCCATCTACTCCTTCCACACAGGTACGGATACAACAATGTGGTCACTATCCCCGCGGGGGCCACCCACATTCTTGTCCGGCAGCAGGGAAACCCTGGCCACCGGAGCATCTACTTGGCCCTGAAGCTGCCAGATGGCTCCTATGCCCTCAATGGTGAATACACGCTGATGCCCTCCCCCACAGATGTGGTACTGCCTGGGGCAGTCAGCTTGCGCTACAGCGGGGCCACTGCAGCCTCAGAGACACTGTCAGGCCATGGGCCACTGGCCCAGCCTTTGACACTGCAAGTCCTAGTGGCTGGCAACCCCCAGGACACACGCCTCCGATACAGCTTCTTCGTGCCCCGGCCGACCCCTTCAACGCCACGCCCCACTCCCCAGGACTGGCTGCACCGAAGAGCACAGATTCTGGAGATCCTTCGGCGGCGCCCCTGGGCGGGCAGGAAATAACCTCACTATCCCGGCTGCCCTTTCTGGGCACCGGGGCCTCGGACTTAGCTGGGAGAAAGAGAGAGCTTCTGTTGCTGCCTCATGCTAAGACTCAGTGGGGAGGGGCTGTGGGCGTGAGACCTGCCCCTCCTCTCTGCCCTAATGCGCAGGCTGGCCCTGCCCTGGTTTCCTGCCCTGGGAGGCAGTGATGGGTTAGTGGATGGAAGGGGCTGACAGACAGCCCTCCATCTAAACTGCCCCCTCTGCCCTGCGGGTCACAGGAGGGAGGGGGAAGGCAGGGAGGGCCTGGGCCCCAGTTGTATTTATTTAGTATTTATTCACTTTTATTTAGCACCAGGGAAGGGGACAAGGACTAGGGTCCTGGGGAACCTGACCCCTGACCCCTCATAGCCCTCACCCTGGGGCTAGGAAATCCAGGGTGGTGGTGATAGGTATAAGTGGTGTGTGTATGCGTGTGTGTGTGTGTGAAAATGTGTGTGTGCTTATGTATGAGGTACAACCTGTTCTGCTTTCCTCTTCCTGAATTTTATTTTTTGGGAAAAGAAAAGTCAAGGGTAGGGTGGGCCTTCAGGGAGTGAGGGATTATCTTTTTTTTTTTTTCTTTCTTTCTTTCTTTTTTTTTTTTGAGACAGAATCTCGCTCTGTCGCCCAGGCTGGAGTGCAATGGCACAATCTCGGCTCACTGCATCCTCCGCCTCCCGGGTTCAAGTGATTCTCATGCCTCAGCCTCCTGAGTAGCTGGGATTACAGGCTCCTGCCACCACGCCCGGCTAATTTTTGTTTTGTTTTGTTTGGAGACAGAGTCTCGCTATTGTCACCAGGGCTGGAATGATTTCAGCTCACTGCAACCTTCGCCACCTGGGTTCCAGCAATTCTCCTGCCTCAGCCTCCCGAGTAGCTGAGATTATAGGCACCTACCACCACGCCCGGCTAATTTTTGTATTTTTAGTAGAGACGGGGTTTCACCATGTTGGCCAGGCTGGTCTCGAACTCCTGACCTTAGGTGATCCACTCGCCTTCATCTCCCAAAGTGCTGGGATTACAGGCGTGAGCCACCGTGCCTGGCCACGCCCAACTAATTTTTGTATTTTTAGTAGAGACAGGGTTTCACCATGTTGGCCAGGCTGCTCTTGAACTCCTGACCTCAGGTAATCGACCTGCCTCGGCCTCCCAAAGTGCTGGGATTACAGGTGTGAGCCACCACGCCCGGTACATATTTTTTAAATTGAATTCTACTATTTATGTGATCCTTTTGGAGTCAGACAGATGTGGTTGCATCCTAACTCCATGTCTCTGAGCATTAGATTTCTCATTTGCCAATAATAATACCTCCCTTAGAAGTTTGTTGTGAGGATTAAATAATGTAAATAAAGAACTAGCATAACACTCAGCATCTAGTAAGTGCTCAACAAATAGCAGCTGCTGTTACTTACTGTTATCAAATTTCTGTCCACATCCACTCTCCATATGCACTTGAAGGTGGCAAAGATCCACAACCATGGTGCCTGCCTTTATCCTCAGGGTCCGTTCCTTTGGTTGGCAGACCCCTATCCTGGGTTCTGAGGGACCAACAGAGAAAGGAAAATTCCATCCCTCACCTCTGGAAGTTCCCAATCACAGGAAGGAAACATAGTAAGCACGTGGCTACAAATACAATTGACAAGAACATGAAGGTGCAGGATAACAAGAACAAATAACAAGAACAACTGCATCAACACAAATGAGTGCTTAGTAATAAGGGTGATAGTTGAGGGGTCTGGGTTTCACAACAGTAGAAAGAGCACTGGAGTGGGAGCCAGCGGGTCTGGATTCAATTTGGGGCTCGGCGTCTTATTAGCTGGGTGGTGTTGGGTAAGTCACTGATGCTGAGCCTTAGATTGCTCATATGGGACTAACAGTATCTACTCCCACAGAGTTGTTCTGGGAACAAATGCTAGAATATTTTCAAAATAGTAAAGGTTATAGTCATGGCCATGTGAGAGGTTACCCCTATGACTACCTGAAGATGGAACGGAGTCTCCAGAATCTGCCAGTGTAAACCCAGCAGAATGCCTAGAAGATGTGAGATTAGAATAAAATTTCATAAAACAAAAACAATCGGGCACGGTGGCTCATGCCTGTAATCCCAGCACTTTGGGAGGCCGAAATGGGCGGATCACGAGGTCAGGAGATTGAGACCGACCATCCTGGCTACCACAGTGAAACCCCGTGTCTACTAAAAATACAAAATATATATATATATATATATATATATTAGCCGGGCATGGTGACAGGTGCCTATAGTCCCAGCTACTTGGGAGACTGAGGCAGGAGAATGACTTGCACCCGGGAGGCAGAGCTTACAGTGAGTCGAGATTGCGCCACTGCACTCCAGCCTGGGAGACAGAGTGAGACTCGTCTCGATACAAAAACAAAAACAAAAACAGGATATGGTTTGGCAGGAAATAGGCAAGAAGGCAAAAAGAATAACCTGGAAAAGGATCTGAGGTAAGGGAGCCAGGTGCCTCAAAATGGCAGAATACCTGATGCCTGAGGAGAGGGAGGGAATAAAACATCTGCATTTTCCCCTCTGGGCAAGGCGCCTTTGCTTGAGAAAGAATTTTGGGCTGGATGAGATGGTTCACACCTGTAATCCCAGTACTTTGGCAGGAGGATTGCTTGAGGCCAGGAGGTTGGGACCAACCTGGGCAACATAGAAAGATTCCATCTCTACCAAAAAAAAAAAAGATTGAAAAATTAGCCGGGCGTGGTGGCACCTGTAGTCCCAGCTACTTGGGAGGCTAAAATAGGAGGACTGCTTGAGCCCACGATTTCGAGGCTATGGTGAGCTACAATCATGCCACTATACTCCAGCCTGGGTGAGAGACCAAAACACCAACTCAAAAAAAAAAAAAAAAAAAAAAAAAGGGCCAGGCATGGTGGCTCACACCTGTAATCTCAGCACTTTGGGAGGCTGAGGTTCAAAACCAGCCAGGCCAACATGGTGAAACCCCATCTCTACTAAAAAAAAAATACAAAAAATTAGCCAGGTGTGGTGGCAAGCGCCTATAGTCCCAGCTACTCATGAGGCTGAGGCAGGAGGATCGCTTGAACCTGGGAGGTGGAGGTTGCAGTGAGCCGAAATTGCGCCATTGCACTCCAGTCTGGGCGATAGAGTGAGACTCCATCTCAAAAAAAAAAAAAAAAAAAAAAAGAACTTGGGCAGTCCTCTATGTGTCATGGATGGAACAGGGATGGGCAAGGGTGGTAGGTAGACCCTGCAAGAATTTGGAGTTTTGAGAGGCAGACGCAGGACTGCTAGGGATTGGGGAAGGTACTGGATGTGGGGTTGTGGGAGAAACTATAGGTAAAGAAGACCCTGAGGTTGAGGTGGAAGAGTGAAGAATGGGGGAACCAAAGGCACTTCACTCTGCCATAGCAGCCCCTAGCTGGGATGCCAAATACTGCTTGGAATGTGAAGCTGGGACTATGGGGTTGAGGCAGGCCATGGAGGTTGTAGTGGTTATATGTGCTATGCTTACTGGATCTGGGCTTTGCTAATCAAGTTCTGTACCAGGCAGTGCCTTATACAGCACCCTGTACTCTACACCAGCCAGCACAGCGCCTGCTTCCTCTGCAGCAATGAGAAAAGACTGCCCACACTCTCTTCTCTCCAGTAAACACGGTTCTCCCTGCTAGGCTTGGCCCCCTGGCCCTTCCTGTGGTCCTCCTACTAACCAGGCTGAAGAAGATGGAGACAAGACAATAGTGATCTTTACTCGTTTCATCTAGTTTGCAAAATGAGACCACAGATAGTATGTTTATGGACCTTGATACTATGAGTTGATGGTACAATGAGCAGAGTTCTGTGATAAGTAGATGTAAGGTACAAATACAAACAATATATACGACTGTCCTAAAGGGGTTCACACTGCATTCTGGGCAGGGGAGGTTGTATACTGCTCCCACTCCACCTTCCCCGCAAACAGAAGCAATGGGACAGTAAAAGGGACTAGAAGATAAGAGCCTAATGAGCCCTGAACTGAATGGACTATGAGGGTTATGGAGGGCTACCTTGGGCTGGGCCCTGGAGAACAGGTCATCATGATAGCCCTTCTCACTTTCCTTTAATGTTCATGGAGATACACTTTTTTTTTTGAGATAGGGTCTCCCTTTGTTGACCAGGCAGGAGTACAGTGGTGTGATCTTGGCTCACTGCAGCCTTGAACTCTCAGGCTCAAGCAACCCTCCCACCTCAACCTCCTGAGTACCTAGGACTACAGGCACGAGCTACCACACCCAGCTAATTTACTTTTTTTTTTGGTTGAGACGAGGTCTTATCATATTGCCCAGGCTGGTCTTGAACTCCTGGCCTCAAGGGATCTTCCCACCTCGATCTCCCAAAGTGTTGGGATGACCAGTGTGAACCACCATGCCTGGCCTTTTCTTTTGAGACAGTCTCGCTCTGTGGCTCAGGTTGGAGTGCAGTGGCACCATCATAACTTACTACAGCCTTGAACTCCTGGGCTCGAGTAATCCTCCCACCTCAGCCTCCTAAGTAGCTTGGACTACAGGTGTAGATTCACTTTTAAATCACTTTTCTGCCTGTTATTTTAAGAGAAAGCCCTTCGCTCACCAAGTAGGGTTCTCACTGGCATAAGTAAGTTTTTCTGAAAATGAGACTGAGCTTAGGGGCCACCTCTGTGATTGGGTAAGTAAGCAGGAGCTAGAGTGAAAGAGGGGCAGAGAGAGCTAGCTCATCGAAGAGAAGTGATGGGCATCTCAGCCCTCAATCCCAGGCAAGGCCTGACCCTTTTCTGGAATGGTCTCTGCCTTACCACACCTCCAAGACCCAGATTGTAGGTAGGCTTTACCTAATAGGAGTCCAACAAGTTCTTGCTAGGGATGGGATTGTGGGGGGGCACATATCTCCCTGTAAGAGCCACAGTGAGCTCTGTTTCCCATCTGCCTACTTATTGCCCTCGTGGGCCTGAGCTGGGGTGTAGATATATAAGGAGGAACAGAAACAGTAATAACAGGAAGTAAGGAGGCACTGAAACAATTCAAGTATCTGGTCCTGGAGATGAAAAGAGGAAATGGAAAAAGAAAAGGCATTGAATGACAAGGGATTAGAACCCTGTCCCTAGAGAAGTTCAAGAAGAGTTTGGACAACCATTTTATGAGATGGCAAGTGTTGTGCATGAGTATGTGTTTGAGGTGGGGGAGGAAGTTGAAGCAATAAGTTGGGCCAATTTCCTAAAGTCCCTTCTGCCCCTGAGATTCTCTGCTTCTGTGGTTCAAACAGAGGAAATCTGGACATTTGTCCAGCCACTATTTTTGTAATGGAGGTGGGACAGCCAGGGTTCCTGGAGTGTGCTGTGGAATCGGCATTTACACTTCTCTTCCATCTCTAGTCTCATTTCTGTAATCTTCATACAGTATTACAGTATTTTGTTTTCTAAAATACCAGATTGGCAGTAAGTGACAAAACTAGCATCTCATTGGTCAGGGCTTGTGGGGGAGGAAGGGAGAAGAAAGTGGATTTCAATGTATTAACATTTTATTGGCTGAGAGGATGTTTCTGAACCAATTGAGTACCTTCCCCATTGACTGTTGCTGGGGCCAAGCCAAAATCATTGGCACCACGAGAAACCAGATGACAGCTGGAGGAAACCACGAGTGCTAAAAATGCTCAGAAAGAGGGGGGTCAGGGAAGGCGGGGGAGCAACAACACTGAACAACTTCCCCAGGCAGGATCTTACATGGGGACAGACCCAGGGTACTTAAGTAGCATTAGGAAGGAAAGGGAGGGGAGGAAGTAGATTAAGTATCCCTCACAGTCTTGGCACAACAAACAGGCACCATACACCCACACCAACAGTGACACATTGACATAACACACATCCAACTTCACAGAGACACACTAGCACATTCTCTCTTTTTTTTAAAATTTATTTTATTATTATTATACTTTAAGTTTTAGGGTACATGTGCACAATGTGCAGGTTAGTTACATATGTATACATGTGCCATGCTGGTGTGCTGCACCCATTAACTCATCATTTAGCATTAGGTATATCTCCTAATGCTATCCCTCCCCCCTCCCCCCCTGCCTTTCTTTTTCTTCTTTTTTTTCTTAAGACAGATTCTCATTCTGTCACCCAGGCTAGAGTGCAATGGCGTGATCTCGGCTCACTGCAACCTCCACCTCCCAGGTTCAAGTGATTCTCCTGCCTCAGCCTGCCAAGTAGCTGGGATTACAGGTATGCACCACCATGCCCAGCTAATTTTTTGTATTTTTAGTATAGAGACGGGGTTTTCCATGTTGCCCAGGCTGGTCTTGAACTCCCGGGCTCAAGTGATCTGCCTGCCTCGGCCTCCCAAAGTGCTGGGATTACAGGTGTGAGCCAGGGTGCCTGGCCAACACATTCTGTTGATAATATAGATGCAAATAAGTAGTAGGGAGCGGAAAATGTAAGAATTTTCACCTGAAAATGGATCTGAAGAGTAAAAGATATTAATTGACCTAATCGTGCATTGAGAATTGACTGTTTATCCCATTTATTTGTTCAATAAATAAGCCAATGGGTTGTAAACATTGTAAACATTCCACAGCATGTGGAAAGGACATGGATTTTTGGAGTCAAATTGAATCTAAGCCTTGCTACTTACTTACCTGTAATGATGCAACCTTAATTACTTGATCTCTGTAAACCTCAGTTTCCTTACCTACAAAACGTTTGTACTATTACCTGCCTTATAGAGAGGTCCAGACTTAAGAATATGATGATGTAAATGTTTGGCACTGTGTCTGGCTTTTAGTAAGTGGTCAATAAAGGCCAGTTCTCCTTTCCTTATATCTCTTCCTTTGTCTGCTCCCTGACTTCTAACCCCTGCATTCACGTGAGAAAACAGTTATATCAAGGAACTGTCTAGGTCAGATCTAAGGGCCATTTTGTAAATTTGTGCAAAAAGTTCTGGCTTACATTGAAGGGATGATAAAAGGAAAGACATGGTCCTAATCCTCAGAGTTCACAATCTGGTGGCTGAGACAGTCAAGTAGGACAAAAATTTCAGACTTCTGTGATAGGTGCCATGATCAAGGAGGGGCACCTAGCACAGAATATGAGGCCACAGAAGTGTTTCTGGAGGAGGTGCCTGTCTCTCCTTCTAGAAGTGAGCAGTAAGGCTGGGCACAGTGACCCATACCTGTAGTCCCAGCACTTTGGGAGGCCAAGGTGGGAGGATCACTTGAGGCCAGAAGTTCAAGACCAGCCTGGGGGACATGATGAAACCTGGTCTCTACAAAAAATACAAAAAAAGGCAGGGTGCAGTGGCTCATGCCTGTAATCCCAGCACTTTGGGAGGCCAAGGCAGGTGGATCATGAGGTCAGAGTTCAAGATCAGCCTGGTTTGAGAATCTGGTCTCTGGTTCGAGACCAGACCAGGAGTTCGAGACCAGCCTAGTAGATAGAAGATGAAACCCCATAGCTACTAAAAATACAAAATTTAGCCAGCACGGTGGTGGGCACCTGTAATCCCAGCTACTTGGGAGGCTGAGGCAGAAGAATTGCTTGAACCTGGGAGACAAAGGTGGCAGTGAGCCAAGATCATGCCACTGCACTCTAGCCTGGGCATCAGAGCAAGACTCCATCTCAAAAAAAAAAAAAAAAAAAAAAAAAAAAAAAAAATTAGCCAGGTGTGCTTGTGCACGCCTGTAGTCCTAGCTACTCAGGGAATGGGGTGGGGGCTGAGGTGGGAGGATCACTTAAACTCAGGAGGTGGAGGCTGCAGTGAGCTGTGATTGTGCCACTGCACTCCAGCCTGGGTGACAGAATGAGAACTTGTTTCCAAAAAAAAAAAAGAAAGCTGTAAGACTGCAGGGAACCCATGGATGGTGGGAGGGTGTCAGGGGGGCATGATTTCTGTTTGCTAGGTCAGGTTCAGGTTCTTCTATGTTATACAAAACCAAAGTGAGGTAAAGAGGTAAAGAGAACAGACCAGAAAACCAGAAACTGGAGGATAATATGGTAAGAGAAAGAGCTGAGTGGGAGAGAGATCTGGAACAACAGTGTAGGCTGAGGGGAGTTGGAAGGGATAGTTTTGGGAAGAAATAACATCCAAGTAGAAAATGTTGAATGGAAGAGGGAGAGGAATATTTTTTTTTTTTGCAACAGAGTCTCCCTCTGTTTTCCAGGCTGGAGTGCAGTGGCGCCATCTCCACCTCCCAGGTTTAAGCAATTCTCTTGTCTCAGCCTCCCGAGTAGCT
Source organism: Homo sapiens (assembly GCF_000001405.40). Classification (NCBI taxonomy): domain Eukaryota; kingdom Metazoa; phylum Chordata; class Mammalia; order Primates; family Hominidae; genus Homo; species Homo sapiens. The sequence goes on along the minus strand of NC_000001.11, from coordinate 161,182,889 downwards.
GGAATTACAAGCGTGTGCTGCCACACCCGGCTAATTTTTGTATTTTTAGTAGAGACAGGGTTTCACCATGTTGGTCAGGCTGGTCTCGAACTCCTGACCTCAGGTGATCCACCTGCCTCGGCCTCCCAAAGCGCTGGGATTACAGGCATGAGTCTCTGCGCTCGGCCGAGACAGAGGATTTTAAAGACATTGGGCTGTCCATTAAAATGTGCTCCTAATCCACTGCCCCTTTCCCCTGTCTCTGATATTTCCTTGAGAAATTAAGTAGAGATTTAAATTAGTTTTTGATTACTAAACTGGGTTTCTTCTATTGTGTTATGTGCCATGACTGGGCCAGTGTGGGCCCCAGGATTTATTCAGAATATTGAAAGACAGGATGTTGTGGTGGAAACCAGCATGTTAAAATTTAAGTTTTCAGAAACATAACAGTTCTAGGTGATGACTAAGTCCAGGGTGTGGCCAGGGTGAGACAGAGCAGAAGGGAAGGTTCTTGAAAACAGGGAGCTTACAAATTAATGTAAAGGAATGGCCAGAAGATAGTAGATAGGCCTTTGTGGTGGCTCACAGGAGGCTCACTTGAGGCCAGGAATTCAAGACCAGCCTGGGCAACAGAGTGAGACTCCGTCTCCACAAAAAACTAAATTAGCTAGGTACACACCTGTAGTCCTAGCTACTTGAGAGGTTGAGGCAGGAGGATCACCTTAACCCAGGAGTTCAAGGCTGCAGTGGGCTATAATCATGCCATTGCACTCCAGCCTGGGTGACAGAGTGAGTCTCTGACTCTAAAAAAGAAGATGGTTAGATACAGAAGGAGACAGAAAGTGAAGGCTGGGCGCGGTGGCTCAAGCCTGTAATCCCACCACTTTGGGAGGCCGAGGTGGGCAGATCACCTGAGGTTAGCAGTTTGAGACCACCCTGACCAACATGGAGAAACCCCGTCTCTACTAAAAATACAAAATTAGCCGGGCGTGGTAGCACATGCCTGTAATCCCAGCTACTTGGGAGGCTGAGGCAGGAGAGTTACTTGAACCCAGGAGGCGGAGGTTGCGGTGAGCTGCAGATCATGCTGTTGCACTCCAGCCTGGGCAACAAGAGAGAAACTCCATCCCAAAAAAAAAAAAGAAAGTGAGGGTCAGTCCTGTAAGACAGAACGCGATGGAGGAACAGAGGCTCAAAGGAAGGGTCCTCTGGGAGAACCACATTTTCTCTCTTTCTCTCTTTCTTTCTTCTTTGAGACAGAATCTGGCTCTATCACTCAGGCTGGAGTAGTGCAGTGGTGCAATCAGCTCACTGCAGCCTTGAACTCCTGGGTTCAAGTGATCCTCCCACCTCAGCCCTGTGAGTAGCTGGAACTACAGCTGTGAGCCACCATGCCCAGCTAATTTTTGTATTTTTCTTGGAAGGGAATTTTGCCATATTGCCCAGGCTGATCTTAAACTCCTGAACTCAACTGATCCACCTAACTGGGCCTCCCAAAGTGTTGGGATTACAGGCGTGAGCCATGATGCCAGGCCAAGAACCACATTTCAATGATCTGTTTAAGTCTGTCTTTTCCACTACACAGTGATATTCTTAAAAAATCAAGGCTTTTTGAGTTATACTATATCAGAAGCTAAAAATAATAATAAAAAATAATAAAAGTAAAACAAACAAAAAATCAAGTTTGGGAGGCCATAGCGGGAGGATCACTTCAACCCAGGAGTTTGAGACCAGCCTGGGCAACATAGTGAGACTGTCTCTTCAAAAAAAAAAAATTATAATAAAAAAAATCAAGGCTTTGTCTTGGCTTCTATTTGTGCTCAAAAGTTTTCCATAGTTCTAATGATCACAAAACCCCTTAAGGCTAGAGTTCATTTTACAGATGAAATCCAGAGTGTATTGCTCAGTACACAGCCAATGGGTTTCAAAGTTGGTATTGTATTTAAACCCAGCATTATCTCATTTTGAGCCTTCACAGGCACCTCAAACTCATTATGTCTAAAGTTTGTCATCTCTACCCCTTCCCCAAAATGTGCTTCTTCCTAAGTTTTGTTTCTCATTAAATGGCACCACCCAGTGGTCCAAATTAGAAATCTGGGTGTCCTCTTGGAGTCCAATTCCCTAACTTGGCACATCCAGTCAATCTTCAAGTCCTGTTTGCCTCCTGAAAGTTCCCAAAGTTACTTTCTTCCCTCCAGTCCCACGGGTATTACCTATTCTGCATGAGCTTCATCTTATTCCTGGATTTCTGCAGTAACTTTCTAAATAGTCTCCCTGCCTCTGGTCTTGACTACTTCAATTAGTGCTCCACATTTCCTAAAGTTCTGATCATAGCACTCTCTATTTACAGCACTTTAATGCCTTCTTCTTGCCCTCTGGATAAGACCCAAACTCTTTTAGCATGGTTTGTGGAGTCCTTCATTATTTGGCATTTGCTTACCTCTCCAGTCTCATATCTCAACATTCCCTTCACTCTACTGTCCAGCCTTGCGGGCCCAGTTTTAATTTCCCAAACTCCCTAATTTCTTCCTCATTTCCAGAATTTTGCACTTATGGTTTCCTCTGCTTGGAACACTATTCATCTGTTAAAAGTTAATTTTCTAGCTGGGTGTGGTGGCGCATGCCTGTAATCCCAGCTACTCGGGAGGCTGAGGCAGGAGAATTGGCTGAACCCAGGAGGCGGAGGTTGCGGTGAGCCAAGATGGTGCCATTGCACTCCAGCCTGGGCAACAAGAGCAAAACTCTGTCTCAAAAAAAAAAAAAAAAGGTAATTTTCAGAAGAAGGTAAAATTATGACCCTTAAACTGTTGAAGAAAAAATTATTCTGACACTTGTTAAAACAGTAAGGAAGACTATTGCAATAGTCAATGAGCAGAATCAGAGTCAGTGGATGGAAGGAAAATTACATTAAGGCTAGGAGGATTCTTGCTAAACTGACCTAACAGGATCTTTCCTGAAGGCAGGTGAGGGTGATCAGATAGATCAGCTATCAAGGGTGGAGAAGCGGGCAGGGAATTATCCCTAAACTGACTTGGCAGGATTCTTGCTATAACTGGCTAGGCAGGCCCAAGACAGCGCATAAGGACAAGACCTAGCCAAAAAGAGGCCTTAGAGGAGCCTGTTGAAAGTCTGGTTAAGGAGATGGTCTTTGTCAATACCAACATAAAAATGAACACATAGGCCGGGTGCAGTGGCTCATGCCTATAATCCCAGCACTTTGGGAGGCTAAGGTAGGTGGATCATGAGGTCAGGAGTTCAAGACCAGCCTGGCCAAGATGGTGAAATCCCGTCTCCACTAAAATACAAAAATTAGCCGGGTTTGGTGGCGGGAGCCTGTAATCCCAACTACTCGGTAGGCTGAGGCAGGAGAATCGCTTGAATCCGGGAGGCGGAGGTTGCAGTGAGCTCAGATCGCACCACTGCACTCTAGCTTGGGTGACAAAGCAAGACTCCGACTCAAAAAAAAAAAAATTCTCCTTGAAGACTGGGTATTTGGGAAAAAAAAAAAGGAAAGGAAAGGAAAAAAAAGAAGGAAGGGAAGGGAAGGGACGAAGGGAGGGAGGGAGGAAGAAGGGAAGGAAGGAAGGAAGGAAGGAAGGAAGGAAGGAAGGAAGGAAGGAAGGAAGGAAAAAGAGAAATAAAATTAAGAGGCCTGATGCTGTGGCTGACGCCTGTAATCCCAGCGCTTTGGGAAGCCAAGGTGGGCAGATAGTTTGAGCCCAGGAGTTGGAGACCAACCTGGACAACATGGTAAAACTCTGTGTCTTCAAAAAATACAATTAGCTGGATGTGCTGTTGTCCCAGCTACTCAGCTACTCACGGGTCTGAGGTGGGAGGATCCCTTGAGCCTAGGAGGTTGAGGCTGCAGTGAGCTGTGATCTTGCCACTGCACTCCAGCCTGGGTGACAGAGTGAGACCCTGTCACAAATTTTTAAATTAAAAAAAAAAAAGTAAACAAAAAGGCCGGGCGTGGTGGCTCACACCTGTAATCCCAGCACTTTGGGAGGCCGAGGCGGGTGGATCACCTGAGGTCGGGAGTTCCAGACCAGCCTGACCAACACAGAGAAACCCTGTCTCTACTAAACATACAAAATTAGCCGGGTGTGGTGGCGCATGCCTGTAATCCCAGCTACTGAGGAAGGCTGAGGCAGAGGTCGCGGTGAGCCGAGATAGCGCCATTGCACTCCAGCCTGGGCAACAGGAGGGAGACTCCCTCTCAAAAAAAAAAAAAAAAAGTAAAGAAAAAAGAAATTAAGAAAAGAATGAACACGTGTTTATTTTACCTAACTCATGAAGAAACTAGCAGATGTTATAATTAATACAAGAGAAAATCTAGAGAACGGACATATTTATGGATCAGGAAAACAGAAATGAATATGAAAATGGACGCCAAAACTGCTTTTTTTCCCCACAGTGTGGGGAACAGCAGGTTAATTGAACCTCTACCAGACAGGATAGAATTTGCATACAGATCAGTTACCTACATGAATTGTAAAATAACTCCCATGAAAACAGAATCTTTAAAGCAGAAGGATATGCTATAGACAAGTCCTTCAGGTTTCCCATTAGCCATCACTTCTGGGAAGCCTTTCTAGAATCTCCACGTATGAATGAGTTGCCACTTCTAGGCCAGCATATTTATCACGTTATATTGTTTACATCCCTCCCTCCATACAAGATACACAAGACCATGGGCTTTTTGGGGCAGATTCTGTGAGTTATTCAAGTCTCTGATTGCTTCTTCAGCGTGAATATCTGCTTCTAAGGAACACAATATGCTAGGCGGTAGTGTTTGTCGTAAGGTAAACATATTGCATGTTAACGGAGCATCCATTTTACTCTAATATCTGGGGAAACATCATTTGACTTTAAAGAAGACGCTGTCTTTCCCTCCACCTTCAATGTTTCATTGTTTTATTAACTAATCGCTTTTTATTTCCAGGCCTGCGGGATACAACGGGAATACAAAAATGCGCTAGAGCGGTCCGCAACGCTGTAGCCTGCGTAAGGAACAATTGATACTAAGTGGCACTAGGCTGCAGGGGGTGCCACTGACACACTGGGAGAGGGCTCAGCCAACCACAAGGTGATAACGAGGTCAGCGGAGCACCAGAAACCGGCTCACTAGCCTCCTGATCAGTCTCGGCCCAGAGGAAAATGAAGGGCTTGAGCTTCTGCTTTTACAAATCTGAGGGGCAGGAAATGAAATCCCACTAGCAGTCTGCGTAGTGGAGTTGAACCCTAGCACCCGCTCCCCAGGGGGTCGCCTACAACGCGTTCCAGGTGGGCAGGCTCAGGCGCTGCTCCCTCACAAGCCCCCGGCCACGCGGTGTCTGGGACCGGGTGCCTAGTCAGCCCGGGTGGCTCCGCCCCGAGGCCCCGCCCCATGACGCGAGACCCCGCCCCCGCAGCGCCCGCTTCCAAGATGGCGGCAGCGATGCCTGCCCGGCTGTTGGGGTGGCGGTGACGACAGGCAGCAAAAGACCAGGTATGTGCGCTGGGAATGCGTCGACACGGAGGCCTGGGATAAAGGTTTGGGCATTCGAGAGAGTGAGAAGTTTTGGGTAACGCCTGGAGACGAGCCTGAGCAGGGACGGGGTCCTAGGTGGAAGTATGGACGGGGGCCGGGCGGGCTCACGTTGCTAGTAGGTAGGGCAAAAGCAAGAGACTGGGATAGGATGGGCGTGCTCCGAAAGAGCTGGGTTTTAACCCCCTCCACAGCGCGGACCACGCCCCTCTAGGTGAGCCCTTCCAGCCACCCCTGACTGTCTCTGCCCCTGCTCTCCCTCTCCCTTTCTCTTCAGCAGTAACCCTCCTCCCCACCCCCGCTAGAAGAGGGGAAAGGTAGAAAAGGTAGAGGACGCCACCCCCACCCTACTCTCCGCCGAGCTCCGGGGCTGTTCGCTTACAGCCCCCAGGTGGTCACGGTCCCTGCACCTGAGGAGTTGGCACCCAGGCACATGAAGAATAGAAGGAGCCTGTTTCCTACTTCGCCCTGGGTACTCCTTAGGCCACTCCACGGTCCTGTCATGACTCTGTCGCCACTTCAACTGGTTCTTGGTCTGGGGGAAAACAATGTTTCCATTAGCTGTCCTGTCCCCACTCCCCAATCTGTCCTGTTGGGGTGGGGGTACGGGGGTGGTTAAGTATGAACCTGACACTTATCATTCCAGGGTAGCACGGGAGATAGGCGAGGGACCTACCATCTCCTGCTCCTCCTCTTCCTTTCCAACCACTTTCCTTCACTTCGCCTGCTGGGAAACCAGCTTCACCCTGATCCTGATCTCTGGCGGTGCAGGTAGCTAGTTATCCTTTACCACTTCTGTTCCAGCTGGTCCCAGATTCGCTGCTGGAGTGCTGGATGGAGCCTTTCTCTGCCCTCTGTGACATTTCCAATTTTAGATAATGCCTCACATCTCTGTCCCCCCGGGACCCCCTGGAGCCCCCATGATCCCTAAGAAGACAGCTTGAACCTAGGTGAGTCTATCTCTTCCCTTCTAAAATTGGAAGAGGGGGTTCTCTAGAGACTTTCTGAAATGAACATGAGATTTGAATGATGTAAACATTTTTGGGGGTGAGGACTGACAGTAGATGGTGGGAGTGGTTTGGGGGGAGGTAGAGGAGAGCGAAACTTGGGCTGAAGTGACAGGTGGTAGGGTTACTGGTGGTTACATTCTGTTTCCTTGCGTGACTGTGCACCTGTGTGCTCCCTTCTGTGACTTTGTTTTCTGCTTTTTCCTCTTTACCCCTGGCATCACCTTCAACCCTACCTACTGACCTCTCTGCTGGCTTGCTCTCTTCCTGCCTACCCCCAGAATTCCCCTCTCCCTCCCTAGATCTCACCCCCAGGATGTTGCGGAGGCTGCTGGAGCGGCCTTGCACGCTGGCCCTGCTTGTGGGCTCCCAGCTGGCTGTCATGATGTACCTGTCACTGGGGGGCTTCCGAAGTCTCAGTGCCCTATTTGGCCGAGATCAGGGACCGACATTTGACTATTCTCACCCTCGTGATGTCTACAGTAACCTCAGTCACCTGCCTGGGGCCCCAGGGGGTCCTCCAGCTCCTCAAGGTCTGCCCTACTGTCCAGAACGATCTCCTCTCTTAGGTAAGTGCAGGAGGAAGGAGGTGGTGAAAGGAAGGACAAGGTGCGGAGACAGGGAGGCTTGGGGATAGGGAGGCATGGAGTGGCAGAAGTGGAACTTAGAAGAGGATAGGTAGGCTGAGGCTGCAGGTAGGCTGAGGTTGAGATAGAGGGCTGAGGTTGAGATAGAGTAGACTCTGAATTGGGAGTTTAGATTAGACTATTGGGTTTCCACTTTCTACTGCTTGTCCCTTTATGGGCTCTTCCTGCCCCAGGCTAGGAATTGTTTTCCTTGTAGATGAGCCCTGGTTTAATTAGTTGCAAGTCTCTCCAGCCTTCAACTATAGCTTCCAACCCTGTAAGACAGGAGAAAGTTAGGCAACCCTAAAATAAGAAGAGAAGGCTAGGTAAGGATCCTGCACCTTCCAGCCTTTGTAGAGCTGTCCCAGTGATAGGTAATCCAAGGCATGCGAGATTTCTGAGTGAGCCCTGAGAACTAAGCCCCAGAACCAGACTGCCAGTGTCAGAGGTATTCCCAAACCCTAGTTTGATTCTTTTCTCTTTGCCCCTCTGATCCCTCTACTTGCCATTCCTTCCCAACAGTGGGTCCTGTGTCGGTGTCCTTTAGCCCAGTGCCATCACTGGCAGAGATTGTGGAGCGGAATCCCCGGGTAGAACCAGGGGGCCGGTACCGCCCTGCAGGTTGTGAGCCCCGCTCCCGAACAGCCATCATTGTGCCTCATCGTGCCCGGGAGCACCACCTGCGCCTGCTGCTCTACCACCTGCACCCCTTCTTGCAGCGCCAGCAGCTTGCTTATGGCATCTATGTCATCCACCAGGTACCCCCAATCTCCACCTCATTTTGACTGACTTTCTTCTAAGGAAGCCTCAAGCACATGCCACTTCACTTTCATCTAAATGGGTCCCTAGAATAATTTTAAGAAGGCCAGACTGTTAGAGTGTGGAGAAGCACCCGGCACTGCTCTTCCAACTTTGTTAGTCCCATACTTTTCCTTAATCTGCTTAGGTTATTCCCACTGTCCTACACTCTCCTGTGATTTTTTCTTTATTGAATGGCTTGTGCAGAGTTGGAATTGGACACAATAGGGCTAAAATTCTAGTTCCGTCACTTGTTACATGTATGACTCTGAGCAAGATACTTAAACATCTAACATGAGGAAAGAGCATAAGATAACTAATATACCATCTGTTCCACACCACACCATTGTTGGTTGCCAATTGTCAGGATTAAATGTTAGACAGCAGCATCTTAAGTATCAGGTCCATACCAATACACAAGCAAGATTTGTCAAATGACTAAGTGGAAAAATGAAAAAGATAGTCTTTCTTTTTCATTCTCCTTGCCCTCCACCCCACTTTGATTTCCCTCTTTTCACTTTTATTCTTTTTTTTCTTTTTTTTTTTTTTTGAGATCTCACTCTGTCCCCCAGGCTGGAGTGCAGTGGCACGATCTCGGCTGACTGCAAGCTCCACCTCCCGGGTTTTACGCCATTCTCCTGCCTCAGCCTCCTGAGTAGCTGGGACTACAGGCGTGTACCACCATGCCCAGCTAATTTTTTGTATTTTTAGTAGAGATGGGGTTTTACCGTGTTAGCCAGGGTGGTCTCAATCTCCTGACCTTGTGATCTGCCTGCCTTGGCCTCCCAAAGTACTGGGATTACAGGCGTAAGCCACCGCGCCCGGCCTTCACTTTTATTCTTTAGCCCCCTTTTCTCCGTGCCACCTACAGACATAGTCTGGTTCCCCTCCATTATCTTCCAGGCTGGAAATGGAACATTTAACAGGGCAAAACTGTTGAACGTTGGGGTGCGAGAGGCCCTGCGTGATGAAGAGTGGGACTGCCTGTTCTTGCACGATGTGGACCTCTTGCCAGAAAATGACCACAATCTGTATGTGTGTGACCCCCGGGGACCCCGCCATGTTGCCGTTGCTATGAACAAGTTTGGATACAGGTAGAGGGCATGGAAGGGTACTGGGAAACAGGGAAGCCTACTATCCTGTGGAAGGAGGAGAGCCAAGCGGATTGTGGTTGGGGATGTGTCCCCAGAAGACTCGGGGTATGCAAGGATCTTTCTCTCCCTAGCCTCCCGTACCCCCAGTACTTCGGAGGAGTCTCAGCACTTACTCCTGACCAGTACCTGAAGATGAATGGCTTCCCCAATGAATACTGGGGCTGGGGTGGTGAGGATGACGACATTGCTACCAGGTCAGACTTCCTGCCACTTCCTCCCTCCTGACCCCAGTCTGGATCCCTGTCCTCTAAGACCACCTTTGACCATAGCCCTTCAACACTAACCTTTAGCTCCCTGGTCCTGCACTGAGCCCATTCCTTTCCCTTAGTCTTTTTAGGATACCCAGGTCAGGCTTGCATGCTACTGCCCATTGTGTCATCCTTCAGTCTCCTGGTTAGTTTGTTCTTGGGAGAGGACATAAGATCAATAGGAAATAGTATCGTCGGATTCCAGAACTGGAAAGGGGCCCAGAGACAGCTTAGTCTTGCCTTCTGCTGGGGTTCCAGCCAGGCCACTTCCTATGGGGTTAGGAGAGAGGGGCTCTGCTCCATGTTCCCAGAATCGCTTTGTAAAAGGCCTGTGCCATTGGCACAGGGCCAACTCATTTTTAGCATGTGAAACATTCTGACCTTCAGCCTCAGCTGACCCAATTTCATGTCTGTGGTATGAATATTTGGGCTTGGTATGCAGGACCAATTGCCTCCATTCCCCCTGTGTCCTCTGTGATGACATCTCTGTGAATTCTCATCCTCTGTATGTGTGTGAAATACCCAGTGAATTGTAAATATACATAAGTATTCTTCTAGTTCCTTCCCAGGCCATCTGCACTCCATGCTTCTGTGTGTCAGAAGTGGAGTTTGTTTCTTTTAAGGTCCTGATTACCTGGTTCTACCCTTTTCTTTTCTTTCTTTCGTTTTTTTTTTTTTTCTTTTTCTCTAGAGACAAGGTCCCATTATTTTCCCAGGCTGGTCTTGAACTCCTGGCCTCAAGTGATCCTTCTGCCTTGGCATCCAAAAGTGCTAGGATTGCAGGTGTGAGCCACTGCACCTGGCCTACCTTTTTCTTAACATGGGGGATGTGGGAGAGAAGCTGGGGTAGCTCAGTCACTATTCTAAGATTCTCAGCAACTCCCAGTCTTCTCTTATTCTTTTGACAGAATGGCCTCTCTCTGCGTCCTTCCTAGACTGCAAGGGCAGCTCCTAGGAGCCCTTTAGGAAGCCAAGGGAATAGGTTGCCAACTGTTTAAAGGCCCTAGGGTGACTGGCACTGGGCCCTGAGGATTTGGATACATCCAGCTTTTATATTCTCTTCAGCCATTTCCTTCTTTCTGTTTGACTTCTGTCCTGGGCTTTTTTTTTCTTTTGCCTACTAAGTAATAGTTGTTTTTTTGTGTGTACAGAAACATTTAATCCCTTCCTTGCTTTTCTCTACTCTGGATCCCCCATGATACCCTCACTTTTCCCATAGGGTGCGCCTGGCTGGGATGAAGATCTCTCGGCCCCCCACATCTGTAGGACACTATAAGATGGTGAAGCACCGAGGAGATAAGGGCAATGAGGAAAATCCCCACAGGTAGGAAGAAGGAAGGACTGCCTGGGAATTGTTACTGGATCCTCAGGGTTCTGTACCCCTAGCCAGGAAAATCCTAAAGGTCCCTAGATTTCTGGCTGTTCCTTTCTGGGTCTTAGTCTCCAACCTCTAACCCTCAGATTTGACCTCCTGGTCCGTACCCAGAATTCCTGGACGCAAGATGGGATGAACTCACTGACATACCAGTTGCTGGCTCGAGAGCTGGGGCCTCTTTATACCAACATCACAGCAGACATTGGGACTGACCCTCGGGGTCCTCGGGCTCCTTCTGGGCCACGTTACCCACCTGGTTCCTCCCAAGCCTTCCGTCAAGAGATGCTGCAACGCCGGCCCCCAGCCAGGCCTGGGCCTCTATCTACTGCCAACCACACAGCCCTCCGAGGTTCACACTGACTCCTCCTTCCTGTCTACCTTAATCATGAAACCGAATTCATGGGGTTGTATTCTCCCCACCCTCAGCTCCTCACTGTTCTCAGAGGGATGTGAGGGAACTGAACTCTGGTGCCGTGCTAGGGGGTAGGGGCCTCTCCCTCACTGCTGGACTGGAGCTGGGCTCCTGTAGACCTGAGGGGTCCCTCTCTCTAGGGTCTCCTGTAGGGCTTATGACTGTGAATCCTTGATGTCATGATTTTATGTGACGATTCCTAGGAGTCCCTGCCCCTAGAGTAGGAGCAGGGCTGGACCCCAAGCCCCTCCCTCTTCCATGGAGAGAAGAGTGATCTGGCTTCTCCTCGGACCTCTGTGAATATTTATTCTATTTATGGTTCCCGGGAAGTTGTTTGGTGAAGGAAGCCCCTCCCTGGGCATTTTCTGCCTATGCTGGAATAGCTCCCTCTTCTGGTCCTGGCTCAGGGGGCTGGGATTTTGATATATTTTCTAATAAAGGACTTTGTCTCGCATCTGCTCCTGCTTTCTGCATCCCAGGCACACTTTGCCTCTTTGCTGCCCCGCATTCTTATGCCTATAGGTGATAGAACAGCCAGACCAAGCCAAGCTCCAGCAATTTTTATTTTCATGAATGAGAGTTGGGGATCAGCTGTTAGGTTCTGTGCCCAGGACACTGACTGCTGCCTGGCGCCCACTCTCTATACAGTCATTAACAGCAACTCCCTCATAGGAGGCTCCAGCCAGAGTCAGGGGCAACCTGTGAGCAGTCAGGAATTGCCTAGCTGACTCTGGAAGGAAAGGATGAAAGGAATGTTTTAGCTGGGGGTCTGATGTCCTTGGCCCTCCTCAGCCCAGCTGTTTTCCCAACTTACCTAGTTTTTGCCAGTGACCTAGTGTATACTGGGGAATGCAGTTCTGAGAAGAGAGGAGAGGATGCAGGGAAAAGTTTATTATTGATGTCCTAGGCCTTGGCTGACATACAGTGACAAATGTTCCAGTCTCTGTCTTCAAGGCCTTCAGTGGAGAGCTGAGGGAAGTTTATCCCAACTTACCTTGTGTAGATGGACCAAGCAGTGGCTCGGCATCTCCTTCAGTCCTAATTGTGTAGCAGCTGCTTCCTGGGCCCGCTGTTGAAACAGCTCCTGAGATAAGACACAGCCACTAGCCTCCAGTGTCTGTAACCAGGAACCTCCCAGCATCACCTAAGGAGGGAATATAGCACTGATCAGTCTGGCCTTGCCTACAATGGAGCACAGAGGAGCCCTCTGGAAATGCCACTAGGCAAAGTTTCCTCCTCCTCACAGTCACTCTGAGGCCAGGGGGGCTCCCGTCCTGCTCAGGGAAAGCAACTGAGTCATACACGATTCCCAGGACTCCTGGATCTTCTGAAGATGGCACCAAATGTCCAAATCCCTGGAGAGAAGGACATTCATGCGTCAGAAGGAAAGGGCTCTAGCTGAGGCTGTCTCTCCTTCCCATTTTTTTGGGGGGGTGGGGGGGACAGAGTCTCACTCTGTCACCCAGGCTGGAGTGTAATGGCGAGATCTCAGCTCACTGCAACCTCCACCTCCTGGGTTCAAGCGATTCTCCTGCCTTAGCCTCCCGAGTAGCTGAGATTACAGGTGCAAGCCACCACACCTGGCTAATTTTTGTATTTTTCGTAGAGATGGGGTTTCACCATGTTGGCCAGGCTGGTCTCGAACTCCTGACCTTGTTATCTGCCCACCTCGGCCTCCCAAAATGCTGGGATTACAGGTGTGAGCCACCATGCCCAGCCTCTCCGTCCCTTTATCATACCTGGACAGGCAGATGGGCTCCTTGGTACTGCAGATTCACCACAGCTACAGACACTGCAGTGATGGCACTCAGGGCACGAGCCAGAGGGGCAGCCTCAGCAGGGAGCAGCTCACTGAGCACTAGAGATCAGGCAGAGGCCTGACTCAGAAGGCATTCCCATTACAGTTGTCAGTCCTCTTTGGGATTAGACTCCCATAGAGATGACCAGTTCAGGGGCATGGTGTGGTCCTGCTGACCCAGGAAGGTATAGCTTTTGCTTCTCACTGGTAGGGGTTGGGGAAGGGGAAGGTGGCTATTCCATTACCTGAAGCTGGAATGGCACTAATAACGTGGTCAGCCTCCAGACTGCTGTCCCTTAGAGATACCTGAGAGCATGAAAACATTTGAGAGACCCAGAAAATGAGAATTTGATGAGTGAAAAGAGACTTCTGGTGCCTCACTCTCAGTTTCCCAGGCACCCATGTGGCCGGGGAGACTGTGTACTGACCCAGGATGAAGAGATTGGGTGACTATGTAGACTTCACAAAAAATCATTCCTCTGTGTACTCCAGGAAGTGGACCAGACAGGCCAGTGTGGCTGTTCTGAAATGTTCAGTGAAGCTGGGTTCTTTCCCCTATCTCTAAGCCACTTATAAGTACTACTTCTATCCACAGACTTGCATAGGCTCTTTGAGGAAGGTTCACAAATAGGGCCTAGGATTCTGGGGTAGCCCATGTCTAAGTAGCTTCTAAGGCACAAAAACAATGAGGAACTCCAGTCCTATCGGCCCTGGCCTAGTTAAGCCACTTGGATAAAGATGGAAACACTGACAGGTTCATTACACTCCAGGGGTTCCCCTACCTTCCAGCGCCCTTCTGCCTGGAGGCTGAGCCCACAGACCGGCTGGCCTCTGAGAACACTGACCCCCCTACTAGTCAGGTGGGTTTCAAGGGCCTGAGGCAACATCTCTAGACCTCCACGAAGTGACCACTGGCTCCAGCGCTCAGCCAAGGCCTGGCGAATGAGTGCTGAGTCTGGCTGTGGGGTCCGCCCTGCAGAGGAAGCAAAGAAGAATCATTGAGGCTGGATGCAGTGGCTCACACCTGTAATCCCAGCACTTTAGGAGGCCGAGGCGGGTGGATCACTTGAGGTCAGGAGTTTGAGACCAGCCTGGCCAACATAGTGAAACTGCATCTCTACAAAAAAATACAAAGATTAGCTGGGAGTGGTGGCACATGTTTGTAATCCCAGCTACTTAAGAGGCTGAGGCAGGAGAATTGCTTGAATCTGGGAGGCGGAGGTTGCAGCGAGCCGATCTGAGATTGCACCACTGCACTCCAGCCTAGGCAGCAGAGCAAGACTCCGTCTCAAAAAAGAAAAAAAGAATCATTGAATAGCACCCCTTGTCCCCACTCCCTCACTTTGGCAGTACTTAATATTTTCACCCTCTGAATCAATCCCCCCTCACCTGCCCCCAGCAGCAGGCCCAGTAATATGGAACGATGGGTTTGCTCAGCTTGGAAGAGACTGGGAAAGCAGGACCTGATGCTGAGCTCACGGCTGTTGCCTGCAAACACTCCACGGCAGAGACTGTCCATGGCTAGAGACGCCACCTTAAGGGTGAGACTAGGACTAAGGAGCGAAAAAATAATCTACACTGACTGATTTCCACAGCCCCTATTTGGTAGGGAATGAGGGTGGGATAGGGTTTGGGTTGGGGGACATTCCCACTGTGACGGATGGAAATGAAGGCCTTCACTCCCAATAATGAGTTTTGGGAATTATGAGGGGGTGGGGTATGAAGAGAAGAGGGCATCCCCAAATGATACAGAAGAGCCCCTAGGTGGTAGATTTGAACAGGGAGCTCTGCAGCTGGTTTAGGAGGGAAGAGGTTTGGGGCCTCTGGGCAAGTGTCACCTCAGGTCCAAGGCGGCGCTGGGCAAAACTGTGCACAGTCTCATCAGGCTCTTTGCCCCGGGGCTTGGTCAGCTCCCTCAGCCCAGCCCAAAACAGAGGTTTGGAGAAGGGGGGTGAAGGGCGGAGTAGCCCCCTGCATGGAGAAAGGCATAGTGAGGGGGAAGCTCCTGACATACCTCCCCAGCTCCAGGCGCTGGGGTCATTTCCACTCATTTGGCTTCCTTTTGCTGGGAAGGCTGACAGGGAGATGAAGAAATGGAAGGCAGGTCGGGCGTGGTGGCTCACGCCTGTAATCCCAGCACTTTGGCAGGCCGAGGCGGGCGGATCACAAGGTCAGGAGTTCAAGACCAGCCTGGCCAATATGGTGAAACCCCATCTCTACTAAAAATACAAAAACTAGCCAGACGTGGTGGTAGGCACCTGTAGTCCCAGCTACTCGGGAGGCTGAGGCAGGAGAATCGCTTGAACCCGAAAGGCGGAAGTTGCAGTGAGCCAAGATCGCGCCATTGCACTCCATCCTGGGCGAGAGCGATACTCCGTCTCAAAAAAAAAAAAAAAAAAAAAAAAAAAGAAAAGAAGAAAGAAATGGAAGGCATATGAGGATGAGGGCACAGTAAAAGGAGCGGAGGTGCTGGTGTTACCTGAGGCCAGTGGGTAGGGCATGCAGGGCACCGCCCACGTAGAGGAACCTGTTCTGGGCAGCTGGGTGGTCTCCCCGGACAGGCAGCACTTCTGAATCCAAGCCAAGCTCAGAAACCTGCTCTCCACATGCCCTCAGAAGAGGAGAAACTAAGGGAAGATCTGACCCACCAAACATACTTCCTCCCCTAAACTCTATTCCCCAATGGAAGCCCCCTCCACAACCTCTCCTAGACATCCCACAAGCCTCTCACCAGGAGCAAGGTCCGGGCCCCTAGGGCTCCCGCTGGCCTAATTCCCCGAGGTCCAAGCTCAAAGATAGCACCATTAGGGCCTCGAACGGAGCGAATCCAGCCTCCCAGACGCTCACTGCTCTCCACTAGGACCACCTGGCGACAAGAGGGAGAGACACTGCAGCACCGCCTGTAGCCGCCGGCGAGAGGTCAGGAGGGGAGGGGAAGAGGCATATTCAGAGGGCCAGGATCCATCTAGCTTTTGATGGAAATGGGAAGAGCATTAAATGAAGCTCCCTCTGGCACAAGTGGAGCACTCACCTTAGGGGGGCAGGGGGCCCGGCTCAGGTGGTAACTGGCGGCCAAGCCGCTGATGCCTCCGCCCAGCACGACCACGGTCCGGCCCATGCGGAAACCTGGGGGAAAGGGGGCGATATGGACAGGCAGACCGGGGACAACCTGCGCTCCAGAAGCCCCGCCGGTTTTGAGTTCTATCCCGGCCACTCACTGCTTTAGGGGAAACTAAGTGTGCACGGATGGGCTGGTGGAACAGCGAGGTCCCCGTCCAGGGGCCAGGACTCACCCACAATAGGTAGGGATGAGAGAAAATGAGGGAGAAGGAGATCGAGGTCCTAAGACCGTACCCCGCCGGCGCTCTGCTGGGTGCAGATAAGGGCCACACCCTCGCTATCGGCCCTCGCAGGGCTCGGGCGGCGGGCAGTACGCCTGAGTTCTGAGGTGCTCTGCTTGCCACACCTCTGTAGGCCAACAAGTGCTTCAAATCCGCTACTCCCACCCCCAGCCTTTTCGGTCTCTCCTACGCTCCGTCCACTCTGTTCTCGCGGCACGCGCCTAACCCTACCTCTCCTACATCTGGATTGGCGGGACTTGGAAGGCCCCGGATCACGTTCACCAATAAAACATTGAACTGGCAGAGGCGGAGCGACGGCAGCTGTAAGAGCTGGAGGTTAACCGTGTTAGCGCCGAGCTGGGAGTGAGCGGCCGTACCCGTCACTGCCCTCCTCAGGACCGAGGCGGCGAGCGCTTAATGCTGGAGTTAGCGTTCCCCAGCACAAGCTTACCAGGTCCAGCTAGGGTGACAACCCTAGAGGGAAGGCCGCAGGAGCTTTGGTCGTAGGGAGAATAGATAGGGACACTTAAGGCCAGTCCACGGGGAGGCGGCTCCATAAACAGCTCCTTGATGTTAGCAACAGACCGGGCCTACGGGAGCTAGGGCCGCCCGGCAACGTACCCAGTGTTTGTCAACAGTGGCACTCCCCCATCGCCGACCAAACCAGTCGCCCCAGAGCCTGCACGCAGCCTCACTCAAGTATGCCTTTCCTCTTTTCCTCCCAGTACATAACCTTCACTGCTGGGGGACACAGGTCCGGGTCCAGCACCATCCCCGAAACCTTCCCCCTCGGCTCTGAGAGCGCCCCCACCTGTTAGAGAGGGAACTTGGGTCCCAAGAAGACTCCAATTTGGCTCAGTTCTCTATCACCCCCTAAGCAAAAATACAAATAAGCACATCATTTTTTCTTAATAAATTTATTCACAAAAAGTGATATTGCAGAGGGTCTGGGGGCTGTACATGGGCAGGGGCTTGGTGAGCTTTGTACATGGGGCTGGGAGACAAGGGAGCCTCCAGGTGGAAGGGTATTTTTTAATAAAAAAAATAATGGAGCTACAACCACCCCCTCCCCCCTCCCCGATTAAAAAGACACAAAAATAGACGTCTCTGAGGTAAACGGGGAGCCTGGGGCTTAAGGGTGTTTAAAGGGCTTCACAGGTGCCAGAGCTTAGAGGTGTCACAGGCACCGGGGTGGCTCCTGCATCAGTTGGTAGAACAGCACGTAGCCCTCGCTGGATGCCACCTGGTTTTCACTGACAGGGGAGACACTAGGAAAAAAGGAGATCGGGAAAGGGTTGTGGTCATTCCTGTTTACTCCCTTCTCCCTACAAGACCGAACCTCAGAGCATCCAGGAAATGATCAGGCAAGACCTCCACCTCTCCTTTCACCTGGCACTCTGCTCTCCTGGAGCTTCATAGAAGGGGAGGGTGTCAGGGCTGAGTGGGAATGGGGCAGGATGTAAATAGGAGGCTATTCTCACCGAGAGTCATTGTAGACATGCCAACCAGTCTGGCACCGGCACAGGGCTGTGTAGTGGCCATAGTGGACGCTGCCTGAGTGGTTGCAAAGGGCATACAGCTGGTATACAGGACTTCCTGCGGGGTTGGAGATGATCAAGTTCTATAATCAGAGCTGTGCCCCCACTCCTTTGGCTCCTTAGGACTTTCCCCACCAGACTCACCGGCTTTGTCACTGGCAAAGTCCCCTAGGCTCAGTCGCTGCAGTGGAAAGTCTACACCTACTGAACTTTTTTTGATGGAGCCTCGGGAGGCAGAAAATCGATTCAGATCTAAGCCCTGGTTAAGGAGCATTTGGGAGGCAGTGGGCCTCTGAGGGGAACTTCTTCTATCCTGAAAGCTGTCCTCTCCCCACTCCCGACACACTGGGAGCATCTTGTGGAAAAGTGGGTGGCAGACTTTTCCTAAGGAAAATTCAATTCTCTGGAAACATGGAGGAAAGAGAATGTATGGGAGGTATCCTAAGAGAAGTAAGAATCTGAAGATTAGGATATGGAGCACGAGGATTCGAGGGAATCTTTGTACTGTCAACTTTTTGGTACTTCGAGTTTTCTGCCGACATCGGTCACACACCTGAATAAATGGCAAACAGTGTTAGGTTAATATGCTCCTAACCTCAATTGGCTTTTCTGACACCCCGATCCACATACAAATTTAGTATGCTCTTCATTACAGCTGGATCCTCTTGGCTTCTCCCCTTTGCTCTAGGAGTACTAGAACAGATCTGAGACTCCAACACAAACCCAGATACATAAATATTATTCCCCATATGAAGACATCATGCAATCCCTTTTATCCACATGGAGTCCCCCCAGGTCTCCCACCCTTACTGTATCCCTTGTGAACCTCCACATACTGGGGCATTCTCCGACTCTAGCTCTTCTTCCTTAGTGAAAAGGTTGAAACAATCCCGCAGAGACACCTTGCCCCCAGCAAATCCTTTCTGGGGGAAAAGGGGAAGAAAGGTCAACATGTTCTGAATTTCCTTTTCCAACTCTTCTCAATCAATCCAGGCTTCAGTTCTGCTCCAGAAACCCACAGGGTTCCCGCCCACACTCTGGGGGTGGGTAGGCTTGGGTCACAGAGCCCCTGTCCTGTCCACCCCGGAATCCTCTGGAATCCCACCTTGGGGATGGGCAGGGACAGGTCACAAAAAACCTCGAAGGTCGTGGAGCGATACCCACAGGCCTGGCACTTGAGACAACTTTTCAACTGGCCCACAAACAGGTCTAGACAGAAGCACAGGGACAGGAGAAAAGGTCATTGTTGGATGTTATGAGATGATTTCTTGGATTTCCATCTCTTCCTGCCCCTTTGCTTGACCCTTCCTTTCCCACTACCAACACTCCTAATCAACTCTTCACACAGCTTCACATTTGCATCATCCAGTCTTGTTCCCATACCCCTTGATAGTATCGATTTTTCCCCCCAAGCCTGTACCCCCCTCACACACTAATTTTCCCTCATTGCTTTGCCCCATTCCATACCCACAATCTTGCTGTCCTCTCGCTCCAGGTAACGTTTCCACATTAGGTTGGCTCGGTCATCATCACTACCACAGATCAAAGGAAGTGGGGAGCACCCATGAGACAGCAGGAACACTGGGCACCCCCAACACCCACTGAAACAACCTACAGAGCCCTACTCCCCATCCACACCCCTGCTCCTTCCCTAAATTTCAAGGAAAAGTCAAAAGAATAATGCCTCAATGAACTTTCTAGGGAAATCCGAGGTGAGAGGAAAAGAAAGGAATGTACATAAGGGAAGAATATGCTGTCTTCCTCTACCTGTAAATGAATTATCCCCTTCTTCAATTTGGTGACATCCCTAGCATGATCTTCTGCCTCCATCTGCTCCCTTAGACTCCCCCTCTTCCTTCCTTCCTTCTACTTCTATGTTGCTTCTCATACTATTTTCTATACTAAAGGGTTTCCCTGGACCCTACATCTTCAATCTTTACTAGTTTAGTTCTATGAAGTGTGAATGATGCTGATAAACTACGGGGAAAGGAGGTAGAGGGAACGACCCTTACCTTAACTCAGGTTCTTCTAGCAGAGCCCCTCCTCGGCGGGGTGGAGAGGGAACTGGACCATTGGCAAGTATCGGTGGAGCCCGGCGGCCTCGGCGGTTGATTTCAAGGTGTAGCCGCTCCATGAGGAGCTTCAGGAACTCTTGGGCATCCTGCTGGCTACAGCCAGACAAAGAGTATGGGCAACTGACTCCTCTCCTAGTCCACAGACACTATTCCCTGCCCAGATATTGGTCCCCACTTCCTGGATGAAGAACATCTCAAGGCTCAGAACAATGCTGCCAGGGCCCTTGCTTGGCCCTACCCCCAGACATGGCCAGAGAGAAATCCCATAGCCTCCAGCTCTCCCACCTGTATCCAGAGAAGGAGGGAACATATTTCTGGAAGACAGCTCGGAATCGAGTAGGATTCACAGCTTCGCAGGAGTCAGGGTGCCAGAGGGCACCAATCACATCTGCAAAGGCTGTTGGGATGGGAGTGGGGAAGGCAAACAAAGGTTAATGTCTGGAAGAGGCAAGCAAAAGGTGGCTCAGAGGGTAGAAAATAACCTTTAGGAAAGTAGGCACTGGGAAAAGTAGATACAACTGCCAGATTTAAGGGTTGGGGGCCACCACCAGTGGCAGATGGACCTGCAAGTGGTTGGGGAAAAAGGGACTTGAACAGAGGGAGCAGGAGTTGTTGCCCCACCTTCAGTGAGCTCTTGGGCTCGGCCTCCTCCAGGCACCTCTTGCCGGAAGTCCCTTCTCAGACAGAAGTCCCGAAGAGGTCGAGTGCTGCTCAGACACTGCAGCACAGCATTCAGGAAGCACTGGGGAGCAGTAGGGACACTGCTGTTATCTCTCCAGACCACTGCCCAGGAAGCCTTAGAAGAGCTTCAGAGCTCTCCTTCCACATGCCTTCCCCAAGCTCGTGGGTTTTCCCCACCCCCAGCACCATTTCACATTCCTTTTAGAGAGGAAAGATAGGAGAATAGCTCTCACCGTGTTTCCCAGGTTTCGAAGGCCAACATGACCAGAGCCCAGAAGGAGTGTGTGATGAGCCTGGAAGGTCAGAGTACAATCGGCAAGTTCCTATATATCCTACCTGGCACTTTAACCTTTCAACAGCATGCTGCCCACTGCCTCCCCCATCCCATGCATGTTTCATCCCCAAACTCTACCCTATTCCCCTCACTAGGTATTCTAGTCTCCCTACCTCACTGGTCATGAGCAGTAAGCCCATCACAGCTGAATGTACCACGGACTCAGCCATGGCTGTCCCACCTGTTGCCCACTTACTCCTCTGCTCAGCTAGCTGACGTTGCAGCTCCTGGGGCAACTCCCCCAGCACCGGC
Organism: Homo sapiens; assembly: GCF_000001405.40. Taxonomy (NCBI): domain Eukaryota; kingdom Metazoa; phylum Chordata; class Mammalia; order Primates; family Hominidae; genus Homo; species Homo sapiens. The sequence goes on along the minus strand of NC_000001.11, from coordinate 161,161,744 downwards.
ATGGTTGCCCAGCTGCTCACCACTCCCACCTTTCTGCCCCCAAAACCCCCTCCTGCCCCCGTGGCCCCTTCTTGCCCTTCTCCTGCTGGCTCCAATTGCAATCAGCCTAGCTTACTTAGCTCAGAAAATGTGCAACCACGTTTGCTAAGATGTTCTGTGCCTGCCTCTCTTTAGCTCCAGAGATTAATTAGGCCTAGGCAGAGTCCCAGTAGAGAAGGTGCAAGCAAGGGAAAGGAAGGGCCTGGGGACCCAAAGAAGAATTCTAAATAGTTGGGGTAATCCCCTGGGGACCGAAATGGCACACCATGCTGAAGAGTCACCAACAACCCAAAAAAGGGTCTAGGAGGCTCAAGGGTATTTAAGCAAGGGAGAGGCATGTCCAAACTGCTGTAATGAAGGGCTGAGAAAGGAACTTCAGGGAAATGGGGGACAGAAAAGGCAGAGGATGGCAGGAAAGCACAGAGGAACATGGGCATGAAGGCCATGTGTGTGGCAAGTCCTCACCATCTTGTCATCAGAGTAGAAAGGCTCAGAGGACCGGGCGGATATCATGTGGAAGGAGCCATGGGAAGCAGGGGGCTCTGTCCGTATGCTGAACAGGGTAGGGGGTCCAGGAAAGCCCCCTAGGCGGCGGAGAGAAGTGCTACGTCTCAAAGTGGGTGGCTCAGGCCGGAGGGCCAAGCGGCTCAGTGCAGCCCCAAGCTCTCCGGTGCCACGGTGCCCTCCCAAGGCAATCCCCATTGGACGCAAGTCCCCACTGCTCACAGACTTGGAACGGGCTAAGTTGGTCCGAGATGGGAGAGGCAAAGCCACTGTTGGGGGTGGTGAGCCAGGCAGGGGAACCCCATGATCTGCTCGAAGGGGGCCTCTGGGACGAGGGCCTGAGGTCCGTCCCCGTCCCAGCTCCAGTTTCTTGAGCCGTTCATCAGGCAGACCTGGCCGGGGAGGCAGAGGTCGTAACATGGGGTTTGGCCCAGAGGCTGGGTTTCTGCGCTCCTTGCTGCGGGCCCTGGGGGCAAATGGTAGCTTGGATCCCACTCGGGGCTGGATATTAACAGGTGGCTCTCGGGTACGGCCCAGGCGGTGCTCAGAGGCCTGGGGCATTGTGGACACCACAGGCTGGACCTGGGAGGAGAAGAGAGTGTCAGCATTTGAATATGGGGGGAAATGGGAACCCAGGCTGCTGTACTGAACCCTGCCACACTAATTTTCCCTTATTGCTTTGCCCCATTCCATACCCACAATCTTGCTGTCCTCTCATTTCCACATTAGGTGGTTGGCTCAGTCATCACCACTACCACATCAACGAAAGTGGGGAGCAGTATACGCACTGAGGGCAGGAACCAGATCTATCGAATCAGCCATCGTATCCCCAGTACCTGGCATCGTGTTTGGTACAAAGTAAATACTTAGTATCTATTGGGTAAACAAATGAATGAAAGATAAGCAGCCCATGGCTTTGACCCTTTCTATACTCCCGACCCCTCCCTGCAGAACACATCTTTACTGAAAAGCCAGTGATAACTCCTATCTCGGCTCTAACGTAACATGGGACCCCATACCCGGCTAGTAAAGTAGGATGTGCCTCGGGTCACTTAAGACCCTAGCCAAATGGTAGTGTAGATGCAAGAATAACAGCCCAAAAGACAGCCCTCCATCCTCGAATCCCTGCCTCTCTGGGCTGCAAATGAAGCAGACTATATGGGTGACTTACGATCCATTCCCTCCCCCACCTCCGACCTCCGACATGGTGTCGAGGTTCAGAAAGCAGTAGTCGGGGATGGAGGACGAACAACTCCTTGACCCTTAATCTCTGCACTTCTCCCACCACAGCAGGGCTTTAGCCGGGTCCGCCCCCCTCGAGGGCAGAAAGGCCGAGACCGCTGATTGGCTACGGAATCCGGCGGCGTATTCCCCGCGGTCCAGGGATGCTGTCCCTCCAGCCCAGTTCTCCCAGGCCCCGCCGGGCCCCACGCGCCTTTGTGGAGAGTGTCCTCTCGGGTCTGGAGCAGTCTTCCCTCTGCGCCCCCCCACACCCCGCCATGCCATAACGCCCCGGCCCGTACCTGTCCCCCAGTGAGGCGGCGGGAGAGGCCAGCCAGGGCCAGGCCCCAGTTCAGGGCCACCCCCTACTACCCCCGTGCAGCCCCCCCGTGGGCCCGGCTGCAGCTTTAGCCGCAGCCGTTGCCCAGATCGCTCCCGCCGCAGGGGCCGCCGCCATCTTTGTTGGTCCCGCCCGGCCACCGGCCACCGGCTTCACCGTCTCTCAAAGCGCCTGCGCATCCACACCCGAACTCCTCCCACCGGTCCCTTGGCGCTTGCGTGAGCCCGCCCCCACGGCTCCGCGATCGACACCATGGAAACGCAGCCAAGTTTAGGGTCGCTGGTTCTCAACGCTGCCCAGAGAGGTCTTTAATCCATGACTCCAAAGCAAGTCCCTGAGGTATAGGGTGCCGTCGCCCCATCCTATAGCCCATAGGGATGGAGATCTGACAGTCGTAGTATGGCCGCGAGGCTTACAGCACAGATCCTTCCCAAACAGCAGGGGCGCAAGTATGGCAAACTGCAGGCCTGGGTCCAGCCCGCAGACCAGTGGAGAAGCATCTAGCACTTCACAGAGGGCTGGGAAGATCCCTGGAGGGCGGGAAGTGCTGGTCCGGCAAAACCACTTCTTGCAGGCTAACACGGTAGGGCAAAGCATGGCTCACCACTAAAGGACAAAGGTAGATCTGAGCAGCAGGGGGAACAGTCAACATTTCATTCCCACTCCTGACCAGAGCATCCCCTATTTCCGACTCTTTCCCAACCCAACCCGGCGTAGCTGTTCATGTGCCTCAGGTTTCAGCCCACTTGCCCTCTGTTAACAGCTCCCAATGAGAACCACAGGCTACCAGAGGAAGCAGCTTTTATTGATGGGTTATCTCCAGAAACCAGAAAGACTATATGTACTCACTTTCAGTTACCCCCGTGCCTCCAGAATCGCATGTTGCTCCACCTGGGGGCGGATATAAATTACCTCTAGATTGTCCAAAGCCCAGTCTTTCCCTTCCCTGTGCAGCCTTAGAAACTAAGTAGCAGTACTGTTTGGTGTGTGTTTGTTTCTTCCCCAGCAATGCCTACTGCAGCTACTTAGTAACAACTAGAGGTGGAGGGTGTCCGGGGAAGCAGTTAGATGAGTTAAGTGTGATGCACAGGAAAATAGTATCGTAGCCTATCAAAGGTCCCTCTGCCCTGCCTCAGTGGCTTGATTCTTCATTGGTTGCATTTCTCTTTGTGTTGGATGACGCCCTTCTGAATCAGATCAGGGATTTCCACTGCCAGCCATGGACCCAGCTGCAATACAAGGAAAATCCTGTGAGATTACTACCAGTCAATGCTTCTTGTTCCATTAGAAGCTCCTTCCTGGAGACAGATTCTGGGGGAACATGCTTAAGGGACATCACTGTTATTCCTTTTATTCTTAGCTGCTTTTCTTGTACTGCTCAGGGCCTAAGTCCCTCTTTCTCCTTTTATGCCAAATACACAAAACTTACCCCCAGAGCCATGAGATGAGCTAGTCCAAATTTGGGCACATTCCTGGCCCACAAAGGTTTGAAATGATCCGTCAGGCATATTTTGCCACCCCTATGAGAGGGACATGAAGAAGGTGTTGACATGCAAAGTTTACCATAAAGCACAGCAGCCTCTTGGGGGCATAGGAAGACTACTAGTGATCAGAATTGAGAACAAGTTCAGCTAAGTACTTTGCTTAGGCTCAGCAAAGGAGGGCCTGGCACCCCACTAGGCCAGCAGACCCTGGGAAAATCTCTGCCTCCAAAGTTCTTCCTTTTTTTTTTTTTCCTTACATCTTTTAAGTTCAGAGGTACACATGCAGGATGTATAGGTTTGTTACATAGGTAAACGTGCCATGGTGATTTACACATAGATCATCCCATCACCCAGACATCAAGCCAAGCATCCATTAGCTATTCTTCCTGATGCTCTCCCTCCCGCCACGAAGTTCTTCCTTAAGGCTTTCTTTGACTCTTTGCCATCTCCTATTCAGTCCTACCTGTACATCTTTGCTGTCTTTCCATCCAGCTCAGGAACTGCAATTTCTGGGGCAGTAGTAGGATATGTGATAGGAATCTGGAGAAATTATAAAACCTTAATAAAACAGAATCAGGATAGAAAGGAACTAATATAATCAGACATACATATTTCTTGGTTAAACTGAAATGTTAAGTAAAACTCCCCAAGGAGCACATCCATACCAGGATTCTGGATGTGGAGATGAGTAAATATAACTTATGCTTGCCTCAAACCTCAGCTTTTCTCTCCCATTTTTAAAGTTTTCTTTGGTCCCTTCAAGAAAGGATAGCTTGTTACCCATCATCTAATCCCTCCCCTTCTACTAACCTTCATATTTCCCACTCTATCACACTCACGTCAAACTCGATGTCAAACTCATATTTCAGGAGGTCATGGATATACCAGCATTTTCCAAACCACCTGTAACAAAGACCAAACCTCAGTCCAATTTGCCTATTCTTCCAGTACTCAAATGATATCTTGGCTTAGGCCACCAGCCTGGGAGACTCATAGGATGGGAACTGGGGAACTCTGGCGCTGTGGGAGTGGAGACAGCTAACATGTGACAGGGCAGCTTTGGTAGTGGGCGCTAGGATACCAAATTGCCTAACTCATATAAGACTCCCACCCCACACCTCCCAAGAGGGTCTACCTACCGAGTTCCTTCCTTGTTGGACTCCAGTCGGAACCAATCGTTGTCAGCATTCTTGTTGTTCTCCACATACTGAAAGCAGAGAATGAGGTCTTTGAGAGAGTAGTTGGGGCCAAGGGCAGTCCCCCTCTCCTCAAAAGAAAAGTATGTGGTTATTTTTTTTATTTTTTATTTTTATTGAGATGGAATCTCGCTCCCGTCGCACAGGCTGGAGTGCAGTGGCGCAATCTGGGTTCACTGCAACTTCCACCTCCCAGGTTCAAGCGATTCTCCTTCCTCAGTCTCCTGAGTAGCTGGGATTACAGGCGTGCACCACCATGCCCGGATAATTTTTGTATTTTTAGTAGAGACGGGGTTTTGCCATGTTGGCCAGGCTGGTCTCGAACTCCTGACCCCAGGTGATCAACCTGCCTTGGCCTCCCAAAGTGCTAGGATTACAGGCGTGAGCCACTACACCCAGCCGGTTTTTTTTTTTTTTTTTTTTTGAGACAGTCTCGCTCTGTCACCCAGACTGGAGTGCAGTGGCGCAATCTCGGCTCACTGCAAGCTCCATTGCCTGGGTTCACGCCATTCTCCTGCCTCAGCCTCTCAAGTAGCTGGAACTACAGGTGCCCGCCACCATGCCCGGCTAATTTTTTGTATTTTTTTTTTTTTTAGTAGAGATGGGGTTTCACCATATTAGCCAGGATGGTCTCGATCTCCTGACCTCGTGATCCGCCCACCTTGGCCTCCCAAAGTGCTGGGATTAGAGGCGTGAGCCACCACGCCCAGCCTACTTTTTCTTAATATGTTTACCTAATTTTTCTAACATTAGCAAAGCTGAAGACAAGGCTATACTGGTAAGTGGGGGTCTGCCCAGAACAGAGAATAGAATGGGCTCCACTCAATTTAGCAAGCACAAAAGACCTGAAGATACCATCTGGATTCTCCTCTCACTTCTCTGATAGTGTCTGCCCTCAGCCCACAACTCATTTAATGATAGACTCCTTCCCTGGGTAACTCCCTTCTAGCCTCATATAGTCCTGGTTTCAACTAACACCCACAGGCTAATGACTCCCAGATTTTCATCTTTGGTCCAGATCTTTCCTCAGAACTTCAGCCTTTAGTATCCAACTGTATGTTGACGTTTTGACCTTCATTTCACAGGTACTTCAAACTCAGCATTTCCATCTGGAATTTTTTATATTCCTTTGGATACACTTCCTGAATTATCCTCCTGAATTATCAATTTCAGGTGGCAGTATGAGCATTCACCCAAGGCAAAAACCTGGGAATCATCTTTGACCCTCCCTATCCCTTACTACACTAATCCATGTTATGCTAATTTTACCTTCTGAATATTCTACAAATCTACCTCTCCTCTCTATCCTCACAACTGCCTAGTTTAGATTGCCTTTTGTTTCGCTGAGATTAATGACAGCCTAACTTGTCTCTTACCTTCAGTCTTGTCCCTGTCAATTGTATTTTCCCCTTATTGCCAATGTGACTGATCTAAACCCAAATCGGCCATGTAATTCCTCAGCTTAATAACTTTTAACGGTATCCCAAAGCCTCCAAGAGAAAATTCAAGTGCTCAAATATGTCTCCTAGCTTTGTCTACCATTCCCTGCCTCACATTTGATGCTCTAACAACTCTGAGCTACTTTGTTTCTTCAAACACATCATGCTGGTGCCTGTGCCGTTTCTAGATTCTATGCCTTTGCTCATGCTGTCCCTTTTGGCTTGAATGTCCTTCTACTCTTATGTTTTATCAGGCTAGCTTATGTTTACTCTTTAAGTTTCAGCTCAAGCATTACCTCTTCCAGGAAACCTTCCGTGACCGAATGCAAACTGGATGTCTCCTCTTATGCTCTCAAAACATCCTAGCCATTTCTCGCTTTATATCTGTCCATATCTGTCTCAGTCTCTCTCCACTTAAACACTGTATTATAATGATCTGGTTTTGTCTACCTCAGTAAGTTCCTCCTTATTCGGCTTGGTATCTCCTCCCTAGGTTCTATATGCACAGTAATTTTTTTTTTTTAGTGAATGAATACATGAGGTAGGAGAACTAGAACTGCTGGTCTTTGAAGCAGGCAGAAACTACAAGGAAGACAAACTTTTCTCACCTTCCACAGTAGAGATAACTGAGAAGACAGCCCGTTTCTAACTATGAGCTAAACTCCCCAACTCTCTGTAGTTAACACCTACTTGAATTTTCAGCCCTAATGTGGCTTGAAAGAGTGAAGAGTGAGGCCAGGCGCGGTGGCTCACGCCTGTAATCTCAGCACTTTGGGAGGCCGAGGCGGGTGGATCAGGATCACGAGGTCAGGGGATCGAGACCATCCTGGCCAACACGGTGAAACCCCGTCTCTACTGAAAATACAAAAATTAGCTGGGTGTGGTGGCGCGCGCCTGTAGTCCCAGCTACTCAGGAGGCTGAGGCAGGAGACTCGCTTGAACCCGGGAGTCGGAGGTTGCAGTGAGCCGAGATCGCGCCACTGCACTCCAGCCTAGCAACAGAGCGAGACTCCGTCAAACAAACAAACAAAACAGTGAAGAGTGAAGAAGGGGGCAGAGAGATGCGGACTGGGAGTTGGCGCCCTGAGGATTTTTGTTCACATCCAGGTGAACAAACACCTGTAGCCAGGGAGACACGTCACCTTCTGGGGAAGCGTATCCCTAAAATAACTGCTGCTTTTAGCCGCAAGGTCTGGCCCCACTGTGCACCTCACCCGAGTCTTTTTTGCCCTCTCCCCACCATCCCTCCTTAGTCCCCGAGCCCCACAATAGTCCCATTTCTATGAATTTGGGCGTTAAACTTAAAAACCGGAAGCGGCTTCCACACGGAGCCTATTATTGAGGACACCTGATTTCTCCCAACCCTTATGCTACGCGTTAGACTGTAGAAACACAACTAACCCGGATAAGGGACTGATATTCCTCCTTCAGTCGCTGCACCCACAACTCACGATCTCGGGGTCCGGCGTTAGTCTTCAGCACCGGGATCTCAGACACAACACGTCGCGTGGCTTCATCCGCCATCTTGGACCAGGGCGCAAGAGAAACGCGGAAGTGGTGTTGCCTGTAGCTTACCTCAAGGCGCCGTCATCTTTACTATGGGAAGATGAGACGTTGGGTTGCTGTAAGACCTCTTTTGAATAAGATCTTTGTTTTCTTGTCACCTAGTTACCCGCTTGTGAGTGCATCGAGAAGAACAGAATGTAAACAGATTACTCCGTCCTATATATGACACCTATCATTAAAATCACCGCATAAGGCACAAAGGGTGACTTCCGTTCATGCTCAGAGAAGTAATCGCAGAAAACCCGGACACCTTCCCAAACTTGGAAAGCTCTTAGAACTTCAGGCTGCTGAAGGCATTTTTACTTATTTATTTATTTTTATTATACCTTAAGTTCTAGAGTACATGTGCACAACGTGCAAGTTTGATACATAGGTATACTTGTGCCATGTTGGTTTGCTGCACCCATCAACTCGTCATTTACATTAGGTATTTCTCCTAATGCTATCCCTCCCCCAGCCCCGAGCCCCCAACCCCAAGGCGCTTTTCAAGGCACTGACTTCCTAAAACGAGCGATTCGTGTTTCCTCTTCGAAGAACTTTTCCTTTGCTTATATATAGTCCTGCCTCTAGATGCAGTTATCCTGTAGAAGGATGTTTAACTCCTGATAAAGATTAGAAACCATGCAGAATCAAAAGACAAATCCCTGCAAGATTTCTGCCTTAGTCTAGCCATTCACTGAGTCCTAGACTTTTTTTTTTTTAGACAGTGTCTCAATCTGTTGCCCAGGCTGGAGTACAGTGGTACGATCATAGCTTACTGCATCTTCCATCTCCCGGGCTCAAGCGATCCTCCTGCCCCAGCCTCCCCAAAGTGCTGGGATTACTTGTGGGGAAACAATAAACAAACTCCAGTTGGACTTAAAATCTAAACACATTAATTTTTGCTTTTTTTTTTTTTTTTTTTGGAGACCGAGTTTCACTCTTGTTGCCCAGGCTGGAGTGCAATGGCATGATCTCGGCTCACCGCAACCTCCGCCTCCCGGGTTCAATTGATTCTCCTGCCTCAGCGTCCTGAGTAGCTGGGATTACAGGCATGTGCTACCACGCCCGGCTGATTTTGTATTTTTAGTAGAGACCGGGTTTCGCCATGTTGGCCAGGTTGGTCTTGAACTCCTGACCTCAGGTGATCCACCTGCCTCAGCCTCCCAAGGTGCTGGGATTACAGGCGTGAGCCACCGCGCCGGCCATTTTGGCTTTAATTTAAATATCCTGTTTGGCTGGCGTGGTGGCTCAAGCCTGTAATCCCAGCAACTTGGGAGGCCAAGGCAGGTGGATCACTTGAGGTCAGGAGCTCCAGACCAGCCTGACTGGTGAAACCCGTCTCTACTAACAATACAAAATTAGCTAGGCATGGTGGCGCACGCTTGTAGTCCCGGCTACTTGGAGGCTGAGGCGGGAGAATCGCTTGAACCCGGGAGGCGGAGGTTACAATGAGCCGAGATCCTGCCATTGCACTCCAGCCTGGGCAACAAGAACAAGATTCCGTCTCAAAAAATAAATAAAACCTAAAAACGTTAATTATAGATTTAAATATCTTGTTTGGCCGGGTGCGGTGATTCACGCAGATAACCCCAGCACTTTCAGAGGCCGGGGTGGGCAGATGGCTTGAGCCCAGGAGTTCGAAAATAGCTTAGGCAACGTGGTGAAACCCCAGCTGTACAAAAAATACAAAAATTAGCCGGAGTGGTGGCGGGCACCTGTAGTCCCAACTATTTTGGGGGCTGAAGCAGGAGGATCTCTTGAACCCCGGAGGTCGAGATTGCAAATGAGCCAAGATTATACCACTTCACTCCAGCCTGGGGGGTCAAAGTAAGACCAAAATTTTTAAAAATATATTTATTTATTTTATTTATGTTTATTTCACTGTTTATTCAGTGAATCATTCCAGCCTGTGGCAGTAAGTTTTTTTGTTTGTTTGTTTTGTTTTGTTTTTGAGACAGAGTCTCACTCTGTCACCCAGGCTAGAGTGCAGTGACATGATTTTGGCTTACTGCAACCTCCACCTCCTGGGTTCAAGCGATTCTCCTACCTCAGCCATCCGGGTAGCTGGGATTACAGGCATGCAGCACCACGCTCGGCTAATTTTGTACTTTTAGTAGAGATGGAGTTTCACCATGTTGGCCAGGCTGGCTTCGAGCTCCTGACCTCAGGTGATCCAGCCCGCTCGGCCTCCCAAAGTGCTAAGATTACAGGCGTGAGCCACCGTGCTCAGCCTCCAGTACAATATTGAGTAAGAGTGTTGGCGGGGCGCGGTGGCTCACGGCTGTAATCCTAGCACTTTGGGAGGCCGAGGCGGGCGGATCACAAGGTCAGGAAATCGAGACCATCCTGGCTAACATGGTGAAACCCCGTCTCTACTAAAAATACAAAAAAATTAGTCGGGCATGGTGGCGGGTGCCTGTAGTCCCAGCTACTCGGGAGGCTGAGGCAGGAGAGTGGCGTGAACTCAGGAGGCAGGGCTTGCAGTGAGCTGAGATCGCGCCACTGCACTCCAGCCTGGGCGACAGAGCAAGACTCCGTCTCAAAATAAAAAAAAGACAGTGTTACCAGCAGACATCCTTGTCTCGTTCTGCCTTTAGGGGGAAAATCAATGTCTTTCTCCTTTTTTTTTTTTTTTTGCGACAGAGTCTTCCTCTGTCGCCCAGGCCGGAGTCGAGTGGCGCGATCTCGGCTCACTGCAAGCTCCGCCCCTCCAGGTTTTAAGCAATTCTCTGCCTCAGCCTCCGGAGTAGCTGGGATTACAGGCGCCCGCCACCACGCCCAGCTAATTTTTTGTATTTTTAGTAGAGACGGGCTTTCACCATGTTGGCCAGGCTGGTCTTGAACTCCTGACCTCGTGATCCACACGCCTCGGACTCCCAAAGTGCTGGGAATACAGGCGTGAGCCACGCGCCCGGCTGTCTTTCTCCATTAAATATGAGGTTAAGCTGCAGATTTTTCACAGATGCCCTTGTCAGGTTGAGGAAGTTCCCTTCTGGCGTTGACGGTTTTTCTCAAAAGGGAGTTGTTTTTTGATTTTTGTTTTGAGACGGAGTCTCCCTCTGTCACCCAGGCTGGAGGGCAGTGGTGTGATCTCGGCTCACTGCAATCTCTGCCTCCCCTCCTGGGTTCAAGTGATTCTCCTGCCTCAGCCACCCGGTAACTGGGACCACAGACGCAGGCCACCATGCTCAGCTAATTTTTGCATTTTTTGTAGAGACGGGGTTTCACCCTGTCTGCCAGGCTGGTCTTGAACTCCTGACCTCAGGTGATCTGCCTGCCTCGGCCTCCCAAAGTGCTAGGATTACAGACATGAGCCAAAGCGCCCGGCCTTATAAAGGAGTTTTTCAAATGCTTTTTCCATGTTGATTGAGATGATGGTGTGTTTTTTGTTTTTTATCAGCATGCTATATATCTCTTTCATAAAAAAAAATGGATATTGGATAAGGCTAAGGCAGAGCTTTGTACTTCTTAACTAGAGATCTCTCTTCTGGGGAAATAAGATTTATTCCATTTTGGGTGTGGGCACTGTGGTGTGATATAGAGAGCAGAGATTTGGAATGAGGCTTTGCAATTTAATTGTCGTAAGACTTTAGCGGCGGGGTGCGGTGGCTCACGCCTGTAATCCTAGCACTTTGGGAGGCCGAGGGGGGCAGATCACGAGGTCAGGAGATCGAGACCATCCTGGCTAACACGGTGAAACCCCGTCCCTACTAAACATACAAAAAATTAGCCGGGTGTGGTGGTGGGCTCCTGTAGTCCCAGCTACCGGGAGGCTGAGCCAGGAGAATGGCATGAACCCAGGAGGCGGAGCTTGCAGTGAGCCGAGATCAGGCCACTGCACTCCAGCCTGGGCGACAGAGCGAGACTCCATCTCAAAAAAAAAAAAGGGTTACTTTAACTCTGTTCTTTAACTCTGTTAACTGTATTTTCTCAACTATAAAATGAGGATAAGGCTTATAAGGCTGGGCATGGTGGCTGACACCTATAATCCCAACACTTTGGGAGACTAAGGGAGGAGGATTTCTTGAGCACACAAGTTCGAGACCAGCTTGGGCAAAACAGAGAGACCCCGTCTCCACAAAAAGTTTAAAAATTAGCTGGACGTGGTGGCGTGCACCTGTGTCCCCATCTACTTGGGAAGTTGAGATGGGAGGATGACTTGAGCCTGGGAGGTCAAGGCTGCAATGAGCCGTGATTGAACCACTGCATTCCGGCCTGGGTGACAGAGGAAGACTCTGTCTCAATTTAAAAAAAAAAAGCTTATATAGTTATAACTATATACGCAATGGCCATTCATTTACATAATAGGCTGTTAGGATGAAATTCAGATAAATAAATGGCAGTATTCAAACTTTTATATGGTAGTGAAGCCAGGTTTACAAACAAAATCTTACCTGGAGTCCCAAATTATAATCAATATAGCGCTGCTCTTGTTCAAGTGCAGGCAGAAGACCTCTATCCCTGAGAATACTTCTATGGTAACTACTCATCACACTTTATTAATTGTATAATTGTCTTGATAGCCTGGAAGCTCAATCAGGGTAGGGATTGTGTATCTATCTTGTTCAATGCTGTGCTTCTAAAACCTAATATAGCGTCTGCCACAGATTAAATGTTCAATCAATATTTTTAACATCAATGAGTATCTTGATACATAAAGTAAGCACCAGAAAAATTGTCTTTATAAAGCTGCATGTTGTTTTTGTTTCATAGTTTTGGAAAACCACCCCATTTTTAATTTTTATTTTTTTTCCTTGAGACAGAGTTTCACTCTTGATGCCCAGCCTGGAGTGCAATGGCTGAATCTCGGCTCACTGCAACCCCCGCCTCCTGCGTTCAAGCAATTCTCCTGCCTCAGCCTCCCCAGTAGCTGGGATTACAGGGGCCTACCACCACACCCAGTTAATTTTTGTATTTTTAGTAGAGACGGGTTTTACCATATTGTCCAGGCTGGTCTCGAACTCCTGACCTCAAGTGATCCTTCCGCCTTGGCCTCCCAAAGTGCTGGGATTACAGGCTTGAGCCACCGCACCGGGCCGGAAAATCACCTTATTAAACCATTTAGTAAAGCATAGCACATAATAATGTATGATAATACAAAGCACTGTCTCTGTTATAAACATAGGCCTGCCTCTATTATAGGCATAGTTGCATCTCAGTAGGACATGCCTCTTTTAGAGAAATGTTTAAACTATGGATTTAACTTACTATTAAGTAATGCTCACATGAGACAAGAAACTAAAATTGAGAAGACTGGGGCTGGGCGCGGTGGCTCACGCCTGTAATCCCAGCACTTTGGGAGGCCGAGGCTGGCAGATCACGAGGTCAGGTGATCGAGACCATCCTGGCTAACATGGTGAAACCCCGTCTCTACTAAAAATACAAAAAAATTAGCCGGGCGTGGTGGCGGGCGCCTGTAGTCCCAGCTACTTGGGAGGCTGAGGCAGGAGAATGGCGTGAACCCGGGAGGCGGAGCTTGCAGTGAGCCGAGATCTCGCCACTGCACTCCGGGCTGGGCGACAGAGAGAGACTCCATCTCTGAAAAAAAAAAAAAAAAGTGTGTAGTCCCAGCTACTCGGAGGCTGAGGCAGGAGAATGACGTGAACCCCGGGGGGCGGAGCCTGCAGTGAGCTGAGATCGCGCCACTGCACTCCAGCCTGGGCGACAGAGCGAGACTCCGTCTCAAAAAAAAAAAATAATAAGGAAGAGTATGTAGGCCTGAGCCTCACTGTTTTTCAGAGGAAGAACTCATTCATGAGCAAATGTTTATGGAGTTCCTAATATGTTCCAGGCATTGGAAATACAGTAGTGCATAGGCAGGTGGGCTCCCTGTCCTCATGGAAATTATCCTTAAATAGTTATAAAAAGGAATTCAGCCAGGCGTGGTGGCTCACGCCTGTGATCCTAGCACTTTGGGAGACCGAGGTGGGTGGATTGCCTGAGCTCAGGAGTTTGAGATCAGCCTGGGCAACATGGTGAAACCCCATCTCTACTAAAATACAAAAAATTAGCAGGGTGTGGTGGTGTGTGCCTGTAGTCCCGGCTACTTGGAGGCTGAGGCAGGTGAATTGCTTGAACCCAGGAGGCAGAGGTTTTAGTGAGGTGAGATCGCACTACTGCACTCCAGCCTCAGCAACAGAGCAACATTCTATCTCAAAAAAAAAAAAAAAAGAATAGAAAAGGATTGATTAAATAGCTCAATTCTAGGAAATGTAGGCAATGCAATAGGACAGTTGGGTGCATCGGAGAACCCCTGAAGGTAGTTGAAAGCCCCACTGTCTGTCATCATGGGAAAAGGCAGCTCCTGGGACAGAAAGAGAAGTGAATACTGGATTAGAGAAATAAATCTTGGATTAGGGAAAAAAGAGGAAGCTTTTCCTCTGTTCTCTATTTTTTATTTTTTCGTGAGACAGAGTCTCGCTCTGTTGCCCAGGCTGGAGTGCAGTGGCATGATCTCGGCTCACTGCAACCTCTGCCTCCCAGGTTCACGCCATTCTCCTGTCTCAGCCTCCTGAGTAGCTGAGACTACAGGCACCTGCCACCACGCCCAGCTAATTTTTTGTATTTTTAGTAGAGACGGGGTTTCACCGTGTTAGCCAGGATGGTCTCGATCTCCTGAGCTTGTGATCCACCCGCCTCGGCCTCCCAAAGTGCTGGGATTACAGGTGTGAGCCACTGTACCCGGCTCCTCTGTTCTTTAAGGCATTGGTCTGGACTCTAATATGCTGGAAAATAACTCAGAACGGTGAAAGAAATGATAGCTCTGCTATAGGGAGGAAGCCACGTTATAGAAGATTAGTGTAGATGGACAGTAAGTTTTGGAAGTTATTCTCTTTTGTTATTACCTTTAATTATCCTGGAGACTTCAACAAAGAATTATGGTAAATTGTAGCTTGGTCTCTTATGCTATGAGAAACTGGGTTCACACTTAGAATCACTTGGTAAAAAGAATTATAATATTAAGCTAACATTTATACGGTGCTTATTATGTGTTTGGCACTGTCCTAAACATTTTACAAACATCAGCTCCTTTATTTCTGGTTATAACCCTGGGGTGGGTTCTCTCATTATCCTCATTTACACGTGAAGAAATTGAAGTACAAGTTGAATGAAAGAAAGCCCTATCACACAGCAATTAAATGGTAGAGACCTGGAATTCAATCCAAGCACAGCCTGGCTCTAGAAGTCACACACTTAACCAATTGATATACCTTTCTACCATCGCTAGGCCAATATAAAATTAGCAGCAGGGATCTGAGCGATTAGGAGCAGTAGCAGGGGGCTATTGATGGCCCTAAATGGCAGACAGTGATCAATAATGAACCTGTTTCTGAAAACACAAGGAGAGCCTGGTGGTTCTCCATTAAGCACAGTAGAACTGCAGGGACTCTAAACCCCCCCTCCCTTGAATGGGCTGAGGTATGTGCAGCACCTTCTGTGGTATTGGTATCACCCTTAGGGATTCTGGAACTACAGACTTTGCGTTTAACCATTAATGGGACTTCATCTCTACCTCCTCTTTGGGTAGGAGAAACTAATATGGTGACAATTACCATAAAATAAGAAATCCCAGGGGGAGGGGGGAGGGATAGCATTGGGAGATATACCTAATGCTAGATGATGAGTTAGTGGGTGCAGCACATCAGCATGGCACATGTATACATATGTAACTAACCTGCATATTGTGCACATGTACCCTAAAACTTAAAGTATAATAATAATAATAATAATAAAAAGAAATCCCTATTCTGGAGATATACAAAGTACTGTCTGAGTAACTATGCCTGAGAGAATCAGATATGGCTGATGGCCTTTGAACTGGAACTCTTAGGATGAATACATTAAACATGCAGGCAAGGAGAGAGCAGGGAAAGCACAAATATGATAAAATGCGAACAAACTTTTACATACATTTGATTTTAAAATATTTACTTCTGAATAGATAATACATGCACTTGCCCCAAATTTAAAAAGGACAAAAGAATATACGGTGAAACCTATGTTTCAGAGTTTTGCTCTTGTCACCCAGGATGGAGTGCAGTGGTGCAATCTCAGCTCACTGAAACCTCTGCCTCCTGGGCTCAAGTGATCCTTTCACCTCAGCCTCCCGAGTAGCTGGGACTACAGCAGGCACATGCCACCATGCTCAGCTAATTTTTGTATATTTTTGTAGAGACGGAGTTTCATGCCACGTTGCCCAGGCTGGTCTCGAACTCCTGAGCTCAAGCAATCTGCCCACCTCAGCCTCCCAAAGTGCTGAGATTACAGGCATGAGCCACTGCACCTGGCCTACTATCTTTTCAGATGTTTAGTCTCCATTTGTATTTCCTGTTCTGTACAATATTTCATTATTATTCATTTATTTTAGAGATAGAATCTCCTTATGTTGCCCAGGCTGGTCTCGAACTCCTTGGCTCAAAGGGACCCAGCCTCTCAAGCAGCTACATAGAGGTGCATGCTACACCCAGCTCTGTTCTGTAAAGTCTTACCTCCTTTCCCCCTTTTAAATTATTATTCATTTTTCTTTTCTTTTCTTTTTTTTTTTTTTTTGAGATGGAGTCTTGCACTGTTGCCCAGGCTGGAGTGCAGTGGCGCGATCTCGGCTCACTGCAAGCTCCGCCTCCTGGGTTCACACCATTCTCCTGCCTCAGCCTCACGAGTAGCTGGGACTATAGGCGCCCGCCACCACGACTGGGTAATTTTTTGTACTTTTAGTAGAGACGGGGTTTCACCGCGTTAGCCAGAATAGTCTCGATCTCCTGACCTTGTGATCCGCCCACCTCGGCCTCCCAAAGTGCTGGGATTACAGGCGTGAGTCGCTGCGCCCGGCCTATTATTCATTTTTCTTACTGATTTGCTTTTTTTTGAGATGGAGTTTCACTCTTGTTGCCCAGGCTGGAGTGCAATGGCGCGATCTCAGCTCACCGCAACCTCTGCCTCCTGGGTTCAAGCGATTCTCCTGCCTCAGCCTACTGAGTAGCTGGGATTACAGGCATGCACCACCACGCCCAGTTAATTTTGTATTTTTAGCAGTGACAGGGTTTCTCCATGTTGGTCAGGCTGGTCTCGAACTCCCGACCTCAGGTGATCCACCCGCCTTGGCCTCCAAAGTGCTGGGATTTGGGAGTGCTACAGGCATGAGCCACCATGCCCCGTCTTTTTTTTCTTTTTCTTTTTTTTGAGATGGAGTCTCGCTCTGTTGCCCAGGCTGGAGTACAGTGGCACAATCTCAGCTCACTGCAACCTCCGCCTCCCAGGTTCAAGCGATTCTCCTGCCTCAGCCTCCTGAGTAGCTGGGACTACAGGCGCCTGCCACCACGCCTAGCTAATTTTTGTATTTTCAGTAGAGACAGGGTTTCACTATGTTGGCCAGGATGGTCTCCATCTCCTGACCTCGTGATCCACCTGCCTGGGCCTCCCAAAGTGCTGGGATTACAGGTGTGAGCCACTGCACCCAGCCTTTTTTTTTTTTTTTTTTTTTTTTTTTTTTTTTTTTTTTTTAGACAGATTCTTGCTCTGTCGCCCAGGCTGGAGTGCAGTGGTGCAATCTCAGCTCACTGCAACCTCCACCTCCCGGGTTCAAGCGATTCTCCTGCCTCAGCCTCCCGAGTAGTTGGGATTACAGGTGCCCACACCACGTCCGGCTACTTTTTGTATTTTTAATGGAGACAGGTTTCTCCGTGTTGGCCAGGCTGGTTTTGAACTCCTGACTTCAGGTGATCCTCTCACCTCAGCCTCCCAAAGTACTGGGATTACAGGCATGAGCCACTGTGCCTGACCTGATTTGTATTTTTTTTTAAATATTAACATTAAAAGGATTAGCCATTTGTGATGAGTTGTAAATATTTTTCCCAGTTTGTTATTTGTCTTTTCTTTTGTTCATAATATTTTAAACAATATGAAAAATTTTCACATATGAGGTTATCAGTATTTTGCTTGTAGCTTCTCGTGGTGGTGTCACCATAACAGCAGTCTCGATTATTTTTTAAAAATTTTCCTCAGGCCCAGCGCGGTGGCTTATGCCTGTAATCCCAGCACATTGGGAGGCCAAGGCAGACAGATCACTTGAAGTCTGGAGTTCGAGACCAGCCTGGCCAACATGGTAAAACCCCGTCTCTACTGAAAATACAAAAATTAGCCGGGTGTGGTGGCAGGTGCCAGTAGTCCCGGCTACTCGGGAGGCTGAGGCAGGAGAATCGTTTGAATCTGGGAGGCAGAGGTTGCAGTGAGCTGAGATTGTGCCACTGTACTCCAGCGTGGGTGACAGAGCGAGACTCAGTCTAGAAAAAAAAAAATTTCCATTAGTGTTTTTACCCCCAAAAATTACAATGGCTTTATTATTTGTTTTAGCTTATTTGAACAATAGAGAAAAATAAAATTAACCCAAAAATACCACCCCAAGAGATTTTAAAAAGCCACTATCATTTTAGGTATATATTCTTCCAGACATCTCTATGTACACATTTCCAATCTTCTAAATCCTTTCAGTGTAATTCACTGTTCTAGGTTCTTGAGATGGATGCAGAACTCACAAATTCTCAGCTTTTCTTTCATCCTAAAATTTTTATTTATTTATTAACTTACTTATTTTAAAAGAGACAGGGGTCTCCCTATGTGGCCCAGGCTGGTCTCAAACTCCTGGCCTCAGGCAATCCTTCTTCCTTGGCCTTCCAAAGCACTGAGATTACAAGTGTAAGCCACCACATCCAGGCTCTTTTTTCTTATGTGCTCTTAAGACTATGTATTTTCCTCTAAGCACATTTTTTTCTTTTCTTTTTTTTCTTTTTTCTTTTTTTTTTTTGAGACAGAGTCTCACTCTGTCGCCCAAGCTGGAGTGCAGTGGCATGACCTTCGCTCACTGCAACCTCTGCCTCCTGGGTTCAAGCGATTCTCCTGCCCCAGCCTCCCGAGCAGCTGGGATTACAGGCACACGCCACCATACCCGGCTAATTTTTGTATTTTTAGTAGAGACAGGGTTTCACCATGTTGGTCAGGCTGGTCTCAAACTCCTTACCTTGTGATCTGCCCACCTTGGCCTCCCAAAGTGCTGGGATTAACAGGCGTGAGCCACCGCGCCCGGCCCTTTTTTCTTTCTTTCTTTCTTTTTTTTTAAGACAGAATCTCGCTCTGTCACCCAGGCTGGAGTGCAGTGGCGCAATCTCGGCTCACTGAAACTTCCACCTCCCAGGTTCAAGTGACTATCTCGCCTCAGCCTCCTGAGTAGCTGGGACTACAGGTGCCCACCACCACGCCCGGCTAAGTTTTTGTATTTTTAGTAGAGATGGGGTTTCACCATTTGGTCAGGCTAGTCTCCAACTCCTGACCTCAAGCAATCCACCTGCCTCAGTCTCCCAAAGTGCTGGGATTAAAGGTTTGAGCCATGGTGCCCGGAATGCTTTGTGACATTTTAAATTATCACTCAGGTCAAAATATTTTCTAACTCCAATTGTGATTTATTTTGTGGGTCATTTAAAAATGTATTCAGCACACTACAGCCTTAAACTCCTGGAATCAAGGGATCCTCTGGCCTCCAAGTAGCTGGGACTGCAGGCATGTGTCATTGTGCCCGGCTGTATTTAACTTGTAAACATAGGGACTTCCCAGTTACCTTTTTGTTACTGATTCTAGCCTCACTGTAATGTAGGCAAGAAACATACTTTGCATCATTTGAAGCCTTTGAAATTTGTTGAAACTTGCTTTATAGAACAATCTGGTCAGTTTCTTAAATGTTCCAAATGTGCTTGAACATGTGCTTTGTAATTTGAAGTCGTTGGGTATAGTGGACTCTATACGCTTGTTGAATCAAATTTACTGCTCGTGTTATTTAAATTTTCTATATCCTTGCTGATTTTTTCTTATTCTTTCTCTTTTTTTTTTTTTTTTTTTTTAGAGAAAGAGTTGGTCTCATTTTGTCTCTCAGGTTGAAGTACAGTGGTGCCATCATAGCTCACTGCAGCCTCAACCTCCTGGGGTCATGTAATCGTCCCACCTCAGCCTCCTGGGTAGCTGGGACTATAGGCATGCACAACCATGCTCAGCATATTTTTTTTTTTTTTTTGAGACGGAGTCTTGCTCTTGTCACCCATGCTAGAGAGCAGTGGCGCGATCTTGGCTCACTGCAACCTCCGCCTCCCGGGTTTAAGCTATTCTCCTGCCTCAGCCTCCTGAGTAGCTGGGATTACAGGTGCCCGCCACCACACCCAGCTAATTTTTGTACTTTTAGTAGAGACGGGGTTTCGCCATGTTGGCCAGGCTGGTCTCGAATTCCTGAACTCAGGCCCGCCCCGGCCTCCCAAAGTGTTGGGAATTACAGGCGTGACCCACCGCGCCCGCCCCTAATTTTTTTTTTTTTTGTAGAAATGAGGGTCTCCCTATGCTGCCCAGGCTGGTCTTGAACTCCGGCCTCATGCAATCCTCCCATCTCAGCCTCCCAAAGTGCTGGGATTACAGGCATCAGCTACTGCACCTGGCCCTGACTTTTTCTATCAGTTCTGAAAGAAGTATACTCTATTAATTGAGAGAGGTGTGCTAAATCTCCTACGATGATTGTGAACTTGTCTATTTTTCCTTGTAGCTCGGTGCTGTATATTATTTGAGGTTTTGTTAAGTGCATACAAATTTAGAAATGTTTTCCGGCGTTGGTTGAAAATCACCCCCGGTTTTGGCCGTGGCCGCGGGTGAAATTCGGCGCGCAAGAGCCTCCGGGGGCCTCAGCTCACCGCGTGCTGCCGCCATGTGCGACGGTGAAACCCAGGCCCCGACAGGGGCCGCGGCCTCCCCCCGGGTGTGGCTGCTCGCGTGGTCTGACCCCTGACTCCTGACCCCGGCTGCAGACCCCTAACCCTATTTTTCTCTCCGCAGGACACTGGTCCTCCTACGCCTGAGACCGACGTTGCCAGGACCGCAGGGTCAGGGGGACTTGGCTGTCCCCCGTCTTTCAAATAAAGCTGTTTGTCTAAAATAAATAAATAAATAAATAAATAAATAAATAAATAAATAAATTTATTTTTTAACTTCCTGGTGAATTAAACTTATTGGTATAAAATGTCCTTATTTCTAGTAATGCTTTTTGCCTTCAAGTCAACTGTGTCTGATTTTAACATAAGCTTCTTTTGGTTTATGTTGCATAGCTTATCTTTTCCTATAATTTTACTTTCAACCTTTTGATAACCTTATTATTGTTTATTTATTTATTTATTTAATTTATTTATTTTTGAGACAGAGTCTTGCTCTGTTGCCCAGGCTGGAGTGCAGTTGTGCGATCTCGGCTCACTGCAAGCTCTGCCTCCTGGGTTCATGCCATTCTCCTGCCTCAGCCTCCTGAGTAGCTGGGACTACAGGCGCCCGCCACCACGCCCCGCTAATTTTTGTGTTTTTAGTAGAGATGGGGTTTCACCTTGTTAGCCAGGATGGTCTCGATCACCTGACCTCGTGATCTGCCCGCCTCGGCCTCCCAAAGTGCTGGGGTTACAGGCGTTAGCCACTGCGCCCGGCCTATTGTTATTTATTTATTTAAAAAAAAATTTTTTTTTGAGACGGAGTCTCGCTCTATCACCCAGGCTGTAGTGCGGTGGCACAATCTCAGCTCACTGCAACCTCTGCCTCCCGGGTTCAAATGATTCTCCTGCCTCAGCCTCCTGAGTAGCTAGGATTACAGGCACGGGCCACCACACCCGGCTAATTTTTGTATTTTTAGTAGAGACGGGGTTTCACCATGTTGGTCAGGCTGGTCTCGAACTCCTGACCTCAAGAGATCCACCTGCCTTGGCCTCCCAAAGTGCTGCAATTATAGGCATGAACCACCACGCCCAGCCTGTTATGTTATTTGAAAAAGAATGGTCTGGAATATAAGAGCATTTTTACTTAATTGAACAACCACCCAAAGAAAAATTGGTTAATTCTCTAATTAACTGGTGGGATTGGTGAGACAGGGTTGTTTTATGTTACGGTCTTTGGAATAACCAATGACTTGGAAAAAGTCATCCCCATGGGGGCAGCAAAGAGTCATTGATAAAGAGCCTGCTGAATTTCTGAAACCTGGTGAAACTTGTTATATATAATACAATAATAAATATTAGGTAACATTTATCCAGCACTAGGCCCTGTGCAACACTTTCTATACATCATTTAATATAATCATTAAAACAATGATCTGTAAGGTGGATGTTATATTTCTTTCACAGATAAGAAAACAAGTTTAGAGAAGTTAAGGAACTTGCCTGTCATATTAGTGAGGGTCAGAGCTGGGGAATGAAGAAAAGGGAACAGGTTGAGGCGACTTGAACAGCAGATCACTAGGATTCAGCAACTGATTGTGGTCCCTACTCCTTTTTTCTTTTTCTTTTTTTTTTTTGAGGCAGCAGGGTCTGGCTCTGTCACCCAGGTTGGAGTGCAGTGGTGCGATCTTGGCTCACTGCAACCTCGGCTTTCCAGGCTCAAGTGATCCTTCCACCTCAGCCTTCTGAGTAGCTGGAACTATAAGCACATGCCACCATGCCTAATTTTTGTATTTTTTTCTGTAGAGACAGGGTTTGGCCATGTTACCCAGGCTGGTCTTGAACTCCTGGACTCAAGCAATCCACCCGCCTCAGCCTCTCAAAGTCCTGGGACTGCAGGTATGAGCCACCATGTGTGGCCGAGGTCCCTACTCTTTTATTCGGGAGCCATAGAAGCCAGAACTGCAATAAATTCTAGTTCTGGACTTAGAGCTAGGTTCCAAGCTGAACTGAAATTAGGAGGAGCCAGTAGTATAATGCCTGGATGAAAATGAGTAACTGGGGCAGCTTAGAGTTAATAGGAAACCAAGAATAGAGCAGATCATCAGGTCAGCAAGTCCCTGCAGAGTAAAGCAGAAGAGTAAAGCCCTGGTAGGGACACAGGGATCCGAGTGGCCCTGGAAGAGTCAAGAGGATACTTGTGACAAGGGGCTAGTGCTAGCAAGATAGAGACTTCTTAAGGGAATATCTGGTTTGAAAAGATTAATCTGGCAGACCTGGGAAGGAACATGGACTAGGACAAGCAGCCTTAATAGAGTATTCAGATCAAGAAAGAGAACAGATCTGCTTTACTCTAAACTGGTACTACCACTGACTTGTAAAAAAATATTTAGTAGGGACATGTGGCTATGATGTGTTGACCCAGAGAGAAAAAACAGAACCAATACATGGAAGTTACAAAGAGATTTATCTAAGGATAGTAAAAAGGCCTTTCTAATTACTGAGAATTACAGGGAGTTGAAAACTACAGTTAAGGACACAGTGGAAATGTGAGCCTGTGGATAGCTGAAGGGTTCCAGGTTACAGATTCCAGTGAAGGAAGAGGTAACTGTGGGAGTAGTGTTTTGATAAGTAGAAAAGGATGGGCATCAGGATAGAGCTGAAGGGGCCAGTCTTTGAAAGCTGGAGGGATGTTTTCTCAGCTGAGGAAGAGACAGGAACTAATGTAAAGGAAGAAACATAACAAGCAGAGGACTTCCGCAAGAGAATTCTACACAGGGTTCTCAATCTTCTCAGAGGAAGTTCCCCCAAGTTTTTAGTTGAATTAAGGAGAGGGTGGTTCATAAGGCAAGAGATGAAGTTTTTGTTTTAACTGTACAGATGATGTATAGTTTAAGCTAAGGAGGAACAGCAGTCTAGCTATAGCTAACAAAAAACTCTAAACTGTTTGAAATATTTTTTTCTCAGTGATGGACATGAGGGTGCCCATCTCTACACAGGAGGTCCCTTTGGCTTAGCTCAGGAAATCTGCACAGCTCTCTTTGTTGGCGTTACGATCTTAGGACTTCATGTTGAAAGAGTGAACTTCCAGGGCTCCCCAAGCAGAAAATATCCCTCCAAATAAACTGACTAGTTTAGGAACAGCTGGCCAGGCAACTGTCCCAATGTTTGGAATTTGGAAAATTTGGTCATTGAAGTCTGGCCCCAGGGAAAAGAACTGAGTTCTGTGAGTCCTGCAGGGGAAGACAGATTACTTTGGAAGGCCTAATGAAGGCAAATCTCAGCCCTTCCTTCACCTTTCCATTCTTTTTTTTTGAGACAGAGTTCAATTCTGTTGCCCAGGCTGGAGTACAGTGGCGTGATCTTGGCTTACTGCAACTTCCACCTCTCAGGTTCAAGCAATTCTCCTGCCTCAGACTCCCGAGTAGCTGGGATTACAAGTGCATGCCACCACACCCAGCTAATTTGTTTATTTTTTAGTAGAGATGGCGTTTCAACATGTTGGCCAGGCTGGTCTCGAACTCCTGACCTCAAGTGATCCTCCTGCCTCAGCCTCCCAAAGTGCTGGGATTACAGGCATGAGCCACCGTGCCTGGCTAAGCTTTCCATTCTCAGTGAAGAAAGTGATCTGTTCTCTTCCCCATTGGTTGCAATAAGCAGACTGGACATCATACTATGACTAGAAAAGGCAATCCTCAGCTTTCTCTAATCCTCTGAATGGAATTGGGTTAGGTTTGGAGAGGAGAGGTGGGTTCATGGAAAGGAATTACCATCATGGTGCCAAGACTACTGAGTGTCAAACCACTTCAGAATATGGATACGGAGGGAGAATATTATTCTCCTTTAAGAAGTAGTGCCTGTGTCTGTCTTTTTTGCGGGCTTATGTGGATTACATCTGCATTCCACACATCACAGCTACCTCTGTCCTGATGGCTATTCCTCTAGGAAAAGCTAAGGAGCAATCTACGAAGACAATGAATACATAAGGGAGATTGTTTACAAAAGAAAAGTGTTCCAGTGGGTATAGAGGAAAAAATGGTCAGAGGTGAGGTAGAAATTTTTTACTTTCCCCAATTAATGAACACCTTTTCCCTTCAACCTTCTACAGGCTGTTTATTCTTGCTCCTGTAGGAAGGCGTGGCAAGGTATCAGCTTTCTCTTTGCTACCCACTGCTACTTTTAGACCACTGTGCTTCCATCCTCTTGCAAAAATTCTTCTCCCTTTGAAGCTTATGCCATCTGGCTTTACTGCCCTTTAACACCTTTTTTTTTTCTTTTTCTTTTTGTAGTGCAGTGGCAATAATCATAGCTCACTGCAGCCTCAAACTCCTGGGCTCAAGTGATCCTCCAAACCCAGCCTTCAGCACCTATTAACCTCTTTTTGTGCCAACTCTTACTATCATCCTGGGAGGTTTTACAAAAACCCATGAAAAATACAGTTAGTTCCTGACCTCCAACTCCAACGAATACTCCCACTTTCAATTCCTTAATTTCACCATTTCTAGAAAAACAGGTTTTTGTTGATGGCAGCTTCAGGGCCATAGTAAGGACTGGGAGAGGGTAGCATTCTTCTTCTTTTTTTTTGAAACAGGGTCTCGCTATGTCACTCAGGTTGGAGTGCAATGGTGCCATCAGGACTCACTGCAACCTCAAACTCCTCAGTCTCAGGTGATCCTCCCACCTCAGCCTCCCAAATAGCTGGGACTACAGGCAAGTGCACACCCACCTAATTAAAAAAAAATTTTGTAGAAATGGGGTCTCTCACTATGTTGCCCAGGCTGATCTTGAACTCCTGGCCAAAGTATTGGGATTACAGGTGTGAGCCACCACACCCAGCCAGGGTATCATTATTAAGTGTAGTAAGATTGATGGTGCCAGCACTGGCTGGTGTTGACTTGAAGACTCACTGAAAGACTGGGACTGGCAGCCATGATGCATAAGGGCAGAATAGCCTGGGGGTTGTACTGCCCAGTGATACTTGGGGAAAGGTTCAAGATCTGGATTTGACTCTTGTGCCAAGCTTCCAAGAAACCTAGGTTCAGAGGTAAGAGCACCTTTCCTATCAGCTGCCTCTGTGGGGACATCTGACACTTTCAACATCCACCCCCTTGAAATACTCTTCCCTTTGATTCTGTGACAATTATCTCCCAGGTTTTCTTCTTCTTCACTCGCTGTTCCTTTTCAAAGATTCTCCAAGAGCTCTTTTTCTACTTGTGCCTTAAATGTTGGAATTTCCGAGAGCACTCTTCTTAGCCCTCTGCTCTTTTCTGGGGAGCTTATCCAAATCTATGGCTTCAACTACCACCGAAATGTTGATGTTTCAGAATTTCTGGCCTATATATCACAGGGCTTTCTAAAAAGTAGTTTTCTGGCCAGGTACCATGGCTCACGCCTGTAATCCCAGCACTTTAGGAGGCCGAGGAGAGTGGATCACGAGGTCAAGAGTTTGAGACCAGCCTGGCCAACATAACGAAACCCCGTCTCTACTAAAAATACAAAAAATTAGCCAGGCATGGTGGCGTGCACCTGTAGTCCCAGCTACTCAAGAGGCTGAGGCAGGAGAATTGCTTGAACCTGGGAATCAGAGGTTGCAATGAGCTGAGATGTGCCACTGCACTCCAGCCTGGGTGACAGAGCGAGACTGTCTCAAAAAAGAAAAAAAAAAAGTAGCTTTCTGTAAAATAATATGTGCATAATAAAATAATTTCAAGCAATAAAGATAGATGTAAAATGAAAAGTATAAGTCTTATCCCTCCTAGGCCCACTCTTCATAATTTTTTAATGCATGTGTAAATGTGTCATATTTATTCTGTGCTTGCTTTTTTTCTCCACTTATATTTTTCTCTTAAGTTTTAGATCTGTGTATTAAACATGCCACTAGGACATATCTATCTAGCTATCTCACAGGTACCTAAAACTTCTTCACCTTCTTTGGAATTCTCCCTCCTGCAACAC
Organism: Homo sapiens; assembly: GCF_000001405.40. NCBI lineage: Eukaryota > Metazoa > Chordata > Mammalia > Primates > Hominidae > Homo > Homo sapiens. The sequence goes on along the minus strand of NC_000001.11, from coordinate 161,135,302 downwards.
CCTACCACTAGTCTCCTTTTTACATCAACACCATGAAAAAACTGTCTTTATACGTTGTGCCTTCTCAATTCAATCTGGTTTCTATCCACCATAACTACAAAACAGCTTTCTCCAAATTTCCTAAATGACCTCCTTGTTGCAGTATCTTTTTTGGGGGGACAGAGTCTCACTGGAGTGCAATTGTGCAATTTCGGCTCACTGTACCTCCGCCTCCTGGGTTCAAGCGATTCTCCCACCTCAGCCTCCCAAGTAGCTGGGATTACAGGTGCCCGACACCATGTCTGGCTAATTTGTGTATTTTTAGTAGAGATGGGAGTTCCACCATGTTGTCCAGGCTGGTCTCGAACTCCTGACCTCAGGTGATCGGCCCACCTCGGTCCCCAAAGTGCTGGGATTACAGGTGTGAGCTACCACACCTGGCCTTTTTATTTATTTGTTTTATTTACAAAAAAACCAAAGTCTTGTTCTGTTGCCGAGAGTGCAGTGGTGCAATCTTGACTCACTGCAACCTCCGCCTCCTGGGTTCAAGTGATTATCATGTTTCAGCCTCTGGAGTACCTGCGATCACAGGTGCGCACCACCATGCCCAGCTAATTTTTGTATTTTTTGTAAAGATGGGGTCTTGCCATGTTGACCACACTGGTCTCCAGCTCCTGGTCTTAAGTGATTCACCTGCCTAGGCTTCCCAAAGTGCTGGGATTACAGGTGTGAGCCACTGTGCCTGGCCCTTGTTGCAATATCTGATAGATACATTTTATTTACTTTATTTTATTTTTTTGGAGACAGAGTCTCACTCTGTCACCCAGGCTGGAGTGCAGTGGCACGACCTCAGCTCACTGCAACCTCTGCCTCCTGGGTTCAAGCGATTCTTGTGCCTCAGCCTCCCCAGTAGCTGGGACTACAGGCGCGCACTGCCATGCCTGGCTGATTTTTGTATTTTTAGTAGAGACGGGGTTTCACCATGTTGACCAGGCTGGTCTCCAGCTCCTGACATCAGGTGATCTGCCCGCCATGGCCTCCCAAAGTGCTGGGATTACAGGAGTGAGCCACAGCACCCGGCCTATTTATTTCATTTTTTTTGAGACAGGGTCTTGCTCTGGTGCCCAGGCTGAAATGCAGTGGCGCGATCTCGGCTCACTGCAACCTCTGCCTCCTGGGTTCAAGCAATTCTCATGCTTCAGCCTCCCAAGTAGCTGGGATTACCGGCATGTGCAACCACACCCATCTAATTTTTTTTGTATTTTTAGAAGAGACAGGGTTTCACCATGTTGGTCAGGCTGGTCTCGAACTCCTGGCCTCAAGTGATCCACCCGCCTCGGCCTCCCAAAGCTAGGATTACAGGTGTGAGTCACCATGCCCGGCCCTGATGTATATATTTTAGTTAGCATTTTACTATATCTCTGTTACACTAAACGCTTTCACCAGTTTCCTTGATAGTTCTCTATGGTTTTCTTCTTTCCTTTCGGTTTGCCCCTTCTCAGTGTTCTTTTCGGCTTCCCTCATCCTATCCCGCAAATGCAGGTATCCTCTCCAGCCCACTTCATGGCTTCAACAGCTATCTATATGCACACGCACACACACCTCAAACCTTTCTTTTGAGTTCCCAACCCACATTAGCTAATATCCCAGGGGCACCTAAAACTCATTATCTCCCCCCTAAACGAGAAAGAAACTGGTATCATTATTCCCCAGTTGTCCAAGTCACAACATTCGTACCTCTTAAACCAATCTGTATCTCCCCATCCGCACTCTCCCTTCCACAGGCAGACCATCATCATCCTTGCCTGGAAAAGAGCCTCACAACTGCTCTCCTTGATTCTCCTCAATTCATTCATCCTTCACACTGCACGCAGCGATCTAAAATGCAAATGAAATTGTTCACACCTCTGCTGAGATTCTTCAAAGACTTTTCATTGCCTTAAGGATAAAAATCAATTAATTTACAAGGCTTCGCATAATCTGGTCTTCCCCTATCTATTACCACTTTCTTAAGCCACACCAGAACGTACCCGCACCATCCTCCCCACCCCCAATTCCCAACAGCCCTACACGGATCAGCTAGGCGACACTTCCTACAGGAAACCGGCGTTCAAAAGGTAAATGCTGAACAAATGAATTCCGAGACGGGATCTGGGCACCACTTTCGGCTCCGGATCCGGGTTTACGGAACGTCCGGGTTATCAGGAAGCTCAGAGGAAAGGTGAAATCCAGATCTTGACCCTTCACTCAAGTTCGCCAGACAAACCGATCCCCGTGGTATTCCGCCCTTATGAGTCATGGCTGCCAATCCCAGCCTTCCAGTGGGTCTTGAAGTCGCCACCAGCCAGCTGTGGCGCCACCAATGTTTCCCATTCAAGAATGCTATCCTCTTCGATCCCTTATTACCGCCCTAAGCAGCCGTCAAGACAAACCGGCGTTGCCAGCTTGCCCCAAAGCAAGATGGCTGCCAATCTCTATCTCTCCTCCCGAAGTGAAGCTATCCACTCCCCGATTAATGCCGCTGCCAGGCTGCCCTCACTTACTATGGCTACTCCGGCTCATGTCTCACTATGGCCTCGAAGCCGCCACTAACCGGCCGGGTTCCGGGAGGCGCCGTTCAGGATGCAGCCACCCCCGCCCGCCTGTCCCCTCCCCCACGGCCGCGGCGGCGGCGGCGGCGGCGGCTGCTGGAGCCCGGATGCGGCGCCGTGAGGCAGGCCCGGGAGAGCGGCGCGGATGGATCCAACATGGCGGCGCCGAGCCTGAGCCGAGAGTGAGGCGGAGGGGCGGCCGGAGTGGGGAGAGGGAGTCGAGCGGGACGGGGCGGGGCCGGGCGGGGCCGCAAAGGGCTTGGGGAAGGAAAGTGGAGGGGGAGGCGGTGGCGACGTCCAGCCTGAGAACCTCAAGAGAGGGAGGTGACGGGACGCTGAGAGGTGGGGGAGGGGAGCTGCCGAGGGGGGCGTGCAGGGGAGATGGCAACTGCGGGAGAGGGCAGGGGTCGAGACGGAGGAGTGAGGGCATGGGGAGGGGCGTAAACAAGGGCTGAGACTGGGCCCAGCCAGGGGTATTAGAGAGGCCGAGGTGGGGAGTGGGGCTGCGATCCGCTCGTATTGAAGGGGGTAGGAGCAGGAGGGAGAGGCTGAGGGTGTGAAGGGGAAGGGGGCTGTGGCATGTGGTTGGAGGGAGGACTGGACTCTGATGAGGGGTGTTGCGAGGAGGTGGGTAAAGGTCAGAATTGGAGTTAAGACGTTTCTGGGGGGCTTCGAAAGTGTTAAATTGGAGGTGGGAGGGGGAAGGGCCTAGGGGAGAATTTGGGTGGAAAAGGAGAGAACGGAGGCTTGGGGAATGGAGAGAGTGTCGGTGGGAGGAGGTAATGGAGAAAGTGAGAGACTGGGAGGAAGAAAGTTTGGGAGGAAGGGGAGTGGAATGGGAGATAGGACAGTGGAGCTGCACGGGTGATAGAGGTTCGGGGGTTTCCCTTTCCCCGGTGGAGAGGAGGAGAGAACAGAGTTAAGCAGCATCAGTTGCAGCCAATTCTAATTGCCAGGCCCTTAGCTTTTAAGAGGGTGGGAAGGGCAGAAGGGAATGGTCATGTGGGTTTGCAGAATTGGGGTTGGATGAGAATTCAACTGGGTTTGTTTTCCAAAAGACTCCCTAGCTTACTGTTCCCTTGTTTTTCCTGCTTGGGAAAATGGGGAAGCCGGTGTCGCCCAAGTGTGGAGGAGCAAAGGACTTTTCTAGTTTTTAGCATTAGCAATACAAGAGTGGGGGAGCAGACATGGCTATATTGGAACCCTATATGCTAAGGTGGAGGCTCTGGAAGTCTGAGGAGGGAAAGAGAAAAGATAGAGTGGCATCTAGACAGGTTAATTAAATGAGTGCTGTAGTTTCCAGACCCTTTTGCTGTTTTAAGTCTGGAAGGGAGGGGGTAACATGGATACTGTATGTAGAAAAACTTTTCCCTGGTGAAACATAGACGTATGAGTGGATGCTGCGCCATTAGATATTTTGTTCTCATTGTGTGCTAGTTAAGGGAAAGGGCCAAATGTAGAATTTGGAGGATAGTGCTGGTCTGCTGTAACCACTTTCCTCCCAGTTTTTTCTAAAGGTGAAAGTTAACGTTAATATTGTAACAAAATAGGAATAAGGAATTGTGGAGGAAGATGAGAAGCTGCCAGAGGGTAATTGGTTTTCCCAGAAGTTCTTAAATTTGGGAGCTGTCTTGCCGCAAGCCATTGAGACTGGAAATTCTTGGAGTTGGTATTGTTTTTGTAAATTGACTAATAGAGAGTTAGGGAAGCCTGGAGACTTGTTGGGGGTGAGTTCTCTAAATGGTTTTAGGCTTGTCTGTGTACTTTTGCAACGAGATTGTCTAATTCTATGGGCCTCTGAGGTTTCAAAGTAAAACTTGAAAATTAATTATTTTCCCCTCCTTATTTGTTTTTGTTTTGCTGCTGGCTGTGAAACTTGTGCTAGGAAGAGACCTGGGAAATTAAGTTTCTTGCGGAGGTAAGTCTGGAACTTTTTTATTGTTTTCAAACAATGGAAGGGAATGGAAATAGCATGGGAGTTATTTTGAGGTTGGGTCCATTAATGAGGAGGAGAATGCCAGGGAAAATGAGTTATCATTCATCCATCTGAGTGCATGAGATCTGTTGTAATCACTGTCTTTAGTTAATTGGAGATAGGAGGTGAAAGAGAAGGAGATTTAGATGTCTTGGGACAATCCCCCAGCTTTGGTTTGTTATTGTCTAGTCTTCTTGGTCAGCTCTGAAACATTTTTTTTTTTTAACATATGGAAGGCTGTATTCTAGTACATTGTCTACTAAATGTTGCCCTTGGAGGGTTGCTGGGACACCTTCCTTCCGTGGGAAACTTTTCCTCTAACTTTCTCTTTCAGCTGTTGGGGGGTTCCTGGCATCCTTCTTTTGAAAACATACTATGTAATTCTGACTTCCAGATATTTGATTACATTTCCTATCCCACCAGCAAGAATGTACTCTTAACCATCTTTAAGATTTTCTATGTAGTTTTAATTTAAGTTTCAAGATACCACTTTTTTTTGTAGTTCTTCTGCATGACTTTTCCTCTGAGGACTTCTGAGAGAGTCAGATATCTCTTAATTCTATGAAATTACAAATATCATCCCTGTTCAGAAAAGATGACTGTCATTTTCATTTCAAGACAGCACTCTTTTTTATTTCTTTCATGTCGCTTTCCCCTAAGGGCTTCTGAGAGAGCCAAGTACCTCAAAAACTACAGATATTCCTGGTTGGGATGAGACCAGACTTTGCTTGGAAGTAGAAACATAGTAGAGAAGGACCAATCAGGAGGAAATCCTGAAGATACCTATAGACTGTTGGCCCTTGGCTGACTTGGACTTCTCTAAAGAAAAAAGCAAAACTCCAGGAAATACAACAATTCCTCAGAATCAATTATTCTTGGGAAACTGTAGGGGAGAATTCATGTGTTACTATCTCAAATACAGCCAGACCAGTCAGTGGGATCAGGACTTTCTGTGTGCTGGAGTTTCGTCTCTTGGTATTTGGCAGTGTTTCAGATACCAAGACTTGAGTTAGTTCTAATTTTCTGTTCAGAGGGTTACATTCTCCTCACCATTCTGATACCTGTCATCTAGAATCTCTGTATGTTTTAAGTTGAGCTCCCTTGCTTCACTGTCACAGAAATACGAGTATATTTTGGTTTTAGAGGAAATTGGTCATGTTTTCTTTTCTAATTTTACTAATCAGCTGAACTTTCATCACTTTTTTTTTTTTTTTTTTTGAGGCAAGGTCTCACTCTGTACCCCAGGCTGGAGTGCAGTGGTGCGATCAGAGTAGCTGGGACCACAGGTATGTCCCACTATGCCCAGCTAATTTTTGTTTATTGTTTGTAGAGATGGAGTTGTGTCATGTTGCTCAGGCTGGTCTCGAACTCCTGGGCTCAAGCAGTCCTCCTGCCTTGGTCTCCCAAAGTGTTGAGATTACAAGTGTGAGCCACCATGCGAGGCCTCATCACATTCTTTTAATGTTAAAGTTAGATAGATTCTTGGAACCCTTATCTGGGTTGCATTAAGTGGAGAGGGCTGCCTCTTAACCTGCATGACAGTATCCTCATATTTCTCCCAAGCACATGGCCTTGAGGAACTTACATATTTCTATGTTTGCTTCATTGAATAAGCAATATAAGTCTGATTAGTGACCTCACAAGGAGAATTTGCTGCTCATCCAGTTCCAAGACTTTAAAGATGACCCTGAGGCTTACGAGCAGGATCCTTTGTGTCTGTCTTGCAGAGGATTACATTTCTAATATCCCCATAGAACTCCAGATTGAACTAGGTCAAAGTAGACCTCCTGGGATGGGGCAGAAGTGGATGTAGAACTACCACCTGTTCCTCAGCTGAATGGCAACAGCAGGTGACAGAGGACCCAAGGTTGGAGTGGCATGAAACACCTTAGTGCAGTTGGACTTGGGAGTTAAATGAACATGTATGTCCGACAGGCTTTTCTTTTCTTCTGGAATGTTGTTTGATGGGTTTGGATGGAGGGACCAGATGGCTTTTTCTAGATCTAGTGTGGAAAGTGACATGCATTCTTTTGACCCTTTACCATGCTCCACCTAGAATAGGGTTTCTCATCCTTGGCATTATTGACATTTTGTGCTGCATGATTCTTTGTTGTGGCAGACTGTTCTGTGCATTACAGGATGTTTCTTTTTTCTTTTGAGACAGGGTTTCACTCTGTCACCTGGGCTGGACTGCAGTGGCGCTATCACATCCCACTGCAGCTTCGACCTCCCAGGCTCAAGCGATTCTTCTACCTTAGCCTCCCAAGTAGCTGGGATCACAGGTGCATGCCACCACGCCAGGCTAATTTTTATATTTTGCATAGAGATGGGGTTTCACCATGTTGTCCAAGCTGATCTCAAACTCCTGGGCTCAAGTGTTCCTCCCACCTTGGCCTCTCAAAGTGCAGGGATTACAGACGGGAGCCACTGCACCTGTCCTATAGGATGTTTCTAAATATCCCTGGCTTCTACTCATTACATGCTGATGGCAGTCCCCTTCCCCACCAGGCATAATAATCAGAAATGTCTCCAGACATTGCCACATATTCCCCAGGGGTCAAATTTGCCCCTGGTTCAGAACCACTGACCTAAAAGCTATTATAATTCCTAGTACATTGATGATCTAGCCTGGGATCTAGGACTTAAAGGTGGCTAGTGTGTTTGTTTCCTCTCAAATGTAGGGAGTTAACTTCAAAGGATTGAAGCTTATAGAATTACATCCATTGATACATAATTAGGACCACAGTGCTTTCCTGTATTTTGCCTTATTTTCCATTGCGAGGGTATGTGGGGACAGTGTTTCTTCATTTCCTGGGGTTTAAGCACACTTTAAATTAGGGAACTGTGGAGCAACCAGCTCTTCTGGTTGGTTTAATGTGAAACCTACCCAATCTGCTTTATCTGAGAGCCTCACAATCAACAGCTGGCCCAAGGGAACAGGTGGGATAGGGAACAAAGAGAAGTTGCAGGGGCTCTGAGGAGGCTCAGTTTTCTCATGTTGCCTGCTATGAGCAATAACTTATTTTCCTTTAGCACCTTCATTTGTACCCAGTAACAGCAACAGGTGAATCGAGAGGAAGAGGCAAGGAATACCAGTCTATAGTTGAATAGCTATTTCCCATGCTTTGGGTGGGGCATCTGGGCTCTCAAAACTATATATGGATTACATTTCCTGTCTACATATCAGAACCCATGGTATAGGGTTAAGTGATCCCAGAGTGTACCTCCCCTTTTCTTAAGGGAATGAGTTTCTCTGTGCTTTCATTTTAGTTTTTCATCTGAGGAAGAAAGGACCAGTTCCTACTTACTCTTCAGCTTTCTCTATCAGCTTTGTTTTTCCAAAGAAGCTTATTATTTTATTGTTTCCTAGTCTAGCCTCAGTTCCTTTTTGTATAAAATGGACAGAGCAACCTGTTTAATTGTTGAGTAGGGTAGAGTGGTGTGGTATGGTGTGGGTAGTTCTGGACATTGCAGAGGAGGCTATGGCTAGTTAGAATATATGCATGGTAACTGAATTACCTGTATCTGTTTTTAATGGGGTCCTCTCTTGGACTTTTGTGAATTTGTTTCTTAATTGGAATTGCTTGAGGTGATCTCTTGGAGATTAAGTTCAGTTCAACAGTGGGTTGCTCCCACTATATTTGAGGCTCTGTCCATTACTAGGCACTAGGGATATAAAGATGAATATATCTCTCCATGAGTTGAGTAGGATCTAATGGGATAATAAATACACAAATAATTTTAGTACATGGTGATAAATGGTGTAAAGGAGATATGCATAGTGTTCCATAAGCGCACAGAAGAGGACTACTTATCTCTGCATGGGGGTGTAGAAAATGCATTTTGAAGATGGCATCTGAGCTGACTCTTAAAGAATGAGTAGGAGTTAGCCATCTGAAAAAGAGTGATGATGGGGGTGTGGAATAGAGAAGGGAGAGGGGCATTCAGGCAAAGAGAAGAGCCTGAAGAAGGTATAGAGAAATTGCATGATGTATGTGAACTATAAACAAACTGATAATGTTAGAGAATAAAAAGCGGATGTGATGGGAAATGAGGTTGGGAAGGTAGGCCTGATCTTAGAAGGCTTGATGTGTGTGTAAAGAATTTGGAGTGTTCGGCCAGGCGTGGTGGCTCACACCTGTAATCTCAGCACTTTCGGAGGCCGAGGCAGGCGGATCACAAGGTCAGGAGTTCGAGACCAGTCTGGCCAATATGGTGAAACCCCGTCTCTACTAAAAATACAAAAAGTAGCTGGGCGTGGTGGTGGGTGCCTGTAGTCCCAGCTACTCGGGAAGCTGAGGCAGGAGAATCGCTTGAACCTGGGAGGCGGAGGTTGCAGTGAGCCAAGATCGCGCCACTGCACTGCAGCCTGGGCGACAGAGTGACTCTGTCTCAAAAAAAAAAAAAAAAAAAAGAGTTTGGAGTGTTCTTATAGATAACGATGGGGCAATCAATGGGTCTGAAGCAGGAAAGTGACTTGGTCAGTTGTGGACTTCAGACAGCTAACTGAACTAGATGTGGCAGTGGATGGATTTAGGTAGGTTAAGATTGGTGTTGCAGAGAACTTTTAAAGTTACAGTAGTCCAGGTGAGAGATTATTGTAATCTGAACCATGGCAGTGGAGGTGGAAAGGTAGGATAGATTTAAGAAATATCTAGAAGTAGCATTAACAGGAATTTAGGATTGATTGTGTGATTGGAGAGTGTGACCAGAGAGTGCACAGTATAGGATGGTACTGTCTGGTGGAGCAGTAAGTATGAGTGACTTGAGTCAAAGTTGTTGAATTTGGGAATTGATTAATGGCTGCGTCATTGGTATTACCTGTAGCCCATAACGATGGAGGAACTTTGTGAATCAAGAGCCAAACTATATAACGAATGTGGAGCTGTGATTGGTCATTGATAGGGGATTGGTAAATGACATCCATGAGGAAAGCTTAGAAGGTGGTATTGCCAAGGCCAGGTACGGTGGCTCACGCCTGTAATCCCAGCACTTTGGGAGGCCGAGGTGGGTGGATCACCTGAGGTCAGGAGTTCAAGACCAGCCTGACCATCATGGTAAAAACCCATCTCTACTAAAAATACAAAAATTAGCAAGACGTGGTGGTGCGTGCCTGTAATCCCAGCTACTTGGGAGGCTGAGGCACGAGAATTGCTTGAACCTGGGAGGCGGAGGTTGCAGTGAGCCGAGATTGCACCACTGCACTCCAGCCTGGGTGACAAAGTGAGACTCCATCTCAAAAAAAAAAAGTTGATATTGCCAAATAGGGTGAAGATCAAGGGAGTACAAATGGCATAGAATTACAAGAATGCTTATTGTAGAAACTTAATGTTTATTTTAAATCCATGAGTTTTGGTAAATATTGATAAACTTTCTGAGCAGTTATCATTTCTTGATGTGGTTGGATTGTAGGAAAAATGTGGAGGGATGATTCTGGGCTGCAAAGGCCAAGGATGCTTGTATCTTTGAAATGTTTCACAACCATTTATATAAGGGTTACCCGTGATTTTCTCATTGGATTCTTAACAACTCTGAGGTGTATATTCATTCATCCCTGTTTATAGATGACAGCACTGAGAATCTGGAGTTAAGTGACTTGCTTACGGTCACACAGCTACACAGCCTTTCAGTGATACAGTCAGAATTTAAACTAGTTCTTTTTTTTCCGAGATGGGGGACTCACTCTGTCACCCAGGCTACAGTGCAGGATTATGGCTCACTGCAGCCTTGAACTCCTGGGCTCAAGTGATCCTCCTGCCTCAGCCTCCTGAGTAGCAGGGACTACAGGCACATGCCACCATGCCTTGCTAATTTTTTTCTTTTTTGTAGAGATGGGGTCTTGCTATGTTGACCAGGCTGATCTTGAACTCCTGGCCTCAAGCCTTCCTCCCACCTCAGCCTCCTGTGCAGCTGGGACTACAGGCGTGTACCACCAAGCCCAGCTAATTTTTTCTTTTTTTGTAGAAACGGGTCTCCCTATGTTGCCCAGGCTGGTCTTAAACGCCTGGGCTCAAGTGATCCTCCTGCCTTGGCCTCCCAAAATGCTGGGATTACAGGTGTGAGCCCCTGTGCCTGGCCAGTGTTTATTTTTAAACAAACACTTCAAAAATTTAATAAACATGTATAAAGCACTATACTGTGCCAGGCATTGTTAGCAACTGGGAATATGGGAATGCATGAGACTAGTTCCTGCCCTTGAGTGTCTCATCGGTTCTTTCCCTGCCCTTTCAGTACGGTGGGGATTGCAGCTGCTGAGCAGGGATTCTGGAAAGCATTGCGTACCTGAGCCCCCAGCATGGCGGGCCTAAAGCGGCGGGCAAGCCAGGTGTGGCCAGAAGAGCATGGTGAGCAGGAACATGGGCTGTACAGCCTGCACCGCATGTTTGACATCGTGGGCACTCATCTGACACACAGAGATGTGCGCGTGCTTTCTTTCCTCTTTGTTGATGTCATTGATGACCACGAGCGTGGACTCATCCGAAATGGACGTGACTTCTTATTGGCACTGGAGCGCCAGGGCCGCTGTGATGAAAGTAACTTTCGCCAGGTGCTGCAGCTGCTGCGCATCATCACTCGCCACGACCTGCTGCCCTACGTCACCCTCAAGAGGAGACGGGCTGGTGAGGAAGTATTAGGGGCTGGAATCAGGGAAGAGTTGTGGGAGGCCAGGAAGGAGCAGCATAGGCGTCCAAAGGGGAGGACACATTGATCCTGGGGAGTACTTAGAGTAAGTTGTGAGGCCCACTGGGGGTTTGGACTGACAGAAGGGAAGGGTGTATATTTTCCTGAATGATTACTTCTCCTCCTACAGTGTGCCCTGATCTTGTAGACAAGTATCTGGAGGAGACATCAATTCGCTATGTGACCCCCAGAGCCCTCAGTGATCCAGAACCAAGGCCTCCCCAGCCCTCTAAAACAGGTGAGAAGACATTAACTCCCCCTGCTTTCCATCATCAAGTAAAAGGACACTGATCCCATCACATTCTGGGCTTTGCCAGCTTAAATGAAAGGATGCTGTGCGCCCACATCTTGCCCCATAAAAAAAAAAAATCAGGCGAGGTGACATTTCTCCTAGGTCCTGTATTTGCTCTCACATGTCTTGTCTTTTTTTTTTTTTTTTTTGAGACAGAGTCTCCCTCTGTCGCCCAGGCTGGAGTGCAGTGGCGCAATCTCGGTTCACTGCAAGCCCCACTTCCCAGGTGCACGCCATTCTCCTGCCTCAGCCTCCTGAGTAGCTGGGACTACAGGCGCCCGCCAGCACGCCCAGCTAATTTTTTGTATTTTTAGAGACGGGGTTTCACCGTGTTAGCCAGGATGGTCTCGATCTCCTGACCTCATGATCCACCCGCCTTGGCCTCCCAAAGTGCTGGGATTACAGGCGTGAGCCACTGCACCTGGTCTCACATGTCTTTTCAAGTCACATTTTTCCACTGCTTTTAGTGCTAAGTCTAAATGATTCCTTCCTCATTCCAACAGAAGTGTTTGAATTTCTGCCTTTACCCTACTGTGTTTTCTTCCCTTTTACTTTCTGGTCAGTGCCTCCCCACTATCCTGTGGTGTGTTGCCCCACTTCGGGTCCTCAGATGTGTAGCAAGCGGCCAGCCCGAGGGAGAGCCACACTTGGGAGCCAGCGAAAACGCCGGAAGTCAGTGACACCAGATCCCAAGGAGAAGCAGACATGTGGTGAGGAAGTTCAAGGGTTCCAGAGATGGAGCAGACTTGAAGGAGAATATAAAGAACTGCTGGGACACTGGGCAGTTTATGCTATTCAGTGTGAGATTCACTTTGATTGCCATTGCAAAGTGAGGCTGAATGGTTTGGTGTCTGGTGGAAGAACTGCTCTTTATGATTGTGGCAGGGTACATTTCAACTCTTGTTAGTTAATACTACATCACAGGGATGTTGTTATGACATCCTTATTGTAGGATGAGCCAAGTCGAGTATTAAAATGAACTTCTATGCCTGGTAATTAGGAAAATATCTCCTATAAACAAGTTGCTACCTGTGAGTAATGGGAACAGTGCTGACCTCGGCATGTCCCGTTTAAGGGAACCTCCTGCATTCAGGCAAGGATTTCAGAGATACATAGAAATAGTCCTGGGGAAGAGGTAGAGAAGCTGTCAGGTGATATTCCCTACTTTTTTATTCTGTTGTGCTTTTCAGTTTTCAAGCTTGGCTTGTAAACTCATCCCTTACTGTAACCTCTTCTGCTCTGTATCTTCTGTTTCCAACAGACATCAGACTGCGGGTTCGGGCTGAATACTGCCAGCATGAGACTGCTCTGCAGGGCAATGTCTTCTCTAACAAGCAGGACCCACTTGAGCGCCAGTTTGAGCGCTTTAACCAGGCCAACACCATCCTCAAGTCCCGGGACCTGGGCTCCATCATCTGTGACATCAAGTTCTCTGAGCTCACCTACCTCGATGCATTCTGGCGTGACTACATCAATGGCTCTTTATTAGAGGCACTTAAAGGTGTCTTCATCACAGACTCCCTCAAGCAAGCTGTGGGCCATGAAGCCATCAAGCTGCTGGTAAATGTAGACGAGGAGGACTATGAGCTGGGCCGACAGAAACTCCTGAGGAACTTGATGCTGCAAGCATTGCCCTGACCTATTCCCTCTTCTCACTTTGGGGACTGTTCCCATCACCCACCTCTGGAGCTTACACTGTTCTGGGGTTTGTTCTCTACCCTTCCAACCAATCACACCCCTGCCTTTTTTTTTTTTTTTTTAAAGAAAAAGACAAAAGAAAGTGGAAGTGGTATTCCCCACCCCTCCCTGCACCCATGTGCCTGGGCTTCCCCTTTATTTCCCTTTTCCATTTACCCCGTAATGTGTCTCTACAGCTACCTTACCACTGAGCCGTAAGACAAATGTATAGGAAGAAGCAAAGTCTACAGCACATAGTCTTTGTAAGGGATTGATGTGAACACTTTTTTTTGGATGCACTAAGGAGTTATCAATACTTCTGGCTTTATGAGAGCTCTTAAATTTTGTCTAAAAAACCAAAGGGCTGTGAGTAAGGGAGCTATGTGGAAAGTGGGACTCTGAAGTGTATTTTGAAAATTAATCGCCACCCTCTTCCAAATTATAGAATTTTTTAAAAACAAGCTGTGGCCCTTTCCACTCTCTCCTGGCCTCTGGTGCTGCTCCTCTCTGCCGCCTTTCCTCCATTCCATGGCTTGAAACCTCTGCCTGATGTGGCTCCTTCCTTTTTCCCATTTGTCAAACCCTCTTCAAAGGAGGAACAGATAAGACTGGGTCAGCCTAGTCATGCCTCCCAACTGTGGTGGTATATGTGTACACACATACACAGGGTGGATGGAGAAGAGGTTGCTGATTAAAATACACTCCCCCTATAAAGGGGAAGGGGGAGTGTGACACTTTCTTTCCATGTTCAAGTGAAAATAAATAATGTACCCTGCAGCCCTTTTCCCCTTTGCTTTCTTCTGGCTTGGGCAAAGGGCATCATAGGTGTAAGTGAAGTAATTCCTTTTTCCTTCCCCCTCCTCCACTCCTACGCCCACTCCCATGCTTGGGAGAATGGGGCTGGGACATGCACTGAGTGTTGCACTTTTATTTAGGTAGGGAGGCATGTTGAATGAGCCAGGAGGTCTAGAACTGGAGCTTAGTCCAGCTGGTACAATACCAACTCCCCTTCTAGTTCCCAAAGGCGATGTCCAGACACAGACTTTATGATTATTATATTTTTCAATGCCAGTGCTGCTCAGCCCTCAGCAGAACTTCAGTTTCCATGAAATAAACAATGACTATATAAAATTCCACCTTTCTGAAACTGCAGTCTGACCTCAGGTGAAGCTCAGGTGAAAGTTTCTTTCCCAAGCAGCCCATCTGTGTTCCATCAAGAGAGTCAAGGTTCTCCAAGTGAGGGGAGCTGTGCCTGGATCCTGCCTCCAAGTCACATGAGCACTAGCTCATAGTGGCAGGGTGGGGGTGGGAGGGGCAGGTCTAAACTCACAGAAGTCAAGTCTTAAGACAGTGGGTGACCCAGATTGCCATAGAGGTCAGGCCTGCGGTGCTGGAACACAGGCAGGTGTCGGCGCAACTGTCGCAGATAGTTGAGGTCTATTCGGGCAAGGCAGAGGCCTGGCCCCTCAGAGCAGCGGGCCACCACTGTTCCCCAGGGGTCTACCACCATGCTGTGGCCATAACTTGCTCTCTTCTCATGGTGGCGTCCACACTGTGCTGCTGCCACTACATAGCACTGGGTTTCGATAGCACGGGCCCGCAGCAACACCTGGGCATGAGATGTGTGTTCACTTAAGTACATGTAGCAAATAGTGGGGAAGTGACAGGTGAGGGACATTACAGACCAATCTACCCATTGTGACTATTTTGGTAATTGCCTAGGAATGATTTACTATTTTAACTATTCATGAGAGAAATATCTGGGGAATGAGTTTTCCCATTAGGTGGAAAGGGGAAGGAATTTAACTGGTAGGGCCAAGGGGGGAAGATGAGGTTAAGAAAAGGCCCTTATGTTTTAAAAAGGCATCATCTTACCTCCCAGTGGGCTGGGCCTGTAATGGATCCAAAAGCTGAAGGATAGGTAAGTATCTCTGCTCCAGCTTGAGCCAATGCCAGAGAGAGTTCAGGGAACCGCATGTCATAGCAGACAGCTAGACCAATCTGGAATGAAAAACAGCCTACTTAGTAGTCTTCCTGCTCTGTTTGTCACAGCATCTAGTCATATTTCCATTACCCCCTCTCTTAGGGCTTTCTATCCTCTACTGCCAGTTCAAAGTATTCCTGTTCCCCTCCCTCATCCTTTCACAACTCCTACCTTGCCTGCTGGTGTGCTGACAGGTGACTCAAGACTGGGCCCAGGCATGGTAGAGTTGCTTTCACACATAGGCCCCTGCCCTGGAATCTCTACGTCACACAGATGTGTCTTCCTGTAAGTGGCCACTACTGCCCCTACAGTAAGAAAGAAGGAATATCAGTGCTGGTGTTCTAGAAGCCTTGCTTACTCCTCCCAAGGAGGAGATAGTTTATAGGCTAGGAACTGAAGTAGGACCACCCCTAAATCCTTGGGTCAAGGAAATAAGAGTTGAGAAACAATTCTGGAGAATCTAGGTAGAAGAGCATGGGAAGAGGCAGGCTAAAGGGTTATAAAGTCTCACCTTTGCTGTTCAGCAGCACGTGACAATTGTAGATTTTCTGAGTCTGCTCCCAGTCTTGGCCACGCTCATGGAAACCACCCAAGGACAGCCAGAGTCCACATTCCCTGGGGGGAAGGGACACTGACAACTCTTCACTGACTTCTCAAGGCTCTACCCTCATATCTGGCAACCCAGGGACACTGTCCAACAAAGATTCTACCTCTCCCTCGCTATTTCCCTGATACCTGGCAAGCTGGGTGTATTCTTCCAAAAGTTTCCCACCCAGTGGTTCAGACAGGTGTAGCGTCTCTGCAGGGTCCCGTGCAATGAAGTCAAATGCCTCAGGCAGGAAAGCCAGGCAGGCACCCAGTCTGGCAGCCTCTCGAACCAGCTCAGCACATGTTTTAAAGTTCTGTTGCTTGTCTGGCGTCGATGTTACCTGGCACACAGCCACCAGGGGCAGTTCGCAGGAGGAAGAGGAGATAGCCATGGCTCTGGGCCTGTGAACAGCATAGGCAGGATTCTCAGATTTCATAGCACAGGGAAGCAAATTTAATGCTAAGGGGTGCAAGTGGAGAGGCAGGAAAGCTGGACTTCCTTTTGATCATGCTCTTACAGGGCACGTTGACCCAGGGCTAGTAGGGCTCACCAATCAAATGTGTGGATAGTTGACACTCCTGTGTCTCCCACTATCCATTTAACAAACTGAGCATCTAAGTGCCAGGCACTGAGGACACAACAAAACGTGTTACCTGGGCTGAGCACAAAGTACTGAGAGTTGAGGTATCCGGAGTCCAGGACACAGAAGGGACAGGAATCTGTGAGGAGGCCTGGTGATGAAGCCCAGCCTGAGGAAGGTGAGATATGAGGACACCAACCCCTTCTTCAAGCAATAAATTTCTAGGATTCTCTGACTTCTCTCTTTATACTGTGAGCCTGAATCAGGGCCCTGCCAGTAAAAACCTAGTCTTCAAAACGCTCTTTATAAGAAATTATAGGCTAAGGGACAAGACCATACAGTGGGAAGATGGAGAAAGGGGCTCTGCTCGCCGCCTGAATAGTTCAACTTCCAATGATCTCACATTAAACTGAAGCCTCTTTCCTCTGACAAACGTTTCCGCAGTCCAAAAGTCATCTCCGGGAACTATCCTTGGTTTTCCCAAGACTCTCTCCTTGACTGTGCACTTGCGCAGCTTTACTGACTCGAAGCATATTTCCCCTTTCACCAGAATCTCGCAGGGGAAAGTTCACCCTCTCTCGTCTCCCACCCCTCCCTGGTGGGCAAGGGGCAAAGGAACCCAGGCCCCAAGCCGCGCCCCGCCCTCCACCCTCCCGCCGCCCGCTCCAGTTGGCCCGTCCCTCCCCGCCTCTCCCAGAGGCAGCATCTCTGTTACACAAGTTAAAGCACCGCAGGTGGGATTCACCGCGGCCGACGGGATAGGGAGTAGGTCCTACATGAAGATATAGCCAAAACCATTCGCAGGGTCCGATCCGGAGGGCGGTCTGGAGCCAGAAGCGCCGCAGCGAGTGGGCGGTAACTCGCAGGCCGGACGTGACGCAAGGCGGGGGCTGAGCTGCGCCGGCCGGAAACCCAGCAGGCGGCGAAGATGGCGGAGAACAGCGGTCGCGCCGGCAAGAGCAGCGGGAGCGGCGCGGGGAAGGGGGCGGTGTCCGCAGAGCAGGTGAGGAGTGGCTAACGCGAAGCAGGGTACCCACCTGGGTCTGGAATACTAGCGAGAAGGGGGAGCCTGTGGCTTGTGCAGGCCTTTACTCCAGCACCACATGTGCGTGGCACCTAGAGAGGGAAGGGTCCCCGGAAAAGCTAGCCGAACCCCTTCGGAGAGGTAGACGGGTGGGTAGGTGAGAGCCACGCCTCCGTGAGGTGGTGGGTGAGCCTGAGCAAGGGGAAAGCCCTGACATGTAGGGTCTGGGAAGATGCACAGGTCTGAGGGGAGATGGTTTGCTGCTTTCTCTATCTCTCCTCAGCCTCTCCAAACAGGTTATGGCTGGGCAAGACAGCTCGAAACTAACCCTAGAGAATTAGTTAACGGGCTGGCTGTGTAGTCTGTTACGTGATCCTGAACCCACGTTGACAATCGCCGTCACGCTGCAGAGCCACGTGACTCTCATACTCGAACAGCCTAGTGTTCTATATACTATTTTAATTCGGGAGTTCATTACTAGATCGAATTTCTTTAGAGACCAGAAACCCCTTTCTAATCCGAGTTTGCATTTTCCCCAGTGCCTAGCATCGGGAAGCGTTTGATAAGTTAATTAGAAAACCCTTTGTGGCTTGGGAACCGTGTTTTGCTAAGTGGAAAAATAGGAGTGGGAGGAAAGCTACACAATAGAAATGAAAACAGTTAACAGCTACTTTATTATTATCGTTTTTTTTTGAGACGGAGTCTCGCTCTGTCGCCCAGGCTGGAGTGCATGCAGTGGCGCGATCTCGCCTTACTGCAATCCGCCTCGTGGTTCATTCAAGCTATTCTTCTGCCTCAGCCTCCCGAGTAGCTGGGACTACAGGCGCGCGCCGCCACACCTGGCTAATTTTTGTATTTTTAGTAGAGACGGGGTTTCACCATATTGGCCAGGCTGGTCTCCAACTCCTGACCTAATGATCCGCACGCCTCGGCCTCCCAAAGTACTGGGATTACAGGCGTGAGCCACCGCTCCCGGCCTACAGCTGTCTTAATTATAGGTTCAGTTTTTGTTGAACAATTAATACAAGCAGATGTATCAGCATAAAGATTTTTATTTTTATTGTTTTTTGAGACAGAGTTTCGCTCTGTCATCCAGGCTGGAGTACAGTTGCGGGATGTCGGCTCACCACAGCCTCCACCTCCCGGGTTCAAGCATTTCTGCCTTAGCCTCCCGAGTAGCTGGGATTACATGCCCGCACCACCACGCCCAGTTAATTTTTGTAGAGGCAGGATTTCACCATGTTGCCCATGCTGGTCTCGAAGAGCATAGTCTAGTGGGGTAAATAAGAGAAGCAAAATGCTCATATGAGGCAGAAGATAAGTGTCCTAAGAGAAGTATAAAGTGCTATGGAATATGGTTTCTGACTTGGGGTGGGGGAAGGGAAAAGGAACCTAATGCTTTTTAATACTTTTTTGTTGTTGAGACGGAGTCTCTGTTGCCGAGGCTGGAGTGCAGTGGCGTGATCTCGGCTGACTGCAACCTCTGCCTCCCAGGTTCAAGAGATTCTGGTGCCTCAGCCTCCCGAGTAGCTGGGATTACAGGTGCACCACCATACCTGGCTAATTGTTGTCTTTTTGGTAGAGACGGGGTTTCACCATGTTGGCCAAGCTGGTCTCGAACTCCTGACCTCAAGTGATCCGCCTGCCTTGGCCTCCCAGAGTGGTGGGATTACAGGCATGAGCCACAGTACTTTTTTTTTTAGAGACAGAGTTTCACTTCGTTGCTCAGGCTGAGTGCAATGGCGTGATGATAGCCCGCTGCAGCCTTGAAATCCCTGGGTGATCAAGCCATCCTCCTGACTCAGCCTCCTGAGTAGCTGGGACTATAGGCATAAGCCATTTGAATGGCTAATTAAAAATTGTTTTTTTGGTAGAGATGGGAGTCTCACTTTCTTGCTCTGGCTGGTCTTGAACTCCTGGCCTCAGGTGATCCACCTGCCTTGGTCTCCCAAAGTGTTGGGATTGCAGGTGTGAGCCACCTTGCCTGGCTCCCCCTAATAATTTTTAAGGCTACCATGGGCCAAGCACTCTGCTGGGTACAGCGATACAGATACTGTAGCTCCCCCTTATCTGAGGGGGACATATTCCAAGACCCCAGTAGATGCCTGAAACCTGGGATAGTATTGAACTCTATGTTTTTTCTCATACCTATGATAAAGTCTAATTTATATAATAGGTGCAGTAACTAATAGAACAGTTATGACAATGTAATAAAGGTTACATGAATGTGGTCTCTCTTTTTCAAAATATCTGATTGTACTGTACTCACCCTTCTTGTGATGATGTGAGATGATAAACTGCCTTCCTGATGAGGTAAGGTGAATGACAGCATTGTGATATAGCCTTAGGCCACTATTGATGATAAGTCAGAAGGAGAATCATCTGCTTTAGGTGATCTCAGATCATTGAGCCACGACAATGTTGAGCAGATGTTGATGACTAAAGGGCAGGTAGCATATACAGCATGGATAGGCTGGGCAAAAGGATGATTCACATCCTGAGCGGGATGGCTAGAGATTTCATCACGCTATTCACAACAGTGTGAAACTTAAAACTTATGAATTGTTGGCCAGGTGCCGTGGCTCACGCCTGTAATCCCAGCACTTTGGGATACCGAGGTGGGTGGATCATCTGAGGTCAGGAGTTCGAGACCAGCTTGGCCAACATGGCGAAACCCCATCGCTACTAAAAATAAAAAAATTAGCCAGGTGTGGTGGCGGGCACCTGTAATCCTAGCTACCCAAGAGGCTGAGGCAGGGAGAATCGCTTGAATCCGGGAGGCAGAGGTTGCAGTGAGCCAAGATTACGCCATTGCACTCCAGCCTGGGCAAAGAGCGAGACTCTTGTCTCAAAAAACAAACACACAAAAAGTATGAATTGTTTATTTCTGGAATTTTCCATTTATTTTCAGACATTGGATAACTCTGGATAATGAGAGACTATTGTACATGAAACAGACTTTGTCTTCAAATTGCTTTACTCAGACTCATTTGAGAAAAGACAAACCAAACAATAAAGATTTATAGTGTGCTGCACAATCCCTTCATTATGGCAGCAGAGGAGAGACCCCTAACTAATCACGAGGTTGTAGGATTGTGGGGGTAGGGGCTGGATAAGGGAAGCTGTGGTATAGTAGGGTGGCTAAGAGCATTCTTATGCACTAGGGTCAGACCTAAGTTTGAATTTCATTTCTACTATTTACTATTTATATATGACCTCCCATGAGTTACATCTTGGCCTCCCCCATCTGTAGAAACATAACAATACCTACCTCATCACTGAATTTAGAGTATTAGGCAAGACAATGCATGCGAAGTGTTTTGCACAGTGATTAGAATATAGTGTGTGTTTAGTAAATGCTAGTTAGCTTTTGTTTTCTAGAGGAGAAAAATCCTTCAGCTCAATTCTAAAGGATGAGAGAAGTTAGTCAAGCAAAGAAGGAAGTGGAAGATTTTCTAGGTAGAGGGAATAAATGTGTTCCAAAACACTAAGGCGTGAAACTGCCTGGCATGTTTGGGATGCAGGTGGGACTTAATGTTTGAGGTGGATTACAGAACTTGAATATGGAGAAAAGGGGGTAAAAGAGGAATATAAGATGTCTCTCAGGTTTCTGTCTTTGGTGGATAATGGTGCCATAAGGAATGTAGGAAGACAGACAATTTTGGGGGAAATGTAAGTTTATTTTAGGATTTTGAGTTTAGGTTTCTTGTGGGACACCCAGGTTAAACATTCAGTAGACACTTTGATTTTTAAATCTTGAGATACAGTAAGAAATCTGAGTTGGAGATACAGATTTGAGAATTGAGTTTATGGATGATAAAGCCGTGGTTATGGATAAAAATGATCACTTTCCATAGTTTGTACAGAAAGTGAAAAAAGAAGTAGAACAAGAGTGGAACCACTGTTTTAGGGGAGCTAAAGAGAACCCCTCAAACTTCCCTCAGGAAACTGAGGAAGTGTGATAAGTGAGTTTTGAGGCTGTTCCTTGATTAACATTCTCTTGCCTTTGTTTATTCTGGAGAGAACACTGGGTAAAACATTACAAGATTTATCACTGCTGCAAATTTGAGCCACATATGTCCCTTACAAACAAGATGGAAGCAAATAACACATTGTGTTAGACACTTGTTTTACCTTCTGTTACTGACTGAGACAGGGTCTCATTCTGTTGCCCAGGCTGGAGTGCAGTGGTGCGATCACGGCTCACTGCAGCCTCAACCTCCCAAGGCTCAGGTGATCCTTCTACCTCAGCCTCCCAAGTTACTGGGACTACATGCGTGTGCCACCCTGCCCAGCTAATTTTTGTATTTCTTGTAGAGATGGAGTTTTGCCATGTTGCCCAGGCTGGTCTTGAACTCTTGGGCTCAAGCAGTCCACCTGCCTTGGCTTCCCAAAGTGCTAGGATTACAGGCATGAGCTGAGCCACCGCTCAGGCCTACCTTCTGTTATTCAATTACTGCCATTTGAAGTAGGTTGTGTTGTCCTCCATTTATAGGTGAGGACATTTTAATTTCAGAGGCTTTAGTTAACTTGCCCAAGGTCAGTAACTGGAAGAGCAGGATTTTTAAATGAGGGACTTAAGAATCAGGTATTTTTTTCACTTATGCCATGATTATGTTAGAGGTATTTGAGCAGAACCCTGAAGGAGTGGATGGATTTGAACAGGTAGCAGTGGGAATAGAAAGTAGGGAATATGATAAGAGGAGAGTAGTTG
This sequence comes from Homo sapiens, assembly GCF_000001405.40. Lineage (NCBI taxonomy): Eukaryota > Metazoa > Chordata > Mammalia > Primates > Hominidae > Homo > Homo sapiens. The sequence continues at coordinate 161,113,216 of NC_000001.11, read as the reverse complement.
AATAAGGCCATAGAGGTCTTTGAGTGCATGCCAAAGAATTTATGACTTTTTAACATAAGCAGTGAGGAAGTCACAGAAGGATATATGTTATATTATTAATTGTTTAACTCTTATATAAAATAATACATTTATTGTCGGAACTGCAGAAAACAAAGGAAAAAGTTCAAACCAGGAAATAAATTGCCCATAATCCAACTATCCAGAGATAACTTTTCTTGCCATTTAGGAGTATATCCTTTGAGAGATTTTTTCCCCCCTCCTTTGTCTTTTTGTGTATATATGTGTGGATGGAAGGGGGAGCTTTTTTTTTTTTTTACATATTTTATAAAATTAGGATTATACTACAGTATGTACTGGTTTGTAATCTGTTTTTTAAGCCTAATAGTATATGTTGAACATTTTTCTATGTCATCTAAGTGTTAGGAAGATTAAATTAGCAGTGTGTAGGGTAGGTTTGGGGAGTCTAAAAATAGGATCATTTAGAAGACTATTGCAGTAATTCAGATAAGAATGTAATGAACATCTGAACTAGGGTTATGTCAGTGAGCCTAAGAGAAATTGCTAAACTAAGTGCAATACATTTGGCAGTTCATGGGATTATGGTATGTTCAAAGATGAACCTGGGTATGGTGGCAAGTGCCTGTAGTCCCAGCTACTCAGGAAGCTGAGACAGGAGGATCACTTGAGTCTGGGAGTTTGAAGCTATAGTGTGCTATAATTGTGCCTGTGAATAACCACTTTTCACCAGTCTGAGCAGCATAGGGAGACCCCATCTTTAAAAACAAAACAAAAGATGAAACTAAGGTTTCCTACCAGGAGGCCTAGAGTGATGTCAGTAGCAGAAATAGAAGAGATAAGATCACTTCAGCTTTGAACAACATGAGTTTAAGATATCCATGGGACATTTAGGTGGAGATGATCTGTAATAATAGCAGCTACTATTTATTGAAAACTTGTTATATGATAGATATTGTCCTAAGTTCTTGATGTAATTACTTAATCCTTACAACATTCTGTGAGGCAGGTATTATCTGTATTTTATTGGTGAAGAAACATCAGAAAAGAAGTAATTAATACTTATGCATTCTGTGAGACAGGTATTAATCTGTATTTTATTGGTGAAGAAACATTCAGAAAAGAAGTAACTTGTCATGGTCTGACGTTAAGCCATTTCTGTCAGGCACAAAAAAGCTCCTTCCTCTAACTTGTAAATGTGGGACTAGAATTTCTGAAAAGGCCTGGTTTTGCAGGCAAGTAGAATAAAGGCAATTGCTGGAACTATAGAAGTAGCTAAGAATGCCACTTGAAATAGTATAGGTTACCCTGATTTGATTATATGAATATATCAAATTATCACAATACCATGAAAATATGATTATGAATCAATAAAAAATAATTTCAAAAATAATGTAGGTAATGAAGAAGTGCTATGAATAGAATCTTAGATCCTGTGGCCATTGTGGGAGTGAAAGAGGAAGAACTTTCAGAAAGGAGAAAGAAGGAGGCTTGAGATAGGAAGGAGAACTGAAGGGACCTGGAAACCAAAGGGGAGTCGAAGATCTACATTGTATCGGGCACTTGACCTATTATCTCAGTTAGTTCTCATTGTTACCCTGTAGCAGTGATTCTCAACTGGCATTATCTTTTCCTAGGAGACATCTGGCAGTGTCTGGAGACATTTTTGGTTGTCACAAATCAAAGGGGTTGCTACTGACTTTTAGTGGGTATAGTCCAGGGATTTGTTAAACATCCTATAATGCCTGAGACAGCCCTCCTAGCAAAGAATGATTTGGCCTAACATGTCAGTAGTGACAATGTTGAGAAACCCTGCCCTGTGGTATATTATATTAAGTCCATTTTATAAATGAGGAAACAAGGAAAGTTAAGTGACTCAGTCATATAGCAAGTAAATGGCAAAACTGGGATTTCAACCCAGGTCAGAATAAGAAGTTTGGGTTCTTTCCACTTTACTATGTTGCTACTTGGATCCCAGTACTTGGGGAGGCTGAGGCAGGAGGATCTCTTGAAGCCACGAGTTTGAAACCAGCCTGGGCAACATAGTAAGACCCCCATCTCGGGCTGGGCGCAGTGGCTAACACCTGTAATCCCAGCACTTTGGGAGGCTGAGGCGGGCGGATCACAAGGTCAGGAGATTGAGACCATCCTGGCTAACATGGTGAAACCACATCTCTACTAAAAAATACAAAAAGTTAGCCGGGCGCATTGGCGGGCGCCTGTAGTCCCACCTACTCGGGAGGCTGAGGCAGGAGAATTGCTTGAACCTGGGAGGTGCAGGTTGCAGTGAGCCGATATCATGCCACTGCACTCCAGCCTGGGCGACAGAGCGAGACTCCATCTCAAAAAAAAAAAAAAGTCTCTACAAAAAAAAAAAAAAAATTTCATGAAGAGAAGGGATGAGTACTATTATTTGATGGAGTAATAAGGTCAAAGAAGTTTTCTTTGACAGAGAGTTGAGTATGTTCTTCAGAAAAGGGGGCACTGAACTGAAAAGAAGGTAATTAGTGGAGCAGTATCCCAGATCATGCTTTTCCAGGTTCATCCAATCATAACTCTCTACCTCTTCTATTCTTCTATTGAAACCAGTAAGAGTAAATGTCATGTAAGAAGACCCTAGGACATTTTGGAGAGAAAGGTAATGATTATAGATTTTTTCCTAAAATTATTAAAACTATATGGTAAACAAAAAAGAAAACAGGAATATAAATTTGCTTTGATAAGAAATTAATATTTGATAAGCCAGGAATAATATATTAACAGAGATTTTTAGAGTTAAGACAAACCTGGGTACAGGTATGATTTCTGCACTTCACTAGGTTATTTTATTTTTTATTTTTGGAGACGGAGCCTTGCTCTGTCACCCAGGCTGGAGTGCAGTGGTGTGGTGTTGGCTCATTGCAACCCCCGCCTCCCAGGTGCAAGCAATTCTTTTGCCTCAGCCTCCCGAGTAGCTGGGACTACAGGCATAAGCCACCATACCCGACTAATTTTTTGTATTTTTAGTAGAGATGGGGTTTCACCATGTTGGCCAGGCTGGTCTCGAACTCCTGAGCTCAAGTGGTCTGCCTGCCTCAGCCTGCCAAGGTAATAGGATTACAGGAGTGAGCTACTGCGCCCATCCCACACTATTTTGTTTTGTGTTTGTGAGACACAGTCTTGCTCTGTCACCCAGGCTGGAGTGTAATGGCACAATCTGGGTTCACTGCAACTTCCGCCTCCCAGGTTCAAGCGATTCTCCTGCCTCAGCCTCCCGAGTAACTGGGATTACAGGCACCCTCCCCCCACCACGCCCAGCTAATTTTTGTATTTTTATTAGGGATGGGGTTTCACCGTGTTGGCCAGGCTGATCTGGAACTCCTGGCCTCAAGTGATCTGCAGGGTTTCACCATGTTAGCCAGACTGGTCTCGAACTCCTGGCCTGAAGTGATCAGCCCACCTCTGCCTCCCAAAGTGTTGGGATTACAGGCGTGAGCCACCGTGCCTGGATCCACACTATGTTATTTTGACCACCACACAACACTCCACCAGCCTTGGTCTCCTTATTTACAAATTGAAGGTACAGGTCTTACCGTCTTTTTTGTTTTTTAGAATTAAATGAGATAGTCTAGCACAGTGCCTGGCATATAGTAGGTGTTCCTTTACTCTTGAGACTGTGGAAGGCAGATTATAGTAGGACTATGAAAGAAATAGATATTTTAAAATAGGTTGCATTTGCATATTTACAATTTTAAAAGAAGATAAAGAATAGAAGGCAGTCTGCATGGTGGAAAATAACACAATATAAATAGAAAAGATTTTGTCAAATTATTTAAGTAACTAATATGCATTTTTATATGAGCACATATAAAGGGTTAACATATGGGAATGGAAGATGGCCAGATTCTTCTGCTTCCCAGAAGAATCTAAGTTGAAACCTGAAGAAAGAACTAGACTTAAGCAGAGAAAAACTGAATGAGAGAGGTTTGGGAAAGTATACCAAACGTAGGGTGAAGATTCTATGCAGATGCCTGAAGACAGCTGTTAAGGGAAACTACCAGTGACTTAGGACACTGAGTGCTGAGTTAAGATGTGGAGGGAACAACTGATTGGGAGAGGTAAACTGGAACCCGGTCTTTATATGACTTTTTGAGGAGTTCAGATTTTATCCTGTGAGCATTGAGAAGGTTTTAGGCAAAGGAATAATTGGTTAGATTTATATTTTTGGTCACTTATGCTGCAGTGTGGGGAGTAGATTAAAGGGGGCAAATCAGGAGGCAGTATAGAAATCAGGAGGGTATAATAAGTAGTACACATGTAATTAATTTGATGTGGATAGTGAATCAAGGATGATTCCAAGGTTTCTGGAGTTACATTCCAACTCTAAAAATTATTAAAGTAACAAAAATAATAAAAGTTACCATTAGGGCTCTGGGGAAAGAGAAGAGATATAATCATGATATTGCTGGTAGCAGTATAAATTAATCTGGTCATCTTGGAGAGCTTTCTAGCGACATGCAGTGGAAGCTATAATAATGCTAATGCCTTTTTGACTCATTGATCTTACTTTGGAATACGATTCAAGAAATTCAAGAAAAGTGGCTGTAAATCGTGCATTATTTGTCCAGAGGTTTTTTTTGTTTTTTGTTTTTTTTTTTGAGATGGAGTCTCACTCTATTGCCCAGGCTGGAGTGCAGTGGCGCAGTCTCAGCTCACTGCATCCTCTATGTCCTGGGTTCAAGTGATTCTCCTTTTTTTTTTTTTTGAGACGGAGTTTCGGTCTTGTGCCCAGGCTGGAGTGTAATGGTGCGATCTTGGCTCACCGCAACCTCTGTCGCCCAGGTTCAAGCGATTCTCCTGCCTCAGCCTTCTGAGTAGCTGGGATTACAGACATGTGCCACCATACCCAGTTAATTTTTTGGTATTATTTTTAGTAGAGACAGGGTTGCACCATGTCAGCCAGGCTGGTCTTGAACTCCTGACCTCAAATGATCTGCTGGCCTTGGCCTCCCAAAGTGGTGGGATTATAGGGGTGAGCCACCACACCCAGCCTTGTTTTTTTTTTTTTTTTAATTTTTATTTTTGTTTTTGTTTTTGTTTTTTTTTTTGAGACAGAGTCTCGCTCTGTTGCCTAGGTTGGAGTGCAGTGGTGTGATCTCAGCTCACTGCAACGTCTGCCTCCTGGGTTCAAGCGATTCTTTTGCCTCAGCCTCCCAAGTAGCTGGGACTACAGGCACACGCCACCACATCCAGCTAATTTTTTGTATTTTTAGTAGAGATGGGGTTTCACCATGTTGGCCAGGCTGGTCTCGAACTCCTGACCTCAGGTGATCCGCCCGCTTTGGCCTCCCAAAGTGCTGGGATTACAGGTGTGAGCCAGCACGCCTGGCCTTTGTTTTGTTTTTTTGAGACAGAATCTCACTCTGTATCCCAGATTGGAGTGCAGTGGCATGATCTTAGGCTCACTGCTACCTTCACCTCCCGAGTTCAAGCGATTCTCCTGCCTCAGCCTCCCAAGTTGCTGGGACTACAGGTGTGCACCACCACGCCCGGCTAATTTTTGTATTTTTAGTAGAGATGGGGTTTCACCATGTTGGCCAGGCTGGTCGTGAACTCCTGACCTCAAGTAATCTGCCCGCCTTGGCCTACCAAACTGCTGGAATTACAGGCATGAGCCACCATGCCAGGCCTGTCCAAAGAGATTTTATATTGGTACTATTTATTACAGAAAAATTGGAAACAACCTAAATGTTCTAACGCAGAGGATTAGTTAAGCTTTTTTTTTTTTTTTTTTTTTTGAGACAGAGTCTCGCTCTGTCAGCCAGGATGGAGTGCAGTGGCACGATCTCGGCTCACTGCAACCTCCGCCTCCTGGGTTCAAGCAGTTCTCCTGCCTCAGCCTCCCAAGTAGCTGGGACTACAGGCATGTGCCACCACACCCGGCTAATTTTTTGTATTATTAGTAAAGACCGGGTTTCACCATATTAGCCAGGATGGTCTGGATCTCCTGACCTCGTGATCCATCTACCTCAGCCTCCCAAAGTGCTGGGATTACAGGCGTGAGCCATCATGCCCGGCCCTAGTTAAGCAGTTTTTAAAAATATATCAATAGGGTATGGGCCTGGTGGCTCATTCGTGTAATCCCAGCACTTTGGGAGGCTAGGATGGGAGGATCACTTGAGCCCAGGAGTTCAAGACCAGCCTGGGCAATATGGCAAAACCCTGTCTCTGCAAAAAAATACAGAAATTAGCCGGGCATAGTGGCACATGCCAATGGTCCCATCATTCAAGAGGCTGAGGTAGGAGGATCGCTTCATTCAGCTCAGGAATTCAAGGCTGCACTGAGCCATGATTGTGTCACTGCACCCCAGCCTAGGGAACAGAGTGAGACCCCATCACTACAAAAAGTTTAAAAAACTAGCCAGGAGTGGTGATGGGTGCCTATATAGTCCTAACTACTCTAGAAGTGGAGGCAGGAGGATCACTTGAGCCCAGGAGTTCAAGGCTGCAATGAGCCATGATTGCACCACTGTACTCCATCTGGGCAACAGATGAATCAGGAGTTCAAGTAAGACCCTGTCTAAAGAAGAAAAGAAAAAAATTGTTTGTACATAGATGATGATTTAATAGGGTTGAGAGACGCAACACTGATGTGTCAATCTGTGCTTACAGCAGACAGAGAATAAGGAATAAGGAAAGGGAAGGATAATTAGGTCCTAGCCATAGGGGAGAAGACTATTAGAAAAGTTATGTTTTAAAAGGAAAAATGTGGGAATAGAGGATAGCTTCTCTGTTTTCATTACCTGGCAGACCCCAGAAATGGCTTAATATTGGCTTATTTACATATAGTCTACAGTTAAGTTGCAGTTAGCTGCTGTATTAGGCCGTTCTTGTGTTGCTATAATTACCTGAGACTGGGTAATTTATAAGAAAAGTGGTTTAATTGGCTCATGGTTCTGTAGGCTGTACAGGAAGCATGGCATCTGCTTCTGGGGTGGCCTCAGGAAGCTTCCAATCATGATGAAAGGCAAAGAGGGGACAGGTGTCTTATGCATAGTGGGAGCAGGAGGAATAAAGAGGGGTAGGTGTCATACTTTTAAAGAACCAGATCTTGTGTGAACTCAGACCAATAACTCACTTATCATCAAGGGGATGGCAACCAAGTCATTCATGAGAGATCTACCCCCATGATCCAAACACCTCCCACCAGGCCCCACCTCCAAAGTTGGGGATTATATTTCAATATGAAACTTAGAGGGGACACATAAACTATATCAGCTGCTAAGAGATTTCATTTCCTTTAAGTGCACTTATGGCTGAAATTTTCCATAATAACTGTAGATAACTCAACATGTTTAAGTAGATTTTAGTTTGGTATTTGATTAAAAGTTCATAAAATGGAACAAGAGGAAATTAGTTATTAGCAAGAATGTTGAAGAAAAGTTGGAATTAAAAAAAAATCTCAGGCGGGTGCAGTGGCTCACGCCTGTAATCCCAGCACTTTGGGAGTCTGAGGTGGGTGGATCACCTGAGGTCAGGAGTTCAAGACCAGCCTGACCAATATGGTGGAACCCCCATCTCTACTAAAATTATAAAAATTACCTTGGTGTGGTGGTATGCACATGTAGTCCCAGCTACTTGGGAGGCTGAGGCAGGAGAATCGCTTGAACCCGGGAGGCGGAGGTTGCAATGAGCTGAGATCGCGCCACTGCACTCCAGCCTGGGCGACAGAGCAAGACTCCTCTCAGAAAAAAAAAGAAAAGAAAAGAAAAGTAGATTCCTGTTAATTACTAAGGAAAATAAATTCTGCTGGGCATGGTAGCTCCTGCGTGTAATCCCAGCTCTTTGGGAGGCCAGGGTGGGAGGATTGCTTGAGGCCAGGAGTTCAAGATCAGCCTGAGCAACATGGTGAGACCCTGTCTCTACAAAAAATAAAAATAAATAAAAATAATTGCGTGGTGGCACATGTCTGTAGTCCCAGCTACTTGGGAGGCTGAGGCAGAAGGATCACTTGAGCCCAGGAGTTAAAAGTTGGGGCATCAGAAATTTTAGACACTTAAGCTGATTTCTTTGATGTATTTAACAACATACATCCAGAAAAGTGGATCATTTGGGTGCTGAGGGAACATCTAGAATCTGCTTTAGTCATAATTTTTTTTTAGATGGAATTATTTTGATCTAGAATATTAACAGTGGAGAAAAAGCTAATATAAATGGGATGGTTTTGAGACAGGCAATGAAGGTTAAGGAAAAACAATCTGTAGATAAGTTAGATTTCCAAGGCATTTGTTGAAATGAATGGCTAAAGTAGCTTGAGATGAAGGGGTGATAGATGGGAGAAAGGAGGAGGTTGCTGGAATGACAAGTTTTTGGTGAAGTATTACTCCTTGGTTTATTGGCAGTAGAAGGGACATAAGGGTGGTGCAGGTCAGCCATTTGGATAATATTTGCTGTATGTGATCCTTGCAGAAGGCGAACTAGAGCTAAGGGGCCAGGCCAGGCATGTTGGCTCATGCCTGTAATCCCAGCACTTTGGGAGGCTGAGGCAGGCAGAGCACTTGAGCCCAGGAGTTTGAGACCAGCCTGAGCAACATAGTAAGATCCTGTCTCTACAAAAATATTAGGTGGTGTGCACCTGTAGTCCCAGCTGTTTGGGAGGTTGAGGCAGGAAGATCACTAGAGCCCAGGGAGATTGAGGCTGCAGTGAGCTATGATTGTGCCACTGCACTCCAGCCTGGGTGACAGTGTGTGACCTTTCTTAAAAAAAAAAAAAAAGAAAAAGAAAAAGAAAAAAAGAGATAGGGCCCTAGTAAAGATGAAGTGGTTAATCATCTTTATTAGGGGAAAGTTTCTGGCTGTGTGACTGGAGATGATATTTGCAAATACACTCGTATTTGGTAATGGTTTGAATGGATTGAGTCCACTGTTGTCAGATGACCAGGAGAGTCTAAAGGGGCAATTCTGGACTTGGAGAGAAGTCCATGATAGCATTAATGTACTTCACTGTTCACAAAGATGTTTCACACTCATTGGTTCACATGATACAACAACCTTATGCAGTAGGAATCATTATCTGCATTTTGCAGGTAAGAAAACTAAGGCTTAAAGGGGTTAATCCAGTGGTTCTCAGTTCACACTACACATTAGAATTATGTGGGAGATCTTTTTAAAAATACTGAGGCCTGAGCCTTACCCCCAGTAGTTGTGTAGTTGTTCTGAGGGTCCAGTATTCATGTTTTTAAAATGATTCAGGTGATTCTAACATATAGCCATGGTTAAGAACCACAGGGTTAAATGTCTGTGCCAGGCCATAGAGCCAATAAAGTAGCAGAGGCAGAACCTGAAACCTGGTCTTTTGTCTCTGAGCCTCATATTTTTCATTTTTTCCCCCCACACTCTGATTTTTCAGGTTTCATTTAAGACCATTACATTATCCCTCAGGAAGCCTGTATCAATTCTGTATCAGTTAGGGTTTATAGGCTACAGAAACCAACTTTGACCAACTTTCTTTTTTTTTTTTTTTTTTTTTTTTTTTTTTTGAGACGGAGTCTTGCTCTGTTGCCAGGCTGTAGTGTGGTAGCGTGATCTCAGCTCACTGCAACCTCCGCCTCCTGGGTTCAAGCAATTCCCCTGCCTCTGCTGAGTAGCTGGGACTACAGGCACATGCCACCATGCCCGGCTAATTTTTTTGTATTTTAGTAGAGATGGGGTTTCACCATGTTGGCCAGGATGATCTTGATCTCCTGACCTGGTGATCTGCCCACCTCGGCCTCCCAAAGTGCTGCGATTACAGGCGTGAGCCACCACGCCTGGCCCTTTTTTTTTTTAAAGGGCTATTTTTGAATAATAGTGGGTATTTCACAGAATTGAACAGAATGAAAAAGAAGGCTAAATAACTAGACTGAACAAAGTTCAAGAACTGGGGCAGCTTTAGGGAATCTAGGAATAGGAATGGAAGGTCATCTCTACAGAACCAATAGGAATCTTAACTCCAGCTGTCTTCTATACCCATTTGTCTGCAAAATTCCAATTCCTGTAGAGAGATTCCATAGGTCACTGCCCCTGGGTCAGGGGTCATGTGGTTAGTAGCCCCAAAAGAACCACACCAAGTTAAGGAGGGGCAGTTCCCCAATGGATGGGATACTGAGCAGACCCAAACAAAAGTTACTCATTACAAAGCCCTTCCTGACAGCCCTCACTGCAAGTCTAGGCTCCCCTGTAGGTACTCCAGTAGCTCTCCAACCCCATTCTTTTTTTTTTTTTTTTGAGACGGAGTTTCGCTCTGTCGCCAGGCTGGAGTGCAGTGGTGCGATCTTGGCTCACTGCAACCTCTGCCTCCCGGGTTCAAATGATTCTCCTGCCTCAGCCTCCCAAGTAGCTGGGACTACAGGCGCACACCACCATACCCAACTAATTTTTCTATTTTTAGTAGCGACAGAGTTTCACCATGTTGGCCAGGATGGTCTCAATTTCTTGACCTTGTGATCCGCCTGCCTTGGCCTCCCAAAGTGCTGGGATTACAGGTGTGAGCCACCGCACCTGGCCCCCATTCTTATATTAAATGCCTATTTCCCACCAAACTATGAGCCAGGAGAAGCCAGAGGCCAAATCTATTCTGTGATATCCCTCAGTGGGCCCTCAAATATCTCAAAAATAGTAAGCCCTCCGTGTTTGGTGAATGGAATTCCAGAAAAATTTTAGGTAGAAATCGCAAACTTGTGGTTCTACTCCTTTTCCAAGGTAGGTGCCCACTACTGCACCTTTGTAAAGCCTGCCACCCTATGTGCTATCTGGACCCTCTGCCATTTCCACTATCCCCTCTTTCATCTCTTCTCTCACCTTGTTAGGTGATTGCTGGCTTCAACCGCCTTCGGCAGGAACAGCGAGGCCTGGCATCCAAAGCAGCTGAGTTGGAGATGGAGTTGAATGAGCACAGGTGAGAAAGTCAGGGAGAGGCAAACAGTAGGACAGTTGTGTGGGCTACTCCGTGAGGGGGATTTGTAGTAGAGTGGGGCTGAATCCTCAGGTCCTGCCTTGTTCTCCTATCCCAGCCTAGTGATCGATACACTGAAGGAGGTAGATGAAACTCGTAAGTGCTACCGCATGGTTGGAGGAGTGCTGGTGGAGCGAACTGTCAAAGAGGTGCTGCCCGCTTTGGAGAACAACAAGGAGCAGGTGAGCAAGAATCATTGAATAGGATCGGGTACAGTGGCTGTAAACCCAGCACTTTGGGAGGCCAAGGCAGGTGGACTCTTTGAGTCCGGGAGTTCGAGACCAGCCTGGGCAACATGGTGAAACCATATCACTACAAAAAATACAAAAGATTAGCTGGGTATGGTGGTATGTGCCTGTAGTCCCAGCTACTCACCTGAGCCTAAAATGTCGAGGCTTCAGTGAGCTGTGATCACCTCACTGCACTCCAGCCTGGGTGACAGAGTGAGACCCTGTCTCAGATAAAAGGAGGGCAGCATAAAATAGCCTATGCTCATTATGCTATGCTAAGTGCAACTCTTAGACAAGAGGAATTGCTGACTGCTGTGGGCTCTGTGACTTGGCTGAATTGGGGTGGGAGGATTGGGGTTAGAGTAATGTTTCTCATAGTGTGTGTTTCACGAATACATGAATCAAAATCACCTGAAGGACTAATTTATAAATGCAGCTTCCCAGACCCACTGGATTAGAACCTTTGGGAGTGCCATGAAGTGACATTTTAAAAATAAGCTAGGCAGGTTGCAGTGACTCACACCTGTAATCCCAGCACTTTGGGAGGCCGAGGCGGGCGGATCACGAGGTCAGGAGGTCAAGACCATCCTGGCTAGCATGGTGAAACCCCATCTCTACTAAGAATACGAAAAATTGGCTGGGCGTTGTGGTGGGCGCCTGTGGTCCTAGCTACTCGGGAGGGCAAGGCAGGAGAATGGCGTGAACCTGCGAGGCGGAGCTTGCAGTGAGCTGAGATTGCACCACTGCACTCCAGCCTGGGCGACACAGCGATGCTGCAACTCAAAAAAAAAATATTAAAAATAAAAAATGAAAAAATAAAAATAAGCTCATGCCTGTATTCCTAGCGCTTTGGGAGACCGAGGCAGGAGGACTGCTTGAGGCAGAAGTTTGAGACCAGCCTGGGTAACATAGTAGGAACTTGTCTCTGTAAAAAATAAAAATAAGCAGCCCAGGTGATTCTAAGTACATTAAAGTGTATAAACCACTGTGTTCAAGAAAGGAATAATTTTAATGTCTGGGCTCCTCTACTTGGTTAAAGGTAAGGTTAAATGTGTTAACACTTCCTCCAACCATAGTCCATTCCAGGTGGGGGAAAGGAGTCCTGAATTCCTTATATAATCCCTGTCACTTGTCCTCTAGATACAGAAGATCATTGAGACACTGACACAGCAGCTTCAGGCAAAGGGAAAAGAACTAAATGAATTCCGGGAAAAGCACAACATTCGTCTCATGGGAGAAGATGAGAAGCCAGCAGCCAAGGAAAACTCAGAAGGGGCTGGGGCTAAGGCCAGCTCAGCTGGAGTGTTGGTCTCCTAGGGACCAAGGCCTTTGCATTTTTTTCTACCCTGACTCCCACTTCTAATTTCTCTTTATTGTTATTATTATTATTTTCTCTGCTATTGTAATATTTTTTTGTTAATTAAATGTTTTGGTCAGAATCTTAGCTGTAGCCTGAAGTTTTCTCCCACTTGGGGGTGGAAATTGTTTTGAGACACGGAACAGCATATGATGTGTGGTTTTTGTTTCCATCAGGTTAATGACTCATAATATGAGAGTAGGACCCATATTTATTTTATCCTTTCCTTGCAAATAAAGGTATGTCCACTTATTTACTGCCCTTCCCCCTCCCCCCAAAAATTTCAGAGACAAATCTTGAGTCTCAGATTGAAATTTAATAAGCATTTGAAGTGAAGCAGATAGCTCTGGTGATAACGCTTTATAGGTTTGCAACAAAGCAAAACAAAACGAGGCTTAGTGATGTGTCTTGGCACTATTTAGATAAAGTCCAGGATGCAAACCTGTGGACTGGCTGTCCTGCCATCCTCACCAAAACCCCCAACCAGGTAAAGCTGATCATTCCAAAGGCAGGTGCGATGGCCCATGCGTTTCATCCCACGATCTGCACAGGGGAAGTGGAACCACAAAGGAGGAGATGTGCCTGTTGGATACGGGCAGAGGGTGGTTATTGAGGCAGTAGCACTTTGTCATTCACAGAATTCAACATGACCAAGGGCTTGCCCATTGTTTTTCTGCTCACTTGATTTGTAGGCCTCTTCAAATGCTTAATATTCTGTGTACTCCTTTAACTCCTGTCAACTAATTTTTCCTCCTCCCTACCCCATCACTCCATCCTCTTTCTGTAGTCTTCAGGTTCCCCCATCTTCCCACCTTCCCCCCCTTCAGCCATTAGTCTGGCTCTCACGAGTATCATAGATGTAGAGATCATTGCAGATGGTGTCTCTAGCTCTGGTCAGAGTTTCTCCACCAAACAGCACAGCAAAGGGCCCGACCACAGAACATGAGTGATGCCGTAGTCCATGGGGCCCCTTCTGGGACCCCTGCCCACTGCTCACAAGCCTTGCAAGCTGTTCCATCAAATGAGGAGCAACAGGTGGTTCCTCCTTGGGGAGAAAGAAAGGACTGTCCGAAGAGACCTGGGCATCACAATTTTAGCCTCTTCCCATCCTAAACAAGATGTGTGAGGAGCTAATACCTTAATTTTCCCATGACTCCAATGCCCAGCTACTTCTGGTTCAGCTAAGTTGCAACCTCCAAAGAGCAATAGCTGATGACCTGGATGGGGTCCAGGAGTTTGGAGCAGGGCCGCACAGTGACCTGAGCGTGAGGCTGTGTGGCAGCCTTCTTGCTTGTAGCTGTGGACATGCAGAAATTCAGGGCTGAGTGGGTTTTCTGGAAAATGTAAGTGCCACCGCCCTTGCCAAGGATGGATGGAGAAGAGGCATGGGGCAGTGCGGTAGGTGGGATAAGAGGGAGGGTAATACTGTAGAGAGCTCAGCTAGCTTAAACATGGTAGGTTCCCCTGGAAGGAGGGTGCTAGAGTGAGGAGGTGGATAAATTGCCTGAGAAATCTGCTTAGGCTTTTGTTTTTCGAGAGTGTGGATGAGAGTGAAAGGTTTTGGGCGGAGGGTGCCATACCAATAGGTGCGGGCGCTGGGGTCCAGCCTTAATGTGTAGATGCTTCCATAGCGTCGCTGAGTGTGGATACCGCCCTCCCGGCCAGCCACCTGCAGCTCTCGGTCAGAGATTCGGGTGCAGGTGTGACTACTGAGGCCGGCGGGGGGGCAGTCACCAGGGGTCCCTGTCCACGCCTCCCACACACCGCGCTCTGTGTCCAGTGCGGTCACTGTGGCCAAGCGGCGAGACCCGTCCCAGCCGCCCACCACGCAGAGCCAACGCCCGTCCACGGGTGCCGCGTCGTGGTGACTGCGCGGGGGGCTGCCCCGGGCTCCCAATCGTACGGCCTGGCCCCTAGCTGGGTCGAAAACCACCGTATCGCTGCTGGGCTCTCTCGCTCCTCCTGCTAGGAGACCACCTACGAGATAGAACCGTCCCCGCAGTTCGGTGCATGAATGGAAAGCTCTAGCCAAAAGCGCGTCCCGCGCCACTGGCCTCCAGGCCCAGCCTGAGCCTGCGGCCCGACCCGGGGGCACGGCCACCGCCATGGGCCCCGGGGAGAGGGAGGGCGGTGGGGTCTGCGGCTTGGAACGAGCCCCTACATGGCAGGCCAGGCACCTCGCCTTCCGCGGGCTTCCCCGGGAACCTCCCCCTACCGGACGCCAGCCGGGGTTCCCACCTCAAGTCCCGGCTTTCTCTCCGTGGTCGCCCAGCAACCACTGCAGCGGCTGCAGCGCGACCGCTGCAAACCGAAGGTCGCAAAGCAGCAGTTACCGTGGAGACAGGACACCTGGGTGGCTATCGGGAACCGTATGGTGGTGCCACCAAGGCTACGGGAGCTGTATCAGGTCAATAAAAATCCTGCAAGATTGTTAACCTCAGAAAGTCGGAGGACAGTCGGGTCCTTAGAATAAACCCCTGTGATCTCCGCTGTGAACTGATTTGCGATTTTGACATTTGAGGTGCAGGTGCTGCTCCACTAGGGCCGGGAGGGATCATTTGGCTTCAGGGTTTCTTACTCGGGCTAACCACCCCAGGGATGAGCAAGGAAGGAGAAGCAAAAGTCAGAGGGTGGGGAAGTGAAAGTGGACTGACCACTGGCCCGAGAGACAGGAGACCTGGGTTCTAGTCCCAACTATGCCCCTGACCCTCAAAGGCATTGTTTCTCTCTAGGCCTTCTCAGTTTTGTCATTCATCAAATAGGCTGTTCGTTTATTCCCAAAGGCTTGAAGGTCCCGATTGATTGGGTGGGAGAGTCCTTTCAGCTCTGGCCACTAGAGGGTAGCAGAACCCAGTCTCTCAGGTGACACACACACACACACACACACACACACACACACACACACAGAGAGAGAGAGAGAGAGAGAGAGAGAGAGAGAGAGAGAGAGAGAGAGATAGAGAGAGAGAGAGAACCCACGCAGCCTTAGAAGGGTGAAGTGGGGGAAGAGTGAGAAAATGAGAAAAACAGACTCCTACCCTTCCCTGATATCTTTTATTTAAGCCAGTTTCCAGATATTAACTCTGTCCCCCAGGACCAAGTGATAACTGAAGAGGCCCAGATGCAAGCTTTCTGCTTTCAGCTGAAGGAGGAAATACAGACAGAATTTTCCTCCCAACACAGCTGGTGTGGGGCAAAAACAGGATCTGTGTCCTCTGGGACTGGGCTGTAAGTGGGAATGATGACTGCTACTTGTGGCCTTTGGTTTCTACACATCACCTTGCTCCCCATCATACCTGAGATACTGAGACCATAGAAAGTGGCCAGGCAGGAGAATCACTTGAGGCCAGGAGTTCAGGAGTTCAAGACCAGCCTGGGTAACATAGTGAGACCCTGGCGAAAGAAAGAAAGAAAAAAAGAAAAGAAATAAAGAAAGGAAGAAAGGAGACAGTGGCCAGGGCTGCAGTGAGGATGGGCATGTAATGCAGGGTCTGATAGCACAGCAGGGCTTTCCCCTCCTCTTCCCAACTCTTGGTCCTCAGAGAACACAGCATGGGGATGGCATGGGCAGGAAAGGCACAGTTACAGAGATTGGAAGATTACCAGGACCTGTTCCCCACCTGTACCTTAAAGCCAAGATTCAACAATAGCTTTGAAAGTCTCTGCCCTCCCAACTATAGCTTTCCCTGAGTATGACAGGCAGTATTCTCAGTTTTCCAAAATCATGGTAAGAATCTCTAAAAAATCACTAACTTTTACTGTCCTTGGCTGAAATTTAAAAGTCAGTCTTTTCCCTCAGGCTTCTTTCTCACTGGCTAACCTCCCAACAGCTGGATTCAGATCTGTCATACTCCTAGGATTAGGCAAGGGCTTGCCTCAGGGGTGGGGCAATTTTGCTTAAACCTTATTGGCCTATATGTCCATTTTAGGCTCTTGCTTTTGCCTAAGTCTTGGCTGTTCTGTTAGACTTACTTTCTGCCTTTCCTGGATAGAAATGGGAACTCCCCACCCCACGGGCCTTTCCAGCTCCTCTCTCCCAGCTTCCTCTCTGACTCTGAGTCCTTAGCAGTAGGCATCTTAGTTAGACATAGAGCTTGAACCTCACATACTCCTTGGCTGTACCCTCTCCAGTTCTGTACCTAGATGCTTCCAGTTCCTCCTAATAGCTGGAAGCATCTGTCCATTGCTTTGCCATCCCAAGACCCTGGGAGAGGAACTGCCTAGGACTCCTACCTTCTTAGGTTAGTTTGAACCAAATCCATATTTTGGAGGAGGGAGAAAAGAAGCCAGAAAGAGAGAAACAGAGAGAGGAAGAAAGCAAACCAGCCAACCTGGACTTGTATGACACATGCTTCACACCGCAGGACAGCATCTGCAGTGGTCTATAATGACCTTGTCAATGATACACAAACTGAAAGGGCATTAAGATAAGTGAAAGGGGGAACTGAGAGAAAATTGTGAGAGACAGGGAAAAGGGCAGCCAGGGCTGTGAACCTGCTTTCACCTGCTAATAATATCCAGGGACAACCTCTGTCCAGAAATGAGAGCAGGGACTGGATATCCTGAAAGTCTCGTAATCCTGATGTGATCCCCTGATGTTGGCTTTGTCTCAGTTGGCCAAGAGTCTATATGATCTCTAGCAAGCAAGCACCCAGCTTCCTACCTAGCCTTAGATGTCTATCCTAGCCCCAAATCTACGCCCCCTTGCCTCAAACTTTCACAAAGCTCTTACTCTATCTTCTCCCTTCCTTAACCCCATTTTCTGACCCTGGAACCATCTCTGGTTCTTAGCATTATTCGGTACATACAGAAAACCAACAATTGGGCTGGGTGTGGTGGCTCACGCCTATAATCCCAACACTTTGGGAAGCCAAGGTGGGTGGATCACTTGAGGCCAGGAGTTCAAGACCAGCCTGGCCAACATGGTGAAACCCCATCTCTACTAAAAATAAAAAATAAAAAATTCACCAGCCGTGGTGGTGCATGCCTGTAGTCCCAGCTACTCTGGAGGCTGAGGCAAGAGAATCGCTTGAACCTGGGAGGCTGAGGTTGCAGTGAGCCGCGATTGTGCCATTGCACTCCAGCCTGGGTGACTGAGAGAGAAAGAGAAAGAGAGAGAGAAAGAAAAGAAAGAGAGAGAGAAAGAAAAGAGAGAGCGAGAAAGAAAAGAGAGAGAGAAAGAAAAGAGAGCAAGAAAGAAAAGAGAGAGAGAGAAAGAAAAGAGAGAGAAAGACAGAAAGACAGAAGGAAGGAAGGAAAGAAAGAAAGAAGAAAGAAAGAAAGAAGGAAGGAAGGAAGGAAAGAAAGAAGGAAAGAAAGAAAGAAAGACCAACAATTGCACCAAACGGTCTTAATCGCACTCAAGACTCCCACAGTTCCCTCTGCCCATGTCTCCCAGGCTGTCCCCATCCTTCAGGCCCTTTCTTTGACTCTTCTTCTGCTGTACCCTGACCCTTCTCTATTTCTCACACAGCTCATTCTAGCTGCTTGACTTCCTGGCCCTATGCCATCCTGGCCCCATTTCTGACTCTTTGCTCTCAGCTCAGCCAGAATAAAGACAGGGACAAAAGGACAGAGAAATGACCAGGCAAAGAGACTGCATGAGGTCAGATCTTGAGAGCTCCTTTGACTGAATGTGAGCTAGAAGGAGATTGAGAGAAAGGTGAAATTGTAAGCAGGCTTTAGGGTGGAGGGGAGTGGTAATCAGCCAAGGTAGAGAATGATGGAGAGGTGGAATAAGGATGGGGAGAAGCTTATGTTGTTGAGGGAGTAGGCAATGTTGAGTAGGAAAGTATCATTGGGTCATTGCTGAGCGGTGGGAATTGAGGGCAGAAGACAGAAGGACTTTGAGTAATCATGGCATCCAGAAATTTCTCTTCGGGTCCTTCTGTCTCTGTTTCAGATTTTGTCTTGGCCACTTCAGCCACTTTGTCTCTTTGAATTCTCCCCCTTCAATAACTCGCGCGCGGGCGCGCGCGCGCATGTGTGTGTGTGTGTGTGTGTGTCTCCAATACAATCCCTGACTTACAATGGTTCAACCTACAATTTTTCTTTTTCTTTTTCTTTTTTTTTTTTTGAGACGGAGTCCTGCTCTGTCACCAGGCTGGAGTGCAGTGGCACAATCTTGGCTCACCGCAACCTCCGCCTCCTGGGTTCAAGTGATTCTCCTGCCTCAGCCTCCTGAGTAGCTGGGACTATAGGCACGCACCACCAAGCCCAGCTAATTTTTTGAGTTTTTAGTAGAGACGGGGTTTCACCATGTTGGCCAGGATGGTCTCGATCTCTTGACCTCATGATCCGCCCACCTCAGCCTCCCAAAGTGCTGGGATTACAGGTGTGAGCCACCATGCCCAACCCAACTTATAATTTTTAAACTACAGTGATGCAAAAATGATAGCGTGTTCGGTAGGACCCATACTTGAATTTTAAATTTTGATATTTTCTAGGGCTAGCGACTGGTATATTAAATGCATTTTCAACTTATATGTTCAGTTTGCAATGGGCTTATCAGGACATAACCCCATCATAAAAGTCAAGGAGCATTTGTATATTTTTCTGTCTTTAAGTTTCCATTTTTCTCACTGTGCCTTGAGATCTGTCTCTCACTGTTTCGACTTTTGTGTTTTTCTCTCTGGGTTACTGCCCTTTTTTTCCTGCTGACCAGAGCCAGCCATCTGACTTTCCTGCAAGGAGCTTTAGAACTTTCCAGAAGTGGCCAGACTTCTTCCCTTTGGCTGCTTTCTAGAACTATAGCACCAGTTTGGGGTCCCCGGGCACAGTCATAAGGTCTCAATTTTTGATGAAGACCTGAGTGAGCTTCAATACATAGGGCCTTTTCAGGGAGTAGAATTTCCCCACAGTGGGGTCTTAGTGTCAAAATAAAGATATTTGTCCCTTAACCCATACTGTGGTCCTGGATTTCATGGTAGTGTGTTCATGGAAACTTGCGAAGTTCATGGGTTGAGAGCAAGGAGGATGGGGCTCTGCACACAACTGGACCTACCGAGAAACGGGACCTGAACATGTCTTGCATTTAGCTGCCTCCTCCCCTGGATGGCACACTCCAGCTTTAGGGCCCTCGAGGAACAAGCAAATTCAGCCCCCTGATCTCCAAGGGTTGTTAGGCAACCAAGAAATGTGGTTATCATTAAAGGATGGGGCTGGGGGCTGGGTATTGGGGAATCGGTGGGCCTGCAGGATAGGCAAAGAACAACATAGCACATGGCAATGTTTTGATGTAATTTTCTAGAAAACAGGAGGCCACCATCCTAATATTGAGCATAGTGAAGTTCCATCAGGAGGGGAGTAAAGGTGTTTTCTAGGGGAAGAAAAGCTGCTGGAGCCCCTGTGTTCTGTATGGGGGTATGCCCATACCTCCCGGGATGGAGCAGGGGTGATCCTAGGGAGGAGCAGGAGGAGTGACTTTGAAGCCTTGGTCCTGGGGGGTGAGATCAAGGCCCATATTGGTAATCTTTCACCACGTCATCAGCTCCCCAACACCTTTCTGTACAAACTGCGGAAAGTTTGCAATGAGCAGATCAGGAATAGCTTATCACAGAGACAAAGCTGTACAGAAATGGATCACAAATATTTTATCCACTCTCATGCTTCCAACTAGTTCCACTCTGATTTATTTTTCACCCTCCTCTCTCCCTAAGCACAAGGGACTCTCCCCCAGCCTCTGACTCTTCTCTGACCTGGGACTTCACTGCAGGCAGACAGGATATTACTCACCAAGGAGCTCTCTCATCTACTCCTACCCCCAACTCATCCTCCTGCACCCCACTCTCACTCCCACCCCTTCCAACCTGGGCCCACTCCTTCCCTCCCCCACTCAATCTGACCCTCACTCTCACTCTTCTTCTCCCCCACACCACCCCACCCATCCTTGTCCCTCTCTGACTCACCTCAAGTCCCATTGACACAAACAAAAATTTCAGCACAACCCACTCCAACCGGTTTGGCTGAGGCGTGCAGCCTGTCATGGGGACAGAGACAGGTATAAGCGGATGCTTGGATGCATGCAGATCATGAAGAACATCCGCTGCTGTGCATACAGAGACAGTCCCACATATGTGCATAGCATGTATGTGTACAGAGATACGTAGGGAACACATGATGGTGGGATATAGCATGTTACAGTTGTTTCTGTGTCTGCCTCTCCTGATTGAAGGCTCCTTGAGGGCAGGGACTATGTGTTATGTGTCTCGGTCTCCTCCCTTGAGCCTGACACATAGTGGCACTCATTTAATGTCTGTTGAAGGAATGCATGGGTGCAGGCGCGCACGCAGCAATGTCACTCAGACAAACACACATGATAAAGACACTATCATGGCTTGAATTGTTCTCATTCTTAGCGACCACAATGTGGGTAGGAGGAGGGTAGGAGTGAGGCATGTGGGGAATGGGAATTCAATATGGAAGGGAGAACCGAACCAGGATACCAGGCATTGGTCTTGAAAATCTTCCTCATCCAATATTTCCTTCCAGTCTCAATCCTAGAATATGCCTTCCCCAGCCTTCATCCTAGGAGAGGGTAGGAAAGGCCTAAGTTTGAGGGCATATTCTCCAAAAGCATGGCTCTTGTGAGACATACAGGGCTGAGGGGAAGGAGGGGACAGAGGGACTTGAGATAGGTATTTGTGAAATGAGGAGAGAGATCCCTAACTCTGTCAAAGGCCTGGAGTGGGCTGCTGGACTCTAGTGCTCCCTCTCAGGCCCTGTGGTGCCCTTAGCCTACTTCAAGGCTGCATCATACCCATGAAAAAATGAGTATAGCCATACCCTAACTCCACCTCTGGACAGTTCTGCCTCCTTTCCATGCTCCGTATGGCTAGAGTTCAGGGTGAGTGATTAAGGGGCCCAACCAGGGGTTCAGAGACATCCTGACTGGTAGCACTTTCACGGGGTATACTGTGAATGGATAGGCTGAAGGAGATTGGATATCCATCTTGTGAACTAACTGCTTTTCCACTCCTGTGCCTCAGTTTCTCCTGTGGCTTCCTGTACCTGGAGGGGTGAATCCGTGGGAAGGAAAGCAGCTCCTCCGAAAGCATGCGATAGGATCCAAGGTGTGATAATTATAATTATAACACAGGATGCTCCCCCTCCCATTCCCGCTGGCCCTACTCCACCCCTGCCACAGAGGATCTCAAAGCAGCATCTGGGTGGGGCTGTTCCCCTGGCACAGGTGGGGACCTGAAAAAGAGAAGGGGTTGGAGGTGGAGAGAAACTGGGGAATTCTGGCAACCGGCCTGGCCTTTAAGGGCCTCTGACCTGCAGGAAATAGCCCCTGAAGAAGAGGTCACTGCCGTGGTCATTTGGCATCTAGAGCCAGAGTTGGGGTCATAGTCCAGTGACAGGAGTAAAGTCCAGGTCACAACCCTAGTTCAGGATAGTAACTCACAGCCAGTCGGGATCTCTGCTTTACTGATCCGACTTCACCATCCTTTTCATCCGGACAACTCATTTATTCAGAAATTCATGGCTTCACCAAAATGTAGTCAGTTCCCATGAAATGCTGTGGCCTGTCCTAGCATGGAAGACTGAGACAAGATTATAAAACAAGCCCAACTTTCAAGGAGTTCACAGGCTACAACTCTTGTCCTGTCCCGCAATTTAATACATTTACTGAATTCCTGGCACACAGCAGGCCTCAATCGATGTTTTTTTGACTTGAAGCTTACAATTTAGTTAAGGAGATAAGATGTGCACAAATTATGAGCACATAAGCTATAATAAAAGGACTAGCAAAGGCTGAGGAAGAATAGAAGAAAGATTAATTTGGGGTGGGAGGAGCAGAGAAGGCTTCACGAAGATGTGGCATTTGAGGTCAGCTTTGAAAGATGAATAAGAGTTTGACAGGTAGAGTTGGTGGGGATGGTGGTGGTAGAAAATCTACACAGAACAACTCTTCCTTATGGCTTCTTTATTCCTCCTTTCTGCCTTCTCCAGATGGAAGGGTCCTATGGCAAAACTTTAACCTATATTTTTTTCTTCTCCCACGTCTATCTCTGTATTTACCTGGTTTTTGTATTAGCCCTAGACTGCAAGTGATGTTGTCCCTCCCGTTCACTAAATTTTCAGTGGGCTCAGAATATGCCCTCTTCCTCTGGCTATCCCAGGGAGGCCAGGAAGGTTTTGTGTAATTTGGCGGTCACTTTTTATGCATTCAGAATGGAAACACATGGTCTGACAAGGATGTACTTATAGGAATACAGGGCTAGAGTACTTGAAATTAAGATTCTCCTTGCAAAGTCCAGACATGTGGTCTTGTCCAATGACCTTGGAGTAAACTGGGTAAAATGGCCATGGAGAGGGTAGAGAGGAACCTCTCTCCATTCAAGTTGTGCTGCTGCGCTTTTGGGACTCCTGGCCAGGTAACAAGGTGTTGAAGCTGAGAGAGGGCCCTGATAGGGAAACCAGGAACCCCTACGGCTAATTCCTTGGCCACTTCCTTGGCCTCTTATATATGGAGGTGGAGTTAGAGGAGTTACGTAAGTTCTTTCTCAGGGGTCTTTGAACTACTTCCCTACTTCAGGGATAGAGGTGTCTGAGCAAACCATGAGACTAAGTTGTGTGTCCTCTGGCAAGTCCCTCCCCTTCTCTGGGCCTTGGTTTTCTCTTCTGAAGAATGAAGTATACAGCGCAGCACTGACAGACTCCTTCCTCCTCAGTTCTGGCCTTCTCCGATTCTGTGGCTCCAAAGCTGAGACCCTCCAGGAGATCCGGGAACTTGTCAAGGCCCCCAGGAGGTACCAAGGCTAGCTGGGGTGTGGGACGCTTGGGTTCCTTTCTACCCACAAGGGCCTTGCCCCTTTCATCCTGGCCTGGCCTGGTGCCCTGGGCCTCCCTTAGTCCCCACCCTTGCCTCTCCCTTCATAGCCCCTTCCACATACTCGCAGGTAAAGCCTGGAGCTGAGGATGGGACCCCACCGCCCCCACCCAGGTCCTTCCCTCCTTCCCTCCCTCCCTGGCGCCTATTAGCTAGCCCAGGCCATGGGGGCGGTGGCTGCTGAGTCTCCGTGCCAGGCCCAGCCCCCAGAGACGCACCTGTTCTGACCTGCTGAGCAGGTTCCCAGGTTTCTGCCGTCGTTGTTGGCCACAGCGTGGGAAGCAGCTCTGGGGGAGCTCGGAGCTCCCGATCACGGCTTCTTGGGGGTAGCTACGGCTGGGTGTGTAGAACGGGGCCGGGGCTGGGGCTGGGTCCCCTAGTGGAGACCCAAGTGCGAGAGGCAAGAACTCTGCAGCTTCCTGCCTTCTGGGTCAGTTCCTTATTCAAGTCTGCAGCCGGCTCCCAGGGAGATCTCGGTGGAACTTCAGAAACGCTGGGCAGTCTGCCTTTCAACCATGCCCCTGTCCCTGGGAGCCGAGATGTGGGGGCCTGAGGCCTGGCTGCTGCTGCTGCTACTGCTGGCATCATTTACAGGTAGGACTTGCCTGAACCATCAGGACACTTGCTTCTGAGCCCAACCTGGCACTGACACACATGCACAAACACATAGACACACACGCACGCACACACATATCCTCCTTTCTTTGACTCTGAACTGAGGATCCAGTCTCTCCTGCCCCCAGCTTCCAGCAGTGCCCCCAGAAAAGCCAGTATAGCCCTCCCCCTTCTTGTTTCCTCCCAGCCCCCAGGCCAGGTCACTATGTCTGGGATCCCTGACACCTCTGCCAAAGCCTTGCCTAGGCCTGAGCTGTCTTGGGGAATAGACGTGGTGACCCAGTGTAGATGGGCAGGCAGGTGGGACTTGTGAGGATCCTGTTCACCCCAGGGTTTCCTAGAGGTGCCTTGGCCTACCCCCTGGGCTCTGGAACGGCTGCCTGGAACTGGGGCTGACTCAGAGCTCAGCTGGTTTCTGCAGTCATCAGGGTGCAGGAAGCCTGATGCCCAGAGAGTGGATGGGGGATTTCTATTTCCTTCTTTTCTCTCCATGATGTTCTAGAGCACCAGGACTGGGGCACCTGTTGGGGACTATAGGAGAGCTGAGAATGCCCGTCACTCTGACCCCTTCCTTTCCCTGGGCACAATATTAGGTGCCAGGGTGGTAATAAGGGGGTTTAGATGGATGGGGGTCTAAGGAAGGGAACCTTCTAGATAGGGTGTGGTCCCCATTTGTTCATCTCCTGTTCCCCCATTTTCTTAACTAGATGCCTTGTATTACTTCTCACCTCCTGTCTGTCTAATGCATATAGAGCAAATATGAATTATAGGAATGTATAATCTTCAGAGTAGAGGAGAGTGTGTGTGCGTGTGTGTGCACAGTGAGACCTCAGTGGGATTCCATAGGGTGTTCCTAGGGTAATGAGTAACAGAAATATTTCTCCTTCAAAAGATAGGGCCTGATCTGGACAGGACAGTTTGATTCTCAGGCCCAGGAGCAGTAGCAAGGGAGCCTCTGTTGCCCAGCAAGATCTGGCAGTGATTCCCCTACCTCCATCTCCAGCCAAAGCTTTGAGGAGGGAAATAAGGCCTAGATGTGTGGATTGGTGGAGGTATGGGCTGCTCCAACTCTGATTTTATTATAGGTCATGGGCCCAGCCTCCAGTCGTAGGATACTGAGCTCCTACCCCTGCCATCCCCTCACAGTCCCCTACCACCTGTGTTTTAATTCCCATCTTCCAGATAATCCTTCTCACTTGTTTAGGCCAAAAAGGTGGAGCCTAGTTGCTGGAGTTGGGGAACCAGCAGTCACTTTCCTGTGGGATCTACCCACACTTAAAGAGTGGAGTCATGCCATCTCAGGACTTGGAAGAGATCAAAGAGATCACCACTCCAACTCTCTCATTTTACAGATGAAAAAACTGAGAGAGATAGGCAAGTGAGATCTGCAAGATTACTCAACGTTAGGAGTAGACACACACGCACACACACAAACATCTCTTTCCTATGACTCTGAACTGAGGAGCCAATCTCTCTCTCCCACCCCCAGCTTCCAGCAGTACCCCCAGAAGAGCCAGTGTAGCCCTTCCCTTTCATGTTCCCTCCCAGCCCCCAGGCCCGGTCACTATGGCTGGAATCCCTGATTACCTCTGCTCAGTGTTAGAAGCATAACCAGGGTTAGTGTCTTGGTGTTCTCACTCTAAGTTCATTGAAGAATAGTACATTTGAGTGCACACTGGGTACAACCTGGATACTAGATGCTGGAGATGCAATGGTGACTGCATCACATGGTTCTTGCCTTTCTTTTCCATGATGGCAAAACTGTTCTTACTAAGAGAAGCCCAGGGAAGGGGACAGGAGACCCCCTTCTAGTTAGACCTCATGCAATGCCTGGCAGTAAGGGAGGAAGCCTGGCTCCAGATTGCCCCAGGAAGCTGGCACCTGGTAGGAGGCCACTCTGCTGCTGCTGCAGCAGCTACAACCTGCACAGAGCTGAGGTTGCTCTGGGGGCTGGAGGCTCCTAGCCTGAGGATCAGATGGTCCTACCTCCACTACCACCCCCATTCTGGCTCTTCTGTGTGTAGACTCTCCTTAATGGCTCCCAGGAACCTGGAATGTTTCATGTCTCTGAAAAAATCCTTGGACTGGGAAGTCAGGAGTCTTGGTCCAGATCCCGTTTCTGCTATTAATCTATTTGGTAACCTTGGGCAGCGATGAAACCAGACTTCAGTAGACCGAGAGCTAGGACCAGATGATCTCTATTGACCTTCCAGCTCTGAAATACGATGACTCTGTGATGGTCCAGGCCTGGCTGAAGTGGGGTGCTGGGGTGTTGGAAGGGTCACTGGGTCTGGCTGTGGAGATAGGAGGAGGAAAGCGTTCTGGTCGCATCTCTCAGAGGGTACCAGAGTACCTTTCCCCAGGCCTTCCTGGCCCTACTGCAAATTCACCCCCCACCCAAATCCTGGGCCATTAGAGCTCTGAGCCCCAGGGCCCTGCCCCACCCCTGACAGGGAAAGGAGCCCAGGCTTGGGAGGCGCCTCAGCACCACAGCTCTTTGTCTCTCCTTAATGGGTTGAGTTTCCGGGTGAAGTCTCCTCCCTTCTCCCTCCCCCATCTCTTGCCCTGGGGCTGAGGGACCCAAATCCACGAGACACCCCTCCCCCCATTAGGATCCTAGTCCCTAGCTCTTTGTCGGGTTCAGGAGCCCTGCAGGACCAAAGGGCAAGTGGTGCTCTGCATTCTGAGGTCTGCCTTCTGGGGGTTAGGATCAGCTTTCTGTCTGAGGTTAATTTCCTTGAAAGGGAGGGGCCCATCCTTACTTTTCTACTCCTGTTTACAGAGGGGGGCAGGCCCTTTCCTGTAGGACCTACCCAAACCCAGGGAAGCCAGCAAGGGAGGTGGTGAGAACTGGGAGAATCCCAGGGAAGCCCTGTGACCCCAGTGACCTTGTTCCCACCCTAGTGTTTAAGGAGGCCGGGCCAAGGAGAGCCTAGCTACAGAGATGAGGAGGTTAGAGTTCATGATTCCATCAGCCAGACCAGAGCCTCAGGATCTGGGGGTCCTCTAGGCAAAGTGAATGGGGATTAGCTACTTTGGGGCCCAGTGAGGAGAGAATGATTGGATGTTCTAGCCTCCAAAAACTTGCCCTTGCTCTGACCGAAGTCTAGGCAGAGAGAAGGGATGGAGGTGATGTGGGGAACGAAGTCAGAAGGGAAGGGAGTAGAGAAGCCTAGGGTCTTAATTTGGGAAGAGAATCTAAATGAGGAGGGGGCCAGGCGTGGTGGCTCACGCCTATAATCCCAGCACTTTGGGAGGCCAAGGCAGGTGAATCCCTTGAGGCCAGGAGTTTGAGACCAGCCTGGGCAACACGGCAAAATCCCGTCTCTACAAAAAATACAAAAGTTAGCCAGGCATGGTAGTATACCTGTGGTCCCAGCTACTTGGGAGGATTGCCTGAATCCAAGGAGACTGAAGTTGCAGTGAGCCATGATCGCGCCACTACACTCTAGCCTGGGTGACAGAGTGAGACTCTGTGTCAAAAAAAAAAAAAAAAAAAGAGGAGGCGAAGTTCAGAACTGGGGAGACATCTGCCATGCCTCCTAAAGGAAGGCCGTGGAGAAGGCGGCTGAGGTCACTCTTTCACTGGAACAGGCAGCCTCTGGCCTCAGGAGATTTTCTCATAGTTTTCTGGCCACCCCCACCCCCTTCCCTCTAAATCTGGTGTGTCCTGAGAGCTGGAGTTGAGGCTGTGATTTGGGATGGGGCAGAGCTGGCCATGGTGGGTGGAGGGGCAGTGTGGAGCAGGGGTTAGGATCTCAGGAGTTTGGGAGAAGCTGAATCCTGGTTCTCCCACCCACAGTGTGGCTGTTGTGGTGACTCAGCCAGGCTCAGACTCTGGCTCCGGGGGGTTTAGGGGACTTATCTGTGCTGGGAGCTGTGTCTGGGCCAGAGTGGGGCTGCCTCAAGGCCTGTCCTCCCCATTGTTCTCATCTCCCTTTGTGATTGTGTGGCCCCCCTCCCCAGACACTAATCTGTGGGTGGGCGTTTTGCCCAGGCTGGGAAGCTCTCACTAAGCTGGGGGGCTTAGTACAATGGGGGGTAAGTGAGGGAGGTGGATGAAGGCGGAGAGGGAATCTTCTGGTTTTTAAAGTTCCTTAGCACTCCAAGGCCAAGGTTATGGGGCAAAGAGTGGATGGAAAGGGGTTTGCTGGGTTGTTTGTGTCACCTGTCCTGGATGGTGAGCTTCGGTGCGTCCCTCCTAGGTCCTTTCTCACCCCAGACTCACCCACATACTCCAGCTCTCGGTGGAGATTGTTGCTGTCAGGTAAGGGGAGGCAGGAGTTAACAAAGGAGCATGAGACCCTAGACAGCCTGGACCCCTCCCCCTAGCCCCAGGCAGGATTCCCCTCACCCCCCCAAACCCACACCAGACAACCCTTACCCAGGCCTGGAGCCAGAGCTGGTTTTTCTGGTGGTGGCAGCAGCAGAGCCCTGACAGAGATTCCCAGGGAGAGGCCTCCTTGGGGGGCCAGAGCTGCTGAGGGGCCCAGGGGAGTGGCTGGGGGTAGTGGTGAGAAGGTTGGCAGTCCTTTTAGTAGGAACCTGAGGAGCAAGGGGAGAGGGAACATTTGTTTTGTTCTGCTGGGGAGTCCTTAATGGCAAGTTCCCATCACCTGGAGGGACAGTGACCTCATCTCTGGGTACTTCCACCTTGAGCCTGAGATTAATATGTCTTCAAGTCTTGGGGTAAGGTGGGGAAGGATGCTGGGGGTGACATTCCAGGCAGGATGCAGAGGCAAAGGCTCACAGCCACATACCACAGACCAAGGGCAGCTGAGACAGAGAGACATGTGGAAGCCAAGATAAACCGACAGCAAAATATTTACTATGTGTGCAGAGTTCCGCGAGACAAGAATGCACTCCATGCATACAGAGGGTGTGACATGCACACGGAATCATGTGTGCACACACATTCACACATACTGATACACAGCTCTTCCCTCTGGACACAGACAAGTAAGTACGTATATGCCCCTAAGATAAGACATGAACACATATATGTGCCAAACACCCACCAGTTTATGCAAGAAGATAGCCTCACATGCGTTTGAACCAGCACTAAGATTGGCCAGGCCCTCAGCCACAGCTCCCCATACACAAAAAACTCATACTTACTCCCTTCCTCCTTCTCACAGACCCACCTCTACGATCCCCTACATTCACATCTGTAAGTCCCAGCAGGGGATACTGATGGAGAAAGGCCCCTCATAAAGAAAAGATACTTCCTTAAAGATGCTCTTGATGGCTGGGTGTCAGCAAGTGCCAGCCTCAGTTTCCCCTCCTGAGATCAGAGGCCAGGCTCACATAGGAAGGAAAGTTGAGACCCAGGCATAGGGTGGGGAAGAGCCAGCCAGCCCAAACCTGGAATGGAGGGCCTGTCTGGGAGCGGGCGGGGTACACAAAGGGCTGGGCTCCAAAGAGGCCCGTGGGGGCCTGGCCAGGGTGGGGGAGGCCAAGGGCAGGGATCCCGTCTGGCCAGTTGGGCCTGTTCTCTCCCTTGCGCAAGGTGGTGGTGGCTGTGGCTAGGCTTGCTGCTGTGAGGCAGCTTCTGAGTCACCAAGGCTCCTGACCAGCGTCCTGGTACTCCAGGGAGGAGGGGTGGGAGGGTCAGAGGGAGGAGTGTCTAACCAGCCGGAGTCCACCAGCCTCAGTAAACAATTTGCAACAGAAGGGTCCCTGGGCTTGGCCTGGCCTGGCCACCACATGCCCTCAAGGTGACCTCACCAGGCAGGCAATGTGTCTCCTTTGGTCTGATGACATCATCATGCTGACGCCAGGCTGACACTGGGTGGAGGAGAGAAGGAGGAGGCAGTCCTGGCCTGCCCTGGCCTGGAAACCTGGACTTCTGGGTCTGTTTAGACAAGGACAGGGATTCTAGGGCCCAAATTCTATTTTCTCTTCTCTTGTACCCTAGGGTGGTAGGGGGGTATGCAGCTGGAGGAGGGTGTTGCCTCAGGCTGAGATGTTCCTACTAAGTAGTGGATTTAGAACAATGAGGATCTGTGGGAGATATCCAGAAGGGAATTTCCTGTTTTACTGGGTTCCTCGGTCTGTGAAGCTTCAGTGTGTCCCCTAGGGGTGGGGATCGTGGACTCACAGGTGAGAACATGGAGGATTGACATTCAGGCATGCGCTGGGTATCTAATGCCTGCTGTACCCTAAGAAGGTATTTTCCAAGGGAAATATAGGTGATTAGTGGTGGGGAGGCAGCAGGTGGTTGGCTAGTATAGGAATAGGGATGGAAAATATGCCATCTGATATTGTCTCAGAAATAGTCTTTAGAAAGGTTTGAGTGTCCTAATGGGGCAGGTCTTGGGATCCCTGTGACCTTCACAGACACCAGCGTTTGAAGCAGAGGATATGTTGTGCTGGAGATCCCCTACCCAAGCTCACTCACAGCCCTTCCTTGGCAGCCCTGTTCTTTCCAGTGCCAGGAGGAGAAAAAGCCTGGGAGGGGTGCGGGTGGTTAGCTGGACTCCCAGGCTGGGCTGGGTGGGACCAACATTAGCTTAGGCAGGTCAGGGCTCTGGTATCTGGCCCTGCAGGTCTATCCTGTCCCATCTGGGCCCTCTCAGCATCCTTCTTCCCTCTCCTTCTGGTAGCAGGGCCACAGGAACCCCTTCCTGTGCTCTATGTGCTGCCTCACTAAAACTCTCTGATCCATTCTGGTGGGGCTTCATTTCCTCCCTCCATGCCTGCCTCCTTCCATCCCTATTTTTTTCCTCTGTCCAGTCTGGAGGTGCTCCCTTTGGCAGTGAACCCAATTAGCTAGCCCAGCCTATCCTGCCTCCACCCCAAGGTTACCATGTAATGTTCCTCCCTGGCCAGCCCAATGCTTGTTCCTCCTCATTTTTTTTGGTGGCGGGGGGATGGTGTCTTGCTTTGTTGCCCAAGCTGGAGGTCAGTGGCATGATCTTAGCTCACTGCAACCTCCACCTCCTGGGTTCACCAGTTCTCCTACCTCAGCCTCCCGAGTAGCTGGGACTACAGGCGCCCGCCACCACGCCCATCTAATTTTTTTATTTTTAGTAGAGACAGGGTTTCACCATTTTGGCCAGGCTGGTCTCAAACTCCTGACCTCAGGTGATCTGCCTGCCTCAGCTTCCCAAAGTGCTGGGATTAGGGTGTGAGCCACTGTGCCCAGCCTGTTCCTCCTCATTCTACACTTTCCTTCTGTCTCTCTCATTTATTAATTCACCTGTTCATTCATTCACTTGGTCAATAAATGTTGACGGAACCCACATACCACTGAGCACTAAATCAGAAACAATGGTTCCAATGGTGATGTGAGGCCCAGAAAATAGGGATAAAGTGCTGTGATGGGAATGAAAGCAGGGTGCTGGGGAGCACAGAGGAAGGGCACCTAATGCTGCCTGGGGTGGGGGTGGGAGGAGGGAGGACTCCTGCTGGAAATGATGTCTAAGCGGAGTCTTAAATGATGAGTAGGTGCTACCAGATATAGGGAGGAGGGCATTCCAGGCAGCGGGTACGGTGTGAGCAGAGGTGAGGAACAACAAGGTGTGTGGCTTGCTGGGCAGAGGCAGGGACAACACACTGTTGGGGGTTGCTGGGGCACGCGTTCCAAGGCAAGGAGCTCCTGCCATCCCAGCATGTTCCTTTGCTCTGCCCCCAGGCCCCAATCCCCATATTTCACTTTTGATTCCATGACTCCAAATTTATTTCTTCCCAAAAATGAACATCCTCAGGCCCTGTCTCCCTCATAAGTTACTCATCCTAGAAATTTAGGAGCTGCCTTTGAGTCTTTCCTCTCCTTCATCTCTCTTTCTGGTCAGTGACCAAATCCCTGTCAAATCTCCCCCCAGAACTGTCCCCTCCTCTCCACCCTAGCACTACTGCACCCAGGCTGCAGCTGCAGCCTTCAGTGACTGCCCCTCACCACTTGCTCATGGCACTCCCTGGCTAAGGAACCTTTAGTGACTCCCCATTTCCTCTTGACCAAGTATGAATTCCTTTGCTGGTATGGAAGTTCCCCGGTGATTTGGCCCCACCCTGTCCCAACCATATTTTCCACTCCTGCTCAACACACACACCCTGTCTTAGGCTGGGTCCTCTCCTCTTTGCTTCCTAAACAAGCCACCTTCTCCATCTCCTTGGTGTTTGCTCACCGTGGTTCCTGATTTAGAATGCCTTTCTAGGCCTCTCTCCCTCCTAATCCTACCCAACTCATGCATGGGGCCCTCCCAAATGATTCAGTCCCATAGTGATTGCCCCATCCCACAGTTGGCCTGTAACACACCCCTGAGCACTAAATCAGAAACCATCATCACATGTTTCCATATGTGTCTCCATATGTATCTCTTGCTCCTGAGCAGAACTCAAGTCCCATGAGAGCAGGGAGTGGATCCTTATTTGCAGATAAGGTGACATGATGGATAGCTCTGATTCCAGAATCCCTGAGGGCTTCATTAATATGCTAAATACTAGCCCTTTGTACTAGCCCTTTGTCCCTTGTCCTCCGATTCCAGCTTACAATTCTGACCCGGTTGTTGTGTGTCTGCCCTGATCTCATCTCTCTGGGCCTCTGACCTGGGCCCTTTCTGTCTTTAGTGGCTTGCTCATTCCTGCCTCTGAGCCTTGGTTCATGCCTTTCCTCCCACATGGAACATTTCCTGCGCTATAGGAATCCAGGTCTCTCATCTTCAAGCCATGAAAAGAATGTTCCAAAGGGCCTACTGAATAGACCCTTCCTACCCTATGTGCCCCATTCCAGACACCAACAGTTTTGGATTCTTGCCGTGGCTCCCGGCCACACTTTCTGAAACTATCCACTTTTTCCCGGTTGGTGGGTTGAACCTCTTCTGAAAGTTTGTTCATGGCTTTCCCTGTTTCTTTGTGCATAAATTCTATTTTCCCTGATGACTGTGAGCTCCCTGAGGGCAGAGGCTGGGTCTCCTGTTCTGTTACAGCCTCCCACCTTGCAACTGCTCAGGATACAATCCTAGGCTGCAAGAGGGTGTGAGCCTTCCATAAATCGTCTGTGTGGCCTTAGGCAAGCCACTTCCTCTCTCTGGGTCTCAGTTTCCTCATCTGTTAAACGGTGATAATAACGCCTACCTCTTGGGAAGGCGTTTTGTAGATTTAATAAGGTAATGAACTGAATGTGCTTTGCAAGCCCAAATGCTCCAGGAGTTCCGGTCACCTTTGCTGTCATTATCATTATGACTGTGCTCCCCCAGCTCTGGCAGCACCCCTAATGGTGGCTGTCCCTCTCTGCCCCCTGCAGGCCGGTGCCCCGCGGGTGAGCTGGAGACCTCAGACGTGGTAACTGTGGTGCTGGGCCAGGACGCAAAACTGCCCTGCTTCTACCGAGGGGACTCCGGCGAGCAAGTGGGGCAAGTGGCATGGGCTCGGGTGGACGCGGGCGAAGGCGCCCAGGAACTAGCGCTACTGCACTCCAAATACGGGCTTCATGTGAGCCCGGCTTACGAGGGCCGCGTGGAGCAGCCGCCGCCCCCACGCAACCCCCTGGACGGCTCAGTGCTCCTGCGCAACGCAGTGCAGGCGGATGAGGGCGAGTACGAGTGCCGGGTCAGCACCTTCCCCGCCGGCAGCTTCCAGGCGCGGCTGCGGCTCCGAGTGCTGGGTAAGCGGGGATCTCTGGGTACGGTCTGAGCCGCTGTGGATGCAGGGGGAAGCAGAGATGGGGACTGCAGAGATGGATGGGGCAGAGGTAGAACAGGAATAAAAAGTGGGGTCATGTTCAGGTGAGGGAGCTTCATCCAGCTAGCTATCCTCGCACCCAATCCAGAAATTCTCTCCAAGTAACCCCAAAAGCTGGGGAAGAATCCATTTATTAGGAAGTTCTTCCTTCCGACGACATGAAACTCCCTCTGTTACTTTTGCCCTGTGGCAATATGGCACTGGCTTATTCTCTTTTCTGCACAACAACCTTTCCAAAAGCAGAGGCCCTTTGTCGTGCCCCACCCAAATCTACTCTTCTCCAAGCTAAACTTACTGGTTCCTGACACAGTTCCACCAAAGACAATTTCAAAGCCTCTCTCACCATCCTGTGCTCCATGGTATTTTTTACAATGTGGGTCCTGAATGTGAACACAGGCCCAGCAATGGTGTGGCCATACACGATCAGAGGAGCTAATACCTTCCTTGATATGGACCTTCAGTGAATGTGGTCTGAGATCACAATCGCTTTTTTTATTTTTTGAGACAGAGTCTCGCTCTGTCGCCCAGGCTGGAGTGCATTGGCGCGATCTCGGCTCACTGCAAGCTCCGCCTCCCGGGTTCACGCCATTCTCCTGCCTCAGCCTCCCGAGTAGCTGGGTCTACAGGCGCCCACCACCACGCCCAGTTAATTTTTGTGTATTTTTAGTAGAGACAAGGTTTCACCGTGTTAGCCAGGATGGTCTCGATCTCCTGACCTCGTGATCCGCTCGTCTTGGCCTCCCAAAGTGCTGGGATTACAGGCGTGAGCCACCGCGCCCAGCCACAATCACTTTTTAAACCATCACTTTATATTGTGGGCACTTGTGGTGAACTCTGGACTTACGGTCAAGTTAAGTCTTTTCCATTCTGTGTTAATATTTTGAAGGTAAAAATAAAGGTTTTTGGCTGGGTGAGGTGGCTCATGCCCTGTAATCCCAGCACTTTGGGAGGCTGAGGTGGGCAGACCACCTGAGGTCAGGAGTTCGAGACCAGCCTGGCCAACATGGTGAAACCCCATCTCTACTAAAAATACAAAAATCAGCTGGGTGTGGTGGTGCGCACCTGTAATCCCAGCTACTCAGGAGGCTGAGGCAGGAGAATTGCTTGAACCCAGGAGGCGGAGATTGCAGTGAGCCGAGATCATGCCACTGCACTCCAGCCTGGGCAACAGACGGAGACTCAGTCTCACAAGTAGATAAATAAATAAATAAATAAATAAATACATAAAATAAAGGTTTTTATAGTTTCCCTTTATTCACATATAAGTTAATAACATCAGCCTTGGAGTAAAAATAAAAACCCAAGTGTAAATCTAGGCTTTGTCACCTAATAGCTGATGACTTGGGATAGTCACTTAACTTCCTTGTGCTTTGGTTTCCTCATCTGGAAAATAGAGATAATAATACCTAACTCACTGTTTGTTGACAGAATTTGAGATAACATTTATAAGGTATTTAGCATAATAGTTGACACATAGTAAATGCTTACTAGATGGTGGTTATTATTATTAGGTAGATGATATCTGGTTAGTTTTTTAATTACTTCATTATTTTATTTTTTAAAATAACCTACGTTCATTGTAAAAAATTCGCACAGTAGAGAAGGATACAAAGTCACCTGAATTTCTACCATTCATCTGCGTCTCCATGAAATAAGAGAAGGAAAGGGGGCCTGAAAGTTTGTACTTGTGCAAGACTGAAATGCGATGAGTGGGGGCCTCCTGACAGGGATTGTGTAGACCTGTGACCCCTGCCTTTCCCCATTTGCAGTGCCTCCCCTGCCCTCACTGAATCCTGGTCCAGCACTAGAAGAGGGCCAGGGCCTGACCCTGGCAGCCTCCTGCACAGCTGAGGGCAGCCCAGCCCCCAGCGTGACCTGGGACACGGAGGTCAAAGGCACAACGTCCAGCCGTTCCTTCAAGCACTCCCGCTCTGCTGCCGTCACCTCAGAGTTCCACTTGGTGCCTAGCCGCAGCATGAATGGGCAGCCACTGACTTGTGTGGTGTCCCATCCTGGCCTGCTCCAGGACCAAAGGATCACCCACATCCTCCACGTGTCCTGTAAGTACTTGGATGCTTGGGTAGGGAGGCCCAAGGGGTTCTCAGCAGATTGGTGAGATGCCACAGGTCCCTGAGCCATGCCAGGCTGGCCAGCCTGGGTCCTGGAGGCTATATATAGTATGTGACAGAGCACTAGTCCAAATGTGGAAGACCTGGAGCCCGATCCCAGAGGATAGACCTCTCTGAGCTTCTGTGTCCTTATCTTTACAAAGGAGATTGCCTTGTTTCACAGGGTTGTTGGGAGAATCAATTAGAAACATGGAATTGAAAGCACTTTCTAAAATATTAGTTTAGGATTTGGAAATAGATAAACTTAGACAAGCCCTAGTTCTACTTACCAGCTGTTATTCATTCTTGTTAGGCTTCATTTTCTTCATCAGCAAAATGGGTATAATTATATATAACTCATACCAACTTTAGAGGGTTTTGATGGGAATTAGAAACTATGAATGCAGAGCAACTCACACAGTGCTTAGCGCATGGAAGGCGCTTGGTAAATGGTAGATATTGTTTTCCCAGTGCTAGATTTCAAGCCTCTGGAGGGGATAAGACTGTCAGCATTTGGCTCAAAGCAGGTCCTCAACAAATGTTTGTTGAAGAAATGAATGAACTAGTAGGATTGTTACACCTTTGAAAAATCAGGCAACATTTATTCAGCACCTGTTCTATGACTAGCACTATGCTAGGCAACACAGGACATCCAGAAAATGTGTGATGGATCACTACCTTGAGGGACTTATGGTCTCATTGTACAGGTAAACCAATACAGACTCTCTGAGCTTAGAGAGGGGAGGGAACAGTGTGGCCAGGAGCTGTCAGCAGGGTGGGGCTGAGCTAGGTTTGGCAGCAGATGAGTAGGATGGAGAAGGGCAAGGGGAGGGTGTTTCAGGCAGGGTGGGGTGGGGGCAGGGCCCTTTGAGGTACCACATGATCAAAGGCATCATTCCCATTCTTTCTCCTCCCACTTCCCATTCCAGTCCTTGCTGAGGCCTCTGTGAGGGGCCTTGAAGACCAAAATCTGTGGCACATTGGCAGAGAAGGAGCTATGCTCAAGTGCCTGAGTGAAGGGCAGCCCCCTCCCTCATACAACTGGACACGGTAAGGGCCCGAGCCTGAGGAAGGCCTAACTTGAGACTAGGTTCCTCCCCTCTCAGGGCCAGGATATACCACTATGGAATGGGACAACATATTCTGAGCCCCCAAATAAATTGGGGTATGTGTTCAGATCTCTTGTATTATTATACTCATCATACAAGAATATGTATGGTCACCAAATATTATTGGCTTGCCCAGGGAATCTAAGATACATGGTCATTAGTAGGGAATAAATGGATAAGCCCTTAAATTTTTTGTCTTTTATTTTATTTATTTTAGTTTTGAGACGGAGTCTTGCTCTGTCGCCAGGCTGGAGTGCAGTGGCATGATCTCGGCTCACTGAAACCTCCGCCTCCTGGGTTCAAGCAGTTCTCCTGCCTCAGCCTCCTGAGTAGCTGGGATTACAGGTGCGCGCCACCAACCCCAGCTAATTTTTGTATTTTTAGTAGAGATGGGGTTTTACCATGTTGGCCAGGCTGGTCTCGATCTCTAGACCTTGTGATCTGCCCACGTTGGCCTTCCAAAGTACTGTGATTACAGGCGTGAGCCACCACGCCCAGCCCTTGTCTTTTATTTTTATTTTTTTGAGATGGAGTTTCACTCTGTTGCCCAGGCTGGAGTGCAGTGGTGCGATCTTGGCTCACTGCAACCTCTGCCTGCCAGGTTCAAGAGATTCTCCTGCCTCAGCCTCCCAAGTAGCTGGGATTACAGGTGTGTGCCAGCATGCCCAGCTAGTTTTTTGTATTTTTAGTAGAGATGGGCTTTCACCATGTTGACCACGCTGGTCTCGAACTGCTGACCTCGGGTGATCCGCCAGCCTCGGCCTCCCAAAGTGCTGGAATTATAGGCGTGAGCCACCATGCCCGGCCTTGTCTAACTTTTAAATTGTGAAATATAACACAATATTTCGATATTAATATTTTATATATTTATGTGAGTGCATAAAATGGACAAGACAGCTGTGTCTTTTTCTAATTGTTGTTAAGCCAACACTCCTATAACCACCACAATATTGCTAGCACCTCAAAAACACCCACTACCTCCAGTTCCCTCAAGGCATCCTTGGCCTTTTTCCAAGATCTGAAATATCTAGAGAGTCAGGGAGAGGTTGGGTACACATGTGTGTGAGCACATCATGGGCATGTTCTCACATGTGAGCATATGAGCGATGCATGTGGCCTTGTGCCTGGGGCTATGTTTGTGTATCCTGCCATGCAACATCACGGGTGTTGGAGCAGGCAGTCACATTTTCCAATTACCTCTACACCCAGCTAGGAGTGGAGTGTCCTGTTGTGTGGACTTTATAACATGTGTACCTGGTACCCAGTGTTGGATGACGTGATGCCTGTGGAAGCATGTGGGATGGCACACGTGTGGATCTTCCCCGGGTGTGTGTGGGGGGTGCCCAGGTCAGGCTGGGCAGCAGGGAGAAAGGACCTCTGCCTAGACCTGCCTGGTGGAGGGAGGGGCACCGTGGGAACAGCCTGCGGCTCTGGGTGACGTCATGGGGGTGGAGGGTGGAGAGCTGTCTGGACACGTTGGGTGGTGGTGGCTTCAGCCCTTCCCGGCTGGCACCCTTCAGCTTCCCTGTCTTCCAGGCTGGATGGGCCTCTGCCCAGTGGGGTACGAGTGGATGGGGACACTTTGGGCTTTCCCCCACTGACCACTGAGCACAGCGGCATCTACGTCTGCCATGTCAGCAATGAGTTCTCCTCAAGGGATTCTCAGGTCACTGTGGATGTTCTTGGTAAGCACTGGAGCAGAAGTCCTTGGTAAGGACCTGGGCCAAGGGCTTGGTGGGGGCAGCAGGAAGCAAGACAGAGACAGTGAATTGGGAAAGTGTTTATTCAGAGGGGGCTGGGCTGTGTGTCTTGCAGAGAATCAAACTGAGGTGTGGTTTTAGATGTTTTGCGGGGGAGCTGTGAGGTCTGGGGTGGGTTGTGGCTGCAGGCTTCCACCTCAGACAGTGGCCTGTCTCCAGCAGACCCCCAGGAAGACTCTGGGAAGCAGGTGGACCTAGTGTCAGCCTCGGTGGTGGTGGTGGGTGTGATCGCCGCACTCTTGTTCTGCCTTCTGGTGGTGGTGGTGGTGCTCATGTCCCGATACCATCGGCGCAAGGCCCAGCAGATGACCCAGAAATAGTGAGTACTGGGCACTCCTGGGTGGGTAGAACTAAGCTGAGAACAAAGAAGAGGATAGCAGGAGGTGGGCCAGGACCGAGGAGACTGGGTAGGCTGAAAACTGAGGAGTTTCAGACTAGAGGTGGGCAGGGTGTTTCTAGGGCTGAGGAGGAGCTAAGGGTCTGGAGCACAGATGGAGCACTCAATCCTTCCACCTTAGTGAGGCTCAGATCCATGTGCCTGGATGTTGCCAAGTATGCACACGCACACAGCACACACATGCTCTTCAGCCTCACTGCCACCTGCAGCCACACACTCACACTTGCAGGGCCAGCACGGCACCCACACCCTCCGGGCCTGTCTCACTAGGCTCAGCCAGGATAGGCTCACCTTGGGAGGCTGCCACTACCCTCAGCTCCTGACAAGGGTGTGTCTTTCCCAGTGAGGAGGAGCTGACCCTGACCAGGGAGAACTCCATCCGGAGGCTGCATTCCCATCACACGGACCCCAGGAGCCAGGTGTGTGCCAAGGTTGGGTGTATGCATGCAGGGGTGTGGTCGCATTGGGGTCTGCTTGTGCCTGGGCCCCTCTGCAGACCAGGAGCACAGCTCTCTGCTGGGTCAGCCACTGACTCACAGCTGGGGTTGGCCGGGGTAGAGTTGAGAGGGTGTAGCTGCTTTGGGTCTGCTAGGGCTGCTCCAGAAGGCCCCCTTCAGCATTGGCCTAGGGCCTTTTCTGGGAAGCCACCATCAGTTCTGCTTCCAGGGTGGGTTTGTGGTCGCAGTGGGGAAATGAGGATGTTTGTTTCCAGGAGAGAATGGACCTGTTGGGTTGGGGGACAGGCAAGTAGGGAGGAGGCTGGTGGAGGACAAGAGGGGAAGAGGCTGAGGGGAGGAGGCTGAGCCCTGTTCTAACTGCCCCGTGTCTGGGCCCTGCAGCCGGAGGAGAGTGTAGGGCTGAGAGCCGAGGGCCACCCTGATAGTCTCAAGGACAACAGTAGCTGCTCTGTGATGGTGAGGCCCCCGGCCCCACCGGTGTCCCCACCACTCTCCTCGGGCCCCTGTCCTGGTCCCAGATATGGTGCGTCAGCAGCCCCCTTACCAGTCCCTCTTTCCTTAGCCCTGGCTCATGCAGCCCAGCACCGCATCTCTGCTACGTCTTTGTTCTCCCGTCTCCCTCTCCCCATGCCTAACACTTGTTCCTGGTCCCCGATCTCTGGGCCCCTATGCTTCTGAGGCAACCGTTACCCCTGCTTACGCCTGGCCTCTGATCCCACCATGACCCAGCCATGCCCCACCATGTGCAGCTGCCCTGCCTTTGTTCCTGACTTGCCCTTTGCCCTTGGTCTCCAGAGTGAAGAGCCCGAGGGCCGCAGTTACTCCACGCTGACCACGGTGAGGGAGATAGAAACACAGACTGAACTGCTGTCTCCAGGCTCTGGGCGGGCCGAGGAGGAGGAAGATCAGGATGAAGGCATCAAACAGGCCATGAACCATTTTGTTCAGGAGAATGGGACCCTACGGGCCAAGCCCACGGGCAATGGCATCTACATCAATGGGCGGGGACACCTGGTCTGACCCAGGCCTGCCTCCCTTCCCTAGGCCTGGCTCCTTCTGTTGACATGGGAGATTTTAGCTCATCTTGGGGGCCTCCTTAAACACCCCCATTTCTTGCGGAAGATGCTCCCCATCCCACTGACTGCTTGACCTTTACCTCCAACCCTTCTGTTCATCGGGAGGGCTCCACCAATTGAGTCTCTCCCACCATGCATGCAGGTCACTGTGTGTGTGCATGTGTGCCTGTGTGAGTGTTGACTGACTGTGTGTGTGTGGAGGGGTGACTGTCCGTGGAGGGGTGACTGTGTCCGTGGTGTGTATTATGCTGTCATATCAGAGTCAAGTGAACTGTGGTGTATGTGCCACGGGATTTGAGTGGTTGCGTGGGCAACACTGTCAGGGTTTGGCGTGTGTGTCATGTGGCTGTGTGTGACCTCTGCCTGAAAAAGCAGGTATTTTCTCAGACCCCAGAGCAGTATTAATGATGCAGAGGTTGGAGGAGAGAGGTGGAGACTGTGGCTCAGACCCAGGTGTGCGGGCATAGCTGGAGCTGGAATCTGCCTCCGGTGTGAGGGAACCTGTCTCCTACCACTTCGGAGCCATGGGGGCAAGTGTGAAGCAGCCAGTCCCTGGGTCAGCCAGAGGCTTGAACTGTTACAGAAGCCCTCTGCCCTCTGGTGGCCTCTGGGCCTGCTGCATGTACATATTTTCTGTAAATATACATGCGCCGGGAGCTTCTTGCAGGAATACTGCTCCGAATCACTTTTAATTTTTTTCTTTTTTTTTTCTTGCCCTTTCCATTAGTTGTATTTTTTATTTATTTTTATTTTTATTTTTTTTTAGAGATGGAGTCTCACTATGTTGCTCAGGCTGGCCTTGAACTCCTGGGCTCAAGCAATCCTCCTGCCTCAGCCTCCCTAGTAGCTGGGACTTTAAGTGTACACCACTGTGCCTGCTTTGAATCCTTTACGAAGAGAAAAAAAAAATTAAAGAAAGCCTTTAGATTTATCCAATGTTTACTACTGGGATTGCTTAAAGTGAGGCCCCTCCAACACCAGGGGGTTAATTCCTGTGATTGTGAAAGGGGCTACTTCCAAGGCATCTTCATGCAGGCAGCCCCTTGGGAGGGCACCTGAGAGCTGGTAGAGTCTGAAATTAGGGATGTGAGCCTCGTGGTTACTGAGTAAGGTAAAATTGCATCCACCATTGTTTGTGATACCTTAGGGAATTGCTTGGACCTGGTGACAAGGGCTCCTGTTCAATAGTGGTGTTGGGGAGAGAGAGAGCAGTGATTATAGACCGAGAGAGTAGGAGTTGAGGTGAGGTGAAGGAGGTGCTGGGGGTGAGAATGTCGCCTTTCCCCCTGGGTTTTGGATCACTAATTCAAGGCTCTTCTGGATGTTTCTCTGGGTTGGGGCTGGAGTTCAATGAGGTTTATTTTTAGCTGGCCCACCCAGATACACTCAGCCAGAATACCTAGATTTAGTACCCAAACTCTTCTTAGTCTGAAATCTGCTGGATTTCTGGCCTAAGGGAGAGGCTCCCATCCTTCGTTCCCCAGCCAGCCTAGGACTTCGAATGTGGAGCCTGAAGATCTAAGATCCTAACATGTACATTTTATGTAAATATGTGCATATTTGTACATAAAATGATATTCTGTTTTTAAATAAACAGACAAAACTTGTTCTGTCTGGCTCCTGTCTTGCCCCTTGAACTGTGTAAGCTCTGAGTCACATACTCTCTGTCTCGGTACCATCCTTCCTGTAGTCCCAAGTAGGGGAAGACTTAGGATGCCTGTAGCTGGGAGGGAAGGGAAAGAATTGGCCTCCACAAGGCCTTTGGCCATCTCTGAGAGTCCCCTGGTAGGAAAGTGAAGCTAAGAACCCTTTCGAGGATGGCCAGTACCTTAGTTTGCAAAGTGTTTTAAATTCCTTTTTTTTTTTTTTTTGAGATGAAGTCTCACTTTGTCACCCAGGCTGGAGTGCAGTGGCACTATCTCAGCTCACTGCAACCTCCGACTCCCAGGTTCAAGCGATTCTCTCACCTCAGCCTCCCGTATAGCTGGGATTACAGGCACCCGTCACCATGCTCAGTTAGTTTTTGTATTTTTAGTAGAGACAGGGTTTCACCATGTTGGCCAAGCTGGTCTCGAACTCCTGACCTCAGGTGATTCACCCGCCTCAGCCTCCCAAAGTGCTGGGATTACAGGCGTGAGCCACTGCGCCCAGCCTGAATTCCTTATTGTACTGGAGACTCAACAACAGCTATGTGAAATAGGCAGCAGTGTACCCTTTTTTACAGGTAAAGAAACTGAAACTCAAGTTAAATGAGTTTTACAGACTCTTAGAGGTGGGAGGATTTAAAGGTCCTCTAGTCTGCTCCCTTCATTTTCCTAGGTTTGGAAACTGAGGCTCAGTGAAGTAATGCGATTTGACTGAGGTGCTAGATCCATCAGAGGCAGAACCCAGGCATCCTCCCTTGTGAGTGTGCTTTTTACAGCCCTGTGTCAACTTGCTCCCAGGCAAGCCCCAGGTCTCTACCTTGGACCCAAGAATTCTGGTCTCTAAGGGAGTTGGTCACCTGCTCACACCACAGACGCCATCACCCCACCCCAGGGCTCTGACATCACCTCCCCTGACCAATGAATGAAGTCCAAGCAAAGGGTGAGGATGTGAATGTCAGCTACCTCCCCCACCCTAGGCCCTGTGGTTGCAAAGATGCTCTAACAGGAAGTGGGTTAAGGAGCTGCACTGCTTCCTGCCCCCTAAAGCTGAGCGGGGCGAGGAGGGCGAGTGCCAGGCTGGGCCACGAGACACAGGACACAATTTCTTGCCAGGGTCCTGGTAGCTTCCTCTTCAACAGCCACTTCCGTGTGGCCGGGGCCCCAGGGGCAGGAGCTGCTGCCCGTTGCCCAGGCCACCCTCCACCCCCAATTGGGAGCCCTGCCCCCCTGGGGCCGGGCCAAGCCCAGCAGCT
Source organism: Homo sapiens (assembly GCF_000001405.40). NCBI lineage: Eukaryota > Metazoa > Chordata > Mammalia > Primates > Hominidae > Homo > Homo sapiens. The sequence goes on along the minus strand of NC_000001.11, from coordinate 161,069,705 downwards.
GGCTGGGATCCCATGGGGGACTGGTAGGGCACAGGTCTTGGGGGATAGAGGTGACCGGGCCAGTGCCCTGGGGCTCTGGCCATGAAGTCTCGGCAGAAAGGAAAGAAGAAGGGCAGCGCAAAGGAGCGGGTTTTTGGGTGCGACTTGCAGGAGCACCTGCAGCACTCAGGCCAGGAGGGTAAGGAGGCCGGCTCAGCTTCTGCAGGGTGGGTGGGGAGGCACTGGGCATCTGCAGCCCGATCCAGCCTGAAGGGCAGAAGCAGTTTCCGGTGCTCCTGGGGAAGGGGCAGTGGCCTGGGGTCACCATTCAAGAGAACTGTAAGTGGGCAAGACAGGAAATGTGGCTCAGTGAAGAAGGCAGGGCGGCTCCCTTGTGTAACTTTCTGGGGATGGGGTGGCTGAGGGGATGAGAATGTGAGTACCCAGGTAGCAGTGAGGGGGAGGATGGAGAGACTGGAAACCGAGGAGGAGTGGATGAAACAGCGGGCAGGTGACTGGGAACAGGAGAGGGAGGGTGAGGCGACAGGGTCAGGAGAGGAGTGGCTGAAGGGGAAATGATTATCCTTAGGTCTGAATGAAAGGAGACAGGGAAATGGCCCCAGAAGGGTCTCAAGATGGCCCTTGAGGCGGGTGGTTTCCTGGCTGGAGAACACCCAAGGACAAGGTCATGGGCTCTGTTCCCACTGCAGCCTTGCTGGGCCGCAGGGGATGATGTCGGGCTGGAAACAACCTCTGCCCCTAGTCTTTGTGATTCTCTTGTTGTCCCTGTGCAAAAGAGAAACAGGTTCAAAGTGGGGGGCAAGGGGAGAAGCTGCTGAAATGGGGAAGAATGAAAGAGAGGGTGTGAGGCCTGGCTTGAAGCTGGAGGTGGAGGGTGCAAAGGAGGGTGGGTGTGGAGCTGTCTGTGGAGCTCACCCAGCTCCCTCCCTGGGTTACCTTAGAGTGGGCTTTGAAGCCAGAAGGACCAGGGACAATATCAGGTTCACAACGGGGCCTGGCATGGAGCAGCCACTCAAAATCATTTCTTGATTCAATTTGAAATTGAACCCAGGCACCCTGGCTGCCCAGCCCAGCTTGTTTTTGGCACTTCAAGCTCCTCCTAGAGAAAGGCATAATTCTTTCCCCACTCCACCCCATTCCACCCCACCCCAATCTGTCATTTCCTCTTTGTCCCCTCCTCTGCTCTGGGCTGTGGTGCTTGCAGCGGAGGGAGGGTGATGGTGGTTCCCAGATCATTTCCTGCTCTTAGCCCCGCCCCTGCGTCCCCAGACACCTCCTTCCCCTTTTCTCCTCCAGTGAGAGGACCCCTATCCCCATTGCCCTTGGTTAAGGGAAAGCCCAGACCCCAAGGAAGAGTGTTAAACAGCTGAAGCGAGCTTATTTGAGCCTTCCTCTTCTCACTGGGCAGAGTGGAGGTGGCACAGCCATCAGTGCAGGGCTTACTCCTTTCTAAGGGACTCCTCTCAAGAGCTATGATTCTTAGCCAAGGATTATGAGATTTAATTGGGGATGATGTGCTCCTCCCAGCTCAATGCAAACCCTCAGTTCAGCCTTTCCTGGTACTGCCCTTTTTTGTGGTCCACCAACCAATTTTATCTTGAAACACTGAACCCACAGCCAGCCCAGACCCTGCTCCTATAACCCTCCCGGCCTCTTCCTGGATTCCTAGCAGGGAAGGGGCACACTCTCTAGAGGGGACAGACAGATCTGATTGCTGAATCCTGATCCTAGGTGAATCCGAGAGCAGGAGACCAGAACCTCACAGAACCCAAGGGTGGGTTGATCTTGGGCACCAGAGTAGCAGTGGTGGCTCCTTCCCTATCCCTCAGGTCTTCCTGGTACAGAGAGGTGGAAAGTGGAAGGAAGGACAGAGAGAGGCTGGTGATGGTTCCTCTCTTTAATCCAACATCCACAAAAAAATGAGAGCAGAGAGATCTTTGTTTTCGCTTAATTTATCCTCCCTGATCACGTTGGTCTCCCCCATCCCCACAGCCTTGCTCCATCTCAGCCCTCTCTCCAGCTCTTTGCCCCCACATGGGTCTCTTCCTTCCTTAAGCCCTGTATATACTGAATTCTTTCTTTTCCTAATCTTTGATAGATTGTTCAGGTTTCTTTCTTTCTTTCTTTCTTTCTTTTTTGAGATGGAGTCTTGCTCTGTCCCAGGCTGGAGTGTAGTGGGGTGATCTCGGCTCACTGCAACCTCTGCCTCCCAGGTTCAAGCAGTTCTCCTGCCTCAGCCTCCAGAGTAGCTGGGATTACAGGCAGGCACCACCACACCCAGCTAATTTTTGTATTTTTAGTAGAGACAGGGTTTCACCATGTTGGCCAGGCTGGTCTCGAACACTGACCTCATGATCCACCCGCCTCGGCCTCCCAAAGTGCTGGGATTACAGGCGTGAGCCACCGCACCTGGCCGATTGTTCAGGTTTCTAATTCTCAGGTCCCTAAGCTTTTGGCCTTCCTCCCTGACCCTACTCTTATTTCCTCGATGTCTCCATCCCTTTGACTTCATCGCTCCAATCCTGTCTGTAGGTTTTATCTCTGATCTCATCTCTCTGATCTCTATCTCCCTAACTCCCCCATCTCTGTGACCCTGTTGTCTCTTCCCCCATCTCCTTGACCCAGTTCTTCTATGGCTGTGACTCCTTAGGCTTTTGAGTGTCCCCTTTAAAGGACTCTGGAGGTTCAAAATCAGCAGAGAAGGATAGGATAGAGAAGACCTGGTTTGTATGCTGCTCATGTGACAAAAACCTGGTGGTTTAGGTGACAGCAGACTATTTATGAGTCAAAAGAGTTGGCTTAGCATTAGGCACCCGAGAGTACAGCAGCAGCTCAGACAAGGAGGGGCCTGCCCTATCTCTGCATTCAATGCTGGGAACCTGAGGTCAGTGGGATCCTAGAAAATGGGAGTAGGTACTGAAACGATGGATGGTGAACTGTAGGACTGAGACTAAGACGAGGCAAGAGACATGACTAGGGTGCAAAATTTAAGGAAGCACTCACTTTCAGTGTCGTACAATTGCCCTAGGTGCCTTTTTTTTTTTTTTTTTTTTTTTTTTTTGAGATGCAGTCTTGCTCTGTCACCCAGGCTGGAGTGCAGCACAACCATCTTGGCTTACTGCAACCTCGACCTCCAGGGTTCAAGCAATTCTCCCTGCCTCAGCCTCTCGAGTAGCTGGGACTACAGGCACCACCACGCCTGGCTAATTTTTGTACTTTTTAGTGGAGACGGGGTTTTGCCATGTTGGCCAGGCTAGTCTTGAACTCCTGAGCTCAGGTGATCCACTCGCCTCGGCCTCCCAAAGTGCTGGGATTACAGGTGTGAGCCACCACACCAGGCCCCTAGATGCCTCATTCTCAAGGAGGTACTCAAGACCGTGCATGGGCATGGTTGGCATCTCCATGGCCCTGAGAATAAGTGCTTCCTTAAATTTTGCACACTAGATGCTTCCCTAATCCCACCCAACTCCTGGCTGTGGTGTGCAGGAGGATGAAGGGTCTGAAAGCCAGGTCGTATGAGGAGAGTTGAAAGATTTTGGTTGGCTGAGCATGGTGGCTCACGCCTGTAATCCCAGCACTTTGGGAGGCCAAGGCGGGTGGATCACTTGAGGTCAGGAGTTTGAGGCCAGCCTGGCCAACATGGTGAGATTCCGTCTCTACTAAAAATACAAAAATTAGCTGGACATGGTGGTGTGCGCCTGTAGTCCCAGCTACTCGGGAGGCTGAGGCTTCAGTGAGCCAAGACTGCACCACTGCACTCCAGCCTGGGCAACAAAGTGAGACTCTGTCTCAAATAAATAAATAAATAAATAAATAAATAAATAAATAAATAAATAAGGGGCCGGGTGCAGTGGCTCACGCCTGTAATCCCAACACTTTGGGAAGCCAAGGTGGGTGGATCACCTGAGGTCGGGAGTTTGAGACCAGCCTGACCAACATGGAGAAACTCTGTCTCTACTAGAAATATAAAAATTAGCCGGGCAGAGTGGTGGGTGCCTGTAATCCTAGCTACTTGGGAGGCTGAGGCAGGAGAATCTCTTGAATCTGGGAGGCGGAGGTTGCAGTGAACTGAGATCGCGCCATTGCACTCTCCAGCCTGGGCAACAAGAGTGAAACTCCGTCTCAGAAAAAAAAAGAAAAGAAAAAAGAAAAAAGAAAAAGAAAAAAGAAAAAGGAAAGATTGGGATTGATGAATTTATTGATTATTTTCTTCATTCCATATTTCTGTCATACTTTATTCAACAAAGAGCTTGGAATGACTTTCAAAACCTAAAACTTTACAAAAAATTAGAATAAATGATTGAAGGAATTGGGTTGAAGGAAAAACAAGAGGAAGAGAAAGATCAGCACCCAGAAATGCATATTACATTGTTCTGTATGGTTCTTAGAGGTGGGCTCTGAGCTTCCTAGTGGTTAAAGAGGTAAACATAGGCCAGGCCCAGTGGCTCACGCCTGTAATCCCAGCACTTTAGGAGGCCGAGGCAGGCAGATCACTTGTGGTCAGGAGTTCGAGGCCAGCCTGGCCAACATGGTGAGACCCCATCCCTACTAAATAACATAAAAATTAGCAGGGCATGGTGGCGTGCACCTGTAGTCCTGGCTACTCAGGAGGCTGAGGCACCAGAACTGCTTGAATGCACCCCAACTCAAAATAAATAAATAAATAAACATAATCAAGTGCAAGACTCATGGGCCCATAAGGAAAAAAAGTTAGATGGTTTAGGAGAACCACAGCTTTTTCCCCCTTCCCTTCCCTTCTTCCCTTCCCTTCCCTTCCTTTCCTTTTCTCTTCCTTCCCTCCCTCCCTTCCTTCCTCTCTCTTTTCTCTCCTTCCTCTCCTTCCTCTCCTTCCTTTCCTTTCTTTCTTTCTTTCTCTTTCTTTCTTTCTTTCTTTCTTTCTTTCTTTCTTTCTTTCTTTCTTTCTTTTTCTTTCTTTCTTTCTTTCTCTTTCTTTCTTGTCTTACTCTGTTGCCGAGGCTGGTGTGCAATGGTGCCATCATCACTCACTGCAGCCTCAAACTCCTGGGCTCAAGCAATCTCCTGCTTTAGCCTCCTGAGTAGCTGGGACTACAGGTGTGAGCCACCATGCCCTGCTAATTTTTTGTTTTTTGTAGAGATGAGGTCTTGCTATGCTACCCAGGCTGTTCTTGAACTCCTGATCTCAAGTGATCTACCTGCCTTGACCTCCCAAACTGTTGGGATTACAGGCATGAGCTGCCATGCCAAACACAGCTTTTTCTGACACTGATATGTGAGACGAATTGCTCTGATGAGTCCTAGTTAATAGAACCCAGTATTCTGTCACTGGCAATATTCTCTGTTAAATCTCCAAGGGATGTTATTGATTCTCATAATTGATTAATTCACTGAGTCATTTCATACCGGGGGAACTGCCCCGATAATCATGTAGGTTCTTTCCTATTTTCCTAAGCGTCGGCTGGCTTGAGAAATAAAAGGACAGAGTACAAAAGAGAGAAATGTTAAACCTGGGCATCCAGGGGAGACATCACACATTGGTAGGATCCGTGATGCCCCACAAGCCACAAAAACCAGCAAGTTTTTATTAGAGAGTTTCAAAAGGGGAGGGAGTATACAAATAGGTATGGGTGACAGACATCAAGTACTTAACAGGGTAACAGAATATCACAAGGCAAGTGGAGGCAGGGTGAGATCACAGGACCAAAGGACCAAAGCGAAATTAAAATTGCTAATGAAGTTTTGGGCACCACTGTCATTGATAACATCTTATCAGGAGACAGGTTTTGAGATCAACCGGTCTGACCAAAATTTATTAGGCGAGAGTTTCCTCTTCCTAATAAGCCTGGGAGTGCTATGGGAGACTGGAGTTTATTTCACCTCTGCAATCTGGACCATAAGAGACAGGTACGCCCCGGTGGGGGGGGCGTTCAGAGACCTACCCCTAGGTGCGCATTCTCTTTCTCAGGGATATCCCATGCTGAGAAAAAGAATTCAGCGATATTTCTCCCATTTGCTTTTGAAAGAAGAGAAATATGGCTCTGTTCTGCCCGGTTCACCGGCAGTCAGAGTTTAAGGTTATCTCTCTTATTCCCTGAACAATTGATGTTATCCTGTTCTTTTTTCAGGGTGCCCACATTTCATATTGCTCAAAAACACATGCTGTACAATTTGTGTAGTTAACGCAATTATTACGGGGTCCTGAGACGATATACATCCTTCTTGGCTGACAGGATTAAGAGACTAAAGTAAAGACAGGCATAGGAAATCACAAGGGTATTGATTGGGGAAGTGATAAGTGTCCATGAAATCTTTACAATTTATGTTTAGAGATTGCAGTAAAGACAGGCATAAGAAATTACAAAAGTATTAATTTGGGGAACTAATAAATGTCCATAAAATCTTCACAATCCACGTTCTTCTGCCATGGCTTCAGCCGGTCCCTCCATTTGGGGTCCCTGACTTCCCACAACAATTTCACAAACATTCATTGAGCATCTGCTCTGTTTCAACATTGTGCCAGATGCTGGGAGGATGTTATTATATGTCAGGAGGTATCAATACAAAATAAACTAATCATAACAAACTGCAAGAAGTGCTATAATACAAACATGAATGGCTGGGCGCAGTGGCTCACGCCTGTAATCCCAGCACTTTGAGAGGCTGAGGTGGGCAGATCACCTGAGGTCGGGAGTTCGAGACAGCCTGACCAACATGGGGAAACACCGACTCTACTAAAAATACAAAATTAGCTGGGCACGGTGGCACATGCCTGTAATCCCAGCTACTAGGGAGGCTGAGGCAGGAGAATCGCTTGAACCTGGGAGGCGGAGGTTGTGGTGAGCCGAGATTGTGCCACTGCACTCCAGCCTGGGCAACAAGAGCGAAACTCCGTCTCAAAAAAAAAAGAACAAAGACTGTGGCGAATTATAATATAGATATAAGAAAAAGGTTTGGAATTGGAGGTTATGTTTAAGATGTGCTTTTTTTCTTTTTTTTTTGACACGGAATCTCACTCTGTCCCCCAGGCTGGAGTGCAGTGGTGCAATCTCAGCTCACTGCAACAACTACCTCCCAGATTCAAGCAATTCTTCTGCCTCAGCCACCCAAGTAGCTGGGACTACAGACACATGCCACCACATCAGGCTAATTTTTATATTTTTAGTAGAGACGGGGTTTTGCTATGTTGGCCAGGCTGGTCTCAAACTCTAAACCTCAAGTGATCTGCCCACCTCGGCCTACCAAAGTGGTGGGATTACAGGTGTGAGCCACCGCACCTGGCCTAAGATGTGTCTTAAGGAATGCATAGAAGTTCACCAGGCAGAGTCAGAGGGAGGGTAATTCCAGGCACGGGAATAATATGAGTGATGCTACCAAGGCTCATAGGATTTGTCAAGGAATTGTCTGGAGCTGTGGCTGAAATGGTGTCTGGACCTGATTTGTGAAGGGTCTTATATACCAGGTTGAGGAGTTTATATTTTATTTCGTATTTGTAAGGTAAGCAATGGGGATTAAAGTGGGGCAGAGTGGGGTGTATGCGAGGCAAAGGATCTAAAGTAGGGAAGTGCTTTGGAAAGATAACTACGTGGCCTGGTGGAGATGGGTTTCAATACATGGTTTTTTTTTGTTGTTGTTGTTTTTAAAGACCGAGTCTTGCTCTGTCATTAAAGCTGGAGTACAGTGGCACAGTCTTGGCTCATTGCAACCTCCACCTCCCGGGTTCAAGCAATTCTCCTGCCTCAGCCTCCCAAGTAGCTGGAATTATAGGCGTGCGCTGCCACGCCCGGCTAATTTTTGTATTTTTAGTAGAGACGGGGTTTCAGCATGTTGGCCAGGCTGGTCTCGAACTCCTGACCTCAGATGATCCACCCACTTTGGCCTCCCAAAGTGCTGGGATTACAGGCGTGAGCCACCACGCCTGGCCATTTTTGAGGATCTATCATGTATGAGACACCATGTCAGATAATATAAGGAATACCAAGATGGATCACACTTAGATTTTGTCCTTAAAAAGCTTACAGTCTAGTAACAGGAGGGGGCCTAGGGTTGGGAAAGATAGTACAGGTTTTGCACCCTTGATTTGAGTCATGGCTCTAGCTGGGTGCTGCTGGGCACTCAGTACTTCTTTGACCCTCAGTTTTCTTATCTGTAAAATGGGTACTAGAATATCTAATTTTTAAAGTTTTTTTTTTCAGATATTCTTGTATTTGATTGCCAAAGGTCTGTCATTCAGAATATCTAATTTTTAAGATTAAATGATAGAACATATATAAAGCAGGTCAGGCGCGGTGGCTCACGCCTGTAATCCCAGCACTTTGGGAGGCTCACCTGAGGTCAGGAGTACGAGACCAGCCTGGCCAACATGGTGAAACCCGGTCTCTACTAAAAATACAAAAATTAGCTGGGCGTGGTGGCGCGTGTCTGTAATTCCAGCTACTTGGGAGGCTGAGGCAGGAAAATTGCTTGAACCTGGGAGGTGGAGGTTGCAGTGAGCCAAGACTGTGCCACTGCACTCCAGTCTGGGAAACAGAGTGAGACTCCATCTAAAAAAAACAAACAAACAAACAGAACCCAACAACAACAAAGAACTAATAGCCATGAGCTTTCTTACCAGAGGGTGTGCTTCAAATAATCCCCAACAGTCCTGTTCCATTTGGGTTGGGACAACTAATGTTCCTTCACCTTATGTAGAGTGTTAAGTAAATGCACTTTTAAGATAAGTCCTTGGCCAGGCTCGGTGGCTCACGCCTGTAATCCCAGCACTTTGGGAGGCCGAGGCGGGCGAAATATGAGGTCAGGAGTTCAAGACCAGCCTGGCCAACATGGTGAAACCCTGCCTCTACTAAAAATACAAAAAAGTTAGCTGGAGACGTAGCGGCGGGCGTCTGTAATTCTAGCTACTTGAGAGGCTGAGGCAGGAGACTCGCTTGAACCCGGGAGGCGGAGGTTGCAGTAAGGAAAGATCGCGCCACTGCACTCCAGCCTGGGCAACAGAGTGAGACTCCGTCTCAAAAAAAAAAAAAAAAAAAAAAGTCCTTGACTCTGCCTCCCCTACCAACCAGATTGTTGCCCCTTTAAAAATAACTAGTAATTACAGACAAGTTTCTTTCCTTTCCTTTTTTTTTTTTTTTTTGAGATGGAGTTTCACTCTTGTTACCCAGATTAGAGTGCAGTGGCGTGATCTCAGCTCACTGAAACCTCCACCTCCTGGTTCAAGTGATTCTCTTGCCTCAGCCTCCCAAGTAGCTGGGATTACAGGCATGTGCCACCATGCCCAGGTAGTTTTTGTAGTTTTTAGTAGAGATGGGGTTTCACCATGTTGGTCAGGCTGGTCTCAAACTCCTGACCTCAGGCAATTCACCCACCTCAGCCTCCCAAAGTGTTGGGATTACAGGCATGAGACACCGCACCTGGCCCAAGAGAGATAAATTTCTTTCTTTCTCTTTCTTTTTTTTTTTTTGAAACAGGGTCTCACTCTGTTACCCAGCAGGCCAGAGTGCGGCTTCCTGCAGCCCTTGCCTCCTGGGCTCAGGTGATCCTCCCATATCAGCCTCCTGAGTAGCTGAAACTACAGGCATGTACCACCACACCCCATTTGTGTTTGTATTTTTTGTAGAGACAGAGTTTCAGCATGTTACTCAGTCTGATCTTGAACTCCTGGGCTCAAGCAACTCACCCGCCTTGGCCTCTCAAGGTGCTGGCTTACAGGGGTGAGCCACTGCACCCAGCCTGACAAATTTCACTTTAACAAAGGCAGAACTTTCTAACAAAGAGCTGATTGGGTAGTTTGGAGAGGCAGTGAGCTCCCAGGACCTTTAGGACCCACTAAGCAGAGATACTGTAGAGGGGTTGGCAGGTTGAAGCTGATGATCTGTAAGAATTGTTCTGACAAGTTTTTATTCCATGAGCTTTGCTCGTCGTGGTCTCCCCAAATTCCATTTCTCAGACCCAGTGCAGTCTTTGACCACCCAGATCCTCTGATTTCTATGTCTCTGCCCCGTCTGTGTCCCCAGTGCCCCAGGTGCTAAAGAGCTGTGCAGAATTTGTGGAGGAGTATGGAGTGGTGGATGGGATCTACCGCCTCTCAGGGGTCTCCTCCAACATCCAGAAGCTTCGGTGAGTCAAACAGAGTGGGAGGGCTCTGTGACCAGGAGGCCAGGGAGCCAGAAGGTCACAGTAAGAGTTGCTGAGGACAGCAGAGATGGGGAGTGAGAGGCAGTGGGGAGAAGGAAACACAGATACTAGGTAAGGTCCTAGGGAGGTGCTCTAACAACTCCTCAGGGAAGGTGGAGACCATGGTCCCTCCCCCAACTTAGCACACACACACACACAAACTCCACTCTCACATACACCATTCCCACACACACACCCGGCTTAAAAAAAAAAAAAAAAAAAAACTTGAGCCAGGCGCGGTGGCTCACGCTTGTAATCTCAGCACTCTGGGAGGCTGAAGTGGGTGGATCACCTGAGGTCAGGAGTTCAAGACCAGCCTGGCCAACGTGGTGAAACCCCGTCTCTACTAAAAATACAAAAATTAGCTGGGTGTGGTGGCACACACCTGTAATCCCAGCTCCTTGGGAGGCTGAGGCAGGAGAATTGCTCCAACCCAGGAGGCAGAGGTTGCAGTGAGCCAAGATTGCGCCACTGCACTCCAGCCTGGGTGACAGAGTGAGACTCCATTTCAAAACAAAAAACAAAAAACTTAGATATAATTTACATATCAAAAAATTCACCATTTAAAAATGTATAACTCCGTTGTTTTTAGTGTATTCACATACTATTCACATGGTATATTTACTTTAGATAGTGATGAAGTACAATAATCATCACTATCTAATTCCAGGACATTTCTTTCTTTTTTTTTTTTTTGAGATAGAGTCTCACTCTGTTGCCCAGGCTGGAGTGCAGTGGCGCAATCTTGGCTCATTGCAACCTCTGCCTCCTGGGTTCAAGTGATTCTCCTGCCTCGGCCTCCTGAGTAGCTGGGACTACAGATGCACACCACCACGCCTGGCTAATTTTTGTATTTTTAGTAGAAATGGGGTTTCACTATGTCGGCCAGGCTGGTCTTAATATTTTTTTTTTCAATTTTTTTTTTTTTTTGAGACAGAGTCTCCCTCTGTTGCCCAGGGTGGAGTGCAGTGTCGTGATCTTGGCTCATTGCAACCTCTGCCTCCTGGGTTCAAGTGATTCTCCTGCCTCAGCCTCCCGAGTAGCTGGGACTACAGGCATGCACCACCACACCCAGCTAATTTTTGTATCTTTAGTAGAGATGGGGTTTCACTATGTTAGCCAGGCTGCTCTTGAACTCCTGACCTCAAGTGATCTGCCTGCCTTAGCCTCTCAAAGTGTTGGGATTACAGGCATGAGCCACCATGCCCTGGCCTGTGTATTTATTTATTTATTTATTTATTTTTTGGGATGGAGTTTTGCTCTGCTGCCCAGGCTGTAGTGCAGTGGCGTGATCTGAGCTCACTGCAGCCTCTGACTCCTAGGTTCAAGCAATTCTCCTGCCTCAGCCTCCCGAGTAGCTGGGATTACAGGCACATGTCACCACTCCCGGTTAATTTTTTTTTTTGAGATGGAGTTTCACTCTTGTTGCCCAGGCTGGAGTGCAGTGTCGCGATCTTGGCTCACCACAACCTCCACCTTGCGGGTTCAAGCGATTCTCCTGCCTCAGCCTCCTGAATAGCTGGGATTACAGGCGAGCGCCACCATGCCTGGCTAATTTTGTATTTTTAGTAGAGACGGGGTTCCTCCATGTTGGTCAGGCTGGTCTTGAACTCTCGACCTCAGGTGATCTGCCTGCCTTGGCCTCCAGAAGTGCTGGGATTACAGGTGTGAGCCACCATGCTCAGCCCACAGTTTTGTATTTTTAGTGGAGACAGGGTTTCACCATGTTGGTCAGGCTGGTCTCGAACTCCAGACCTCAGGTGATCCACCTGGCTCAGCCTCCCAACGTGTTGGGATTACAGGCATGAGCCACTGCGCCCGGCCTACCTTTTTTATTATAGCCATCCCTGTAAATGTAAACTGATATTTCAAAGTGATTTATATTTGAGTTACTTTTGTTCTTTTTCTGTTCTTTTTTTGAGACTGGGTCTCACTCTGTCACCCAAGCTAGAGTGCAGTGGCATGGTCATGGCTCACTGCAGCCTCTACCTCCTAGGCTCAAGCGATCCTCCTACCTCAGCCTTCTGAGTAGTGGGGATTACAGGCATGAGCCGCCTCCCCTGGCCTATATTTGCATTTCTGTAATAGGTAATGATGTTGAACATCTTTTCCTGTGCTTATTGTCTACTTGCATATCTTCTTTGGAGCAATACCATGTTTATTCAAACCCTTTGCCCATTTTTTCCCCCTTTCCTATGGTGCTGACTTTGCCTGTTTAAAAATTTGGCTTATTTGTTTAGCCGGGCATGGTGGTGGGTGCCTGTAGTCCAGCTACTCAGGAGGCTGAGGCAGGAGAATCACTCGAACCTGGGAGGCGGAGGCTGCAGTGAGCAGAGATCGTGCCACTGCATGCCAGTCTGGGCGACAGAGTGAGACTCTGTCTCAAAAAAAAAAAAAATTAGCTTATTTGTCTTTCTAGTCATTGAATTACAAGAGTTCTTTATATGTTTGGAATGCTAGACCCTCAATCAGATATATTGTTTGCAAATATTACTCCCATTTTGTGGGTTGTCTTCACTTTTTTAATGGTGACTTTTGGCTACAAATGTTTTTAATTTTGATGTTCAATGTATCCATTTCTTTGTTTGCTTGTGCTTTTAGTATCATATCTAAGAAACTGTTGCCTAATCCTAGGACATAAAGATTTACACTTAACGTTTCTTTCTAAGAGTTATACCCATCCATTTTTACATGTACCCAGTGGCACAGATTTAGGACCATACCCTACTGACTCTTACAGACCCTTGTACTGCTACACATATCTACAGCTACATCCCTAACATATCCCTGTTCACGCATAGATCCACTTACCTGTACATGTACCCATCCTCACATTCACATCTACATGTCAACATATGCAATATCTTATACTTACTGGCTTACATGTGTACGTGTCCCAACATTCTCCTTCCAAGTCCAACACATGTTGACCCACGACCATGCCGGGACCCATCTCTATAGGGACCCACCTCTCCCCACATCACCCCAACCCCTACCACTCCTGACCACACCGCGCCTCCCCAGGCAGGAATTTGAGTCAGAGCGGAAGCCAGACCTGCGTCGGGATGTTTACCTCCAAGACATTCACTGCGTCTCCTCCCTGTGCAAGGCCTATTTCAGAGAACTGCCGGATCCCCTGCTCACTTACCGGCTCTATGACAAGTTTGCTGTGAGTTGAGAGGCCGAGGGGTGGAAGACAGGGCTCAGGGGTGGACAGCCTGGTTTTGACATCCCAAGTGTGCCACATACTAGCCAGAGTCCTAGCGATCCTGAATGACAGAGACCACAGAAAAACTTACCGGGGAAAAGACCCCTCCTCCCCAAATCTCCTAGCCCCTACTACCTTTGTCCTCCCCCATTCCTTTTCTCTTCACTCTCTCTCTGCTATGTCCTTCTTTCTCCCTAAGGCCTGAAGATTGCACACAGCACAGTGGTGAGACTTGGGGAGGTAGAGGTCAGATTGTTGTAGCTGGAAGGGCCTTGGAAAGCATGTAGACCAGAGCTTCCCTACACTTAAGAGAATCAGAATACTTTTTAGAAGTAAAATTTTTTCAAGGATGCCTCTCCATTCACTCTAATTATGCGTTGAACATCTTTGGTATTTTATTTTATTTTATATTTATTTTATTTTATTTTATTTTATTTTATTTTATTTTATTTTATTTTATTTATTTTTATTTTATTTTATTTTATTTTATTTATTTTATTTTATTTATTTTATTTTATTTTATTTTATTTTATTTTATTTTATTATTTTATTTTATTTTAATTTTAAGATGGAGTCTCACTCTGTTGCCCAGGCTGGAGTATAGTGGTGCAATCTTGGCTCACTGCAACCTCCGCCTCCCAGGTTCAAGTGATTCTCCTGCCTCAGCCTCCCGAGTAGCTGGAGAGCCCGCCACAATGCCTGGCTAATTTTTTGTATTTTTGGTAGAGACAGGGTTTCACCATGTTGGCCAGGCTGGTCTTGAATCCCTGACCTCAAGTGATTCACCCACCTCAGCCTCCCAAAGTGTTGGAATTACAGGCATGAGCCCCTGCGCCCAGCCTGTTTTTTGTTTTTTGAGACAGGGTCTCCTTCGGTCACCCAGGCCGGAGTGCAGTGGTGTGATCACAGCTCACTGCAACCTCAATCTCCCAGGCTCAAGTGATCCTCCTACCTCAGCCTCCTGAGTAGATGGGACTACAGGCGTGCACCACCATGCCTGGCTGATTTTTAAAATTTTTAGTAGAGACAAGGTCTTGCTGTGTTGCCCACGCTGGTCTCAAGCTCCTAAGCTTAAGAAATCCTCCCAACTCAGCTCCCAAAGTGCTGGTGTTACAGGTGTGAGTCACTGTGCCCAGCCTGAACATCTTTTAAATGCGAAAACACATGAAAAATATGCTATTTTGAATTGAGTAACACTTTAAAAATAAGTTGCACTTTATTGAGCATAAGAGCACTGAGAGACCCTAAATCCTAGCAGCACCCTGCTCAGTCCACACCGGCTAGGTTGGGGTGGGGGACAGCTTTCCTGGACACACTGAAATAACTCTGTGGTCCCTGGGGCACCCACAGGGTGGCGCCACTGAAGTATCCCAGTACCAGAGCTCTACGGATGGAGGATGGTAAGGCAGCGAGTTGCCAAGTTCACAAAAGCTATTAAGTGGCATAACCAAAATTCAGCTGCCATCTTCGTGGACCCCAATTCTGAGCTCTCTCTACCAAGTCAGTGCACCGCAGATGATGTAGGATGGGGTAGCACAGAGTCCAGTGCACATTGTTCCTGAGAACTTGGTTACAAGCTCTGGGGAGTAAGCAGGGGCATTGCTGGGTCACTGATTCCTGCTTCTTGCACTCTTCTCAATCAGGAGGCTGTAGGAGTGCAATTGGAACCTGAGCGCTTGGTCAAGATCCTAGAGGTGCTTCGGGAACTCCCTGTCCCAAACTACAGGTATGTGACACTCCATATCTGCCCAGCAACCTGAGACAACTCATTCACTCGCTGCCTGGAGCCTTAACTGGGTCCTACTGCTCCCAGGTCCCAGCCCTAATGCCTGCCCTGGGCATTCCCTGTGTGATCCCTGCCCCCGCTTTCTGCAGGACCCTGGAGTTCCTCATGAGGCACTTGGTACACATGGCCTCATTCAGTGCCCAGACCAACATGCATGCTCGCAACCTGGCCATCGTGTGGGCTCCCAACCTGCTGAGGTAGGTGCCTGTGTGAGCAGTGTATGGGGATCCTGTGAGACACTGGCCTTTGGGAGGCTGCTCCCAGGATGAGGTGTGACTGTGTGGGTACACTGGAGAAGGGTGTAGGGCTCACAAAGCCCAGTGAGAAAAGAAGGTTCAAGATCATGGTGGGTCGGATGGGCCCCATCTATTTTAGTCCCTTCTCTGTGATCAAATAAAGTCCCTAAAAGGCAGGACTTTTGTGTTTTCCTACAGTGTGTCACTGAGCTCAGGGACTGGAACATAACAGTTCCATATCAATTTTTTGTTTGTTTTTGAGACAGAGTCTTGCTCTGTTGCCCAGGCTGGAGAGCAGCGGTGCGATCTCAACTCACTGCAAACTCCGCTTCCTGGGTTCAAGGGATTCTCGTGCCTCAGCCTCCTGAGTAGCTGGGATTACAGGCATGAGCCACCATGCCTGGCTAATTTTTGTATTTTTAGTAGAGAGAAGGGGTTTCACCATGTTGGTCAGGCTGATCTTGAACTCCTGACCTCAGGTGATCCACCCACCTCCTCCCTGTGCAAGTGCTAGGATTACAGGTGTGAGCCACTCTGTCCGGCCTCACGCCAAATGTTTGTTGAGCAAAACGTCTTGCAGTCTGTTGGCTGTGCTCACTGTGCATATCACTCACTGTGGTCCAAGACAGACTATGAGAAGTCCTGTAATTCATTATAAAATTCATTATAAACTAGACACCCTGGTGTGCAAAGGAAATAGAGATTAATCCTGAGGCGGGTGTCCAAGAAGGCTTCCTTCCTAGAAGTCTTCAAGTGGCATTTGAGAATTGGAAGAATTATGCATACAATTTAAGAGGTAGAGAAGGGGTTAAGGTCATTCGAGAGAGAGAGAGAGAGAGAGAGAGAGAGAGAGAGAGAGAGAGAATAAGGTATTTTCAGGGAGAATCTGGATTGGGAAGTTTGGTGGGGCTGAGGGGGAGAATAATTCCACATCTCCACAGGTCTAAGGACATAGAGGCCTCAGGCTTCAATGGGACAGCGGCCTTCATGGAGGTGCGGGTACAATCCATCGTCGTGGAGTTCATCCTCACACACGTGGACCAGCTCTTTGGGGGTGCTGCCCTCTCTGGTCAGTGTCCTTCCTGCCCTCCACATATCCCACTGTTGGGGAGTCAAGTTAGTTACAGAGAGCCTTGAAGATCACCTACTTCAGCTGAGTCTCATACAGGGATGTTGGTAGTGGCCACATGGAGAGAACCCTGGGGAGATAATTGTGCAGTCAGGACTTGAGAAGACTTCTTCTGCTGTCAGTCTAGGGCATGGCTTGACCTCTGAGTCACCATCCTGGCTCCCAAGGCTAGTGATGGCTCATATCCACCCCCAGCCCACCAGGCCAACGTTCTCGGATCTCCCAGCCCTCTTTGTCCATGAGGGCACTCTTTTGAGGTGATGGACATGGAGGCACTGTCTTCAGGGGCTTCTGAATATATCCCTAACCTGGTAGTTGGCGAGGGGTGATGAAGGATTGGGTGCCTGAGGTCCCTCTCTTGGCTCTGTTCCTGGCTGGCCAATTCCTTTTCTTTTCCCAGGTGGTGAGGTGGAGAGTGGGTGGCGATCGCTTCCAGGGACCCGGGCATCAGGCAGCCCCGAGGACCTTATGCCCAGGCCACTGCCTTATCACCTGCCTAGCATACTGCAGGCTGGCGATGGACCCCCACAGATGCGGCCCTACCATACTATCATCGAGATTGCAGAGCACAAGTAAGGCCTCCTTCCTGGGCCTTCCTCCCCTGCACCGACCTTCATGTTCCAACCTCCAATTATGCCCCTCCATTCTTTGTAGGAGGAAGGGGTCTTTGAAGGTCAGGAAGTGGAGGTCTATCTTCAATTTAGGTCGCTCTGGCCATGAGACTAAGCGTAAACTTCCACGGGGGGCTGAGGACAGGGGTAAGTCTGGGGAGATGGGGGGAGCTCTGCTGAGGGTGCACAAGGCCCTGGCTCTACACACATCCCTGTCTTACAGAGGATAAATCCAACAAGGGGACACTGCGGCCAGCCAAAAGCATGGACTCACTGAGTGCTGCAGCTGGGGCCAGTGATGGTGAGTATAGGGGTGCATTTCTGTGTGTATGTGTGTGTGCTATGTGACCAGCGTGGGCTTGTGTGTACATGCAGCCAACTGTGTTCAATAATTTCAAAAAATATTTAATGAGTGCCTATTATATACCAGCCACATTGTAAATGTAGCTGAATGCTACGGTGAGTTGATTGTCTAATCTATGACTTTGTTGATGAGTGTTCGTATGGGATGGGACAGCATGGGTATGTGGTGGTGGTGGTGGTGGTGGTGGTGGTGGTGGTGGTGGTGGTGGTGGTGGTGGTGGTGGTGGTGGTGGTGGTGGTGGTGGTGGTGGTGGTGACAACGGCCAGTGACTGTATCTGCAGGGAAGGAAGGGAGTTCCCTAGGTATGTGAAGGTGAGGTGATCTTTGACCTACTGGCTGGGTGAAAAGTTTGCAGTAGTGATCAAAAGAAGCTGGGCCTGGTGCCTTCCAGGCTATCGTTGCTTTCAAGCCTGAGAAAGCAGAGAGCATTCTCCAGAGCCTTCTTGAGATGTCTAGGCCCCTTGGAGTTTAGGCTATTGCCTACCTGGCCCTCTTTTTCCTCCACAGAGCCAGAGGGGCTGGTGGGGCCCAGCAGCCCCCGGCCAAGCCCATTGCTGCCTGAGAGCTTGGAGAACGATTCTATAGAGGCAGCAGAGGGTGAACAGGAGCCTGAGGCAGAAGCACTGGGTGGCACAAACTCTGAACCAGGCACACCACGAGCTGGGCGGTCAGCCATCCGGGCTGGGGGCAGCAGCCGTGCAGAACGCTGTGCTGGTGTCCACATCTCAGACCCCTACAATGTCAACCTCCCGCTACACATCACCTCTATCCTCAGTGTGCCCCCGAACATCATCTCTAACGTTTCCTTGGCCAGGCTCACCCGTGGCCTTGAGTGCCCTGCTCTACAGCACCGGCCAAGCCCTGCCTCTGGCCCTGGCCCTGGCCCTGGCCTTGGCCCTGGCCCCCCAGGTGAGGACCCATTGATTGACCAAGACTAGGAAAGGGGACTGGAACTCTAGGCTGAAGCTCTGATGCTGGAAGATCCACCCTAGGAAGGGCAGAGGCCTCAGCCCTTGGGCTTTGGGGTGGTTACCTTTAGCTGCCTCCCTAGATTCAGGATTAGGGAAATCCAGTAATATTATCAGGCTATGTGAAATCTATGGAGAGGAGATCTCTAGCAGCCTTCAGAACATTGATGTACCCAAGAATAGGGGCCTGTGTCAGAAACATACAGCAGGGATTACTAAGGACAAATGTGGGAATATATAATAGATGGATGGGTAACAATAATAGTAACATCAATACTATCAGCTAACATTTAGCAAGAGTTTATTAAGTACCAGCCAGGCGCCGTGGCTCATGCCTGTAAACCCAGCACTTTGGGATGCCTAGGCAGGCAGATCACCTGAGGTCAGGAGTTCAAGACCAGCCTGCCCAACATGGCGAAACCCCATCTCTACTAAAAATGCAAAAAACTGGCCAGGTGTGGTGGCAGATGCCTGCGGTCCCAGCTCCTTGGGAGGCTGAGGCAGGAGAATCGCTTGAACCCAGGAGGCAGAGGCTGCAGCGAGCCGAGATCACGCCACTGCACTCTAGCCTGGGCGACAAGAGCAAAACTCTGTCTCAAATTAAAAAAAAAAAAACAAAAAACAGTTTATTAAGTACCAAGTGCTAGGCCAGGCACGGTGGCTCACACCTGTAATCCCAACACTTTGGGAAGCTGAGGAGGGTGGATCACTGGAGGTCAGGAGTTCGAGACCAGCCTGGTCAACATGGTGAAACCCCGTCTCTACTAAAAAAAATTAAAAAAAAATTAGCCAGGCGTGCGTGGTGAGGCATGCCTGTAATCCCAGAGACTCAGAAGGCTGAGGCAGGAGAATTGGTTCAACCCAGGAGGTGGAGGTTGCAGTGAGCTGAGATTGCGCCACTGCACTCCAGCCTGGGAGACATAGCAAGACTCCGTCTCAAAAAAAAAAAAAAAAAAAAAGGTCCAAGTGCTGTGATTGCAGGATTGGTTTGTTTCATTTTCTCATAATCTTATGACATAGGTATTGTTAGCCTTATGTTACAGCAGTGGAAACTGAGACTTAGGTTAATCAATTTGCAATTGATTTAGGTAGAAGTAGCAGAGCTAGGATCTGATCCTTGCTCTGACTCCAGTTCCTGAAGTGTCACTCATGAGAAGTCCTGAGGCAGGATAGGATAGTGGGTAAGAACATGGGCTATAGAGTTAAGTAGACTTGGGTTCAAATTTTGGCTGTACTGCTTATTCATTACATGACCTTAGACAAATTGCTTAATCTCTCTGAGCCTCAGTTTCCTCATATGTAAAATGAGGACAATACCCCACATAATAGTTTGGAGGAAAAAATGCCAATGCATTGTAAAATACATAGCACAGTGCTTGGCACCTGGTAGGGTCTCAATTAAGGTAGCAAGCCAATAACTAGGGACATTGGTCTGAAAGGATCAGTCATGCAGAGTAGCAATGCTGGGAGTGCTGGGCCCCTGCTATATCAATGCTAGGAGGACTCACACTGAAAAGGGTCAGGGCTTGACCTTTGTATTCCTGGGACTACTTCTCCCCCAACAGATGAAAAGTTGGAAGCAAGTCCAGCCTCAAGTCCCCTGGCAGACTCAGGCCCAGACGACTTGGCTCCTGCCCTGGAGGACTCGCTGTCCCAGGAGGTGCAGGACTCCTTCTCCTTCCTAGAGGACTCAAGCAGCTCAGAACCTGAGTGGGTGGGGGCAGAGGATGGGGAGGTGGCCCAGGCAGAAGCAGCAGGAGCAGCCTTCTCCCCTGGGGAGGACGACCCTGGGATGGGCTACCTGGAGGAGCTCCTGGGAGTTGGGCCTCAGGTAAGGAGAGCCGTGCTGGGTTTGGGGGTGGCATGGAGTCAAGGGTGGACAGGGCCTCCTGGTCCTGAGTCACAATGCTGTGCCTACAGGTGGAGGAGTTCTCTGTGGAGCCACCCCTGGATGACCTGTCTCTGGATGAGGCACAGTTTGTCTTGGCCCCCAGCTGCTGTTCCCTGGACTCCGCTGGCCCCAGGCCTGAAGTTGAGGAGGAAAATGGGGAGGAAGTTTTCCTGAGTGCCTATGATGACCTAAGTCCCCTTCTGGGACCTAAACCCCCAATCTGGAAGGGTTCAGGGAGTCTGGAGGGAGAGGCAGCAGGATGTGGAAGGCAGGCTCTGGGACAGGGTGGGGAAGAGCAGGCATGCTGGGAAGTTGGGGAGGACAAGCAGGCTGAGCCTGGAGGCAGGCTAGACATCAGGGAAGAGGCAGAGGGAAGTCCAGAGACCAAGGTGGAGGCTGGAAAGGCCAGTGAGGATAGAGGGGAGGCTGGGGGAAGCCAAGAGACAAAAGTCAGATTGAGAGAAGGGAGTAGGGAAGAGACAGAGGCCAAGGAAGAGAAGTCCAAAGGTCAGAAGAAGGCTGACAGTATGGAGGCTAAAGGTGTGGAGGAACCAGGAGGAGATGAGTATACAGATGAGAAGGAAAAAGAAATTGAGAGAGAAGAGGATGAACAAAGAGAGGAAGCCCAGGTAGAAGCTGGAAGGGACCTAGAGCAAGGGGCCCAGGAAGATCAAGTTGCTGAGGAGAAATGGGAAGTTGTACAGAAACAAGAGGCTGAGGGAGTCAGAGAGGATGAGGACAAAGGACAGAGGGAGAAGGGGTACCATGAAGCAAGAAAAGACCAAGGAGATGGTGAAGACAGCAGAAGCCCAGAAGCAGCAACTGAAGGAGGAGCAGGGGAGGTCAGCAAGGAACGGGAGAGTGGGGATGGAGAGGCTGAGGGAGACCAGAGGGCTGGAGGGTACTATTTAGAAGAGGACACCCTCTCTGAAGGTTCAGGTGTAGCGTCCCTGGAGGTTGACTGTGCCAAAGAGGGCAATCCTCACTCTTCTGAGATGGAAGAGGTAGCCCCACAGCCACCTCAGCCAGAGGAGATGGAGCCTGAGGGGCAGCCCAGTCCAGACGGCTGTCTATGCCCCTGTTCTCTTGGCCTGGGTGGCGTGGGCATGCGTCTAGCTTCCACTCTGGTTCAGGTCCAACAGGTCCGCTCTGTGCCTGTGGTGCCCCCCAAGCCACAGTTTGCCAAGATGCCCAGTGCAATGTGTAGCAAGATTCATGTGGCACCTGCAAATCCATGCCCGAGGCCTGGCCGGCTTGATGGGACTCCTGGAGAAAGGGCTTGGGGGTCCCGAGCTTCTCGATCCTCTTGGAGGAATGGGGGTAGTCTTTCCTTTGATGCTGCTGTGGCCCTAGCCCGGGACCGCCAAAGGACTGAGGCTCAAGGAGTTCGGCGAACCCAGACCTGTACTGAGGGTGGGGATTACTGCCTCATCCCCAGAACCTCCCCTTGTAGCATGATCTCTGCCCATTCTCCTCGGCCCCTTAGCTGCCTGGAGCTCCCATCTGAAGGTGCAGAAGGGTCTGGATCCCGGAGTCGTCTTAGTCTGCCCCCCAGAGAACCCCAGGTTCCTGACCCCCTGTTGTCCTCTCAGCGCAGGTCATATGCATTTGAAACACAGGCTAACCCTGGGAAAGGTGAAGGACTGTGATTAGGACCACAGCCCTGGGCAAAGGGGACCAGCAAGTTGTCTTGAATCTCCAGGGTTCCTGACTAGCTGTCTCCTCTGCAGCATGAGCAGCTGTAGTGCCCAACTCTATAGGCTTTGGCCCTCCAGCTTCTCTCTTTGACTGTGGGAGGCACTGCCTTGGTTGGTTTACCTGAACTTGTCTCCGACACAAAGCACTTATCTCTTAGGAGATTCCCAAGAAAGTCAACAAGATCTTGTTCCCAGGGAGTGGGTCATTGGCCAAAGGGAACATAAGGTAGGCAGAAAACTTAAAAGAGTTTGTTAAAGTGAAGACTGGAGAAATTCCTCCCTTCCTCTGAGCTGTGAATCTCTCTTCATGAAAGCCAAAGGTAGAGACAGGGAGGACAGGGCCAGGTTAGGGCCTTCCACACACAAACACTTCTAGAGTTGCCCATTCCTGTTATGTTCTTGGACCCTAAGATACCTCCTGTCCCTTTTAAATCCAGATTAAGAGAAACGTCCAGGAAGAGCTCTTTGAAGCCCTCAATATTTGTTGGAGGGACTGGACTCCTCTCCAGCTCCCCACCCTCTGCCTCCAGTCACCATGTGCAAGAGAGGTCCTGTACAGATCTCTCTGGGCTCTCCTTTCTCCTTTGGAATAACTTGTTCCTATTTCAGGAAAGGGAAATGGTGTCACTCAGGCCCTGGGACTGCTTCTCCAGCCAGGCTGGGGCCACAGGTCCCACTCTAGTGAAGGTCAATGTCTCAGAATAAAAGCTGTATTTTTACACATAGTGTGGAGTCTCATTATTCTTATTAAAGTCTTTGGTGATAGGTATTATATCTTCACATATTTGGCAAAACATTCTTTTTCTTCTTCTTGTTTGGGTGCTCTTCCTCAGTTGTTGTCATGGAGACTAGTGGCCAGAAACTAGAGCTAGGTTCATGGTGGTCAGGAAATAAGGAAGAGAAACTTATATTTACATAATGCGTTCATTATGTGCCAGGAACTGGACTAAGTATCCTGTGCTCACAAAATCTATGTCCTTGATTTTATTTAATCCACACAATTCTGGAAGGTTGGTGCTAGTATCTCCAGTTTATAGATGAGGAAACTAAGGCTCAATTAAGTCAAAATGTTTGCCAAAGGTCTCAGAGGTAAGAAGTGGCAGAGATGGGTTTGAAACCTGGATCTGCCTGGCCCCCAAGCTTGAATTTTTCCCATTATACCACACTACTCCAAATCCATTCAGGGTAGGTCTTGATTGAGAAGAATGGGAATCAAGATTCCTGTCACAGAAGGTGTGAGCCTTTAGAACACTAGAAGCTTTGGGGTCTTTGGATGAGTGACTGCTGACGCGAATAACAAGGAACATATCCAATTCTATGCATGCCCCGATAGGTCGTAATCTCTAGCAGGTAACCTTTCAAAAAGACGCCCTGCGCCAAGATGGCCTCCCAAATAGCCCTTGTTAAAGATGGCGCCTCCGTCGGACGTCCCTCCCTTGATCTCAGCTGGATTCTCTTCTTTCCTGGAATGAAAAAATGCCCTGCCAAGCACTAAGATATTAGTACAAGTTAGTCGTCTCTTTCCCGTTCTTGTCGAAAGTGGCCAGGCCTTCAGCTACATTCTCCAGGACACGGCTTCTTTCCGGCTTCACAAATAACCCACAAACACCAACTCTCATCAAGATGGAGTGAGCGGAAGTGGGGCAGTTCTGAGTTTGAGTTTATGGGCGGGGCGAGAGCGACACTTCCGCCCCTCACCAACATGGCCGCGGGCTGGAAGTGCGCATGAGCAGCTGTCTATGGAGATACCTAGGCCGGGAGAGGGAGAACACAGTTGGAGAAAATCGGCAGCTGAGACGGCCTTGGCCGGTGAGTGTAGGACCGGGCAGAAGTCTGGAAACTGGGTGGACTGGCAAGGCAGGGCAGCTTT
The DNA here is from genome assembly GCF_000001405.40 of Homo sapiens. Lineage (NCBI taxonomy): Eukaryota > Metazoa > Chordata > Mammalia > Primates > Hominidae > Homo > Homo sapiens. The sequence goes on along the minus strand of NC_000001.11, from coordinate 161,045,796 downwards.
GATTTTGTTTCCGTTTTTCAAGTTAGAGAACACTGCTGGGGAGGAAGCCTTTGTTTTGGGGGAGGGGGCTGTGCTGGTTCTTTATCTCATACCCTGCTTTGTGGGCCAAACTCTCTCCCTTCCCCAGAGCGCGAGCGTCCCAGCCCTCCTGCGCTGTCCAGCTGCGCGCCGCAGCCGCCGGCACCGGGCGCTTGAGCTCCCTAGTCCCCGAGGCCCTTTCCTGCCTCCTCCGCGGAGCAGCTGGGGCGCGGGGCTAAGACTGCGGGGCTGCGGGGTCACGGCGCAGGCTCCCGGGCTCGCGCCTGGCGGGCGCTCAGCTCCGTAAGCGCCTTCTGGTTGGTGAGCCTGCAGGGAGACGCCTCATTCTAAGGCAAGGTCTAGGTGCCTGACTTCTTTCGGGAGTTGATTTTTTTTCCCTTTGTGTCCAGACTTAGCAAGGGCTCTTACTGGGCCCTTCTGGCCTGAGCGTGCACACCACAACGTCCCATCCCTGTTTCCGTGTCACCGATCCCTAATGCCTAGGAAATGCTTCCGGATGTCCAACTAAGATTTGAATAAGTACCCTGACCCCGTTGCTGGGTGTCCTCAGAGACTGCCCCGGCTGACAGCTGTGGCCAATAGAGATGCCTCCTGTGCCGGGCCCTCTATTTCATTGCCTTCCCCTGCAGTCAGCGCGGCAAGCTTCGCAGGGCATTTCCTCTTCAGGTTTGAAGATGGAAATGTAGGTGGTCCCAAAACACTAGTGCTACTTCCCCTTATCGACTGGGATCTCCTTGCAGCGTTACTTCGTCTGTACGGTTTCACTTTCAGTTCCTTTTTCAACATTTTCCTCGGACGCGGTCTTTCCGAGGCTTATCCATTGAAAATTTTCCTTGGATAGGAAAGGTTTGGAGGACCTTATGGGTAGAGAATTTCCAAAAATCTTGCCCCTTTTGTGTTGGGATTATCTTATTGCTTTGTACTGTGTAGCTGTTTCTTTCTGGAGGCATGTCTGCCCAGCTCTTTGTTTTTCCTGCCCTCTGGCTGGGTGTCAGGGTCCTAAGGCAGAGCTTGTAGGTGGATTCTTCCCCCTTTGTCTCTTCTTCAGAACCCTGTTTTTTTTTTTTTTACCCCTTCTTGCTCAGGCTTAGTTGATTTGGAGTTGTCATAGCAACATTTTAGCAACAGTGTTGTTCTGCAGGAAGGCTTGATGAATAAAATAGAGAATGCTTGAAGAGGATCCACTTGGGCTTTAGGGTTTCTAACAGATTATATAAATCTGGATACCCCAAAACAAGAGTCCTGTCAGTAGAATGGGGCCCAAATGCCAAGTCTAGTCTTTGTGGTCAGGGATATTCTTCCAGTGGTAGTGGGCTTCAGATTTCCTCTTCCTAGGTTTGAAAACAGAAATGTCTTGATGGACAACATGTGGCTGAGAAACTGGAAGAAGCATCAGTGTCCATGACACTGTATTTTTTGATGGTGGGGCCAATACATGGCCCTTCCTGATTCCCATGAAGCTGCCATCATGGCAGGTCATAATAGCTTTAATGATCCATTTAGAGATGTGTTGTTGGCTGGGTGCGGTGGCTCATGCCTGTAATCCAAGCACTTTGGGAGGCCGAGGCAGGCGGATCACCTGAGGTCAGGAGTTCCAGACCAGCCTGGCCAATATGGTAAAACCCCATCTCTACTGAAAATACAAAAATTAGCTGGGCGTGGTGGTGGGCACCTATAATCCCAGCTATTCAGGAGGCTGAGGCAGGAGAATCACTTGAACCCAGGAGATGGAGGTTGTAAGCCGAGATTGTGCCACTGCACTCCAGCCTGGGTGACAGAGCAAGATTCTGTCTCAGAAAAAAAAAAAAAAAAAAGAAAGAAATGTGTTGTTTCGGCCAGGTGCAGTGGCTCACACCTGTAATCCCAGCACTTTGGGAGGCTGCCGAGGTGGACAGATCATGCTCTCAGGAGTTCGAGACCAGCCGGGCCAACATGGTGAAACCCCGTCTCTACTAAAAATACAAAAATTAGCCAGGCGTGGTGGTGTGCACCTGTAATCCCAGCTACTCCGGAGGCTGAGGCAGGAGAATCACTTGAACCTGGGAGGCAGAGGTTGCAGTGAGCTGAGATCGCGCCACTGCACTCCAGCCTGGGTGACAGAGAGAGACTCTGTCTCAAAAAAAAAAAAAAAAAAAAAGTGTTGTTTCTGTCTTCCAGTATAATTATCCACTCTCCACCAGGAGTTGGAGTGATAATGGAGGGATGGGGAACACTATTTGTAGCCTTGCTTTTTCAATCACTGTAGGCCAGTCCTCAACATCAGTATGGTGGAGGCTGATTGTCCCCTGCAGATGACTGGGTTATTTTCCTGGCTATGTGTTCATGGAACCTAAGTTCTAGAACCAGAGATACTGTTCTGTTTCCTAAACTCATTGCAAACTTCATGATTTCTACCAGGACTTAGCACTCAGGCCTGTGAATCAGGAGATACAAAGACCTCCAAAAAAGGACCAGTTCCTCGGATGTGCCCCCTCACAGAGAGATGAAGGGGTGAGTGAAGAAGAGGTAGGGTCTGGGATGAAAGATGGGTGGCCTGGAAGAATGCAAAATGACCAAGAGCACTGCCTCTGGAGTCAGGCAGACCTGGATTCAGGTTCTACTCTATCACTTACTGTGTGATTTGGTTTCTCTATCTATAAAATGGAAGTAGTGCTATCTATCTCGTGGTGCTGTTTTTAGTACTAAATAAGATTACATGTAATGTACTTAGCTTAGTGCTTATGTACATAGTAAACAGTAAACACTAGTTGTTATTCTAACCTAACCCAGCTTCTGTTGGGAATGCCAATGAGTTTGCAGCCATATGTTACTGGGCCAGTGAGCTTCTCATTGACTTCTTCTCATACTCTTCCTTTTGTCCTTTCACCACAAACAGGCAGCAGAAAACAGCTGAAACGGAAGAGGGGACAGTGCAGATTCAGGAAGGTGAGTGCTAGAAACAGAACCAAGACTAAGAACCCATCATGGCCTCCCTTCCTTCCCCACCAGACCATCTCCTGTGCATCCTCCTCCTTCCGTGACATGCAAATGGAACGGGGGTAGAAAGGCAGTTAACTCACAGACTTTTCCTTTGTTCTTTTAATTCAGGTGCAGTGGCTACTGGGGAAGACCCAACCAGTGTGGCTATTGCCAGCATCCAGTCAGCTGCCACCTTCCCTGACCCCAACGTCAAGTACGTCTTCCGAACTGAGAATGGGGGCCAGGTAAGGGAGGGGGCCAGGTGGCTGCAGGTGTTATCTGGGGTTGGGATTGAGGGAGGTAATTGAACATGTCTTGGGGAGACCTGGCTTGGAGGATGAGTTGAAAGAGTGGACTGTTGCAGGGGAGGGAGGTGCTAATACTGGAGTAGAGACTGGTGTGAGGTTAGATGTATGCTGAAACCTCTGTGTGGGGAAAGAAGGGAGAATGGCTGAATCCATGTCTCTGAAGGACTTTGTTTTGGGGCCCTATCCAAGGGAAGCTTTATGAGGGGCCCTAGGATTCCCAACACTTAATCTTTTCTTCTCTCTTCACTCCCTCTGCCTTCCTCTACACTTCTAGGTGATGTACAGGGTGATCCAGGTGTCTGAGGGGCAGCTGGATGGCCAAACTGAGGGAACTGGCGCCATCAGTGGCTACCCTGCCACTCAATCCATGACCCAGGTACAGGGTATGGGCTGGGGAGGTCACTAGAGTTCTGAGAAGTAAGATGAAGAAGGGAATCAGTAGGATGGGGGTGAAGCTAGGAACAGTGAGGCATCTAAGGCTGCCTTGTCCCAAAGCACTAGGCTCTCCTTTTCTGGATGTTTCTCTCTCTCTCTCTCTCTCTCTCCACCCTACCTACCACCCCAACGGATAGAAGCTGCAGAGTGGTGTAGTGGGAAGAAGTTTTTGACTGTTACCAGAATCAGTTTTCTTGCTCCCCTTCCCAGGCGGTGATCCAGGGTGCTTTCACCAGTGATGATGCAGTTGACACGGAGGGGACAGCTGCTGAGACGCACTATACTTACTTCCCCAGCACGGCAGTGGGAGATGGGGCAGGGGGTACCACATCGGGGAGTACAGCTGCTGTTGTTACTACCCAGGGCTCAGAGGCACTGCTGGGGCAGGCGACCCCTCCTGGCACTGGTGAGATATTGCATGAGGATGCTGGCTGAAAGGGCTAGAATAGGCTGTGGGACATGACTGGTAGGCAGTGAGCCTTCACTCATGACTCTTAGTGATCATTAAGACCTGGACAGGCAGTGAGTCTGGGGCTGCTCTTCTATTAGCATGTTCTTTTTAGAGGAGGGGACCAGGGTCTTCACCTCAGGGCTTGGTGAGGTTCCTACCCATGTCCTGACAGAACCTACCCTGCATCTTCACAGGTCAATTCTTTGTGATGATGTCACCACAAGAAGTACTGCAGGGAGGAAGCCAGCGCTCAATTGCCCCTAGGACTCACCCTTATTCCCCGTGAGTGACCCTTGTTTCTTCTCAGATTCCGTAAGTGGTTTTTTTTTTTTTTTTTTTTTTTTGAGACAGAGTCTTGCTCTGTCACCCAGGCTGGAGTGCAGTGGCATGATCTCAGCTCACTGCAACCTCTGCTTCCAGGGTTCAAGCGTTTCTCATGCCTCAGCCTCCTGAGTAGCTGGAACTACAGACATGTACCACCACCCCTGGCTAATTTTTGTATCTTTAGTAGAGACAGGGTTTCACCATGTTGGCCAGGCTGGTCTCGAACTCCTGACCTCAAGTGATCCGCCTGCCTCGGCCTCCCAAAGTGCTGGGATTACAGGTGTGAGACACCACACCTAGCTACCATAAGTGGTCCTAATACCTGCTAAATCTTGTATAATTCCTTAACCCCAAACTTCAATCATGTATTTTGTCTTCTTACTCTGGCCACCCTGGGCTCTGTTGTCAGGAAGTCAGAAGCTCCCCGGACGACTCGGGATGAGAAACGCAGGGCTCAGCATAATGAAGGTAGGTATGATCTGGGTGGAGCTAGAAGCTGTCTGGTGTGATCTCAGCAGTGATGTCTGAGGGGAGGAGGGATTAGGTAATTTTACCCTGGGACTTGTGGCGAGTTTTCACTGAGTCACCTTGTCCTCCACTTTGCCCCACAGTGGAGCGTCGCCGCCGAGACAAGATCAACAACTGGATCGTGCAGCTCTCCAAGATAATCCCAGACTGCTCTATGGAGAGCACCAAGTCTGGCCAGGTCATGGAAAGACCCTGGTAGTGGGCAGGATGCCTGAATTCTGCCTCCTGGTATTGTTTCCAGAAATGGTAGAGAGAGGGGCACACATGACAGTAGTCTTATCTCTCCCTGAGGTTCCTGTATCCCTGGGAGATATTATACCACCTTCCTTAGATGAAAATGAGGTCCAAAGTGTGAACCTACTTTTGGAAAGCAAGCTGGGTATCTGAAATCCTAGTTCTCATTTTGTTGACCTTATCTTGCAGAGTAAAGGTGGGATTCTATCCAAAGCTTGTGATTATATCCAGGAGCTTCGGCAGAGTAACCACCGCTTGTCTGAAGAACTGCAGGGACTTGACCAACTGCAGCTGGACAATGACGTGCTTCGACAACAGGTCAGACTCCTACCCCCAGTGCAGCCCTTCTCAGTTCTGCTAGCCACTGACCCAGTTTGACACCCTCTACTTTGTTCTCCATGGAGAAGGCTTCATCTTTTCCCCCTCACCAGTGGATGTCTGAATACATTCAGGGGCTTGGAAGTGCCAGCTTTACTACCCATTCCCTTTACTGCCTCCTTCCCATGTCAGGTGGAAGATCTTAAAAACAAGAATCTGCTGCTTCGAGCTCAGTTGCGGCACCACGGATTAGAGGTCGTCATCAAGAATGACAGCAACTAACTATGGGGATTCAGGGGCTTTGGGCCCAAGAACTGCAGATAGCCCAGGAGCAACAGCCTAATCCCGTGCCCCTTTCCTTCACTGCCCCACTTCTGGCATGGGACAGGGGGAAGTTCAGAAGGTGTGTCCTTGAACTGAGGCCCTGTGATATGGCGGCCTGCAGTGGTGTGAAACACACAATGTGGACGTGCACTGACAGCCTTGCCCACCCCCACCATGCAGCCCCTGGGCCCTTGTGCTCCTCTCGCACAATGCATGTGCTGTCTCCATGCTGGATACTGGACACACTAAACTCTGGGGCTTGTCCTGTGCTTGCTTAGAGTGCCCAGCAGAGGTTTGCTGACAGGTGATGCTCTGGCTTGCCCCAGGACTCTGGCACTTCCATTGGTTCTTCCTTTCCCTGGAGCTGAGGTTTAGATGTGCAACCTGTGGCTCAGGGGAGCAAGCTTACACAAGAAGTGAGGGAAGGATGTTTAGCAGTGGCTGGTGCCCATGAAGAGGAGATTGGCCAGTGAGAAGCTGAGGCCTATGCAGACATCTCTGGAGCCAGAGAGAACAACAGGCAGGGGCCCACTTGGGGCCTTCCCCCTTGTGGGGGTCGTTTTTTTTTTTTCTTTTCTTTTTTTTTTTTTTTTTTTTTTTTTTTTAAGATAAAATTGTTCAAAGCCACAGTTGTCTGTTTTTCTTCCTTTTGTGGGCCACGGGCTGGAAGGGAGGGGCACATTGCTCTTCGACCAGTAAGGGCTGTGCCAAGTTCAGGGTGGGGTGCTGCTCCTGCATTTATTACCCGGAGTCCTGGTTCCTGGGCCAGACCGGTGTGTCGTTTTTGGCCCAAGCTAGAGAATGTTAAGGGCTTCTGCGGTGGGTTGGTGCTAGAGGCGCCGCGAACAGGTGCTGCGGGGGCGGCGCGGGAGGCGGTGCCCTTGCTTCCGGATCCGGTCTCAGCTCTGGGAGGGAACGGGAGATGTTGCAGGCGCCGAGAGGGCGGGCCAGGGCCGCACTCCGGAGACTCGCGGTTGCTACGCGCACCATGGCTGGAGGTACCTGCGGGGGATTCCTGGGGCCGCGGTTCTCTTGGTCCTCTGGGTTGAGGCGTGGCAGGGAGTGGGGTGGCGGAGCGAAGGGGCGTGGCTGAGGGGTCTTCGTGCACACCCTACCGGGAGGGGCGCTGCCAGGTGAGGGGATGCCATGGCGGCCGTGACTCCTAGGCCCCCTCTTCCTGAAGGCTGTCGCGCCCCTTCCTCAGCGCCCACGGTCTCGCTTCCTGAACTCCGTTCACTCCTAGCCTCCGGACGGGCCCGGCTCTTCGACGTGCGCTCTCGCGAGGAGGCGGCAGCTGGGACCATCCCAGGGGCGCTCAACATCCCGGGTATAGGGTGGAGAGGGGACGCCCAGGTGGTGGAATAGAGACCGTTCAGGAGGTTCTTTGCCAATGGGACCTCATTTAGGATGGAATGGGGAAGGCACTGATTATGGGGGTCCTGCATTCCCGGGAGCCAGCCCTCAGCTTCCGTAGGAAGGACTGATGGGGGGCGGATCTTGGCATCGGAACTGGCCCATCCAGTTTGAGAAGACAGCAGGCGGAGAGGAGAGGGGCAGACCAGCTTCTCTTGACCTCCCCAAATCTGGACGCCTGAGGGGGCATCCCGCCCCGCCTCCTCACAGCTTAGGGAGTGGCTTGCATTCAAAAGTTGTCGGTTTCTGTTCCTTGAAATTGGGGTGGGGGTAGGGGATGGTTATCATATGTTGTTTGGGGGCCCCCAGGACCCAGCCCTTCCAGGCCCAGCTTCCGAACCTGAGTGCCAAATTGCTGGCTTTCCCTTCTACCCTCTCCACTCCTCCAGTGTCCGAGTTGGAGAGTGCTCTGCAGATGGAGCCAGCTGCCTTCCAGGCTTTATATTCTGCTGAGAAGCCAAAGCTGGAAGATGAGCATCTCGTTTTCTTCTGTCAGATGGGCAAGCGGGGCCTCCAGGCCACGCAGCTGGCCCGGAGTCTTGGATACACTGGGTACGGGGAGGTGTGGCTGCTAGCTGGGAGGTGATGGGGACTGCCTGTCATTCCTGTCAGTCTCTCACGCTTCTTTGTCTCCACAGGGCTCGCAACTACGCTGGAGCCTATAGAGAATGGTTGGAGAAAGAGAGTTAGGCAGGAGGCAGCTTACTGATTGCCACCCCCTGGCCCCTTAATGGCCACCTTAACTAAGGGTGTGAACGGGCTGACTTGGTGAATTGGGCAACTCCTTATAGTGTTGTGCACACAAAAGCATCAAATAAAGAACATTTAATCAAAGTATTGGAAGCACTTAATGTGTCAGGTGGACTGAAAACAGTTCTAATCTTTATCTAGACCTCAATTCAGCCCTGGATCATCATTTCGCAGCATTCATCTGCTTCCCCCTAGCACTCCCCACATGCAACATTCTAGCAGTTTCCTGAGAGGCTACAATGTACAGTTCTTCTAGAATAGCTGTTTTCAGCCCAGAATGCACATCAGAATCACCTAGTAGGTTTTTTTGTTTGTTTTATTTTTTAATTCAGAATATGGAGGGTGGAGCCTGAGCATTAGTGGCTTTATGGGCCCCTGGGGTGATTCTCATATACAGCCAGAAGCAGGTACCACTGCTGTAGACCAGAGGTCAGCAAACTATGGCCCCAACTGGCTGTGCTGCTGTGAACTTTGGTTATTGTCTATGGCTGCTTTGTCCATGGATTGAGGAGGTGAAAGGGCAATCCCAGGCCTTTGGGTGAGGGAATGGATGGAACCCTTCATCCCTACTGATGTGTCATGCACAGATTACAGGTGTGAGGAGCCTTTCCTGTGCCACCAAAACCAGGTTTCGTTTTTTTTTTTTTTTTGAGACAGAGTCTTGCTCTGTCACCCAGGCTGGAGTGCAGTGGCACGATCTCGGCTCACTGCAAGCTCAGTCTCCCGGGTTCACGCCATTCTCCTGCCTCAGGCTCCTGAGTAGCTGGGACTACAGGTGCCCGCCACCACGCCCAGCTAATTTTTTGTATTTTTTTTTAGTAGAGACGGGGTTTCACCGTGTTAGCCAGGATGGTCTCGATCTCCTGACCTCATGATCCGCCCACCTCGGCCTCCCAAAGTGCTGGGATTACAGGCGTGAGCCACTGCGCCCGGCCTCAGGTTTCTGTTTTTATCAACACTGATCTCTTATACTGGATTTAACAAATTTAATTGGTTGGCCAGGCACGGTGGCTCATGCCTGTAATCCCAGCACTTTAGGAGGCCAAGGCAGCGGATCACCTGAGGTCAGGAGTTTGAGACCAGCCTGCCCAGCATGGTGAAACCCCATGTCTACCAAAAATAAAAAAATTAGCCAGGTGTGGTGGTGCACACCTGTAGTCCCAGCTACTTGGGAGGCTGAGGCAGGAAAATTGCCTGAACCCAGGAGGCAGATATTGCAGTGAGCTGAGATAGTGCCACTGCACTCCAGCCTGGGTGACAGAGAGAGACTCAGTCTCAAAAAAACCAAAATTTAATTGGTTAAAAAGATGAAATTACACATGCTTACTGAAACAAAATTCAGCACTACACAGTAGGTATATGACTTCCCTCTAGTATAGTGTATAGTTTGATGCATAATACATTTTAAATATTTTCATGGCAGAGTTTTTACTTCTTAAGTTTGATTTTTGGAAAATGTATTCCTTAATCTGTGGAAGAGAAGATTGAGTCAGAAATGAATCCAGTTTTCTGATTTTTCATGCCTCTGAAGAACTTCTTTCAGGCATTTCCTGCATTCCTTGCCTGTCTCTCACCTCCTTTTCTTCCCTTCTGCCTTCTCTACTATACCCAGCCCTCCTACATTCATTCATTCATTTATTTATTTTTGAGACGGAGTTTTGCTCTTGTTGCCCAGGCTGGAGTGCAATGGCGTGATCTCAGCTCACCGCAGCCTCTGCCTCCCGGGTTCAAGCAATTCTCCTGCCTCAGCCTCCCGAGTAGCTGGGATTACAGATATGCGCCACCATACCCAGCTAATTTTGTGTTTTTAGTAGAGACGAGTTTTCCCCTCCACAGGTCTTTATTATAATTTGGTTATAGCATTTTATTATTATTATTGGCATAATTTACTTAACAATAAAACGCACAATTCTTGGCCCAGTATGGTGGTTCATGCCTGTAATCCTAGCACTTTGGGAAGCCGAGGCGGGCGGATCTCTTGAGGCCAGGAGTTCAAGATCAGCCTGGTCAACATGGTGAAACCCTGTCTCTACTAAAAATACAAAAATTAGCTAGGCCTGGTGGTGCTCGCTTGTAGTCCCAGCTACTCTGGTGGCTGAGGCATAGGCATGAGAATTGCTTGAACCCAGGAGGCAGAGGTTGCAGTGAGCCGAGGTCACGAGACTGTACTCCAGCCTGGGCGACAGAGCGAGACTCTGTCTCAAAAAAAAAAAAAAAAATGCACCATTTTCTTTTTTTACCCTGTGGTTGGCAGTTTATTTTAAAAAAACAACGCCCCAGTTATCACAGTTTCTTTTTAGTCCATTTTCCATAACAAAAGAAGCTACACAAAATTTGGAGGAAGATACTGTCCTTGCAGACTGACACAGTCTGCAAGAGGGGTCATGAATAATAATGATTTCAAAGCCCCTACTTTAACTCCTGAATTGGGCAAAGAATAAATGACAATATAAGAATGAATTTTGTTTGCAACAATATCATAATATAGCATTAATTATTACAGTGCAGTGGTTGTAATTAAGTTCACAATAAAATATTCTTAACCCAAACACCAGACAAACTAAAATCACTAGACTGCTCATGAACTGAAATGATCAGTGCAAGCAGTTGTTGTCTCAGTAATGAAAACCAAAATTGGAAAGGCTTTTCTGGCAGGGAGTCTCTGACATGAACGGCCCCCTCTCTGTTCATTGAGGCCCAGGCGCCCTCACTTGGAGTCTTGGTCTTTCTTTTAATCTAAAAGGGCAGAACAGAGCCCCAGCTTTTTCAGTTCTTTCACCAGGTACCCATTCTAGTACATATGCATAAGAATGTCACAGCCCCCCACAAACTCGCCATTGAGGTATCCATTGAGGATAGTGGGCCAGTTGGAATAGTCTTTTTTGTTTTTGAGACACAGTTTCGCTCTTGTTGCCCAGGCTGGAGTGCAATGGGGCGATCTCAGCTCACTGCAACCTCTGCCTCCGGGGTTCAAGTGATTGTCCTGCCTCAGCCTCCCGAGTAGCTGGGATTACAGACATGTGCCACCATGCCTGGCTAATTTTGTATTTTTAGTAGAGATGGGATTTCTCCATGTTGGTCAGGCTCGTCTCAAACTCCCACCCTCAGGTAATCCGCCCAGTCTCAAACTCCCACCCTCAGGTAATCCGCCCACCTCAGCCTCTCAAAGTGCTGGGATTACAGGCGTGAGCCACCGCACTCGACTAGAATAGTCTTTATTTTATTTATTTATTTATTTATTTATTTATTTATTTATTTATTTATGAGACAGAGTTTCACTCTTGTTGCCCAGGCTGGAGTGCAAGGGTGCGATCTTGGCTCACCACAACCTCCGCCTCCTGGGTTCAAGTGATTCTCCTGCCTCAGCCTCCTGAGTAGCTGGGATTATAGGCATGCGTCACCACGCCCAGCTAATTTTGTATTTTTAATAGAGACGGGTTTTCTCCATGTTGGTCAGGCTGGTCTCGAACTCCCGACCTCAGGTGATCCGCCCACCTTGGCCTCCCAAAGTGCTGGGATTACAGGCGTGAGCCACCGTGCCTGGCCAAAATGCACAATTCTTAAGCATTCAATTCACTGAATTTTGAATATACTCACTTGTAACCACCATCCTAAACACAATCTTGAACATGGAAATCCCCAGAATATCTCTAGGTGGCCTTTTCTAGTCAATCCCACCCTACCCCCTTTCTAGGTAACCGCTTTATCTTTTATCACCATAAAGTAGTTTTTAGCCAGGTGTGGTGACTCACGCCTATAATACCAGCACTTTGGGAGGCTGATGCAAGAGGATTGCCTGAGGCAAATAGTTCAAGACCAGCCTGGGCAACATAGTGTGACCTCATCTCTGCAAAAAATTAGCTGGGTATGGTGGTGCACGCCTGTAGTCCCAGCTACTTAGGAGGCTGAGGCAGGAGGATTGCTTGAGACCAGGAGGTTGAGACTGCAGTGAGCCATGATTATGCACTGCACTCCAGTTTGTGTGACAGAGTGAGACCCTGTCTCAAAAAAAAAAAAAAAAAAAAAAAAAAAAAAGTAGCCATTTGCTTTCTTCAGGTGTTTTTTTGAGATGGAGTCTGGCTCTGTCACCCAGGCTGGAGTGCAGTGGTGCAATCTTGGCTCACTGTAAGCTCCACCTCCCGGGTTCAAGTTATTCTCCTGCCTCAGCCTCCCAAGTACCTGGGACTACAGGCGCCCACCACCACGCCCAGCTAATTTTTGTATTTTTAGTAGAGATGGGGTTTCACCATATTGGCCAGGCTGGTCTCGAACTCCTGACCTTGTGATCCACCTGCCTCCCAAAGTGCTGGGATTACAGGTGTGAGCCACCACGCCCAGCTGCTTTCTTCAGTTTTATAACTGATGAGGTTTAGAGAGAATCCTGGAAGTAAACGGACCTGGCTCATTACATAACCATGCCCTCTGGCTTGATCAACATTAAGAGAACATTCCTCTTTCTCCTTCATTAGCTGTTTGGTTCATAACCCCGATAGGCTGTTCCAAGCCATTATCTTGCCTTTTAAAATTCTCTTTCCCTTTCCTCACAACTATTTCAGCAGGTGAGGTTGAAGTCTTGGAGTTTACCAGCTATATGCACTTCTCTTGCCTTACACCTTCCTTTTCATACTAAATTAAACTCTGCCCTTTCATCCTGTATCTCTCCCACGTTTATATTTACCACAAATGTGTGTCATCATTTCTATTACACCACATTTTTCTTGTTCATTTGTTTGTCTCTCCTAATTGATTGTGAGTTTCTCAAAGGGAGGGACTGGCTTTCACTTTCTTACCTCCAGTGCCTCAAACATGACTTCTCAGTAGGTGTCTGCTGAGCCTCACTAGCCTTCCGACCTTCAGAATCTTCTAATTTCAGCCTTTCTGAAGAATCACTGCCTGCCTGATCTTAAAATAACATTTTTATCTTAGTCAGAATTGATAATTTATAATAGGTCCTTGTTGTCTAGTGGCTCAAGCACTTGTCTCAGCCTGGCCTTTTGAGCAATCTGTAGTCTAGATCTGGTGTCACCTTGCCTTTCCAAATTTATCTTCCAGTGGCTGCTCCCCACAAGCTGGTTTTCTTCGTGTCCTAAGTAGGCCCTACTCCTTCCTGACCCTGGCCTTTACTTGCCATTTTCCCTGTTTGGGAAGTTTCCAGTCTCCTTTGTACCACTCTGAATTTCACAAGAATTAGCAGAATTTTTTTGGCATGAGACTTGTTGTTTTCATCAAGATGGCTTTTAAACTGAAGGAGAGGGGAGAAAAATAACCAGATAAAATTATATAGCTGAATTCCATGAAGGACATAAGACATGGGAAAAATGGATAAAGTATGTACCTCTATTGTAGCACTTATCACATTGCATGGTTCTTCCCACTTTAGACTGAGCTTTCTAGACCAGCTTATTGAAGTGGGTGGGGGTGAGGGGGAGCAAAATAGCCTGAGCTCTCTAAGAGGAGGGACTTTATTTTATTATTGTATGGCCAACAGTAAAACTATAACCTGGCATATGAGAGGTACTCAGTAGGAAAATATATACTGTATGATATGAATCATTTAAAAAGTGTTGAGATTTGCTTTATGGCCAGTTTTTGTAAATGGTCACTGAACACTTGAAAAGAAGGTGTATTCTGCAGCTTTTGGGTGCAGTGTTCTATATATGTCGGTTAGGTCCAATTTACTAAATTATGTTGTTCAAATCTATCTCTTTTTTTTTTGGCCTTCCTTCTCCCTTCCCTCCCCTCCCCTCCCCTTCCTTTTCCTTCCCTTTTTCTTTCTTTCTCTCTCTCTCGTTTTTTTTTTTGAGACAAGGTCCTGCTATGTTGCCCAGGCTGGTCTTGAACTCCTGGGCTCAAGCAGTCCTCCCACCACAGCCTCCCAAGGTGTTGGGATTACAGGCATGAGCCACTGAACCTGGCCCAAGTCTATCTCTCTACTGATTGTTTTTTTCTGCTTGTTCTACCAGTTACTTACAGAGGTGTATTTAAATATCTCACTATGATTTGGATTTGACCATTTTTCTTTTTAGTTCTGTTCAGTTTTACTTTATATATTTTGGAGGCTATGTTATTTGATGTATACAAATTTAGAATTGTTATGCTTCCCTCCTGGATTGATCCCTTTCTCACTGTGTCCCTCTTTATCCCTGGGGATGCTTCCTACCTTCAAATCCATTTTATCTGCTATTAGTACAACTATACCACTTCGATTTTGGTTAGTATTTACATGAGAAGTAATAGATCATGCCTCCTGAAATTCATATTAACCAAAGGAAAAAAAAACCACTAAGCACAGTTAGACACAAGAAATAGACTACAGCAAAACAGATTTTTAAAATTCAAAGAAAATACATGTTGAGCTCATGGCCAGAGACTTTAAAGTGAAGATAAGCCAAGAAAATGGAAAATCCTAAGAAACGAGGCCTGATGGTATTTCCCAATAAGAAATCCTTCCAGCTCATTCTACTAGCATTTCCATTCCTAATCATATGCTTGAACCTATCAAATCCTTCAATTAATTGACCTTACCAAATTTTTACAACTTTCCTCATGCCCATATTTTCCTCCTAATTGAGTTTAGATTCTATACATGATTCGTAATTGTCATCATTCCTTTGCATAACTAGGAATATACTTATTAAGAAAGTTCAAGACCTGTATGAAGAAAGTGGTAAAAATACAATAAAAAGACCTAAAATTAGACTTGTAAAAATGAAAAGACTGGGCTGGGTGCGGTGGCTCACGCCTGGAATCCTAGCACTCTGGGAGGCCGAGGTGGGTGGATCACTTGAGGTCAGGAGTTCAAGACCAGCCTGGCCAACATGGTGAAACCCTGTCTCTACTGAAAATACAAAAATTGGCCAGGCGTAGTGGTGCATGCCTGTAATCCTAGCTACTAGGGAGGCTGAGGCAAGAGAATCGCTTGAACCCAGGAGGTGGAGGTTGCAGTGAGCTGAGATCGTGCCACTACATTCCAGCCTGGGCAACAGAGCGAGACTCTGTCTCAAAAAAAAAAAAAAAAAAAAAAAAGAAAAGACTTAAAAGGTTCTTGGATAGGAAGACTCAACTTTGTAAATATATCATGATGTTTAGTTGAAAACAAGAATAACCAGAAAAGCTTGAAAAAGAACATCAATGAGGGGCATCAAGCCCCACCAGCTATTCATATATATCAAGCTTGTCCAACCCACGGCCTGTGGGCCACACATGGCCCAGGACAGCTTTGAATACAGCCCAACACAAATTCATAAACTTTATTTATTTATTTAGTATTTATTGATCACTCCTGGGTGTTTCTCGGAGAGGGGGATTTGGCAGGGTCATAGGACAATAGTGGAGGGAAGGTCAGCAGATAAACATGTGAACAAAGGTCTCTGGTTTTCCTAGGCAGAGGGTCCTGCTGCCTTCTGCAGTGTTTGTGTCCTTGGGTAGTTGAGATTAGGGAGTGGTGATGACTCTTAACGCGTATGCTGCCTTCAAGCACCTATTTAACAAAGCACATCTTGCACTACCCTTAATCCATTTAACCCTTAGTGGACACAGCACATGTTTCAGAGAGCACGGGGTTGGGGGTAAGGCTATAGATTAACAGCATCCCAAGGCAGAAGAATTTTTCCTAGTGCAGAACAAAATGGAGTCTCCTATGTCTACTGCTTTCTACACAGACACAGTAACAATCTGATCTCTCTTTCTTTTCCCCACATTTCCCCCTTTTCTATTCGACAAAACCGCCATTGTCATCATGGCCCGTTCTCAATGAGCTGTTGGGTACACGTCCCAGACGGGGTGGCGGCCGGGCAGAGGGGCTCCTCACTTCCCAGACGGGGCTGCCGGGCAGAGGCGCCCCCCACCTCCCGGACGGGGTGGCTGGCCGGGCGGGGGCTGCCCCCCACCTCCCGGACGGGGCGGCTGGCCGGGCGGGGGCTGCCCCCCACCTCCCGGATGGGGCGGCTGCCGGGTGGAGGGGCTCCCCACTTCCCAGACGGGGCGGCTGCCGGGCAGAGGGGCTCCTCACTTCTCAGGGCGGCCTGTCAGAGACGCTCCTCACCTCCCAGACGGGGTGGCGGCGGGGCAGAGACACTCCTCAGTTCCCAGACGGGGTCGCGGCCGAGCAGAGGCTTTCTTCACATCTCAGAAGGGGCGGCGGGGCAGAGGCGCTCCCCACATCCCAGATGATGGGCGGCCAGGCAGAGACGCTCCTCACTTCCTAGACGGGATGACGGCCGGGAAGAGGCTCTCCTCACTTCCCAGACTGGGCGGCCGGGCAGAGGGGCTCTTCACATCCCAGACGAAGGGCGGCCAGGCAGAGACGCTCCTCACTTCCTAGACGGGGTGGCGGCGGGACAGAGGCTGCAATCTCGGCACTTTGGGAGGCCAAGGCAGGCGGCTGGGAGGTGGAGGTTGTAGCGATCCGAGATCACGCCACTGCACTCCAGCCTGGGCAACATTGAGCACTGAGTGAGCGAGACTCCGTTTGCAATCCCGGCACCTCGGGAGGCCGAGGCTGGCAGACCACTCGTGGTCAGGAGCTGGAGACCAGCCCGGCCAACACGGCGAAATCCCGTCTCCACCAAAAAATACGAAAACCAGTCAGGTGTGGCGGCGCGCCTGCAATCCCAGGCACTCAGCAGGCTGAGGCAGGAGAATCAGGCAGGGAGGCTGCAGTGAGCCGAGATGGCGGCAGTACAGTCCAGCCTCGGCTCGGCATCAGAGGGAGACCGTGCAAAGGGGAGATGAGGACCGTGCAAAGGGCAGAGGCAGAGGCAGAGGCAGAAACTTTCTTAAAACATTATAAGATTTGTGTGTGTGTGTGTGTGTGTGTGTGTGTGAGTCTGGAGTGCAGTGGCACAATCTTGGCTCACTGCAACCTCTGCTTCCTGGGTTCAAGTGATTCTCCTGCTTCAGCCTCTCGAGTAGCTGGGACTCCAGGCACTTGCCACAATGCCCACCTAATTTTTGTATTTTTAGTAGGGACACCGTTTCCCCATTTTGGCCAGACTGGTCTCAAACTCCTGACCTCAAATAATCCACCCGCCTTGGCCTCCCAGAATGCTGGGATTACAGGTGTGAGCCACTGCACTCAGCCAGTGTTAGTGTATTTTATGTGTAGCCCAAGACAATTCTTCTTCCAGTGTGGCCCAGGGAAGCCAAAAGATTTGACTCCCCTGAATATATGATTCATTAGCTGGGCTTGGTGGTACATAACTCTAGTCCCAGCTACTCAGAAGGCTGAGGTGGGAGGATTGCTTGGGACCGGGAGTTTGAGGCTAGCCTGGACAACATAGTGAGACCCCTGCCTCTAAATAAATAAATGAATGAAATGAAATGAAATAAATTCTTAGTAATTAAAACAACGTGAATGGATATACAGATGGGTTTTGTAACCCATACGCTATACTAAGATAAATTTCAAATGGATGAAAGATTGAAAGTAAAAAATGTCGGCTGGGCATGGTGGCTCATGCCTGTAATCCCAGCACTTTGGGAGGATGAGGCGGGCAGATCACTGAGGTCGGGAGTTCGAAACCAGCCTGACCAACATGGAGAAACTTTGTCTCTACTAAAAAAATACAAAATTAGCTGGGCGTGGTGGCGCATGCCTATAATCCCGTCTACTCAGGAAGTTGAAGCAGGAGAATTGCTTGAACCCAGGAGGTGGAAGGGTGGGCCGAGATTGCGCCATTTCACTCCAGCCTGGGCAACAAGAATGAAACTTCATCTCAAAAAAAAAAAAAAAAAAAAAAGGCCGATTGTGGTGGCTCACACCTGTAATCCCTGCACTTTGGGAGGCCGAGGCAGGTGGATCACGAGGTCAGGAGATCGAGACTATCCTGGACAACATGGTGAAACCCCATCTATACTAAAAATACAAAAATTAGCCAAGCGTGGTGGTGCACGCCTGTAATCCTAGCTACTTGGGAGCCTGAGGCAGGAGAATTGCTGGAACCCGGGAGGTGGAGGTTGCAGTGAGCCGAGATCCCACCACTGCACTCCAGCCTGGGTGACAGAGTGAGACTCTGTCTCAAAAAAAAAAAAAAAAAAAAAAAATTAGCCAGGCATGGTGACAGGCACCTGTAGTCCCAGCTACTTGGGAGGCTGAGGCAGGAGAATGGCATGAACCCGGGAGGCGGAGCTTGCAGTGAGCAGAGATCGCGCCACTGTACTCCAGCCTGGGTGACAGAATGAGACTCCGTCTAAAAAAAAAAAAAAAAAAAAGAGAAGGCAAAAATGTAAACTATTAAGAAGAAGACCTCTGGTATGGTTTGGCTGTGTCGCCACCAAAATCTCATGTTGAATTGTAGCTCCCATAATTACCACATGTTGTAGGATGGACCCGGTGGGAGATAATTGAATCATGGGGACAGGTCTTTCCTATGCTATTCTCATGATAGTGAATACATCTTACAAGAACTGATGGTTTTATAAAGGGGAGTTCCCCTACACAAGCTCTCTTGCCTGCTGCCATGTAAGACATGACTTTGCTCCTCATTTGCCTTCTGCCATGATTGTGAGACATCCCCAGCCATGTGGAACTGTGAGTCAATTAAACCTCTTTCCTTTATAAATTACTCAGTCTCACGTATGTCTTTATTAGCAGCATGAGAACAAACTAGTACAAACTCTTTCATTACCTTAAAGTGGTGAAAATATTTCTAACTATGACTCAAAATTTAGAAGCCATAAAAGGCTGATAAAGAACAAAACAAACAAGCCAAAGCCTTCTGCATGGGAAACAAACACATCTGCAGAAGTCAAGCCAAAAGAGAAACAGCAAACTGGGGAAATCAATTCAGAGCATATGCAAATAGCTAATTCCTTGGATATATAAAGAACATGTACAAATGGATCAGAAAAAACAACTATCCTAATTAAAAAATGAGCAAAGCATATGAAGGGACAATTCACAGAATACCACTGGCTCTTTTTTTTTTTTTTTTTGGAGAGACAGTCTTGCTCTGTCACCCAGGCTGGAGTGCAGTGGCATGATCTCGGCTCACTGCAACCTCCACCTCCCGGGTTCAAGTGATTCTCCTGCCTCAGCTTCTCAAGTAGCTGGGACTACAGGCATGCACCATCATGCCCAGCTAATTTTTGTATTTTTAGTAGAGACAGGGTTTTACTATATGTTGGCCAGGCTGGTCTTGAACTCCTGACCTCAGGTGATCCATCTGCCTCGGCCTCCCAAAGTGCTGGGATTATAGTCGTGAGCCACTGCACCCAGACACAACTGGCTCTTAATCCAGGGAGATGCTCAGGTCACTTGTAATAAGAGATATGCAATTTTTTTTTTTCTGTTTTTTTTTTTTTGAGACGGAGTCTCCCTCTGTCACCCAGGCTGGAGTGCAGTGGCACGATCTTGGCTCACTGCAACCTCCGCCTCCTGGGTTCAAGTGATTCTTCTGTCTCAGCCTCCCAAGTAGCTGGGACTACGGGCGCCCGCCACTACGACTGGCTAATTTTTGTATTTTTAGTAGAGACGGGGGTTTTACCATATTGGCCAGGCTGGTCTCGAACTCCTGACGTGATTCACCTGCCTTGGCCTCCCAAAGTGCTGGGATTACAGATGTGAGCCACCACGCCCAGCTTCTAACACCCTTCTCTAGTGTGTATCCTTTTTTTATGAGACAGAGTGTCACTCTGTAACCCAGGCTGGAGTGTAGTGGTGCTATCTCTGCTTACTGTAACCTCTGTCTCCTGGGTTCAAGTGATTCTTGTGCCTCAGCCTCCCGAGTAGCTGAGATTACAGGCGTGAGCTACCACGCCCAGCTAATTTTTATATTTTTAGTAGAGACAGGGTTTTGCCTTGTTGGTCAGGCCGGTCTTGAATTCAAGTGATCCGCCTGGCCTGGCCTCCCAAAATGCTGGGATTATAGGTGTGAGCCACTGAGCCCAGTCACTAGTGTGTACCTTTTCAGTCTCCACTTCTCCCTACTCTCTAGATTTCCTAAACTTCCTTTTTCCTCTGCACTCTAAGCTAATGAGTTTACCTCTGAAGAAATCAAAGAAATTGCCATTATCTTCTCACCAACAAATCTACAAGCTGTACCACATGCTTCTCTCGTTGTGGTGGCTAGTTTTCTCTGCTTTCTTTTAACCCTCAACTTGAGCTCAGGATGCCATCTCTTCTCTCCTCTATTACTTGATACCATAACTGTTCTTCCCCCACCCCCTTTTTGAGAGAAGGTCTTGCTTTGTCACCCAGGCTGGAATGCAGTGGCATGAGCATGGCTCACTGCAGCCTCCACCTCCCAGGCTCAAAGGATCCTCCCACCTCAACCTCTGGAGTAGCTGGAACCACAGGCACTGCCATGCCCGGCTAATTTTTTAATTTTTTTTTATTTTTTATTTTTTGTCTCTCTCTGTTCCCCAGGCCGGTCTGGAACTCCTGGGCTCAAGCAATACTCCTGCCTTGGCCTCCCAAAGTGCTGGGATTGTAGGCATGAGCCACTGTGCCTGGCCTCTCTTTTCCACACGATTAATTTCTTGCTCTTTACTGGATCATTGCTATTAGCACACAAGTATTTCCATCTAAACAAAATACCTACTCTGCGTTTATTCAACATCCCTTACAGCTGTTGCTCCTTTTCTCTGCTGGCCTTCTCTGCAGAATTTCAATTGAACTGTCTATAGTCACAGTCTATTTTTTTGTGTGTGCGTGGGGCTGTTGAATAATTCCTTCCATAATTTTCTACTTTACAGACAAACTAATCAGTCTGTAGTTTACAAATCTGTTTTGAAGGACTATGGAAAACAAATGTCAATGACAATGAAATTTTAACATTTATTATACATTTAAGCAACTTTATGGGAAAAAGAATCTGATGAACATCAAATTACTTGCATGCTCTAAAATACCTTCATGCTTTGTAACTGTATATGCAGATGTTTTATATAGTAATAACTGAGGTGCACACTGTTTGTATTTACTTTTTTCATTTTAGTTATTAACAATATTTCATGTATACTTGTCCATTATTAATATTTTCAAAACAGAAAATATAAAATTGAATAGAGATCAATGCAAAATGTACTTTGGTTAAGAAAGAAATGCGGCTGGGCGCAGTGGCTTACACCTGTAATCCCAACACTTTGGGAGGCCGAGTTGGGCGGATCACCTGAGGTCGGGAGTTCGAGACCAGCCTGACCAACATGGAAAAACCCCGCGTACTAAAAATACAAAATTAGCCAGGCGTGGTGGCCTATAATCCCAGCTACTTGGGAGGCTGAGGCAAGAGAATCGGTTGAACCTGGGAGGCGGAGGTTGCAGTGAGCCAAGATCGCGCCATTGCACTCCAGCCTGGGCAACAAGAGCAATACTCCATCTGAAAAAAAAAATGCATAAGTATAGGATGTGGGAGACCCAATTTAACAGTAGTTCAAGTGAAAATAAAGGGCTTACCCATTTTAGTATGCTGTAAATTGAATATAACTCAATAGTGTAACATGGCTATTATTATATTTGTGAATGCATGCTTTTTAAATTTATTTTTATTTATTTTTATATTTTTAAGAGGCAGGATCTTTCTTGTTCCTTTGCCCAGGCAGGAGTGCAGTGGTGCAATCATAGCTTACTGCAGGTTCGAATTCCTGGGCACAAGTGATTCTCTTGTCTCAGCCTCCGGAGTACAGGATTACAGGTTACACCACCATACCCAGCTAATTTTTTATTAAAAAAAATTTTAAATTTAATTTTCTGGCGGGGCATGGTGGTTCACGCCTATAATCCCAGCACTTTGGAAGGCTGAGGTGGGAGGATCACTTGAGCTCAGGAGTTCAAGACTAGCCTGGGCTACATAGCAAGACATCGTGTATACAGAACAAAACAACAAAAACAAAGAAAAGAGAGAGAGAGAGGAAGGAAGGAAGAAAGGAAGGAAGGAAAAGAAAGAAAGAAAGAAAAAATTAGCAGGATGTGGCAACGCCTGTGGTCCCATCTACTCAGGAGACTGAGGTGGGAGGATTGCTTGAGCCCAGGAGGTGGAGGTTGCAGTGAGCCATGATTGCACCACTGCACTCTAGCCTGGGCAACAGAGCAAGACCCTGTTTCAAAAATAAAATAAATAAATAAAGGCCGGGCACGGTGGCTCATGCCTGTAACCCCAGCACTTTGGGAGGCCGAGGTGGGCGGATCACCTGAGGTCGGGAGTTTGAGACCAGCCTGACCAATATGGAGAAACCCCGTCTCTACTAAAAATACAAAATTAGCAGGCGTGGTGGCACATGCCTGTAATCCCAGCTACTAGGGAGGCTGAGGCAGGAGAATCGCTTGAACTCGGGAGGCGGAGGTTGCGGTGAGCCGAGATCGCGCCATTGCACTCCAGCCTGGGCAACAAGAGTGAAACTCCGTCTCAAAAAACAAATAAATAAATAAAAATAAAAATAAATAAATAGGCTGGGCGCGGTGGCTCACGCCTGTAATCCCAGCACTTTGGGAGGCCGAGGCGGGCGGATCACAAGGTCAGGAGATTGAGACCATCCTGGCTAACACGGTGAAATCCCGTCTTACTAAAAATACAAAAAAAAATTAGCCAGGCATGGTGGCGGGCGCCTGTAGTCCCAGCTACTCCGGAGGCTGAGGCAGGAGAATGGCGTGAACCCGGGAGGCGGAGCTTGCAGTGAGCAGAGATCGCGCCACTGCACTACAGCCTGGGCGACAGAGCAAGACTCCGTCTCAAAAATAAATAAATAAATAAAATTTCTTAGACACAGAGTCTTTTCCCTATGTTGCCCTGGTTGGTTTCAAACTCCTGGCCTTAAGTGATCCTCCCCTCCTGCCTCAGCCTCCTGAGTAGCTGGGATTACAGGCACACGTCACAGAGCCCAGCTGTCAGTGTATATACCTTTCTCCAAGACTTTAAATTTCTTTCTTTTCTTTTCTTTTTTTTTTGAGACGGAGTTTCGCTCTTGATGCCCAGCAGGCTGGAGTGCAATGGCGCGATTTCAGCTCACTGCAACCTCCTCCTCCCAGGTACAAGCGATTTTCCTGTCTCAGCCTCCCAAGTAGCTCAGATTACAGGCATGTGCCACCACGCCCGGCTAATTTTTTTTGTATTTAGTAGAGACAGGGTTTCACCACGTTAGTCAGACTGACCTCAGGTGATCCACCCACCTCGGCCTCCCAAAGTGCTGGGATTATAGGCGTGTGCCACGCACCCGGCCAAGACTATTAAGCACCCAGTAGGTGGTTTAAATTGAATGGAACCAGAAGCAGAACTTTGGCCAAAGAGATGGGGACAAAGGAATGAGAGCAAAGGTGAAAAAGGCAAAATGTCAAACAATATCATTCTTTTGGATAAAAATGTGGTCTTTTCCCTTGCAATGAGGTAATGCTAAGGAAGTTTTTTCCCCACAGTCTGCATATGCTTAGTACAGTTAAAATTAAATCATCGTAAAATAGAAACTACAACTAGCAAAGGTGTTGAGCATGAATTTCAATTAAAAATGATGTAGCAATATAAATATTAACAGAAAGTTTGAGTATCAACATTGTCTATAGAAAAAAGGTGGCTTAGTCAGCACACAACTATTAGTCACAGTGAGAAAACAAACAATTCTGAAATGTAGGGACCTGTTCACAGATCAAATATGTGTAAAGGACATATCCAGTCACCCAGAGATGTTTCTAGAGCATGTTCAGCTCAGTTTGTATCATCTGGGTGTGTTTTGTGTACATCTGTTTAACTTTCTTCTTGAGATAACGTAATTCTGCTCTTCCCAAGTTGTGTTGTTGTGGGTTTTTAAATTTTTGTTGTTGTTGTTTGTTTTTTGAGACAGGGTCTGGCTCTGTCGCCCAGGCTGTAGTTCAGTGGCGCGATCTAGGCTCACTGCAACCTCCGCCTCCGGGCTCAAGCCATCCTCCCACCTCAGCCTCCCAAGTAGCTGGGACTATACTGCCCAGGCTCCCATTTTCCAGTTGAGTGCTCCCTTTCCCTTTTTTTTCCCCTTTCTTCCTCCCAGCGTAGCTCATCTCTCAAAGCCGGTGGGGTGGACAGAGGAACAGTTTGGAGGTGGTGCCAAAGTAACATTCCATTTCTCTCCGGGTCTTCTCCCCTACCCTCCCATATTAATATTTGTTTTTTACTTGCCAAGAGGCAGGACCAAAGTTTCTGCAGGACCAAACTGCAGGTGCAGTTGCACCAAGCAACTTACATTCAAACAAACACAAAACCCCAAGCCAAGCCGGTCTCCGTAAATCCCACACCACGACTGCCTTTCCTACTTCCTCCTTAGAGGTACTTCTCAGCCCTCTAGCTCCAACTGAGAACCCAGCCAGTCAGGAAGTCGCTACTTCGGGAACACCAACCAATCAGGGGGCCGTCACCTGCTGAAGGTGCGGAATTCGTCTCCTGACGCGACAGTCTCCTGGGCCAATCTGAGGCAGCTCCTGTGGGGAAAGGCGCCAGTGCGCCGAGGCGGGGAGTGGCGGCGGGGTAACACCTGGCCGAGGTGACTCGTTCTGAAGAGCAGCGGTTCCTTACACCAATCGGAACGTGCAGGGGTGGGGAGCTGGCCAATCAGGCGCGGAGGGCGGGGCCGGGCGGGGTTCCACCTGGCGGCTGGCTCTCAGTCCCCTCGCTGTAGTCGCGGAGCTGTGTCTGTTCCCAGGAGTCCTTCGGCGGCTGTTGTGTCGGGAGCCTGATCGCGATGGGGACAAAGGCGCAAGTCGAGAGGAAACTGTTGTGCCTCTTCATATTGGCGATCCTGTTGTGTAAGTTCCCAGAGTTTCGGGAGGAATCGGTTGGTCGGGTCAGAGGTTGGAGGAAGGCTCTCCCCACGCCCCTAGCCCGCGGGAGGGGAGGAGCTCAGAAACCTTCCTATATCGTTCTGCGAATTATCTTTTCCACCCCTGGCTGGTCCCTCTTTCACCACTCTCACAGCTGGGTGAGTGGCTGGCTCCCCTCCCCCACACTGGTGAGTTGTGACCGCACCCCTCACGGCCACCAGGAGGGAGCTGACCCATCTGCACACACCAGAGGTACACTCCTCGTCCTCACTGGAGAGGGCCGTCGGGCCAAGGACCCTTCCACACTCATCTACCCAGCGCGCGCTCCACACGCACCTGGGAAGGGCCAGCCTGCCCCTCCAACGGCCACCCAGCATCCACGAACCCCGCTGCGCAGCCGGGAGCCTTGGCTCCTTTAACGGTCTTCGAAGAAAATCAAATGGAGGTGGTCTGGGGTGGAAGTCTCTTCCCCTAGCTTTTGCTGAAGGAGTCTCTGGCTCTTCTGAATCTTTGAATTGCGGCGGTTGCTCTGGGAAAATGTCTGGGTGCACAGTCTAAAGAGGAAATGCAATAGAAACCTGAAATTTCTCTAAGCGCAGCAGAGGTTCCAGCGAAGTTCCTTTATGGAATAACTACCTCAGGAGTCCTTAATACGTGTTGTTGATTGAGTGACTCTTCCCAGGGGGAGAGTGTATCTGTTGGTTGGCTGGATTCTCATCAGAGCCAGAGCTCTGCCCTCCCTCTGGCTGTGTATGAGAGTTTTTGTTTCCTTTGTAAACTCCCTTTCCTGAGGAACAATGAGGCTCACTTGCTAGGGCATGCCTCTGTCTCTAGATGTGTTTGTGTGGGGCTGAGCGTTTAGTCGGTTGGTTTGTGCGTTAGTCAACCTGTGGCAGTACCTGTGTGTTTATCTGATTCTTGAGTGTGCGTGTCGTTGTGTGAGTAGTTGTGTCAGTATGTGTTCTACATGAGTCTCCCCCCACCCCCAAGGTTCTTGTTTTAGAAAGTGTTAAATGAATGATTACAATCAGTTTGGTGTATGTAGATTCCCTGCCCTTAGATGGATTGACTGCTCATTTCTACCTTATCACAACATAAACCCTTGGGAGAGATTGGACCAGAGGCATATATCATCCTCTTTCTATTTTACTGATAAGGAAACAAGTCCAAAAGGGGAAATGACTTCAATGACAATAGAGTTAGGGGTGGAACCTGGGAATGGAACCAAACCCTCTTGACTTGCTTTTCCTTTTTCCATTCTTTGATCCAGCATCTCAGGCACCCTATAGCACAAGAACTGTTTGGGATACTGCTTCAGAATCTACTGTCTTACTTACCTTTAAACTTACTTTCCCACTAGCTTCTTCATTCATGTCTCCCTCTTTTTTTTTTTTTTTTTTTGAGTTAGAGTTTCGCTTGTTGCCCAGGCTCGAGTGCAATGGTGCCATCTTGGCCCACCGCAACCTCCGCCTTCCGGGTTTAAGCGATTCTCCTGCCTCAGCCTCCCGAGTAGCTGGAATTACAGGCATGCACCATCACGCCCGGCTAATTTTTTGTTTTTAGTAGAGATGGGGTTTCACCATGTTGGTCGGGCTGGTCTTGAATTCCTGCTCTCAGGTGATCCACCCGCCTCGGCCTCCCAACGTGCTGGGATTACAGGTGTGAGCCACCGCGGCTGGCCATGTCTTCCTTTTTTTCTACTCTTTGAGTTCCCTTTTCTTTAATTTCCCTTTTTTCCCTACCCCTTGCCTATTTTACTTCTGCCTGTATTTTAGAACTGCTAGTGACACCCATAGTCAATTTTTGGTTATGTGGTTCTGGTACTAAAGGTTTTTCCAACCTTTGTACTGTGCCAGTATTTTTCCCCTAAGCCCAGAAGTTTCTTCTGTGTGAGTGACTGTATTTGTAACAGTGTTTGTCTGTGACAGTATTTGTCAGGCTTAAAAGCTTCCTGGAGCTGCTTACTCCCTATCCTTTGCCACTGCTTCCTTTCTTTTTTCTCCCTCTAATTTCCTATATTATTTATGATAATCCTAAAATAATCATATACTGGCACTGGAAGGTCATGATAACACCATTTTGAGCTTGGAGGTGTCTTCAGGGAACCAAGCCACAGTAGTGCAGAGGGAACCTGAGATGATGTCGCATTAGCCTGTTAGGACAGTGGGTCCTGGGAAGTGACTTGTCCAGGGGATGGAGGAACTGACCTTGTAACTTTTAAATCAGGCTAGATCTGGGGTTGGGTTGGGGGAGGGGAGTGATTTGGTTAGTGCAAATGAGGATGGAAATGGGAGCTGGGCCACCATACCTGCATTCTAGCTTGGCTTTCTCTCTGCCTTGTTTGTGATCTTAGGCAGTAGCTCAGTCTTTTCATCTGTAAAATAGCAGTAATACTTGTCCCACCTTTGTCAGGAGGATCAACCAGCATAATAGTTACATTACATATACATGAAGGGATTATTTTTGGGCAGCTGTTATCCCCTGTGGATTTTGTGAGGATGGAAGAATGCCAGAATGCTGTCCCTAGCTGAGTAGGTAAAAAAGGAAGCAGGGAGATCCCAAATGGCTAGAGTCAGAAATCAAAAAGCAGGAGCTTTTTCTTGGGTGTCTAGCTTGTCCACTGTCCCTGAGAGGCGTGGATAGGTTGCCCATATGTTCTCCCTGTTCTTCATTGTGGGCTCTGCTGTCAGGGAGGAAGTAGAAAAGGCAAGATAGGACTGACAAGTCAGGCAAAGGCCTGGCCCCAGCTTGGGGAACCTAATGGAGGGGAAACCCTGACCCTGTGGGGCAGAGATCCAGAGGGTAGACACTGGGAGAGCTGGACTTGGGAAAAGTAAAACTGATGACCCAGAGTACTAGCCTCCCTTTCCCTAGGGAACCTGTCCCTTAGAAAAGGTTCAGCTGTCTACCAGGTAGGGAGAGACACAGTAGAGGTGAGTGTGGATAGGTCAACTTACAGTGTAACCACAGGGGAGAGAGGGAAACCTGGGTTGGAATGCTGGCATTTGCTCCCCTGCCCTTCCTTGAGTGTGGTATCATCACTGAAGAGTTCCGCGTGGGCAGGGCAGAACTGCTGCCCTGCTTCTGGGTCATTCTCTGAGTCCCAGTGTTTACTATTGATGTTTCTGACTCAAGCCCTTCTAGCTTTGCCCTTTCAGGGGCAGGCATACCTCAAAACCGTAGACTGGTGTGAAGGTGTGGGTTGCCCCTCCACACCTGTGGGTGTTTCTCGTAAGGTGGAACGAGACTTGGAAAAGAAAAAGACACAGAGACAAACTATAGAGAAAGAAATAAGGAGACCCGGGGAACCAGCGTTCAGCACATGGAGGATCCCGCCAGCCTCTGAGTTCCCTTAGTATTTATTGATCATTCGTGGGTGTTTCTCTGAGAGGGGGATGTGTCAGGGTCACAAGACAATTGTGGGGAGAGGGTCAGTAGACAAACACGTGAACAAAGGTCTTTGCATCATAGACAAGGTAAAGAATCAAGTGCTGTGCTTTTAGATATGCATACACATAAACATCTCAATGCTTTACAAAGCAATATTGCTGCCCGCATGTCCCACCTCCAGCCTTAAGGCGGTTTTTCCCTATCTCAGTAGATGGAACGTACAATGTCTTGGTTTTATACCGAGACATTCCATTGCCCAGGGACGGGCAGGAGACAGATGCCTTTCTCTTGTCTCAACTGCAAGAGGCATGCCTTCCTCTTATACTAATCCTCCTCAGCACAGACCCTTTACAGGTGTTGGGCTGGGGGACAGTCAGGTCTTTCCCTTCCCACGAGGCCATATTTCAGACTATCACATGGGGAGAAACCTTGGACAATACCTGGCTTTCCTAGGCAGAGGTCCCTGCGGCCTTCCGCAGTGTTTTTGTCCCTGGGTACTTGAGATTAGGGAGTGGTGATGACTCTTAAGGAGCATGCTGCCTTCAAGCATTTGTTTAACAAAGCACATCTTGCACAACCCTTAATCCATTTAACCCTGAGTTTGACACAGCACATGTTTCAGAGAGCAAGGGGTTGGGGGTAAGGCCATAGATTAACAGCATCCCAAGGCAGAAGAATTTTTCTTAGTACAGAACAAAATGGAGTCTCCTATGTCTACTTCTTTCTACACAGACACAGTAACAATCTGATCTCTCTTGCTTTTCCCCACACTGGTGAGTCACTCCTCCTTTCCTCTCCCTCTACTCCCAGGAGTGAATTGTTCCCTCCAAACTAGAAACTGGTGACTGGCACTTCCTAGTTCTACCTGGAACTAGGAAACGAGTGGCAGTGGAATTTCAGTGTCCTTTAGTCTTTGCCTTCTGGCTCCAGATCACTTTTTTTTTTTTTGAGACGGAGTCTCATTCTGTTACCCAGGCTGGAATGCAGTAGCATGATCTTGGCTCACTGCAACCTCCACCTCCCGGCTTCAAGCGATTCTCCTGCCTTAGCCTCCCCAGCAGCTGGGACTACAGGCACGCGCCACCACGCCCGGCTAATTTTTTGTATTATTTATTTATTTATTTGTTTTTGAGACAGAGTCTCTCTCTGTCGCCAGGCTGGAGTACAGTGGCACGATCTCGGCTCACTGCAAACTCCACCTCCCGGGTTCATGCCATTCTCCTGCCTCAGCCTCCTGAGTAGCTGGGACTACAGGCGCCCGCCACCATGCCTGGCTAATTTTTTCTATTTTTAGTTGAGACGAGGTTTCACTGTGTTAGCCAGGATGGTCTTGATCTCCTGACCTCATGATCTGCCCGCCACGGCCTCCAAAAGTGCTGGGATTACAGGCGTGAGCCACCGCGCCCGGCCCCTAATTTTTTGTATTTTTAGTAGAGACGGGTTTTCACCATGTTGGCCAGGCTGGTCTCGAACTCCTGACTTCAAGTAATCCTCTTGCCTAGGCTTTCCAAAGTGCTGGGATTACAGGCGTGAACCCCTGCACCTGGCCACTCCAGACCACTTTTACCTCACCATGTTGCTCTTCAGTTCCTTTGTGATCATGTCTTGTGGAGTCTCCAGCCCAGTTCCGATTCAAGATAGAGCTACTGTGATTTTTTTTAAAAAAATTTAATTAGAATAGGTTAATTGACATGGTTTTATAATTAAAATGATATCAAAGGGGTGGGGTATCTCATTCCCATGTTGCTCCTGTTCACCCCAAACCCCAATAGTTTCTAATGTCTCTTCAGTGTTTCATTTTACAGATACAAGTATATATAAATAATACTTGTTTTTTCTCCCCTTTCTGACACAAAAAGAGGCATACTACATATATTCTACATCTTGCTTATATATATATATCATGGAGTTTTGTTGTTGTTGTTGTTGTTTTTGAAACAGGGTCTCACTCTGTTGCCCAGGCTGGAGTACAATGGCATGATCATAGCTCACTGCAGCCTTTTTTTTTTTTTTTGAGACAAAGTCTTGCTGTGTTGCCCAGGGAGGAGTCCAGTGGCGTGATCTTGTCTCACTGCAGACTCTGCCTCCCAGGTTCAAGTGATTCTCCTGCCTCAGCCTCCCGAGTAGCTGGGACACAAGCGTGCACCACCATTCTTGGCTAATTTTTGTGTGTGTGTATATATATATATATATATATTTTTTTTTTTGAGATGGAGTCTGGCTCTGTCACCCAGGCTGGAGTGCACTGGAGCAATCTCGGCTCACTGCAAGCTCCGCCTCGCGGGTTCACGCCATTCTCCTGCCTCAGCCTCCCGAGTAGCTGGGACTACAGGGGCCCGCCACCACTCCGGCTGATTTTTTGTATTTTTTTTAGTAGAGACGGGGTTTCACCGTGTTAGCCAGGATGGTCTCGATCTGCTGACCTCGTGATCTGCCTGCCTCGGCCTCCCAAAATGCTGGGATTACAGGCATGAGCCACTGTGCCCAGCCTTTTGTACATATTTTTTTAATTTAATTTTTTTTTTTTGAGATGGAGTCTTGCTCTGTTACCCAGGCTGGAGTGCAGTGGCGTGATCTCGGCTCACTGCAAGCTCTGCCTCCCGGGTTCACGCCATTCTCCTGCCTCAGCCTCCCAAGTAGCTGGGACTACAGGCACCCGCCACCATTCCCTGCTAATTTTTTTTTTTTTTTGTATTTTTAGTAGAGATGGGATTTCACCATGTTAGCCAGGATGGTCTTGATCTCCTGGCCTTGTGATCTGCCCCCATTGGCCTCCCAAAGTGCTGGGATTACAGGTGTGAGCTGCCCGGCTAATTTTTGTATTTTTAGTAGAGATAGGGTTTCACCATGTTGGCCAAGCTGGTCTTGAATTCCTGACTTCAAGTGATCCGCCTGCCTTGGCCTCCCAAAGTGCTGGGATTACAGGCATGAGCCACCGTGCCTGGCCTCACTGCAGCCTTGACCTCCTGGGTTCAAGCAATCCTCCAGTCTTAGCCTCCTGAATAGCTGAGGCTATAGGCAAGTGTGAGTGGTGAGCCATACCTGGCTAATTTTTTATTTTTTTAGTACAGACAGGGTCTCATCTGTTGTACAGGCTGGTCTTGAATTCTTGGCTTTAAGGGATCCTTTTGCCTTGGCCTTTCAAAATGCTGAATGACAGGTATGAGTCACTACACCTGGCCCATATTGGTTTCTAGGGATTGTGGCCTTGGCTGTTAGGATACATCCCACCCCCCTCCAAGTCAGCTGAGTTCAATTTGCACTTGTTCTGTGGACACATAAATGGGCAACACACGTTTCCACCACACCCAAAAATAGATTTAAATGCCATGCACATTTTATGTGATAATAATGAGACTTGTTTATCACATCTGTTAGGTTTGACTAGAGACCCTGGAGATCTCTAAACTCAAACCAGTTTCTGTTTCAGAGATTCAGGAAAGACCTGGATGACCTTGCGTCCAACATAATTGAGGATGAGGTTTCACTATTGTGTGACGGTTGTGGAAAGCAGTATGAGTGAACACATACTGTGAGAGTGGATACACACTAGGGTTTTCCTGGCATTGAGAACCCAGAGTTCATCTGCCTGGACTCCCTGATAAGCAGGGTTTCTGTCTAAAGTCCGGCTGCGTCATTTGTTTCACAATGTAGGGGCGGAACAGGAGGAAGCAGCTGGCTGGCAGGAAGTGGGTGCTGGGCCCCTGAAGTAAGTCCTGCGCTGGAAGGCTCGACCTTCCCTTGCACTGGGAAGATGGGGTGGCGGGGGAGCTGAGCAGGTAGAACCGGAAATTCTGCAGAGAGGGCGGGAGGGAGCCAGGGAGTGAAAGCGAGCCTGTCTTACCCTGCCATTACCACTTTCTGCCATCCTCAGAGGACCCGAGCCAGCTGATCGACATCACTGAAAGTGCAGCCAAGGATGGCTATTTAGACATAGCCCAGCCTGTTGTTGGCCTCACAGAGCCTTCCTCTTGCTCACACATTTCTAAACTGTTCTACCCCAAACCCCGGAAAGGCCCTTCCCTGTGGAACTTCCCTGGCCCATGGAGCCTCTTGATCTTTACGAGGAGGCCAACCCTTATGGGAGTTACTTCAATCTCTACAGGGTGAGTGGTGGGGAGGAAGGGGAAAACCAGAGTGGAAGCTCTAGGTCCAGGTTCTAATTGTATTGCAGTGTGAAATTCACTTGTTAATCCAACAAACATTGGTGTTTACTATGTTCTGAGCACTGTGCTAGAGATTAGGGGGAAAACATGAAGTTAAACTGGGTATGCTGTAGCTGGTGGGGTGAGGAGGCCCTGACTCATCCTTCCTATTGCAGGGCTCCAGCTCCCTGGCAACTGGGGGGTCTTGTGAGTCTCATATGCCCAGAGGGAAGTTTGGATGAATTCTTAGAGAAAACCAGAGAGAGACTGGTTGACTGTTTTCCCTCCTTTTCCCCCTCCTCCTCTTTCTTCTTTTTTTTTTTTTTCCCTAAATGAACAACAGACACCAGGGCCTACTTGAGTTTAGAGGATGGGAGGAGGGTGAGGATAGAAAAACTACCTTTTGGGTACTTTGCTTATTAGCAGGGTAATGAAATAATCTTTACACCAAACCCCGACGACATGTAATTCATCTATATAACAAACCTGCATATGTACCCCTGAGCCTAAAATTAAAGTTAAAAATAAATAAATCGGCCGGGTGCAGTGGCTTACGCCTATAATCCCAGCACTTTGGGAGGCTGAGGCGGGTGGATCACCTGAGGTCAGGAGTTCAAGACCAGCCTGGCCAACATGGTGAAACCCTGTTTCTACCAAAAATACAAAAATTAGCCGGGCATGGTGGTGGGTGCCTATAATTCTAGCTACTTGGGAGGCTGAGGCAGGAGAATTGCTTGAACCCAGAAGGCAGAGATTCCAGTGAGCTGAGATCATGCCATTGCTTTCCACCCTGGGTGACGAGAGCAAAAACTCTGTCTCAAAATAAATAAATAAATAAATAAATAAATAAATAAATAAAATTAATTAATTCAAACGACACAAAAGCAACTCAAGGAAAATTCTTTTTTTCTTTTATTTTTATAGAGATCAGAGCCTCTCTCTTTTTAAAATTTGTTATATTCTTTTTTATGTTGTATTTCTTCTTTTATGTTTTGTTATTGATATCCCTGAGGCATAGAGATGGGATCTTTCTATGTTGCCCAGGCTGGTCTTGAACTCCTGGGCTCAAGTGATTCTCCCATCTTGGCCTTCCAAAATGCTGCGATTATAAGCCTAAGCTGCTGCACTGCACCTGGCCAGAAAATTCTAATAATTAACAGGATATCTAGAAAAAACTAAAGGTTTCTTAGCAAAGTAGTAGAAGGAAGTAGGTCCTTTTCTGTTATGGGTCTGACCTGACCCTTCACGTACAAGGGATGGTTGTTGGTGGGTTCTGTTAAGAGTCTGGAGGCCTCTGCCTTCTGTGACCATCTTCTCACCCCAGCAGTGCTTTGGTGCAGTTCATCGAGCACCTCCTCTGTGCAAAGTGTAGTGCTGGGAGCTGGGGAAGGATACAAGCAGAACTCAAGAAACTGCAGACACGTATTGACTAGGTAGAGTACAGAGCAGCGTGTGCCAGGGGCTGTCAACAAAGTACAAAATGTTTTAGGAGCATAGACGAGAAGAGAGTAACTTTTTAAAGATATAAGCTTTTTGTTTTATTAAAAAAAGTGATACATGCTCCATGTAGAAAAATAGGAAAATGCAAAGGACTATGGAGAAAATAAAATCACATGTAATTCTATTATCTAGAGATAAACACTTATTACTGGTGTTTCATTCTAGTCTTTATGAATTAATGTGTGAGATACGTCTATATTTCCTACAAAATATACTTTTTTTTTTTTTTTGAGGTGGAATCTCGCTCTGTCACCCAGGTTGGAGTGCAGTGGCACAATCTCAGCTCACTGCAACCTCCACTTCCTGGGCTCCAGCAATTCTCTGCCTCAGCCTCCCAAGTAGCTGGGATTACAGGTGCCCACCACTACGCCTGGCTAATTTTTTTGTATTTTTAGTAGAGATGGGGTTTCACCATCTTGGCCAGGCTGGTCCTGAACTCCTGACCACCTGTCTCGGCCTCTCAGTGTTGAGATTACAGGTGTGAGCCACCGCGCCTGGCCCAAAATATACTTTAAGGTCCTTTCTACATTATTCCTAAAGTATGGCTATATCATAATTTACTTATTCACCTTTTGTTGGGCATTTAGATTTCTTTTTTTTCTTTGTTATACTAAATAACATTAAATTGGCTGGGCATGGTGGTTCATGCCTGTAATCCCAGCACTTTGGGAGGCTGGGGCGGACGGATCACTTGAGGCCAGGAGTTTGAGACCAGCCTGGCCAATGTGGTGAAACCCCGTGTCTATCAAAAGTACAAAAATTAGCTGGGTATGGTGGTGTGTGCCTGTAATCCCAGCTACTGGAGAGGCTGAGGCAGGAGAATCTCTTGAACCTGGGAGGTGGAAGTTGCCATGAGCCACAATCGCGCCACTGCACTCCAGCCTGGGCGACAGAGCAAGACTCAGTTTCCAAAAAAAACGAACAATGAAACCTAAATAACGTTAAATTGTTCTTGTACATGAATTTTTTTTTTTTTTTTTTTTTTTAAGATGGAGTCCCACTCTATCGCCCAGACTGGAGTGCAGTGGCGTAATCTCAGCTCACTGCAACCTCCACCTCCCAGGTTCAAGCCTCAGCCTACCAAGTAGCTGGGATTCAGGTGCCTGCCACCACGCCCAGCTAATTTTTATATTTTTGGTACAGATGGGGTTTCACCATTTTGGTCAGGTTGGTCTCAAACTCCTGGCCTCAAGTGATCCGTCCGCCTCAGCCTCCCGAAGTGCTGGGATTACAGGCGTGAGCCACTGCACCCAGCCAAAATATTTAAACTTATCTTTGATTGCTTTCTTAGGCTATATTCCTAGAAATTGGGGTGAGATTAATTTTGACTGAGGAAAGGTATAAGAGATCAATAGACATTTGAACAGGATCTTGAAAGATACATGGGATTTCCTTGCTTGTCCAATAAAGCTACATATAGCATAATAGTTTTAGAGCCTCAAAATCAGGCAGAGTTAAGATTCCTACCTTGCTATTTGTAGCCATATGGTTTGGATCAACTGTTTTTTTTTTTTTTTTGATGGAGTCTCGCTCTGTCACCCAGGCTGGAGTGCAGTGGCTTAATCTCAGCTCAATGCAACCTCCCCCTCTCGGCTTCAAGCAATTCTCCTGCCTTAGCCTCCTGAGTCGCTGGGATTACAGGCGCCTGCCACCATGCCCAGCTAATTTTTGTATTTTTAGTAGAGACGGGGTTTCACCACGTTGGCCAGGCTAGTCTCGAACTCCTGACCTTGTGATCCGCTTGCTTCGGACTCTCAAAGTTCTGGGATTACACGTGTGAGCCACTATGCCTGGCCTGGGTCAACTGTTCTAAGCCTCAGTTTTTTCATCTGTAAAATGAAATGGTAACGGTAGTACTTCAATCTTCAATGGTACTTGTCTCATAGGTTTTTTTTTTTTTTAAGAGTTTAGTGAGAAAATGCATATAAGGCCTAACATTAATAATATGCCACTTCTACCATTATGCCATTGTCAATCATAAGACCCTCCCAGATTCATGGGGAGGAAACTTTTTTTTTGAGACAGAGTCTTGCTCTGTCATCCAGACTAAGTACAGTGGCACCATATCAGCTCACTGCAGCCTCCACCTCCTGGGCTCAAGTGGTTCTCCAGCCTCCCAAGTAGCTGGGACTACAGGTATGCACCATGCCTGGCTAATTTTTGTAATTTTTATCATGTTGGCCCGGCTGGTCTTAAACTTCTGACCTCAAGCAATCCACCCACATCGGCCTCCCAAAGTGCTGGGATTATAGGCGTGAGCCACCGCACCCGGCCCATGGGGAGGAAACTTAACTTAGACTCCACCTCAGTCACAATGTAAGTAGAGCATGGGGGAGGAGATAAATATATAGATAGATGTGGCTGTTTTGGAAAATACTATTTGCCACAGTTGTTTCATTATTATTATTCAGGTACGTAGTAATTTCCAGGAATTACATCCTCAGTGTTATAGGCGTTCATGGGCGTGCATGACTGCAGCTGATTAATTTTTTTTTTTTTTTGGTACAGATGGGGGTCTCACTGTGTTGCCCAGGCTGAGAAAACATTTATTGAATGTCAACTTG
Source organism: Homo sapiens (assembly GCF_000001405.40). NCBI lineage: Eukaryota > Metazoa > Chordata > Mammalia > Primates > Hominidae > Homo > Homo sapiens. The sequence continues at coordinate 161,009,395 of NC_000001.11, read as the reverse complement.
TACCAGTTTTATTATGCTAAGTGTGGGATACTCAGAATATTAAATAACACATGGTCCCTTTTCACTTGGGGTTTACCATGGGAGACATGCTTGTACACAGATGATGTCATTATAATGTGGGAATTGCTTTGACAGTGTTTTGCATGGGATAATTAAAGCCTAGGAAAGAGGCTTAGGTGAGGCTATGGTGAGGACTGGGCATGTGGGAGGTCGTTTTCCAGAAAATAATGTGGATGAATACTGCTGCCCAGATAAAGAGGGGGAAAAGGGTGTTCTACATAGCAGAAATAGCATGAGCAAAGGCAGAGATTGTGAAACAGCCCAGACTTTGCTAGGAATTTTAAGTAGTTTTGTATTGCTAGAGGGTAAATTGCAACAGTAGAGTGGGTGATGAAGATGATAACCTTATCAAGGGGTCAGATAGTGCTGGAACTTTCTTCCAGCACTTCCTGGTGGGAGAGAGGGAGGTGGGCGTTTGGCAGAGTATAGGGATTATTGGAACTTTCTTAGCTTGCAGAAAAATTTGGATTTTATCATATAAGCAATGTAGAATCATCAAAAGCTTAAAGGAGGTATCAGATTTGCATTTTTAGGAAGGCTGTATAGTATAGTGTAGCATTGTATAGCCTCTGCAGTTGGACTGCATTGGTGTGAATCTGCACTACCACTCACTGTGTGGCCTTAGCCAAGTTACTTAACTACTCTGGGCCTCAGTTTCCCCATGTAAATATGGGTGATAACGATAGAATCACCCAACTCTAAAGGCTGTTGCAGGGATTAAATGATATTACATATAATATGCTTACAACAGTGCCTCAAATATAGTATGTGCTCAATAAATGCTAGCACTTCATCCAGTAGTGGAATGGAGAATGGACTTTCTTTTTTTTTTTTGAGACGGGGTCTCGCTCTGTCACCCAGGCTGAAGTGCAGTGGTGCCATCTCAGCTTACTGCAAGCTCCACCTCCCGGGTTCACGCCATTCTACTGCTTCAGCCTCCGGAGTAGCTGGGACTAGGGACTACAGGTGCCTGCGACCACGCCCGGCTAATTTTTTGTATTTTTAGTAGAGATGGGGTTTCACCGTGTTAGCCAAGATGGTCTTGATCTCCTGATCTCGAGATCCGCCTGCCTCAGCCTCCCAAAGTGCTGGGATTACAGGCGTGAGTCACCGTGCCTGGCTGGAGAATGGACTTTCTATACATGGGCCCAAAACCTAAGCAGGCCAAAATCTATTGATGCCTTTAACTTTGTGGCTTTTCTTGTTGTGAACTTAGAGAAAATTAAACTTGACAATGGAAAGGATGGAATTTCCTTCTATTATTCGTTTACCACGTACATCAGTAGGACATTTGCATGTGTGTGTACAGTATGGTATGTATGGGCCCAAGGTTAAGTGCAAAAGGGGGGCTGTGAAGAGGCACGGGAAAATATGAAATAGATGAGGAGGATGGACAGGGAAACTGTGAGTGTCCTGATGTAGATTGGATTCAGTGAGAGCAAGTTCCTAGCTCTGCTGGTACAGCTGTGAAGGTTCTAGAGAAGGGGCCGCCTTCCCAAGGCAGCTGCAATGACAGGGGAGATATGGTTTGGTAGGCTGGAGTAGGCACTTTTCAGGCTTTATTTATATGTCTTGTTGAAGAAAACATTGAAGTCAGAAAGAAGTATGTGTACAGAAGGGCCTATGAACAGATGATGATAATCATAAAATATAATACTTATTTGGGGTTTCCTGTTCAGACACTGCTCTAAGCACTTTATTTGTACAGTATTAGCTTGTTTAGCCTTCAGAACAGCCCTTTGATGTAGAAACTGTTATTATCCCCATTTTACAGATGCGTAAACTCAGATTTGAGGAGGCCAAGTGGCTTGTCCAGGTCACATAGCCTAGTAAGTAACAGAGCTGGGATTTTTTTTTTTTTTTCTTTTCTGAGACAGAGTTTCTCCCTTGTTGGCCAGGCTGGAGTGCAATGGCACGATCTTGGCTCACTGCAACCTCTGCCTCCCAGGTTCAAGCAATTCTCCTGCCTCAGCCTCCTGAGTAGCTGGGATTACAGGCATGCACCACCACGCCTGGTTAATTTTGTATTTTTAGTAGAGACGAGGTTTCTCCATGTTGGTCAAGCTGGTCTCGAACTCCCCACCTCAGGTGATCTGCCCGCCTTGGCCTCCCAAAGTGCTGGGATTACAGGCATGAGCCACTGCGCCCAGCATTTTTTTTTTTTTTTTGAGACGGAGTTTCTTGTTGCCCAGGCTGGAGTGCAATGGCACGATCTCAGCTCACTGCAACCTCTGCTTCCCAGGTTCAAGCGATTCTCCTGCCTCAGCCTCCCAAGTAGCTGGGATTGCAGGCATGTGCCACCACACCCGGCTAATTTTTATATATATATTTTTTAGTAGAGACGGATTTTTGCCACGTTGGCCAGACTGGTCTCGAACTCCTGATCTCAGGTGATCCACCTGCTTCGCCTCCTAAAGTGCTGGGATTACAGGCATGAGCCACCGCACCCAGCCTAGAGCTGGGATTTGAACGCAGGCAGTCTGGTTCCAGGGGCCTGTTCAAGAATGAGAAGGGGAATGTGGACCAGGATGGCTGAGGTGTCCTGTGGTGAATGGGAAGGACATGGTGATAAGGCTGGCCTTGACTCATGATGTGATAGGCAATCACAATACACCTTGGGAGTATTGGCACAGTCAGGTCACAGGCAGACGTAGTTAATCCTGCAACAGAGGTGGGTGGGAGGACACTAAGGCGGAGGTTCGTGTATTTGAAACAAAATAACAGAAGCCCAGACCAGGTGATGGCAGTGCGGATTAATGAAGAAAAGGGTAATATGCCTGTAGCCCAACGTGTTTGTATATGTGTGGTGTGAATGTGATGATCTGAGAGGACTCAACAAAGAACTTTAGCTAAACCAGAAGTGGTGGAGGAACAACCATCAAATTCACATGTTGTGATTTGTGTGTATATGTGTGTTTATTTCAAAGGCTAGTTTTTAGTCTAATTAGATGCTGCTGTTCATTTGGGTGGTGCCATAGGTTGGGTTCTTGGGAAGCTGACTCTGAGATGTCAATAATCATACAAGACATTTATTAGGGAGTGCACTTGGGATCCACGCCCGTGGAAAGGAGGGGAAGGAAGCAAAGTTGGACAGAGGGAGAGGCCAAGTTTGCGTTATAGTCTTGGTGAGGCCTCAGCCTATCCCACAGACAGCTTTGGAACACTTTGGAACAGAAGTGCCCCCCCCCTTTTTTTTTTGAGATGGAGTCTCACTGTGTTACCCAGGCTGGAGTGCAGTGGTGCGATCTTGGCTCACGGCAACCTTCGCCTCCCGGGTTCAAGTGATTGTCCTGCCTCAGCCTCCCAAGTAGTTGGGATTACCGTTGCCCGCCACCATGCCCGGCTAATTTTTGTATTTTAGTAGAGATGGGGTTTCGCCATATTGGCCAGGCTGGTTTCAAACTCCTGACCTCAGGTGACCTGCCCGCCTCAGCCTCCCAAAGTGCTGGGATTACAGGCTGTTGAGCTGCCATGCCCAGCCTATTAGCATTCTTAATGAGAGTTGAGTAAGAGACTTCCACAGCCATGGTGGCTCACGCCTGTAATCCTAGCACTTTGGGAGGCCAAGGCAGGAGAATTGCTTGAGCTCAGGAATTTGAGACCAGCCTGGGTAACATAGTGGGACCTGGTCTCTACAAAAAAATTGTAAAAGTTAGCTGGGCAGGCCAGGTGCGGTAGCTCAGGCCTATAATCCCAGCACTTTGGGAGGCCGAAGCGGGTGGATCACTTGAGGTCAGGAGTTTGAGACCAGCCTGGCCAACATGATGAAACCTTGTTTCTGCTAAAAATACAAAAAATTAGCCAGGCATGGTGGCTCGTGCTTGTAATCCCAGCTACTCAGGAGGCTGAGGCAGGAGAATTGCTGGAACCCGGGAGACAGAGGCCTGTAGTCCCAACTACTTAGGAGGCTGAGGTGGGTCACTTGAGCCCAGCAGGCCAACACTGGGCCCTAAGCAGTAAGCCATAATGGTGCCACTGAACTCTAGCCGGGGCAACAGAGTGAGAAAGGAGGGAGGAGATAGGGGAGGTAGGGGAGGGAGGGGAAGGAGGAAGGAGGGAGGAAGGGAGGAGACTTATGTGTCCTCAGGAAGAATTTTCAATTTAATAAAAGCTATTTGGTTTAATTTCCATATCTATTATTATTATTATTATTATTATTATTATTATTTTATTTTTGAGACAGAGTCTTGCTCTGTCACCCAGGCTGGAGTGCAGTGGCACTATCTAGGCTCACTTCAGCCTCCACCTCCTGGGTTCAGTGATTCTCCTGCCTCAGCCTCCCGAGTAGCTGGGATTACAGGCTAGTGCCACCACCCCTGGCTGGTTTTTGTACTTTTACTAGAGACGAGATTTCGCCACGTTGGCCAAGCTGGTCTCGAACTCCTGCCCTCAAGCAGTCTCCCCACCTCGGCCTCCCAAAGTGCTGGAATTACAGGTGTGAGCTACCGTGCTCAGCCTCCATATCTATTATTACATTTGAGCATAAATTTGACATTAAAAATGTAATGGCAAATATATAAATAAAATAATATCATTAGAAATATTTTTATTAGTTTTTTTTTCATTAAACCTATGGTTTTTCTAAGAAACAGCTCGGTTTTCTTTTCTTATGTTTTTTAGAGACAGGGTCTTGCTCTGTCACCCAGGCACCCAGGCTGGAATGCATTGGTGTGATTGTAGCTCACTGTAACCTCCCACTCTTTGGCTTAAGTAGTCCTTTTGCCTCAGTCTCCCAAGTTACTGGGCTACAGGCATGTGTCACCATGCCTGGTTAATTTTTTTTTTTTTTGAGACGGAGTCTCACTTTGTTGCCCAAGCTGGAATGTAGTGTCACAATCTCAGCTCACTGCAACCTCTGCCTCCCGGGTTCAAGTGATTCTCTTTGCTCAGCCTTCCAGGTAGCACGCGCCACCACGCCTGGCTAATTTTTGTATTTTTAGTAGCGATAAGGTTTCGCCACGTTGGCCAGGCTGGTCTCAAACTCTTGACCTCAAGTGATCTGCCCTCTTTGGCCTCCCAAAGTGCTGGGGTTATAGGTGTGACCTACCGTGCCCAGCCTATACCCTTCTTTTTTGAAAACCATGCTATATGGCCAGGCGTGATGGTTCACATCTGTAATCCCAGCACTTTGGGAGGCCAAGGCAGGAGAACTGCTTGAGACCAGGAGTTCTAGACCAGCCTGGGCAATGTAGCAAGAACCCAGCTCTTTAAAAAAAAGAAATTCCAGCCTGGACAACATGGTGAAACCCTGTCTACTAAAAATACAAAAAATTGCCGGGCGCGGTGGCTCACGCTTGTAATCCCAGCATTTTGGGAGGCCAGGGCGGGTGGATCACCTGAGATCAGGAGTTCGAGACCAGCCTGACCAACATGGAGAAACCCCATCTCTACTAAAAATACAAAATTAGCCGGGCATGGTGGCGCCTGCCTGTAATCCTAGCTACTAGGGAGGCCGAGGCAGGAGAATCTCCTGAACCTGGGAGGCGGAGGTTGTGGTGAGTCTAGATTGCGCCACTGCACTCCAGTCTGGGCAACTAGAACAAAACTCCATCTTAAAAAAATAATAATAATAATACAAAAAACTAGTTAGAACTAGCTAGGCGTAGTGGCGGGCGCCTGTAATCCCAGCTACTCAGGAGGCTGGGGCAGGAGAATCTCTTGAATGTGGGAGGCAGAGGTTGCAGTGAGCCGAGATCACACCACTGCACTCTAGCCAGGGCGACAGAGTGAGACTCTGTCTCAACAAAAAAACAAAAGAAAAAAAAGAAAATTAGGCCGGTCGCCGTGGCTCACGCCTATAATTCCAGCACTTTGGGCGGCTGCAGCGGGCAGATCACTTTAGGTCAGGAGTTTGAGACCAGCCTGGCCAACGTGGTGAAACCCCATCTCTACTAAAAATGCAAAAATTAGGCCAGGTGCAGTGGCTTAATCACGCCTGTAATCCCAGCACTTTGGGAGGCTGAGGCGGGCGGATCACCTGAAGTCGGGAGTTCGAGACCAGCCTGATTAACATGGAGAAACCCTGTCTCTACTAAAAATACAAAATTAGCCGGGCATGGTGGCACATGCCTGTAATCCCAGCTACTTGGGAGGCTGAGGCAGGAGAATCCCTTGAACCCGGAAGGTGGAGGTTGCGGTGAGCCGAGATTGCGCCATTGCACTCCAGCCTGGGCAACAAGAGCGAAACTCTGTCTCAAAAAAAAAAAAAAAAATACAAAAATTAGCCGGCATGGTGGTAAGCGCCTGTAATCCCAGCTGTTTGGAAGGCTGAAGAGAATCACTTGAACCTGGGAGGCAGAGGCTGCAGTGAGCTGAGATAGCGCCATTGCACTCCAGCCTGGGCAACAGGAGTGAAACTCCGTCTCAAAAAAAAAAAAAACAAATAAATAGAGAGTATAATAAGAGAAAAAGGATATAGGAGTAACCTATATCTTTAGTCTCTTATCTATAAAATGGGAGAGAGAATACTTATCTGGACTAATTCATAGTGTTATTATATCAGATTGAAATACAGGTATACAAATATTATCTAAACATTAATGCCAAAATTTAAAAAAAAGAACCTAAAGGACTTTAGAGCACATCTATTTCATATTTCAGAGAGGAAGGGGAGTCTCAGAGGTCAAGAGACCATATTCAGTTATGTGCATAATTAAGTAAAAGAAAAATGTACTTGAATTTAACAGATGTGCTTGACTTCTACAAACATTTATCTAAGACAGGGTCCTGACTTGAAGCTACAAATAAAAGGATATTTCATGAATTTGACTTTGAAAACATGGATGAGAATAATTGTGTAAGTGCAGGTTTGTAGCTGCATCATGTGATCCCAGAATCCCTGGTCACTGGTTCTTAATTTGACCTTTGTGGGTCCCTCCTATGAACCCTGATGCACCTCCCCCATATTATTTAATTAGCCTTGTTGCTTCTCCCTCCCTCCACCCAGCACACACTATCTTTTCTTTTCTTTCTCCATTTGGCAAGTAGAATATTCTAATGAGGTGATCTGAACCCACTTCTAGTGCAAACTTCACCTCAGAACCAGTTGTGTGTTTTTTTTTTTTTTTTTTTTTTGAGATTGAGTCTTGCTCTGTCGCCCAGGCTGGAGGGCAGTGGCGCGATCTCGGCTCACTGCAATCTCCGCCTCCCGGGTTCAAGCGACTCTTCTGCCTCAGCCTCCCAAGTAGCTGGGACTACAGGTGTGCCACCATGCCTGGCTAATTTTTGTATTATTAGTAGAGATGGGGTTTCACCATATTGGCCAGGCTGGTCTTGAACTCCTGACCTCATGACCTCCCCACCTCGGCCTCCCAAAGTGCTGGGTTTACAGGCCTGAGCCACCGCACCTGGCCCCAGCTGTGTGATCTTAGGCACATTTACTTCTTGTACTCTCAGTTCCTCATGTAAACTCGGGATAATAATATACGTCTTGCCGATCTGTCATGCTTGTGTCCAGGATCAAATGATGCAACGTGTCATAATGTACACGAAAACACTTTTAAAAGCACCACATGCTCCACAAATGTCGAGTATTATTATTATCCTCATCATGGCTCTGCCCTTCCCTTCCATCCCTTGCCTCCAGCCCTGCTGGCTTCCTTCCAGGATTGTCCTGACAAGTGGCTGCAATCATTTGTTGAGAAGCTTTCTCTGAACAGTGAAATGTCATTCTGGAAGCTGCCCTTGGACTAGTAGAAATCTAATTAGATTATTGGGAGTCACAGAGAGAAAAATTAGAAGCAAAAGAAACTGCATTCCCATGGATAAAAGAAGTATTAGCTGGCAATTGTAGCAAAAAGCACTTAAAGAAGACATTTAGGATCATGGTGACAAAGTGTGAGAGCCAGAGGGAGCATAAGTCTGGAATCCCTTCCTCTTAGGGTCTGTGAATGGAGAAGCCCTGTCCACTGGGTCTGTGACTCCTTCTTCCTGGCATTTCTCTGTCCACTCCTGACAGGGCCCACCTCTTTCTTTCTCCTTAGGCTCCCTGGCATTGGGCAGTGTTACAGTGCACTCTTCTGAACCTGAAGTCAGAATTCCTGAGAATAATCGTGAGTTGGGAGGGGCCATGGAGGGTGTGAGGGTGAGCAGTTGCCGGCCGCCTGGGGATCTAGAGAGCACCCAGCCCAGCCTGCAGTTTGGGGCTGTTCCCCATCTCGTGTATTTGCTGCTGCTTCTTCCTTCGGCTCATTTTGACCCTGTCTGCAGCTGTGAAGTTGTCCTGTGCCTACTCGGGCTTTTCTTCTCCCCGTGTGGAGTGGAAGTTTGACCAAGGAGACACCACCAGACTCGTTTGCTATAATAACAAGATCACAGGTGAGTTGCTTCTCCTCCTTCCTGATTGCCTAGGTTGTGGAGGGATTATCATGCCTGGATTCTACGATCCAGACTTTGTGCCCTTATCCCAGGGCACACCCTGGGGCTGAAGTCCTCATGGCCTTCCTACCCCCCTTTCTGGGGGAAGAGGAGAGCACTTGCGTACCTTGGATGCCCCCTTCATCAGCCTCCCTTAGCTCTCCAGTTCACTCTGTCCTTGCTCTTGCCTCCTCTTGTGGTAGCTTCCTATGAGGACCGGGTGACCTTCTTGCCAACTGGTATCACCTTCAAGTCCGTGACACGGGAAGACACTGGGACATACACTTGTATGGTCTCTGAGGAAGGCGGCAACAGCTATGGGGAGGTCAAGGTCAAGCTCATCGTGCTTGGTACGTGCCCCATGTCTTCTGGGTGGGCCTGGAGTTAGTTACTTCTCATAGCAGGCTCTGCTGCACTTTGGAGCTCTTTGATGGTGAGAATACCCACAGGTGGGCTATTCAGAGTCCTGGAGCTGCCAGAGAGGGAGATGAGCCCCTGGTTAGGTGGCAGCCAGGGGCATGGTGAGAGTAGGAGGCTTGAGCTGAGTAGTTGGGGGTACCATTGTAGTTGGTTACTTAGACTCAAGCAGCCCCCACCCTGTACTCAGCACCTTCTGTCTTTCTCTTCCACAGTGCCTCCATCCAAGCCTACAGTTAACATCCCCTCCTCTGCCACCATTGGGAACCGGGCAGTGCTGACATGCTCAGAACAAGATGGTTCCCCACCTTCTGAATACACCTGGTTCAAAGATGGGATAGTGATGCCTACGAATCCCAAAAGCACCCGTGCCTTCAGCAACTCTTCCTATGTCCTGAATCCCACAACAGGAGAGCTGGTATGTATGGGGTGGTGGTGAAAGATGTGTGGGGGATGCAGTTATAGAACCCCAAAAGGTGGGAGGAAGAACAGGCAACAGGGTGAACTTGGAACTGGGGTCAAGAGACATTAAAAAATGTCTATTTTGCTTCTTCAGCAGGAAGCCAATTTGTTTTCCTTCCTCAGGTCTTTGATCCCCTGTCAGCCTCTGATACTGGAGAATACAGCTGTGAGGCACGGAATGGGTATGGGACACCCATGACTTCAAATGCTGTGCGCATGGAAGCTGGTGAGAGTTAGGGCTTGAGCCCAGACCTGGGGTGGGGATTGGGGTCTGCTTTTCATCCTGCCATTGGTGATACTGTAGGTGCCGTGAGTGAGTATCCCCGTGCCTGACTTCTTATTTGTGTCTCGCAGTGGAGCGGAATGTGGGGGTCATCGTGGCAGCCGTCCTTGTAACCCTGATTCTCCTGGGAATCTTGGTTTTTGGCATCTGGTTTGCCTATAGCCGAGGCCACTTTGACAGTAAGTATCTGCCCCCAGAGGCTCTCCTTTGTACTGCCCCCATCCCAGGGCCTGGCATGGGTGTCATCTGAGTACTGACCCTGATACTGTGCTCATGTGTGTGGGTGTTGTCCCCTGGGGAACACTGATCACCCATCTAACACCAAGAGCTGGGGGCCTGCCCCTCCATCTTCCCAAGCCATGCTGTCTTCTGTCCTGCTGACACTCATGATCCCATTTCTTCTCTTTCAGGAACAAAGAAAGGGTGAGTGAGGTGCTGTCCTGGGGTTCTCCAAGTTTGAGAGCATGGATGCATGTGGTTTGAAGCTGAAGTGGGCCTAGGGGAATGGGTTGAAGGCAGAAGCAACCAGTTTGGAGGGAAGGCATTTGGATATCCAGCCCTTTCTCTGTGGCCTTGGCCCTGGGTCTGTCCTGTTACCCCACCCATACCTGTCTGCTGCGCACTCTGTGCTTCTGTAGCATTCTCGCTTCTGGCCTTTAAAGTTGGCAAGGGGAGGTTAATAAGCACCTAGGTGGCTGAGTGTCTCTGTCTTCTGGCTTGTTCACAGGACTTCGAGTAAGAAGGTGATTTACAGCCAGCCTAGTGCCCGAAGTGAAGTGAGTATGCCTCCCCTGGGCAGGGGTGGGCCACCTGGGGCTGGAGTGAGGAGATTTCTAGCCCATGTTTATGTGTTTTGGGGATTATCAGCTAAAGAAGACTATTGAGAGTTGACTGGATGTTTTATTTCTGCAGGGAGAATTCAAACAGACCTCGTCATTCCTGGTGTGAGCCTGGTCGGCTCACCGCCTATCATCTGCATTTGCCTTACTCAGGTGCTACCGGACTCTGGCCCCTGATGTCTGTAGTTTCACAGGATGCCTTATTTGTCTTCTACACCCCACAGGGCCCCCTACTTCTTCGGATGTGTTTTTAATAATGTCAGCTATGTGCCCCATCCTCCTTCATGCCCTCCCTCCCTTTCCTACCACTGCTGAGTGGCCTGGAACTTGTTTAAAGTGTTTATTCCCCATTTCTTTGAGGGATCAGGAAGGAATCCTGGGTATGCCATTGACTTCCCTTCTAAGTAGACAGCAAAAATGGCGGGGGTCGCAGGAATCTGCACTCAACTGCCCACCTGGCTGGCAGGGATCTTTGAATAGGTATCTTGAGCTTGGTTCTGGGCTCTTTCCTTGTGTACTGACGACCAGGGCCAGCTGTTCTAGAGCGGGAATTAGAGGCTAGAGCGGCTGAAATGGTTGTTTGGTGATGACACTGGGGTCCTTCCATCTCTGGGGCCCACTCTCTTCTGTCTTCCCATGGGAAGTGCCACTGGGATCCCTCTGCCCTGTCCTCCTGAATACAAGCTGACTGACATTGACTGTGTCTGTGGAAAATGGGAGCTCTTGTTGTGGAGAGCATAGTAAATTTTCAGAGAACTTGAAGCCAAAAGGATTTAAAACCGCTGCTCTAAAGAAAAGAAAACTGGAGGCTGGGCGCAGTGGCTCACGCCTATAATCCCAGAGGCTGAGGCAGGCGGATCACCTGAGGTCAGGAGTTCAAGATCAGCCTGACCAACATGGAGAAACCCTACTAAAAATACAAAGTTAGCCAGGCATAGTGGTGCATGCCTGTAATCCCAGCTGCTCAGGAGCCTGGCAACAAGAGCAAAACTCCAGCTCAAAAAAAAAAAGAAAGAAAAGAAAGCTGGAGCTGGTGGCTTAGGCCATCACCCTTCCCTTGGCTGGAACTACTGGACAGACCCTTTTGAGATGTGCCTGTGGTGCTGTGGAGATGTGTGTAGTGGTCTTAGCTCTTTGTTGAGCTTGTGTGTGTGTTGTGTAGTCTTAGCTGTATGCTGAAATTGGGCGTGTGTTGGAGGGCTTCTTAGCTCTTTGGTGAGATTGTATTTCTATGTGTTTGTATCAGCTGAATGTTGCTGGAAATAAAACCTTGGTTTGTCAAGGCTCTTTTTTGTGGGAAGTAAGTAGGGGAAAAGGTCTTTGAGGGTTCCTAGGCTCCTTTGTACAACAGGAAAATGCCTCAAAGCCTTGCTTCCCAGCAACCTGGGGCTGGTTCCCAGTGCCTGGTCCTGCCCCTTCCTGGTTCTTATCTCAAGGCAGAGCTTCTGAATTTCAGGCCTTCATTCCAGAGCCCTCTTGTGGCCAGGCCTTCCTTTGCTGGAGGAAGGTACACAGGGTGAAGCTGATGCTGTACTTGGGGGATCTCCTTGGCCTGTTCCACCAAGTGAGAGAAGGTACTTACTCTTGTACCTCCTGTTCAGCCAGGTGCATTAACAGACCTCCCTACAGCTGTAGGAACTACTGTCCCAGAGCTGAGGCAAGGGGATTTCTCAGGTCATTTGGAGAACAAGTGCTTTAGTAGTAGTTTAAAGTAGTAACTGCTACTGTATTTAGTGGGGTGGAATTCAGAAGAAATTTGAAGACCAGATCATGGGTGGTCTGCATGTGAATGAACAGGAATGAGCCGGACAGCCTGGCTGTCATTGCTTTCTTCCTCCCCATTTGGACCCTTCTCTGCCCTTACATTTTTGTTTCTCCATCTACCACCATCCACCAGTCTATTTATTAACTTAGCAAGAGGACAAGTAAAGGGCCCTCTTGGCTTGATTTTGCTTCTTTCTTTCTGTGGAGGATATACTAAGTGCGACTTTGCCCTATCCTATTTGGAAATCCCTAACAGAATTGAGTTTTCTATTAAGGATCCAAAAAGAAAAACAAAATGCTAATGAAGCCATCAGTCAAGGGTCACATGCCAATAAACAATAAATTTTCCAGAAGAAATGAAATCCAACTAGACAAATAAAGTAGAGCTTATGAAATGGTTCAGTAAAGATGAGTTTGTTGTTTTTTGTTTTGTTTTGTTTTGTTTTTTTAAAGACGGAGTCTCGCTCTGTCACCCAGGCTGGAGTGCAGTGGTATGATCTTGGCTCACTGTAACCTCCGCCTCCCGGGTTCAAGCCATTCTCCTGCCTCAGTCTCCTGAGTAGCTGGGATTACGGGTGCGTGCCACCATGCCTGGCTAATTTTTGTGTTTTTAGTAGAGACAGGGTTTCACCATGTTGGTCGGGCTGGTCTCAAACTCCTGACCTCTTGATCCGCCTGCCTTGGCCTCCCAAAGTGATGGGATTACAGATGTGAGCCACCGTGCCTAGCCAAGGATGAGATTTTTAAAGTATGTTTCAGTTCTGTGTCATGGTTGGAAGACAGAGTAGGAAGGATATGGAAAAGGTCATGGGGAAGCAGAGGTGATTCATGGCTCTGTGAATTTGAGGTGAATGGTTCCTTATTGTCTAGGCCACTTGTGAAGAATATGAGTCAGTTATTGCCAGCCTTGGAATTTACTTCTCTAGCTTACAATGGACCTTTTGAACTGGAAAACACCTTGTCTGCATTCACTTTAAAATGTCAAAACTAATTTTTATAATAAATGTTTATTTTCACATTGAGTTTGTTTAAATCCTGAAGTTCTTACCTTAAGAGAATTGGGACTCCTAGAGTGATTGGACATTCAAAATATTCCTGATAGTCTTGTTAATTAAGAGATTAGGATATCTTTCCATTACCTTGATAATTACGTTTTAATTTAGCTTTTTTCATTGGCCTGTGTTTAAATGCAAATAACCCCACAATGGACATTTCCTATGTTAAAGTGACATTTAGGGGATAAAAAATGAGAGCAGTTCCATGGATTTTGGTGTTTCCCCTGAGACATGAACTCAGCATAATCTGGGATAAAATGATTGAGTGTTAAGGATGTGTTTGTTGTTCCTGTCGTTTTTTTATTTTCTTCAAAGTATACAACATGGTTTGATATGCACATACATTTGTGTAATGATTGCCATGGTCAATTAACACATCACCATTTTTGTGTGTGTGTGTGTGTGTGTGTGTGAGGGAGTCTTGCTCCGTTGCCAGGCTGGAGTGCAATGGTACAACCTTGGCTCACTGCAACCTCCACCTCCTGGGTTCAAGCAATTCTCTTGCCTCAGCCTCCTAAGTAGCTGGGACTATAGGCGTGTGCCACCATGCCCAGCTAATTTTTGTATTTTTAGTAGAGACGGGGTTTCACCATGTTGGCCAGGATGATCTCGATCCCTTGACCTCATGATCCGCCCACCTCGGCCTCCCAAAGTGCTGGGATTACAGGCGTGAGTCACTGCACCCGGCCACATCACCTCCCATGTTCTATCTTACGTATTCAGAACTTGTTCATCTTGTAACTGAAAGCGTGTACCCTTTGACCAACACTGTTTTTCCTGTCTTAACAGGATCTACAGATCAAGGACAGGGGAGGGGATAGTGGAGGAAAACGGAGTTAGTCTGTTTCTAAATGAGGGGACAGTATGTTTCTTGGGGCCTGAGGACAGCTTAATAAAGTAGACAAATGAAGAAAAACAACAATTTGCATTAAAAAATATCCAATTCTTTAGCTTTTCCAGCTTATTACCCCTTCTCTGGTACTAGCTATGAAAATCTGATATGAAACGGAACATTTTTTCTTTTCTTTTCTTTCTTTTTTTTTTTTTTTGAGACTGAGTCTTACTCTATCACCCAGGCTGGAGTGCAGTGGAGCGATCTCAGCTCACTGCAACTTCTCCCTCTGAGTTCAAGCGATTCTCCTGCCTCAGCCTCCCGAGCAGCTGGGATTACAGGCGCCTGCCACTGCACCCGGATAATTTTTTTTTTAATAGTTTTAGTGGAGACAGGGTTTCACCAGCTTGGCCAGGCTGGTTTTAAACTCCTGATCTCGTGATCCACCCACCTTGGCCTCCCAAAGTGCTGGGATTACAGGTGTGAGCCACCGTGCCTAGCCCATTTTTTCTTACTACTATCATCCATTAACTTATTTACTGGGTACTATTACTATCTCTGTTTCTCAGATGGGGAAGAGAGGCAGAGAAATGCTAAGGAATTTGCCCAAGTTCACACAACCAGTACTAGGCAAATGGTAGGTCCGGGATTAAGATCCTGGGGAGGGGAGGTTGGGTAACCTATATCCTGCTCAGTGACCCAGAATGGAAAAGAATGAAGGAGGAGGAGTGGAAACAGAAGTTAACTTTTTTTTTGTAGAGGTGGGTATCTGGGTTTGAGGAGAGAGAACATTAAAAGTAATGCTGGGGCCGGGCGCGGTGGCTCATACCTATAATCCCAGCACTTTGGGAGTCTGAGGCAGGCAGATCACTTGAGGTCAGGAGTTCAAGACCAGCCTGGCCAACATGGTGAAACCCTGTCTCTATGAAAAATACAAAAATTGCCAGTTGTGGTGGCTCACGCTTGTAATCCCAGCACTTTGGGAGGCCGAGGGGGGCGGATCACCTGAGGTTGGGAGTTCAAGACCAGCCTGACCAACATGGAGAAACCCTGTCTCTACTAAAAATACAAAAATTAGCCGGGCATGGTGGTGCATGCCTATAATCCCAGCTACTCAGGAGGCTGAGGCGGGAGAATCGCTTGAACCCGGGAGGCAGAGGTTGCGTGAGCCGAGATCACGCCATTGCACTCCAGCCTGGGCAACAAGAGCAAAACTCCATCTCAAAAAACAAAAAAACAAAAAACCAAAAATTAGCTGGGTGGGGTGGTGGTGTGTGCCTGTAACTGCAGCTACACGAGAGGCTGAGGCACGAGAATTGCTTGAACCTGAGAGGCAGACATCACAGTGAGCCGAGACGGCGCCACTGCACTCTCGCCTGGGTGACAGTGAGACTGAGTCTCAAAAAAAAAAAAAAAAAAAAAAAGTGATGATGTTTGACCTACGGTTTCCCCTGAAGTGTGACAAAATCTCACTTGAGTCTGCTATCCCAACAGACAGACTCTGGACAGAGTGAGGCATATTAAGTATGAGGCTCTTTATGAAATGGAGGGCCTATGAGTGCCACCTTCTGGAGTAAAGGATAAAACTTAATGCAATTTTGCCAGTGACCGGGATGAAAAACAGAAGGCATGCATATCATATTTGTGGACGGCAAGGAGTTAGTAGGAATTGCAACATTCTCAGTGTGCAGAATGAGGATTCAAATAGTCAGGAATGGTAAACTCCAGCTTATTAAATTTTATTGAATTGAAATTCAATAGTAATAAGTCAGATTCTGCCTTTGGGTTCAAAAAGTCAACTCTTCATAGATAAAGTAGGAAAGATGTAGAATTTTTAGAACTAGGGAGGCACTCTGCTGACAGCACCCTTCCCCTGCATCAAGTTCTGTCTTAAGTGCCAAACTTTAAGGGCATTATCAACAAATGAATATATTCAGAGGAGTGATCTGGAGGGTGAAGGGACCTAAAATTTTGTCATGTAGAAACTTCTGAAGAATCAGCATTAAGCCCAGATAATAAAGACTCAGGGAAAACAAAATTATAGTCTAGATATACTGTATTAATGGACTGAAGGGAGAAAATTAGGGCCAGTGGATGGATACTGCTTGTATTAATTCAGAATGTAGTATCCCTCAGAGATTTAAGGAAGGGGTGTTGTGCACTGGAAAAAAATACTGGTTTCCAAGTCAGGCAGACCTTGTTTAATTCCAGACTCTTGACAAAGTTTTATGTCAGTCTTAGTTTTCTCACTTAAAAATTGTAGTAATATGTATTCTGCAAAGTTTGGAAACGTAATGTAGCAAGGTCTGTAAATCACTTTGCAGCACCTCACCTAAGAGCGTCTATGGTTGATTTTAAATTGGGTATTCTAGGTCAGGTTTGGCATACTTTCTTTCTTTCTTTTTCTTTTCTTTTGAGGCAGAGTCTCACTCTGTTGCCTAGGCTAGAGTGCAGTGGCGCAATCTCGGCTCACTGCAACCTCCACCTCCCGGGTTCAAACAATTCTCCTGCCTCAGCCTCCCGAGTAGCTGGGATTACAGGCACACAGCACCACGCCCGGCTAATTTTTGTATTTTTAGTAGAGATGGGGTTTCACTATGTTGGTCAGGCTGGTCTCGAACTCCTGACCTCATGATCCACCTGCCTCAGCCTCTCAAAGTGCTGGGATTACAGGTGTGAGCCACCGTGCCCGGCTCAAGGGTTGGCATACTTTCTGTAAAGGGCTAGAGAATAAATTTTTCAGGTTCTGCAGGTCTCTATACAATGATACCACTCCAGTTCTATTGGGAAAGCATCCATAGACAATGATCATGGCTGTGTTCCAATGAACCTTCTTTTGTGGACACTAAAATGTGAATTTTATATAATTTTTGTGTGTTGTGAAA
The DNA here is from genome assembly GCF_000001405.40 of Homo sapiens. Taxonomy (NCBI): domain Eukaryota; kingdom Metazoa; phylum Chordata; class Mammalia; order Primates; family Hominidae; genus Homo; species Homo sapiens. Next base: position 160,992,443 of record NC_000001.11, on the reverse strand, counting down.
TAATTATCAAATCTTTTTCAAGCATTTAAAAATGTAAAAACAGCTGGGCGTGGTGGCTCATGCTTGTAATCCTAGCACTCTGGGAGGCCAAGGCAGGTGAATCACCTGAGGTCAGGAGTTCAAGACCAGCCTGGCCAACATGGTGAAACCCTGTCTCCCTGTCTCTACTAAAAATACAAAAAATTAGCCAGGTGTGGTGACAGGTGACTGTAATCCTAGCTACTTGGGAGGCTGAGATAGGAGAGTCACTTGAACCTGAGAGGCGGAGGTTGCAGTGAACTGAGATTGCGCCACTGGGAGACAGAGTGAGACTCCAGTTCAAAAAAAAAAAAAAGTAAAAACGATGTTTATATATGAGGCTGTGCAAAAACAGGTGATGGGTTGGTAATTGGCAATTAACCAAGATTGAAAATCTTTTTTTTTTTTTTTTAATGGAGTCTGGCTCTCGCCCAGGCTGGAGTGCAGTGACAGAATCTCGACTCACTGCAAGCTCCGCCTCCTGGATTCACGCCATTCTCCTGCCTCAGCCTCCCGAGTAGCTGGGACTACAGGTGCCCGCCACCACGCCAGGCTAATGTTTTGTATTTTTAGTAGAGATGGGGTTTCTCCATGTGGTCAGGCTGGTCTTGAACTCCTGACCTTAGGTGATCCACCCGCCTCAGCCTCCCAAAGTGCTGGGATTACAGGCGTGAGCCACTGTGCCCAGCCTGAAAATCTGTGTTGACTCCGTCTCAAAAAAAAAAAAAAAAAAAAGTAGCTAGCCTCATTTGTTTTTCTTTCTTTCTTTTTTTTTTTTTTTTGAGACAAAGTCTCACTCTGTCACCCAGGCTGGAGTGCAGTGGTGCGAACTGGGCTCACTGCAAGCTCCGCCTTCTGGGTTCACGCCATTCTCCTGCCTCAGCCTCCCGAGTAGCTGGGACCACAGGCGCCCGCCACCATGCCCGGCTGATTTTTTGTATTTTTAGTAGAGACGGGGTTTCACCGTGTTAGCCAGGATAGTCTCGATCTCCTGACCTCGTGATCCACCCGCCTCGGCTTCCCAAAGTGCTGGGATTACAGGTGTGTGCCACCACACCCGCCGCGTCATTTGTTTTTCAACGCAGACTTATAAAATGCAGATTACTTTGGTCGTGGTCTGTAACATCCCCAGGGAGAAAGGAATGCAGAAGGCAGAGTGGTTAGGAGCAGCCACAAAAGAATGAGGAATGAAGAAAAAGGGGTGAATGAGAAACCAATGAGAAGTGTTGGGAGATGCCATGTAACTGGTGGGGATACCCATACCCATTTTAGAACAACTTTTTTTTTTTTTTTTTTGAGACAGGGTCTCACTCTCTTGCCCAGACTGGAGTGCAGTGGCCAGACCTCGGCTCACCACAACCTCTGCCTCCCAGGCTCAAGCGATTCTCTTGCCTCAGCCTCCCGAGTAGCTGGGATTACAGGCACGTGCTACTACTGCCCAGCTAATTTTTGTATTTTTAGCACAGGGTTTCACCATGTTGGCCAGGCTGGTCTCGAACTCCTGGCCTCAAGTGATCCACCTGCCTTGGCCTCCTAAAGTGCTGGGATTACAGGCATGAGTCATTCAGGCCGGCCCTGAATTTTTCAAAGTTGCCACCACCAACACTTTGTTCTTAGTGTGTGGACAGTAGAGCAGGTTGAAGGGCCAAAAAACAAACAAGCAAGCAAGCAAACAAACAAACCAACAAACCAGCCTCATTTCCTTGTCTCTGGTATGTTGAGAAAGTGGACCCTAGAGTTCAGTACCACTCCTCCTACCTTTGAGCCCAACTCATGATTTAAGATGTTGAAGTGCCCAATAAGGACCACATGGAAGCCTCCCTCAAAGAGTGTGGCACATGCTGCAACCCATAGGAAAGGGATTAGAATGCAGGTTTTTTTTCCATTTAGGGAGGAAGGAGCAGGAAATTTAGTAGGTAAGTAAAAGTAAGTACAAAGGCACAGCTACGAAGAAAAGGTACTTTTTCTGCAACTAGATATGCTACCACTAGGTGGAGCCAGACTCTCCTGGCATGGAACTTTTTTTTTTTTTTTTTTTTGACACGGAGTCTCGCCCTTGTCGCCCAGGCTGGAGTGCTGTGGCGCGATCTCGGCTCACTGCAACCTCCACCTCCCGAGTTCAAACAATTCTTCTGCCTCAGCCTCTCGAGTAGCTGGAATTACACGCGCCCGCCACCACACCTGGCTAAATTTTTTTGTAGTTTTAGTAGAGACGGGGTTTCACCATGTTGGCCAGGCTGGTTTTGAACTCCTGACCTCAAGTGATCCGCCCGCGTCGGCCTTCCAAAGTGCTAGGATTACAGGCGTGAGCCACCACGCCCAGTCTGACATGGAACTTCTAAACAGTGATGCTACGTAACAGGCCTGGTTCGCTGGAGATAAGTAAGAGGGGATAAAAATAGTTAACCTTACCTATCTGATTGGCAAAAATTCAAAAGCTTGATAGGGAGTCTATCTGAGCCTGGGCAGGTTCTGGAAGCTGCCCAATTTAAAAAAAACAATGGCGCCTGGTGCGGCGGCTCACGCCTGTAATCTCAGCACTTTGGGAGGCCGAGGCAGGTGGATCACGAGGTTAGGAGTTCAAGACCAGCCTGACCAACATGGTAAAACCCCGTTTCTACCAAAAATACAAAAATTAGCTGGGCGTGGTGGCACGCGCCTGTAATCCCAGCTACTGAGGAGGCTGAGGCAGGACAATCGCGTGAACCCAGGAGGCGGAGGTTTCAGTGAGCCGAGATCACGCCACTGCACTCCAGCCTGGGCAACAGAGCAAGTCTCCGTCTCAAAAAAAAAAAAAAAAAAAAAAAGGAAAATAAAAGACAAATGGCTGGGCATGGTGGCTCACACCTATAATCCAAGCACTTTGGAAGGCTGAGGTGGAAGGATTGCTTGGGGCCAAGAGTTTGAGACTAGCCTGGGCAACAAAGTGAGACCCTGTCTCTATGAGAAAATTAAAAAAAAAAAGGCCACCTTTTTGATACGAAAGGAGGGGAAATAAGAAAGCATACTATATTTGCTTATTTTTGCAGAAACAAACACAGGAAGGAAAATAAACTAAATTGGTTATTTCAAGAGGTAGATAAGGTCTAGATGAAATAGATACATGATCGGCCGGGCGCGGTGGCTCACACCTGTAATCCCAGGACTTTGGGAGACTGAGGCGGGCGGATCACGAGGTCAGGAGATCGAGACCATCCTGGCTAACACGGTGAAACCCAGTCTCTACTGAAAATACAAAAAATTGGCCGGGCGTGGTGGTGGGCACCTGTAGTCCCAGCGACTTGGGAGGCTGAGGCAGGAGAATGGTGTGAACCCCAGAGGCGGAGCTTGCAGTGAGCCCAGATCGCGCCACTGCACTCTAGCCTGGGCGACAGAGCGAGACTCTGTCTCAAAAAAATAAAAATAAAAATAGATACATGATGGAGTATTACTTCTCTGAGTTTATTTACCATTTTGTCTAGTTTTGACTTCTGGATCCATGTTAATGTTTTGCACATTAAAAAAAGTTGACAAGAAAAAATATGCAGAACATGCTTGTCCTCAGGCTTGTCAGAGACTCCTATAACCATATAAAGAAGCTGAGGGTTGATCATGCTTGAGCTATGATACTTATTAAAATAGTACTAGAAAGACAAATAGAATGTAGCATGGCAAAAGAGCTGCACATTTTGGGAGAAGGCATTTATTTGTAGGGGCTGAAATGTGCTAGCTCGAGAATCAGACCTAAGAATTACAAGGTGATTAACCAAAGGAAAAAGTCTCTGGAAGTAGAAAACTAAAAAGAAGGTTTGGAACAGGCTGGAAGTGAGATTGAAGCATATCACAGAAATGTTAGACATTCTTCAATGTCAGTGCCTTGGATGAATTTATAAGGCTTTGCCTTAAAGTTACTTGTGGGCTTATAAAGCCTGTGTCAAAGCTAAACAAAGCCAGACAATAGTTTAGACAAGAAGTAAGGATAGGTATTTATTTATTTATTTGAGATGGAGTTTCACTCTTGTCGCCCAGGCTGGAGGGTAATGGCGCGATCTTGGCTCACCGCAACCTCCGTGTCCGGGGTTCAAGCGATTCTCCTGCCTCAGCCTCCTGAATAGCTGGGATTACAGGCATGCACCACCACGCCCGGCTAATTTTTTTGTATTTTTAGTGGAGACAGCGTTTCTCCATGTTGGTCAGGCTGGTTTTGAACTTTTGACCCCAGGTGATCTGCCCACCTCGGCCTCCCAAAGTGTTGGGATTACAGGCGTGAGCCACTGCACCCGGCCTAGGATAGGTTTTTTTAAGTAGTAACTATTGCAGTAGGGAAGAGGGCCCAAGGTGAACTGAACTTAACTTCCTTAAAAAAAAAAAAAATGCAGGAGGCCTTTTGAAGGCTGGGATGTGCTAAGGGATAGGCATGAAGATATTAAGGAGAATTGCTCCATGTGACTAGACAATCTGGATTTGTGAATTGGCTCTTGTCCAGAAGAGAAATAAGCACCTATTTTTACGACAGGAGCTAGTAGTGCAAGTTAGAGCAAGGCACCCACCTGGTTGGGAGCTGGAGCAAGATTTATTTCCTCAAATGTTTGCATTTCAAAGAAACTCTCAGGTCCCAGTGAAAATAGCTCTGGGTAGAAGATTTACATCTCAAAGAGGCAGAGAAAGATGTTTTAATTGCAAGCTTTCTTTCTAAGTAATTGCACTAAGATGAAGTTCAGGGGCCTGTGTCTATTGCTAGGTTTGGGCTGGGATGCACAGTAAATTTTTCTGACAGCGATGAGCTTTTTCAGGCAGGCATTTTAAGCGGGGGGCTGAGGTCCTCCTAGGGACAAGGCCTTAAGTTGCTAGAAGCCATGCTAGAGCTTGGTTAAGGAGAGTCTTTGTTACCTGGCGTCTCTCTGCAGTGCCGTTTCAATGCCTTAGAGCAAGAGAGTGGTGGATGGACAGTGATAGTGATTCACGTGCGCAATTCACAACTTGCATTAGCAACCAGGCAAAAGCAAGTGCTGCTTTTAGAGGCCTTGGGAAGAATTTCCACAAGTTTCCGGCCATTGGGATACAGGGGAAAAGGGATTGGAGGGAGGCTCATCGGGAACAATACATTAGGTAATGTTGGGGTTTATAAATCGATACCCCCAAATATAGTACTGAACCGAAGAAGCAACCTGAAGATCTCTCTGACCTTCCCCGCTCCACACGGTCTCTCCCAAAAAGCTGAAGTTCCTTTATTTGCCTAAGATCCAGACCCTCCAAGGAGAACAGTAGGTTTCTTTTCCTCCTGTAAGACCAAAAATGTAACCACACCTGAACAGACCTTTTCATGAGTTAATGCCTGCTTCTCATGGTCATCTAAATTCCAAAGAAAACTATTTACAAGTTAATTTGTTTCCTGATCAAATCATTCTCTTTAGTAATCATTTATTGCCCATCAACAGAATTCCTTTTCTCCCGCAGGATCCAAACTCATTCTTTCTGTAACCTCATGATGGCGTATAAGCTTTTGCACCTCACTGGGAGGTTGGGTCTTCATTCTGAAGGCTTCTATGTATACATATTAAATAAGTTTGTATGCCTTTTTTCCTATTAATCTGCCTTGCGTCAGTGATTTTCAGCAAACTTCAGGGAGCCAAAGGCCTTGGCTCCCACAGTGATAATAAACAATATGACTTTTGGCTATCAAAATTCCTGCTGTTAGTTAAGGAAAAATTGTGACAGTTTCTGAAATGGACAAATACAGGCATCCTTCCAGTGGATTACTAGGATTTGTCTAGACTAGAGGACAGGATGCTTCTGGGGGTTTTCTGATTCTCTACAGGTCAGTATCCTTCCTTGTCTTGTACTGTTTTGCAACTCTAGAAAGAAAAGTTAAATATGTAGAAGCCTGACAGTGATACAAATGATCCCTGTTCATATTAATACAAATGCAAATTGTTTGCCTGGTAGAGATACAATTGATTTTCTCTCTGTAGAAAAAAAGATGATCCCAGCCAGGCGTGGTGGCTCACCCTGCAATTCCAGCACTTTGGGAGGCCGAGACAGGCAAATCACAAGGTCAGGAGTTCGAGACCAGCCTGGCCAATATGGTGAAACCCTGTCTCTACTAAAAATACAAAAATTAGCCAGGCGTGGTGGTGGGCGCCTGTAATCCCAGCTACTCTGGAGGGTGAGGCAGGAGAATTGCTTGAATCTGGGAGGCGGAGTTTGCAGTGAGCTGAGTCCTCGCCATTGCATTCCAGCTTGGGCAACAGAGTGAGATTACATCTCAAAAAAAAAAAAAAAAAAAAAAGAATCCCAGAAATTAAATGTTTTATATTTTTGCCACAAGAAAACACGTGCAAGTATGAAACTTTTTGTAAGGTCCTCTGAGCTGGCTGCACTATGGTCAAGCCACGGTGACATTCCCCCACCCTTGTGATAATGTACTTTGTGATACTCCTGTCCTTGTGAATGTACTTTGTAACATTCCTCCCCACCCTTGTGACAATACATCCTCCCTGCCCTTGTGACAATACACCCTCCCTGCCCTTGTGAATGTACTTTGTAACATCCTCCCCACCCTTGAGAATGTACTTTGTAATATCCATCCCCTGCCTGTAAAAAATTGCTCCTGACTACACCGCCTATCCCAAACCTATAAGAACCAATGATAATCCCACCACCTTTTGCTGACCCCTTTCTCGGACTCAGCCCACTCACACACAAGTGAATAAACAGCCATGTTGCTCACACTAAGCCTGTTCAGGTGGTCTCTTATGTGGACACGCATAACACTTTTATTATTATTATTATTAAAAAAGTAATAATAAAAAGAGACAGAGTTTTGCTCTTGTTGCCCAAGCTGGAGTGCAATGGCGTGATCTTGGCTTGCTGCAACCTCTGCCTCCTGGGTTCAAGCAGTTCTCCTGCATCAGCCTCCCAAGTACCTGGGACTACAAGCGTGCACCACCACGCCTGGCTAATTTTTTGTATTTTTAGTAGAAACGGGGTTTCACCATGTTAGCCAGGCTGGTCTCGAACTCTTGACCTCAGGTGATCCACCCGCCTTGGCCTCTCAAAGTGCTGGATTACAGGTGTGAGCCACCACGCCCAGCCGAAACTTTTATTTTTTATTTTTTTATTTGTTTGAGATGGAGTCTCTTGTTGCCTAGGCTGGAGTGCAATGGTGCGATCTTGGCTCACTGCAACCTCTGCCTCCTGGGTTCAAGCAATTCTCCTGCCTCAGCCTCCCGAGTAGCTGGGACTACAGGCGCACATCACCACGTCCAGCTAATTTTTGTATTTTTAGTAGAGATGGGGTTTCTCCATGTTGGCCAGGCTGGTCTTGAACTCCTGACCTCAGGTGATCTACCCGCCTCTGCCTCCCAAAGTGCTGGGATTACAGGCGTGAGCCACCGCAGCCAGCCAACTTTTATTTTTAATTGACAAATACTAATTGCATATATTTATGAGGTACAAGTGATATGTTGATACTTGTATACATTGTGGAATGATCAAATCAAGCTAATTAACATATACATCACAGCAAATATTATTTCTTTGTGGTGAGAATAATATACCTTAAATTATCTTTCAACTACCTAATGGAAGCTGTCAGAGCTAGCAGTCAGCAGCAGGGCAGAAGACAGGTTTGGCTGGCCTGAAGTTCATTTGATTGAGGATTTATTTATATATATAATATATTATGTATCATATAATATATTATATATAATATATTATGTATCATATAATATATTATATATAATATATTATGTATCATATAATATATTATGTATCATATAATATATTCTATATAATATATTATGTATCATATAATATATTCTATATAATATATTATGTATCATATAATATATTATATATAATATATTATGTATCATATATAATATAATATATTATTTATATATGTATTATATATTATATATTTTTATATATTATATATATTATTTATATATTATATATATTATTTATATATTATATATATTATTTATATGTTATATATTATATATTATTTATATATTATATATTATATATTATTTATATATTATATATTATTTATATATTATATATAATATATATTATTTATATTATATATAATATATATTATATATAATATATATTATTTATATATGTAATATATATATAATATATATATAGACAGCATCTAGCTCTGTTGCACAGGCTGGAGTGCAGTGGTGTGATCTCCACTCACTGCAAACTCTGCCTCCCAGGTTCAAGTGATTCTCCTGTCTCACTTCTCCTGTCTACTTCTCGAGTAGCTGGAACTACAGGCATGCGCCACCACGCCCAGCTAATTTTTGTATTTTTAGTAGAGACAGGGTTTCATCATGTTGGCCAGGCTGGTCTCGAACTCCTGACCTTAAGTGATCTGCCCACCTCGGCCTCCCCAAGTGCTGGGATTACAGGCGTGAGTCACTGAGCCCGGCACCGATTGAGGATCTCTTTAAGAAAAAATACAAAATTGGGTACAGGACCTTGGACGGGGGCCTGAAGCTTCAGTTACTTTAATATTGCAGTTATTGTCCCTGGAGCCGTGGTTCGCACTGTAATCCCAGCACTTTGGTAGGCCGAAGTGGGAGACCCGCTGGAGCCCAGGAGTTTGAGCCTGCCGTGAGTTATGATCTTTGGCACTGCACCACCGGGCGATAGAGCGAGACACTCTACATTAAAAAAAAAAAAAGGGAAAAAAAATCGTATTCTGCCTCTAATCATTGTTAAAAAAGTAATTTTCAGAAAAAAGTCAAATCATGAATAAAAGTGATATAGCGATATAAAAATGAACGCAGGTGAAGGACCTTATTTTACTTGTATGAGATAGCCAGGTAAATGTTATAACCGATTCAAGGGAGAATAGAAAAAACACAAATTTATACGGAGAGTAAAATAATGTTGAAATGCAAATGGACGCAAAAATTCGTTGGGGGCGTGGGAAAGGAAGTAATACAAATTAGGTAAGTCACAGAATTTACTATCAATTACCTACGACTTAAAATGCAGTACCTCAAAGAAGGAACCTGGAAGGATGTATACAATGCATTGAAATGCAGATTCTTTTCTACTTCAGCTTGAGACTGTCCCCGGTACCCCAGGGTTGTGGGTGTCTTTGGGATCTGGGACTCAGGCCTGACCTGGCTGGATTCCCAAAAGACAGAAGAAACTTCCATACCTGAGGTCCCTGCGAGTAGATTCGAGGCCGTTCTTTTTTATTTTTTTGAGACGGAGTCTCGCTCTGTTGCCCAGGCTGAAGTGCAGTGGCGCGATGTTGGCTCACTGAAACCTCCGCCTCCCGGGTTCACGCCATTCTCCTGCCTCAGCCTCCCAGCTGGGACTACAGGCGGGTGCCCCCGCGCCCGGCTAATTTTTTGTATTTTTAGTAGAGACGGGGTTTCACCATGTTAGCCAGATCTCGATCTCCTATCTCGTGATCCGCCGCCTCGGCCTCCCAAAGTGCTGGGATTACAGGGGCGTGCCACCACGCCCGGCCTCGAGGGTGTTCTTAAGATCCCACGGGGATCGCTTCTCACGGAGCTAGCCGAGCCTCTGGCTGGAGACTACGTCAGCTAATTCGCTTCCTCCTAAGGGAGGAGACCACCCCTCATATCGTCTTATGCCCAATTTCTGCCTCCAAAAAAAAGAAGTAAAAACTAAAAGGCAGAAATGAAATCCACAGGCCGACAGCCCAGGCCGCACCCTGGGCCTGGTAGTTAAAGATCGACCCCTGACCTAATCGGTTATGTTATCTATAGATTACAGACATTGTATAGAAATGCATTGTGAAAATCGCTATCCTGTTTTGTTCTGATCTAATTACCAGTGCGTGCAGCCCCCGGTCATGTACCCCCTGCTTGCTCAATCAATCACCACCCTCTCACACGCACCCCCTTAGAGTTGTGAGCCCTTAAAAAGGACAGGAATTGCTCACTTGGGGATCTCGGCTCTTGAGACAGGAGTCTTGCCAATGGCCCTCGCTGAATAAACCCCTTCCTTCTTTAACTCGGTGTCTGAGGAGTTTTGTCTGTGGCTAGTCCTGCTACACTCGGAGGCCAATCTGGCCCTAAGGGGAAGCGCTGGGGCCAGGAAGCCTGCTGTGCCGCCCCACGGCCAAGTTAGGGAGGAACGAACACCAAGACCTCGCGGTCTGGCTGAGCCCCGAGTGGCCCTGGATACGGCTCAGGGGGACACCGAGTGGCCGCTCGTCTTCTTGCTCTCCCTTGGGGCGGAAGACCTAATCGTGGAGGGGCTTTAATCCCCAGGCCTTGATTCTAAGAAGGTGTGGGTTCCAAATCTTTTTGTGCAAGGTGGCTCAGCCCCGTGGCATCTTCAAGGCACGGGGAGGAGCCATGCGCTAGGCTTGAAGCGGGGCAGCGGGGACGCGCGGGGATGTTCCCTGCGCAGGGTTTGGAGGTGTGGGTGAGTGCAGGGGCGCCGCCGCGTCCCCTCCTCCAGGCTTCCCGACCCCATTTCTTTTTTTTTCTTTTCTTTTCTTTTTTTTGAAATGGAGTCTCGCTTTTTCGCCCAGGCTGGAGTGCAGTGGCGCTATCTCGGCTCACTGCAAGCTGCGCCTCCTGTCCCGACCCCATTTCTGATACCTTGCAGCGACTGCGTCCCACTTCCCATCTCTGGGAGAGTAGATCCTGGCCAGACTGGTTCTGAACTTTTGTGATGCAGAATTATAGAAAGGGCAGAACTGAAAAGCCTGGGAGAGGCCAGCGCAAGGTATTTACGGGGAAGCTGACTTAATTTACATTGCAAAGAGCCGAGGGCTGGGGACCCGCCCTGGGAACTAGGGTGCGCAACTGGATTCTGTGGGTTAGGGGAGCGGGATTGGAGAAAATGAGGGAGAAGAGAAAGGGGATTATAAAAAGTATTACTGGCTGGGCGCGGTGGCTCACGCCTGTAATCCTAGCACTTTGGGAGGCCGAGGCGGGGGGATCACGAGGTCAGGGGATCGAGACCATCCTGGCTACCACAGTGAAACCCCGTCTCTACTAAAAATACAAAAAAATTAACCGGGCAAGGTGGCGGGCGGCTGAGGCAGGAGAATGGCGTGAACCTGGGAGGCGGAGTTTGCAGTGAGCCGAGATCGGCCACTGCACTCCAGCCTGGGCGACAATGTGAGACTCCGTCTCAAAAAAATAAGAAAAATAAAAAAAAGTATTACTGAGATTAAGGATTTATCCCCTTTCAATGTCTTTTGGGAGGCAGTGTAAAGAGGGCTTTTTCCCTCTAATTATTTTGTGCTTATTTGGAACATGATTTTCCCAATAGGATCCCTCCAGGAGACTTTTACACTTTAATGTCAAAAATTGTAACAAATATTATCACTAACACTGGTGTTTTGGGCTGAATTTTGTCCCCTCAAACCCTTAGGTTCAAGTTCTAACCTTCAGTACCTTTGAGAGTGTGACTGTATTTGGACATGGGGCCTTTAAAGAGGTTATTAAGGTTAAATGAGGTCATTAGGGTGGGCTCGAATCCAATGTGACTGGTGTTCTTATAAGAGATTAAGACACTAATACAGACCAAGGGTCGACTGCATGAGGAATAGCAAGAGGATGGCCATCTGCAGGCCAAGGAGAGAGGCCTCAGAAGAAACCAAACATGCTGACACCTTGATCTTGGATTTCTAGCCCCCAGAACTGTGAGACAATAAATTTCTGTTATTTAAGCCACTCAGTCTGTGGTTGTGTTACGAACTGATACAGCTGTACTTAAGGATGATGCCTATTGAATAGACTTTTAATTTTTTTTTTTAATTTCTCAAAAAAATAGAGACAGGGTCTCACTATGTTGTCCAGGCCAGTCTCAAATTCCTGGGCTCAAACAATCCTGCCTCAGCCTCCCAAAATGCTGGGATTACAGGAGTAATCCCACTGCCTGGCTGAGTATGCTTTTATTTATTTTAATTAATTAATTGATTTAGAGACATAATTTTGCCCTGTCTCCCAGGCGAGAGTGCAGTGGCCCCATCTCCGCTTACTGCAACCCCTGACTCCTGGGTTCAAGCAATTCTCCTGCCTCAGCCTCCCAAATAGCTGGGATTACAGGCATGGGCCACCACGCCAGGCTAATTTTTGTATTTTTAGTAGAGATGGTTTTCACTATGTTGGCCAGGCTGATCTTGAACTCCTGACCTCAGGTGATCTGCCTGTCTTGGCCTCCCAAAGTGCTGGGATTATAGGCCTGAGCCATGGCGCCCAGTCTGGTTGAGTATGCTTTTAATTTGTATAGGAAATATAATCTAAGCATTACTCCATATTTCCATTAATACTTGACAGTTTTACTCATAACTCAGTCTTACTTTACCGACAGTCTCGTGCCCCTTTGGATTTCTGAATCTTGTCTTGGAGTCAGAACCTACTGGGTCTCATAATTTTCTTTTCTTTTTTCTTTTATTTATTTTTTTGAGACGGAGTCTCGCTCTGTTGCCCACGCTGGAGTGCAGCAGTGCGATCTCAGCTCACTGCAACCTCAGCCTCCTGGGTTCAAGCAATTCTCCTGCCTCAGCCTCCTGAGTAGCTGGGACTACAGGTGACCACCACCAAGCCTGGCTAATTTTTTTTTTTTTTTTTTTGGTATTTTTAGTAGAGACGGGGTTTTACCATGTTGGCCAGGCTGGTCTTGAACTCCTGGGCTCAAGCAATTCACCCGCCTCATCCTCCCAAAGTTTTGGGATTATAGGCGTGAGCCAACACACCCAGCCTGGGGTCGTACTTTTCTCAAGGACTATAAAGTTCTTTTTTTTTTGAGAGACAGGATCTTGCTTTGTTACCCAGGCTGCAGTTCAGTGGTGCAATCATGGCTTGCTGCACCTTCAGGGCTCAGATGATCCTCCCACCTCATCCTCCTGAGTAGCTGGTAGTACAGGCACATGCTACCACAGCTGGCTAATTTTTTAGTTTTTTGTAGAGATGGAGTCTCGCTAGCTATGTTGCCTAGGCTGGTCTGGAATTTTTCGGCTCAAGCAATCCTCCCACCTTGGCCTCCCAAAGTGCTGAAATCATAGGCATGAGCCACTGTCTGGCCTAAAGTTCTTTTTTTCCAAGTCAAAATCTGCAGCTCACATTTCTACTAGGTTGGTCTCATGCAGTTGAGAGTCATGTAGTAGTTCTGCTTTAGGAATCATTCTTACAAAGGAAGATTTCCTTTATTGAGATATAGATTTCACATACAAAAGGGTAACTTCTATGTTTGCAGTTCTCAAAATAATCAGCTCAAAATAATCCTTATGCCCAAAAGGCATGTTTTGGGTGGCATACTCAGGTGTCCTACAGTCATATTTTGGGGTGGCATATTTTCATCTCCTCCATGAGATTTTCATCTCCTCCTGAGAATAGAGGTTTATATAGTCAGAAATGGCATGCTGAAATGTCAACTAAGTGTAGGGAAGGAAAAATGCCTTCTTCACCCCTCTAGATTCTGTAGCTGGTCTAAGAATTAAACTAATATAAGATTAACAGAAGAAAAACAATCTTATTTATTTATTTTTTTTTCGAGACAGCATCTCTCTCTTTGCCCAGGCTGGAGTGCAGTGGTGGGATCTCGGCTCACTGCAGCCTCACCCCCCGGGGCTCAAGTGATCCTCCCACCTCAGCCTCCCAGGGAGCTGGGACTACAGGTATGTGCCACGATGCCTGGCTAAGTTTTGTATTTTTGTAGAGATGGAGTTTTGGCATGTTGCCCAGACTGGCCTTGAACTTCTGAGATGAAGCGATCCTCCCTCCTCCTCAGCCTCCCAAAGTGCCGAGATTACAGGCGTGAACAAATACGCCTGTGAGCCATGGCACCCAGCCTAAAAAAACAATCGTAGGGGAGGAAAAATAATCTTCTCTCTTAGTTACATATATATAAGTGGGAGTCTGACAAAAATATGAAAGGCCAGGCGCGGCGGCTCACACCTGTGTAATCCCAGCACTTTGGGAGGCTGAGGCGGGTGGATCACTTGAGGTCAGGAGTTCGAGATCAGCCTGGCCAATATGGGGAAACCCCATCTCTACTAAAAATAATAGAAAAAAATTAGCTGAGCATGGCAGCACATGCCTGTAGTCCCCAGCTACTCTGGAGGCTGAGGCAGGAGAATTGCTTCAACCTGGGAGGTGGAGGTTGCAGTGAGCCAAGATCTTGCCACTGTACTCCAGCCTGGGCAACAGAGCAAGGCTCCTTCTCAAAAAAAATAAAATAAAATAAAAAGAGATTCAAAGTAGCCAGATGATTGAGGTTTACATGCCATCCTGAGCTACAGAAAGATATACGGGCTTGGGGCTTCTATAGGGTGGTGGAGGCAAATTATAGGAGGGTGAGGAGAGGAAATGTATGGTGAGTAAAAGTTGCTTGATTATGCAGATAGAAGTCTCTCAGGTGATTAAAGTTGTGTCAGATTAGCTCTCTTCCTGATACAGATACTTTTATTAATGGACATTTCTTTTCTTGCCCAGGGTCTAGTCTTGAACTCCTGGCCTTAAGCGATCCTCCTGCCTTGGCCTCCCAAAGTGCTGGGATTACAGGCTTGAGCCACCACAGCTGGCTGGAAATTTTCTTTTCAAATGTAAATTTCTCTTACTTAAGGGGAAACTTACACTTTTTTTTTTTTTTTGAGACAAAGTCTTCCTCTTGTCCCCCAGGCTGGAGTGCAATGGTGCGATCTCGGCTCACTGCAACCCCCGCCTCCTGGATTCAAGCTATTCTCCTGTCTCACCCTCCTGAGTAGCTGGGATTACAGGTGCCTGCCACCATGCTTGGCTAAGTTTTGTATTTTTAGTAGAGACGAGGTTTCACCATGTTGGCCAGGCTGGTCTTGAGCTCCTGACCTCGGTGATCCGCCCACCTCAGCCTCCCAAAGTGCAGGGATTACAGGCATGAGCCACCGCGCCCAGCCTTTTTTTTTTTTTTTTTTTCAGATGGAGTCGCCCTGTCACCAGGCTAGAGTGCAGTGGTGTGATCTCAGCTCTCTGCAACCTCTGCTCCCAGGCTGAAGTGATTCTTCTACCTCAGCCTCTCGAGTAGCTGGAACCACAGGTACACACTGCCATGCCTAACTATTTTTTAATATATTTTTTATTAGAGATGAGTTTCACTATGTTGCCCAGGCTGGTCTCAAACTCTGGACCTGAAGCGATCTGCCTGCCTTGGCCTCCCAAAGTGCTGGGGTTACAGGTGTGAGCCACCGCACTCGCCCCAACTATTTGTATTTCTATTAGGTTAAAATTTACAAGTTAATATGCAATTTCAGAGTGTAGGCCATAATTAATAGTAAATAGCAAATAAAAAATATATACCTTAAGGCTGGGCGTGGTGGCTCATGCCTGTAATCCCAGCACTTTGGGAGGCTGAGGTGGGTGCATCGATTGAGGTCAGGAGTTTGAGACTAGCCTGGGCGACATGCTGAAACGCCGTCTCTACTAAAAATACAAAAATTAGCCAGGCGTGGTGGTAAGTGCCTGTAATCCCAGTTACTTTGGAGGCTGAGGTAGGAGGATTGCTTGAGCCTGGGAGGTCCAGGCTGCAGTGAGCTGAGACAGAGCTGCACTGTAGCCCGAGTGACAGAGCGAGACCGTGTCTCAAAAAAAAAAAAATATATATATATGTATATATATATATATATATATATATATGTATATATATATGTGTATATATATATGTATATATATATATGTGTATATATATATGTATATATATATATATACTTAAATATACATATAAACATATTAAGTTTATATCACAGCATTCCTTTTTTTCTAAGTCTTCAAAATCCAGTGTATATTTAACACTCACAGCTCATCTAAATTTGTATCCTAAACTTCCATCAGAAATAGTGATATAGGAGTTGAAAAGAAATTATTCAGGCCGATAGTGAGGGTAAGGAAGTCCTGGATAAGGGTTCCTTTTAATTAAAAGCAGCCTCTAAATCATTTCTTTACGAACAAAGAGCCGCCTGTAAAATCGAGCTGCAGACACAGATAAGCAAGCTGGAAGCTTGCACGGGTGAATGTTGGCAGCTGTGCCAATAGGAAAAGGCTACCTGGGGGCCAGGCTTGTTCAACATGGAGGCTCCATCTTCCCTTTTCTTGTCAACAACGTGTACGATAAGGAGCAGACAACATGGCACCGGCCAGGTAGAAAATCCATTTGCATAATAAAAATGTTAGGGTGAGGCTGGGCGCGGTGGCTCACGCCTGTAATCCCAGCACTTTGGGAGGCTGAGGCGGGCGGATCACCTGAGGTCAGGAGTTCGAGACCAGCCTGACCAACATGGAGAAACCCAGTCTCTACTAAAAATACAAAATTAGCTGGGTGTTGTGGCGCAAGCCTGTAATCCTAGCTACTCGGGAGGATGAGGCAGGAGAATTGCTTGAACTCTGGAGGCAGAGGTTGCAGTGAGCTGAGATTGCGCCATTGCACTCCAGCCTGGGCAGCAAGAGGGAAACTCCGTCTCCAAAAAAAAGATTAGGATGGCTTGGCCAGCTCTTCCGGGGCTATGTAAACATCACACCTGGTCCAACCAATCTTTGGGCCCTCCTCCTCAAGCTCGTCTGTAAAACCTGTGCATTTCTCCAGGAAACCAGAAGACCCAGCCAGGCGCCCCAAGACCCATTCTCTTTTCTCTTTCTTCCGCCTATTAAACCTCTACTCTTAAGCTCACTCCACACGTGTCCGTGTCCTTGATCTCCTTGGCATGAGGCAACAATCCTCGGGTATTACCCCAGACGAACGGGACTGCTTCAATAATTGATCTACATTTAGGTTTCATAAAATTTACAGTTGAAAAAGTTGTTCCAAATAAAAGTAAAAACATACTTAAAACTTTTCCAATAACTGAACAGAGTATTGGTTCTTAAAATAAAATATTTGGTGCCTTATCCACATTTCACGTGCTCAATAATCACAAGTGGCTTGTGACTACAGAATCAGACAGTGTAGAACTAGAGAATTCCATAATCCGTGGGCGTCTCTGGGACCACACTTCTGTACGACATTGAAACAACATTCATTTATCCCTTTGCCTTTTTTCCAAGTTTAGGATAATTTTTTCTAAGAGTTCTGAGGGTATATTGTTTACCTTGATTAAAAAAAAATACTATTGGGATATAATTCCCATACCATATAAAGCACCCATTGTAAGTTACAATTGAATGCTTTTAAGTGTATTTACAGAGTTGTGTGACCATTACCACAATCAATTTTAGAACATTTTCATCACCCTAAACAGAAACCACCTCCCCATTAGCTGTCACGCTCCATTTCTCTTCTCTCCACCATAGTCCTAGGCAACTACTAATCTTCTTACTTTCTGTCTCTATGATTTGTCTATTTGTCTATTCTGGACTTTCACATGAGTGTTTAGTCTGTTTTGTAGCATGTATCAGTGCTTAATTTCCAAATAATAATTATATAGATTTGCCGTATTTTATGTATCTGTTCATCGGTTGATGGACATGTGTGTTATTTCTCCAGATTCTGTATATTGACTAACACACATTCTCAGCTGGGGTCACTCATGTGGCTGCATTCAGCTGGAAACTGGGCGGGGGTTCCTCAGCTCTCCACCACATGCCTCTGTCCATACGGTGTCTCATCCTCCAGGGCCTCATTACATGGCCCCTCTTTTTTCAGCAATATACCTTGGACTTCCTTACAACATGGAGGCTGGGTTCCAAGAGAGCCAAACAGAAGGTACCACTTCTTATGGGCTAAACTGCACCTTCATTATTGCCATGACATTCTATTGGTCAAAGAAGATCACAATGTCAGCCCATATTTAGGGAGAGGGAAAAGGACTCCACTTCTTTTCCTTTTTGAGATGGAGTCTCACTCTTGTTGCCCAGGCTGGATTGCAATGGCAGGATCTCAGCTCGCTGCAACCTCCACCTCCTGGGTTCAAGCGATTCTCCTGCCCCAGCCTCCCAAATAGCTGGGATTACAGGCGCCTGTCACCAGGCCTGGCTAATTTTTGTATTTTTAATAGAGACAGGATTTTGCCATGTTGGCCAGGCTGGTCTCAAACTCCTGACCTCAGGGGATCCACCTGCCTCGGACTCCCAAAGTTCTGGGATTACAGGCGTGAACCACCACACCCAGCATGGACTCCATTTCTTTAATTTTTTTTTTTTTTTTTTTTTTAAAGAGAAGGTCTCACTCTGTCACTCAGGCTACAGCCTCAACCACCTGGGCTCAAGCAATCCTCCTGCCTTAGCTTCTTGAGTACCTGGAACTACCGGCATGCACCACCATGCCCAGTTAATGTTTATTTTTATTTTTTGTAGAGTCAGGGTCTCACTATGTTGCTCAGGTTGGTCTTGAACTCCTGTCCTCAATCAATTCTTTCACCTCAGCCTCCAAAAGTGTTGGGATTACAGACGTGAGCTAGGGCACTGGCCAGGATTCTTCTCGATGCGAGGGAGGAGTGTTATGTGTGTATAGGGAGGGGAGAGATTGTGGGTGACATCTTTGGATTCTGTCTACTACATCCACATTTACCTTTCCTCCTGCAATTAGGCAGGGACTTTCACTAGTTTTGGACAAGGGGCTGTGAGCAAAAGCGACATATTTCATTTCCAAGCTGAAGCAAAAAAAAAAAAAAAAAAAAAAAAGGCCTGCACAATCTTCCAGATCTATTATCTCCTTCTGAAATCAAAAAGGTTTGATGGTAAAGTTACTGAGCTGCTCCATGGGAGATAGTTACCCTGGGAGTCACTCAGACGGGCAGCAGAGTTTGCATAAGCAACCAATAAACCTCTGTTATGTTAAGCTACTGGAGTTTTGAAGTTGTTGGCTAGGGCAGCATCACAGAGCCCATTTTTTTTTTTTGAGACTGAGTTTCACTCTTGTTGCCCAGGCTGGAGTGCAATGGCGCAATCTTGCCTCACCACAACCTCTGCCTCCTGGGTTCAAGCGCTTCTCCTGCCTCAGCCTCCTGAGTAGCTGGGATTACAGGCATGCGCCACCATGCCCAGCTAATTTTGTATTTTTAGATGAGACGGGTTTCTCTATATTGGTCAGGCTGGTCTCGAACTCCCGACATCAGGTGATCCACTTGCCCCGGCCTCCCAAAGTGCTAGGATAACAGGTGTGAGCCATCGTGCCCGGCTGCACAGAGCCCATCTTGATGAAAACACATGACTTATGTCCTTACTTTGCCTCTAACCCTGACATTGATGCTCCTACAGCTCTACAGTTTGGCTCCTTGCCTCATCTGTTGCCCCTTTATACTGTTGCTTCCGACTTCTCTGGGTGAACTTTTGCCTAATACAGCTTGGTCCTGGGACTTTACACCCCTGGTGGTTGGTGTACCTGCCAGGTTGGCCCTGGATTCTCCCCAGGACCTGTCACAGAGAACAGAGGGAAGTTGCAGCCAGGTAGTTGAAGGTTCTTGTGGCTGAGTAGGCAAAGGGATGCCGCGAAGTTTTTTTTAATTTGAAGAGGGATTTGAGGTAGAAAAGAGTTTGAAGAATAATTTGCTAATGAGAGCAGGATCTATGGCAGACTGGCAAAGTTGAAGAATTATCAGTAGGTTCACGCCAAATGTGGTAATAATTAGATTTGCATAATGCTTTTTATCTAAATTTTCACTTATAACATTCCTTGTTTATCTTCATAGTCCTATAAGATAAGCATTATTCTCTCTTTGTAGCTTGAAAGTCAAGGGTTAGAGAGGCTAGTGTTTTGCAGTATGTAAGAGGCAAAACAAGTACTTTGATTACACTCATCAATTCATTTATGCAATCTTATTTGATTTAATTAACATCCCTTTTTTGAATCCTGCTAGACTAGAGCTCCCAAGCCTTTGCATCATGGGACACACAGGAGGATACTCTTTGCCTGGTATTTCCAGGGCACATGCTCTTTGGTGTAGCCCATAGAGAACACTCTCGGATGGTGGGTGTTATGCCTAAAGTCTTTTGCCAAGATAATAAGAACTGAATTTAAGTATACAGAAAGAGCCACACAAATAATGTTTAAATATAATTTTAACTGGAGTAAAAATCTAAATGCCTATGAAAACACAATTTTAGATTCTGTATCACTATAAAAAATTTACAATCATCAGCATCTCCCGGGACACCTGTAACCTGTTTATGCCATACCAGGGTGCTATGATACATGAGCTCAGAAGCTCTGGGCTAGACACTGTACTCTGAACTGAGAGCACAAAGATGAAGGAGACAAAATCCCTATCCAGCAGAATTAAGTCCAACAGGAAAAGACCAACAAAACAATTCTTACAATGGAGTTTAATAAATCTGGTGATGGAAATATATTTAGGGTGTGTCTACCTCAGTCTATGGGGGTGAGGCTGTATTAGCCATTCCTTTTATTTTCTGATACTTTGACATCTTCACCTTAAACCTTGCTGACCCTGGACAGACAATCTCTCCTAGGTTTGGCTGATTCTTAGAGATAGCAAACAACTTGCCTGTGAGCATGCCTTTCATATGCAAAACGACCAATCCAGAGCCCATGCAACCAACTCCTCCAGCGAGGCTCGTATTCTGGGTTGCTATGCATCTGCCCTAATCATCCAGTGCCAGATACCAGACAACGAGGGACAGCCCCTGTGCCCCAGAGCCTGATGAAATTATTCAAACTAGCCAGGCCTAAACTTGCTCACCCTCCCTTGCCTATTCCTTTCTTCTTGTGAAAACCACAATAAAGGCTCTAGCCCACTTTCCCCCCTTGCTTTCACTGCCTCCTGACTCACCCCGGTGTTTCCCATGTAGCTCTGCCTCCTGCCATTTGCGTGGCATGGCCCCTTCCCTTGGGAACTGTGAGTATGACACTCTATCTTTCAAACTGCAGTTGTCTCCTGATCTATTTATCTTTCCATACCTAAATTATCATAAAAACCTATATTTTAACACAACTTGGCCAGGTGCCCTGGCTCATGCCTGTAATACCAGCACTGAGGGAAGCCGAAGTGGTTGGATCACGTGGTCAGGGGATCGAGACCATCCTGGCCAACATGGTGACACAGGGTCTCTACTAAAAATACAAAAATTCCCTGGGTGTGGTGGCGCGTGCCTGTAGTCCCATCTACTCAGGAGGCTGAGGCAAGAGAATCGCTTGAACCAGGGAGTCAGAGGTTGCAGTGAACTGAGTGCAGTGGCGGGATCTTGGCTCACTGCAACCTCCACCACCCGGGTTCAAGCGATTCTCCTGTCTCAGTCTCCTGAGTAGCTGGGACTACAGGCATGTGCCACCATGCCCAGCTAATTTTTTATATTTTTAATAGAGACGGGGTTTCACCATGTTGGCCAGGATGGTCTCTATCTCTTGACCTCAAGTGGTCCGCCCACCTCGCCCTCCCAAAGTGCTGGGATTACAGGCGTGAGCCACCGAGCCCAGCCAAGAGGGGAAGGTTTAAGACTTTAAGTGATATGTGGGAAGCAGAACCAACAGGATTTGAACCTGAGCCTTCCAACTCATAGCTTGAACTGGTGGTCAGTACTATTCTTTTTTTTTTTTTTTTTTTTGAGACGGTCTTGCTCTGTGGCCCAGGCTGGCGTGCAGTGGCGCAATCTCGGCTCACTGCAAGCTCTGCCTCCTGGGTTCACGCCTTTCTCCTGCCTCAGCCTCCTGAGTAGCTGGGACTACAGGAGCCCGCCACCACACCAGGCTAAATTTTTTTTGTATTTTTAGTAGAGACGGGGTTTCACCGTGTTAGCCAGGATGGTCTCAATCTCCTGACCTCGTGATTCTCCCACTTCGGCCTCCCAAAGTGCTGGGATTACAGGCGTGAGACACTGCACCCAGCCAGTGGTAGTACTATTCTTAGGCCCAGACAAAAAGGGCACCTGATTTGGGTCCTGTGCTTTAGAGGGCACTGCTCTAGTGTCCCTGGCCAAGCCCCTTTTCATAGAGTGAGGAGTGCATCCAGGTGTATCTTCTCTGCCACCTGGAGACAGCCTGCCTGCAGAAGTAAAGAATGGACAAGATACGCAAAAAGAAGAGCTGGAGATGGAGGGGCCTGATGATCTCATCTGAGTCTTGTACTTATCCCATCACACCCTGACTTTATCACCAGAATGCTCAGTTACATAGCTAATTAATTGTGCCATTTTTGTCTATGGTGGGTTGACATAGATTTATATTACAGATGTCTCCAGTGGTTCAACCTATGATTTTTTGACTTTATGATGTTCTGAAAGCAACATGAATTCAGAATATTCCTGGACTTACAGTGGAGCTCTGTTTAAATAAACTCATTATAAGTTGAAAATATCATAAGTCTAAAACACTCCTTTGACTCGTAATTTTTTTTTTTTTTTTTTTTTGAGATGGAGTTTCGCTCTTCTTGCCCAGGCTGGAGTGCAATGGTGTGATCTTGGCTCACCGCAACCTCCACCTCCCAGGTTCAAGCGATTCTCCTGCCTCAACCTCCCAAGTAGCTGGGATTACAGGCATGTGCCACCATGCCCGGCTAATTTTGCATTTTTAGTAGAGATGGGGTTTCTCCATGTTAGTCAGGCTGGTCTCGAACTCCCGACCTCAGGTGATCCACTCACCTTGGCCTCCCAAAGTGCTGGGATTACAGGCATGAGCCACCGCGCCCAGCTGACTTACAATATTTTCAACTTCCAATGGCTTTATTGGGATGGAGCCCCATGGTAAGTTGAGGAGCACCTGTACCTTTGATGAAAATTTCCTGACTACATAATCATTCAGTGGGTTCATCCTGTCCACTGCACAGACAAAATCAATTCACTGGGACCACAGCATTGCAGTAAAGAAAGAGTTTAATTGATACAAAGCCGGCCATGCCACATGGGAGATGGAGTTATTACTCACATCAATCTCCCCCAAAATTTGGAGGCTAAGGTTTTTCTTTTTCTTTCTTTCTTTTTTTTTTTTTTTTTTGAGATGGAGTCTCCCTCTGTCGCCCAGGCTGGAGTGCAGTGGCGCGATCTCGGTTCACTGCAGGCCCTGCCTCCCAGGTTCATGCCATTCTCCTGCCTCAGCCTCCCGAGTAGCTGGGACTACAGGCGCCCACCACCATGCCCGGCTAATTTTTTGTATTTTTTGTAGAGACTGGGTTTCACCGTGTTAGCCAGGATGGTCTCGATCTCCTGACCTCATGATCCACCCGCCTCAGCCTCCCAAAGTGCTGGGATTACAGGCGTGAGCCACCGCGCCTGGCGGGTTTTTCAAAGGTAGTTTGGTGGGCAGGGGCTAGGGTATGGGTGGGTGCTGCTGATTGGTTGGGGATGCCATGTGGAAAATGGTTCATGCACTGAGTCTGCTTCTGGGTGGGGGCTATAGGACCAGTTGAGTCAAGAGTCATGAGTCCAGGTGGGACCATCTGGTCATCAGAAATGCAAAATTCTAGCCTAGGCAACACAGTGAGGTTCTCTGTCTACAGAAAAAAAAAAAATTAGCCAGGTATGGTGGTGCATGCTTGTAGTCCTAGCTACTTGGGAGGCTGAGACTGAGGTGGAAGGATCACTTGAGCCTGGGAGGTTGAAGCTGCAGTGAACCATATTCGCACCACTGTACTCCAGACTGGGTGACAGGAAAGACCCTGTTTAAAAAAATACATAATCATAAACATAAATTATTTTCATTATTTATTTATTTATTTTTTGAAACGGAGTTTCACTCTTTTTGCCCAGGTTGGAGCGCAATGGTGTGATCTCAGCTCACTGAAACCTCTGCTGCCCGAGTTCAAGCAATTCTCCTGCTTCAGCTTCCCAAGTAGCTGGGATTACAGGCACCCACCACCATGCCCAGCTAGTTTTTTTTGTATTTTTAGTAGAGACAGGGTTTCACCATGTTGGCCAGGCTGGTCTCGAACTCCTAACCTCAGGTGATCTGCCTGCCTCAGCTTCCCAAAGTGCTGAGATTACAGGCATGAGCCACTGCGCCCAGCCAAACATAAATTATTTTCAATAAGAACTTTTTATTGTGGTAAAAAATACATAACAAAATTTATTATCATTGCCATATTTAAGTGTAGAGGTTTTGTTTTTTTTTTTTTTTTTTTTGGTAGAGTCTCACTCTGTTGCCCAGGCTGGAGTGCAGTGGCATGATCTCAGTGCAGTGCAACCTCTGCCTCCTGGGTTCAAGCGATTCTCGTGCCTCAGCCTTCCAAGTAGCTGGGATTGCAGGCATGCGCCACCACGCCTGGCTAATTTTTGTATTTTAGTACAGACAGGGTCTTGCCATGTTGGCCAGGCTGGTCTTGAACTCCTGGCTTCAAGTGATCCACCTGCCTCAGCCTCCCAAAGTACTGGGATTACAGACATGAGCCACTGTTTTAAGTGTCTTAAGTGTAGAGTTCTGTCGCTTGAATCTGGGAGGCAGAAGTTGCAGTGAGCCAAGATCACACCAGTGCACTCCAGCCTGGGTGACAGACTGAGACTCTGTCTCAAAAAAAAAAAAAAAAAAAAAGTATAGAGTTCTATGGCATTGAGTACATTTACATTGTTGAGCAATAATTACCACTATTTATCTCCAGAGCTTTTCATCATCTCATACTATACCTATTTTTTGAAAAACTGGGTGTATTTTACTTCCAATCATACTATAGCCTTTAATCAATAACCTCCTATTTCTCCAACAGTCCCATTACTAGGTATCTACCCAAAGGAAAAGAAGTCATGCTATCAAAAAGACATCTGCACGTGTATGCTTATTGCACAATTCAAAATTGCAAAGACATGGAATTAACCTAAGTGCCCATCAACTGATGAATGGATAAAGAAAATATGGTATATGGGCCGGGCGCAGTGGCTCACGCCTGTAATCCCAGCACTTTGGGAGGCTGAGGTGGGTGGATCACCTGAGATCAGGAGTATGAGACCAGCCTGACCAACATGGTGAAATCCCATCTCTACCAAAAATACAAAAATTAGCCAGGCGTGGTGGCAGACACCTGTAGTCCCAGCTACTCGGGAGGCTGAAGCAGGAGAATCGCTTGAATCTGGGAGGTGGAGGTTGCAGTGAGCCAAGATCATGCCATTGCACTCCAGCCTGGGTGACAAGAGCAAAACTCTGTTTCAAAAAGCGAAAAAAAAAGAAAATATGGTATATGTATATAACATATATACATATACACCGTGGAATACCACTCAGCCATAAAATAGAATAAAACAATGTCTTTTGCAGCAACTTGGAGGGGGCTAGATGCCATTATTGTAAGTGAAATAACTCAGGAATCGAAAACCAAATAGTGCATGTTCTCACTTATGAGTGGGAGCCAAGCCATGGGTACACAAAAGCATACAGAGGGGTATAATGGACATTGGAGACTCAGAAGTGTAGAGAGTGAGAGGGGGTGAGGGATGAAAAACCACCTATTGGGTACAATGTACACTACTCAGGTGATGGGTACATTAAAATCCCAGACTTCACCACTGTACAATTCATCCCTGTAATAAAAAACCACTTGTACCTCTAAAGCCGTTGAAATTGAAGAAAAACCCCACGCCTCCCCATTCCTGCCTGCCAATTCCAGCCCCTGGTAATCACTGTTCTACTTTCTGTCTTTGTGTATTTGATTTTTATAGGTACCTCCTATAAGTGGAATCATTCAGTATTTATCTTTTTGTTTCTGACTTATTTCACTTAGCATAATCTTCAAGGTTCATTCATGTTGTACCATCTGTCAGACTTTCCTTCCTTCATTGGCTGTACATGCCACATTTAAAAAAAATTATTTTTGGTTGGGCATATTGGCATACGCCTGTAATCCCAGCACTTTGGGAGCCTGAGGCTGGCAGATTGCTTGATCTCAGGAGTTTGAGGCTGGCCTGGGCAACATGGCGGAACCCCATCTCTTTAAAAAAGCATATTTATATTTATATTTATTTTCTGTAATTTGTGAATCAAGCAGCCTCCAGAACCAGAATATGTTCAGAGAGACTCCTAATACCATGTTTTGTTATCCATTCATCTGTTGTTGAACGTTTGGGTTGTTTATACTTTTTGGCTATTGTGGAAAATGCTGCTATGAACATGGGTGTACAAATATCTGTAAAATTGAAAGCCCTTGCTTTTAATTCTTTTAGTATATACCCAAAAGTAGGATTGCTGGATGATGTGGTAATTCTGTTTATTATTATTATTTTTGTTTTTGGGACAGGGTCTTGTTCTGTTGCTCAACCTGGAGTGCAGTGGCACCATCAGAGCTCACTGTAACCTAAAGCTCCTGGGCTCAGGTGATCCTTCCACCCTCAGGCTCCTGAGTAGCTAGGACTATAGGCATGTGCCACCACACCTGGCTAATTTTTTTCTTAAAAAAATGTTTTAAAATAGTAATAGGGATCCCACTACATTTCCCAGGCTGGACTCCAACTCCTGACCTCAAACGAGTCTCTTGCATTGGCCTCCCAAAGAGCTGGAATTATGGGCATGGGCCATTGTGCCCAGCTGAATTCTGTTTACTTTTTTGAGGACCTGCCATATTGTTTTCTGCAGAGGTTGCACCATTTTACATTCCCACCAGCAATTCATAAGGGTTCCAATTTCTCTACCTTCATACCAACATTTCTTTTTTTTTTTTTTTTTTGAGATGGAGTTTTGCTCTTGTCGCACAGGCTGGAGTGCAATGGTGTGATCTTGGCTCACTGCAACCTCTGCCTCCTGGGTTCAAGCGATTCTTCTGCCTCAGACTCCCGAGTAGCTGAGATTACAGGTGCACACCACCATACCCAGCACATTTTTGTGTGTTTTTAGTAGAGACGGGGTTTCAACATATTGGCCAGGCTGGTCTCGAACTCCTGACCTCAAGTGATCCACCCACTTCGGCCTCCTAAAGTGTTGGGATTACAGGCATGAGCCATCGTGCCCGGCCCATTCATATCAACATTTCTTGTTTTCTGTTCACCTCCCTCGGTCCCCGTGGTAATAACCATACTAAAGGGTGTGAAGTGGTATTTCACTGTAGTTTTTTTTTTTTTTTTTTTTTTTTGAGACGGAGTCTCGCTCTGTCGCCCAGGCTGGAGTGCAGTGGCGCGATCTCGGCTCACTGCAAGCTCCGCCTCCCGGGTTCACGCCATTCTCCTGCCTCAGCCTCCCAAGTAGCTGGGACTACAGGCGCCCGCCACTACGCCCGGCTAATTTTTTGTATTTTTAGTAGAGACGGGGTTTCACCGTTTTAGCCGGGATGGTCTCGATCTCCTGACCTCGTGATCCGCCCACCTCGGCCTCCCAAAGTGCTGGGATTACAGGCGTGAGCCACCGCGCCCGGCCTTTCACTGTAGTTTTGATTTGCATTTCCCTAATGATGAGTGGTGTTGAATATCTTTTCATGTGCTTGTTGCCCATTCGTATACCTTCTTTGAAGAAATGTCTATCCAAGTCCTTTGTCCAGTTTTTTTTCCCAACATCATACTGTAAGTCCTACTTTGCCCAAATTTTTAATTGGGTTGCTTGCTTTTTTGTCGTTGAGTCATAAATATAAGTTTATAAAAGTTAAATGCATGTTTCAATTGAATTTGTTTATATTGTTTGGGCAGTCTTCCAAACATTTTAATTTTGAGAAATATTTTTAAAATTGCAACAAAGTTTTGAAACAATTTTTGAACTGCAGTCAAAACATTTTTGTTTTTTTTTCTGTTTGAGATGGAGTCTCCCTCTGTTGCCCAGGCTGGAGTGCAGTGGCACGATCTCGGCTCACTGCAACCTTTGCCTCCCGGGTTCAAGGATTCTTCTGCCTCAGCCTCCCGAGTAGCTGGGACTACAGGCGCTCATCACCACACCCAGCTAATTTTTTTCGTATTTTTAGTAGAGATGGGGTTTCACCATATTGGCCAGGCTGGTCTCAAACTCCTGACCTCGTGATCCACCTGCCTTGGCCTCCCAAAGTGCTGGGATTACAGGTGTGAGCTACTGCGTCCGGCCCTTTTTTCTTTTGAGATGGAGTCTTGCTCTGTCGCCCAGGCTGGAGTGCAATGGCGCGATCTTGGCTCACTGCAACCTCCACCTCCCAGGTTCGAGCAATTCTCTGCCTCAGCCTCCCGAGTAGCTGAGATTACAGATGCACGTCAGCATGCCCGTCTAATTTTTTTTTATTTTTAATAGAGATGGGGTTTCACCATCTTGGAGAGGTTGGTCTTGAACTCCTGACCTTTTGATCCACCTGCCTCAGCCTTCCAAAGTGTTGGGATTACAGGCGTGAGTCACCGCTCCTGATACAGTCAAAACATTAAAAAAAATTTTTTTTTTTTTTTGAGACAGAGTCTTGCTCTGTGACTGAGGCTGGAGTGCAGTGGCACCATCTTGGCTTACTGCAACCTCCACCTCCTGGGTTCAAGCGATTCTCCTCCCTCAGCCTCCTGAGTAGCTGGGATTACAGGTGTCCCACACCATGCCTCGCTAATTAAAACAGTTTATTACTAACAAGATACTGAACTATTTTTACACCAAACCCAGTCTTGCTGAAGATCTGGCATTAATTAGCAAACACAAGGATCAATAAGTGATTGCTGGAAACAGGACTTTTCTGAACTTCAAAGGAGAGCAGGAGAACCTAGGCCAGCAGGACACCTGCACAGGTCCAGCTTATCGCCTGTGCCCTTTCCCTCCCTCTCCTTCCTCCCAAAACTACAGCCCATTTGACAAAGCAAGGCTCATTCAGGTGAGTTTGGGTTGGCTGAGGATTCCCTTTGATGCCACATTATCTGGGGAGCAGACATGAAGGAGCAGATGGTATGTTCCACAACTCCAAAGCAGTTTAATGTTATCTAGTATTTGTGCGGTGTTTTATAGGCTCTAAAGTGTTAACACATGTCATTCCATTTTATGCTCATAATAACCCCGTGAGAGGCCTTAATATCTTCACTTTACGACTGGGGAAATGGAGCTTCCCCAAGGGAATGGTAAGTGTTTGCTTTCCTAATCATGCTGCCGTACTGTCTTGGTCCACTTTTTACTCCTGGGCCTTTATTTCTGGGTCTTTATCCTTGTTTGGGTGTGTGCTCAGAGGACTCTCTTGGATCTGGGCCTTCCTTTGCTTGTGAGCCCAGGAATGGGTGTTTCAGCTCTATCATTCTTCCCCTGGTGCTGGATCAATTTCCTTTGCCAGAAGGCTGCAGGCTTCACTGTGCTCTGTGGATACGATGAATTTTAAAGGTCTTTGGCTGAGAAAAGTTTCTTCCAACTTGGAGTAAAAATGGAAAACGTGTCTCCCAAATGCACTATGATGTTGCTTGAGTAAGAGTGATAAGAAGGCCGGGCGCAGTGGCTCACACCTGTAATCCCAGCACTGTGGGAGGCCAAGGCGGGCGGATCACTTGAAGTGGGGAGTTCGAGACCAGCCTGGGTAACATGGAGAAAACCCGCCTCTACTAAAAATACAAAAAATTAGCTGGGCATGGTGGTGGGCACCTATAATCCCAGCTACTCAGGAGGCTGAGGCAGGAGAATCGCTTGAGCCCAGGAGACAGAGGTTGCAGTGAGTCGAGATCACACCACTGCACTCCAGCCTGGGCGACAGAGCAAGACAAAAAACAAATAAACAAACAAACAAACAAAAACAAACAAACAAAAAACAGAGAAAAGAGTAATAAGTATTTTTGGAATAACACTGAGAACACACTGTCAAATCCCTGCATTCCCTATCTTATCCTTAAAGGTTTCCTCATCTCACTTTGGTTTTCAGCAAACCCCTTATCTCTACTTAACAGGTGAGAATAGTAACTCCTGGAGAAGTAAAGAGACCAGTCTGAATTCATACGATTGACCAGAAGGAGGTATAAATCTTTTTCTCAGGCTCCTCTTTCCATTTCAACCACCAGTGGAAATGCACAAAAATTACAAGTAGAATAAGATTTCATGGTGATTTGTTTTCCAGGAGAAATAGAATGGGTTCCATTTCCTGAATTTTCAGGGCACATTTTGTAATTTAGTACAACAATTAGGATTTCCCAGTTTTATCACAGCTAAATAAATAAATCAATAATATTGGGGTGATATTGAAACACATTTAATAATAAATATACTTCATTGAATCCTTTTTGCTTGCTGTAATAATTTTTACTTATTTTTCATGCAGTTGTTATCACTTAGTGTTTTTTTTTGTTGTTGTTGTTTTTGAGACAGAGTCTTGCTCTGTCGTCCAGGCTGGAATGCACTGGTTCACTGTAGCCTAAACCTCTTGGGCTCAAGCAGTTCTCCCACCTTAGCCTCCCAAGTAGCTGGGACCACAGACATGCACCACTATGCCTGGCTAATTTTTTTTTTTATAGAAATGGGGTCCCACTATGTTTCCCAGGCTGGTCTCAAGTTCTGCTCCTGGCTTCAAGCAGCCCTCCTACCTCAGCCTCCCAAAGTGCTGGGATTACAGGTGTGAGCCACCATCCTGGCCATCACTTTACTTTTTAGAAGTTGTTTTTTTTTAGATGGAGTTTTGCTCTTACTGCCCAGGCTAAAGTGCAATGGCGCCGTCTCAGCTCACTGAAACCTCTGCCTCCCAGGTTCAAGCGATTCTCCTGCCTCAGCCTCCTGAGTACCTGGGATTGCAGATGCCCACCACCACGCCCAGCTAATTTTTGTATTTTTAGTAGAGATGGAGTTTCACCATGTTGGCCAGGCTGGTCTTGAACTCCTGACCCCAGGTGATCTGCCCGCTTTGACCTCCCAAAGTGCTGGGATTACAGACGTGAGCCACCTTACCTGACCTAGAAGTATTTTATATTGCAGAAAAAAACTATAGAAATTTGTTTTATTGCCAGGGAAATATTTAGAAATTTGGACTGACATCACCATGATAATTTACAGTAATGGGAAGGCATTGACCTCAAGAACTTAGGGAACAATTGATCATTCCTGGAAACAGAGCATTTTGTGACTTGCAGAGTAAACTTTGGGCCAGCGGTGTTTTCCCCAGATCCTACTGTAATTTGACCCTTCCTTCATCCCAAACCCACAGCCATTTGACACAAAAGGCATATTCAGGAGGGCTTCCCTTTGATGCCACAGTATCTGGGGAGCAGGCCTTAGGGAGCAGAAGGTGAGCCCAACAATGATAAAGAAATTAATATGATCTAATGTTTTCTTAATGTTTTATAGTGTACAAAGTGCATGGTTATTTGAACCTTGCAACAGTTCTATAAGGTCAGTACAAGTCCACAATTCCTTACCCACAATTCTAAAATTCCAAAAAAGCTATACCATATTCTATTACAAGGGTTGCGTTAGATTCTCTTGGAGATGTTAGCTATATATGGTATATATGGTATGTTAGCCATATATGGTAGCTATATATGGTATGTATATATGGTATATATGAACTGTTTCTTTTGCAAATCTTTAACTTTTTGAATTCTAAAACTCACCTGGTGCAGAGTTTTGGACAAGGAAATGTGGACCTGAATTGCTACCCCTATTTTACCTATGAGGAAACACAGACTTCTTGAAGGGACAGCCTTCCCCCTAGGACTCTTGGGCAGAGTGGGGATGATGAATTGTAAGTAGGTGGTAGTGAAGGTTGTGAAGGTTCCAGGTGAGGGTAACTTCTGTACACCCTGCCTCACTCTTTCTCTCCTGGTCTAACACAGCCTCTAAAGACCAAGGTGCCTGTAGTTTAGGCACTCATGGGTTACTCCATCTCCTAGCCTCTCCAACGATACGATTTCCAGCAGGAATGGCCTGCATCTGCAGGTGTGGGCTTTTCCTAGGAATTTTGCATTTCTCTTACCAGACAATTGAAACACCACCAATGGAGGAGATATTTAGCACAAAAGAACATAAGATTTATTTTTACAATCAAAAAGCAGTCCCAAATGGAATAATTAGTCTCAGGAGGCAGATTATTTTCTTTATTTATTTATTTTGAGACAGGGTTTTGCTCTGTTGCCCAGGCTGGAGTGCAGTAGCATGCTCACGGCTCACTGCAGCCTTGACCTCCCAGGCTCAAGTGATTCTCCCGCCTTGGCCTCCTGAAGAGCTGGGACTACAGGTATGCACCACCATGCCTGGCTAATTTGTGTGTGTGTGTGTGTGTGTGTGTGTGTGTGCACATGTTTTTTTTTTTTTTTTTTTTGAGACAGTCTCCCTCTGTCACTCAGGCTGAAGTGCAGTAGCATGATTTTCACTCACTGCAACCTCACCTCCCAGGTTCATGTGATTCTTGTGTCTCAGCTTCCCGAGTAGCTGGGACTACCAGCACAAGCCATCATGCCTGGCTAATTTTTGTACTTTCAGTAGAGATGGGGTTTTATCATTTTGGCCAGGCTGGTCTCCAACTCCTGACTTCAAGTGATCCACCCACCTTGGCCTCCCAAAGGGATGGGATTATAGGCGTGAGCCACCATGCCTGGCCAGATTTATTTTTTTAAACAAATTTATACAAAGATTCTACTGCAGACCAGGTCTTGTGATAGATTCCAGGAGGAGGTGGGTGGGTGGAAAAACAGAAGAGAATAACATTGATACCCTTTGCTTGTCTTCAAGATCAGGGGTTGGCGAACTCTAGACCATGGCCTGGTCTTGCATGGCCAGTGAGCTAAGAAGGGTTTCACATAAAAATTGTTAAAAATAAGCAAGCAAGCAAACAAAAAAGAAAGAAGAATATGCAACAAAGACTTATGTGGCCATAAAGTCTATTGTATTTGTTATCTGGTCCTTTACAGAAAAAAGGTTGCTGATGCTTGTCCAAGATGAGCAAATGAGGAAATTAGACATATAAGGAAATAACTAGCTCTGAACTATATATTAAAAAGGGTTATTATTATTATTATAATTTTTTTTTTGGGACGGAGTCTTGCTCTGTCACTCAGGCTGGAGTGCAGTGGTGTAATCTTGGCTCACTGCAACCTCTGCCTCCCAGGTTCAAGCAATTCTCCTGCTTCAGCCTCTGAGTAGCTGGGACTACAGGCGTGTGCCACCACTCCTGGATAATTTTTATATTTTTTGTAGAGATGGGGTTTTGCCATATTGCCCAGGCTGGTCTTGAACTCCTGAACTCAAGTGAATCTACTCACCTTGGCCTCCCAAAGTGCTGGGATTACAGGTGTGAGCCACCACGCCTGGCCTGGTCTTTGATTTTTAAAGTTAGTCTGAAATAAATATACAAGGAAGAATAAAAAATAAACTTTTTTTTTTTTCTGTGGCCCAGGCTGGAGTTTGGTGGCACAATCATTACTCACTGCCACCTAAACCTTCTGGGCTCAAGTGATCTTCCTGCCTCAGTCTCTTGAGTAGTTGGGCCTACAGGTGCAAATCTCCACACCTGGCTAATTTTTTTTTTTTTTAGAGACAGGGTTTCACTATGCTGCCCAGGCTGTTCTGGAACTCCTGGGCTCAAGTCATCCTCCTACCTCAGCTTCTCAAAGTGCTGGGATTACAGTTGTGAGCCACTGCGCCTGGCCCAAAGAAACACTTAATAAGGTTTTGCATTTGATAAACAACTATTTTATATGTACGTGTAAATGTAGGCATTAGCCTTCTTGGAATCACAATATGTTGTTAAGCTGTAATAATTTAAACGACATAGTACTCGTACAAAAATAGATGAATCGACCCTAAGTAAGAACTCATTTAATGCCTACTAAAGGCACTAATTGTGATGAAAGGCGGGGTGGAGTGGCTCATCCCTGTAATCCCAGCACTTTGGGAGGCTGAGGTGGGTGGGTCACCTGAGGTCAGGAGTTTGAGGTCAGCCTGACCAAAATAGTGAAACCCTGTCTCTACTAAAAATACAAAATTAGCCAGGCGTGGTGGCACATACCTGTAATCCCAGCTACTTGGGAGGCTGAGGCAGGAGAATCGCTTGAACCTGGGAAGCAGAGGTTGCAGTGAGCGGAGATCGTTACATTGCACTCTAGTCCGGGCAACCAGAGCGAAACTCCATCTCAAAAAAAAAAAAAAATTATGATGGAAAACAATCCATAAACAATGTTGGGAAAAAAAAATTTGCAAGATGAAGAAAGATCAATTTAGATGTTCACCTCAGATTTACATGAAAATTAATGCCAGAGGTATTAAAAATGAAATTTAAAATATCCAGAATTGGCCGGGCTTGGTGGCTCATGCCTGTAATGCCAGCACTTTGGGAGGCTGAGGCAGGTGGATCATGAGGTCAGGAGTTCAAGACCAGCCTGGCCAACATAGTGAAACCCCGTCTCTACTAAAAATACAAAAATTAGCTGGGCATGGTGGTGCGTGCCTGTAGTCCTAGCTACTCAGGAGGCTGAGGCAGGAGAATCGTTTGAACTCGGGAGGTGGAGGTAGCAGTAAGCCAAGATCATGCCACTGCACTCCAGCTTGGGCAACAGAGTGAGACTTTGTCTTAAAAAAAAAATCCAGAATTTACAAAGAAAGGTACTAAGTGGATAATAAACATTTATGAATATGTAATGGAAGCCTCAGGTCCCCTTTCTTCCAGCTACGTTTTCATTGCCATTCCCAGTAGTTCTGGTACTGCGGGAAAAATCTACTGTAGAAAATTACCCAATTCAACTGAAGAGTGCCAAGGAGACCTATTTTTCTCCTGTGTGTTTCTGCATTTCAGCCAGTTCCTGGGCTCTCATCTATTCCTTATCATCCATCTGTTTGGGGATGCCATTGTTTTTGTCTGGTTTCCTTTGTCCTGTTGTTCTTTCCCAAACAGGACACCACATCTCTTCCTTTTTTCCTCCAAAGCATTGGTAAACACCAAGCTGTTGCATGCATTCTAACTTTTATTGAGTATTTGATGGTGGAAACATGGCTTAGAGTAATTACAACAAAGGGGAGAAAACTGTAAAATTTTGCATTGGCCATTTTCATTCCTAAAATTTTTTTGGATTGGAGGAAGCGTTCATGTGTGTTTTTTAGTACCACCTGGAGTCAATTTCTTTCATTCAACTAATGCATATTGAAGGCCCACTGTGTGCCAGGCATTGTGCATAGGCCTGGACATCTGGTGGACAACCACAGACATAGATTCTGTCTCTATAAAGAAGGAGACAGGTATTAAGCAAATACCTATATAAATACTCAAATAAAAAAATTCAAAAGTTTCAGGAGAAGGAGCTTACAAAATCTTTCCAATAATAGTATCTTAGTATTCAGAGACAAAGGTCCATCAGAGTAGTATGACATCTTCCAGGTTTGTCCTCTATCCTCGTCTCCTTAGATTCCTGTCTGAGTCCAAGAGAGAGACAGACTGCAAGAGACACTGAAAGAACAGTGTCACTGAGGTCACTGAGACACCTGGAGACATGTCCTGGTCTGGTGCCCATCATGGGAGCAGTGAGGCGTTTCCCTTCTCCAGCACCCTATGAGGTGGATGACTTCCATGCCTTGAATAGCAAGAGATGTGCCGGAGGCCTGGGAGTGAGAGGAAGCAGTGCCTTAAACACCAGCAACTTGTCCCGACACCAGATCCAGCATCAGAGGCAGCAGGGATGCCAAATCATACGGTTGGTGTTCAGCTGTGGTGTGTGCCTACTGTGGTTTCAGTAGGCAGTGCTGAAAGGAGTCAGGGTGGGCTGGGAGTATGTGTGGAATGGAGAAATGTTTGTTAGCACACACAAGATGCCCCTTGGGATTATGGACTTAAAAGGGGACCAGAAGTCTCCTTACAATGGGAGGGCATGAAAGCCAGAGAAATTCCTGTCTCATTAATGCTAACTCACCATGACCCCTGGGCTGATGATACTCTAGGGAAGTATCAGTTATGTTAAAAAGAGTTAACAGGCTGGCTCGGTGGTTCACGCCCGTAATCCTAGCACTTGGGCAAGCTGAGGCAGGAGGATCAAGGTCAGGAGTTCTGGAGTAGCCTGGGTAACATGGGGAGACCCCGTTTCTACAGAAAAGAAAAGAGTTTTTTTTGTTTTTTGTTTTTTTTGAGATGGAGTTTCACTCTTGTTGCCCAGGCTGGAGTGCAATGGTGTGATCTCGGCTCACTGCAACCTCCGCCTCCTGGATTCAGGTGATTCTCCTGCCTCAGCCTCCTGAGTAGCTGGGATTACAGGCATGCACCACCACGACCGGCTAATTTTGTATTTTTAGTAGAGACCGGGTTTCTCCATGTTGGTCAGGCTGGTCTCGATCTTTTGACCTCAGATGATCCACCCACCTCGGCCTCCCAAAGTGCTGGGATTACAGGCGTGAGCCACCGCGCCCAGCCCAAAAAAAGAGTTTTTAATAATATGATGTTGATAATTGTACTGTGGTTATACATGACATATTCCTATTATTAGAAAACACACAGTTGGCCAGGCATGGTGGCTTACACCTATAATCCCAGCACTTGGGAGGCCGAGGCAGGTGGATCACGAGGTCACGAGTTCAAGACCAGCCTGGCCAAGATGGCAAAACCCCGTATCTACTAAAAATACAAAAATTAGCTGGGCGTGGTGGTGGGTGCCTGTAATCCCAGTTACTCGGGAGGCTGAGACAGGAGAATCACTTGAACCTGGGAGGCGGGGGTTGCAGTAAGCTGAGACCATGCCATTGCACTCCAACCTGGGTGACAGAGTGAGGCTCTGTGTCAAAAAACAAAACAAAATAAAAAAAACCCATACGCATTTATTTAAAGGTAAAAGCCCATGATGTATGTACCTTACCTTCAAATGGTTCAGAAAAAAATTTTGTGTGTGTGGGTGTATTTTATATACATATATCTATATATATATAGAGAGAGAGAGAGAGAACACGAAAGATAAAGCAAATGGGGTGAAATATTAACAATAGTTGAATCTAGGTAAAGGGCATATATGTGGCTTTATATTATTGTTATTTTTGCAACATTTAATAAATTTCAAATTGTTTCTAAACAGAGTTAATAAAACAATAAAATTACAGCAGGATACATGCAATAATTAGTGTTTGGACAGTGTATAGTGGGACAAAGGAAGGATCCATCAGCTTTGTCTGGTGATGGGGGTGTCAGGGAAGGCCTCATAGAGAAATTGGAGGAAAGATTGGAAGGATGATGTCTTCTTTTCCCATTTATTTATTATTATTATTATTATTATTATTTTGAGGTGAAGTCTTGCTCTGTTGCCCAGGCTGGAGTGCAGTGGAGCAGTCTTGGCTCACTGCAACCTCCACCTCCTGGGTTCAAGCAGTTCTCCTGTCTCAGCCTCCAGAGTAGCTGGGATTACGGGTGCACGCCACTGCACCCAGCTAAATTTTTGTATTTTTAGTAGAGACAGGGTTGCACCATGTTGGCTGGTCTTGAACTCCTGACCTCAGGTAATCCGCCCACCTCGGCCTCCCAAAGCGCTATGATTATAGGTGTGAGCCACTGTGCCTGGCCAATTATTATTCTTAATTAATTAATTTATTTTTCATGAGGTGTCACCTCAGTCTAAAAGGATGATTTCTTGACAGAGTTGTGTCTAGGGGGCCAGGGCATCTGGGGGAGGTGGGAGAGGGAGAACGCAGGGGAGGATTGTGACCTATCCACGAATCTGATTAGATACTGCTACATTGTATGGCCTGCCTTGGCAAAGCAGGATGCCCCTCCTCAGATGGCGACAGTCACCTGTGTGGCCAGGAACACAGCTCCCTGCTCCTCCAGCCAGTCGCACGTCCTTTCTCATTTCCACGGTCCCAGGCTCAGGTACCCTCAGAGGGAAGGGCTTCAGAGGGAGGGGCTAGCAGCCTAGGCTGCTCAGGGTTGGGCTGGGCAGGGCTCAGGTGGTTTGGCTCTCCACAGCTCTCCACATAAAGGGACCAGCACTTCACCCTTCATCAGGATCCTCTGCAGGGGAGCTCCGAGTGTCCACAGGAAGGGAACTATCAGCTCCTGGCATCTGTAAGGATGCTGTCCATGCTGGTGAGAAAAATGTTTTTGATCCATGTGTGTGGGAGCAATGATGCCAGCTCAGGTCTCAGTTTTAGAGATTTAGAGTTTCAGGGAAATGAGCCCATGGCCCCTTGGGTATTTGTAGTGTTGGACAGCCGTGGGGCATATTCCAGGAGGTTTTAGAATGCTCATGAGCCCATCACTTTCCATTTGAGGATTCCTGACTCAGAAAGGTTAGGAAGTAAGAACGAGAGGATGACAAAGGAAGGGCCAGCCAGTGACCTTGTGCATCTTGTTTTTCCTTAGAGGACAATGACCAGACTCTGCTTCCTGTTATTCTTCTCTGTGGCCACCAGTGGGTGCAGTGCAGGTAAATGGCTTCTGAGAGTAGGAGCTGCAGTTTCCTGGGCTCCCCTCTGCTGTGCAGGGCCTGGAGGGAGTAGAGCTGGGCAGGGCTCTGAAGTCAAGGGTCAAAGGGGAAGTTCTGGAGAGGCAGGGAACCCAGGCTAGGCAGCCAACTTGAGGTGTGGACTGGGTGCTGATTTCTGGCCTCTCCTGGGGTCTGGTCTGAAGCAGTCAGGGTGTTAGCTCAGGTATTTCCTAGGGCTTGATTCTCTGCTTCTGTGGCTGTGAGGGGTTCATGGGGTGAGAGAGTAAGAACTGTGTCCCTGCTCAGCTGCTCTTGTGGCCTTGGCCTTGGGATCTCCAGAGGCAGCTGGGTGATCAGTGCTGTGTCCAGGGTACACCCTCCTCTAGTCGCAGAGGAGGATATTGTGAGAATAGAATCCTCACAATTCTATTCTTCCAGTAGGCACAATAGTGATATTTTTTCATTGATACTGGGTTTATTGTTTATTTCAATCCATCAGTTAAAAAAAGCACATTTACATATGTCATCTCATTTGATCTCCATGCGTATAAAGAAGTTATTAATGACATCTTAAAGATGAAGAAAAAGGATCAGAGATGTTAAGTGTCTGCTCAAGGAGGCACTGTCATCAGGGTTTGTCTGGATTTTACCTTGAGTCCTGTAATTTTTTTTTTTTTAGACGGAGTCTTGCTCTGTTGCCCAGGTTGGAGTGCGGTGGCGTGATGTCGGCTCACTGCAACCTCCGTCTCCTGGGTTAAAGAGCTTCTCCTGCCTCAGCCTCCCCAGTAGCTGGGATTACAGGTGTGCACCACCACACCCCAGCTAATTTTTGTATTTTTAGTAGAGATGGGGTTTCACCATATTGACCAGGCTGTTCTTGAACTCCTGATCTTGTGATCCACCCTCCTCGGCCTCCGAAAGTGCTGGGATTACCGGCATGAGCCACTGTGCCTGGCCTGAGTCCTGTAATTTTACACTTTTTCCCGCTCTGCCAGGCTTTTGGAATGATTTCTAGGCTTTTAGACTTATATACATGGCCCTTCATCCACTGGCCTCTGTTAATTTTTCAGCTTTGGTTTCCAGACTTCTTTGTATTACAACATATGTTCCAGCCACAATAAGCGACTGACCTGTAGTTTTTGGCAGGCTGGGCTGGGCTGGGCTCTGTTATTGCTTCAGGCCATCTCATGTGCTTTCTTCTCTTCCTGGGGTGTACTCTCCCCTTTCCTTCCTGTCCTGTAGCCAGCTCCCATTCTCCCATCAAAATCAGCCTGCTCTGAGTTACAGCTGGTCCCTTCCCCAGCAGTTCCCAGGCCTCACCCCCGTTAGTGGGTTTGCCCTCCCATCTCAGTTGGGTCCCTTTCCATGTGCTCCTTCCTTGTAGAATGTAGTCTCTTGAAGAAATGTGTCAAATTGTCTTTGTCCGGTGTCTAGGTAGTTCACACAGTAGGTATTTAATTAAAATTAGTCGAGTGGAAGATTCCAGGTGTTTAACCTATACCAGCTGTTGGATCAGACCGTCTTAGCATAGGGAATCCCTGACCTCCTGGGACTTCAGAGCAGAGTGATGAGTTGATACAGGGGCAGAGATTGGCCAGGAAAGATGGCCTCAGTGGTCAGACTTCTAATGAGACTCATTCTCACATTTTCTAGCAGCAGCCTCTTCTCTTGAGATGCTCTCGAGGGAATTCGAAACCTGTGCCTTCTCCTTTTCTTCCCTGCCTAGAAGCTGCAAAGAAATCAAGGAACGCTGCCATAGTGCAGGTGGTGAGTAATGAACCAACTCAGCATTCTCTCTTTGAAGCCACTTTTTAGCTCAACAGAGCCCAGTCATGGAAATCAGGAGGGACATATCCATATGGAGCCTGTTCTGCCCCCAGCTCCTACTCAAGGAGGTTTCTAGTGGGAATTTTGAGGCTTTTGTGTCCCATTCCAGTCACAAAGTCTTCTGAACACAGAGAGAATGCAGTGTTCCTGGTGATGCTTATGGTGGTGGCAAGAACTGTGATGCGTCTGAGATTTGCCCCTACTTGCCCCAGGTTTATAGATGCTGGCAGAAAACCTGAAACTCCCGAGCCAGAGACAAAGAGCTTTATTAATCACAGAAATAGCAGTAGCCAGAGCATCAGCATTTTCTTGTACTGGGCCAGGTGACATCTGCCCAAGTAGTGGGTTTGTCAAGCTGGCTGACAAATGTGGCTGGCAAGGAAACAACAAACCCTTTTTAGAGCCAGAGAGTTTATTACTCACATAGCTAGCAAGTTCAAGATCGGCAAAAGTGTCAGCTTTTCCCATCCCTTGCCCCACAAGACAGCACAGAAAAGAGGGCGAGTGACAACACAACATGGGCAGTGGCTGAGGAGCCAGTCCATGCTGCCATAGCTGTTTCATAGCCTGTGTACCCTACGGGGTGGGGGTGAGTGAGGCAAAAAGCCTCATACCTCTTCAGAACCCAGGAGATGATGACACAGTTATGACAGCTGTCTCATGACAGCCTCCACGAAAGATGGGAAGGGGGGTGAGAAGTGACCTTGTTGCAGCTCCTCACAAGGTTCCCATCTTTCCATGTTTGGGGAAGACCACAGGCTTTCTGCCAAGACTTAGGTCAGCTGTCCCTATGTGGCCTATGCGCAAATGTGCAAGGTCACCAGGATGCCACCGTGGAGCCAGTCTCCTGCAAGCTTGTGAACAGGAGGGGAACTCTGAGCTTAGGGAAGCTGAATCTTATGAAGTGGGCACAACCTTTGCTCTGAGCTGCACAGAGGCCCTATCCTGCTGTAGAATCAGATGTGGCGTGTGCTGATTTCTGGCCTCTCCTGGCCACAGGGTGGCACTGTCGAGAGGGAGATACCATCTCTGTCTCTTCTAAGACTATTTGCTCTACAAACTCTTTGAAAAGATAGTGTGAAGCCAAGACAGTCAGTGCCTCTGCTCATAGGTGAGCAGAACACAAGATGCATGGAGCATCGTCTTCCAGCAAGTATGTGTTGGAGTCTTCTGAGTGTGCTTTTGACTTCCTAGGGCTTTTCTATTCACGGAGCTGAGATGAACCCTGAGCTCTCAGACAGGGAGGCTCTGGGCTGGTTCTCTCTACAGATGGCCTGTATTTTCTCCGCACCAAGAATGGTGTTGTCTACCAGACCTTCTGTGACATGACTTCTGGGGGTGGCGGCTGGACCCTGGTGGCCAGCGTGCACGAGAATGACATGCGTGGGAAGTGCACGGTGGGTGATCGCTGGTCCAGTCAGCAGGGCAACAAAGCAGACTACCCAGAGGGGGATGGCAACTGGGCCAACTACAACACCTTTGGATCTGCAGAGGCGGCCACGAGCGATGACTACAAGGTTGGTGCCACTTCTCTCCTACTTGGGTGAGGGTGAGGTGTGGAGTGTGGCTGGCCACCAGCCTGCAGGAGGGAGGGCTGGAAGGTGGGGATATGGGGAAGGGCTGGAGAAGAAGAGAGAAATACAGGACTTGAATCACAACTTCCTCTCAACAAGGCTGTTAGGGCCCTGGGTGGTGGTGGGATCATCAGCTGGGAGTGGGGTGTCTGAGCGTGGCTGGCCATCTGCCTACTGATCCCAGAGCTCTCAGCCCAGCTGAGGCTGCACATGTGGACCTTCTGCCTCCTGGTACCTCCTGGCCCAGTCAGGCTCAGTGTCTGTTGCTTTCCAGAACCCTGGCTACTACGACATCCAGGCCAAGGACCTGGGCATCTGGCATGTGCCCAACAAGTCCCCCATGCAGCATTGGAGAAACAGCGCCCTGCTGAGGTACCGCACCAACACTGGCTTCCTCCAGAGACTGGGACATAATCTGTTTGGCATCTACCAGGTACACAGGGCTGCTGGCTGGGGGGCACTTTCTTTGGTGAACAGAGATCGAAGTGTCTAGGGTAGGGGGCAGATCTGTCCTGTGGTT
This sequence comes from Homo sapiens, assembly GCF_000001405.40. NCBI lineage: Eukaryota > Metazoa > Chordata > Mammalia > Primates > Hominidae > Homo > Homo sapiens. The sequence goes on along the minus strand of NC_000001.11, from coordinate 160,950,465 downwards.
CCACATCACTACTGAGTGGTTGGCTGTTTCTCCTTCCTTTGATTCACTGTGAACTCATGTCTGGCCTCTCAGAAACTCTAAGCCAGCAAGGAAGAGGCCTGTGGGACAGGAAAGCATGGGGAGAAAGAGACAGGGACAAGGGGTTTGGGGCTGTTGGGGAGACACAGCTATGGGGAAAAGCAGTCACTATTATGAGGATTGGTTTTGGGTAATGGCAGTTAATTTGAAACCCCTCCTCCCCCCACACTGTGGCAGCATCTCTACTGTCCTCACAAAACCTTTCTTCTGGGTCTCTGCAGAAATACCCAGTGAAATACAGATCAGGGAAATGTTGGAATGACAATGGCCCAGCCATACCTGTGGTCTATGACTTTGGTGATGCTAAGAAGACTGCATCTTATTACTCACCGTATGGTCAACGTGAGTGTTTGCTCCCTAAGTCCAGTCATAAATATTTTCTTGTACTCTTGGAGAATGGTGGCAAATAACAACAATTAATAATTGCTAGTATTTACTGAGCACTTAAAATGCACCAGACTCTTGTCTTGGAACTTAACATGATTTTGTGTCATTTAATTACCATGAGAAAACTATGAAGTTAGAATTGCTGTTATCCCCATTTCACAGCACGTAATCCCAGGTTTCTTCATCACCACCTTGTATACTCTTATAATTGTGGGGAAAAGAAAAAGAGATCAGACTGTTACTGTGTCTATGTAGAAAGAAGTAGACATAAGAGACTCCATTTTGGTCTGTGCTGAGAAAAATTCTTCTGCCTTGAGATGCTGTTAATCTGTAACCCTACCCCCAACCCTGTGCTCACAGAGACATGTGCTGTGTTGACTCACGGTTTAATGGATTTAGGGCTGTGCAGGATGTGCTTTGTTAAACAAGTGCTTGAAGGCAGCATGCTTGTTAAAGGTCATCACCACTCTCTAATCTCAAGTACCCAGGGACACAATACACTGCGGAAGGCCGCAGGGACCTCTGTCTAGGAAAGCCAGGTATTGTCCAAGGTTTCTCCCCATGTGATAGCCTGAGATATGGCCTCGTGGGAAGGGAAAGACCTGACTGTCCCCCAGCCCGACACCCACAAAGGGTCTGTGCTGAGGAGGATTAGTAAAAGAGGAAGGCCTCTTTGCAGTTGAGATAAGAGGAAGGCATCTGTCTTCTGCTTATCCCTGGGCAATGGAATGTTTTGGTGTAAAACCCGATTGTATGTTCTATTTACTGAGATAGGAGAAAACCACCTTAGGGCTGGAGGTGAGACATGCTGGCGGCAATACTGCTTTTTAATGCACCGAGATGTTTATGTATGTGCACGTCAAAAGCACAGCACCTTTTCTTAACCTTGTTTATGACACAGACATTTGTTCACATGTTTTCCTGCTGACCCTCTCCCCACTATTACCCTATTGTCCTGCCACGTCCCCCTCTCTGAGATGGTAGAGATAATGATCAATAAATACTGAGGGAACTCAGAGACTGGTGCTGGTGCGGGTCCTCCTTATGCTGAGCGCCAGTCCCCTGGGCCCACTTTTCTTTCTCTATACTTTGTCGCTGTGTCTCTTTCTTTTCTCAGTCTCTCGTTCCACCCAACGAGGAACACCCACAGGTGTGGAGGGGCAGGCCACCCCTTCAATAATAGTTAAGAAAAGGTGCATACAAAACATTAGCTGGGCATGATGGCGCATGCCTGTAATCCCAGCTCCTCGGGAGGCTGAGGCAGGAGAATCGCTTGAACCTGGGAGGCGGAGGTTGCGGTGAGCTGAGTTCACACCACTGCACTCCAGCCTGGGCAACAAGAGCGAAACCCTGTCAAAAAAAAAAAAAAAAAAGTGCACACTGAGGTTCACAGGAAAGAACCACTAGCAGAGTGGTGAGAGAGATTTACTTTTGTTATGAAGGATAACTTTAATTATCTTACAAAAGACAGTTTTCAGTATAATAAGAGCACAGAAGTTAAGTTGTGGATAAAAAAATCAAAGACATCACTGTTTGCCTTTGATATTTTGATGAAAGCAGGTGATGGTCAGGGAAACTAACCCATGGTAATTGGATGAGAAGTGTGTAAACAGCAATAGGCAGCCACATCTGATCATTGCTTATTCCTGCTGGGCCTTCTCAGATCTTTTTGGTAATCTTTTTGTAGAGTCTAGTTTCTCCTGTAAGCTGTAAGCAGACCTGGGTCCTTTTGTGAGTCCCAGCCTTTGTCCTCTTGCCCCCTATGAACAGAGGTTTCCTTGGGGACAAGTTTAGGACTGACGTGCACCAGCCACTGGCCATAAAGGTACTGGGCTGCACCCCTACAGCCTGGGGTGTTTGGCTGTAGCCTCAGCTTTTGGCTTAGGGAATCCCTGGACTGGCCAATGGGATGCTGCTTCTAGTTCATCCTTTGACTACTTGGCTGTTTCTTCACCTCTTCTTTTTCAGGGGAATTTGTTGCAGGATTCGTTCAGTTCCGGGTGTTTAATAACGAGAGAGCAGCCAACGCCCTTTGTGCTGGGATAAAAGTTACTGGCTGTAACACTGAGCATGTGAGTTTTTGGGGAGATCAATGGCCCACGTGTGGGGAAAAGAAAGAGAGATCAGATTGTTACTGTGTCTATGTAGAAAAGGAAGACATAAGAAACTCCATTTTAATCTGTACTAAGAAAAATTGTTTCTGCTTTGAGATGCTGTTAACCTGTAACTTTAGCCCCAACTCTGTGCTCACAGAAACATGTGCTGTAATGAATCAAAGTTTAATGGATTTAGGGCTGTGCAGGATGTGCCTTGTTAACAATATGTTTGCAGGCAGTATGCTTGGTAAAAGTCATCGCCATTCTCCATTCTTGATAAACCAGGGACACAATGCACTGCGGAAAGCCGCAGGGACCTCTGCCCAAGAAAGCCTGGGTATTGTCCAAGGTTTTCCCCCACTGAGACAGCCTGAGATATGGCCTCATGGGAGAGGAAAGACCTTACCATCCCCCAGCCTGACACCCGTAAAGGGTCTGTGCTGAGGAGGAGTAGTGAAAGAGGAAGGCTTCTTTGCAGTTGAGGTAAGAGGAAGGCTTCTGTCTCCTGCTCATCCCTGGGAATGGAATGTCTGGGTGTAAAGCTGACCACTCCCATTCATTCTATTCTGAGATAGGAGAAAACCGCCCTGTGGCTGGAGGCGAGATATGCTGGCAGCAATACTGCTCTGATACTCTTTGCTACACTGAGATGTTTGGGTAAAGAGAAACATAAATCTAGCCTATGTGCACATCCGGGCACAGTACCTTTCCTTGAACTTATTCATGATACAGATTCCTTTGCTCACATGTTTCCCTGCTGACCTTCTCCTTACCTGTTGCCCTGCTACACTCCCCTCACTAAGATAGTAAAAATAATGATCAATAAATACTGAGGGAACTCAGAGGCTGGCACCGGAGCAGGTCCTCCGTATACTGAGTGCTGGTCCCCTGGTCCCACTGTTCTTTCTCTATACTTTGTCTCTGTGTCTTATTTCTTTTCTCAGTCTCTCATCCCACCTGACGAGAAATACCCACAGATGTGGAGGGGCTGGCCCCCTTCACCATGTGTGTGCATGGGTATGCACATGTGTGTACCTGTGTGGGGTGTATCAATGTGTGTCTCTGTGGTTACTCGCTTACTCTCATTCTGTTTACTCTCATTACTCTCCTGATGATGTCTTATGAATATAATTTATTTTTTATTTCTTTTTTTTTCTTTGAAGAGTCCTTTTCTTTCTTTTTTTTTTTCTTTGAGACAGAGTCTCGCTCTGTCACCAAGGCTGGAGTGCAGTGGCGCGATCTCAGCTTACTGCAAGCTCCACCTCCCGGGTTCATGCCATTCTCCTGCCTCAGCCTCCCGAGTTGCTGGGACTACAGGGGCCCACCACCACGCCCCACTAATTTTTTTTGTATTTTTAGTAGAGACGGGGTTTCACTATGTTAGCCAGGATGGTCTTGATCTCCTGACCTCGTGATCCGCCCGTCTCGGCCTCCCAAAGTGCTGGGATTACTGGCGTGAGCCACCACGCCCAGCCTGAAGAGTCCATATTTTTAATAAAAATTAAGTGGTACAAAGTTTGGAGTAGTAGATGCCAGAAGTTGAGTATAATTTATTTGTCTTTTAAATCTTATGTATTTATTTATTTATTTTTTGAGAGGGAGTTTCACTCTTGTTGCCTGGGCTAGAGTGCAATGGCAGGATCTCTGCTCACTGCAACCTCTGCCTCCCGGGTTCAAGTGTTTCTCCTGCCTCAGCCTCCTGAGTAGCTGGGATTACAGGAATGCACTGCCACACCCGGCTAATTTTTTTGTATTTTTAGTAGAGATGGGTTTAGTAGAGATGGGTTTCTCCATGTTCTCAAACTCCTGACCTCAGGCAATCTGCCCACTTTGGCATCCCAAAGTGCTGGGATTACAGGCATGAGTCACCGTGCCCGGCTGAGTATAATTTATTTTAATGGAATTCAGTTTATCAAACTTTTCATTTATGGTTAGTACTTTTAATGTTTTCTTTAAGATGTACCTCCTTACACCGAGGTCGTGAAAATATTCTCCAATATTAATCTTAACTTTTAGAAGCTTTATATTTTTATTGTTTTTCCAGTCTTGTAGGAGACAGCACCACAGTTGTAGTGGTGGGAGATTGTATTTGAGGGACATCCTGTGCCTAGGGGTTGGAGGAAGAGAGCGTCAGAGCCATCAAGAACAAGGGCATTCACTTAGGGCCCCCTTCCCTCCCCAACTGACAGTCTGAACTCACGGTTCCATCTTCCCTGCCCCAGCTTTCAGCTTTTTCATTTTCCAGCTAAGATGAGGCAGCTATTCTCTCATGGAGGGACTCGCAGATTAGAATTCGGAGGATGACGACCACGTGGGCAGTGGGGGTGGACTAGAGTATATGTCTTTATGCCCTTTTCCTTGACAAGTTTCTCTACTGGCTCTGTGCTCCTCAGACTGTCCATTAGTGCGTGTTTGTGTATGTTCCTGCATGCATTACTACTTTAAAATACATGCATAGGGCCAGGTGTGGTAGCTCACACCTGTAATCCTAGCACTTTGGGAGGCCGAGGCAGGCGGATAACTTGAGGTCTGGAGTTCGAGACCAGCCTTGCGCTCACTGGTGTCAGCAGCAAATCAAATTCCTCACAGTGTTTCTTCTTTCTGTTTCCCAGCACTGCATCGGTGGAGGAGGGTTCTTCCCACAGGGCAAACCCCGTCAGTGTGGGGACTTCTCCGCCTTTGACTGGGATGGATATGGAACTCACGTTAAGAGCAGCTGCAGTCGGGAGATAACGGAGGCGGCTGTACTCTTGTTCTATAGATGAGACAGAGCTCTGCGGTGTCAGGGCGAGAACCCATCTTCCAACCCCGGCTATTTGGAGACGGAAAAACTGGAATTCTAACAAGGAGGAGAGGAGACTAAATCACATCAATTTGCAACTCTATGTTTCTTTGAATTCTTTTTATAAATTGGCTGATGTGTTGAGGGATATTTTAAAAGAATACCTATGGTTCTGGTGAATTCCACCTCACATATTCTGGGCTTGCACAGTGGCTAGGAAGAACCCATTGAATAAAAATAAATGTTCACTTCAGCAACACATATACTAAAATTGGAACAATACAGAGAAGATTAGCAAAAAGATATAAAAAAATTGAAAAATAAAAAGACATTCTGGGCCAGGGATGGTGGCTCATGCCTGTAATCCCAGCACTTTGGGAGGCCGAGGCAGGTGGATTGCCTGAGGTCAGGAGTTTGAGACCAGCTTGGGCAACATGGCAAAACTTCATCTTTACAAGAAGTACAAAAATTAGCTAGGAAGTAATGCGTGCCTGTAGTCCCAGCTCCTCAGGAGGCTGAGGTGGAAGGTTGGCTTGAGCCAGGGAGGCAGAGGTTGCAGTGAGCCAAGATCTCGCCATTGTACTCCACCCTGGGTGACAGAGCAAAACTTTACCCAAAAAAAAAAAAAAAAAAAGAAAAGAAAAGAAAAATAAAGACAAAGACATTCTGGGTTTGGAATTTCAAGTCTCATCTGTCCCAGAACACAAGTATGTTCCTGTTTTTAGGAGATCCCTGAACTGGATTTAAGGACAAGAGAAAATATTTCATGTTAGTTCTTCCTAATGCACCTTTATTAGCTAATTAAATTAAGCCTTCAATATAAACATATTAAAGAAGAGAAACAGGAGATAGCACAATCACCCATTTCTTTTATTCTTCCAGCTTTAGCAGACAGGGTAGTCTCTCCAGAGGTGCATGTGCCTGGCCACATCTGGAATCCCAACTCTAGTTGCTTACTAAAAAGGAGAGATGGCCAGGTGTGGTGGCTCACACCTGTAATCCCAGCACTTTGGGAGGCCGAGGCAGGCGAATCACAAGGTCAGGAGTTTGAGACCAGACTAGCCAATATGGTGAAACTCCATCTCTACTACAAATACAAAAATTAGCCAGGTGTGGTGGTGTGCACCTGTAGTCCCAGGTACTCAGGAGGCTGAGGCAGGAGAATCGCTTGAACCCAGTAGGTGGGGGTTGCAGTGAGCCAAGATTGCACCACTGCACTCCAGCCTGGGTGACAGAGCGAGACTACATCTCAAAAAAAAAAAAAAAAAAAAAGAGAGCCAGGCATTCCAATCAGGTCTCAAACAGGATGTTGACTACAGCAGTCCTGGCTGGTGAAGAGGGCTTGGACGTCTTATAGTTTTTTTGCTCCAGGCTGGGTGCGGTGGCTCATGCCTGTAATCCCAGCACTTTGGGAGGTCGAGGCGGGTGGATCACGAGGTCAAGAGATCGAGAACATCCTGGCCAACATGGTGAAACCCCGTCTGTACTAAAAATACAAAAATTAGCTGGGTGTGGTGGTGGGTGCCTGTCATCCCAGCTACTCGGGAGGCTGAGGTAGGAGAATCACTTGAACCCCAGAGGCGGAGGTTGCAGTGAGCTGAGATCGTGCCACTGCACTCCAGCCTGGGCAACAGAGTGAGACTGCGTCTCAAACAAAACAACACAACACAAAACAAACAAACAAAAAGTGCTTTGCTCCAAATGCAAATCTAATCATAACATTTCCCAAACCCATTACCACACTTTTTCTCCATTGCTCCCTGTGGACTAGAGCATTGGTTTTCAAATGGGATGGGAGGTAGGAGATGTAGTGGTGATTTTACCTCTCAGATAGGGTTTTTCACCTCTCAGATAGGGTTGCCAGATTTAGCAAATAAAGATATGGAAGGCCAACTTAAATTTGCATTTCAGATAAACAATCGATAATATTTTTAGTATGTTTGTCCCATGCAATATTTTACCTGGCAACCCTACATCTAGGGAACATTTGGCAATGTCTGGAGACACCGCAATGAGTGGTGGTGGAAGGCCTGGCAGGAGCGCTACTGACATCTAGTGAATAGAGGCTGGAGATGCTGTGAAACACCTTACACTGCACAGGACATCCCTGCTCCATGACAAAGAATGGTCTGATCTCAAATGCCAGCTGTGCTGCCATTGAGAAACAGAGGATTTTGTTTAAATTCTATAGAATGGAAGTCATGAAGCCCTGACAGCTGAAGGCAATAAAGAACTTTTTTTTTTTTTTTTTGAGATGGAGTCTTGCTCTGTCGCTCAGGCTGGAGTACAGTGGCAAGATCTTGGCTCACTGCAACCTCTGCCTCCCAGGTTCATGCCATTCCCCTGCCTCAGCCTCCCAAGTAGCTGGGACTACAGGCACCCACGACCATGCCCGGCTAATTTTTTGTATTTTTGGTAGAGACAGGGTTTCACTGTGTTAGCCAGGATGGTCTTGATCTCCTGACCTCGTGATTTGCCTGCCTCAGCCTCCCAAAGTGCTGGGATTACAGGGCTGAGCCACCGTGCCAAGCCCAAGAGCATTTAAAAAAAGAGATTTAAGGCCAGGCATGGTGGCTCACGCCTGTAATCCCAGTACTTTGGGAGGCCAAGGGGAGCGGATCACCTGAGGTCAGGAGTTCGAGACCAGCCTGGCCAACTGGTGAAACCCCATCTCTACTAAAAATATTAAAAATTAGCTGGGTGTGATGGCAGGTGCCTGTAATTCCAGCTACTGGGGAGGCTGAGACAGGAGAATTGCTTGAACCTGAGAGGCGGAGGTTGCAGTGAGCTGAGATTGTGCCACTGCACTCCAGCCAGGGCAACAAATAGTGAAATTCCATCTCGAAAAAAAAAAAGATTTGAACAAATGTACCCAATGGCTTTTTTTGTGTGTTTTGTTTTTATAGTTTTCATAAGGGTCTATTTTATTATTGGTGGGTAACACATTTAATATTTAAGCCCGTTTAAATAATGTATAGACGACTGCATGCAACATGCACCATGGCTGTAACTGGATAGAGAACCAAGTCAACTGAAGACCAGCTAACAAGAAACTAAATATTTAAAATACTAAATATTGGGAAGGGTTCCAAGATGGCCAAATAGGAACAGCTCTGGTCTGCAGTTCCCAACGTGATCAATGCAGAAGACGGATGATTTCTGCATTTCCAACTGAGGTACCTGGTTCATCACATTGGGACTGGTTGGACAGTGGGTGCAGCCCACGGAGGGTGAGCTGAAGCAGGGTGGGGCATCACCTCACCTGGAAAGCACAAGGGGTTGGGGGATTTCCCTTTCCTAGCCAAGGGAAGCTGTGACAGACTGTAGCTGGAAAATCAGGACACTGTCACCCAAATACTGTGCTTTTCCAATGGTCTTAGCAAATGGCACACCAGGAGATTATATCCTGCACCTGGCTCAGTGGGTCTCACGCCCACAGAGCCTTGCTCACTGCTAGCACAGCAGTACAAGATTGAGCTGCGAGGTGGCAGCCTGGCTGGGGGAGGGGACGTCTGCCATTGCTGAGGCTTGAGTAGGTAAACAAAGTGGCCTGGAAGCTTGAACTGGGTGGAGCCCACCGCAGCTCAAGGAGGCCTGCCTGCCTCTGTAGACTCCACCTCTAGGGGCAGGGCATAACTGAACAAAAGGCAGCAGAAACTTCTGCAGACTTAAACATCCCTGTCTGACAGCTCTGAAGAGAGCAGTGGTTCTCCCAGCACAGTGTTTGAGCTCTGAGAATGGACAGACTGCCCCCTCAAGTGGGTCCCTGACCCCTATGTAGTCTAACTGGGAGACATCTCCCAGTAGGGGCCAACTGACACCTCATACAGCTGGGTGCCCCTCTGAGACGAAGCTTCCAGAGGAAGGATCAGGCAGCAATGTTTGCTGTTCTGCGATATTTGCTATTCTGCAGCCTCTGCTGGCGATACCCAGGCAAACAGGTCTAGAGTGGACCTCCAGCAAACTCCAACAGACCTGCAGCTGAGGGACTTGACTGTTAGGAGGAAAACTAACAAACAGAAAGGAATAGCATCAACATCAACAAAAAGGACATCCATGCCAAAACCCTATCTGTACTTCACCATCATCAAAGACCAAAGGTAGATAAAACCACAAAGATGGGGAGAAATCAGAGCAGAAAAGCTGAAAATTCTAAAAACCAGACAGCCTGTTCTCCTCCAAAGGATTGCAGTTCCTCGCCAGCAATGGAACAAAGCTGGATGTAGAATGATTTTGACAAGTTGACAGAAGTAGGCTTCAGAAGGTCATAATAACAAACTTCTCTGAGCTAAAGGAGGATGTTCAAACATATCGCAAGGAAGCTAAAAACCTTGAAAAAGGATTAGGCGAATGGCAAACTAGAATCAACAGTGTAGAGAAGACCTTAAATCACCCGATGGAGCTGAAAACCATGGCACGAGAACTATGTGACGCATGTACAAGTTTCAGTACAAGCTTCAGTAGCCAATTCAATCAAGCAGAAGAAAGGGTATCAGTGATTGAAGATCAAATTAATGAAATGAACTGAGAAGAGAAGTTTAGAGAAAAAAGAGTAAAAAGAAATGAACAACACCTCCGAGAAATATGGGACTATGTGAAAAGACCAAATCTACGTTTGATTGGTGTATCTGAAAGTGATGGGGAGAATGGAACCAAGTTGGAAAACATGCTTCAGGATATTATCCAGGAGAACTTCCCCAACCTAGCAAGGCAGGCCAACATTCAAATTCAGGAAACATAGAGAACACCACAAAGATACTCCTCGAGAAGAGTAGTATCTTGGTGAATCTGACACATAATTGTCAAATTCACCAAAGTTGAAATGAAGGAAAAAATATTAAGGGCAGCCAGAGAGAGAGGTCAGGTTACCCACAAAGGGAAGCTCATCAGACTAACAGCATATCTCTCAGAAGAAACTCTATAAGCCAGAAGAGAGTGGGGGCCAATATTCAACATTCTTAAAGAAAAGAATTTTCAACCCAGAATTTCATATCCAGCCAAACTAAGCTTCATAAGTGAAGGAGAAATAAAATCCTTTACAGACAAGCAAATGCTGAGAGATTTTGTCACCACCAGGCCTGCCTTACAAGAGTTCCTGAAGGAAGCACTAAACATGGACAGGAACAACCGGTACCAGGCACTGCAAAAACATGCCAAATTGTAAAGACCAGCGATGCTAGGAAGAAACTGCATCAACTAACAAGCAAAATAACCAACTAACATCATAATGACAGGATCAAATTCACACATAATTAAACTTAAATGTAAATATTAACAATATTAACCTTAAATTTAAATGGGCTAAATGCTCCAATTAAAAGACACAGACTGGCAAATTGGATAAAGAGTCAAGACCCATCAGTGTGCTGTATTCAGGAGACCCATCTCACATGCAGAGATGCACATAGGCTCAAAATAAAGGGATGGAGGAAGATCTACCAAGCAAAAAAAAGCAGGGGTTGCTATCCTAGTCTCTGATAAAACAGACTTTAAACCAACAAAGATCAAAAGAGACAAAGAAGGCCATTACATAAAGGTAAAGGGATCAATTCAACAAGAAGAGCTAACTATCCTAAATATACATGCACCCAATACAGGAGCACCCAAATTCACAGAGCAAGTCCTCAGAGACCTACAAAGAGACTTAGACTCCCACACAATAATAATGGGAGACTTTAACACCCCACTGTCAATATTAGACAGATCAACGAGACAGAAGGTTAACAAGGATATCTGGGACTTGAAGTCAGCTCTGCACCAAGCTGACTTAATAGACATCTACAGAACTCTCCACCTCAAATCAACAGAATATACATTCTTCTCAGTTCCACATTGCACTTATTCCAAAATTGACCACATAGTTGGAAGTAAAGCACTCCTCAGCAAATGTAAAAGAACAGAAATCATAACAAACTGTCTCTCAGACCACAGTGCAATCAAATTAGAACTCAGGACTAAGAAACTCACTGAAAACTGCACAACTACATGGAAACTGAATAACCTGCTCCTGAAAGACTACTGGGTACACAACGAAGGCAGAAATAAAGATGTTCTTTGAAACCAATGAGAACAAAGACACAACATACCAGAATCTCTGGGACACATTTAAAGGCAGTGTGTGGAGGGAAATGTATAGCACTAAATGCCCACAAAAGAAAGCAGGAAAGATCTAAAATTGACACCCTAACATCACAATTAAAAGAACTAGAGAAGCAAGAGCAAACAAATTCAAAAGCTAGCAGAAGGCAAGAAATAACTAAGCTCAGAGCAGAACTGAAGTAGATGGAGACACCAAAAACCCTTGAAAACATCAATGAATCCAGGAGCTGGTTTTTTGAAAAGATCAACAAAATTGATAGACCACTAGCAAGACTAATAAAGAAGAAAAGAGAGAAGAACCAAATAGATGCAATAAAACATGATAAAGGCGATATCACCACTGATCCCACAGAAATACAAACTACCATCAGAGAATACTATAAACACCTCTATGCAAATAAACTAGAAAATCTAGAAGAAATGGATACATTCCTGGACACATACACCCTCCCAAGACTAAACCAGGAAGAAGTTGAATCTCTGAATAGACCAATAACAGGCTCTGAAACTGAGACAATAATTAATAGCCTACCAACCAAAAAAAGTCCAGGACCAGGCAAATTCACAGCTGAATTCTACCAGAGGTACAAAGAGGAGCTGGTACCATTCCTTCTGAAACTATTCCAATAAATGAAAAGCAGGGAATCCTCCCTAACTCATTTTATGAGGCCAGCATCATCCTGATACCAAAGCCTGACAGAGACACAACAAAAAAACAGAATTTTAGACCAATATCCCTGATGAACATTGATGCAAAAATCCTCACTAAAATACTGGCAAACCCAATCCAGCAGCACATCAAAAACCTTATCCATCAAGATTAAGTTGGCATTATCCCTGGGATGCAAGGCTGGTTCAACATGCATGAATCAATAAACGAAATCCATCACAAAAACAGAACCAAAGACAAAAACCACATGATTATCTCAATAGATGCAGAAAAGGCCTTTGACAAAATTCAACAGCCTTCATGCTAAAAACTCTCAATCAACTAGGTATTGATGGGACATATCTCAAAATAGTAAGAGCTACTTATGACAAACCCACAGCCAATATCATACTGAATGGGCAAAAACTGGAAGCATTCCCTTTGAAAACTGGCACAAGACAGGGATGCCCTCTCTCACCACTCCTATTCAACACAGTGTTGGAAGTTCTGGGCAGGGCAATCAGGCAGGAGAAAGAAATAAAGGGCATTCAATTAGGAAAAGAGGAAGTCAAATTGTCCCTGTTTACAGATGACATGATTGTATATTTAGAAAACCCCATCATCTCAGCCCAAAATCTCCTTAAGCTGATAAGCAACTTCAGCAAAGTCTCAGGATACAACATCAATGTGCAAAAATCACAAGCATTCCTATACACCAATAACAGACAAAGACAGAGAGCCAAATCATGAGTGAACGCCATTCACAATTGCTACAAAGAGAATAAAATACCTAGGAGTCCAACTTACAAGGGATGTGAAGGACCTCTTCAAGGAGAACTACAAACCACTGCTCAATGAAATAAAAGAGGACACAAACAAATGGAAGAACATTCCATGCTCATGGATAGGAAGAATCAATATCGTGAACATGGCCATACTGCCCAAGGTTATTTATAGATTCAGTGCCATCCCCATCAAGCTACCAAAGGCTTTCTTCACAGAATTAGAAAAACTACTTTAAAGTTCATATGGAACCAAAAAAAAGCCCGCATTGCCAAGACAATCCTAAACAAAAAGAACAAAGCTGGAGGTATCACACTACCTGACTTCAAACTATACTACAAGGCTACAGTAACCAAAACAGCATGGTACTTGTATCAAAACAGAGATATAGACCAATGGAACAGAACAGAGCCCTCAGAAATAACATCACACATCTACAACCATCTGATCTTTGACAAACCTGACAAAAATAACAAATGGGGAAAGGATTCCCTGTTTAATAAATGGTGCTGGCCAATTGTAGATGGCCATTTCTACATATGGCTAACCATATGTAGAAAGCTGAAACTGGATCCCTTCCTAACACCTTGTACAAAAATTAATTTAAGATGGATTAAAGACTTAAATGTTAGCCCCCTGCCGGCCAGCCGCCCGATCCGGGAGGGAGGTGGGGGGCAGCACCCGCCTGGCCAGCCTCCCCGGCCGGGAGGGAGGTGGGGGTCAGCCCCCGCCCGGCCAGCCTCCCCATCCGGGAGGGAGGTGGGGGGTCAGCCCCCGCCCGGCCAGCCGCCCCCTCTGGGAGGGAGGTGGGGGGTGCCTCCGCCCGGCCGCCCCTTCTGGGAAGTGAGGAGCCCCTCTGCCTGGCCACCACCCCGTCTGGGAGGTGTACCCAACAGCTCATTGAGAACGGGCCATGATGACGATGGCAGTTTTGTGGAATAGAAAAGGGGGAAAGGTGGGGAAAAGATAGAGAAATCAGATTGTTGCTGTGTCTGTGTAGAAAGGAGTAGACATGGGAGACTTAATTTTGTTCTGTACTAAGAAAAATTCTTCTGCCTTGGGATGCTGTTGATCTATGACCTTACCCCCAACCCTGTGCTCTCTGAAACATGTGCTGTGTCCACTCAGGGTTAAATGGATTAAGGGCGGTGCAAGATGTGCTTTGTCAAACAGATGCTTGAAGGCGGCATGCTCATTAAGAGTCATCACCACTCCCTAATCTCAAGTACCCAGGGACACAAACACTGTGGAAGGCTGCAGGGTCCTCTGCCTAGGAAAGCCAGAGACCTTTGTTCACTTGTTTACCTGCTGACCTTCCCTCCACTATTGTCCTATGACCCTGCCAAATCCCCCTCTCTGAGAAACACCCAAGAATGATCAATAAAAAAAAAATAATAAAAAAAAAAAGAAGAAGAAGAAGAAAAGAGGAAGAGGAAGAGGAAGAAGAAGGAACTAAAAAACAATAGCTGACATGAGAAAAGCCTGGTAAATCCGGGGCAAGTGACAGAGGAGACTCTTGAGTTCTTCCTCAAAGCCAAGGAAAAAAGATCAGCCTTGTCCACCACCAGAAGCTCCAGGGAGTCACGGAGTTTCAAGCTGTCTTGCTGCAAGTGGCTTAATATGCGAGATGGGGTCCCCACTACCACATCTGGCTTCTCCATCAGCACAGCTCTCTGAAAGGCTGAATCTTCAGCAGCTGAGGCATTGGCCACTCGGACATCCCGAGCACAGTAGGTAGCTAGCCACTGAATCATGGACTGTGCCTGCTGTGCCAGCTCTTTGGTAGGAGCAAGAACAAGGCCTCTCACTGCGTGTTCTACTACTGGACCTGTCGCCGTCCTGTGGAGCAACAGCTGCAGCATCAGAATAGCATAAGCAGCTGTCTTCTTGGAGCCCCTGCCAGCCTGAGCCAGGAGGTCCTTCCCCTCTAGGGCCAATGGGATAGCCTTTTCCTGGATCACCGTAGGTCACGAGCAGCCCAAGTTGTTGACAGCCTGCAGGAGCCAGGGATCAAGGCCCTATGTGTTCGAAGCTCAGTGCTTCTGAGTCTGCCATGGCGCTGCTCTGTAGCGACAGCACATACGTGCTGCAGGAAGAATCATTTTTTTTTTTGTTTTGTTTTGATATGGAGTCTCACTCTGTTGTCCAGGCTAGAGTGCAGTGGTGCCATCTTGGCTCACTGCAACCTCTGCCTCCTGGGTTCAAGCGATCCTCCTGCCTCAGCCTCCCGAGTAGCTGGGATTATAGGTGCCTGCCACCATGCTTGACTAGTTTTTGTATTTTTAGTAGATACAGGATTTTGCTATGTTGGCCAGACTGGTCTTGAACTCCTGACCTGAAGTTATCCCCCAGCCTCGGCCTCCCAAAGTGCTGGGATTACAGGTGTTAGCCCCTGCGCCTGGCCAATCCTAGCACTTTGGGAGGCTGAGGCAGGTGGATTGCTTGAGTCCAGGAAGTTCAAGACCAGCACCAGCGACATGGCGAAATCCAGTCTCTACAAAAAAAAAAAAAATAAAAAATAAATATATATATATATATATAGCATATATATACAATATATATGTACATATATAAATATATATTATATATAAATATTACATATAATTCTATAAATGTATATATAAATATATAATATATGTAAATATATATTTATATTATTATATATTATTATATTATATATCATATAATATTATATATAAATATAAATATATAATATATATAATATATAAATGCATATATATATTATATACATATATAAATGCAGCTCTTGTTTTGATCACCTTCTTTGAGGGGAGGAAGTCTGTTGGTCACATTGTGTTTTAAGGGTACCTGGAATTTGTTTTGGGTATGGTAAGGCATACAGACACAAAAATGACTGTCATGAAGGAAGTTTTTTGTTTTTTTTTTGTTTAGAAATGGAACTTTGCTCTAACCTCTGCCTCCCAGGCTCAAGTGATTCTCCTGCCTCAGCCTCCTGAGTAGCTGGGATTCTGGGATTATAGGCATGCGCCACCACCACGCCTGGCTAATTTTTTGTATTTTTAGTAGAGAAGGGGTTTCACCATGTTGACCATGGCTGGTCTCGAACTCCTGACCTCAGGTGATCCACCCGCCTTGGCCTCCCAAAGTGCTGGGATTACAGGCATGAGCCACTGCCCCTGGCCAGGAAGTTTTTACTCACAGTTCGTACCCAGTGCTTGATGGGGAGTTTGGGTTTGGTAGTCACTTGATGCTCCTTAGTCATACATTTAGCCTCTCCAGCACCCAGCAGCAAGGCAGGAGCTGTTCAAATGGAGAATAATTGGCAGAAGACCAAACAGAAACAGTCTTACTCTAAAACCCTAGAGGTGAGTGGTGTGGTTCTCCTATTGGGGCTTGTCAGAGACTCCATACAATACCTTTTCCCTGTGGTATTCTTTTTTTAATTTTTTTTTTTAGTATTTATTTATCATTCTTGGGTGTTTCTCGGAGAGGAGGATTTGGCAGGGTCATAGGACAATAGTGGAGGGAAGGTCAGCAGATAAACATGTGAACAAAGGTCTCTGGTTTTCCTAGGCAGAGGACCCTGCAGCCTTCCACAGTGTTTGTGTCCCTGGGTACTTGAGATTAGGGAGTGGTGATGACTCTTAACGAGCATGCTGCCTTCAAGCATCTGTTTAACAAAGCACATCTTGCACCGCCCTTAATCCATTTAACCCTGAGTGGACACAGCACATGTTTCAGAGAGCACGGGGTTGGGGGTAAGGTTATAGATTAACAGCATCCCAAGGCAGAGTAATTTTTCTTAGTACAGAACAAACTGGAGTCTCCCACGTCCACCTCCCTCCACACAGACGCAGTAACAATCTGATCTCTCTCTCCTTTCCCCACATTTCCCCCTCTCTATTCCACAAAACCGTCATCATCATCATGGCCCGCTCTCAATGAGCTGTTGGGCACACCTCCCAGACGGGGTGGCGGCGGGGCAGAGGGGCTCCTCACTTCCTAGACGGGGCGGCCGGGCAGAGGCGCCCCCCCACCTTCCACACAGGGCGGCGGCTGGGCGGAGGCACCCCCCACCTCCCGGACGGGGCGGCTGGCCGGGCAGGGGCTGCCCCCCACCTCCCGGACGGGGCGGCTGGCAGGGCGGGGGCTGACCCCACCTCCCGGATGGGGTGGCTGGCTGGGCGGGGGCTGCCCCCCACCTCCCGGACGGAGTGGCTGCCGGGCGGAGGGGGCTTCTCACTTTCCAGACGGGGCGGCTGCCGGGCAGAGGGGCTCCTCACCTCTCAGATGGGGCGGCCGGGCAGAGACGCTCCTCACCTCCCAGACAGGGTGGCAGCCGGGCAGAGAGGCTCCTCAGTTCCCAGACGGGGTCGCAGCCGGGCAGAGGCGCTCCCCACATCCCAGACGATGGGCGGCCGGGCAGAGAGGCTCCTCACTTCCCAGACTGGGCGGCTGGGCAGAGGGGCTCCTCACATCCCAGACGATGGGCAGCCAGGCAGAGACGCTCCTCACCTCTCAGACAGGGTGGCGGCCGGGCAGAGGCTGCAATCTCGGCACTTTGGGAGGCCGAGGCAGGCGGCTGGGAGGTGGAGGTTGTAGCGAGCCGAGATCACCCCACTGCACTCCAGCCTGGGCAACACTGAGCACTGAGTGAGCGAGACTCCGTCTGCAGTCCCAGCACCTCGGGAGGCTGAGGCGGGCAGATCACTCACGGTCAAGAGCTGGAGACCAGCCCGTCCAACAGGGCGAAACCCCATCTCCACCAAAAAATACAAAAACCAGTCAGGCCTGGCGGCGCGCGCCCGCAATCCCAGGCACTGGGCAGGCTGAGGCAGGAGAAAAAGGCAGGGAGGTTGCAGCGAGCGGAGATCATGGCGGTACAGTCCAGCTTCGGCAACAGAGGGAGACCGTGGAAAGCCGGAGAAGGACAGAGGGAGAGGGAGACCGAGCAGAAAGCGGGAGAAGGAGAGTGAGAGGGAGGGGGGAGGGGGAGGGGAAAGGGAGAGCTAAAATACCTTTTCCAACTAGCAATCTTATATGGTATGCTCAACCATAAGGTCCACGTGGAAGGAAAATTTTCATCAAAGCCTAGACTTGCCGTGGAGGCTTTTCTTGCTTTGTGCCCCACTTAAAATTGGCCTAGATGAAAGCAGCAGGCTCACATGTTATATGTGTTGCTTTCAAAATCCAGAGACCAACCCTGACCCAGTATTGTTTTTCACCTTGGAAAGATCATTCTGACATAGAAAATTCACTGATATGGCATATTCTGCATATAGCCTGCCAATTCTTTGGTAATTCCCCCCACCCCACCAAATTTGGGCGGGCTTAGTGACTAAGTTTTCATGAAAAGAATATGGCAGAAGTGTGACCTCTGAGACTGCATCCTAAAAAATGATACAGCTTCTTCCTGGCTTTCTCTTTCTTAGGACTTGTGCCTTCGGATCCTGATTTATTAAGTGAGAAGTCCACTATCCTGAAGCTGCTATGCTGGAGAGACCATGTGAAAAGATCATATAGAAGTAGAAAGATGCCCAAGAAGCCATATATGCTTCTTTCTGTAGCTGTTTCAGTCTGCCCACCCAGGGATCGGACATGTTAGAGAAAGAGTCTTAAAGATTATCCCAACCCCAGCCACCATGTGACTGCAACCTCATGAAAACCCCACACCAGAACAGTGGTATCAGCTCAAACTTTGCAAGGGCTAGGAGACTGAGGGCAGCTGACCAGATTTATGTGATTGAGCCTAATAAACTGGCCTGAGTAAGCTTCCCTGGTTGACAATATTCTGCGAGTATTATCACACACTGGATGTCAGGAAATTAACACTGTCCACAACTCATGGAAAGGACAACTGGGAGTTCTGTGTTTAGAGCTTTCCTGAACTCTGCCCTATGTACCCCTTCCCTTGGCTGATTTTAACCTGTATTCTTAGCTGCAATAAACCGTAACTTTCCATGAGCACTGTGAGTTTGTCTTGTGAATTATTAAACTCACGGGTGGTCTTGGGGTCCCCCCAAGCTGACAATTAATGTCAGAGAGGAGGAGGATATTGGGGGACCCCAACCTTGCAATCGGTGTCAGAAGTGAGGGTGGTCTTGTGGGCTGCTCCTCTAACAATGTATCCAGCATAACCTTGATATGAAAATCTCACAAGAGTATCACAAGAAAAGATAATTATAAGCCAACCACCCTCATGACTGTATATGCAACAATTCTAAACAGGATATTAACAAACCTACATATGAATTTGAGAGGACATAAATGTTCAGATCATAGCATTGCTGAGCATTCTGTATGAATATAGACATAATTCAAGACCAAGACTGATGATTGCTATTGTGAGTTGAACTGTGTTCCCTAAAGTGGTATGTTAAAGTCCTAATCCAAGGTACCTGTGAATGTGACCTTATTTGGAAATGAGATTTTTGCAGATGCAACTATTTAAAATGCAGTTATAGTGGATTAGGGTGGGCCCTAATTCCAATATAACTAATATCCTTATAAGAAGAGAAGAGACACAGATGCAGAAACACACACAGATGGAAGGCAGCTGTATGAAGACGGAGGCAGAGAAGGGAGTTATGTGGCCACAAATCAATAAATACCAAGGATTGGCCAGGCATGGTGCCTCATACCTGTAATCCCAGTACTTTGGGAGGCTGAGGTGGGATGATTGCTTGAGCCCAGGAGTTTGAGACCAGCCTGGGCAAAAAATACAGTGAAACTCCATTTCTATCAAAACCAAAAGCAAACAAACAAAAAACCCAAGGATTGCTTTCTACCTGAAGCTGGATGAGGCAAGAGAAGATCCTCCTGCAGAGTCTTTGGACAGAGCACAGTCCTGCTGATGCCTTAATTTTGGACTTCTCACCTCTGAAATAGAGTAATTTCTTAAAAAGCCACCTAGGTTGTGACAATTTGTTATGGCAACCCTAGGAAACTGACACAATTGTGTCATTGTTTTTTTCTCTCTACTAGTTTTAAAATTGTAAGCTTTTTTTCTATCCTTTTAGTGGCTGCTCTAGAACTAACAGCAGGCTTCATGAATGTTTTCTAATCACAAATTTGTGTGTTTATTTCTTTTAAAAGCATTAATTGCGAGCCTATTATGTGCCAGAACATATTCTAGATGCTGGGGATATAGCAACAAGTCAGGTACACATTTCTGCCTTTCTGGAGATTGTACCCTAGTACCAGGAAATATACAATATGCTATAAAAATAAATAATAGAATGTCAAGTTTTTATTTATTTATTTATTTTTATTTTTTTAAACCAGGTCTCCTTATGTTGCCCAGCTGTTCTTGAACTCCTGGGCTCAAATGATCCCCCCGCTTCAGCCTCCCAAAGTGCTGGGATTACAGGCATGAGCCACCACACCCAGACTAGAATGTTAAGTTTGAAAAGTGCTATGGAGAAAAAGAAAGTTGAGTAGCGACATAGATATATTGGGGGTGGTGGTGGTTTACAACTTTAATAGATCTTTAAAGAAGACTTCAGTGAGAAGGTGACATTGAGGAAGGATCTGAAGAAGGTGAGGGATTGAGCCATAAAGTACCAGGCAGAGGGAATAGCAACTGCCAAGGTATTGAGATGGGAGTATCTTCACTGCGTTCAGGGAGCTGCAGGGAGATTTGGCTAGCAGAAGCTGCATAAGTATGGAGGAAAGCAGCAGGTCATGACAGCACAAAGGTAAGATGGGAGCAGATTGTGTAGGATATTGTGGGCCTTCTGGGCAAGACTAGAAGCCTTCAGAGAGGTCTGAGTAGGAGGGTAGCCTGATTTAACAGGATGACTTTGGCTGTGTTGAGGATATACTGAAGACTGCCAAGAGCAGAAGCAGAGAGACCAATGAGGAGACTTGCAGCCAGCCAGGGGATGCTAGTGGCTTAGAAGAGGATGAAAGCAGTAGGATTGTGAATGGTGGTCAGGTTAGACTATTTTGAAGGTGAGGCTGACTTACTCATTCACTTGCTGCTATTTTTAAGTGATAGCTTTTTTTTTTTTTGGACAGAGTCTCGCTCTGTCACCCAGGCTGGAGTGCAGTGGCGTGATCTCGACTCAACTCACTGCAAGCTCTGCCTCTCGGGTTCATGCCATTCTCCTGCCTCAGCCTCCCAAGGAGTAGCTGGGACTACAAGTGCCCGCCACTGCACCCGGCTAAGTTTTTGTATTTTTAGTAGATACAGGTTTCACCGTGTTAGCCAGGATGGTCTCGATCTCCTGACCTCGTGATCCACCTGCCTTGGTCTCCCAAAGTGTTGGGATTACAGGCGTGAGCCACCGCGCCTGGCCGATACCTTTCTTTTTCTTTTTTTTTTTTGAGAGAGAGTTTCACTCCTGTCATCCAGGCTGAAGTGCAGTGTCACAATCTTGGTTCACTGCAACCTCCACCTCCTGGGTACAAGCGCTTCTCCTGCCTCAGCCTCCTGAGTAGCTGGAATTACAGGCATGCACCACCACACCTGGCTAATTTTTTGTATTTAGTAGAGAAGGGGTTTCACCATGTTGGTCAGGCTGGTCTCGAGTTCCTGACCCCAGGTGATCCACCTGCCTTGGCCTCCCAAAGTGCTGGGATTACAGGCGTGAGCCACTGTGACTGGCCTTAAGTGATATCTGATATATAACCTTTCAAATCATTATTAAACTTTCTTTCTCTTTTCTTAAAATTTATTTTAATTAATTAATTTATTTATTTATTTTGAGATGGAGCCTCGCTCTGTCAACCAGGCTGGAGTGCAGTGGCGTGATCTTGGCTCACTGCAACCTCAGCCTCCCAGGTTCAAGCGATTCTCCTGCCTCAGCCTCCTGAGTAGCTGGGACTACAGGCACCCGCCACTGTGCCTAGCTAATTTTTGTATTTTTTTTTTTTTGAGACAGAGTCTCACTCTGTCGCCCAGGCTGGAATGCAGTGGCGCGATCTCGGCTCACTGCAAGCTCTGCCTCCTGGGTTCATGCCATTCTCCTGCCTCAGCCTCCTGAGTAGCGGGGACTACAGGCACCCGCCACCACACCTGGCTAATTTTCTGTATTTTTGGTAGAGACGGGGTTTCACCATGTTAGCCAGGTTGGTCTCGATCTCCTGACCTCGTGATCCGCCTGCCTCAGCCTCCCAAAGTGCTGGGATTATAGGCATGAGCCACCGCGCCCGGCTTGTATTTTTAGTAGAGACAGGGTTTCACCATATTGGCCGGCTAATCTCAAACTCCTGACCTTGTGAGCCGCCTGCCTCTGCCACCCAAACTGCTGGGATTACAGGTGTGAGCCACTGTGCCCAGCCTTATTTATTTATTTTTAAGACGGAGTCTCCCTCTGTTGCCCAGGCTGGAGTGCAATGGCATGATCTCAGCTCACTGCAAACCTCTGCCTCCTGGGTTCAAGCAATTCTCCTGCCTTGGCCTCCCAAGTAGCTGGGATTACAGGTGCCTGCCACCACACCCAGCTAATTTTTGTGTTTTTAGTAGAGATGGGGTTTCACCATGTTGGCCAGGTGGGTCTCAAACTTCTGACCTGAGGTTATCTGCCCACCTCAGTGTCACCGCACCTGGCCTAAATTTTTATTTTAAAAAATTTTTTTTGTAGAGATGGGGTCTCCCTGTGTTTCCCAGACTGGTCTCATACTCCTGGGCTCAAGCAATCCTCCTGCCTTGGCCTACCAGAGTGTTGGGACTACAGGTGCCCAGGCCCTTCTTTCTGTTTGGGTGATGTAATCTTAAATTTTCTCCATTGTTAAATCACATTTAGCCTACAGCTGCCTCCTTACATATTTTAAGTTTGGCCTAAAGGTTTCTCTGTACATCACGAACTATGGCCTAAATGGAAGTATAAACAAACTGTAGTCTACTCTTGTGCCAATCACCACCAAGTTTTGGTCAGTCAAATGTGGCTAAATGTTCAAATTAGGCAAATACCAAGCTATAACCAATGCAGCTGTTTCTGCATCTCACTTTCATTTTCCATACATCACTTTCCTTTTTCTGTCCATAAATTTTCCACCATATAGCCCTGTTGGAGTCTCTGAGTCTACCCTGGCTCAGGAGGCTGCCCAATTCATCAATCATTCACTGCTCAATTAAACTCTTTTAAATTTAATTTGGCTGAAGTTTTTCAGATGGTGTCAGAAGTGGGATCTGAAGTAGAGCTTCTCACAACCCCCAGGAGTGCTGAGTGACCAAGCAGGGATCATGGGTAAGTTCTCTCTCGGATTCCGAAGCGCCATAGATTTGTGTTTTGAGCTCTCTGAGTTTCTCTGAGCAAATTTCTGATCCAAACTTGGTTTGAAAGTCCTGACAGAAACCAGACTGGGTCCAGGACCAGATTGGATTCAGTAATTAACTGATCAACTGGCTTGGATCTAGTTAGAAGCCTCTTACATCTGACTGGGTCAGAAAGAAACAGGTAGTAAATGGCAATATTGCAGGGGGTGTAAAATTTGGCTTTTGGAAATTTGCATGGATTTTTGTGTTCCACCCCTTTGCTTTTCTTGTCTGGCTCTGTCACCAGGCTGGAGTGCAGTGGCGTGCACTCCAGTGGCTTGCAGTGAACCCACCTCCCAGACTCAAGGGATTCTCCTGCCTCAGCTTCTTGAGTAGCTGGGATTACAGGCGCGTGCCACCATGCGCAGCTAATTTTTGTATTTTTAGTAGAGATGGGGTTTCATCATGTTGGCCAGGCTGGTCTCAAACTCCTGATCTCAGGTAATCTGCCCGCCTCAGCCTCCCAAAGTGCTGGGGTTACAGGTGTGAGCCACCGTGCCCAGCATTTAAGACTTTTTTTTTTTGTTTGTTTGATATGGAGTTTCTCTCTTGTTGCCCAGGCTGGAGTGCAATGGCGTGATCTTGGCTTACTGCAACCTCTGCCTCCCAGGTTCAAGTGATTCTCCTGGCTTCAAGCAATTCTCCCGGGTTCAAGTGATTTTCCTGCCTCAGCCTTCCTGAGTAGCTGGGATTACAGGTGTGCGCCACCATGGCTGGCTGATTTTGAATTTTTAGTAGAGACGGGGTTTCTCCATGTTGGTCAGGCTGGTCTTGAACTCCTGACCTCAGGTGATCCGCCCACCTCGGTCTCCCAAAGTGCTGGGATTACAGGCATGAGCCACCATGCCTGACCGCAAAGTTTTAATTAATGAGTAAAAGGATTCGTGAGGCTGGTCTTAAGCTGTAGCAAATCTGGTGTACTTTGTGCTATGAATGTGTCCTTCTGCATTGTTCTGTCATAAAAAGGGGTACAATAAAATAGAATGTGGGCCTAGGACCCCCATAAGCTCACTGTTCAAGCCATTCTGGCAAACTGGTTAGTTACAAACTTTGCTGAAGATCCCTGAAACAAAAAAGCTGGATGAGGTTTCTCTATCTTCTTGTTTAATGTCATTGGGAGATTGATCTTGTAACCATAGAGCAATACTTTGTCTTGGTCTCCATCATCCAGGGAACAGGAATTTCGGAGTTCATGTAACAGCTCTGAAAATTATTTTGAACATTTAAAAGCCATTTGAAGTTCAAAATTGACCTCTCTAGGCTACTTCTGGGAAGAGCAGCAGAAACTGCCTGATGCTGTGGCTTAGTGGATAAGACTCTGTCTTTTCACAGTGGTGGCCAGGGTTCAATTCCCGACTTAGGGAATGAGTACTTTTTTTACCAGTGGTAGTTATCCACATGGGTCTGCAGCAACCTCAGTTCTTGCCTCCTGGGAAGAAAAAAATCAACTGAGGGGCATAAGGCAGAAGGAGAGACTGAGGCAAGTTTTAGCACACGAGGGAAAGTTTATAAAAAGCTTTAGAGCAGTAAGGAAAGTACACTTGGAAATACAAGCCAAGTGGGTGACTCAAGAGACCAAGTGCACAACTTGACCTCTTGACTCGGGGTTTTATACGTTGGCATCCTTCCAGGATCTTGTGTTACTTCTCCCAACTCCTGAGATCTTATTGGGAAGCTGCTGATCAGTTTCAGGTGTTTTGTATCTATTAGGAGACTGCTGTTCCCTGGCACCAGCTGTGAATGATTACTACTTTAAGGAAACAGTTAACAACCGCCTGACCATCACCTGATTGGCGCCCAACACTCCTAGTGCGTGTGTGTGTGTGTGTCTGTGTGTGGGGAGCCCTCTCCTGCCCTGCTCATACCTAATTAGCTACCCACTGTTGTAACACTTTCTGGTTTGATATCTGTGTGACTTTTGCCATTTATTGATTCTCTTTCCCTCCATGAACAACTTCTGACTTCCTGTCTTGAATTTTCCTTTCTCTGAGCACTTGGGAGGTTGCCTTTGGTAAAGTTCAAAGGTAAGAAATATTTGCTGCTTGTTTTGGCTAGAGTCTTGTAATAAGATATTTGGTTCAAAGTCAACTTAATTAAAAGCAGATATTCAAGCTATAGGTATATTGACAAGACCTTTATGTTTTTTTTTTTTTCTCTTTCTGGGTCTTGTTTTTCTAGGAAAAAAATATTTTTATCTTTTCAGTCAACTGAATTGATTTTCTTCATTTTGTCTTCTTGCCACTCTTGATGCACACACGAGAGGACCTAAGATAATTTTTTTTTTTTTTTTTTTTTGTGAGAAGCAGTTTCACTCTTGTTGCCCAGGCTAGAGTGCAATGGCATGATCTTGGCTCACTGCCACCTCCGCCTCTGAGGTTCAAGTGATTCTTATGCCTCAGCCTCCCAAGTAGCTGGGATTACATGCATGCGCTACCGTGCCTGGATAATTTTTGTATTTAGTAGAGATGGGGTTTCACTATGTTGGTAAGGCTGGTCTTGAACTCCTGACCTCAGGTGATCCACCTGCCTCAGTCTGTCAAAGTGCTGGGATTACAGGCATGTACCACTATGTCTGGCCAGACTTAAGATAATTACTTTTTTCTTTTTTTGTTGTTTTTTTTGAGATGGAGTCTCACTCTGTCGCCCAGGCTGGAGTGCAGTGGCACAATCTCAGTTCACTACAACCTTTGCCACCTGGGTTCAAGTGATTCTCGTGCCTCAGCCCCCTGAGTAGCTGGGACTATAGGCACGCACCACCACACCCAGCTAATTTTTGTATTTTTAGTAGAGAAAGGGGTTTCACCATGTTGGCCACATTGAACTTGAACTCCTGGCTTTGTGATCTGCCCACCTCAGCCTCCCAAAGTGCTGGGATTACAGATGTGAATACCTAAGATAATTTCTAACAGCCCAGACTCCTTGGGAAAATCAGAAGAAGTGCCACAGACCCCATTTTGGGAAAAACCTTTTTTCCTCATGAAACCCCAGGAACTGAGAGTAGATAAATCCCTTGTATTTGTCCATTTTCGTGCTGCTGATAAAGACATAACTGAGACTGGGCAATTTACAAAAGAAAGAGGTTTTTGGACTTACAGTTCCACATGGCTGGGGAGGCCTCACAATCACGGTGGAAGGCAAGGAGAAACAAGTCACATCTTGTGTGGATGGCAGCAGGCAAAGACAGAATGAGAGCCAAGCAAAACAGCTTTCCCCTTATCAAACCATCAGATCTCATGAGACTTATTCACTATCATGAGAACAGCATGGGAAAGACCTGTCCCCATGATTCAATTACCTCCCACCAGGTCCCTCCCACAACATGTGGGAATTCAAGATGATATTTGGGTGGGGACACGGCCAAAGCATACCATTCTTCTCAAAATCTAAGGCTAAATGTACTTTTGGATATCCTAGTATATCAAGATACACTAGCCTAGGAGCTTGGTGTCCTAGGCTCCACACCTAGCTGGGTGTCCTCCTACCTGCCCACTGAGAGATAAGATTCCCATGGAGGATGGACTGATCAAAACTGGGTTGATTGAGTTTGGGTTGCTTTGCAATGAAATGTACGGTAAAATCATTGCACTGTCTTGTTCCACAGCATTTCTCTTTTGGGGATCCAGAATCCAGTATAAAAATGGGACCCTGAATTTTTGGAGATCTGTTTGCTTTCCAGCTGTGCCTGCTTATTAGGCCCTAGAAACTGCATGTTTTCCTAGCCCTGTTCCTCAAAGGACTCCACCCTGAATCCAGTAATCCAATTAAGAATCTTAAAAACTGGCAAATGAAAAATCTTACAACTACTGGATCTTCTTCTGTCTATATATTTATGTGTTGTGTGTGATGTTTATATGAAAAAGTTCTGATTAATTGGCTTAATAATAATAAGCATTTAAATCAAATATTTTTTCAGAAAAATTGTTTTAGTTCATTTTCATGCTGCTGATAAAGACATATCTGAGACTGGATAACTTATAAAGAAAGGCCAGACACGGTGGCTCATGACTGTAATCCTAGCACTTTGGGAGGCTGAGGCAGGTGGATTACCTGAGGTCAGGAGTTTGAAACCAGCCTGGCCAACATGGTGAAGCTCCGTCTCTTCTGAAAATACAAAAATTAGCTGGGCATGGTGGTGCATGCCTGTAATCCCAGCTACTCGGGAGGCTGAGACAGGAGAATTACTTGAATCCAGGAGGTGGAGGTGAGCCATAATTGTGCCACTGCATTCCAGCCTGGGTGACAGAGATGAGACTTTGTCTCAAAAAAAAATTATAAAGAAAAAGATGTTTAATGGACTCACAGTTTCACATGGCTGGGGAGGCCTCACAATCGTGGCAGAAGGTGAAAGGCACATCTTACATGGTAGTGGGCAAGAGAGAATTAGAATGAAGTGATAGGGTTTCCTGTTATACAACCATCAGATCTTGTGAGATATATTCACTACCATGAGAACAGTGTGGGGGAAACTGCCCCCGTAATTCAATTATCTCCCACTGAGTCCCTCCCACAATACATGTGAATTATGGGAGCTACAATTCAAATGAGATTTGGGTAGGGACACAGCCAAGCCATATCATTCCACCTCTGGCCCCTCCCAAATCTCATGTCATCACATTTCAAAACCAATCATGCCTTCCCAACAGTTCCCCAAAGTCTTAAGTCATTTCAGCATTAACTCAAAAGTCCACAGCCCAAAGTCTCATCTGAGACAAGGCATGTCCCTTCCACCTATGAGCCAGTAAAATCAAAACCAAGTTAGTTACTTCCTAGCTACAATGGGGGTACAGGCATTGGATAAGTACACCCATTCCACATGGGAGAAATTGGCTAAAACTAAGGGGCTGAAGGCCCCATGCAATTCCAAAATCTCGCAGGGCAGTCAAATCTTAAAGTGCCAAATGATCTCCTTTGATTTTGTGTCTCAAATCCAGGTCACACTGATGCAAGAGGTGAGTTCCTATGGTCTTGGGCAGCTATGCCCTTGTGGATTTACAGGGTACAGCCCACTTCCTGGCTGTTTTCACAGGCTGGTGTTGAGTGCCTTTGGCTTTTCCAGGTGGATGGTGAAAGCTGTTGGTGGATCTACCATTCTGGGGTCTGGAGGATGGTGGCTATCTTCTCACAGCTCCACGAGGCAGTGCCACAGTGGGGACTCTGTGTGGGGGCTTCAACCCCACATTTCCCTTCCCTAGCAGAGATGCTCCATAAGGACCCCACCCTGGCAGCAAACTTTTGCCTGAACATCCAGGTGTTTTTTTACATCCTCTGAAATCTAGATGGAGGTTCCCAAACCTCAATTCTTGACTTCTGTGCACCTGCAGGCTCAACACCACATGGAAGTTGCCAAGGATTGAGGCTTGCACCCTCTGAAACCATGGCCTGAGCTGTACCTTGGCACCTTTAACCATGGCTAGAGTGGCTGGGATGCAGGGCACCAAGTCCCTAGACTGCACAGAGCATGGGGCCCCTGTGTCCTGCCCACAAACCATTGTTTCCTCCCAGGCCTTAGGTCCTGTGATGGGAGGGGCTGCTTCAAGGCCTCTGACATGCCCTGGAGACATTTTCCCCATTGTCTTGGTGATTAACATTTGGCTCCTGATTACTTAGGCCAATTTCTGCAGCTGACTTGAATTTCTCCTCAGAAAATGGGTTTTTCTTTCCTTTTTTTTTTTGAGATGGATTCTCACTCTTCTCACCCAGGCTGGAGTGCAGTGGCACAATCTTGGCTCACTGCAACCTCTGCCTCCTGGATTCAAGCAATTCTCCTGCCTCAGCCCCCCAAGTAGCTGGGACTACAGGTGCATGCCACCACAACTGGCTAATTTGTTTTGTATTTTAGTAGAGATGAGGTTTCACCGTGTTGCCCAGGCTGGTCTCAAACTCCTGAGCTCAGGCAATCAGCCCACCTCAGCCTCCCAAAGTATTAGGATTACAGGCATGAGCCATCATGCCTGGCCAGGTTTTTCTTTTCCATTACATCATTGGGCTGCAAATTTTCTGAACTTTTAGGCTCTGTTTCCCTTTTAAAATTGAATGCTTTTAACAGCACCCAAGTTACTTCTTGAATGCTTCACTGCTTAGAAATTTCTTCCACCAGATACCCTAAATCATCTCCCTCAAGTTCAAAGTTCCACAAATCTGTAGGGCAGGGACAAAATGCTGCCAGTCTCTTTGCTAAACATAACAAGAGTCACCTTTACTCTAGTTGCCAACAAGTTCCTCATCTCCATCTGAGATCACCTCAGCCTGGGTTTCATTGTGCATGCATGTCATTATCAGCATTTTGGTCAAAGCCATTCAACAAGTCTCTAGGAAGTTCCAAACTTTCTCACATTTTCCTGTCTTCTTCTGAGCCCTCCAAACTGTTCCAACCTCTGCCTGCTATCCAGTTCCAAAGTCGTTTCCATATTTTTGGGTATCTTTACAGCAGTGCCCACTCCTGGTCCAATTTACTGTATTAGTTCGTTTTTACATTGCTGATAAAGACATACCCAAGACTGGGTAATTTGTAAAGAAAAAGAGGTTTAATGGACTCACAGTTCCGCATGGCTGGGGAGGCCTCATAATCATGGCAGAAGGTGAAAGGCATGTCTTACATGGTGGTGGACAAGGACAAAATCAAAGGGGTTTTCCCTCATAAAACCATCAGATCTCATGAGATATATTCTCTACCATGAGAACATTATGGGGGAAACCACCTCTGTGATTCAATTATTTCCCACCTAGTCCCTCCCACAGCACATGGGAATTATGGGAGCTACAATTCAAGATGAGATTTGGGTGGGGACACAGCTGAACCATATCAAAAATAAAAACTGTAATTAATGCCTTTTAGTTAATGTGACTTTGAGAAATGAAGAGTTTTAAAGATTATTGGTAAAATGAAGCTATTTGGTCTAAATTAGGCACGTCAGATATTAGGTTTGCTAAATGCTTTAAGGTAATAAACTGCTTTGTCTTTTGAAAATTGTTCAACTTACTTGTTTTGGAGCCATTACATTCTAGGTAAGCCCTGGGGACATGTGGAGTTAGCCATGCCTCCTGGCTATGCTGGAATAAATCAGACTTTATCTGCATTTCTTTCTGGTGTCCTAGGCTCCACACCTAGTACATAATTAAAATCACTTACCAGGTTTTTCATCAAAAATAAAAATTGCTAAGAGTTAACATTGTACCATGTAATTGAGACTACTGAAAAAACAGTTTTAAATGCAAGGTGTGTGAGGAAAGCAAAATGTGATTTTGGCAAAAGATTATAAGAAGGCAAGGGAATGTGGGTTTTTGTTTGTGCCTAAATTAAAGGATTAAAGGATTGTTTTAAGTTAGATAGGATAAGGCTGAAAGTTTGAGCAAGTTGTGGAAGGTTTATAGAACATTAATATTGTAAAAGAAATTCTGTGTGGGAACATATCAGCTAAATTTAAAGGGGTATTATTTGATTTTTCCATAAATTGAACATTGGAATAAGCACAACAGGGTTTTCTTAGAGAACTGATCTGCTCTTTAACAAAAATTTGTAAAGGGTTTTAAGAGGCTTATGAGACTCTTACCTTATGGTGAAACTGATTAGGATTAGATAGATTTGCCTATAAGGTTTTATTAAAAATTGATGTTGACATTAATAGTACACAAATGCAAGGGTGAAATTTGGCTTTCTCACACATGCACACTTATGTTTATTGCAGCACTGTTTACAATAGCAAAGACTTAGAACTAACCCAAATGCCCATCAATGATAGACTGGATAAAGAAAATGTGGCACATATACACCATGGAATACTATGCAGCCATAAAAAAGAATGAGCTTGTATCTTTTGCAGGGACATGGATGAAGCTGGAAACCATCATCCTCAGCAAACTAACAGAGGAACAGAAAACAAAACACTGCATGTTCTTACTCATAAGTGGGAGCTGAACAATGAGAACACATGGACACAGAGAGGGGAACATCACACACTGGGTCTGTTGGTGGGTGGGGAAAAAGGGGAGGGAGAACATTAGGACAAATACCTAAGGCATGCATGGCTTAAAACCTAGATGACGGGTTGATAGGTGAAGCAAACCACCAATGCACATGTATACCTATGTAACAAATCTGCATGTTCAACACATGTATCCCAGAATTTAAAATAAAAAATTAAAGAAAGAAAAGAAACTTGGCTTTTCTCTTGAGTAAGATACTTATGTATATGAAAGAATAATGAAAGTTTTTTTTTTTTTTTTTTTTGGAGATGGAGTCTTTCTTTGTCACCCAGGCTGGAGTGCAGTGGCACAATCTTGGCTCACTGCAATCTCTGCCTCCCAGGTTCAAGCAATTATCCTGCCTCAGCCTCCCGAGTAGCTGGGATTACAGGTGTGTGCACATTCAGCTAATTTTTGTATCTTAGTAGAGATGGGGTTTCACCATGTTGCCTAGGCTGGTCTTGAACTCCTTAGCTCAGGCAATCCACCCACCTCAGCCTCCCAAATTGCTGGGATTACAGGAATGAGACACCATGGCTGGCTATGAAATATTTTTGTTTGTCTTTTGAATAAACTATAGGAAAGGGAAGGGAAAGACAACAGACAGAGTTTGGGAAACTAAGTATTCCCTCTGTCAATGAGTAGAGGTTTTTGCCTTTTAAAAATTGTTGAGTTATCATTTTGGCTAAATGAATGACTTATAGTGAGCTTGATATGTTTTGGCTCTGTGTCCCCACCCAAATCTCATCTTGTGGCTCCCATAATTCCCACGTGTGGTGGGAGGGACTCGACAGGAGGTAATTGAATCATGGGGGTTGCTCTTTTCTGTGCTGTTCTTGTGGTAGTGAATAAGTCTTATGACATCTGTTGGCTTTAAAAATGGAAGTTTAATCCCAGCATTTTGGGAGACTGAGGTGGGTGGATGATGAGGTCAGGAGTATGAGACCAGCCTAGCCAAGATGGTAAAACCCCATCTCTACTAAAAATACAAAAATTGGCCGGGTGCAGTGGAGGGCACCTGTAACCCCAGCTACTCGGGAGGCTGAGGCAGGAAAATCACTTGAACCTGGGAAGCGGAGGTTGCAGTGAGCTGAGATTGTGCCACTGCACTCTAGCCTGGGCAAGAGAGCAAGACTCTGTCTCAAAAAAAAACAAAACAAAACAAAAACCACACAAAAAACAAACCAACAACAACAACAAAAAAACCCCAAAACAAAACAAAACAAAAAAAAATGGGAGCTAGCCTGCACAAGTTCTCTGTCTTTGCCTGCTGCCACCCATGTAAAATATGACTTGCTCCTCCTTGCCTTCTGCCATGATTGTGAGGCTTCCTCAGCCACATGGAACTGTGAGTTCTCCATTAACCCTCTTTCCTCTGTAAATTGCCCAGTGTCGGGTATGTCTTTATCAGCAGTGTGAAAATGGACAAATGCAGACCTGTAATTATATTTTATAACATTAAGTCTTTTAAAACTTTAACATGTTTGACAGGCTTCCCAAAATCAAATTTTAGCTTCAAAATTAAGTCTTTTTTAACCTCTAACTTTGGGATGCTACAGAGTACCCCTGAAGCATCCAAAAGAGAGGAAAACAGAATTATTTGACAAGTTACATGGGAAGCATTGTTAAAACAAGAAATAATGTCTATCTTTCTTCAGCTTATATTTTAGTGAATTTATTAATACATGTTCCCAAATCATATGGGATTTCTAAAATTCTAATATGTCTGAGTATATGCTATCAATAATAATTATGGTTATTATATTAAGATATTGTAGGCCACAGAAATTTCCTTGTCAATTTTGTCTTTATGACAATTTAAAGTAATTTCCATAGTTAATTACTTAATTCTGATGCAGTTTCTGAAAGCTTCATAAGCAGGCAAAATCCTAGAATATAGTGTCTTTTAGGAGGTTCGTGAAAGGATGAAAAGGACCCTGAAAAGCACTTTTGAATTCAGGTTTCTGATGACTTTAGAATCATATCATTTG
The DNA here is from genome assembly GCF_000001405.40 of Homo sapiens. Taxonomy (NCBI): domain Eukaryota; kingdom Metazoa; phylum Chordata; class Mammalia; order Primates; family Hominidae; genus Homo; species Homo sapiens. The sequence continues at coordinate 160,917,395 of NC_000001.11, read as the reverse complement.
GACTGAATAAGAATTCCTGGAACTTTAATAAAAAGACTGACTGGTTTATAAAACTGCTAATCCAAGTAGAACAAAAATTATTTGAAAACCAAGAGAATACTTTGTCAGATTTTCATGCTGGATCAGCCAATACTGAAATTGTTTAAATATACAATTTGAATGAATTCCATGGTCTAAGTCAAATTACTTATGATAACCCATCAGCTATCAGTGCTATGTCCCTAAATTGGAGAAACAACTAGTATTCAAGAAGATATAAGTCCAGTTAAGCATGGACTCATGGAGAACTGGGACGTCTGCCTTGTCCTTTCTGAGTCCTTAAAGCTTTTGTTATTAAAAGCTCTTCATTCTATGACTCATTATGGAAAAGATAAAATGATCCAAATTAAATACATATTGGTGCGGTGACTTCTAAATTGCTAAAATAGTTTATGACCAATGTTTGGTTTGTCAACCCACATCCCAGGAAGACAATCAAAACTTCAAGTACATTCTGCAACCTGATGGGCCATTTAAACATTTATAGAGAGAATTCATTCAATTGTCATTTTCAACGCATGTTTCCTGGTTGCATAAGAGCTTTCCCATGGAAGAGGGCTGATGTTATAACAGTAGATTATTATGCCACAGGTAAAGAAAGATTTTTATGAGGACAATCAACCCCTTCACAATCTAAAACCCAAAGATTGGATCTTCTGAGAATATCAGAGAAAGACTGCCCTTGCCATCCACACTGCAGCAAAACTTTGGGACTTCGAATCTCAGGTTCACAATCTCACAACTGAGACGGGTCCCTCCACACTCTTGTAGAGCCATTGGAACACTTAAGGTAAAGCCAATCAGGGAAGTTTCTCCCCAGAAGAAGATGACATCCTTGATGTGAACAGCTTTTTCCTGAGGCCATGGATCCAGACCTCTCTACTATCGTGAGACTCTTTGAATATTTTTTCCCTTGCTTATGCCTCTATGAACAACAGAAATGAAAAGAGCGGCTGGGCATGGTGGCTCATGCCTGTAATCCCAGCACTTTGGGAGGCCAAGGAGGGCAGATCACTTGAGGTCAGGAGTTCAACACTAGCCTTACCAACATGGTGAAACCCCATCTCTACTAAAAATACAAAAACTAGCCAGGTGTGGTGACACATGCCTGTAGTTGCAGCTACTCAGGAGGCTGAGGCAGGAGAATCACTTGAACCTGGGAGGCAGAGGTTGTAGCGAGCTGAGATCATGCCATTGGGTTCCAGTCTGGAATGGTGACAGAGCAAGACTCTGTCCCCCCCCCAACAAAAAAAAGAGGATCTGTTAGTATACTTTTATCTGTGAAGGATTTTGTAGTGAGCCTTATACATGGATGATATTATACCTTGATAGATGGGAGATGAAGGCTCAATGTAGGTGAGAAATTTTAATGGTACATATGTTACTTCATAATCATTCAGAAACAGAACATTGGTTCACCCCTCTTAACTTACATGATGGGTTAAAGAGAACATTGCCAGGAGGTCTTCACTCTTCTAGAAGGGCATCATTCGTTAGGTCCATTTTTCCATGGTTTGGAGTAAAAGAGGCATTGATTAGAAATGTATCCCTCATGATAGGCTCTACAGCAGATTCTACTGTAATAGATATGATTATACAACAGACTTTAAATTATTTGTGAAAGTTATGCTAAATAATAGAATTGCTTTAGATTACTTACTGGCTAAACAGAGAAATACCTGTGCAACTGCTGACACTTTGTAGCCTAATGAGAAATATCTTGTCTTGGGTATGACAGCGATTCAGTTGTAAGGGATTAATGAAGAGACTGCTTAGTTAAGCAAGTAGACTGTATATCTAGCTCATTTTTTTTTAACCTATTTGATTTTAGGAGTTGGTTTATGGGGACCCTGAGTAAAGAATATATGCCAAACTCTTGGTATTATCCTCATGATTGTCATAATAGTAGTCTCCTTGGTGCACTGTATTCTCTCAAAAGTTTTAAATGTTTGCATGCAGCCATCACTAAAATGTCAAATGGTCTTGCTTCAACTGGAATGACAAGGGCTGAAAGAAATGTGTGACCATAGGCCAGGCATGGTGGCTCATACTTGTAATCCCAGCACTTTTGGAGGCCAAGGCAGGCAGATGCCTTGAGTCCAGGAGTTTGAGACCAGCCTGGGCAACATGGCGAAACCCCATCTCTACAAAAAGTACAAAAATTAGCTGGGTGTGGTGGTGCACATCTGTAGTCCCAGCTACTCAGGAGGCAAAAGTGGGAGGATCACTTGAGCCCAGGAGGTGGAGGTTGAAATGAGCCGAGATCGCTCCACTGCACTCCAGCCTAGGTGACAGAGTAAGACCCTGTCTAAAAAAAAAAAAAAAAAAAGAAAAGAAATGTGTGACCATGAGGGCACTGTAACCTGTGAATGACATGCTGATACTGGAATCCAAAATGATGGCAACTGAGAGTTACACTAAGTTTTGGTCACCATCTCACCTAAGTGAGGACCAAATGGGGAAATTTGTAAACCAAATTATGGAAGGCCATTGTTTTGGACTGAGCTCATGCACTAGGCCCAAACAGACCAGACCAAACCAAAATGGAGTCACTTGTTCTAAATGTGACATAATCAAATTAAGATTTTAAGGAAGCACATAGATCCTAGAACAGACCAGGTTTTGTTTTTTCTCCTGTAAACAGGACGTCCCAGCATAAGGAAGTACCCTCTACCCTTAAAAAAACAACCCAAAGTCCTTGTTCTCACCTTGCAAAAACCCACTGTTCTACCATTTCCCAGTGGGTTTCAAGACCAAATAAGTACTTTTATGACGGTGATTGTGACATCAATGACTAAAGTTTCAGTAAATCTCTCAAAATTGAGAGGATGACCAAAAGGGGGAATTTGTTAAATCAAGTTTAGCCTAAAGCGGCTTCGTTACATATTTTCAGTTCGGCTTAAAGGTTTCATCATGAACTATAGCCTAAGTGGAAATGTGAACAAACTGTGGTCTACTCTTGTGCCAGTCACCAAATTTTGACCATCAAATGTGGCTAAATGTTCAAACTGTGTTCAAATAAGGCAAACGCCAAGCTATAACCAATGCAGCTGTTTCTGTACCTCAATTCCATTTTCTGTATGTCACTTTCCTTTTCCATCAGTAAATCTTCCACCACGTAGCTGCGCTGGAGTCTCTGAACCTACTCTGGCTTGGGAGGCTGCCAGTTTCGGGAACTGTTCATTGCTCAATTAAACTTTAAAAAATTTAATTCAGGCTGGGCACAGTGGCTCATGATGGGGCGGGTTGCCTCTCCACACCTGTGGGTGTTTCTCATTAGGTGGAACGAGGGACTTTGAAAAGAAAGAGACACAGAGACAAAGTATAGAGAAAGGAAAAAGGGGGCCTAGGGGACTGGTATTCAGCATTACGGAGGATTCTGCCAGCTTCTGAGTTCCTTTAGTATTTATTCATCATTCTTGGGTGTTTCTCGGAGAGGGGGATGTGGCAGGGTCATAGGATAATAGTGGAGAGCAGGTCAGCAGATAAACACGTGAACAAGGTCTCTGCATCATAGAGAAGGTAAAGAATTAAGTGCTGTGCTTTAGATATGTATACACATAAACATCTCAATGCCTTAAAGAGCAGTATTGCTGCCTGCTGTCCTACCTCCAGCCTTAAGGTGGTTTTCCTTTATCTTAGTAGATGGAATATACAATCGGGTTTTACACCAAGACATTCCATTGCCTAGGGACAGGCAGGAGACAGATGCCTTCCTCTTGTCTCAACTGCAAAGAGGCGTTCTTTCCTCTTTTACTAATCCTCCTCAGCACAGACCCTTTACGGGTGTCAGGCAGGGGGACGGTCAGGTCTTTCCTTTCTTACGAGGCCATATTTCAGACTATCACATGGGGAGAAACTTTGGACAATACCTGGCTTTCCTAGGCAGAGGCCCAAGCGGCCTTCCCCTTCCAGCCTTCCGCAGTGTTTGTGTCCTTGGGTACTTGAGATTAGGGAGTGGTGATGACTCTTTAGGAGCATGCTGCCTTCAAGCATCTGTTTAACAAAGCACATCTTGCACAGCCCTTAATCCATTTAACCTTGAGTTGACAAAGCACATGTTTCAGGGAGCACAGGGTTGGGGGTAAGGTTACAGATTAACAGCATTTTAAGGCAGAAGAATTTTTCTTAGTACAGAACAAAATGGAGTCTCTTATGTCTACTTCTTTCTACACAGACACAGTAACAATCTGATCTCTCTTTCTTTTCTCCACAGGCTCACACCTGTAATCCCAGCACTTTGGGAGGCTGAAGCGGGTGGATCACCTGAGGTCAGGTGTTCAAGACCAGCCTGGCCAACATGGTGAATCCCCATCTCTACTAAAAAATATACAAAAATTAACTGGGTGTGGTGGTGCGCACCTGTAATCTCAGCTGCTTGGGAGACTGAGGCAGGAGAATCACTTGAACCTGGGAGGTGCAGGTTGCAGAGAGCTGATATCGCATCACTGCACTTCAGCCTGGGCAGCAGAGTGAGACTCCATCTCAAAAAAAGTTTTTTTAAATTTTATTAAAAAAATTGAGATGGGGTCTTGCTATTTTGCCCAGGTTGACTCAAACTCATGGGCTCAAGCAATCTTCCCACCTCAGCCTTCAGAGTAGCTGGGATTACAGTTCTGAGCCACCATACCTGGCTCAGCAGTGGGCTTTTGAAGGAAGAGTTGTGCTTTTTCTTTCATTAACCATGCTGGACTGCATGACTGGAGGATGTATTCCTGGTTTCAGGAGTCCTCTGTGAACCTCTGTTTAGCCTTGGTTCCCCTGCGAGGCTTCCTGGACTCCAAGGTTAGCTCCTAAGAAGGGCCTTCGCAAAGCTTCACAAAGAGTTACAGGCCTACATTTATTTTGATTGCTCTAATTTTCTAGACATTTTCCTTACTCTTTATTTTGAAAATGTTCAAATCTACAGTAAAGGGTATGGAAGGCAGAATAATGGCCCCCCAAAGATGTCCACATTCTAATTTCTGAAACCTGTGGATATGTTATCTTAGATGGCAAAAGGGACTTTGCAGATGTGATTAAGTTAAGGATTTTGAGATGAGAGGAGTGTCCTGGATTATCCAGGTGGGCTCAATGTAATCACATGAGTCCTTTAAAGGCAGGCAAAGGGTCAAACAAGGGTACAGAAGGCAGGCAGAGGGTACAGAAAAGGAAATGCGATGATCAGAGCAGAGGTTAGAGTGATGTGTTTTGAAGATAGAGGAAGGAGCCATGAGCTAAGGAGTGTGGGTGGTGTTTGAATCTGGAAAAGAAAACATTCTTCCCTGAGCCCTGAGAAGAAACAGCTCTGCCAACACCTCTCAGCTCCATAAAGCTCATTTTGAATTTCTGACTTCTAGAACTTTAAAACAACAAATTTGTGTTCTAAGACACCACGTTTGTGGTAATTTGTTAAGAGCAGAATAAGAAACAAGGTCTGCAGCTTGTAGCTGCAGCGAACACCGAGAATGAAGTATTCAGACAATTCCAGCTGAGCGGGACAAGTAGCAGCTCTTCTGAGAGAGTGCTGCTTTAAGATGGGTAAGCCAAGTATTTATTGAGAGGGCTTCTTAAACTACAATTTAGACAAACGAGACATTGGCTAGGTAACGATTTGCGGTCTGGTCACGAGGCACATATAGCCTTATTTGTTACATCTAAAAGCACTCAGACCACATTCTTAGGAGGCTGTTCTCAGCCCTCCTTATCACACAACTCCTTATTACACAGTTCCTTATCACACATTCCGTTCCTTGCCCTGTTTTCAGGGTCAAGGAATTTCAGTCTCATGCGCAAACAACATACACACAGTGCCTCAGTATTTTCCCATGCCTCGACCTCAAATGCCTTGCACATAAGCTTGAATATGTTGCTGTGCACCCCCCACATCTCCCCCTTCTTTAATTCTTAGAGCATGCTGGTTATCTAATGCAAGGTAAGCTTCTATCGTTCTTTCCTGATCATAGATGCGTGGGCGGGGGGCAGCACAGAGCCATTTGCAGATGCCTAGCAAACAGATACAAAAAAGAATAGGTATAGTGGCCATCACCCAAATGTGTATGTTTAATCCAGACAACTAAGTGTTCAGGTTCAACCATTGAAAACCTTCTTGTAATTGCTGAAGGATATTTGTTTGTAATTGCTGTGATCATTCTTTTTTTTTTTTTTTTTTTTTTGAGACAGAGTCTCGCTCTGTTGCCCAGGCCGGAGTGCAGTGGCACGACCTTGGCTCACTGCAACCTCTGCCTCCTGGGTTCACGCCATTCTCCTGCCTCAGCCTCCCGAGTAGCTGGGACTACAGGCGCCCGCGACCCCGCCCGGCTAATTTTTTGTATTTTTCGTGGAGATGAGGTTTTACCGTGTTAGCCAGGATGGTCTAGATCTCCTGACCTCGTGATCTGCCCGCCTTGGCCTCCCAAAGTGCTAGGATTACAAGCATGAGCCACCGCGCCTGGCCTGCTGTGATCATTCTTTAAGTTGTTTCTTTAACTCGCACTCAAGAGTAGAAATTTGAGAGGATAAGTGGTCCTGATAAGCCCCTTGTAGGTGCGCCTTCACTCTCTCCCAAGTATATTGGGAGCTATTATATGGCAGAGGTGTGACACAGATAGAATTATATTGCCAATCACAATGTAAATTTTGACAAGTAATGAATACCTGCTGCTGATCCCCCAGCCATTCAACAGCGGCTTTAAGAGCCTCCAGGTGAGACAAAATAGTTTTATCAATATTTACTTGTTCTTGAAATCCATGGGTTACTTTGTATACCATGTGGTTTGCTACCAAGGCTGTGTGAATAGATTGTGTCAGAGAAACAGCTGTAGTAGCGGCAGTTGCTAGTATTGAGAAGTGAAGCCAGCTGGGCTTCTGGGTCCTGTTGGGACTTGGAGAACTTTTCTGTCTAGATAAAGGATTGTAAACACACCAATCAGTGCTCTGTGTCTAGCTAAAGGTTTGTAAATGTACCAATCAGCACTCTGTAAAATGGACCAATCAGCAGGAGGTGGGTGGGGCCAAATAAGGGAATAAACGCTGGCCACTAGAGCCAGCAGCCGCAACCCCATTGGGTCCTGTTCCACTGTGTGGAAGTGTTCTTTCCCTCTTCACAATACATATTGCTGCTGCTCACTCTTTGGGTCCACACTATCTTTATTAGCTGTAACACTCACCACGAGGGTCTGCGGCTTCACTCCTGAGGTCAGTGAGACCACGAACCCACCGGGAGGAACAGACAACTCGATGTGCCACCTTTAAGAGCTGTAACACTCACTGTGAAGGTCTGCAGCTTCACTCCTGAAGTTAGCCAGACCACGAACCCAACGGAAGGAAGAAACTCCGAACACATCTGAACATCTGAAGGGATAAACTCTGGACACACCATCTTTAAGAACTGTAGCACTCACTACGAGGGTCTGTGGCTTCACTCCTGAAGTCAGCGAGACCAAGAACCCACCAGAAGGAAACAGTTCCGGACACAGTATAATAATAGCTGAGACAAAAAAGGCAATTAAAGTGGCCAAAAATCTTTTTTTTGAGTATGAGATAGTGCTTTTCTAAATAACCGTAGGGTTAAATTTACAGGGAGCCACAATTCTACATGCCATTTTAGGATCATGCCATAGGTTATATTTAACTATGTAACATTTTGATGAGACAAGCATGTAGCGTACCAACTACTGGAAGAGAAAGTAATACTATATAAGGATTGATTCTGTTCTATGTTAGGAATACCCTGCCCAGACAAAATTATCTAGGGGTGTGTAGTACAAATCAGGACTGTATCAGTAACATTATTGTGCAAGGAGAGGGTATAGTTGCCACTGCTGTAAATGTAATCACCATACAAAACAACGCATTCAAAAAAGGGAAGACCTAGTCTCCAAATTTGGGTATGAGCAGGGCTTAAAGCTTGCTTCCCTTTTAGTTGTAATATTGGTCCTGAAAGCCCATACTCTGACCAGGTGATGGAACTATTGGAGGACTCCCAAATCCAATAGTCTGATTTGCAGACATAAGATTAGCATGGGGACCCCAATCAAGTAAGGTGCCATTATTAAGCAGAGGCCCTTGTCGTGGCGCAGGTTGTCTGCATGGGGTTCACACTGGACAGCCTCAAACTTACATTGCCAGTCCCTTCTCAGACAGCATATAAGAAGACTAGGCACTTGTGTAGCTTCATTAGAGACCTTAGTGAGATTAATGGTAACAGCAGAAATAAAGGTCAAGTTTGCGGGCTTGGCATCCCTTTTGAGGTGACAGTAAAGATACTCCAGAGGAATAAGAGTAATGTGCTTATCATGGGCTATTGTAGAAAAACAAAGAAGGGGGTTGCTAGACAATAAAGTCAAGGAGTCATTGAGTTTAATCCATCCCAAATTTTCAGTTAAGGGGTAAGACAGGGGCATCCATCGACCTCCCATCCAAGAAGTATCATTAGATGACAAAGGCGGGTCAGCATCCCACCACATAATAACATTTCCAACAGTGGGATTCAGAATATGATTCCAGTAAACATGTTCTTGAGCTGATCCCACTTGGCAAAGGATGAGAATCACCAGCCACCCCAGCATCCATGTCTGTCTTACTTTCTCAAAAGCTCCCCCAATTACTGCCAGATACATAAGAAACCAATTCTCTGCAATTGCAGGGGCTCCCATGGCAACAAGCTGGATAGTTGCCTGTTGATCCAATTTCTTTAGCTGCCCTCAGGTAATGTCAGATGCCTTCCGAGTCATCGCTATCATTGCTGGTCGATTCTCCAACGACAGGTCTTTCATCATCAGGAGGGGTTCAGTTGTCTCCTACCTGTTCTCGAGGAGAAAGCCCAATATTCCCCCTTTTTTGTTTGTTAAGATATACTTTAAGAGTTTGATGAGCTCGCTCAACATTGGCCTGACTGGTTGAGTTATAAGGAATGCCAGTCTTGTGTTGTATGTGCCACAGTTGTAAATGCATATGTAAATCGAGCACTAAGACAGCAATGTCTATTATCAGTTTTTGTAATTTGTGGAAGGCCTAAAGTCATAATAGATTTAAAAAGATGAGCAATTGCATCTTTAGTTTTTTCTGTAGTCTGAGGAGTAGCATATTTCAGGCCTGTATAAGTGTCTACAGTAACGTGGAGAAATTTGAAGCATCTAAAGGGTGGATGCTGAGTAATATCAGTTTGCCAGATAGCATTAGGCACCAGACCTCGTGGGTTGGCACCAAGTCCTAACGAAAAAGGGGAGAGCGAATGCCATTGGCAGTCAGGACAGGTTTTAATAATCATGCGAGCTTGAGTGAGCGCCAAATAAAACTGTTGTTTAAGACTGTGGTTGTTCTGATAAAAAAAGGAATGATCAGCTTGAGCTTGCAAAAATGTAGGAGATTCTGTAAACCACGGAGCTTAGTGTTAATATGTGACTTTAGACAACAATGTTTTTATATTTTAGGAAGCTTGAAGCTAACAATATATTAAGACAATGATCTCTTTATAATTTACAATAAATAAAGTGAAAGTTTGTATTTTATATTGTTTAAAACATAAGAAGATTTTATTTGAAAAGACTTTTAAAAAAATATGAAGGCTTTCTCTTAGGGTAAGAATTATGTAATTATGTTGCCCAAGTAATACAGTGATGGAAACAAGACAATATTTTATCTTTCTTTTCTTCAGTTGAATGCTAATAGACAATAGTTTTTTGCTTAGCTAGGAGCTTAAATACTGTTTGGGAGAAGTGGGATATTTATTAGTGGGTTGCAGGGAATAAATGAAATCACCTTAGTAGAGGATGCTGCTATACTTTTATCAATGTCCACTGACATTGGTTTGAAAGTGGAAATCTTTTGTGTAAAGGCCTGGGGATTTTTTGCCTATATCTTAAGTATATCTCTGGGCTGGCAGCCCCTTAATATACTCAGAAAAGTAAAATATAGGTTACAAGATACTTTAAAAATTTATTTTGACTAGTGAGTTTGTTTCTAGTTGATTCACCTAATTAGAGATGTTACAAATCATTTTATATGATTGAACACATGTGAGTGTTGTTTTCCTGGAGACTGGGTTTCATTACAAGCATTCTGATTTGGGCCCCATTGAAGTTTTTCTTTCTCTAGCCCTTCTAAACTAAGCTTTTTAGAACTCACTCACAAGTTGTATGAATTTTGACAGACTTTTATTTTATCTTCTGATTTATTCCGTGTGCAGTGGATTTGAATAGCAGAGTTTTTTTATAGCTCTGCTGATGTGATGTTGGTCACTACGTGCAGCTTGCAATCAGTTGATAAATTCAACGTATGTTTCTGTGGCACTCTGTTTAACTGTTATAAAGGAATGTTTCTGTGGCACTCTGTTTAACTGTTATAAAGGAACCCTGGGATTGTCCCGTGGGTATCCTCTTCTATGCCTGTATTGCTAGCTGCAAGCATTGTGGAAATAGATGGCTGTTTATTTGAGCTTGAGCCTGAGCTCAAGCAAAAGGACCTGGTCCCAATAGCATATCAAGCTGTGTTGGGATATTATTATCCAAATTTTGCAAGGGCTGCTGCATGGATAGATCACTGTACTCACTCCACCGCACAGTATATTCTGCAGCTGAAACCAAAACTTTTACTAAAGTTTTCCAATCATGCGGAGTCATCTTATAGCCATTTCCCAGAGCCTCAATCATCCCCTGGGTAAAGGGTGAATGTACACCATTTTCACAGATACTTTTCTTTATCTCTTTAAAAACAGTAAAAGGCAAACTCTCATGCCGTCTCCTATCATTTTGAACAATGACAGGGAATGCGCCAAAAAGTGCCTAAGAGTCTCCCTTTTTAAGTCCCTCCTGGAGGCACCCCTCTACTAGGGAAGTTTGATGAGGAGTCGTCACTGAGAACGCGTTCACCTGATCATATATGTCAGGCCTCTGAGCCCAAGCTAAGCCAACATATCCCCTGTGACCTGCACGTATACATCCAGATGGCCTGAAGCAACTGAAGATCCACAAAAGAAGTGAAAATAGGCTAAACTGATGGCATTCCACCATTGTGATTTGTTCCTGCCCCACCCTAACTGATATGATATATTCTCCCCTGCCCTTAGGAAGGTACTTTGTAATATTCTCCCCGCCCTTGGGAATGTACTTTGTATGCCTATCCCAAACCTATAAGAACTAATGATAATCCCACCACCTTTTGCTGACTCTCTTTTCAGACTCAGCCCGCCTGCACCCAGGTGATTAAAAAGCTTTATTGCTCACATAAGCCTGTTTGGTGGTCTCTTCACACGGACGTGCGTGACAATATAGATGTTCACTGACAGGGGGTCTTATCCAAGAACCGTCCATCCCTTGGGTGGCCTCCAATCTCCTCCAGGGGGATGGGAGGCACTGTAGCCTGAACAGGGCCAATAGATGTGGATTTTTTTAGGGGTGGAGGAAAGGAGGGCAATGGCTTTTCTATTGGGGGAGGAAAAAGCTCCGGTCTGTCCTCATCATCACTAGAAAGTGTCCTCCTTATGCCCTACGGAAGGGAATGAAGTAGGGAGAGGAGCCCCTCCCTGTTGTTCTGGTTCCTGTTTTTCTTTAAATCTCCTGAATTCCCTTCAGGTGGAGCTAATGGGCAGTCTGACTCACCGCAATCTGGCATATAAAGAGGGTACAATGCAGAGCGTACCAGGGCCCAGGTGGTCAAAATGATAACCTTAGTAAAATGGCCCTGCCTAAATCCTGTTTTCAGGCAGTGATCCACCTCCTCCCATAACTCTAAGTCTAATGTTCCTTGATCAGGGAACCAAGAGCATTCCTGCTGAATAAAAAGCATAAGCTGATGCAAATCTTCAGACTCTAAGGTGCAGTGGATAGCCTTAAGTAATTGTTGCACCATTTTAAAAAATACTTTCTGCTCTTTGGTCAATTCCTGACCCATGATAGCCCAATCCCTGGTATTATATGCGTTGGTCCCATCTTCCTGAAATGGGTTGGGACTGTCCCTTACTGGTATTCCCTGAAGTTTGATGAGTTTTCATACTCCACGTGTAATTTCAACGCAGTTATGTCAGGGTCACCACTTGCAGCTTGTAGCTACAGCGAACGCCAAGAATGAAGTACTCAGAGAATTCCAGCTGAGCAGGGCAGGGAGTAGCTCTTCTGAGAGAGTGCCACTCTAAGATCTGTCTGCCAAGTATTTATTAAGAGGGCAACAAGCCCTCTCTAAATTGTAGTTCTAATTGTAATTGTAATTGTAATCTAAATTGTAATTGTACAAGAATTACAATTTAGACAACCAAGAGACATCCACTAGGTAACAATTTGCAGTTGGGTCATGAGGCACATACGGCCTTGTTTATTACATCTAAAATCACTCAGACCACATTCTCAGGAGGCTGTTTTCAGCGCTCCTTATCACACAACTCCTTATCACACAGCTCCTTATCACACATTCTGTTCCTTGCTCTGTTTTCAGGGTCAAGGAATTTCAGTCTCATGCCCAAAAAACATGCACACAGTGCTTCAGTATTTTGCCATACCTCGACCTCAAATGCCTTGTATAGAAGCTTGAATATGTTGCCATGTATCCCCTACAAGGTGCAAAAGATTGGCAATGAACTCCTTCATCTAGACATTTTGCTACATTTGTTTTCTCTCTCTCTCTCACTATGGTTTGTTGAAGAACTTAGAAAAGAGTTGCAAGTGTAACACTTTTTTTTTTTTTTTTTAGACAGAGTCTCCCTCTGTCACCCAGGCTGGAGTGCATTGGTACCGTCTTGGCTCACTGCAACTTCTGCCTCCTGGGTTCAAGCAAGTCTTCTGCCTCAGTCTCCCAAATAGCTGGGATTACAGGAGCCTACCACCATGCCTGACTAATTTTTTTGTATTTTTAGTGGAGAGAGGGTTTCACCATATTGGCCAGGCTGATCCTGAACTCCCGACCTCAGGTGATCTGCCCACCTTGGCTTCCCAAACTGTTGGGATTACAGGCGTGAGCCACTTTGCCCAGCCTGTGACACTTTACCTTTAATTATTTCAACATTAATCTCCTACATAATACAAATATAATTCAAGAAATTTTACATTAATAAAATACTAGTACTTAAGAGTAGCTTATATTAAATTTCACTAATTATTCCAATAATGTTCTTTATAGCTTTTTGTTTGATCCAGAATCCAACCAGGGATTATGCACTGCATTTATTTGTCGTGTGTACCTAGGTTCCTTTAATCTAGACTAGTAACTGAGATTATTTTTGGTCTTTAATGATATTATCATTTTTGAAGAGTCTAGGGGGTCAACTATTTTGCAGAATGTTCCTCAACTTGGGTTTGTCTGGCTGCTTCCTTCAGGTTATTGGTTCCAGGCTAAACATCTCTGGCAGGAATATATGTTGTTGCTGTTATGTTCTTCTCAGAGCATCTAGGGGATAGACAATGTCGGCTTGTCCCAACCCTGGTATGGTAGGACCTTACCTAGCACATGCTCTATACTAGAAGAAGAAGGGCTGCCTGGTTAAGGAGAGAAGGCGTGTGCATTATACAGAGAAGTCTTGGGGCAGTAACTGAAGTTTCAAATTCTTTGATTTTCTTTTTTTTTAAAGCTGTTCTCCCTGCCAATGGTGTCAGCAGCACAAAAAGATTGACTTAGCAATGTCATTTGAGCATCTGCAACCTTTTGTGCATCCATAGGTTTGTTTATACAAATAGTACCCCCTTATTCACAGTTTTGTTTTCTATAATTTCTTTTTTTTTCTTTTTTCTTTTCTTTTTTTTTTTTTTTTGAGACGGAGTCTCACTCTGTTCCCCAGACGAGTGCAATGGCACCATCTTGCCTCACTGCAACCTCCGCCTCCTGGGTTCAAGTCATTCTCCTTCCTCAGCCTCCCAAGTAGCTGGGACTACAGGCACCTGCCACCACACCCTGCTAATTTTTGTATTTTTAGTAGAGAGGGGGTTTCACCATGTTGGCCAGGCTGGTCTCAAACTCCTGACCTCAAGTGATATGCCCCCACTTTGGCACCCCAAAGTGCTGGGATTACAGGCGTGAGCCACCATGCCTGGCCTTGTTTTCTATAATTTCAATTACCTGAGGTCAACCATGGTCTGAAAATAGGTGAGTACAGTGCAATAAGGTAATGAGAGAGAGAGAGAGAGAAACCATATTTATATAACTTTCATTACAATATGTTGTTATAATTGCTCTATTTTATTATTAGTTTTTGCTGATAATCTCTTACAGTGCCTAATTTATTTCTTATTTTTATTTTCAATTTTATTTTTTTTTGATACAGGGTCTCACTCTGTTGCTGGAGTGCAGTGGCGTGATTTCAGCTCACTGCAATGTTTACCTACTGGGCTCAGGCAATCCTCCTGCCTCAGCCTCCTGAGTAGCTGGGACTGCAGGTGCAAGCCAGCATGTCAGGCTAATTTTGTTTAGTTTTTGTAGCAACGAGTTCTGACTGTGTTCCACAGGTTGGTCTCAGACTCCTGGGCTCAATCTGCCTGCCTTGGCCTCTCAGAGTGCTGGGATATCAGGTATAGAGTCACCGTGCCTGGCCTCTGTGCCTAATTTACAAATTAAACTTTATCATTGGTACGTGTGTATAGGAAAAACACACTACATATAGGGTTGGTACTATCATTGGTTTTGGGTATCCATTGGGGTCTTGGAACATATACCCTGAAGATAAGAGGGAATGACTGTATTTCTTCTTTTTCTAAAATAAGAGATAAGAATAAAATTATGATATTGGCTGGCATGTTGGCTCATATCTATAATCTTAGCACTTTGGGGGACCAAGTGGGAGGATTGCTTGAGCCCAGGAGTTTGAGACAAGCCTGGGCAATATAGTGAGACCTCCTCTCTGCAAAAACCTAAAAACACTAGCCAGGTGTGGTGGTGTGTGCCTGTAGTCCCAGCTACTTGGAAGGTTGAGGTGGGAGGATTGCTTGAGCCCAGTGGGTTGAGACTGCAGTGAACCGTGATTGCACCACTGCACTCCAGCCTGGGCAACAGAGTGAGGCTCTGTCTCAAGAACAACAACAACAAAAAATGATATTCACTTTGGCAGAAGATTAAGATGTATAACAAAGTACAATTGCTTCATACTTTTGTCTAGTTTTTCATAAAATTTTGACTGGAAATATTGTCAATATGGGGTTCCTCTGAGATTATTTTTTCTTGTGGTCAAGAATTTTAGATCTCTCTCTCTCTCTCTCTCTCTCTCTCTCACACACACACACACACACACAATTCACTGAAGGAGAAAGGAATTTATTTTAGAATCTCAGAACTATTCTAGAATCAATGGAAAGTGGGAAGGCTGGCATGGCATCCTAGGCTTGGAAAATGGGCTGGAACTCAAAGGAGGGAGAGCTTCAGGGAACACAACTGTGGTTGGTTGCAGCTCCAATCTTGTCAGGATGCTGCTGCTGGCTCTGTGTCTGTCAGGCTCTCTGAGGCTGCTCTGGGCTGCTGATGCTGCCACTACTGTGGTCATTACCAAACTGACTCTCTGACTTTGCTTCTCTGTCTCAAGATTTAGAATTCTGGGCTGCAACGCTGACTAGCCAAGCCTAGTGATCATCAGCCAAGCCTAGGTCATCAGCCTGCATCATGGACTGTCCAGAGGGGTGCAAGGGAGAATCGGGACCTTCAGCTTCCTTAGTTAGAGATGGGGCTCTGCCTCCCTCCAAATCTTACATGATACAGGGTGTGAGAGAGATTCCTCCAAAAGAAGAACGGTGTTCTGGTGTGGGGTAGCCAGAAAAGGCACAAAGGTCCACTCTACTCAGCCTCCAAAGGAGAAGGGTGCAGGCTTTTCCATGAATAAAGTAATTCTTCTAATTAATAGTATCTCCAGATAAAGGATCTGTGGCTCTGGGAAAACTGCAAATGAATAGTGAATATAAAACATGTGCCATATCACCGTTCTACCAGTAAGTGGGAATTAAAGCAGGAAGATGCCCTAAGAGGATTTTGAACAGGGGATGGATGTAGCCAGAATGCTCGATTTCCAAGGGAGAGCCCCTTCATTCAAAGTGAAAATTTAACGCAGCATATAACCTACTTGAAATGTCTCAACTTGTAAGTGATGTGGATTACAAAATAAGAAAATGCCGAAGTAATGGAATTTTTATTTTTAATTTAATTATTTTTTTATGCCAAAGGTTTTATTTTTTATTTTATTTTTAATTTTTATTTTAGATTCAGGGGTACATGTGCAGATTTCACGTGTAGGTAAATTGCATGTTGTGGGGGTTTGGTGTACAGATTATTTTGTTACCCAGGTAATAAGTATAGTACCGGATAGGTAGTTTTTTGATCCTCACCCTTCTCCCACCCTCCACCCTCCACCCTCCAGTAGGCCGTGGTGTCTGTTTTTCCCTTCTTTGTGTCCATGTGTGCTTAATATTTAGCTCCCATTTATAAGTGAGAAAATGTGGTATTTGGTTTTCTGTTCCAGTGTTAGTTTGCTTAGGACAATGACCTCCAGTTCCATCTATGTTGCTGCAAAGGACATGATCTTGTTCCTTTTTATGGGCTGCATAGTATTCCATGGTATGTATGGGCCACATTTTCTTTATCCAGTCTACTGTTGATGGGCATTTAGGTTAATTCTATGTCTTTGCTATTGTGAATAGTGCTGCAATGAACATACGTGTGCATGTGTCTTTAGTAGTACCATTGATTTTCCTTTGGGCATGTACCCAATAATAGAATTGCTGGGTCGAATGGTAGTTCTGTTTTAAGTTCTTTGAGAAATTGCCAAATTGCTTTTCACAGTGGCTGAACTTATTTACATTGCCACCAGCAGCGTATAAGCATTCGCTTTTCTCCACAACCTCAACCATATCTATTATTTTTTGACTTCTTAGTAATAGCCATTCTGACTGGTGTGAGATGGTATCTCATTGTGGTTTTGATTTGCATTTCTTTAGTGATTAGTGATATTGAGCATTTTTTCATATGTTTGTTGGCCACATGTATGTCTTCTTTTGAAAAGTGCCTGTTTATATCCTTGCCCACTTTTTTTTTGAAGTTAAGAGAGATTTTATTCTTTGAAAGAGAAGAACTACATTTGAATTCCAGTATAGCTCAGTAAATATCAAGTCACTACCTTCAACCCCACCCCAAGTTTCTGTTTTGTTTTTTTTTTTATTATACTTTAAGTTCCAGGGTACATGTGCACAACGTGCAGGTTTGTTACATATGTAAACATGTGCCATGTTGGTGTGCTGCACCCATTAACTCGTCATTTACATTAGGTATTTCTCCTAATGCTATCCCTCTCACCTCCCTCCACCCCATGACAGGTCCCAGTGTGAGATGTTCACCACCCTGTGTCCAAGTGTTCTTATTGTTCAATTCCCACCTATGAGTGAGGACATGTGGTGTTTGGTTTTCTGTCCTTGCGACAGTTTGCTCAGAATGATGGTTTCCAGCTTCATCCATGTCCCTACAAAGGACATGAACTCATCCTTTTTTAAGGCTGCATAGTATTTCATGGTGTACATGTGCCACATTTTCTTAATCCAGTCTATCATTGATGGACATTTGGGTTGGTTCCAAGTCTTTGCTATTGTGAATAGTGCCGCAATAAGCATACGTGTGCATGTGTCTTTATAGCAGCATGATTTATAGTCCTTTGGGTATATACCCAGTAATGGGATGGCGGGGTCAAACGGTATTTCTAGTTCTAGATCTTTGAGCAACCGCCACACTGTCTTCCACAATGGTTGAACTAGTTTACAGTCCCACCAACAGTGTAAAAGCGTTCCTATTTCTCCACATCCTCTCCAGCACCTGTTGTTTCCTGACTTTTTAATGATCGCCATTCTAACTGGTGTGAGATGTTATCTCATTGTAGTTTTGATTTGCATTACTCTTATGGCCAGTGATGATGAGCATTTTTTCATGTGTCTGTTGGCTGCATAAATGTCTTCTTTTGAGAAGTGTCTGTTCATATCCTTAGCCCAGTTTTCAATGAGGTTGTTTGATTTTTTTTGTAAATTTGTTTAAGTTCTTTGTAGATTCTGGATATTAGCCCTTTGTCAGATGGGTAGATTGTAAAAATTTTCTCCCATTCTGTAGGTTGCCTGTTCACTCTGGTGGTAGTTTCTTTTGCTGTGCAGAAGTTCTTTAGTTTAATTAGATCCCATTTGTCAATTTTGGCTTTTGTTGCCATTGCTTTTGGTGTTTTGGTCATTAAGTCCTTGCTCATGCCTATGTCCTGAATGGTATTGCCTAGATTTTCTGCTAGGGTTTTTATGGTTTTAGGTCTAACATTAAAGTCTTTAATCCATCTTAAATTAATTTTTGTATAAGTTGTAAGGAAGGGATCCAGTTTCAGCTTTCTACATATGGCTAGCCAGTTTTACCAGCACCATTTCTTAAATAAGAAATCATTTCCCCATTTCTTGTTTTTGTCAGGTTTGTCAAAGATCAGATGGTTGTAGTTTTGGGATATTATTTCTGAGGGCTCTGTTCTGTTCCATTGGTCTATATCTCTGTTTTGGTACAAGTACCATGCTGTTTTGGTTACTGTAGCCTTGTAGTGCAGTTTGAAGTCAAGTAGTGTGATGTCTCCAGCTTTATTCTTTTGGCTTAGGATTGTCTTGGGAATGCGGACTCTTTTTTAGTTCCATATGAACTTTAAAGTATTTTTTTCCAATTCTGTGAAGAAAGTCATTGGTAGCTTGATGGGGATGGCATTGAATCTATAAATTACCTTGGGCAGTATGGCCATTTTCACAATATTGATTTTTCCTATCCATGAGCATGGAATGTTCTTCCATTTGTTTGTGTCCTCTTTTATTTCATTGAGCAGTGGTTTGTAGTTCTCCTTGAAGAGGTCCTTCACATCCCTTGTGAGTTGGATTCCTAGATATTTTATTCTCTTTGAAGCAATTGTGAATGGAGTTCACTCATGATTTGGCTCTCTGTCTTTGTCTGTTATTGGTGTATAGGAATGCTTGTGATTTTTGCACATTGATGTTGTATCCTGAGACTTTGCTGAAGTTGCTTATCAGCTTAAGGAGATTTTGGACTGAGGCGATGGGGTTTTCTAGATATACAATCATGTCATCTGCAAACAGGGACAATTTGACTTCCTCTTTTCCTAATTGAATACCCTTTATTTCTTTCTCTGGCCTGATTGCCCTGGCCAGAATTTCCAACACTATGTTGAATAGGAGTGGTGAGAGAGGGCATCCCTGTCTTGTGCCAGTTTTCAAAGGGAATGCTTCCAGTTTTTGCCCATTCAGTATGATATTGGCTGTGGTTTGTCGTAAATAGCTCTTATTATTTTGAGATACGTCCCATCAATACCTAGTTTATTAAGAGTTTTTAGGATGAAGGGCTGTTGAATTTTGTCAAAGGCCTTTTCTGCATCTACTGAGATAATCATGTGGTTTTTGTCTTTGGTTCTGTTTATATGATGGATTACATTTATTGATTTGCATATGTTTAACCTGCCTTGCATCCCAAGGATGAAGCCGACTTGATTGTGGTGGATAAGCTTTTTGATGTGCTGCTAGATTCAGTTTGCCAGTATTTTATTGAGGATTTTTGCATCAATGTTCATCAGGGATACTGGTCTAAAATTCTTTTTTTCTGTTGTGTCTCTGCAAGGCTTTGGTATCAGGATGATGCTGGCCTCATAAAATGAGTCAGGGAGGATTCCCTCTTTTTCTATTGATTAGAATAGTTTCAGAAGGAATGGTACCAGCTTCTCTTTGTACCTCTGGTAGAATTTGGCTGTGAATCCATCTTGTCCTGGAGTTTTTTTGGTTTGTAGGCTATTAATTATTGCCTCAATTTCACAGCTTGTTATTGGTCTATTCAGGGATTCAACTTCTTCCTGGTTTAGTCTTGGGAGGGTGTATGTGTCCAGGAATTTATCTGTTTCTTCTAGATTTTCTAGTTTATTTGCATAGAGGTGTTTATAGTATTCTCAGATGGTATTTTGTATTTCTGTGGGATCGGTGGTGATATCCCCTTTATCATTTTTTGTTGCATCTATTTGATTCTTCTCTCTTTTCTTCTTTATTAGTCTTGCTAGTGGTCTATCAATTTTGTTGATCTTTTCAAAAAACCAGCTCCTGGATTCATTGATTTTTTGAAGGGTTTTTTGTGTCTCTATCTCCTTCAGTTCTGCTCTGATCTTAGTTATTTCTTGCCTTCTGCTAGCTTTTGAATTTGTTTGCTCTTGCTTCTCTAGTTCTTTTAATTGTGATGTTAGGGTGTCAATTTTAGATCTTTCCTGCTTTCTCTTGTGGGCATTTAGTGCTATACATTTCCTTCCACACATTGTTTTAAATGTGTCCCAGAGATTCTGGTATGTTGTGTCTTTTTTCTTATTGGTTTCAAAGAACATCTTCATTTCTGCCTTCAATTTTATTATGTACCCAGTAGTCATTCAGGAGCAGGTTGTTCATTTCCCATGTAGTTGAGCAGTTTTGAGTGAGTTTCTTAATCCTGAGTTCTAGTTTGATTGCACTGTGGTCTGAGAGACAGTTTGTTATAATTTCTGTTCTTTTACATTTGCTGAGGAGTGCTTCACTTCCAACTATGTGGTCCATTTTGGAATAAGTGTGATGTGGTGCTGAGAAGAATGTATATTCTGTTGATTTGGGGTGGAGAGTTCTGTAGATGTCTATTAGGTCCACTTGGTGCAGAGCTGAGTTCAATTCCTCGATATCCTTGTTAACTTTCTGTCTCGTTGATCTGTCTAATGTTGACAGTGGGGTGTTAAAGTCTCCCAATATTATTGTGTGGGAGTCTAAGTCTCTTTGTAGGTCCCTAAGTGCTTGCTTTATGAATCTGGGTGCTCCTGTATTGGGTGCATATGTATTTTTTTTTCTCTTTTGTAATTTTAATTGAAGCAATCCTATTTTTTTAACTCTCTCTTATAAGCACCAATTTTTAATATCTAAGTCAATTTTTGGGGAAAGAAACACCATCAAGATCTTCCCTCCAGCAAAACAACGATGTTCACTCCTCCAAATATCCAAACTGAAGATCTACCAAAACAAAAACAAAAACAAAAGCCCACAGATAAATAAAAAGGAACAAAAATCACATTCTAATGGGGGGGTCAGTGCATTTAGCAGTCTTCGCTGTGCTGTCTAACCATCCTTCAGCTGACTTTCAAAAAAAACACCCTAAGCTCATCAAAATATACATTTTCCATTTGCTTTTTTAAATTAAAAATAATTACTAAAAAAAGGAAAACTTTAAGGACTTCACAATCAATTGCCTGACTCATTTTGATGTCATGTACAGCATATGGAGGTCAGGAAGGCTATTTGCAGCACATGTGATTAGGGGCTACTGATCTTCAGGGTTTAGCTTTCTTCCAAACAGTGTAAAATACCCACAATTCCAGGTATGAAGGGACACAGATGATCTCCTTTGAAAATTCCACAGGACAATACAGGCGCCCCAGCTGTTCTTCATAGAGCGACAGTGCTTCTTTCAGATTGACACAGTTCCCCTGTGTAAAATATTTCCCATCCTGTTTCAACACTTTCATTGAGAGGTCAAGAATCAGTCTGAGAAACTCCCATGTGGAATCTTCTTCTGGAGACGTGGAGATTGGAACAGCTGTCAAATCATTAATCACATAATCAAATTCTCTCCCTTCTTTGGTGTATCTCTTCAGTACCGGGATACAGTCTTCTATTAGAACCTGATAGCAGTCTCCTTTAAGATTGTCTAAGACATCGCCACACGTTTTTCGCATGTATTTCTTACACCCATCAATCATCATTTGGTCAGTCTCTACCATAGTGACCATCTTTGGTTTTAGTTTGACTATTTCACACAATATGCCTCTGTCTCCACCTCCCAGAATGAGTACATCTTTGCCAGTGTAATCTTCTTTGCCACTGCCCATGATGGCCCGGGTATATGCCAAATCACTCTCTGCCAAATTAACATCCCCACTAAGAATGAGAATATTTCCAAACTGCTTCGAGTGTAGAATTTTTATATTTTGATAAGGTGAATCTTCATCATATACCACTTCATCTATGTCATATTCAACCAGGCGCCCATCGGCGGTGGGCCAATATCTGTCGATGGCTCTCCTCGCACTATGGGTGGTAATCGTTTCACCCGCCCAGTACTGTCCTGACTCAATTCTTTCATTCTTTCTTCTACTTTGTTCAAAATACTGTCGATCTCTTCTTTGCCTTGCGCATCACCATCATAACTCTGAAGGTCCAGCAACACCAATCCATGTGGGTAAATTCTCATATTGGCAAAGCTGCCATTCTTGTTTGTGTAGGTTGCTAAATAGCCATGGTCCTGCCAGGTGTGCACCGACTCCGCCATCCCCTGCTCCTGGAAAATGGACTGGAGGCCTTTTAGAATGGTCTCACCATCAGCTTTGGCACTGAGCATGAAGTCGAGCGTGCTGTGCCGTGCTGCTGCCATAGTGAGGCGAGGCCCTGTGCCATGCCTGGGGGAGCGGCCGCGGGAGACTGGGGGGCCGCGCGGCGTGTCAGGCTGTGGCCGGCTGGGAGTGCCAGGTGCATATGTATTTAGGAGTTAGCTCTTCTTGTTGAGTTGATCCCATTACCATTATGTAATGGCCTTCTTTGTCTCTTTTGATCTTTGTTGGTTTAAAGTCTGTTTTATCAGAGACTAGGATTGCAACCCCTGCCTTTTTTTGTTTTCCATTTGCTTGGTAGATCTTCCTCCATCCCTTTATTTTGAGCCTATGTGTGTCTCTGCATGTGAGATGGGTCTCCTGAATACAGCACACTGATGGGTCTTGACTCTTTATCCAATTTGCCAGTCTGTGTCTTTTAATTGGAAAATTTAACCCATTTACATTTAAGGTTAATATTGTTATGTGTGAATTTGATCCTGTCGTTATGATGTTAGCTCGTTATTTTGCTCATTAGTTGATGCAGTTTCTTCCTAGCATCGCTGGTCTTTACAATTTGGCATGTTTTTGCAGTGCCTGGTACCGTTTGTTCCTTTCCATGGTTAGTGCTTCCTTCAGGAGCTCTTGTAAGGCAGGCCTGGTGGTGACAAAATCTCTCAGCATTTGCTTGTCTGTAAAGGATTTTATTTCTCCTTCACTTATGAAGCTTAGTTTGGCTGGATATGAAATTGTGGGTTGAAAATTCTCTTCTTTAAGAATGTTGAATATTGACCCCCACTCTCTTCTGGCTTGTAGAGTTTCTGCTGAGAGATCTGCTGTTAGTTTGATGGGTTTCCCTTTGCGGGTAACACAACCTTTCTCTATAGCTGCCCTTAACATCTTTTCCTTCATTTCAACTTTGGTGAATCTGACAATTATGTGTCTTGGAGTTACTCTTCTTGAAGAGTATCTTTGTGGTGTTCTCTGTATTTCCTGAATTTGAATGTTGGCCTGCCTTGCTAGGTTGGGGAAGTTCTCCTGGATAATATCCTGAAGAGTGTTTTCCAACTTGGTTCCATTCTCCCTGTCACTTTCAGGTGCACCAATCAGATGTAGATTTGGTCTCTTCACATAGTCCCATATTTCTTGGAGGCTTTGTTCATTTCTTTTTACTCTTTTTTCTCTAAACTTGTCTTCTTGGTTGGTTTTCAGCTCCATCAGGTAATTTAAGGTCTTCTCTACACTATTTATTATAGTTAGCCATTCATCTAATCTTTTTTCAAGGTTTTTAGCTTCTTTGCAATGGGTTTGAACATCCTCCTTTAGCTTGGAAATGTTTGTTATTACTGATCTTCTGAAGCCTTCTTCTCTCAAGTCATGAAAGCCATTCTCCATCCAGCTTTGTTCTGTTGCTGGCAAGGAGCTGTGGTCCTTTGGAGGAGAAGAGGTGCTGTGATTTTTAGAATTTTCAGCTTTTCTGCTCTGGTTTCTCCCTATCTTTGTGGTTTTATCTACCTTTGGTCTTTGATGATGGTGACGTACAGATGGGGTTTTGGTGTGGATGTCCTTTCTGTTTGTTAGTTTTCCTTCTAACAGTCAGGACTCACAGCTGCAGGTCTGTTGGAGTTTGCTGGAGGTCCACTTCAGACCCTGTTTGCCTAGGTATTGCCAGCAGAGGCTGCATAACAGCAAATATTGCAGAACAGCAAATGTTGCTGCCTGATCCTTCCTCTGGAAGCTTCATCTCAGAGGGGCACCTGTCTGTTTGAAGTGTCAGTCGGCCCCTACTGGGGGGGTGTCTTCCAGTTAGTCTACTTGGGGGTCAGGGACCCACTTGAGGAGTCAGTCTGTCCGTTCTCAGATCTCAAACTCCATGTTGGGAGAACCACTACTCTCTTTAAAGCTGTCAGATAGGGACGTTTAAGTCTGCAGAAGTTTCTGCTGCCTTTTGTTCAGCTATGCCCTGTCCCCAGAGGTGGAGTCTACGGAGGCAGGCAGGCCTCCTTGAGCTGCAGTGGGCTCCACCCAGTTCGATCTTCCAGGCTGCTTTGTTTACCTACTCAAGCCTCAGCAGTGGTGGACGCCCCTCCCCTAGCCTCACTGTGGCCTTGCAGTTCGATCTCAGACTGCTATGCTAGCAGTGAGCAAGGCTCCGTGGGTGTGGGACCCTCCAAGCCAGGCATGGGATATAATCTCCTGGTATGCCGTTTGCTAAGACCGTTGGAAAAGTGCAATATTAGGATGGTGGTGTCCCGATTTTCCAGGTACCGTCTGTCACAGCTTCCCTTGGCTAGGAAAGGGAAATCCCCTATCCCTTGCACTTTCTGGGTGAGGCAATGCTCCACCCTGCTCCATGGGCTGCACCCACTGTCCAACAAGCCCTAGTGAGATGAACCCGGTACCTCAGTTGGAAATGCAGAAATCACCGATCTTCTGCTTCACTCACACTGGGAGCTGTAGACTGGAGGTGTTCCTATTCAGCTATCTTGGTGACTCCCACACCTTGCCCACTTTTTGATGGGGTTGTTTTCTTCTTGTAAAATTTTTTAAGTCCCTTATAGATTCTGGCTATTAGACCTTTGTCAGATACATAGCTTGCAAATATCTGTGGGTTGTCTGTGTACTCTGTTGATAGTTTCTCTTGCTGTGCAGAAGCTCTTTATTAAATACCGTAATTAGATCCCATTTGTCAGTTTTTGTTTTTGTTGCAACTGGTTTTGGTGTCTTCATCATGAAATCTTTGCCAGGACCTATGTCTAGAATGGTATTTCCTAGGCTTTTTTCTAGGGTTTTATAGTTTTGGGTTTTACATTTAATCTTTAGTTGATCTGTCTTTAGTTGATTTTTTATATGGTGTGAGAAAGGGATCCAGTTTTAATCTTTTGCATATGGCTATCAAGTTGTCCCAGCACCATTTATTGAATAAGGAGTCCTTTACCCTTTGCTGTTTTTTGCCAACTTTGTCAAAGATTAGATGGTTGTAGGTGTGTGGCTTTATTTCTGGGCTTTCTATTCTGTTTCATTTGTCTATGTGTCTGTTTTTGTACCAGTACCCGGCTGTTTTAGTTACTGTAGCATTTCACTATAGTTTGAAGTCTGGTAATGTGATGCCTCCAGCTTTGTTCTTTTTGCTTAGGATTGCTTTGGCTATTTGGGCTCTTTTTTCATTCCATATGAATTAAATTAAATTAAACTAATTAATTTCTTTGAGACAGAATCTCCCTCAGTCACCCAGGCTGGAGTGCAGTGGTGTTATCTTGGCTCACTGCAACCTCCACCTTCTGGGCTCAAGTGATCCTCCTACCTGAGTAGCTGAGATTACAGGCATGTGCCACCACAGCCGGCTAAGTTTTGTATTTTGAGTAGAGACAGGGTTTTATCATGTTGCCCAGGCTGGTCCCAAACTCCACCTCCTGGGCTCAAGCAATCCTCCTACCCCAGTCTCTTGAGTAGCTGGGATTACAGGCATGGGCCACCACACCCAGCTGAGTTTTGTATTTTTGTATTTTGTATTCTGACCTCAAGTGATCTGCCCACCTCAGCCTCCCAATGTCCTGTGATTACAGACGTGAGCCACTGCACCCAGCCAAGAATGTCATCAGTAGTTTGATAAGAATAGCAATGATTGTGTAAATTGCTCTGGGCAGTATGGCCATTTTAACAATATTGATTCTTCCTATCCATGAGCATGGAATGTTTTTCCATTTGTTTTTTATTGTCTCTGATTTCTTTAAGCAGTGCTTTGTAATTCTCATTGTAGAAATCTTTCACCTCCCTGGTTGGTTATATTCTTAGATATTTTATTCTTTTTGTGGTAATTGTGAATGGGATTGCATTCTTGATTTGGCAGTTAGCCTGGACGTTGTTGGTGTATAGAAATGTTACTGATTTTTGTACATTTATTTTGAATCTTGAAACCTTGCTGGAGTTGCTTATGAGATCTAGGAGATTTTGGGCAGAGACTGTGGGGTTTTCTAGGTATAGAATTATATTGTTTGCAAACAGAGACAGTTTGACTTCCTCTTTTCCTATTTGGATGCCTTTTACTTCTTTGTCTTGCCTGATTGCTCTGGCTATGACTTCCAGCACTATGTGGAATAGGAGTGGTGGGAGTGGGCATCCTTGTCTTGTTCTGGTTGTCAAGGGGAATGCTTCCAGCTTTTGCCCATTCCATATGATGTTGGCTGTGGGTTTGTCATATATGGCTGTTATTATTTTGAGGTATGTTCCTTCAATGCCTAGTTTGTTGAGGGCTTTTAACATGAAAGCATGTTGGGATTTTGTTTTTTAAATTTGGTTCTAGCAGTCTCCTAGAATACCAAACACTTTCATTTAATCATTTAATCTCTAGCAGACCCTGGTTATAGGTCCACTTCAGGTCTATTCTTGGAGTTGTAAACATTTTATCATTCTGTCTTTCAATAAATATCTTCTGAATCCTCACATAAGCAATGCAGTGTGTAAGTATACCTTAGTATGTAGCAGAAGGGCTTATGTAAAGCAAGGGGGCTTTTGCACAGGCCAAATAGGAAAGTAAAAAATCCATGAAGAATAAAATATGGGTGCTATACACACCTGTTGATTGAGTTTGGGGCTTCCCAGCTGAGGTGAGCTGCTGATGGCAGTGGTAGTAAAGAGAAATCCAGGTTTTTGAGATAATCTTTCTTAATGATAATCACACCTTTCACATATTCATGTACATTCTCATTTTGCTCTTGTCATTTCACTCCTCACAACAGTCCTGTGAGGTAGAGCTCGTTACTCACATTTTTATTTTTATTTTTTGAGATGGAATCTTGCTGCATTGTCCAGGCTGGATCACAGTGGCGAGATCTCAGCTCACTCTAACCTCCACTTCCTGGGTTCAAGCAATTCTCCTGCCTCAGCCTCCCAAGTAGCTGGAATTACAGTTGCGCACCACCACAGCCACCTACTTTTTATATTATTTGGTAGAGATGGGGTTTCACCATGTTGGCCAGGCTGGTCTCGAACTCCTGACCTCAAGTGACTTGCCTGCCTTCGCCTCCCAAAGTGCTGGGATTACAGACATGAGCCACCGCACCTGGCCTTGTTATTCACATTTTACTGCATGAAAACTGAAGTCCAGAGGGATGAAGTGGTTTGCCCAATGTCACATGTCTAGTACATGATCTTGGATTGGAGCTCAAGCCTATGGGCTTGCAGGGAGTTCTCATTTCAGAGTACCAACTCTATGCTAATGTCAGAGCTAGCATTTTTTCACCAAATCTAAGGTATAAAATGCACCATTGTTTTATGTACCACTCAAGATGAAATACAAACTATGATATGCCATTGAATGAAGGATGCACTCAATATCAGAGATATGAAAGTGTTAGACATAGTTTTATAAGAAGCATAAATTTTATTTGGACTGGGCACAGTGGTTCACACCTATAATCCCAGCACTTTGGGAGAATGAGGTGGGAGAATCACTTGAGCCCAGGAGTTAGAGACCAGCCTGGGGAACATAGTGAGACCCCATCTCTAAAAAAAATTAGAAAATTATCTGGGTGTGGTGGCATGTGCCTGTAGTCTCAGCTACTCAGGAGGCAGAGGTGGGAGTATCGCTTGAGCCCAGGAGGTCAAGGCTGCAATTAGCCATGATTGTACCACTGCACCCCAGCCTGGGTGACAGAGCAAGACCATGTCTCAAAAAAAAAAAAAAAAAAAAAATCGAATATTTGTCTTGGACCTAGATACAGTCTATTTCCTTTTGTTAATATATCTGAAAATATATAGTTCAATATTTTCTCTCCACAAATAAAGTATTAGCTTAACAAATATGGTGCCTCATAAACCTTTTCTTAAGAACTGCTGTGAGAAACATGTAAACAGTGAAAAGGTCATGTTATCGTGTTAAGATAATAATGGGCATAAGGGATGTGGCAACACCGGGCAGGAAGTGATCCATCCCATTGTTGAGGGAGAAGAGGCATGAGTGACATTTATGCTCAGGAAATTGAGGAGTGACACTGGGACAGAAATGGCAAAGCAGGTATTGAAGCATCAGAGGAAGTTTGTCCTGGATCAGTGATTCCAAAATGTAGTCTGGGGGCCAGTGCTACTCTAGAATGACCCCCCACCAAAAGAGTGTTTTCATTGGTTTGTAGCAAAATGAGAAAAGTAAGAAAAAATATTATTTTTCATAAAACTAAATTTATTCAAGCTGAAAATTTATATTTATTTTGATACTTTGTCTTTCCTGTGCTGTCATTGAGATATATATATATCTTACAAATATATATATATCTCACAAATATATATATATTTGTGAAATCAGTTGTATTTCTATATATAAGCATCAAACAATTAGAAAATAAAATTTCAAAAATATGGCATTTATAATAGCATCAAAAATGTCAAACACTGCCAGCATGGTGGCTCACGCCTGTAATCCCAACACTTTGGAAGGCCAAGGGTGTGAGGATTGCTTGAGCCCAGGAGTTTGAGACCAGCTTGGGCAACATAGTGAGATCCCATCTCTACAAAAAATAAAACAATTAGTTGGCCGTGGTGATATTTACCTGTGTTCTCAGCTACTTAGGAGGCTGAGGTGGGAGAATCACTTGCCTGGGTGACAGAGTGAGACCCTGTCTAAAAAAAGAAAAAAAAAGTCAAATACTAAGGAACAAATAGCAAATCATACACAAAATCCCTATAAGGAAGCTATAAGATACGAAAAAGCAATAAAAACACAAATAAATGAAGAAACAGGCCACACTCAATATTTTAAAGACGTAAATTATTTCTAAATGATCTATAGATTCAATGTAATTCCAATAAAATCCTAAAGGGTGTGTGCATGTGTGTGTGTGTGTGTGTGTGTGTGTGTGTGTGTGTATGTGTAGAGGTAAACGACCAAGAATAACCAAAAAAGAAGAGCAAAGTGAGAAGCCTTGCTCTACTGGATATCAAGACATTTTATCAATCTAAAATATTTGGAACAATGTGGTATGGGCACAAGGAAGTGCTGATTTCCATCACAGTCAGGCCAGTAATTACCTTTGGGAAGGGAGAGGTCTGTTATCTGGAAGCAGCATATGGGAAGCTTCTGGGTGCTGCTAAAGTTTCATTTCTTAGCTAGGATGATAATTACACAGGTATTTGCCTTTCTTGTAATTTATTAAACTGCACATTTAATGTTTTATATCTTTCTCTGTATGTGTAATTTTACAACAAACCTTCTCCAAGTCACTGGAGATGTAGATGTGGGGCTGGAGTGAGTTGGTGGTGAGGGGCTTTCTTCCACACTCTTCTATCTTCATGCACATCTATACTGTCACATACGTACCTATACTCTCAGCACTTTGGGAGGCTGAGGCAGGATTGTTTGTGCCTAGGAGTTCGAGACCAGCCTGGCCAACATGGTGAGAACTCGTTTCTACCAAAAATACAAAAGTTAGCAGGGTGTGGTGGTGTGTGCCTGTATTCCCAGGTGCTTGGGAGGCTGAGGTGGGAGGATCACCTGAGCCTGGAAGGTTGAGGCTGCAGTAAGCTGAGATTGTGTCACTGCACTCCATCCAGCCTGGGCAACAGA
The DNA here is from genome assembly GCF_000001405.40 of Homo sapiens. Taxonomy (NCBI): domain Eukaryota; kingdom Metazoa; phylum Chordata; class Mammalia; order Primates; family Hominidae; genus Homo; species Homo sapiens. Next base: position 160,887,486 of record NC_000001.11, on the reverse strand, counting down.
GTGAGACCCTGTCTCAACATAAATAAATAAATAAAATAAAATAAAGAGAAGCTGCTGTCAAGCAAGCCTGGATCTTGCCCTCTCTCTCGATTTTCTATTTCATGAGGTAATAGATTTACTTTTTAGAAAAGCCACTTTGAGATGGGGTTTCTATTAGTTACAGCTACAAGGAACCAGACTGAACTAAATAAATGTCCAGGGCAGTGGGGTTTGGAGGAAGTTGTGTGGGGAACAGATTCAAGAGGAAGTAGGGGTAGAATCAATGGGACGCAATCACTGATTGGATGATGATGGTTAGAAGGGGTAATGTCCTTAAAATGGATGTACTGTTTTCCCAGTCTATTAGATGGCATCATGTACCATTAAGGATGAGATGCATAATGATATTAAAGATGTCAAAATACAAAAAAAGTGTCTTAGAATCAACTAAAGAAAGTAGTATAAGTGTATATTTTCTTTTTTTATTTTTGCAAATATGTTACTGTTTTATTAAGCCATAAAGTTTTCAGGTGGTTAGTTACACACAGTAATGAACAACTGAGGGGATGTTTAATTTTTTTCTCTAGATCTTGGGCCCTTGGTGTTAACTTTATATACATGTATTTACTATTGTGAACTGTAAACTTAGAGACCTCTATTTTTTTTTTTTTTTTTTGAGATGGAATTTCACTCTTGTTGCCCAGGCTGGAGTGCAATGGTGCGATCTCAGCTCACTGCAACCTCTGCCTCCCGGGTTCAAGCAATTCTCCTGCCTCAGCCTCCCGAGTAGCTTGGATTACAGGCGCCTGACACCGTGCCCAGCTAATTTTATATTTTTAGTAGAGACACGGTTTCACCGTGTTGATCAGGCTGGTCTTGAACTCCTGACCTCAAGTGATTGGCCACCCTCGTCCCCTCAAAGTGCTGGGATTACAGGTGTAAGCCGCAGCGCCTGGCTGAGACCTCTATTTCTAAGAGGTTGTTGTTTGTAAATATGAAAGCTGGGTATGTTCATTTTGTTACCTATACTGATGAGTTAATTTAGTTTCTAATACATTTAATTTTATTTAATTAATTATTTTCCAGATACACAGAGCAAATAGCTTCTAATAGATTTTAAATTTACAAAAGTATAACTTTTTTTTGCAGTTTTTCTTCTTGGGTGCTATTTTATTTTCTTCTATCAATATGTGAGTATTTTTTGCAAATCAGTACTTTGAACCAACAAATAGGAAATATTAGCTTAACAAAAAAGATATTCACAATCTTTGTAAGAAAAGGTTGCAGTATTATTAATGCTATAATGACATTATGTATTAAATGTATGATATCACTGGGGAAGAACTGAGTAATTCTATTACAGCTGCAGGGTAGCATTTGAGAACTTCATGACATAGGAGCAGGAATAAGACAGGAGGTTCGAAGCAGCAGAGAGGTTTCGTATTGATTCAGTTTCAAATGAATCCTGTAGTAAATTTTCCCTCGTTTGTGGCAAAATGACAAAATTAAAGACAAAGTAGTGAGTCTTTGTGTGAAACTAAATTATTCAAACTAAAGATTTATATATTTTTTAAAACTTTTCTATTCGTATTTTTTTGTGTGTTTTGTATCTCTTTCCCCTCCATTCCTTTTTACCAATTTATTCAGAAATGATCACTTTCCCATTTTGTTAAAATTTCCTTTTTCTATTTCTATGAATTGATAATTATGGCCAATGATTAATTTCATTTATTTATTTATTTTGAGATACCTAAGCTGAAGTACAGTGGCACGGTCATATTTCACTGAATCCTCTATCTCTGGGACTTAAGTTACCCTTTTGCCTTGCCTCAGCCCCACCTGAAACTATAGGCAAGTACCACCATGCCATGCTAATTTTTTTACTTTTATTTTTAGTAGAGAAGAGGTTGCCCTATGTTGCCCAGGCTGGTCTCAAACTCCTGAGTTCAAGTGATCCTTCTGCCTTGGCCTCCCAAAGTATTGGGATTTGAGCCAATGTGCCAAGCCAACAGATGCTTAATTTAGAGAAAGTTTTTATTTTGCAAGAAAGAAAGGCACAAAAACCCAAAACCAACACCAACTCTTGTTAATCTCTTCGTCTACTTCCTACTTGACACAGGTCCATGAAACCCCCAGATCCAGGAACAACGCTAGCAGGTGATTCTTAGGATTGGTTTTTTCTTTAGAACCTGTTAATTCCACTGTATAAATAACCTCCCCGAGATAACCAGAAGCCTCCCCTGCACTGGGCATTGTGCCAGGGGAGGGTGAGGCTGGAAACCTTGGTTGGCCCCACTGGGCTTCCTCCATAAAGCTTTCTGCACCTCATTCCACATCAGGAGCGTTTTTGGAGAAAGCTGCACTCTGTTGAGCTCCAGGGCGCAGTGGAGGGAGGGAGTGAAGGAGCTCTCTGTACCCAAGGAAAGTGCAGCTGAGACTCAGACAAGGTCTGTGAGTTGGGGGAATCCTGTTTTCAGCTTAGGTCTGCTTTTGGTCTCAGAGATGTGTGAAGTTTAAACAAAAGGCAAGGGGTTTTGGAGTCTTTGTAAGACTGGACAGGGGTGGGGCAGGGATGTAGAGAAAAATGATGGCCAAGATGGTGACCTTCATCTTGCTTTCTTTAGATTACAATGAACCAACTCAGCTTCCTGCTGTTTCTCATAGCGACCACCAGAGGATGGAGTACAGGTGAGTCACGCTGCTAGGGACAGCAGTTCCTTCAGCTGGATGACTTCCGGGATCCTGGTCTCTCCCAGGACACAGAGCATGTCCTTGAGATGCACAGCGGCTGGCTTGCATGTAGACTGAGTGCCGATTTCTGGTCTCTGGCGGAATCTGGCCTGTGGCAGTGAAGGTATTGCTTGAGGCATGTCCTGGGTCCAGGCTCTGTGCTTTTGTGTGGCCCTGAGGGGGCTGTGGCAAGAACTGTGTCACCTTCCAGCCACTGCCCACTCCTGTGGCCTTGGCTGTGGGATTTCCATGGGAACTACATGGTCTGCTTTGTGCCTGGAGAATGTTCTCTCCACAGTTTTCCTCTCTACAACAAGAATAACAATGACATTTTAAAATTTATATTTTTCTTCACGTCTAAAAATTTTTTTTTTAAAGAAAAGGCTGTTTCGAAATATCTTCTTACTTCATCTTTGCAAAAGCACTGTTTATTAACTGTGTTTTAGGTATGAGGAAACTGAGGTCAGTCACCTCTGACCTCACAGCTTTCCCCTAGACTGTTCGAATAGTTTGCAGACTTTTTGGAGTAGAGATTAGTCTCACCACTCCCTACTTCACACCCCATGTTTCAGCCATATTAAGCAGCTTGTAGTTCTACAGCTGGACTACGCTGTATTTTTTTTTTTTTCTCTAGGCCTTTGGATATGCTGTTTTCCCTGCCTTGGATTGGCTTCCTACTGATAAATCATGTTTATTCTCTCAGAATAAGCTAAGATGTCACCTGGACTGGAAGGTCTTCTGTGACTAAGACATGAGACAACCCGTCTTGCCTTCTTCTCCCAGGCAACTGCCCCGCTTACTGTCTGGCGTTTCCATTCTCCACTGTTACCTCAGAGTCTTTCTTTTGTTCTCTTGAGTTTGCCTTTCTTCTACCATTTATTCTTGTCAATACAATTTTCTGTTGACTTGTTAGCAATTCCCTCTAGAGGCAAGCTCTTGCTGGGGAACTTTAATGTCTTTGATTACTCAGTGCTTAGGGCAGGACCCAGCACAAGGACAGGTCTTGTGGCGGGAGGCAGACTTTAAGCCTGTGCTGGCTGTCAGGTCGGATGGGCTGAGTGGATATGATGCCGATGGGCTGAGTGGATGTGACACTGATGGGCTGAGTGGATATGACACTGGCTGTCTCAGGCCTTACCACCCGGGCAGCGAGGTTCTGCTACAGTGGTGGAATGAGCGTGGGACTAGTGATAGGAGAGGGTAGGTTTTGTGTCAAACCGGGAATGAGAATAAACCCTGTGTATTCCCTAGATGAGGCTAATACTTACTTCAAGGAATGGACCTGTTCTTCGTCTCCATCTCTGCCCAGAAGCTGCAAGGAAATCAAAGACGAATGTCCTAGTGCATTTGGTGAGTGATGAAACATTCAAACAGAGCTCAGTCAGGGTATCAGGATTGTGTCTTCTGGGAGTCTTTTTGTCTTTTAGTTAAAAAATTATGGTAAAGTATATGTATATTATAATTTACATAAGATTTGCCATTTTAAGCAACATTAAGTGTGCAATTCAGTGGCATTAATTACCTTCAAGGTTGTGCAACCATCACAGCTATCCATATGCAGAACTTTTTCAGTGCCCCAAACAGAAACTCTGTACTTAATAACATGGAGGGGCCGGGTGCGGTGGCTCAGGCCTGTAATCCCAGCACTTTAGGAGGCTGAGAGGGGTGGATCAGTTGAGGCCAGGAGTTTGAAACCAGCTTGGCTAACATGGTGGGGCCCTGTCTCTACTAAAATACAAAAATCAATTGGGTGTGGAGTACATGTTTGTAATTCCAGCTACTTGGGAGGCTGAGGTGGGAGGATCGCTTGAACTCAGGAGGCAGAGGTTGCAGTGGGCCAAGATAGTGCCACTTCACTCCAGCCTGGGCAACAGAGTGAGACTCCATCTCAAAAACAAAAACAAAAACAAAACAAAACAAAAAATAACATGGAGTTATTAAGCAATAACTCTCTTCCCTCAGTCTCTGGTAGCTGCATTTTACTTTCTATCTCCATGAATTTGCCTAGTGTAGTTACCTCATGTAATTGGAGTCATATGGTATTTGTCCTTTGGTGTCTGGCTTATTTCACTTAGCACAGTGTTTTGAGGGTTTGTCCATGCTGTAGCATGGATATTTCATTCCCTTTTATCCACTGCAGATACATATATGCACACACACCATGTTTTGTTTATTCATTCACCTGTTGGTGAATATTTGAATTGTTTCTTCTATTTGGCTCTTGTGACTAATGCTGCAATGAACACTGGTGTAAAAGCATCAGCTTGAGGCCCTGTTTTCAATTCTTTTGGGGATAGACCTGCAGTGGAATTGCTGGGTCATACAATAATTCCATGTTTAACTTTATGAAAAATGTCACTGGGATTTTATACAATTCTATGTTCTGCCTCAGTTACAGGAGCATGATCTTCTGAACTCAGGGAGGCCCCAGTACCCCTGGGAGCACTTAGTGATGTGAGTCAGGACAGGAGCCTTTAGGCCATGTCTCTGGTTCCTAGGGCCTTTCTTGTCATGGGGCTGAAATGAACCCTCAGCTCTCAGACAGGGAGGCTCTGGGCTGGTTCTCTCTACAGATGGCCTGTATTTTCTCCGCACTGAGAATGGTGTTATCTACCAGACCTTCTGTGACATGACCTCTGGGGGTGGCGGCTGGACCCTGGTGGCCAGCGTGCACGAGAATGACATGCGTGGGAAGTGCACGGTGGGCGATCGCTGGTCCAGTCAGCAGGGCAGCAAAGCAGTCTACCCAGAGGGGGACGGCAACTGGGCCAACTACAACACCTTTGGATCTGCAGAGGCGGCCACGAGCGATGACTACAAGGTTGGTGCCACTTCTTACCCACTCGGGTGAGGGTGAGGAGTGGAGTGTGGCTGGCCACAAGCCTGCAGGAGGGATGGCTGGAAGGTAGGGGTGTGGGATGGGCTGGAGAAGAAGAGAGAAATACTTATATCTTTTTTTTTTTTTTTTTTTTTCTTGAGACGGAGTCTTACTCTGTTGCCCAGGTTGGAGTGCAGTGGTGTGATCTCGGCTCATAGCAACCACGGCCTCCTGGGTTCAAGTGATCCTCTGCCTCAAAAGTAGCTGGGACTACAAGCGCCCACTACCATACTCAGCGAATTTTTGTACTTTTAGTAGAGATGGGGTTTCACCATGTTGGCCAGGCTCGTCTCGAACTCCTGACCTCAAGTGACCTGCCCGCCTTGGTCTCCCAAAGTGCTGGGATTATAGGCATGAGCCACCACACCCAGCCAATTTACACTTTGAATCACAACTTCCTCCTAACAAGGCTGTTAGGGCCCTGGGTGTGGTGGGATCATCGGCTGGGAGTGGGGTGTCTGAGTATGGTTGGCCATCTGCTCATCTGGAGTCCAGAGCTCTCACAGTCCAGCTGAAGTTGCATGTGTGGACCTTCTGCCTCCTGGGACCTCCTGGCCCAGTCAGGCTCAGTGTCTGTTGCTTTCCAGAACCCTGGCTACTACGACATCCAGGCCAAGGACCTGGGCATCTGGCACGTGCCCAATAAGTCCCCCATGCAGCACTGGAGAAACAGCTCCCTGCTGAGGTACCGCACGGACACTGGCTTCCTCCAGACACTGGGACATAATCTGTTTGGCATCTACCAGGTACAGAAGGCTGCTGGCTGGGACTGGTTTTCATGGGTGTACAGAGAAGCAAGTGTTAGAGGTTGGGCAGGAGTCATTTTTTAATGGGTCTGTCTCCCATGTTCTTCTAACCCAGATTTGCTGATGGCTTCTGTTGCTTCTCTTAGGAATTCTAAGCCAGGCAAGAGAAGGGACCTATTGGAGAGGACAGCTGGGGCAGGAAGAGTGTGGATGGGTCAGGGAGAAGGAGAGAGAGATAATGAAGTGGTCCAGGCTGCCGCAGAAGCACAGCTCTCGCCTAACTGGCAGCAGTGTCATGGAAAGATTCTTATTTTGACTGGTTTTGAAGTAATCTCAGTTACTGAGAAAGCATTGTTTCTCCTCTATGAATGGCAGCATCCCAGGAGATGCTGGTAATGGCAAAGCTATTGTCTTTACTCCATGACTTTTTCTGTGTTCTTTGTAGAAATATCCAGTGAAATATGGAGAAGGAAAGTGTTGGACTGACAACGGCCCGGTGATCCCTGTGGTCTATGATTTTGGCGACGCCCAGAAAACAGCATCTTATTACTCACCCTATGGCCAGCGTGAGTCTTTAATGATCCTCTGAACTCCTGGTAGGAAAGGGAATACATTCAACTATGCTAGGTAACAGTTATGCATCGGACTGAAGCTTGGTTCTCTCCTGTAATGTTCCCTATATTGCCCCACTTGATTTGCATGGCTGCCTTTGAGATCTGAACTTTATTAACCTCATTTTAGGAAACTGAAGCACTGAGAGGTTTAGAAACTTGTGAAGATCACAAGGCATATGTGGAAGAATCAGCAACTGGGGTGAGGAAATTTGGCTCCAGACTTTTTTTTTTTTTGAGATGGAGTTTTGCTGTTGTTGCCCAGGCTGGAGTGCAATGGCGCAGTCTCAGCTCACTGCAACTTGTGCCTCCCAGGTTCAAATGATTCTCCTGTCTCAGCCTACCAAGTAGCTGGGATTACAGGTGCCCACCACCACGCCCAGCTGATTTTTGTATTTTTAGTAGAGATGTGATTTCACCATGTTGGCCAGGCTGGTCTCCAACTCCTGACCTTTGGCGATCCGCCCCCTTCGGCTCCCAAAGTGTTGGGATTACAGGTGTGAGCCACCACGCCCGGCCAGGCTCCAGACTCCAGACTCTTTACTCCTAACAACCCACTCTCAGCCCTGCAGGAGCTTGTTAGGACCAGGCCAGGTCCATGTGCACAGAACAACCAAAAAAATGGCGAGACTTTTTTTTCTATTGTGAGTTTATTTTGTGTGAAGCCAAAGTTGGTAGCATAGTACGCTCCGCAGAGGCTGAGCATATATTATAGAACTCAAAGCTGTTATTATTTACATTTTGGAGTTGAGATTTTAAAATAAAGGAGAAAAGAAAAATGTAAACAGGAACAGAGTGAATACATCTGTTAATTTCTGCAACTCAGCCCTTGGAGATGTTCAGTGGTGATCTTCCTGCAGAGTTGAATTTCTCTTCACAAGCCTCTGGCAGATGAGGAGCCCTCTCTGAGGACCAGCTCTTCATCTCTGGGGTTGGGAAAAGGTCCCTCTTAGCTAAGTTTGAGGCCAGGATGTAGCAGCCATTGGCCACAGGGGTGCTGGGCTCCACCAGTACAGCTGGAGTGTTGGGCTGTAGCCTGAGCTTTGGCATCGAGAGCCTCTGGGCTGGCCTAAGGAAAGCAATTTCTAGCATCTTCCTTGAATGCTGTTTTCTGCCTCTTGTTTTCAGGGGAATTCACTGCGGGATTTGTTCAGTTCAGGGTATTTAATAACGAGAGAGCAGCCAACGCCTTGTGTGCTGGAATGAGGGTCACCGGATGTAACACTGAGCACGTGAGTCTCTGTGGGGACTGCAGGGACCTGTGAGTAAGGTCGAGTTTGTCCGTGTGTGTTGGTATGTGTGAGTGTGTTGAGTGTGGTATGACTGGGGTGTGTGTGTACGTGTGTGGGAGTGTGACCTTCTCTTGCTCATTGCTGAGCTTCAGGGGCCAGGGCCATGGGAACTTTTGTCCAGGTATACATATCCTGTCACTTTGAAGACCAAAATCAAGGGGTGAGGCTTCAAAAGAACCATTACTGGGTGTTCAGCCTTTGTGAGAAAACACTCAATCGCTTGGAGCTGGGGTGAGGCTTGTGTGCTGAAACATTGTGTAGAAGTCTTTAGAGCTGAGATTCCTTGAGAAACACAGGTGTTGTTTTCCTTCATCTGAGGTTTATATTTCAGAGAAAACCTGGACCTCCCCAACCCTAGCCATGGTTTGCCTAGATACACACTGCACTGGGGAGTTGCTGGGACAGTCCTGGACATCACCTTCTAGAAACCTCACTCAGGCCATCCTTTTTGTGGTTGAAATGTTAAGGCTCAGGAATCCTGAATGGTGGGATTGACAAATTCCAAAGATTTTAAATAGAATACCAGTTGTAATTAGTCCATTCTTTCACTGCTATAAAGAAATACTGGCCAGGCATGGTGGCTCCCGCCTGTAATCCCAGTATTTTGCGAGGCAAGGCAGGTGGATCTCTTGAGTTCAGGAGTTTGAGACCAGCCTGGGAAAAATGGCAAAACTTGTCTTTACAAAAAATACAAAAATTAGCCGAGTGTGGTGGTGCATGCCTGTGGTCTCAGCTACTTGGGAGGCTGAGGTGGGAGGATCTGCTTAAGCCTGGGAGGTGGAGGTTGCAGTGAGCCAAGATCACACCACTGCACTCCAACCTGGGTGACAGAGTGAGACCCTGTCTCAATAAAAAAAAAAAAAAAGAAAGAAAAAGAAATATCTGAGACTGGGTAATTTATAAAGAAACGAGGTTTAATTGGCTCATGGTTCTGCAGGCTGTACCGTAAGTATAGCGGCTTCGGCTTCTGGGAAAGCCTCAGGAAACTTCCAATCATGGCAGAAGGCAAAAAAGGAGTGAGGTGTCTCCCATGGCAGGAGCAGGAGCAAAGGCAGGGGAGGCGTTACACACTTTTTTTTTTTGAGACAGAGTTTTGCTCTTGTTGCCCAGGCTGAAGTGCAGTGGCACGATCTAGGCTCGCCACAACTTCTGCCTCTCAGGTTTAAGCGATTATCCTGCCTCAGCCTCCCAAGTAGCTGGGTTTACAGGCATAAGCCACCACACTGGGCTAATTTTGTAGTTTTAGTAGAGATGGGGTTTCTCCATGTTGGTCAGGCTGGTCTTGAACTCCTGACCTCAAGTGATCTACCCGCCTCAGCTTCCCATAGTGCTAGGATTACAGGCATGAACCTCCATGCCTGGCTGGTGCTGCATACTTTTAAATGTCCAGATCTCATGAGAAGTCACTCACTATCATGAGGACGGCATCAAGGAGCTGGTGGTAAAATCATTCATGTGAAACCACCCCCATGATCCAATCACCTCCCACAAGGCCCCACCCCCAACACTGGGGATTACAATTCGACATGAGATTTTGTGGGGACCCAGGTCCAAACCATGTCACCAGTTGAATACAGAGGATGGGCAAGGAAGTATAGAATAACATGGTTCTCATTTGGGTGAGGGAGTGTCATTTATGAAGTCAGAGTGTCTGGATGATGAATAGGTTCTGGGTCAATGAGGGATATAATTAACTCTATTTTGGTCATTTGGAGCTTGAGGTTCCTGTGTAGAGATCCAAGCTGGACTTTGAGGTCTTCAGCACAAGAAGCATCTCAACAGGAGATGGAGATTTTGGGGCCATCAGTGAATTTTTAGTAATTGAGGCCACAGTGGTCATGCAGTTTATAAGGGAGAGGGAGATAGGTCCTCCACTAGGGAGCAGCACTTAGAGGATTTATGAAAGAAGAGAACAGGCAGGGGCTCTGAGCATGAATATTCAGAAAAGTTGAAAGGAAGTCAAGACAATAATGTCACTAAAGCTAAAGGAAGAGAGTTTTTTTTTTTTTCTTTTGAGACAGGGTCTTACTCTGTCACCCAGGCTGCAGTACAATGGCGTGATCTAAGCTCACCGCAACCTCCACCTTCCAGGTTCAAGCAATTCTCCTGCCTCAGCCTCCTGAGTAGTGGGACTACAGGTGCTTGCCACCATACCTGGCTAATTTTTGTATTTTTTGTAGAGATGTGGTTTCACCATGTTGGCCAGGCTGGTCTCGAACCCCTGGCCTCAAGTGATCCACCCTCTTCGGCCTCCCAGACTGCTGGGATTACAGGTGTGAGCCAAGGAAGAGAGGTTTTTATGGGAAGAATAGATCAACACTGTCAATGGAGAGTCTGATGAGGACCAAAGAAATCACTGGATTCAGCTGTTAAGATGGCATTGGCCTCACTGGCAGATCTCTCATTACTGCCTCTTCCTCTCTTTGTTTCCCAGCACTGCATTGGTGGAGGAGGATACTTTCCAGAGGCCAGTCCCCAGCAGTGTGGAGATTTTTCTGGTTTTGATTGGAGTGGATATGGAACTCATGTTGGTTACAGCAGCAGCCGTGAGATAACTGAGGCAGCTGTGCTTCTATTCTATCGTTGAGAGTTTTGTGGGAGGGAACCCAGACCTCTCCTCCCAACCATGAGATCCCAAGGATGGAGAACAACTTACCCAGTAGCTAGAATGTTAATGGCAGAAGAGAAAACAATAAATCATATTGACTCAAGGCTTGGTGTTTCTGTGAATTCCTTTCCTGTAGGGGTGAAGCACTATAGGAAATTTCGAAAGCATGTGTATTGCTTTGGCTGATTGTACTTCAACTGCGTGTGTGCTTGGACTGTTAGGACTCGGGAATCCTGATAGAGAAACATGCCATCTCTACTTCCCTTTCAGATAGCCCTTAAAATAGCCAGAGGCATACAGGGCAAGGGGAAAGGAAGCATTTTATCCAAACCCTTCCTAACTCACCCACATGGACTGATCAATTTGTATCCTCAACCTGAAGACCCGAAAGGAGAAAAGCGTCCATTTTTTGGGGGGTGCCCCAAAGAAGAAGGAGATATACCCAATATCTATATCTAGTATGTTCTAACCTTAGTGACTGGGCGTTCTCCTTAGGGAAGAATGGGCTGGCATGTTGCGATGATGGTGACTCTCCTTGTGCAGTGGCTTAACCATTCCTGGGCTCCCATCTGCAGGTGCTCATTCAGAAGGAGACATGTGGCCAAATCATCCCCTGTGGGTTATTGGTACAGATAGGATGGGGATGGCATCAGTTCTTACCCGTGACTAAATATTAGGCATAATATTGTGTTTCCTCTACAATGCAAATTGGATTATGACTAGCCCTTCCAATTCTTCGCCACTCTAAGTGTCAATTACTTCTCACTGGCTAGAAAATGAAGTTTAAAGTTCTTAGGCCTTAGAGGAATTAGAAGAGGAAGGGGAAGAAGGGAAAGAGGAAGGGGAAGAAGAAGGGAAAGAGGAAGGGGAAGAAGAAGGGAAAGAGGAAGGGGAAGAAGTTTGCTTAGAAAATGTTTGGGAGGGGTGGGGTGCAGTGACTCACGCCTATAATCCCAGTACTTTAGGAGGCCAAGGTGGGCAGATCATGAGGTCAGGAGATCAAGACCATCCTGGCCAACCTGGTGAAACCCCGTCTCTACTAAAAATACAAAAATTAGCTGTGCATGGGGGCGCATGCCTGTAATCCCAGCCACTCGGGAGGCTGAGGCAGGAGAATCGCTTGACCCTGGGATGCGAAGGTTGCAGTGAGCTGAGCTCGCACCACTGCACTCCAGCCTGGGTGACACTAAGACTCCGTCTCAAAAAAAAAATTGTCTGGGAGGGTTTTCTTTGTTGTTTAAACTAGATCTATTTGGACCTGGGTTAGAAATTGTTAGTATTCTCTCTAGAGCCTTTCTTTCTTTAGTTCTTTCTACCTTTTTAATAACTCATTTTCTGTCATCTGTTCTTTCCTGCCTTCTCTCTTACCCCTTGTCCCCATTCTCTATCCTGAAACACAGACGTCTCTGTCCCTCTTCACTCTCAGATGCCCTTCTTCCAACTAGAGGAGACAAACCTGAGTATGTTTTTATCTCTGGTTGGAGTTCCCCTGTATGTGAGTCACCTTTTGTGTGCCAGACACTGTTGGCTGGGAGTGCACAGACGGTGGTGGGAGAGAGAGGTGAACAGTTTTTCTCTTTTATAGATTCCTTTATGAATTAATTCCAACAATATTCATTGAGTGTGTACTAGTTCCTGGGCTAAGTGCTGGGGATACGGTGATAAAGAAGTGATAGAGAAGACAGATAAACCCAATTCTAAAGCTGCAGGTGGTGGAGCCCAGGGGCCCTTCAGGTGCAAGGTGATAAAGTCTCCCATGAGAGCTTCCTGGGGAGCTGTGGAAACACAGGAGAGCGATCCCCAATCCAGAAAGGAATGTTAGTGAAGACCTCTCAGAGAAGGTGGCTTTCCCTTAATTCTCCCTGCCACCTTGGCGTGACCACAGAGATCTCTGAGCTGGGAAAGTTTTCACCCGTCATTGTTTTCATTGTGCCCCACATCCAGAGAGTGAAGTTGTTAAAGGTCTAAATGAATCTGACCCTTCAAAAAATTTTCGTCTATCAGAATCTCAGTTTCCTTATCTGTAAATTACAGATAAGAGCAGTAAAGTCCTCACATGTGGTTTTCATAAAAATTAAATGAAATAACGTACAGCCTTTAAAGGAGTGCCTGGCTTATAGTTACTGCTTGATATATATTAGTTATTGTTATTATTTTTTGAGACAGGGTCTTGTTTTGTTGCCCAGGCTGGAGTGCAGTAGTGCGATCTCAGCTCACTGCAACCTCTGCCTCCCATGTTCAAGCGATTCTTGTGCCTCAGCCTTCCAAATAGTTGGGATTACAGGCATATGCCAGCACACCTGGCTCGTTTTTGTATTTTTAGTAGAGACTGGGTTTTGCCACGTTGGCCAGGTTGGTCTCGAGCTCCTGGCCTCAGGTGATCCACCCACCTCGGCCTCCCAAAGTGGTGGGATTACAGGCGTGAACTACCATGCCAGGCTTATGAACAATTTTACACCAACAAATTATATAACCTGGATAAAATGGACAAATTCCTAGGAACATAAAACCTATCAAGACTAAATCATGAAGAAATAGAAAATCTGAATAAACGTATACCTAATAAGGTGATTGAATCAGTAATAAAAAATCTCTTGATAAAGAACAGCTCTGGACCTGATGGTTCACTGGTGAATTCTACCAGTGAAGAAACATTTAAAGAAGAACTAACATCAATTCTTCTCAAACTTTTCCAAAAAACTGAGGAGAAGGCTAAACTCCCTAATTCTGTGAGTCCAGCTTTACCCTGATAACAGCCAGGTGAAGGCACTACAGGAAAAGAAAACCACAGATCAGTATCCCTTGTGAACATTGACGCAAAAACCTTTGACAAAATACTAGCAAACCAAATATATATACGTATATATATATATATGTATATATATACATATCACTATTTTTTTTTTTTTTTGTATTTTTAGTAGAGACAGGGTTTCACCATGTTGGCGAGGCTGGTCTTGAACTCCTGAGCTGAAGCAATCTGCCTGTCTTGGCCTCCCAAAGTGGTGGATTAAAGGCATGAGCCATCACACTCAGCACCCTGCCACATATTAAAATGATTTTACACCATGACCAAGTGGGATTTATTTCTGAAAAGCAAGGATGTTTCAATATATGAGACTTGATCAATGTAACACATCACATTAACAGAATAAAGGAAAATAGCTATATGATCATCTCATTGGATGCAGAAAAAGCATTTGACAGAAATCAGCACTCTTTCATGATAAAACACTCAACAAACTAGGAAGAGAAGAAAACAACTACAATGCAATAAAATAAAAGACATAGATCAAAAACCCACAGCAAACATCATACTTAATGGTGAAAGATTTTCTTTTATGTCAGGAACGAGGCAAAAATGGCCACTTTGGCTGCTTCTATTCGACATAGTACTGGAAGTTCTAGCCAGAGGAATAAGTCAAGAAAAACAAATGAAAGTCATCTGAATTGAAAAGAATAAGTAAAATTATCTCTGTTAATGGATGATATGATTTTATATGCAAAAAAACCCTAAAGATTCCACAGAATATTGTTAGAACTAATAAATAAATTCACCAATGTAGCAAAATACAGAGTCAACAAACAAAACCATATGCATTTCTATACAGCAACAATGAACAATATGAAAAGTAAAATTAAAAATTCCAGTTACAATAGCACCAAAAAGAATAACACACTTAGGAATTAACTTAGTCAAGGAAGTGAGACTCCTTGCAAAACATTTCTGAAAGACATTAAACGAGACTTAAATAAATGGAAAGACATCTCATGTTTATGGATTGAAAGGCTTAATATTGTTAAGATGTCAATACTACCCAAAGTGATTTATAGATTCAATGCAATATCTATCAAAATCCCAATGATATTTATTTGCAGAAATAGAAAAACCCATTTTAAAATTCATATGGAATCTCAAGAGACTCCAAATAGCCAAAACCACCATGAAAAAGAACTAAGCTTGAAGACTCAGATATCCAGATTTCAAGACTTGCTACAAAGTTACAGTACACAAAGCAGTGTGCTACTGGCATAAGATCAGACATACAAACTAATACAATAGAATAGAGAGCCCAGAAAGAAACCCTAGCATATATGGCCAAATGATATTTGACAAGGTTGCCAAGACCATTCAATGGGGAAAGGGCAATGTTTTCAAACAAATGATACTGAGAAGACTGAATATCCACATGTAAAAGAATAAAAGTTGAGGCTGGGCGTGGTGGCTCATGCCTGTAATCCCAGCAGTTTGGGAGGCCAAGGCGGGTGGATTATGAGATCAGGAGTTTGAGAGCAGCCTGACCAACATGGTGAAACCCTGTCTCTACTAAAAACACAAAAATTAGCCAGGTGTGGTGGCGCATGCCTGTAATCCCAGCTACTCAGGAGGCTGAGGCAGGAGAATCACTTGAACCCAGGAGGCAGAAGTTGCAGTGAGCCGAGACTGCGCCACTGCACTCCAGCCTGGGTGACAGAGTGAGACTCCATCTCAAAAAAAAAAAAAAAAAAATTAACTCCAAATAGACCCATGACTCAAATGTAAGACCTAAACTATGAAACTCTTAGATCAAAATAGGACAGAAGCATCACAGCACTGGATTTGGCAATAATTTCTTGACTATGACAACAAAGCATAGGCAACAAAAGAAAAAAATGAACAAATTGTGCTTTATGAAAGTTTAAAAATGTTGTGCACCTAAACACACTATCAACAAAGTAAAAACCCACAGATGGGAGAAAATATTTTCAAATCATGTATCTTATAAAGAATTAATATCCAGACTATGTAGATAACTCCCAAAATTCAACAACAAAATACCAAACAACCCAATTCAAAAATGGGCAAAGGACTTGAATAGACCTTTTTCCAAACAAGATATACAAATGCCTAATATGCATATGAAAAAACGCTTAGCATCCCTAATCATTAGAGAAATGCAAACCAAAATCCCAATGAGATACCACCTTACACCCATTAGGAT
Source organism: Homo sapiens (assembly GCF_000001405.40). Classification (NCBI taxonomy): domain Eukaryota; kingdom Metazoa; phylum Chordata; class Mammalia; order Primates; family Hominidae; genus Homo; species Homo sapiens. The sequence goes on along the minus strand of NC_000001.11, from coordinate 160,871,660 downwards.
GGCTACTATAAACAAAACAAAACAGAAAATGATAAATGTTAGTGAGGATGTGGAGAAATGGAAACTCTTATGCACTGACAGTGGGAATGTGTTTTAGTCTGTTCTCACATTGGTATAAAGAAATATCTAAAACTGGGTAATTTATAAGGAAAAGAGGTTTAATTGGCTCATGTTTCCACAGGCTTTACAGGAAGCATAGCGGCTTCTGCTCAGCTTCTGGGAGGCCTCAAAAAACTTACAATCATGGTGGAAAGCGAAGGAGCAGCAGGCACATCTTACATGGTGGGCATGGGGTGCGGAGGGGGAGGTGCCACACACTTTAAAACAACCAGATCTTGTGAGAACTCTATCATGAGAACAGCACCAAAGGGAGAAATTCATCCCCATGATCCAATCACCTCCCACCAGACCCCACATCCAACACTGGGGATTACAAATGGACATGAGATTTGGGCAGGGACACAGATCCAAACCATATCAGAATGTAAAATGGTATAGCATCTGTGGAAAACAGTATTAGGTTCCTCAAAAGATTAAACATAGGCTGGGCACAGTGCTTCACGTCTATGATCCCAGCACTTTTGGAGGCTGAGGTGGGCGGATCTCCTGAGGTCTGGAATTTGAGACCAGCCTGGCCAACATAGTGAAACCCCGTCTCTGCTAAAAATACGAAAATTAGCTGGGTGTGGTGGCACATGCCTGTAATTCCAGCTACTCAGGAGGCTGAGGCAGGAGAATCACTTGAACCCAGGAGGCGGAGTTTGCAGTGAGCTGAGATTGTGCCATTGCACTCCAGCCTAGGGGACAGAGCGAGACTCTGTCTCAAAAAAAAAAAAAAGATTAAACATAGAATTACCATATGATTCAGCAATTCCACTTCTGGGTGTATACCCAAAAGAATTGAAAGCAGGGTCTTGAAGAGATATTTGTTCACCCATGTTCATAGCAGCATTATTCACAATAGCTAAAATGCGGAAACAACTCAAGTGCCCATTGACAGATGAAGCAAAAAGTGGTATATATGTATACATATATATGTACATATATGTATACATACATATATATACAAATATATGTACACATATCTATATATAGATATAGTTATAGACAGGGATATTATTCAACCTTAAGAAGGAATACAATTCTGACTGAAGCTACAACATGGATGAATCTTGAGAGCATTATGATAAGTGAAATAAGCCAGTCAGAAAAAAACAAATATTGCATGATTTCACTTTATGAGTACCTATAGTCAAATTTATAGACAGAAAAATGGAATGATTGTTTCCTGGGGCTGTGGGGAAAGGGGTATGGGCCATTATTGTTTAATAAATAGAGTTTCAGTTTTACAAGATGAAGAGTTCTGCAGATGGATGATGGTGATGGTTGTACAAGAGTATGAATGCACTTAATACTTGCTCTTGACTGAGGTGGATGGAGAGAAAGATTTTTATAGTGTGCATGCATGTGTGTGTGTGTGTGTATTTTTTTTCTTTTTTTGAGACAGAATCTCACTCTGTTGCCCAGGCTGGCGTGCAGTGGCATGAGCACAGATCACTGAAGCATTGACCTCCCTGGCTCAAGAGATCCTTCTACCTCAGCCTCTCAGGTAGCTGAGACCACAGGCATGCCACCATACCTGGCTAACTGATTTTTTTTTTTGTAGAGTTGTGGTCTCACTACATTGCCCAGGCTTGTCTCGAACTCTTGGACTCAAGCAATCCACCTGATTCAGCCTCCCAAAGTGCTGGGATTACAGGGGTGAGCCTCCACACCCAGCCACGTGTATGTATTTGTGTGTGTCTTTATTGAAGATCATTTATTAATGAAAGCTTTCTTTACCATTTACCTGTTGAAGACACGGAGTCAGTTAGTTCTTTCATTGCTGCTTGCAAAACAGACCATCTGATTTTCCTTTGGGCCTCTCTTTCATAATATGTTACCAAAGGCAGCTGGCACACAGCGTTGCATTCTGTTTCCCTGATGTCTTCCCTTAGAGCTCAAGGGCACTAGGTATATAACACACTTCTTGAGTGGCCACAGGCAACACTCTTAACATTTTCACTTCTTACATAACATGGAGTGCCATCTTTCCAACCTTCAATATTAATTTCTTCATCATCAGTAGGCCTATTACCAAGCCAATGCTACGTGTTTTAGGTATTTACTGAAGCTGGAGAAAGGAGTGTGTTGACTGGTGTCTTGCTTCTCCTAAAGGCTTCAGCCTGACAGTGACACTTTCTGCTTACATTGCTTGGCCAGAGCAAGACACATGGTCCTGTTTAACTCCAAAGAGAAGTGCAGCCTTCCATGTCCCCACCCTGCCCCAAAAGAGGAGAATTGTATCAGAGTGAACAACACTAATGATTACCTGAAAGGTTTCATGATGAGGTGGTATTAGTGGTCTTTCTTTGTGGTTGTAACAAGCAGCCAGAGACGCATGGCAGCTAGGTCAGCTCCCTCTCTCACTCTCCTTCTACCCCCGTCCACCTCTCTCTCACCTTCCTTTGTTTCACAATGCAATGGACGCTTATCATGACACAACCCAACAACTAGAATATTATTATTAATCTACACCTACCTCTGTGTTCCTCTATGTCACTCCATCCCTCCCTTCTTCCTTAGTTGTTGCCATTATCTCAATTTGTGGTTAAGATCCTATTGCTTAAGCTACTTTTTAACAATCATGCACACACATCATGCAGATGCCCAAATAATATGTTTAATTTTTTGTTTTTAAACTATATAAAAATACTATCATATTGTATATTGTCTTCTGGTGCTTATTTTTTCCTATGACATTATGTAACTACTGTTCTCCTGTGCTGTCCCACATTCATTTTTGATGCTATTGAATTTACATTGTATGAATAGATCACATCTTGTTTTTCCACTCTCCCATTGCCATTTGTTTTGTCTCCAGTTTTTTTTCCAATAAAAAACAATGCTGTTATGCACATTGTCATATGTGTCTCCAGGTATATATGTGCTAAACTGTCTCTTATATGTAGGTATATAACTAGATGTCATATTGCTGGATCATTAGAGTTTATAAATATTTTACTTTACAAGATAACACCAATTTATTTCCACAGAATTGTACCAATTTACATTCCCATCAGCTGTATATAATTGATCCAATTGATCCATATGCCCTCAAATACTTGGTATTACCAGACTTCTTTATTTTTGCCCATTAAATTCTTGAACTCAGCCGCCCAAAATGTTAAGATTACAGGTGTGAGTCATCGCACCTGGCCAGAGGCAACTTCTTAGCAGGAGAGGGTATGCCAGAAAAACCCAGAGAGCTTCACATGAAAATCATGTAGGGAGGTCAGTTAGCACACGGATAGGGGAAGAAGAAGAGGAACTCTTAGAGAACAGGAAGCCAGTTTTAGGTTCTTCATCTTCTATAATCTCATATGTGAATGTGTGGGCCCATGCAACCTGTGTGGTAGGTTCAGTGACACATAGAATCAGGGAAACTCTCAGCACTGATGAGGATTCTACATGAGGGATAAACAGCAATGTGAAATAGAATAAAATAGCAATGTGATGTAGAATAAAATACTCCACAGTAAAGTTTTGTCATGTCAAAACAATTTCATGGTCAATTATGGATATTCAAACCACTAAAATAACAATTTGGTTGTAAGTTGTATTGGTCTGTTTTCACTCTGCTGATAAAGACAGACCCAAGACTGGGAAGAAAAAGAAGTTTAATTGGACTTACAGTTCCACATGGCCGGGGAGGCCTCACAATCATGGTGGGAGGTGAAAGGTACTTCTTACATGGTGGCAGCAAGAGAAAATGAGGAAGGAGCAAAGTGGAAACCCTGATAAACCTGTCAGATCTCGTGAGTCTTATTCACTATCACGAGACTAGCACAGGAAAGACCCTCCCCTATGATTCAGTTACCTCCCCCTGGGTCCCTCCCACAGCACGTGGGAATTCTGGGAGATACAATTCAAGTTGAGATTTTGGTGGGGACACAGCCAAACCATATCATAAGTTTATCTGATTACACCACTAAACTTTGATCACATTCATTTCTTTCTAGGTGTCAACGTAGCACAGAAAAATTAAAAGAGAACATTGGCTTGCACAAATGACTTTATCATTATAACCCCAATTTTGATTTTCTGTATTTGTAATTCACAAACTAGATAAAATTCACAAACTAGATGGTAGGGCACTTAGAAGTCATTATGTTTTTTTTTTTTTAATTGCAAAACACTTGGTCTACTAATATGTCAAACATAAAAATCTCAGAATATAATTTCATACTAAATCAGATTCTGATTTATACAATGTAATAAAAGATACAAATGTATAAGACAAATTTATATTTAATTATCTTTAAATAGGAGGCTAAATAGGAGGCTATTCTATGGTGCATTTCCCTTGCAATTTGGGAAAACTTTTTTGTACCTTTTTCACGTAGAAACATTTTGTTCCAACACAGGGAAGCAGAGATTGATTCCATTTCCCACACCACATTGCTAGTGTCAGAGAGATAGCCTGCGGTTCTCTGCATCGTCAGAGCTGTTTCTCACACTGAATCTGGGAATGGCAAATTTCTTGTTATGTTGAATTCTGAGATGAGTTAAGACATGGATTGCACTCTTTAGCCTTTGCTCCTGTGGATGTGGGTTCTCTGCGTTATCTGATGTCCCATAAATTGTTTTGAGAGGCTCTGTCTTCCATCTTCTTTATGAGACTGTTGCATCTCTTACCTTTAACCTGAACCTGAAAGTTATCACAGCCAATAAATAAACAATAACTGGCTACTTCTCTTCCAACAAGTGAAAGCCCACAGAAGATAAATGTACATAGAAGGGAAAGCGATTTTCTAGCCCTTCTGAGAAAAAGAGACAGAAAAAGAGATTGTGCTTATTAAAAGTGTCGTTATGGTTTCATTCAAACAGGAACACAGACAATATTCAGATGGTTAGAAATAAAGGCAATGAGTTCTCATTTAGTGTCTGGTGTTACAGAAGTTATTTATTGAATTCTTGCAAGATTGGTTGACTATACCTATAAGATCAGTTGGGCTCTTTGTGAATGGTTCATCTTTGACAACTTTAACAACTTCTTTCCAGTGGTGCAGTAAAGGATTAACCTTGTTCAAAGAGAGGCCCAACCTTTGCCCTTGGCTCCTGGGAGGTAATCTCTAAGCTTTGAAATGTCCTGCTTGATAAGAGTATCTTCATTACTGGGGACCTTGTTAGCATTGTCAATGCTTATAATGTGATTTATGGTGGGAGCTCTGACCACATAGCATCAACTCAATTTCTGGAGGGGCCAGAGACTATGGTCAGCCACATGGGTGGTCAGCCATGTCTATGTGAGCAAGTCCCAATAAAAATTCTGGACACCAAGACTTGGAAGAGCTTCCCTGCTTAACAATATTCTCTGTGTGTATTGTCACACATAGTTTCTGGGAGAAGTAGGCCCTGTCTGCACAGCTCCACTGGGAGAGGAGAACTGGAAGTGCTGTGACTGACTCCTTTGTTTGGGACTCTCCTGGACCTTGCCTTAGGTACCTCTTCCCTTGGCTCATTTTCATCTGTATTTTTTGCTTTAATAAACTCTAATATTACAGAAGTTATTTGTTGAATTCTTGCAAGATTGGTTGACTATACCTATAAGATCAGTTGGGTTCTTTGTGAAGGCTTGAGTAAAACATTTGTAAAACAGCTTTCAGTGAGTTTTGTGAGTCATTCTAGTTAATTATCAAACCTGAAGATGGTCTTGGGGACCTCAAACTTGCAATTTGTCTCAGAAATGGGTGGTCCTGGGGACTCATGAAATTTGTAGTTGGCATCAGAAGTGGGATTTACTGGAATGACCTTGACTCACCGAAGCTTGATGAAAGCATGGTTTGGGCAGGGGTTTATGAACCTTTGATTCCCAGATGGCCGCTAACCTTTAAATGCCCCTGTCTGAGTCCCCTGTCCCAGACTTATAAAGATCTCGTGAATATGTATGGGAAATGTAGCTAAGGGAGTCTCTGGTTTATATTGATTTTGTAGGTCTTGGGTCCTCGTGCTAAAGTGGCTGAGTTGCACAGAAGGACTCTCTGCACAAAAATTAGGAAGGGCAAGATAAAAACTCCACGAGGGCAGGGTCCATGGTGACTCAGCTAACCAGTCTATCTCAGGGGAAATAGAAATGTCTTCCTTAGAGAATTCATTCATTCCTTCAGCACTTGACAATCTACGAATCAACTCTGAAGAACCAGGCGCTGGGTGAGGCTTGGAAACACTAAGCTAAGGAGAGCATAGACTTTGTGTTGAAGAGCTCAGGGCTGGGGAGGTCAGTGTGTAGAACAAATGGCAGGTTGTTTTTTTTTTTTATTATTGTTGTTTGTTTGTTTGTTTTTGCTCTTGTTGCCCAAGCTGGAATGCAATGGCGTGATTTCGGCTCACTGCAACCTCCTTTTCCTGGGTTCAAATGATTCTCCTGCCTCAGCCTCCTAAGTAGCTGGGATTACAGGCATGCAACACCACACCTGGCTTATTTTTTGCATTTTTAGTAAAAACGGGGTTTCACCATGTTAGCCAGGTTGGTCTCAAACTCCTAACCTCAGGTAATCCACCCACCTAGGCCTCCCAAAGTGCTGGGATTACAGGTGTGAGTCACTGCGCCCAGCACCTTTTTTTTTTTTTTTTTTTTTGTGACAGAGTCTTGCTCTGTCTCCCAGGCTGGAGTGCAGAGGCACAATCTCAGCTCACTGCAACCTCTGCCTCCCAGGTTCAAAGGAGTCTCCTGCCTCAGCCTCCCGAGTAGCTGGGATTACAGGCACACACCACCACACCCGGCTAATTTTTGTATTTTTAGTAGAGATGAGGTTTCACCGTGTTGGCCAGGCTGATATCGAACCCCTGACCTCAAGTGATCCACCTGCCTTGGCCTCCCAAAGTGCTGGGATTATAGGCATGAGCCACTGCGATCAGCCTACAAATAGCAGATATTGTGTGATAGAGTTTGTCAGGGACCACAAGACAGACACACACTCAGTGGTACAGCTGCTCCGAGTTCTGTTTCCAGGGGATGATAGGTCATCCACATGCCTGGTGGGAAGGATGGAGCTGGTGTTGGGGTCAGGATTGGAGAGGCTGATTCCTAATTCACATTCATTAGTGGGTTCCAACAGCTGGATCTTGTTTTCCACCTGTCGTGTGAGGAAGTTTACCCTTCTTTGTTATATCATGTCTTGTGCACCACTTCTCAAGGTTAAGGACATGGCCAGATCAACTCTGAAGAAATTCCCCAGGGTTGAGGGCTGCCCCTTGGGAGCAGACAAAGGAGAGAAGAGATGATAACCATTAGACCCGCTGGAAAAAGCTATTCAGAGCTTAAAAAAATGAAAACAAAACCACAAAAACCTCATCTATGTCCAGTGTTTTTTGTGTGCATATTCTGGAGTATCATTTTTAATTTGATCCTGAAAACTGCCTTGTGAAGGTGGGGAGGATGTATTGTTGACCCTACAGGCTCAGACAGCAACAAGGCCAGAATCACATAGGTTGTAAGTTGCTGAATGGGAGCTGCAAGTCCAAGTCTTTGACTCTAAATCCAGCGCTCTGTCCAGAGCCCCGCTGCTGCCTCTGTTGGCAGCTGAAGCTGTCAGTCTGCTGCCCCCTGCCCAGTTCAGACAGGGTGGCTGGAAATGGACCAAAGGATGGAAAAAGAGAATAAGAGCGGACTTGAAGGGAACTGAAAGTATTTGTTAAGGGGAAAGCAGAAGGAAGAAAGAAAGAGGCATGAACCCTGGGGCCTGGCCTTGAAGCACAGTGTTCCAGGGGAGGGGGGATGCCGCTGTCCCCACCCCTCCATGGGGGCCTAAGCAGATCCAGAGCTGCCTGGCCTTCCTGGAGGGTGGCGTCCAAGCATGGATGGGAAGGCAGCAAAAATAGGCCCATGTCACTTCTGGGAGAAGACAAAAGAGGGAAGAGAGGACTACTATAGAAAAGTAGAAAAAGAGGAAGGGAGGGAATCTAGGCATACAGATCGGAAATGTGGAGCAAAACAAAATTTTTTTTTTTTTTTTTGAGACACAGTGTCGCTCTGTCACCTAGGCTGGAGTGCAGTGGCGTGATCTTGGCTTACCGCAACCTCCACCTCCTTTGCTCAAGTGATTCCCCTGCCTCAGCCTCCCAAGTAGCTTGGATTACAGGTGCACGCCACCCAGCCTGGCTAATTTCTCTATTTTTAGTAGAGGTGGGGATTCACCATATTGGCCAGGCTAGTCTCGATCTCCTGATCTCAAGTGATCTGCCTGCTTCAGTCTCCCAAAGTGTTGGGATTACAGGCGTGAGCCACTGTGCCCCGTGTGAAACAAATTCTTATGAAACAAATTTAATTTACATGTGCTTAAACTTTGGTGTCAACTTGCATGGAATCCCCAGGCTTGCTAGATTTTTCTAGTGCCTCCAGCCCTTAGGTCTCTTCCTATGTTCTCTCAGCTACTCCTCCTTTCCTTCAACACTGTTAGCCGCTTATCCAGGGCCCTACGTTTCAGCCCACTCCTCCTCCAGCCCCTCTCCACTCCACCTCCACAATGTCTGTTGGAATGGAACAGTTGGGGATACTGGCTGTTTGGCCCCCATGGGGGTCTCTCCATATAGGATTCAGAGAATTGGAAGACTTCTTGGGCTGAAGCAGAGAACGGGATGCAATTTTGAAACTGGCTTTGTGAGTCACTGTGAACTTCAAGCACCCTCCCACTTGAGGTAAGCTTCACCAGTTTGGCTTGTGGGAACTGTCAGACCAGCTCCAGGCGCTGGGGCTTTCTCAGTGGCCTTGTCAGCTCACAGCAGGCGTTAACAGCCTCTAATTGAGGAAACTGTGGCTGGACAGGTTGCAAGGCAGTTCTGCTCCCCATCGTCCTCTTGCTGACTGGGGACTGCTGAGCCCGTGCACGGCAGAGAGTCTGGTGGGGTGGAGGGGCTGGCCTGGCCCCTCTGTCCTGTGGAAATGCTGGGGCAAGTGGTCACCCTCATACTCCTCCTGCTCCTCAAGGTGTATCAGGGCAAAGGTAAGGAGGTCCTACCTGGCGTGGGGCGAGGGAGGGACTAGGAGCTGTGCCCCTCAGGGAGATCAGAGCCAGAGCCTCTGCTTGTGCCACATACACAGTCATCTGGAACTTGACTCCGAGCAGCTCCTGACAGCTCTGACAGTCTAAATCAGACAGGACAGGCTGGCAGTGCACTGGGAGGTCTGTGAGAGGGGTATCTGGCCCTGCCACCAGCAATCCAGGAAGTCTTGGGTGAGGAGATTCCTTCCCACTGGCTTCAATTTACCCTTCCGTGTAGTGGAGAGAGAAGCCTCCTTCCAGCCGCCTGTAAAGATGATGAAAATTGCATCCTCCAATTGTGGCATGAGAGAAGAGAAGCAGTCCCAAGGAAGTGGGTGGTTCTCGAGCTCAGAGACAGATGGATGGACCCCTGAGGCAGGAAAGCTGAGCCCAGGGAGGGGAGGGCGAGGCCAGCAGCCAGGAAGAAGCTGGAAGGCATGGTCCCTCATCTCCCCGGCTTCTTCAGCCATCCAGATGCCACAGGAGCCTGGAAATTATTAGGGACATGCAGGGTTGGGGCAGAAGAAGGAGACAATATGAGGAAGCTCCACAGCAAACCTAAAGCTGTCAGCCAGGCATGGAGCCATCTAACATTTACTCCTGGGGATCCCAGCTGAGGGCTGCTCCCCTCTTTCTCCAGTTCTGGGGTCCAGGATGCTCTGAAACCTGGATCCCGCATTTAATTTAATTGAATTAATTTATTTATTTCATTTTTAATTTTTATTTATTTATTTATTTTTTGAGACAGAGTCTCCTTCTGTCACCCAGGCTGGAGTGCAGTGGCGTGATCTTGGCTCACTACAAACTCTGCCTCCCGGGTTCAAGTGATTCTCATGCCTCAGCCTCCCGAGTAGGTGAAATTACAGACGTGCGCCACCATGCTTGGCTAATTTTTGTATTTTTAGTAGAGACCAGGTTTCACCATGTTGGCCAGGCTGGTCTTGAACTCCTGACCTCAGGTGATCTGCCCACCTTGGTCTCCCCCATCCAAAGTGCTGGGATTACAGGTGTGAGCCACCATGCCCAGCCAGGGTTCTGCATTTTAGATCAGTGACTCTGCAGGGGCTTCACGGAGGTGGAGAGCGTGGAATTAGAGGAGGGTACACTCTGGGCACAAAGAGGGGAAACTGAGGCATAGTGTTGTGTGGGTTCAGGGCCAGGTAGAAGCCCCATATGCAATAAAGTCCCATGCCCAGGTACTCAATTCAGTTACCGAGTCCCTGAGCATTCTTGTGTCCTTCAGGAAGACACAGTCAAGGCTCAGGTGGACTCAACATTTGTAAGGATGCAGGCAGCCTAGGGCAGAGCATGATGAGGAACAGGGAGCAGGGAGGGAGGAGTGGAGCCTGCAGCTCTTGTGGGTGGGTTGGGGGGCCTAGTGGCCCAGGATTCTAGGCAGGAGAGCTAGGTTGGAACCTGGTCTAAGGATCCTTGAATGCAGCTCAGACAGCCGAAGGAGGACTGATGGGATTGGTGCCTGGCTGTGGGGATGAGAGTAACAGAGAAGCTGAGGTTATGACCCTGAGGTCATGAGCCTGTGTGACAGAGGGCAATGCTCCCTCCACCCCCATTCCCAGGGCTTCAGCACCATAGCTGGGCTTGGCTATGCCGGCCCTTGCACGGTGAAGCTGGTGAGTGACTTGTTAGGCACAGGGAGGGATGGACTTGGGTCTTCCTGAGCTGCTTCCTCCTCCATCCTGTGTCTATAGGGCAGGCCTGGCATAAGTTGACTGAAGCTGCTCTATTTCTTTAATTTTTAAGCTTTTTAGTTTGAAATAATTGTGAAGTTCCAGGGAAGCTGCAAGAATAGTTCAAACGATTCTTGAATTTCTTTCATCTAGATTCACCAATTAACATTTTATCACATTTACTTTATTTCTCTTTCTCTAGCTGTATGTATATGTGTGTATAAATGTACAATAATTTTTGCTGAACCACTTGAGAACAAGTTGTGACATTATGTCCCCTTACTCCTAAATATTTTAGCACTTATATCCTATGAACAAAGACATTCTCATGTTACTACAGCACAATTGTCAAATTCAGTAAATTTAACATTAATACCATCAAATATGCTTTCCATATTCACATATTACCAATTGTCCCAAGAATATGCTTTATTTTTTTTTTTTGCTGACCCAAGATGCAATCAAGATCATGTATTACATTCAGTTGTTATGTTTCTCATGTTCAGTCTATGACCATACTTTAACCTTTCTTCATCTTTCATGATATTGCATTCTTGAAGAAGACAAGCCAGTTGTTTTGTAGAGGGTTCCTTAATCTGGGTTTGTCTGATGTTCCCTCATATGATTCAGGTTATCATATGCATTTTTATTTATTTTATATCATCATTATTATTATTTTTTAGAGATGGAGTCTCGCTCTGTGGCCTGGGCTGGAGTACAGTGGTCCAATCTCGGCTCACTGCAACTTCTGCTCCCCCGGGTTCAAGTGATTGTCCTGCCTCAGCCTCCCGAGTAGCTGGGACTACAGATGCATGCCACCAAGCCTGGCTAATTTTTGTATTTTTGGTGGAGACAGGGTTTCACCATGTTGGCCAGGCTGGTCTTAAACTCCTGACCTCAAGTGATCCACCCACCTCCGCCTCTCAAAAGTGCTGGGATACCAGGTGTGAGCCACTGTGCCCGGCCTATTATTATTTTTCAAGAGAGGATCTGGTTCTTTCACCCAGACTGGAGTGCAGTGGCATGCTCACGGCTCACTGTAGCCTCGACCTCGCAGGCTCAAGCCATCCTCCCACCTCAGCCTCCCTGGTAGCTGGAACTAGAGGTCTGTGCCACCATGCCTGGCTAATTTTTTTTTTTTTTTTTGTAGATACAGGGTTTCCCCATGTTGCCCAGGGTGGTCTTGAACTCCCGGGCTCAGGCGATCCACCTGCCTCAGTCTCCCAAAGTGGTGGGACTACAAGTGTGAGCCATCATGCCTAGCCATCATATGCATTTTTAAAATTATTTTTTCTTTAAAAAAATTTTTTTCTGTGCCCATTGACAGCAGATATTATATGCATTTTTGACAGGAATACCACAAAAGTGATACTGTGTCTTTTTCAGCGCATCCCATCAGGAGTCATATGATGACAGTGAAATTTAAAAAACCACTTTGTTTACTGAATAATTTAACAGGAGTACTATTTATGTAAGATGTGCATATAACTCTTGAGCATTGCGAAATTCTTCCAAAGACTTCTTCTTTCATGCAGAGTAAAAGCCATGCATTTTACAATGGTGCGTGACCTGGCGTCCAAGACCCACTCCTCTTTGTCTCTCCTCTTGCTCACAGCATTTCAGCCATGTTGCCTGCTGGTCCTGGACCTCGCTCTCTGTTGTATCCACAGTTTTCTCTGCCTGGGATGCTGCTCCTTTGCTGGCTACATGGCCTCTTCCCTCAACCCCTCAGAGTTTTGCTCAAATACCTCCTTTTCAGTGATGCCTTCCCCACTGAAAATGTCAGCCTGCCATTCTGCAAACTCTTAGCTCTCTCTCCACTTAATTTTTCTCCATAGTCCTCATCTCCATTTATGTTCCATCCTGTTTACTTATGTTTTTCATTTTCTGTCTCCCAGTCTCCTCTTCAGCCCCCTAGACTGTAAGATCCTTGAGGCCAGGGCTTTTGTCTGTTTTGCTCACCGTTGTCTCCTCAACATCTAGAGCAGTACCTGCCACAAGTCAACCCTCAGTAGATACTTATTTTCACAATAGCAGCCCCCTCTCTGTTCCCATTCTTTCTCTGGATATATTTTGAATAGCTCTGAACCAGGGCTATTGAGGATTCAGTGGCAAGTAAGTCCAGGGCCCGTTTGTTCAGAGAGCTTGCGCTAGATTGCCTGAGTCACTGTTACTACAGTTGTGATTAGTGCCTGGTGCAGTGCCAATGCAGTAGGTGTTCAAAACATGTTTGTTGAGTGAATAAGTGAATTATTTTCAGGCATCTTAACGGGCAGCCTGGGATGTTTTTTGGGTTAGACATATTGGGAAGGAGGGATCTTCAAATCATTGCCCAGGGAATAGGCCTGGGCCCTAAAATTCATTTTAGACCCAAAATTCAGGTTTCAGTTGTCCGTTCTGAGGAAACCCCAAAGGACACACAGGCTGGAGGCTATGAATCCCCAGATGCTTTACAGCCTGAGTTGAGATCTGCTGGACAATAAAAGGGCACAGGTGACACCTTATAGATTAGCTCCAAGGGTTGCCAGCTGTTTGCGTAGATTGTGTTGGAACTGTCACTTCTCAGGGAGTGGTGTCTAACTGCGACTGCTTTGGCTGGGATCCAGGCAAGCTGTAGAAGGGCTGGAGTCGTTTTTGCTCTTCTCTTCCTCATTGCACCTCCCCTCCAACAAAGGGTGAATGGCAAAGTAGCTGGACACAGAAAAGAGATTGGAATTCAATGTACCCTGGGCTACAGCACCATCCAGAAAGGAATCCACTGAAATCACTTCAAGGAGAGACAGGGCATGTCTTGTTTTTTTTTTTAATTTTTTATTTTTATTTATTTATTTTTATTTTTTTGTGAGACAGGGTCTTGCTCTATCACCCAGGCTGGAGTGCAGTGATGTGATCACAGCTCACTGTAGCCTTGACCTCCTGGGCTCAAGCAATCCTTCTGCCTCAGCCTCCTTAGTAGCTGGGACTACAGGCATGTATCACCACACTTGGCTTATTTTTAATTTTTGTGTAGAGATGGGGTTTTGCTATGCTGCCTGGGCTGGTCTTGACCTCCTGGGCTCAAGCAATCCTCTTGCCTTGGCCTCCCAAATTACTGGGATTACAGATGTGGGCCACTGTGCCCAGCCAGGCCATTGTCTTCACAGACAAACCTCTCTTATTGAAGTGCAACATACAGAAAAGTACACAAAATTACAAATGTACATCTCAATGAGCTATTGTTAAATGAACACACTCTTGTGTCTACCACATGTTCTCTCCCATTCATTACTTCCTCTGTCTTCCATAAATATAGCCACAATTCTGACTTCTAACATCACAGATTTGTTTTGTCCGTATATATGGAATCAAACGGTATGCACTCTTGTGTCTGACTACTTTTGCTCAACATCTTATGAGATTTATGTATGTTATTATTTGTAGCAGATCATTTTCATGGCTGTATAGTATTTTATCGCATGACTATATCATAGTTTATTCACCTTTTCTATTATTGATGAACCTTTGGGTTGCTTTCAATTTTGTTTTTGCTATTATAATAATGCTGTGATGAGCCTTTTGTGCATGCATGTCTGTTGGGTATATCTCTAGGGGCAGAACCATGGAGTATGTGTACGTAACTCTAGCAGATGCTGTCAAACTGTTTTCCAAAGTGGTTGAACCAAATAGTGCATGAGAGTTCCATGCTGCTTTGGGGCCACTGGCTTTTGGTTCTGAAGGTCTGCAGATGGAAAATTAAATTGTGGAAATGTGGAGCTTGGCAAGAGGCCAAAGGCAAGGGAATTACAGCTCTGTGATTTCTCTGGTATCCTGCATGAAATTCTGACAATAGAGTCATTTTTAGGAGTTATGTGAGATGCATTGTTGAATTAATTAATTTAAACGGATTCATGAAGCCCTTGCTTGGGTTGTTCATTTTGCTGTTGTGACGTTTGAATTTCTTGTCTATTCTGCATATTAGTTGCCTGTAGGATTCATAGTTTGCAATTTTTTTTCCTATTCTATTGGTTGCCTTTTCACTCTGTGAATTGTTTCCTTTACTGTACATGATTTTTTTTTAGTTTGCTGTAATACCATTTGTTTATTTTGCTTCTGTTGCCTGTGCTTTTGAGGTCTTATTCATAAACTCTTTCCCCAGCCCTTATTATGCTCCAAGAACTATGCAAGGTTTTGTGGGGGAAACAAAGATGAAACAGATGTCTATTCTACCCTTAAGAATCTTTCAGACAGAGGAAAATGGGTATGTATAATTACAACTATAAGGGAAGATGGAAATGCTATGTGTCATTAACAGGCAAGATACATTTAGAATAAAAAAGGAGCTAAGAAGATGAAGATTCCTTCTAGGTAGGAACACTGGGGAACTGGCCTTGAAGAATAAATAAGAGTTTAGGAGGTAGGTACAAAGTAGAAGGACAATTGAAGCAGAGGAAACAGCTCAGAAAAGCCAGGGTTGCATGGGGTTTGGATGGGAAACAGGAAAGGGAGATGCACTTGTTATCATGGAGAAACAATATCACATATGAGATGATTTGGTTAACTGATGCAAAGAGTGGGACTTGGGCTAGGTGAGTTTTGACAGAGGTAAGGGAGTTGCATTGCCTGAGGAAGAGAGTTAATATGGTCAGTATGAAGCTAAATAGAGAGGAAGAAAGAAATGGGATGTGGGCCCTATAGGATACTTTATCTATCTTATGATTTTGCCCTGACTAGAGCTGGATTGCCCCAGTACTTTTGGAATCTCACTGGACTCTGTTCACTTAGTCCCCAGCAGGTACATCTTTTGATGCCTTCACCCCAAGCCTGGTAGCACAAGCCCTAGCTGAGAAAACCTTAACATCTATTTGTTGGCTGGTGGAAATTCCACTTGCTCTGAGACCCTCCCGTGCTCCTTCTCCCAGGTGCTCAGGCCCCACACCTTCCTCCGACTGGCAGGTCCAGGTTGGAGGAAGCTGAGCTGACTCAGAGCTCTGCACATGGGCTCAGGGCTGAGCGGGACTCACTGCTGGATCAGATTGTCTCCTTCACCATCCTCTGTACTTGTCTCCTTGACCATCCTCTGTTCTTCCTGAGGCTGCAGTGGAGTTAATCATCTGCCCTCTGCCCTCCCTTTCAGAGTTACTAGTTCACCTCATCCGTTCTTAACCACAGGAAGGTGGCCCCCAAAGCTGCTGAGCAGTAGCAACAGCAGTGGCAGGGGCCCGGGGGCCTTCCTGGACTGTGGCCTCTTTCCTCTAAACAATTTTCACTTGTTGGGTCCTCCTCTATGCCTCACTAAATGTGTGAGAACTTGTGTTGAAGTTATGTTTTCGTAGTAGCATTTCATCTCCCCTATCTGGTGTGTGTACCCCTCTGGGACAGAAACTGAGGTCTTTCTGTATCAGTCACAATACCCTGGACATAGTGACTTGTCTACTTGCCTTTTCACCGTATCTGCTTTGCACCCCTGCCCTGGCACCCACCCCTTCCAGGCCGTCCATGGAAACTCATTCCAACCATCTTCCTCCTTCCCACACTGGACTGTTGGGGGCTGCAGGAGAAAATTCAGCAACAAAGAGCAGCTACAGATTCGTAATCTCCAACCCCAGCTGGACTCTCAGTGTCCTGGGAATCCTCATTTCTGGCCCACAGCTTCTCCTGTTCCCCAAAAGGTGGGAGAATTCCACACCTTCGTCATCTCTTTCAAGGCCCTGTTCCACTATCTCAGCCTCCACAAACCAACAACCTCCTTCTTTAAGAAAACAGAAGCACAAGTTAGGGATTCCACCAACCTTGCCAACAAGTCTCCAGTGTCAATGTACTTCATCTACTCCTGTAAATGGCCACATTTGCCTCTGCTGAGGGCAAGAGTGTTCTTGCCCTGTCCTTGACCAATACTCCCCTGTGTGCTCAGGGCACCAGAGCTTCTTTCAGAAGTCACCTGGGACCTGCTGTCTGTGAAGACATCCCTCATCTTTCTTCAGCTGCTCCTTTTCTGTGGGCTTCCTACCTTTAGTACAGTTTCCTTCCAGTTGAAAAATCAAAACAACACCTGGTGTTCTCTCTAGCTCCTTTTTATTTGCAGACAAACCAGTCTTAAATGTATAAACTAATATAATATTACATAAAAATAAAATATAACGGCCTAATTTTTAAAAAGACCCCAAAGGCAGTATAGCATGAGGACTGTAGATCACACATTTCATTCTTTAAGTATTTAGAAGTCTATGGCTGGGAGTGGTGGCTCACGCCAGAACTTTGGGAGGCTGAGACGGGTGGATTACTTGAGGTCAGGAGTTCAAGACCAGCCTGGCCAATATGGCGAAACCCTGTCTCTACTAAAAATACAAAAAAAAAAAAAAGAATAGCTGGGGGTGGTGGCAGGCACCTGTAGTCCCAGTTACTCATGAGGCTGAGACAGGAGAATCACTTGAACCTGGGAGGCAGAGATTGCAGTGAGCCGAGATCATGCCACTGCACACCAGTCTGGGTGACAGAGCGAGACTCTGTCTTAAAACAAACAAACAAACAAAGAAGTCTAGACAATAACTTAACCATTTTCCTGTGTGATTCCTATTCAGTTTTATAATAGCAGAGAACAACCTTCTTCTACATAGCGCTCTACATTCTGATCTACTGGTGGATTATATGGGAGTTTACGTTATTTTTCATTACACCGTATATTTATATTTAAGTACCTTTTAATACTTGTGCTACCTCTCACAATTTTATAAAAGATAAAAATAAAGTGAAACCACCACTAAACACCTGAAAATTAAACTCATGTTCCATCACCCCATTCTCCAAACCTGCTCCATCTTTACCAGACCCATAAGCCACACGTGTGTTTTGTGTTCCCTTAACCATGCTACTGCTGGGTCCATAATACCCACCTTCCCTGTTCCTTTCTGCATACACCAGGCAGGCCTTGGCTTTTTCTTTCAATGGCAGCTCCCACCCACCGCCTCTGGGCAGCCACTCCTAACTCTGCAGGGCAGAGGAAAACATGCTTTCCTTATGCTTGCCTCACACCCTGGGCACACCTCCATAGCACATTCCATATTGCATTTCAGTTGGCTGTTTTAGGTCTATCTTCCTTTTTCACTTTTTTTTTTTTTTTTTTTTTTTTTTAGGCAGGGTCTTGCTCTGTCACCCAGGCTGGGGTGCAGTGGTGCAGTCATGGCTCACTGCAACCCCTGCCTCCCAGGCTTTTCTGATATTTAGCTAAGAGTTGGGTTTAGCTGAGATGAGTGAGGAAATCTACAAATTCACTTGCTATGGTAATGTTTCCACAATGGGCAAGTCATATTTTGCTTTTATCAAAGTACATCTTAGTTAATAGTCAGAACAGTTGAGTGAGAGGTAGTCATTACTCTTTTTCTGCTTTTTTACCAAGATACAACTCACAGCTGTGTGCACAAAATTTAAATCAACAGCTTGATGAACTTTTATATGTGTAAGTACATATCAAAACTACCCACATCAAGATGTAACACATTTCTAGCACCCAGTCATTCCTTTTTGGCCCTTCAAGTTGATAACCCCCCTCCTGCAAGGGTAATCACATTCTAACCTCTCTCACCATATATTAGTTTTTCCAGATTTTAAACTTTATATCAGTGAAATAATTCACTATGTACTTTTTGGAGTCTAGCTTCATTAATACTCATCATTGTGGTGAGATCCATCCACATTATTGCCAGGAAAAGTAGCTTTTCTTTTTCATTGCTGTGTAATATTCCTTATAAGACTATAACACGATTTATTTGCTCATCTAATCGTGATAGACATTTGGGTTTTTTCTCATTTTGAGTTATTATGACTAAAGCCATTATTAACACTCTTGTACATATTTTTAGTGGATATAAACACCAGATTTTCTTTTTTTTTGAGACGGAGTTTCACTCTTGTTGCCCAGGCTGGAGTGCAATGGCATGATCTTGGCTCACTGCAACCTCCGCCTCTCAGATTTAAGTGATTCTCCTGCTTCAGTCTTCCAAGTAGCTGGGATTACAGGTGTGCACTGCCACGCCCAGCTAATTTTTTTTCTTTTTTTTGAGATGGGGTTTCACCATGTTGGCCAGGCTGGTCTCAAACTCCTGACCTCAGGTGATCCGCCTGCCTCGACCTCCCAAAGTGCTGGGATTACAGGCATGAGCCACCATGCCTGGCCCAGATTTTCTTGTGTACAAATTCTTCTGGATCAAAGGGTATATGTAAGTTTAGTTTTAGAAGATACCGTAAAATAGTTTTCCAAAGTGCTGGTACCAATTTACACTCTCACTAGCAATAAATGAGAATCTCAGTTGCTCCCATCTCTGTCAACCCTTGGAATTTTCACATTTATTTATTTACATTTATTTTCGAGACCAAGTCTCAGTCTGTCACCCAGGCTGGAGTACAGTGGCGTGATCTTGGCTCACTGCAACCTCTGCCTCCTGGGTTCAAGCAATTCTCCTGCCTCAGACTCCCAAGAAGCTGGTATTACAGGCGCCACCACCGTGCTCTGCTAATTTTTGCATTTTTAGTAGAGATGGGGTTTCACCATGTTGGCCAGGCTGGCCTCGAACTCCTGGCCTCAAGCGATCCACCCGCCTCGGCCTCCCAAAGTGCTGGGATTACAGGCTTGAGCCGCTTCGCCCAGCCTTCAGACCTTTAAATGTTAGCTATTTTGGTGGGAATGTGAAATCTCATTATTCTCTGATAACTAATGTTGTTGGGCACCCTTATGCATGCCTATTGGCTATTGGATATTCTCTTTCCTAAAGTGCCTGCCCAAGTCTGTTGCTTTTTTTGTCATTATTGTCATCAGTGTATTATTGATTTCCAGTCTATTATTGTCATCAGTCTATTATTGATGGAATTCTTTATATACTCTGGATATGAGCCCTTTTTCAAATGTATGTATTGCAAACATTTTCTCCCAGTCTTTGGCTTGCTTTTTCACTCTCTCAATGTTGTCTTTCACCAAACAGAAGTTCTAAGTTTTAGTGAAGTCCAATTTATCAATATTCTTTTATGGTTAGTGATTTATTTTTGTGTGTGTGTGTCCTGTTAAAGAAACATTTGTTGTCTGGGTGCAGTGGCTCATGCCTGTAATCTCAGCGCTTTGGGAGGCCAAGGCGGGTGGATCACTTGAGCCCAGGAGTTCAAGACAAGCCTTGGCAACATGGTGAAACTCTATCTCTACCAAAAATGCAAAAATTAGCCAGTCTCATAATCTGGTCTCAAAATAAACATAAAAATAGATTAAAATGTAAAAATAAAAAAGGAAACATTTGTCTATCTCAAGATGTAGAAGATATTCTCTTGTGCTTTTTCCTGGAAGCTTTATAGGTTTAGCTTTCATATTTAAATTTATGATTTGTTTTAAATTAATTTTTGTATATGATATGAGGGAGATATCAAGGTTTTTTTTCCTTATAGATATCAATTTGACCAAGCACCATTTATTGAAAAGATCAAGTATGTGTTGGTTTGTGTGATATTGTGAAATATATATTTGGTTTTCAACCTCCTTTCCTGGCATACAATTCCTAAAATTTTTAGAAATTCCGAAGTGATGTCTTTTTGTAGGCTAATGAGGTGACCGATGGCTGGCAGCCTGTAGGCAGCTTCGGGATAGGGGCCGGTCACCAGAAAGACCAAGGCAGGGTTGGAATATTGGACTCTGAGCCCGTCCCCAACCTTCAGGAAAAGGAGAGGGATTGAAGGTTAAGTTGATCACCGATGGCCAGTGGTCAATCATTCCCATTTATTGAGGCCTCCATAAAAACCCAAAGAACAAGGTTCAGAGAGCTAAACATGCGGAGGTTCCTGGAGGGTGGCACGCCCTGGGAAGGCATGGAAACTCTGTATCCCTTCCCCTACACCTTGTCCTATGCATCTCTTCATAGGTACCCTTTGTAATAACCTTTATAATAATCCAGTGAATGTGTTTCCCTGAGTTCTGTGAGCCATCTAGCAAATTAATTGAACCCAAGGAGGGAATAACGGGAAACCCAGTTTATAGCTAGTTGGTCAGAAGCGCAGGTAAAACAATCTGGAGCTTGCAGTTGGCATCTGGTGGATATCTACAGGTAGATAGTGTCAGAATTGAACTGAATTAGAGGACATCCAGTTGGTGTCCACTGAAGAGCTGATTGCTTGCTTGGCACGTGGGAAACTCCCCACACGTTGGTCACAGAAGTCTTCTGTGTTGATTGTTGTGGTGTGAAACCAGAGGAAAAACAGTTAGTGTTTTTCCCACACACAGGGTCTATTTCTAGACTATTATATTCCATCGACTACTTTTCAATCCTTGCAATACTGGAATGCTATCTTAATTTCTGAAGTTTTACAATATATCTTGATATTAGGTAGTGAAAACCTTCTAGCTTTGTTCTTCATCAAGATTGCCTTGGCTATTCTATGTCTTTTACATTTTCATATAAGTTTTAGAATCAACTTGTTAATTTCTATAAAAATAACCTGCAATAATTTTTATTGGAATTCTATTGAATCTATAAATTAATTTAGGAAGAATTGACATCTTAGCAATATTAAGTCTTCCAATAAAAACCATGGTATAGTCTCCTGTTTATTTAGCTCTTTAATTTTTTCTCAGCAATCTTTTGTTGCAATAGGTGTATAGGTCTTAAATATTTCTTCTTGAAATTATTTCTATATATTTTATCTTTTTTGTGCTGCTGTAAATAGTATTGTTTTCAAAATTTCATTTTTATCTGTTTGTACTAATATATAGAAATAAAAATGATTTTTGTATATTGACCTTATATCTAGCAATTTTGCAAAACTGACTTCTACACTCAAATAATTTTTCATATAGTCCTCTTGGTTTCCTATATACACAGGTATATAGTTTGTGAATAATGACAGTTTCACATATTCATTTTTTTTTTGAGATGGAGTTTTGCTCTTGTTGCCCAGGCTGGAGTGCAATGGTGCCATCTTGGCTCACTGCAGCCTCCGCTTCCCGGGTTCAAGTGATTCTCCTGCCTCAGCCTCCCGAGTAGCTGGGATTTCAGGTGACTGCCACCCGCCTGGCTAATTTTTGTATTTTTAGTAGAGATGGAGTTTCACTGTGTTGGCCAGGCTGGTCTCGAACTCCTGACCTCAGGTGAGCTGCCCAAAGTGCTGGGATTACAGGCGTGAGCCACTGCGCCCAGCCTCACATATTCATTTCTAATTTTTATTCCCTTTGACTATTTTCCTTGTTTTGTTGAACTAGCCATGACCTCCAGTACAATGTTGATTAAAAGAGGTAATTATGGAATCCTTTTTCTGTTCCTGAGTTTGCAGGGACATGGATGAAGCTGGAAGCCATCGTTCTCAGCAAACTAACACAGGAACAGAAAACCAAACACCACGTGTTCTCACTCAAAGTGGGAGTTGAACAATGAGAACATATGGGCACAGGGACGGGAATATCACACACCAGGGCCTGTTAGTGGGTGAGGGGCAAGGGGAGGGAGGCATTAGGACAAATACCTAATGCATGTGGGGCTTAAAACCTAGATGATGGGTTGATAGGTGCAGCAAACCACCATGGCACACGTATACCTACGTAACAAATCTGCATGTTCTGCATACGTATCCCAGAACTTAAAGTAAAACAAAAAAAAAAAAAAGAAAGAGATGGGTACAAATGTGAATGTTTGTTGTTTTGAACAAACCTCTCCAACCATGTTTTTCCTCTGCTCCCACATCAAAATAATAACAATCATCAACATAGAAGACTTCTGTGACCAAATGCAGGGAGGTGGATTTCTCCTCACAGCAAACTGAATAATGTATTCTGCAGTGGACACCAGCTGGGTGTTCTCCAATTCAGTTCAGACACTAACTGGAGAGAGTGTCAGACCACAGAGGCTGGGGGCTCAGTCCCCAACACCACCCCTCCACCACACCAGTTCTAAGTCTGGGCCTCCAGAACTTCGGACCAACCAGCTTCCAGTTGGGGTTCTCACAACCCCCTCCTTGGGTTCAATTAATTTGCTGGAGTGGCTCACATAAACCAGGGAAACATTTATGTTTGCTGGTCTATTATAAGAGATATTACAAAGGATACAGATGAAGAGATGGCATAGGGCAAGGTATGGGGGAAGGGACACGAAGCTTCCATGCCTTCCCTGGGCACACTGCATGCCAGGAATCTCCAGCTATCTGGAGGCTCTCCAAGCCCAGTCCTCTTGGGTTTTTATGGAGACTTCACTTCATAGGCATGACCAACAACCTTGTAGAAATGTGACTGGATGAAAAGGGTATGATTCCATACTAACAGGCTGAGTGGAGAAACCCAGCAAGGCCTGTCTGTTCAGATTCTTCTTGGTCTCTCTGTGTAGCATTTCTTTCTCTAGAATCTGAGGCAGGAACTTCTCTGAAATGAGGGTCTTTTGATTTATATCAGATTAGAGTTGTCTACACTCAGCAATGGTGATCTTCTTGCTGGTCTTGCCATTCCTGGACCCAAAGGGCTCCATGCTGTCTGCAATATTCATGCCCCCTTTCAACTTGCCAAATACCACACGCTTGCCATCCATCCATTCAGTCTCGGCAATGTAGATGAAAAACTGGGAACTATTTGTGTTGGGTCCAGCATTTGCCATGGACAAGATGCCAAGACCTGTATGCTTCAGGATGAAGTTCTCACCATCAAATTTCACCCCATAGATGAACTTGCCACCAGTGCCATTATGGTGTGTGATGTCAACATCCTGGCACATAAATTCTGCAATAATCCTGTGAGAGCAGGAGCTCTTGTAACCAAATCATTTCTCTCTAGTGCTCAGAACACAAATGTTTTCTGCTGTCTTTGGAACTTTATGTGCAAACAGCTCCAAGGAGACACGGTCCAAGGGTTCATGGTCAACTGCTATATTAATGAACATGGTGGGGTTGACTACGGTTGATAGCAAGAGACTCTAGGTGGTGAAGGCACCTCCAAAGCACCAGGTATATACATTTTAACACTTTTATTTAATGAATTTACTTTTGGCTTTGCTAATTTTCTCTATTGTGTATTTGCTTTTTATTTTATTGAAGTTAGCTCTTACATTTACTTTCTCCTTTCTCCTTTCTCTGGATTATCATCATCATCATCATTATTTGAATTACTATTTCTTTTTCTTTGGTTTCTTGAGATTGAATCTTGCATTATTGACTTGCAAACTTTCTTTCTTTTCCAATATACAAATTTAAAGCTATAAATTTCCCTCTAAACACTGCCTTAGCTATATTGCACATTTGATACTCATTATCACTTTGCTCTAAATATTTCCCAAATTTCATTTGATTTATTCTTTGACTCATGGGTTTTTAGAAATATGTTTCTTATGTTTTAAACATTCAGAGATTTTCTGGTTATTTTTCTGTTATTGATTTTTTGTTTAATTCTACTGTGCTTAGAGGGCATAATTGGTATGATTTCAATACTTTGAACTTTGTTGACACTTGTTTTAATGCACAGCATATGATAATACTTTGGTAACTATTGCATGTGCACTTGAAAAGAATATGTATTCTGCAATTGTTAGGAGAATTGTTTTATATATAATTTATATATATATTGGTTTAATGATCTTCAAATTCTTATAGCCTTATTGATTTTTTTGTGTGCTTCTTGTAGCAGCTAGAGAGACAGATGTAATAAAACTCTCCAACTATAGTTGTGGATTTACTTCTCCTTTTAGTTCTATCAAATTTTATTTTATATATTTTAAACTTGTTATATGCATAGAAACTGAAGATGATTGTTTATTCCTACTTAATTGGTTCTTTTATAATGATGACATTTCCTTCTATTTCTGTATATTTTTTATACATCTTATGTCTTTTTTTGTTCATTTTCTCCGTTATTGCCTTCTTTTGTATTTAATTGATATTTTTGTGCTGCATCTTTTTGATTCCCTTCTCATTTCTTTTTCTGTACATTTTGTTATTTTCTCAATGGTTACCACAGGTATTACAATGAATACCTCCAACAATATAGTTTGAATTGATGCCAATTCAGCCTCAATACTATAGAAAACTCCTATACAGCTCTATCCCCCCACTTTTATTGTCACAAATTACATCTGTTTCTATTGTTTTTCACTTCTTGTGCCTGAGTTTCCATTTTCTTTATATCTAAAGAACATCCTTTGGTATTTCCTTTACTGCAGGCCTTTTTGTGACAAATTCTTTCCGTTTTTAATTTTTTCTAAAAATGTCTTTATTTCAGCTTCATTTAAAAAATTATTACTATTTTTTGAGACAGTCTCACTTTGTCACCCAGGCAGGAGGGGAGTGGCACCATCTTGGCTCGCTGCAGCCTTGACTTCCTGGGTTCAAGTGATTCTCGTGCCTCAGCCTCCTGAGTAGCCGGGATTATGGGCGCGTGCCACCACGCTCAGCTAACTTTTGTATTTTTAGTCGAGATGGGGTTTGCCATGTTGGCCAGCCTGGTCTCCAACTCCCGACCTCAACTGATTCACCTGCTTCAGCCTCCCAAAGTGCGGGGATTACAGGCATGAGCCACTGCATCTGCTTTCATCTTTGAAGTACCGAAATTCTAGATAGGCAGTTATTTTCTTTCAGCACTTTAAATATATCATTCCTTGGAAAACCAAACAACGTATGTTCTCACTGATACGTGGGAGTTAAGCTACGAGGATGCAAAGGCATAAGAATGATACAGTGGACTTTGGTGACTTGGGAGGAAAAGTGGGAGGGGAGTGAGGGATAAAAGACTATAAATAGAGTGCAGTGTATACTGCTCGGGTGATGGGTGCACCGACTCACAAATCACCTCTAATGAACTTTCTCTTGTAACCAAACACCACCTGTACCCCAATAACCTATGGAAAAATAAAAAAAAAAGATACCATTCCATCATCTGCTTTTTATTATTTTTGCTGAAATGTCAGCTAAGTTGTTTGTTTTGTGAAGGGAATTTAGTTTTCCCCCACTCTGGCTATTTTACGATTTTTCTATTTATCTTTGGTTTCCATAATTTTTTTGATGTATTGAGAGGTTGTCTTTTGTTCATTGGTTTGTTTTTTTTCTTTTTTTTTTTTTGAGACAGAGTTTCACTCTTGTTGCCCAGGTTGGAGTGCAGTGGCGTGATCTCGGCTCACTGCAACCTCCACCTCCTGGATTCAAGTGATTCTCCTGCCTCAGCCTCCCAAGTAGCTGGGATTACAGGTGTGCACCACCATACTTGGCTAATTTTTGCATTTTTAGCAGAGATGGGATTTTGTCATATTGGCCAGGCTGGTCTCAAACTCCTGACGTCAGGTGATCCATCCACCTGGGCCTCCCAAAGTGCTGGGATTACAGGCGTGAGCCACCGTGCCCAGCTTGTCGGTTTGTTTTGATCTTGCTTGGGGTTTGTAACACATTTTACAAATCTATCTTGATGGCTTTTGTCAGTTTTGGGAAATTCTTATCTTTTATCTCTTTTGCTTAGTTCCTCTTTCCTCTCTCGTCTCCTTGCTTTCCAATTACACTTAGTTTAGGGGTTTTGTTTTGTTTTTGCTATATCTCAAATATCTTTTACACTCCTTCTTGTGTATTTTTATCCTTTTGTTTTTCTTTACTTCACTCTGGATATTTT
The DNA here is from genome assembly GCF_000001405.40 of Homo sapiens. Lineage (NCBI taxonomy): Eukaryota > Metazoa > Chordata > Mammalia > Primates > Hominidae > Homo > Homo sapiens. The sequence goes on along the minus strand of NC_000001.11, from coordinate 160,845,318 downwards.
ATAACAGTTTTCTAATTCTCTTTTCAATGGCATCTAAATGGCCTTTTTAACCTTTCAATTGAGTTTGTTTTACAGTTATTTTACATTTTATTTCTGTAATTTTCATTGAATTCTTTAAAAAAAATCCAATTTCAGGTAACTATTGCTGCATAATGACCTACTCCAAAATCCAGTAGTTTAAAACAACTACCTATTTAGTTAGTGATTCTGCTAGTTGGCAATTTGGGCTGGGCTCAGCTAGGTGGTTCTTTTGGTTTCCTCTTGCATCAGTCATGCATGTGTGGTCAGCTGCCAGACTGGCCACGGGTGGCTGATTCATTTATTTATTTTTTATTGTTTTTTGAGATTAGGTCTTGCTCTGTCATGCAGGCTAGAGTGCAGTGGCATGATATCTCGGCTCACTGCAAGCTCCATCTCCCGGGTTCAAGCAGTTCTCGTGCCTCAGACTCCCAAGTAGCTGGGGTTACAAGTGTGTGCCACCATGTCTGGCTAATTTTTGTATCGTTAGTAGAGACGAGGTTTTACCATGTTGGCCAGGGTGGTCTCGAACTCCCGACCTTGAGTGATCTGCCGGCCTTGGCCTCCCAAAGTGCTGGAATTACGGGCATGAGCCACCGCACCAGGCCAGGGCTAGCTGATTTAGAATGGCCTTAGCTGTGTTGGCTTATCTCTGTATCATGTGATATCTTATTCTCCAGCAGGCTATTTTAGGCTTGTTCACAGGTCAGCCAGATGAGGTTCCAAGAGAACAAGTAGAAATGTGCAATGCCTTTTCAGATCTAGGCTTAGAACTAGCAGAACATCATTTTTGCTGCGTTTCATCATGAAGACCAGCCCAGTTCCAAGAGACAGGGAAATGAACCCCATTTCTTGATAACAGAAGGAGCTGTAAAGTCACATTGCAAGGACATGGTATTTTTGCATTCTATCACGCTAGTTCTCTGCTGAAATTCTTAAACTTATGTTTTATTTCCTTGAACATATTAGACATGATTACTTTAAAGTTTATGACTGACAACTCTATTATGTAGATGCCCTGTTTGTTGGTTTCTGTTGTCTCTATTCTTCTGTTGGTTTTTGGAGATGTTTCCTTTTCTTATACTTCACTTTGGATATTGTGTATGAAACATTCTAGGAATAATTTAATGCTCTGGTTGATGTTATTTTCCTCTAGTCATAACTTATATTTGCCTCTAGTTGGCAGCCAGGTTAGGGCTACCAGAGATTCCAGATCATTAGTTCAATCCAGGGTTGTGATGATTCAAAATTGAGCTTCAGTTCCTGTGAGGGCTGTTCATTTCTCGTTCACTCTTACTCTTTGGGTATAGCCCTCTGTGGTACCAACCTCAACACTGATGGATTTTATGTATACCCGCTTTCTAATAGGAGGGACGTGAACTTCATGTTCTCTTAGTTCCTTGAGTTTTATTGTGAGCTCTGCTCAGCTTCTCAGCCTTTTAGCTGCCATTTATGGAATCAGAAGATGCCTCCAGGGAACAACAGTCAGAAATGCTGATCTCACCTCTCTGAATTTCCTTCTTCCAGATATTGGCCCCATAATTTTTCACTGCTTTATAAACTCTCTGATAACTTTAACAATGTGCTTTTACATGTTGTTCATTTTTCTTCTAGCTATTTTTAGTGGGAGGATTGGTTAGCATGTCTTAACCTGGATTTTCATTACATAATTAGAATTCCTTCGATGATTTTTTATCTCAACAATTAAGGGGATGCTGTAGAATGAAAGTGTTCTGTTTCCAGATCACAAACTCTCTGGAGTCAGGAATCATGCCTTATACATGAAGAGGCCCTGCCTCTTCAGGGGCTGGATTGCAGTGGGACTCAGTAAGGACTGAATAATTGATGAAGACAGTATATGTCCTCCTTGTAGGTTTAGTAATGATTTTTTCCATTCACCTTTGTTCTCAGGGTCTTTGTGCAATATTTGGTAGGTTGACTTGTTCTTATAAATAGTGCTAGGATCGTAGGAGACAGAGACACAGAGATGCACAGCACAGTCTCTGCTTTTGAGAAGCTTTTGGTTTGCTAATGGGCAGAGCCAGTACAAGTCATATAAATATAAATGGGAACCTATGTGTTTTAGTCTTAGGAGCATCAAGATCAAAGAAACATATTTCATCAAACAAATAGTATTACAAGTCCTTTAATTATTTACTTAGTCTCTTGAGAAAATGCCAGGGTGAAGCTGTGGCTTGGAGAGACTGCATTCATAATGCACTGGACATATAAAAACCCCTCTGTCTCAATTGCTCTCTTCTTAATAGCCTCCATTTTAACGGAGCCACTTGTAAAACTCTCCCCATCTCTTATTTTCTCTTCCAAATCCTCCCTGAGCCTCCCCAACTCACCCAGAGAGACTTTTTAATTTCCTGCACCTGCTGGGCCATGCCACATAGCTTTATTACTAAAAATGGCTGTAGGAACTTCCAGTTTTGTACACTGACTGCACAGAATTGCTCTAGGTTGTCACACCCCCATATTCATTAGGTTTCATCTTGATTCTTTGAGAGGCAAGTGCTGGGATCTGCCTGGGAAGTGTAGTTTTATTTTTAAAATTGTTTTCTAGGGAGAAATTTTTGTGGAGACTTTCTGATCACTGAAAAACTGGCAAACATCAATAAGTAATGACCAAAATCCAATGAACCAAGTGCCACGAGAGAGGATTATGTATTCAGCTCTGTGAGAGGATGGTTGAGGGGCCATGAGTTCAGCTTGGACGGTTAGTCTTCCTGGGCCTGACCATTCAGAATTTCCAACAGTCACTACTTGCCATTAGTAGTTGCCTCAGCACTGCTTGGAGGGAGTCACCTTAGATGTGGTATTTATAGCATCATGGTTAAGAATTTATCCTCTCAAGCCAAACTGCTGTCTTTACAAAGAGTAAACAAATAAGCTCCCTAGCACCTGTGCTCCCAGCTACTAGGGAGGTTGAGATGGGAGGATCACCTCAAGCCCAGGAGTTCAAGGCTGCAGTGAGCTGTGATTGCGCCACTGCACTCCAGCCTGGGTGACAGAGTGAGACCCTGTCTCTAGAAAACAAAACAAAAGAAAACAAAAACATAACACCAAACTGACTAGGTTTCAGGCTCATCATTCTTTTAACTCATCATACCTTTTAACTTAAATAGTTAAAATGTATAAAGTGTGAAACCTGCCTGTCACATAGTAAGTACTCAAGATTTTAGCTATTGGTCTATGGGATCCCTCAGACTAGGGACACAGAGCTTGGGGACAAGGGGAGGCAGATGGAGGGGATATGCTTTAAGGTGCTCCTAGGTTCTGGGCTCCTCATACTCATCCCCACCCAATTGGCTTAAGGGAAGTCACATCCAGCTGCCCACATTGCTCAGGCCTGACACTCTTCCCGCTACTTTCAGCTTGGGTTCTCTTTCCTAGGATGCCAGGGATCAGCTGACCATGTGGTTAGCATCTCGGGAGTGCCTCTTCAGTTACAACCAAACAGCATACAGACGAAGGTTGACAGCATTGCATGGAAGAAGTTGCTGCCCTCACAAAATGGATTTCATCACATATTGAAGTGGGAGAATGGCTCTTTGCCTTCCAATACTTCCAATGATAGATTCAGTTTTATAGTCAAGAACTTGAGTCTTCTCATCAAGGCAGCTCAGCAGCAGGACAGTGGCCTCTACTGCCTGGAGGTCACCAGTATATCTGGAAAAGTTCAGACAGCCACGTTCCAGGTTTTTGTATTTGGTAAGTCTCCAGGACTGTTCATACTGCCCTCTCTGATTCCTATAGGCCTCTAAGTTCTGTATTTCCAATGCCTTTCTGATCAGAATCTCTGCTTCCAGATAAAGTTGAGAAACCCCGCCTACAGGGGCAGGGGAAGATCCTGGACAGAGGGAGATGCCAAGTGGCTCTGTCTTGCTTGGTCTCCAGGGATGGCAATGTGTCCTATGCTTGGTACAGAGGGAGCAAGCTGATCCAGACAGCAGGGAACCTCACCTACCTGGACGAGGAGGTTGACATTAATGGCACTCACACATATACCTGCAATGTCAGCAATCCTGTTAGCTGGGAAAGCCACACCCTGAATCTCACTCAGGACTGTCAGAATGCCCATCAGGGTAAGTGGAACACACTGGGCTATAACAAGCGCTGAAGGTTTGGACCCCGCAACCAGGCTCATGTGCAAGACAGATGTGGTATGAGATAAAATCCCTTGGCCTCCTCTCCCAGTGCCTTGTAGCCCTTCCCAGGGTAGCCCTGGCCTCCAGGCACACAGTTCCTGTAAAGCTAGGCCTATCCTACTCTGGAAAAAAATGTTATCCCTATTTCCTTCTGGGAGATGCAAGCTTTTCTTCTGCAGAGGGAGGGCATAGTTGTTTGGTGAGTGACAGTCCTGAAATGGCTCCTGAACATTATTTTCTTCCTGGGAGAGGCTGATGGAGAACTGTCCTCTCCTCTTGAGTGATAACTTTCTCCAAGCCACATAGTTCAAGAGGTAACTACACTGTGCAGCAGTAGCCTGGAGCAGGAGCATCAGGATGACCCCAGGGATACCTAGATGAGTTCTTGGGCTGTTGCTTATGCTCATCCTAAGAGTTACCTGAGTTACCGTTCCACAACTTTTTATTACATAAACAGGGACTTAATGTACCAGCAGCATGGGCATTATAGGAAAAAAAAACCATACAGCTCTCATTCATAAGGAACTTATAGCCAAATGGGGCAACAAAAATAACTACTTGTGGACAAAAAAGAAACAAGACTGAGGCAGGCCGGGCGCAGTGGCTCCCTGTAATCCCAGCACTTTGGGAGGCTGAGGTGGGTGGATCACAAGGTCAGGAGTTTGAGACCAGCCTGGCCAACATGGTGAAACCCTGTCTCTACTAAAAATACAAAAAATTAGCTGGGCGTGTTGGCGGGCACCTGTAATCTCAGCTACTCAGGAGGCTGAGGCAGGAGAATTGCTTGAACCCAGGAGGCGGAGGTTGCAGTGAGTCAAGATCATGCCACTGAACTAGGACACTGGCTTCATCATTCAGAAGCTCTGTGATCTCTTAGAGGTCAGGTGTGGTGGCTCACACATGTAATCCTAGCACTTTGGGAGGCTGAGGCAGGTGGATCACTTGAGTCCAGGTGTTTGAGACCAGCCTGGACAATATGGTGTAATCCCATCTCTATTTAAAAAAAAAAAAAAAAGAAGCTCTGTGATCTCTGGCAGATTCATTAACCTCTCTGAGCCTCAATTTTCTTCCCCCCTTGAGTAAAATGGGGGTGATAATAAGTACCTCACAGGATTGCTGTTAAGAGTAAATGAGATAATGTTTGCAAAGAGCCTTGTCAGCCCTTGGAACACTTAATTCCTTTTCCTTCCTCTTGTTGGCTGGATTATATATCAGGCTACATGTGTGACACAAATCTTTTAAGTAGAAGTTCAAATGAGGAAGAGCCATGAAGGAAGGAATAGTGGAAAAGTGAGACGGAAAACTTGCCTGTACAATGAGTATTTTTTGAGTTAAAAACAAAGGAATGGATAAATGTAACATTTGTTGTGCTACATGTCCCTCAGTATCCATGACGAATTAGTTCCAGGACCCACCTCGCAACCACAGATGCCAAGATCCACGAATGTTTAAGTCCCTGGCATAAACAGGTGCAGTTTTTGCATATAACCTATGCACACATCCTTCTGTATACCTTACTTAAGTCACCTCTAAATTAGTTATAATGCCTGATACAATGTAAATGCTATTTAAATAGTTGTTATACTGTATTGTTTAGGGAATAATGACAAGGAAAAAGGCCTCTACATATTCAATACACATGCATTTTTTTTCCCTGAATATTCTGGATCCACAATTCATTGAATCCACATTGTGGAACTCAAAACTTTGGAGGGCAACTGTATTAGATCATGTAATTAACCCCTATAGGTAGATAACGTTATCCCCTTTTACAGGTGAGAAAATCTAAGAGGCTCTGAGGCATCTTCCAAAAATAAGATGACTTGAGAGGCCCAGAGAGGTTAAATAAATAGTGCAGAGCTCACAGGGTTAGAATTTGAGCCAGGCCTGTCTGATATATCTATGCTCTTGGCATCACTCAGAGGAGGTTAACCAAATGAGCAAAGAGAAAACCTTGACCGTGAGTTCTCAGAGCACGAGGCAATCAGCCACAACACAGAGAAAAGTGGGTTTTGAGGCAGCCCCTGCAGCAGGCAGGTGGGAAGGAAGAAGAGAGCGAGCTGACAGCTCAGTTCTCACGCCTTCTGTATTCCTCAGAATTCAGATTTTGGCCGTTTTTGGTGATCATCGTGATTCTAAGCGCACTGTTCCTTGGCACCCTTGCCTGCTTCTGTGTGTGGAGGAGAAAGAGGAAGGAGAAGCAGTCAGGTGAGTGGAAGGTCCTTAGGGTGGTGCTCCTGCCTGAGGCCTTGGATCCTGTGACTTTGTCCTGCGTCCAGTGGGATGTGTCTGGGAGCACAGCATCTCCTTTTCCTCAACGAGCTTTGGTATGTTTGTGTGCGTGGTGGCGGGGGGCAAGCAGGTTGCTAGGCTCTCTCTCCCAGTTCATGCCTTCTGATCCCAATGCGCAGATTTCCCTGTAGACAGCTGGTTTGGGAGGAGGTGTGGGAGGGGCAGTTCGGTTGCTGCCTCTGTGCTCTTTGGGGTTCCTGGGAAGAGCATTAACTTGCCTCCTTTCTAGAACCTTTTTTAAGGTTTGGCCATTTGGGGTAGAGGTGGGACCTGTTAGAAGCAAAAGCCCTTCTGGAGGTTTCTGCAGCTCTGCTCTTTGTTTTCTTCCTCCCTCAGAGACCAGTCCCAAGGAATTTTTGACAATTTACGAAGATGTCAAGGATCTGAAAACCAGGAGAAATCACGTATGTCATCCCGGAGGCTGGGGTCTCTCTCAGCTGGCTTGGAAAATGCTCTTTCAATGATGGTTATTCAGAGCAGAGGGACAAAAAGGACTGAACGACTGTCCTTTTGATGTGACCCTCAGCCCTTCCCCATCTATCTTTTCTCCACCTGCTTCCTAGTTCTGGTGATGGAGGAAAAGAGGAAACAAAAGGAGCAGAGGAGATGAAAGGGAGGCTGAAGGGGCATCTTGGTGCAGAATTGCACCTGCTGAGAAGGGATGGAGCACAACAGAAATCAATGACAGAGGCAGAGTGCTGCTGTGGTATTTGTTGTCTGACCACAAATTCTTTTTCCTAATGAGTCAGGGCTTACATTCATGAGTCCCTTAATGGTGACACAGGCTGGGAAGTGTGACCAGCCAAAGCATAATAGTTTTGTAGCTGGCTCAATAGGCTGCATTCACAGCCTTTTGGAAGAAGAGGCCTGAGTGTGGCTGAGGTACTAGAGAGAGTAACCAGCCTGGCACAAAGCCCACCAGCCTGAGTAGGCTCCTCCAGGAGCCTCTCGCCTGCTCTTCGCAGCAGGCAGGGGCCAACTCTGCCTGTCATCCAAGAATTAGAAGAGGAGGAAATTGCAGAGGGCCTGCAGATGCCCCCACTGCTGTGTCTCGCTTAGGGCAGATGTGGTGACAGGCCCAGGGGAAAAGCTCTGATGGAGCCTACCAAACTGCTGGCAGGAAGTGGGGCAGGGTGGGTGAAGTGGGGCGGAAGTGCCTTCTTTCCACTGCCCCCTGGCGCTTTGCTGTGGAGACCCAGCAGCACGCAGGAAGCACATGTGGTGGGGCTCTTCCGTGCTGGCCACATACGTGAGGCCCTGTGCAGCCTCGCAGAGCAGGCAAGCATCCTCTCCCAGATGCCTCTGGGTTCAGAGGCTGTTAGAGCAGCTCCCCATGCCTGTTTTTTTATTTTTATCTTTATTTATTTATTTATTTTTGCCCCAGCAGTGGCTATGGGAATGTGAAAAATAAAGCAGTGGCTATTGGAATGTGAATAATAAAAGGGGACTTTGTTTCTCTCACTGCTACCAGACTCTGGTACAAATTCCTGAAAGCATGTGAATCTACCCACAGCCAGTGATGCCCGGGTGCTTGCTAAAAATAATCTATTTTTCCAAAAAGAAGATGACTTGAGATTAGGAGACCACAGGAGGAAAAACAACTTAGAGCAAAGGAAACCTCTTTGGGATTCAGGCCTATTAGCTTACTTCTTCCGACTCAAGAGCTCCTCCCTGCCTGGCCTCAGCCCTCTCTGGCCTCTCCCTATTGTCTCAGGGCTCCAATTTGAAGGCCTAAATCTCAAGTTTCATGTGGTCTCACTTTGAGACCCAGCTCTAATCTTTCTAGAAACACTTCACACGGGTCTGGACGGGAGAGAAAAGCAACAAACTCCTGCAGTATTTTAAAACACAAATGAAGTTATTGACATTGTCAGATGCCCATGACTCCCCAGCCTCTAAGGACAGCTGACAGTTCTCTGCTTCTCTTAGCTTCTTCTTGCTTCCAGGAATTTTGCTTGCACCTTGCCTAATGAACCCTGCTGCCTCCACTGGCTCCCAGTAGAACCCAAACTGGCAATATGCTTTCAGTGGCCGGCAGCATGAAATACCTCCACCACCGATTTCCTAAGGGGTAGGAACAAGAAAAGGGAAGCAGGAAGCTCTGCTTCCTGCTTTGGCCCTTGGGTTCAGGGCTGCACCCAGCACTATAGCTGCCCAGGGCGCTGACTTGAGGTCAAGGGCAAGGTGGCCTCAAAGATGATCTAGAGAGGGCTTAACTGTGTTTGGTCTTTGAAATGTTTAAACTTTCTGAATTTCAGTGCTCTGAGGTAAGGCTCAGATAACAGCCCTACTCAGAGCTCTGCAAGGAAGGGTTTCTAAGTTACTAAAGGAAAGAAAGTGACAGCATTCTCTTTGAGCAGGGTTGCTGGAACCCCTCACACCTAGGTGGTTCCTTGCTCCTGATACTAATGGTTCCACTCCAAACTGCTCTTCTTCCTGTCTCTTCCCATCTTGGGAGGATCAATGACTCTCCCCAGTCCTGCCACCTCCCTCCCAGTCTCCTGAAAAGCCCTCTTCTTTGTGCTGTTTTTCCCCACTCAATCTAAATCTGGACAGACCGAACTGTCGCTCATGTTACCCCATCTCCATTTCTTGTGCAGGAGCAGGAGCAGACTTTTCCTGGAGGGGGGAGCACCATCTACTCTATGATCCAGTCCCAGGTACCTCTCCAGTTTCTCTAGTCCATTCCATACCTATCTCTGGGGTTTCCTAATGCCCCCCTGAAACTCACACCATTGAATGGCAGAATAAGATCTTGGTGCTTCTAGAATCCAGAAGATAGCTTGGCTTCAGTTGCATTAACACATTATTTGAAAAGATCCGTGTGATACTAGAGCATCTTAACACAGCTGGGAAGCCTGATGTGGACATTCCTTCTTCTTCCGTGTCTGGCAGAAGGTCTGGCCCAGATAAAGTCTATAGGAGCAGAAACCTGGTTAGGGGACTCAACTTCTGCTTTCTTGCCCTGCTGCTGCTTCTAATACTTGGGGCCCTTGCACTTTTTATCCCTATTCCCTATTATATTCGTTTTCAGGAAAGAATGAATCTGCATTGATCTCTTTTATTTTATTATGACTTAGCAATAATGTCCATTTTCTTTTCTTTTAAAACAATTTTATTGTTTAGAGACAGGGTCTCTTTATTTATTTTTTATTTCCATAGGTTTTTTTGGGAACAGGTGGCATTTGGTGTCATGAGTCAGTTCTTTAGTGGTGATTTGTGAGATTTTTGGTATACCCGTTATGAGACAGGATCTCATTCTGTCTACCAGGCTGAGTGCAATGGTAGAATCATAGCTTACTGAAGCCTTGAATTCCCGGCCTCAAGTGATCCTCCCACCTCAGCCTCCTGGGTAGCTAGGTCTGCAGGTGTGTACCACTGCACCCAGCTGTATTTTCTTACTAAATCTCACATAACAGCCTCATGAAAATAGTTCTAATACTTTAGATGTGGTCTACATTCCATATCACAATGAGGAAACCGAGACTCAGGTCAACTGATATCTCAAGGCTACATAGCTAGGTAGTGGCAGAGCTGAGCCAAAGGGTTTCTGAGTCTCCATTGCACCTCCTCATACTCCACCTCTTATATTCTGGGATTACAGAAATTCACTCATAAACTGGAGAAGCATCCTTTAATACTGATGGCTAAAATGACATTGATAACCCAGGCTGGGACATCTCTCCCAAGGGAAACACTGCCTCCTGGTGGCCAGTAATAAAAGACTTTCTGATAAAAATGGCTTTAAAAAAAAGAAAAAAAAAATTGAGCACCATCTTCAGTTTGGTGGCTGAGCTGTGGGGCAAAGAAAATCTGATTATAAGAGCGGTTGATATCTGCCAGTTCTCTAGTTTCAGCCACATTGAACTCCAATGAGAGGAATTTCTATCAGTGCAAGAAAGAGGTCCCCTCAAACTATGGTGTTGGGTGAGAATGACAGTCCTCCTCTGGAGCATCTTAAAAGGAGAATGTTTACCTGATTTAGAGGACACCTGGTTCCAGTCCAGGGAAGGGAGGCAAGTTGCCAAAGGGAGGCATTGAGGTGTTGAGGAAAGAGCCCTGGAGAGTCTTGGGTTTGAATTCTGCTTCTACTGTGTACGCACTGCCTGACTTGGGCTATTTATCCTTTTGGAGCCTCATTTGTGGCATGGGGCAAATTATGATCATTCTTATTTTATAGGAGTGTTAAAAGAGTTAGAGAAGAGGCCAGGCGCGGTGGCTCATGCCTGTAATCCCAACACTTTGGGAGGCCGAGGCGGGCGGATCACGAGGTCAGGGGTTTGAGACCAGCCTGGCCCACATGGTGAAACCCTGTCTCTAAAAATACAAAAATTAGCTGGGCATGATGGCAGGCACCTGTAATCCCAGCTACTCAGGAGGCTGGGGCAGGAGAATTGCCTGAACCCAGGAGGCAGAGGTTGCGGTGAGCCAAGATCGAGACATTGCACTCCAGCCCAGGCAATAGAGCGAAACTCTTGTCTCAAAAACAAATAAACAAAAAAACAGTTAGAGGAGAATACATGTATAAGATAAATGCTCAACAAATAGAAGCTTTCATTAATGACAGAGCGAGACTAGCACTCAGGTTGTCTGACCTCCTGGCTAGTCCAGGGCTCTTTTCACTAACACTTGAAGCTTCCATCTGGGCAGGGTTGAGGAGGAGAAACGGAAGAGATAACCTTTGTAAGATTGTGCTGGATCTGTGCTTCTGAAATGATTTTATTTCTCTTCTCATTAGTCTTCTGCTCCCACGTCACAAGAACCTGCATATACATTATATTCATTAATTCAGCCTTCCAGGAAGGTGAGCCTCTTCCCGTGGTGGTGGTGGGGTGTTGTTGATGTAGATGTGTATTTTGCATGTGTTTGCAGTGAGAGTGTGTGTGCACATCCTGGCAAGTTGTTCTTTATTGTGTGTATCTGAGTAGCTTCTGTTAAATGACTGTATTTAAATGTCAATGGGCCAATGAGAAATGCCTTACTGGTTCTGTCTGGAGAAAAATAACAGCTTCTAGACTAAGAGAACAGTAGACTAGATGAGTTTTTGGGAGTTTCTGTGGGAGGTAAAGGACAGTCAGAGACAGAAAGGAGGTGCTTTGCACAGAGAGACTACGGGGTACTTAGTAGGTCAGCTGAGGCTATGGTGAGAGATACTGGAGGGGTTTGCAAGGCAGGGCATATTGCCTGGAGCTGGAGGAGTAGACTGGATCTAGAGAGACACAATCTTGACCTTCAGAGACCAGAGAAAGGTCCTGGCCAGTCAGTCACCTGCTGGTGGAGGCCTCTGGACTGAGGCAACCCATCCTTTTGCACTGAAATCCTTCTCCAAGCTGAGTTCGTAGCTCTCTTGTGTACTTGGAAACAGAGTTGGGTATCCTGGTACACATGGTCATTGTTTTTCTCTTGTATGGAAGGGGATGGGAAGAGTGGTGTTCCCAAGGCTGGAGCCACAGTGTGAAGCCAGAAAGCCTTAACATGGTAGTATGGGAATTTGGGAGTCCACACAACTGTGGAAGTCCATGCAGGTCAGGGACCACAGGTTTGAAGGGGTTTAGGACAGATTTTCAGACTTTTCATTCAACCTCCTTCCAATAAGCCATTCAACCTACTTGGATCCCATCGTGAGAGAGATTTGTTTTTAATTATATGCTACAATATAAGGCCATATAGATGTTCACAGGCACCATGTTCACCTGCTTTGGTGTATGTAAACTCTATATGCTACTGAATGTGCCTCTGAATTCTAGTGTCCTTGGGTTGGCAATTATTTATATGCCTGGATTGTTTACATTAAGGGTGTGTGTATGCATGCGTTGAAGAGATACATGGTTTGGGGCAGTATTTGCATTAGGATTGCCTGAGGGATATGTGTGTATGTGTATGTGTATGTGTATGTGTATGTGTGTGTGCTCTGGGAATGTGTGTGTGTATATATATACACAAATATGTATATATATGTGTGTGTGTATATATATATATATATACACACACACACACATATGTGTATGGGTTTTAGGTGTATGTGGGTATGGAACAGCAAATTCTGATTTTGGTTCAGAAATATCATATTATAGGCAAATACTGTATATATTGTGTCTTCCCTGGAGACCATAAACACCATTGTTTTGCTCCTAGGGTGACAGATTCTATTCATTTTCTGGCTGAGAGTGCCTCAGAATTTTTCTGGGCCCTGAGTCTCTTTTGGGACCTCTCACATCACTTAGGAGTGGGAGAGCACTTATCTCGAAGTTAAGTATTCTTTACCTTCTGAATTTCTAGTCTGGATCCAGGAAGAGGAACCACAGCCCTTCCTTCAATAGCACTATCTATGAAGTGGTAAGATTCTGGAACTCCTCAATGGGTTTACTGTCTGTTGCATAGCCCTGAAATCTAGCCATGAAAGGGTACACTTAGGAAAAGATCATTCACACAGTCTCAGAGTTGTAGGGAATTTAGAGATCTTCTAATGCAAGTCTTTGTTTTAGAGATGAAGACACTGAAGCCCAAGGAGAGTGAGGGTCTGACCCAAGATCATATTGCGTGTTTAGATATGATACTTACTGGGCAGCTTGGGTTTTAAATTAGGGCCGTCCCCGAGCTAGTTCCCAGGCTGTGGGCCACAAACTGGACATCTCTCCTTTCCAAGAGTGTTCGGAGGAGGGGTCAGAGAGGGGAAGATAAAGGACTCTAAATGATTTTCTAAAATTAGCAAGTCTTTGGGAGCCATTCCAGGACATAGGTGAGCTTAATCTTCTTCAGGGGTCAACACTGTTCAGAGATGACCACTGAGCCTGGTGGTTGAATTGATTCCCATCAGAGCATTTAGGGACTGGAAAGGAGGGACTCAACATTTCTTGGGGGTTTATTATGGATAAGGTAGCCTGCCAGTGTCTTCACATGGATTATTTTATTTAGTCCTCACAGAATGCTACAAGATAGGTATAATTATACTTTCCATTTATACTCAGAGAAATTAAGGCATGGAGAGCATCCCCCAACCTCCCCCACTACCCATTAGCCTCATACTACACCTGAGCCTCCCCACCTGTGGTCCAATAAAGATGCTGCCATTGGTCAGAAGGGAGGGATGGGTGGCTGCCTGCTGGAATTCCTGGCACTTCAGCTATCACCCAACATTAAAGCCAACTGGACAACCCAGGGTCATAGAGGGCACTGTGTAGACCCAGGTAGCTTGTGAGGTCATGAAAAAGCATATGTGGTTAAGAGAGTACTGGAATTGGAGCCAGAAGAACTAGATTCAAGTCCCTCCTGCACTTCACACTAGTCGTGGATCCTGAGTAATTTGTTTTGTCACTCTGAGCTTCATTTTTTAAATCTGTAAAATGGGGATGGCAAGTCATACCTCACAGGATTGTGATAAGGACCTCCCAGTGCAAGGGTCTGAAGTTTCTCCTTTTCTTTTGCAGATTGGAAAGAGTCAACCTAAAGCCCAGAACCCTGCTCGATTGAGCCGCAAAGAGCTGGAGAACTTTGATGTTTATTCCTAGTTGCTGCAGCAATTCTCACCTTTCTTGCACATCAGCATCTGCTTTGGGAATTGGCACAGTGGATGACGGCACAGGAGTCTCTATAGAACAGTTCCTAGTCTGGAGAGGATATGGAAATTTGTTCTTGTTCTATATTTTGTTTTGAAAATGATGTCTAACAACCATGATAAGAGCAAGGCTGTTAAATAATATCTTCCAATTTACAGATCAGACATGAATGGGTGGAGGGGTTAGGTTGTTCACAAAAGGCCACATTCCAAGTATTTGTAATCTAGAAAGTGTTATGTAAGTGATGTTATTAGCATCGAGATTCCCTCCACCTGATTTTCAAGCTGTCACTTGTTTCCTTTTCTCCCCTCTCTGGGTTGACTGCATTTCTAGACTCTCGCCGGCCCAGGCCCATCTTCCAAAGCAAGAGGAAGGAATGATAATGGTGACTCAGGGGAAGAAGAAACAGCCCTCCTCTGAAAGCCTGGACTGTCCGGCTGTGAACTGGCTGGCAGGTTCTGCACGTGGGTGGGGGCCAGGGCCTGGGCTTTACTCAATTGCAGAGAAAAAACTTTCTCCCTGCATCTCATACCTTTACCTCTGGCCAGTTGGCCACCAGGGGGAGTGGGCTGAAGGGAGAGTAGATGGTGCAAAGCAAGCCCATCTCTAAGTAGAAAAATCACCCAGAGCACATGCTGACCTGATAACTGGGGTGTTGAGACCAGCTTTGTCCATGGTATGATGTTTGATTTATGAAGACGCATTGTTAGAAATCCATTTGGCTTCTTCATAGAAGTGGCTTCCCAGAGGAAGAGGCCTCTCAGAAACCATGTTCTATTTAAGTTCTGAGTCCTGATGAGTGTTCCCCAGGATGCACATTGAAGGGAGGGCTCAGGCAGCTGAGGGCTGAGAATGAGGCAGTTGGAATCTAGACACTATGCTGGGTTCCCTGAGTCGTCAGGCCAGACATTTCAACAAGGCTGTGGGGAGCAGGGCTGTGACTCTGGCTGAGCCCAGGAAAGCGACAAGGGTGAACTGGGAGAGGACTTACTCAGAGACCCCAACAGGTGATACTGCACAAAGCCTGGTTCTTCAATTTTCCTACCCTGTATCTAACATAGGAGTTTCATATAAAACGGTGATATCATGCAGATGCAGTCTGAATTCCTTGCCTGAATTAAATTTATGTATCCTCTCCATACCCTGCATTTTTATTCTCTATAGCAGCCGAAGGGCACTTGTGGGCCATCAACAAACACATGTCTGTTTGAACACTGCTGTAGAGGGTCTGACTTCCTGGTGAGCTGGCAGTGTCCTTCAGCCCTGTTCACACTGGGACAGCAGAGAACTAGACACTAGGGGCTATTCCATCTTGTGAAGGAGAGCCAAGGCACTCACTTGGTCACATCCTGCAGGATCCCTTTCCCCTGAGACTGTGCTGCTGGCCAGGCTGGTTTCCTCCTGGAGAGAAGTGTGAACAGACCACATCTTAAAGCAAGTGAGAAGCTTAAAAACCAGGCAAATATATTCAGAAAGAGCCTGGGGGTCCAAGGCAGGTACTGGGAGTTGAGTTGCAGAGTCAAGGAGTTTAGTGAGTAGAGGCAGCAGGAAATGACGGGGTTCAGAAACAGTCCAGATGAACACCAGGGACTCTGACCATTGACTGCTGCTGGCCTTTCATGTGTCCTGCATAGATCTTGAACTGGCCAGATTTATTTAAGGAGCAGAAGAGACCCTATGGGGTCAGGGCTTTTGAGGATGCTGTATTCTAGAAAGAAAGATGTACAAGGTCATCATGTTATGTGTCTGATTGTTGAGCTTCCGTGACAATGCCTCACAAAGATAATTATCCATGCAACAAGCCAGTCAATGAACAAGCAGTAATTAAGCTCCTGCTGTGTATGAAGCACTGCCTGAACTCCTGGGAGTACCCACTGCAGGTGACAGAAGCCATACTGAGTTCAGGATCATGTGCAGGAGAGCATGACAGAGGCAGCACACAATTAAAGGACCTAGATGGGCTGCAAGGTGATGGTAACAGAAATGTACACTAGAGTATCACGAATATAAGTCAAGTATAGTGCATCTTACAGGCAGAGGAGAGGGCTGTGGCCACAGTCTTAGGGAGAGATACTGTGGGTATTCTGTGTCCAGACTGGACAATAAGAAGGGAAGTTCTTTTGGGTAAATATGGGAGGCTTATTTGAAACAGGCATTTTAAGCACCTTTACAAAATAGCAAAGAAGTAATACACACATATGGTTTTAAAAAAATCCAGCAGTACAAAAAATTGTGCAGTAAAAAATGTCTCTTTCCCAACTTGAGATTCCCAGTTCCTCCCCAGAGGCAGCCACTAATGTTTTTTGTATTTCTTTCCATAGCTTTTCTATGCCTATGTAAGCATGTAGACTTACATTTTTTCTTTTCTTTTCTTTTTCTTTCTTTCTTTTCTTTCTTTCTTTCTTTCTTTCTTTCTTTCTTTCTTTCTTTCTTTCTTTCTTTCTTTCTTTCTTTCCTTCCTTCCTTCCTTTCTTTCTTTCCTTTCCTTTCTTTCCTTTCTCTCTTTCTTTCTCTCTTTCTTCTTTCTTTCTTCTTTTTTTTTTCTTGAGATGAACTCTCGCTGTGTTGCTAAGGGTGGAATGCAGTGGCGCAATCTCTGCTCACTGCAACTTCCGCCTCCTGGGTTCGAGTGATTCTCCTGCCTCAGCCTCCCAAGTAGCCGAGATTACAGGCACACACCACCATGCCCAGCTAATTGTTTTTTTGTATTTTTATTAGAGACGGGGTTTCACTATGTTGACCAGGCTGGTCTTGAACTCCTGACCTCAAGTGATCTGCCCACCTTGGCCTCCCAAAGTGCTGGGGTTACAGGCATGAGCCACCGTGCCTGGCCAACATACATTTTTTTTTTTAAATCCA
Source organism: Homo sapiens (assembly GCF_000001405.40). Taxonomy (NCBI): domain Eukaryota; kingdom Metazoa; phylum Chordata; class Mammalia; order Primates; family Hominidae; genus Homo; species Homo sapiens. Next base: position 160,828,439 of record NC_000001.11, on the reverse strand, counting down.
ACTGGTAGCATACAATGCACATGGTCCTGAACTTTGTTTTTTCCACTCCATAATGTATCTTAGAGCCCATTCCATATTAGCACCTATTAGTCCTTGCTTGCTTTCCAAGCGGCAGGGTTTGCCGTTGCATGGGTATATAATCATATATGTAACTGGATTCTCACTGAATGAATGGACATTTAGGTTATTTCCTGCCTTTTATTTTAAATAACACTGCAGTGAGCATGATATTATGTACATCTTGTGTCATGTGTGACAATTCTCTTGGGTTCTTTTCAGCAGTGTTGAGAAGGTGGTGTAAAGGACAGCTGGTCCAGGCCCCTCAGCAACATTTGACCAGTCTTGGTAGAATTTCGAGGAGGAAACGCTATAAGTGTGCGAGGTGACAAATGGGGCAAAGACATCTGAAGCCCATAGGCTCCAAGAAGGAGCCTGTGTCTGAACTATTAATGGGTTTGGGAGTCCTTAAGGGTGAGAAGGAGGGGGAGGGGCCACATCCAGGCATCTCTGAGGCACTGAAGGAAATTCTGAGGTGCTTCTGTCTGTGAGCCCCAGGCCCCATGAGGTCCAGCTGACTTTCCAACCCCACGGTCCCAGGAGAGAGGCAGCAGCTGCTTTTCCTTTCAGGTGAAATTTTCATAGGTAGGACTTTCAGGAATCTCAAGATCATTCTGTTGTGGTGGTGGCACCACCTGTGAGCCAAAAATCCACAAAAGAATATGGTTAATAAAGCCTTGGAAGAGTGAGGCTGATGAAAGAGGAAGGCAAGGCCAGGCTATGACTGGTCCATCCTACAGAAGTAGAGTCATATGTGCTGGCCCAGGGATGGCGCAATCAACCAGCCTGATGCCAAGCATTTATGGAGGCTCCTAATAGGAAAGGCTGTGGGCTGGACTCTCTGCAAGGACAACACAAGACAGTTTAGTGCAGCAAATCCAGGGGATAAAAAAATGACAATGAAGGGGCTTGCCCTCACGAAGCTACTGTCAAATGATTCCAATCTCTGCCCTAGCTGGAGAAACAAAACGAACATTTATAAGAAGATAATTTAGATGGCAGAGGTTAAGTTCCAAAGTAATGGTCCAGACCATTAGTCCCCAAGCTGTTCCCAAGGGTTCTTAGGCTTCCCTGTCTGAGAGTGTTCAGGGAAGGCTCTAAAGAGCAGATAAGCTCTGTGCTGACCCAGAGGAGCGGGAGGTTGGGTACCAGCAACAGCTTGGGGATAGCATAAACCTTTGAGATGTTGTACAGAGAGGTATATCAGAAATAAGAACTAAAGTAGGTTTGAGAATTTCCAGATCAAGTAGGCAATAATGGCCTTCAGAGATCCAAAACCAGAATTCCTGGTCCTGACAATTCTGAAGACAAAAGATATAGTTGTCAAGAGTTTGGCTCAGGAAATGCAATGATTTCAACTTACACTGTAAGTGAGGTGGTTTCAGGGGTCTCAGTCTCCAGGGTAGTGTGTGTGCCTTGCAGGACTGACCAGACATGTGGTGGTCATTCTGAAACTCAGAGCAGGGACTGACTTTAAGTTTGACCGGTATTGACCCAAACACAAAGGGCCAGGCCAGAGTAGAAAGCAGCTCTGGGAATGCAGTGAACAGCACAGATTTGGCCTTAGGTTCCAAGGCAAAGTCTCTAGCTGGCTAAGCATTAGACTACTGTCTAGAAGTCAGGATGAGATGGATGATGGTTGAACCAAACCACACATCCCAACAAGTGTTTACTGAGCAAATTCTATCCATCTTTTAAGGCCCAACCCAAATTCCTTTTTCATGATGTGTTTCCTCTTTACCACAGTGCAGTGATATCCCCCACCTTCAGCTTCTGAAAAACCCTTAGGAACTGTGCATACAATTTATTAAGTAGTCAAGTAACTTTAACCCATTTACGCAGGAGGTTGCAATTTTTTGAATTTGTGCATGAGTGAAAAATCAGACCCTGGTGATGATCTTGAGCAGTAGAATATAAATAACTCCTACACGCTTAGTGTTCCAATAATGGAACACCAGGCATAAGTGCAACATATGTTTGAACTGCATGGCCACTTATATGCAGATTTTTTTTCAATAAACATCACACTGAGTGTGCCTGCCTCTCCTGCCTCCCCTTTTACCTCCTCTACCTCTTTTACCTCTACCACTCTTGAAAGAACAAGACCAACCCTTCCTCTTCCTCCTCAGCCTACTCAATGTGAAGGTGAGGATGAAGACCTTTACAATGATCCAATTCCACTTAATGAATAGTATACATATTTTATCTTCCTTATGATTTTCTTAATAATTTCTTTTCTCTAGCTTACTTTATTGTAAGAATACAGTATATAATACACGTAACATGCAAAATATGTGTTAATCAAATGTTTATGTTTTTGGTAAGGCTTCTGGTCAACAGTAGGCTGTTAGTAGTTAAGTTCTGGAGAGTCAAAGTTATAGAATGATTTTTGATTGCATGGAGTGGGGTGGGGTTGGCACTCCTAAACCCCTGAATTGTTCAAGGGTCAACTGTAGTCTTTTCTTTTTTTTTGAGATGGAGTTTTGCTCTTGTTGCCCAGGCTGGAGTGCAATGGTGTGATCTCTGCTCACCGCAACCTCCACCTCCTGGGTTCAAGCAATTCTCCTGCCTCAGCCTCCTGAGTAGCTGGGATTACAGGTGCCTGCCACCACATTCAGGTAATTTTAATATTTTTAGTAGAGATGGGGTTTTACCATGTTGGCCAGGCTGGTCTTGAACTCCTGACCTCAGGTGATCCACCTGCCTCGGCCTCCCAAAGTGCTGGGATTACAGGCATGAGCCACCACGCCCAGCCGAGAGTTTTTTAAAAAATATTTTTTTGAATATGTTATAGGGAGGGAATTTGGGGGAGATTTGAAAGCAAAAGTATGAATGGACACGATGTTTTCAGGAAAGTGAAAATGAAATGGACAGCCAGATCAAGGTGAATTATTTAAGATTACTCAGGATGATCTTAAAACGCCTCATGGTTCTTAATACTGGAACTTCCAAGTACTATCTTTGTCACCTTAGGCAAAATTAACTTCCTTGAATCTGTTTCTTTGGCTATAAAATGTGGATGACAACACTTTTCTAGAAGTATTACAAAGATCAAAGAAGAATGTGTATCAAGGTATTGTAACTGCAAAACTTCATATAAAAGCAAGTCAGTTATTATTATCATTATGATTATTTAATGATAAATTCTACCTGTAAGGGATTTTTTTTTTTTTTTAAGACATGGTCTCACTCTGTCACCCAGGCTAGATTTCAGTGGCATGATCTTGGCTCACTGCAGCCTTGAACTCCCCGGCTCAAGCGGTCCTCCCACTTAAGTGTCCTAAGTAGCTGGGACTACAGGTGTGTACCACCACAGGCCTGGGTAATTTTTTTTGAACTTTTTATAAAGACAGGGTTTCACCATGTTGCCCAGGCTGGGAATTTTTTTTTTTTTTTTTTTTTTGAGATGGAGTCTTGTTCTGTTGCCCAGGCTGGAGTGCAGTGGCACGAACTTGGCTCACTGTAAGCTCTGCCTCCTGGGTTCACGCCATTCTCCTGCCTCAGTCTCTGAGTAGTTGGAACTACAGGCGCCTGCCACCACGCCTGGCTAATTTTTTTTGTATTTTTAGTAGAGACGGAGTTTCACCATGTTAGCCAGGATGGTCTCCATCTCCTGACCTTGTGATCCACCCGCCTTGGCCTCCCAAAGTGCTGGGATTACAGGTATGAGCCACCGCGCCCGGCTGGGATTTTTTTAAACACTAGAATAAAACTAATGTACTGTAGGTGGTGGTGTATTTTCCAAAAATTCTTGTTGTTAAATTGTTAGCTAATTTTCAATGGTTTTGAGAAGTTGTCATTTAGGTAGATTAGGATTAGGGTTAGAGATAGATTTAAAAAGCTATAAAGACCCTACCTTGTTTGAGTGTATAAGCTGTCATTCAGGTCAGTGTTAAAAATAACCAACATAAGATATTATTAAATCAATTAGAAATGTTCAGCCTTTGGTCACACAGATGTCAGGAATATTTGTTTATGCATCTCTGTTGACCATGGAATGTATCTGAGGGGTGCATAGTGGGTAGAATTTAAGATCCTTAGCCATGGGAATCTCGGATTTTCAGTTCAAAGGGTCTAAGGAATAGTTCCTCACTCTGTGGGCCTTGGGATACAGAGAATGTAGTTCTCACCACCTGAGGTTTCCGTATGGAGCAGTAGATTGTGGCTGAGCTCTCTTCCTTCTGAGAAACTGGGGTCTTTCCCTGTAACACACCAACAGCAGATGAGCCCTAGTGACCACATGAGAGCTTTTCAGTTTTACCCTCAACCCTTGAGGAGAGGGGATACCCCCTGGCTTCCCATCTCACACACAGGGTGGGAGCTGCCTTAGTGCAGTGGGGACGGTGCCTCTGGTTCTCCAACACCTTCCTTATTAGTGGCCCAAGAATGAGAGCTGAGGGACAAGTCCCTCGTTCCACAGGATCCCAAGGTTTGGTAAACATGGACACAGCCATGAGTCCCTGCCCGTATGCCCCTAGTCCTGTTTCCAGGCCCCAGCCCCCAGTTTGGAGGAACTAGTCATCCAGGATCTCAGATGCCGCTAGACATGGGAGGAGGAGGAAGGTGTATTGATCAGAAGGGCTCACCTGTAAGTTGAACACTTGTGCATACATGGTGTTCTCTCCAACCACAGACTCAACTTCCGTGACATATGGAGTGACGGGATCATAGTCTGCTTGGCCCTCAGGGGCTGGGTCATGTCCAGCGCCCTCCTGAGTGACCTGGTCAAATACCTCATATCTTCCACTGATGGGCTTGTGCACCTCAGGCCTGTCCTCATCCTCCTCAGTTGTGAGGTTGCTGTCAGAGCTGCTGTCTGAGGTGGGTGTAGGCTGTTGCCTGGCAGGCCTGAGGGGAGTGTCCAGCTTCTCATATCCTTGGGAGAGCACAGAGTATAGCGTGTGGCCAGCTGTGGGTTCTGGAACACATTGTGCAGGGCTGATAAAAGTATGCCAACCCCACCTCTCTTCTTGCTTTGCTGCAAGGCCCCAGCCTGCTCTGATGCCTGCATTAGATGAGGCCTAGAGAACCGAAGGAGATTGTTTTGTCCTGTCTTCCCTCAGGGGGTCCATTCCACTCTCCCTTCCTCCTTCCTTTCAAGCATTCATTTATTCATTCATTTGATAAATATTAAATATGACATGTGATAGACTTTAGCAACTCTCTGGCCCTGTGGGATAAACCATGCCAAGCATCATTGCAGGTACTCTGGGGAAACACAAAGGTAAATTAGACCTGGCCCTGGAGGAGCACCCTGTCTAGCTGGGGAGTCAGGTGCATGTGTAAATCAGTAATGTAAGGCCAGCTTTGCCAAGTATCCTATGGAACGTATGAGGAAAGTGCAGAGTTGAGAGGAGATGACTCTGGTTAGAGAAGCAGAGAGGAACTCATGAAAGTGGCAGAATTGAGGTGGGTCTTGAATAGGGATTCAATATTTCGATGAGTGGAAGGGTATTCTAGGTGGAGGAGGGAACAGCATGATTAGAGGCAGGTGTAAAGCCTGGAGCAGTCTCTTTTTCCGAAAGGATGATATTAAAAATACTTAACAATTGCAATGGTCAGGCCTTAGGCAATCAGCATGGGCACCTGTGAACAGTGGCATGGTGGATGCGCTGTGAGGGCCGGTGTGGCCCACTGGGTGGATATGCTGTGAACGCTGTCATGGCACACTGGGTGGATGTCAACCCTGCCTGTGGGGCACATGAAGTAGCCCATTTTGATACAGGAGTTAAGAAGAAATTACTTAGGCAGATAGTAAGGATATGGGAGTCCTTGGTCAGGCTTTTCTTTTTATTGAAAAGCAGCCCCAAATCATTTTCTAACAAAGAGCAGCCTGCAAGCTGGGAGCTTGCATGGGTGAACACCAGCAGGGACTAAGGAATAGACATTTTCAAAATGGCGGCTCCATCTTCCCTTCCCTGCCAGCCACTGTATTGAAAGGAGCAGATAAGATGGTGCCAATAAACTGGAAAATCCATTTGCATAAGAAGATTAGGGTGCGGCAACCAGCCTTTCCCAGGCACTACGTAAACGTCATGCCTTATCGAACCAATCTGTGAGCCCTAGGTAAATCAGACACCGCCTCCTCAAACTGGACTATAGAACTCAGCGCATTCACCAGCAGCCGGTCCCCACCCCTCTGAGACCCCTTCCTCTATAGAGGAAGCTGTTTCTCTTTTTCTTTTCTTCTACTTATTGAACGTCCGCTCCTAAACTCCTCCTGTGTGTCTGTGTCCTAAACTTTCCCGGCACGCGAGGACAAACCCTGAGTTTATATCTCAGACAACATAGCCCCTTCAATTTGACCTGATGCTCATATTTAGTAAGTGCCTACCGTGTGCGAGGCACAGTTCTAAATGCTTTTCATGAATAAGTTTATTTAGTCTGCCTAAAACCCCATGAAGCATAGACAATAACTATCCGTATTTATTTTTTGTAGATGAGGAAACTCGGGCACGTAAAGATTAAGTATTTTCCCGAGTAAGTGGTAGGGCCAGGATTTGACTACAGCTAGTCTTGTCCCTGATGCTCTTAACCGCTGCTCAATCCTGCCCCCTCCCGGCTGGCCCCTCTTTCTCTTTCGCTCAATACTGAGTGAAAATAGATACCTTCATTTTGGAAGGTAAGGAAACTGAGGCTTAGGGATTCATAAGGAGGAGAGCTAGGGTTTGAGCACAGGGTTATCCTACCTCAGAACCCATACACTTGACCACTTGGTTATATCGCCTTTTGAACAGACAAAGGCCATTAGGGGCTATTGAGGGTTTTAGAGAAGTCAGAGTTGAGCTTGGCAAAGTGATGAGAGGAAATAGTCTGCAAAGAAACTATTAGCATATTTTAGGAAAGAAGTAACAAGGAATGAGAATGTCTGTTAATAAGGACTGGTAAAGTAAATTAGTTAAACAAATGTGTAGAATGGAATAAATGGGAATCAGTTTTAATCTACAAACATTAATATTGCTGGGATGTACTGTTAAGATCAAAAAGCAAGGTTTAGAAAAAAAGTGTTATAGATTGCTCCCATATGTGAAGTTAAAGGAACACCCTCCCCACACAAATATGTATGAAACCTGCAAATGCATTAAAAGTTTCTGAAAGGATTCAGGTCTGTAGAAATCTCAGCAGTGGTTGTCTCTTGGGGGAGAGACTTAGAACCTGGAGATGGAATTTGGAAAGAGAACTACTTTTAACTGTATGCCATGTGAATATATGGTTTTTTTTTTTTTTTTTTAGCAAAGTTTCACTTTTTTTGCCCAGGTTGGAGTGCAATGGTGCAGTCTCAGCTCACTGCAACCTCTGCCTTCCAGGTTCAAGTGATTCTCCTGCCTCAGCCTCCAGAGTAGCTGGGATTACAGGCATGTGCCACCATGCCTGGCTAATTTTTATATTTTTGGTAGAGACGGGGTTTCACCATGTTGGCCAGGCTGGTCTTGAATTCCTGACCTCAGGTGATCTACCTGCCTCAGCCTCCCAAAGTACTGGGATTATAGGCGTGAGCCACCGTGCCCAGTCTGACTTTTGAATTAAAAAAAAAAAAAAACTATTCAATTAAACAACAAATTGGTGACAACATGAACTAAGGCAGTGGCAGTGGATCTAGGGAAGAGGAGACCTTGGAGAGGTTAAAGAAGCAGGCCTTGGAGGTTCAAGAAGGGTTCTGGGGGAGAGAAGAGGTAGGGAGGTGGTGGTGGCCCCAACATCTCTTTACCCTCTGCCCAAGGAAGGAGGGTTCAGGCAGGGGGACACCAGGGCTCTGTCCTGTCAGTAGTGAGGAGGGAGCTGATGGGGAGCTTCATAGTCCAGCCTAATTCCCTTCCTTGCCCCCTGTCTCTTGGTTATGCTTTTCCATCAGAAGAGCCCATATCGTCACATGCTCCCTGCCCAGTCCTGCCTCTGATTCCATCTCCATGGGGAATCCCTGCCATGAGGGGTGACATATAGTTTTATTTTTTATTTATTTATTTATTTTTTAAAGCAGGATTTGGTTAGAGTGAGCACAGGTTGGGGATTCCTTAGCACTCCAGAGCTCCAGAGTTTAAGGTGAAATTTTAGGACACTGTGGCATGGGAGTGGGGGAGTAAAGGCAGGCATCTCAGCTCCCCACACTAAAACCTGTCAGAGCAGTTCCATTTCCCACGATGCTCTTAGGTAATAGGTTGTACAGTCTCCTGAAGTTTAATTTTAATTAAGTTTTAAATTTTTTTCTACCACAGATGTACTGTTCCATCTGGCCTTTGTTTCTCTGTTCTCAGAATGGAGACAATAACTCCATCCTCATTGTAGTCCACATTCAAATGGTGAATGGCTAATGCCCAAGGAACCCTAGAGACCCTGGGGGACAGACTGCCTCTCCTAGCTCTGGTGACCATCTCTAAGGAGTCTATCTTGGCTTTTGTTTCTATGCTACCTTCCTTTTCAAACTTCAGTAGGCATATGAATCACTTATGGATCTTGTTAAAATACAGGTTTGGAATCAGTATTCTGGGGTGATGCCCAAGATTCCCTCCCTCCCTCCCTCCCTCCCTCCCTTCCTTCCTTCCTTCCTTTCTTTCTCTCTCTTTCTTTCTCTTTCTGTTTTTTTTTTTTTTTTTTGAGACAGAGTCTTGCCCTGTTGCCCAGACTGTAGTGCAGTGGCGTGATCTAGGCTGACTGCAACCTCCACCTCCCAGGTTAAATAGATTCTCATGCCTCAGCCTCCCGAGTAGCTGGGATTACAGGCGTGCACCACCATGCCCAGATAATTTTTTCTATTTTTAGTAGAGACAGGGTTTCACTTTGTTGGCCAGGCTGGTCTTGAACTCCTGGCCTCAAGTGATCTACCTGCCTCAGCCTCCCGAAGTGCTGGGATTACAGGTGTGAGCCACGGCACCTGGTCAGATTTTGCATTTCTAACAAGTTTCCTGGGTGATGCCCACACTGCTGGCCAGCAGACCACACTTTGAGCAGCAAGACTTTAGAACTTCCATTTGGACCAGATACCCCATAGCCTGTGTCATGGGTGATGTTACCTGGTGTATCCGCTGGGGCCTCAGCTTGGCTGGAACAGAAGGCTGGGACTGAACCTGAGAAACAAAGTTAGAGAAGGTTTATCAAGAGGGCTGTGAGGTGAGAGGTGTCTTTTATTCTGTGAGAGTCAAATGAGAAGGGGAGAGACTTCTGGGACATAGACAGGGAAAAGGCTTCAGGAAGGAGGATGAACCCTGATGAGAAGCCAGGCCTATGTGAAGGGGTGGCCAGAGTCTAGGGCTACTTTCTGCAGAGGTGGAGGCTCTGGAGCTTCCTGCCATCCCTCCAGAAGAGAGAGCTCCTCTGCCATAGCCACTGATCAGAGTAGTTTGCCTGCAATTCAGTAATTCTTCCAGGGACCCCATGTGTTCTACCCATTCTGCTCTTTTTGGCTACTACTTCATTTCCACTCCAATACTGGGATTCTAGAGGAGCTGCCAATCATAATAGTGTATCTTCTTGGCTATAGAAATTGGTCCAAGCAGCAGCCACATGACCTTAACTTGGGCCAATCAGAGCTATTTCTGACATTCTTTAAATTGGAGTTAGAGGGAAGCACATTTTCTTCCCTGTCTGGTGTCGGAGCTGTTAGTATGTGTGGGTCTGGAGCTGCCAGCTGTTGTGTTGTGGTACACTCCTCCCCTCGCTCCCACCCCTTCCCTCAGCGGGCTGCAGTAGGAAGAGTTAAGCTGACTCAAAATACACAGTAGAGATGAAAGGTGGAGAGCTCTGATGACTTTTGAGCCTCTGGTGACATTTCTCCATTATGCCAGCTCTATCCCTGCCTTCCCCACAGATTGATTATTTAAGTGAAAAAATAATAAATCACTCTCCCTGCTCCCACATGCCTTTTTTTTTCTGTCTAAGCCAGTTTGAACTGGGCTTCTATTATTTGTGAGTAAAGAGTCCCAACTGACACCCCTCCCCCATTGCTCTGAGAAGAAATAAGATGCTGGCAGGGAGGGGTAGCACGGGATTGTGTGAGGGCAGAGAAGCCTCCACAAGTCCCAGGGAAATGGCCTAGCACTGGCGGACAACATTGATCTCGGAAACTCACACCGTCCTTTTCGCTTCCAAATGCACCAGCTGAAGATCCCAACGCACAGAAGGCAAACCATCAGGAACAACCCAATCCAAAGCTTTGTGTTTCTCTCAGGTCCTTTGAGGAGGAAATGAGTGATGTTAATTCAAATAATGACAAGACACACTGGAGCAAACAATGCACAGAACATGATGGCCATCCTACCTGCCCCTTAAAATCCATGACGTTGTGGAAAGTCTTTCTTTTCATTCATTCTACAACCATTTTTCGAGCAAGCATTACTCTAGGCAAGAGGTTATAGCAGTACCTGAGGCAGACAGTCCCTGGGTAGAGAGGTTTACGGCTTGCCCAGTGTCACAGTGTTTCAAGTGTCTGACCTGAGGTTCGAGTGCAGATCCTACAGCGCCCTTAATCGCCACATTACACTGCCCCGCTGTAAATGATATGAGGGGAGTTCCAGATTCCTGTTAAGCTGGACTCTAGATCTGTCTGCCAGACACAATCTGACCCAACATTGTCAGATCCTGGGTAGACCGTACCTTTTTTCTGCTTCCTTCTACGGAAGAGCAGAAGATAGAGCTCAGGGTTCGAAACCAGCTTTTATGGTGTGACCTTGGATAAGTCCCTTATCTTTTCTGAGCCTCAGTTTCTTTATCCATATAAAGGGGAAAAACGAGAATATCTACTCTGTAGGATTGTTGCGAAGATTGTGCAAAAATGCCTGAAGGCCTAGAATAGTACTTAGCATTTATTAAGGGCCACTGGGGCTTCTTTTCTAGCTCCCACTCACGCAGCCTTTGTTCCTGTGTGGTCCACATCCCTTTCCATATCAGCTTCCTATTGGCTTTTCTCCACAAGCCTGTAACTCTGTGCTGTTCAATATGGTAGCCACAAGCTATGCATAAGCCCTTGAAGTGTGGCTAGTATTACTGAGACACCAAATTGCTTCTTTTATTTAGTTTTAGTTTAAATTTAAAAATGGCTACTCAATTCCTTCTTGAAAAACTGATAAATATGCTTGGAATAACTTGGGTGCATAAATCTATTTTTTCAACTGTAAATTTTACGAAGTCTGAATATAGATTAAACACTTTCAGTGAAAATTTAGCATCGGAATCGAGACGTGCTCTAAGTGTAAAATACATACTGGCTCTCAAAGACTTAGTACAAAATAAAATGTAGTGTCTAATGAATTTTTTTGTATTGAATACACGTTGAATAATGATATTTTGGATATATTCAGTTAAATAAAACATATTATTAAAATAACTTTATTTCTTCTTGCTTTTTCTAACGTGGCTATTAGAACATTAAAATCACATGCGTGACTCTCATATATCTGTGGAAGCATGCCACTCTAAAGGGCTCTCACCCACAGCCTCTTACTGCACTTCATAAAGAATCAGTCAGGATGCAAACTCTTGGAGGCCCCAAGGTCCTGTGACCTGAGTAAATAGAGATGGAGAGAAACCTGAACAGATGTTCTCAGAAAGAAACTGGTGGGAACTCCTGCTGACAGGGTTGCTGGCTGTGCATGTGAGGTTGGGGTGATTTTCACTGCTTCTCCATGAGACATTGAGGTGTGATTCCCCTTGGGACACAACAGCTTCCTTCTGCAGCGGGGTCCATGTGTACATGACAGTGTTTCCCCCGTCCTCCACGGAGCAGGTCAGGCTGATCCTGCAGATGCCATCCTCACTGTGCCTGAGGCTCCACGTGATTTTGGGCTTCCTCAGCCTGCCTGTGAGGAGAGAGGCAGACTCCATGTGGAATCAGGCCTGCCCCCTGAGCAGTCACCTGTCTTCATTCATTGAAAATATATTCATGAAGCTGAGTGTTGATACTGCCGGCAAAGTGCCTCCAGGAGCCACAGGAATTTTGGAGTATACCTGGCATTTTCCTCACTACTTGTGACATCTCAGACACACCTCTTTGCCTCTTGATGCTCAGGTGAGAAACAAGGGAAATGATGAAAAGTGAAGAAAGAAAGACACAACCTCATTCTATACAGTTAGTTACAGCTGTGAAAGCAAGCAAACCAATCAACACAGATGAGCGCAACACTTCCATGTGCTGTGAAGACCCTTCAAGGCTTGGCTTTGAGGCTGATTTGTTTACTTATATGAGATAAGGGATGCAGAGAGGTGAGCGCTGTACCTGACACAGAGTAAATGTTCAATAAATGTTAGCAACTTTAAAAGAAACAATAAGACTGACTCTATTTGTTTCCTGTTTATTATTTTTACTTAACCTTGTGGGTTCCTTTATATTTGAGGCATTGTGTGCAATAGGCATGGACTTGGCCGACTTGCTTCATATTTTAACAAAACCATGATAGTGACTCTTCACAGATACCTAGACATTGACAAACTCAGGCAGGGGGTATGCTGACCATGTCTGAATGGCACAAGTGAAGGAACAGGTAAACATAAACCATGCAAATTGCCAAGCCAAGCTCCTGTGAGGCCCAGGGCTGAGGAGGTAGAATGCAAATTCTGTTCCTCACCCCCAGGGGAACTGAGTGGCCCACCTTCTTGGAGGCCACAGTGTCTTTGGACACCAAGGGCTTCTCCTCAGTCTTCTCTGATTTCACCCCAGCCAACTTTGGCCTTATTCAAAATGATAATAGTTTATAAAAATGCAGGTTGGGGCCAGGTGCCATGGCTCATGCCTGTAATCCCAGCACTTTGGGAGGCTGAGGCAGCGGATCACCTGAGGTCAGGAGTTTGAGACTTGCCTGGCCAATATGGCAAAACCCTATCTCTACTAAAAGTACAAAAATTAGCTGGTTGTGGTGGCGTGTGCCTGTAGTCCCAGCTACTTGGGAGGCTGAGGCAGAAGAATCCCTTGAACTTGGTAGTCAGAGGTTGCAGTGAGCTGAGATCGTGCCACTGTACTCCAGCCTGGGTGACAGAGCATGACTCCATCTCAAAAATTTAAAAATGCAGGTTGGTGAGTTCCCAGTCCCTTTGTTTTGTTTTGTTTTGTTTTTTTTAGACGGAGTCTTGCTCTTTCTCTCAGGCTGGAGTGAAGTGGCATGATCTCGGCTCACTGAAACCTCCGCCCCTTGGGGTTCGAGCGATTTTCCTGCCTCAGCCTCTAGAGTAGCTTGGATTACAGGCGCCCACCACCGAACCCAGCTAATTTTTGTGTTTTTAGTAGAGACGGGGTTTACCATGTTGGCCAGCCTGGTCTCAAATTCCTGACCTCAGGTGATTCACCTGCCTCAGCCTCCCAAAGTACCGGGATTATAGGTGTGAGCCACCGCACCTGGCCTCCTAGTCCCTTCTGACACTCAGTGCAGAAGGACCGGGGCAAGCACCTAAAGTTGGGTGGTGGAGGCCTAACTGGCAGCCTAGAGCCAGGGGCACTTTGGCGGGTAGACTTGTCCAGCAGCTAGTCATGAGTTTGCCTCCTATGAATCAACTGGTGTGAACTGAACAGCTGTCCTAGTGGTCTGAGGCATTTCAGTATGAGGGAAGACCCTTGGAGAAGCGGAAGGTGGAGAAGGCAGCAGAGGAGAAAGCTTTCAGAGAAGGAATCTGGTGATGGGTGCCCTGCCCAGAGACTCACGGTAGATGAGCAGGGTGACATGTGTCATGCTGGTGACGCTGGAGGCCTCTGAGCACACGTAGGCATGGTAGGGGCCGGCGTCCTCTATCTTCAGCTGGCTGATCTTCAGGGAGCAGTCCTGGCTGGAGACCCACACCCTGTTCTTGTAAGGATCCCTGGATTTAATGAGTGGATCTGCCGTTGCTGCTTCTTCCCTCTCTTTGCTAATGATGGATGTGTTAAACAACCAGACAACCTTCTCTGTGTCCCGGCAGGCTGGGAGTGCAAGTGGCAGGGTGACTGGCTCTCCCAGGACCCCTACCACAGTCTCCCCCGTTGTTCCTCCTCTGGAGGCTCCTGGATCTGGGGTCACAGATGAGACATTGCAGCTTCAGTCACTGTCCCTACTCCCTTGGCCCCCAGGCATCCTAAAGGGGACTGAGGGGACTGAAGTCCCTCCTCCTCTTCCTCTTTCTCCTGGCCTCCTCCTCTGAGGGGCATGCCTGCTACTTCTCCATGACCACCTGTTCCACTGGGCTGTGCCCACTGAATACTTGGACTCTCATGTCCCCTCTCTGCCCTTCTGAGGGTACCCGGAAACACCTCCACCCAAGCAAAGACCAATCTGGACTCCTGTATCCATATTGTCTTCTCCTCCCTTGCTCTAACCTTAGAGTATCACAGTGTTCTGGGCTTTCCCAAGTCCTGCCAGCCTCTGTCATGTCCCTGAGAGTAGAGAATAAGGGGTTTTGGGGCCTGTCCTCTTGCTTCCCCACCCCCTGTGTGTCTGACCAGGATCCTAGGGTTTAGACTCCACAGCTGCTCATATTGTTTCTGGAATTCCCTCAAGGGCCAAGTTGGAGCCAGTTACCTGTACAGAACTGCCCAACATGGACAGGGAGGGAGCTTCTCTGGCTGACGGGGTTCTGGGCTGTGCAGATGTATGGCAGGTCTGGGTCACATGGTGTTCGGGAGACGGTAAGAATGGAGCCTCCATTGGACTCAGAAGCATGGGGTTCCCTTGGGGTCCAGCTGTACAGAACACTTTTCTCTGCCCCCTTCACGGAGCACATTAGAGTGATGTTACAGGAGAAGTTCTCAGACACCTTCACAGACTTCATGGTGACTTGGGGCTCCTGCAGCTGCTCTGCAGGGACAACAGCATGGGAAGATGCTCAGATCCTTTTGCCAGCAGGAAAGCGCTGAGAGAAGAAGGGAGTGACAATAGGGGAGTTGGGGGCAGCAGAGAGAGGCCAGCGTTACCTGTCGCAGGGACATCTTCTCTGCAGGCTGGGTTGACAGCCTCTCCTCTGTACTCCCATAACATCCGCTACAGGTGTTATCACCATGACTCAGCATGACTAATAGTCTGATTACTTCTCTCTCTCCCCGACCAGTGTAAGAACTCCTTGATGACAGGGCTGATTCCTGTGTCTGAACATCTAACACCCAGCCTGCCTTATGAAAAACACTCATGAATGTTCAATGAATAAATAGGTGAATGGCCCAGCCCCAAACGCTATGGAGTGGGGACCTCTGCTTCTAGAATTTGAGTTGCCCGTGTCTTTGGTCTGAATTTAGGATGCATTGTGCTTCTAGATCTTCTTCCTTGTCTTCTCCTTTCCTTTTGTTCCATCTCCACTGCTCACCATGTATGTGCACATGTGTGAATGTTTCATTAAGTTATATTTCTTTTTTGAGACAGAGTCTCACTCTGTTACCCAGGCTAGAGTGCAGTGGCGTGATCACTGCTCACTGCAACCTCTGCCTCCTGGGTTCAAGCGATTCTCCTGCCTCAGCCTCCTGAGTAGCTGGGATTACAGGCACACAGCACCACACCCGGCTAATTTTTGTATTTTTAGTAGAGATGAAGTTTCACCAGTTGGCCAGGCTGGTCTCGAACTCCTGACCTCAGGTGATCTGTCTGCCTTGGCCTCCCAAAGTGCTGGGATTACAGGCATGAGCCACTGCACCTGGCCCAATATTTCTTCTTTTGAATAGGTAATACATTAAAAAAAATTGAGAAAATACCAAAGCTACATAATGAAAAAAGTAAGCTTTCTAGCCTCCAGCCATTTATTTCATCTCCCCAAGAATTACTATTCCTGGAGGCAATTACTGTTATGGGTTTCTTGTTGATCTTTCCAGAGGTATTCTAGATATAGACAGATATATGCATACTTTACACACTGTTTTGAACCTTAAAAAATTAACAATATATCTTGGAAATTATTGTACGTCATTTGTCAACACATGTGGAGTTGATTCATTCTAATTCTATTAACTGCACAGAATTCCGTTTCCTTAATAGATACAGAATACCCTACAAATCAATGAAAACGGTCAAATTATCTGATAGAAAGATGGTGTTATGAGCTAAACTGTGTCTCTGCAAAGTTTAGATGTTGAAGTCTTAACCTCTAGCACCTCAGAATGTGACCGTATTTGAAGATAGAACTATATTTGGAGATAGAAGTAATTAAGTTAAAATGGGGCCATTAGGGTGGGCCCTAGTCTGATATGAGTGGTATCCTTATAAGAAGATGAGATTAGAGCACAGACAATATAGACAGAGGGACACCCATGTGAAGACATGGAGAGAAAGTGGCCATGTGGGAGCCAAGGAGAGAGGCCGCAGAAGAAACCAAGCCGCTGATACCTTCATTGGCCTCCAGAATTGTGTTCTGGAGAAATGTGGAATACGTTTCTGTTGTTTAAGCTAGTCAGTCTGCAGTATTTTGTTATGGCAGCCCTAGAAAACTAACACAGATTTTGATACCAGAAGTGGGATGAAGCTCTAAAAATCTAAAAATGTGAAGTGGCTTTGGAATGGGCTGATGGGTGGAGATTGGAAGAATTTTGAGGTGTGTGCTAGAAAAATCCTAGATTGTCTTCAAGAGACTCTGGGTAGAAACATGAATGTTAACGAAAATTTGGGTGAGCACTCAGAAAGAAAATAGGAACACTGCAGGGAATGCTGCTATTACCTTAGAGATATACATATGTGATCATGAGCAGAATGTTGGTAAAAATATAAATATTAAATGTGTTGCTGGTGAGGTCTCAGACAGAAATTAGAAATATGTTACTGGAAACTGGAGGAAAGGGCATACTTGTTGTAAAGTGGCAAAGAACTCGGCCACGTTGTATTCTAGTGTTTTGTGGAAAGCAGAATGTTTAAGTGATAAATTTGGGTACTTAGCTGTGGAGATTTCTAATCAAAGAGCTGAAGGCACTGCCTAGTTTCTCCTTGCTACTTATATAAAATGTGAGAAGAGAGAGAGAGGTTAAATAAGGAATTGTCAAGCAAGATGGAGCCAGAACTTAAAGCTTTGAAAAAATGTCACCTATTCATATTGCGAAAAACGAGAAAGTGTGTCTGGAGAGAACACAAAGATTGTGGCTTGGCAATGTTTGCTAAAGAGGTTATGAGATTTGACCACCTCAGCAGAAATGCTGCCAGTCTGGACTGTAAGGGACAGAGACAGGACAAATGAAGGAGTGTGTCAGGCTTCTGGGATTTTATGAAATAAGTCAATACAGCTGTACAGCTGCAAATATGTATTATCCTTCAAGAAAAGGGAAGAGTGACCCCACAGGCAGTTCAGAAGTAGGCAGAGCTGCCACTGCCACCATAGGCCTAGAGGGCACAAGCCTTGGGTAGGGTGAGGTGGTTTCCTCCTTGGTTCCAGGGGGCAGAACTGCCGCTCAGGGCCAAGGAGGTGGGGCTGCTACTCCAGTGGGCCCAGAGGATAGAGCACTGAGCCAAAGAGTATTATGCTTGAGCCTTAAAATCTAATGGAATTTACCCTGTTAGGTTTTGGACTTGTTTGGGACCTGTGACTTTTTTCTTCTTCCCAATGTCTCTCTTTTGGAATGGCAATGTCTATTCCATACCTGTTCCACCATTGAATTTTGGAGGCAGATAACTTCTCTGGTTTTGCAGGTTCACAACTGAAGAAGAATTTTGCCTCAGGGTGAATCATATCTCAAGTCTCACCCATACCTGATTTAAATAATATTTAGATGGATTTTGGACTTACAGTTGATGCTGGAATGGGTTAAAACTTCTGGTATTGTTGGAATGTGGTGAATGTATTTTGCATGTGAGAAGGACATGAATTTTGAGAGGCCAGAGGGTAGAATGTTAGGGCTGAATTCTGTCCTCCCACAACATTCATATGTAGAAGTTCTAATCCCGAGTACCTCTGAATGTGACTGTATTTGGAGACAGGGCATCTAAAGAGGTAATTAAGTTAAAATGGAATTGTTAGGGTGAACCCTAATACAGTATGACCGATGTGCTTATAAGAAGAGATTAGGACATAGACAACACAGACAAAGGAATGACTGTGGGGGCACAGTGAAAAGGTGGCCAACTACAAGCCGAAGAGAGAGGTCCCAGGAAAAACCGAACCTGCCAACACCTTGAACTTGGATTTCTAGTCTCCAGAATTGTGAGAAATAAATTTCTGTTGTGTAAGCCATCTATTCTGGGATATTCTGTTATGGCATCCCTATCACACTAATACAGATGAGTAAAGAATATTAATAGAGAGTTACAGAAAAGAGAATACAAATGGCTATTCAATACATGAAAAGATGGCTAGACACAGTGGCTCACGCCTATAATCCTAGCACTTTGGGAGGCTGAGGAGAGTGAATTGCTTGAGGCCAGGAGTTCAAGATCAGCCTGGCCAACATGGCAAAACCCTGTCTCTACTAACAATACAAAAATTAGCCAGGCATGTGGTGCATGCCTGTAATCCCAACTTCCTCGGGGGCCAAGACGGGTGAATTGTTTGGACTCAGAAGGTGGAGGTTGCAGTGAGCTGAGATTGCACCACTGCACTCCAGCCTGGGCAACAGAGCAAGACTGTCTATCAAAACAAACATAAAACATAAAACATGAAGAGATGCTCATCTCATTCATAAGAAAAATATAAATTTAAGCCATGAAATACTATTGTAACTACTCAATTTATCAACAAAGAAATGTTTGACAATACTTTGTTATTGAGAATATAAGGAAATGGTGTCTCTCAAACATTGCTGGTGGGAGGATTACTTGATAACACGGAGGGAAATTCAGCAATATCTAGCAACATTAAAAATGTATATACTAAGCTAGGTGCAGTGGTGCCTGTAATACCAGCTTCTTTGGAGGCTGAGGTGGAAGGATTGTTTGAGGCCAGGAGTTTGGAATCAGCCTGGGCAACATAGTGAGAACCAGTCTCTACAAAATAAAATAATAATAAATAAAAATTGAGGATTTTAAAGCCAGGCATGGTGGCACATGCCTGTAGTCCCAGCTACTTGGGAGGTTGAGGGAAGGGGACAGCTTGAGTCCAGGAGTTTGCGACTAGCCTGGACAACAAAATGAGACTATGTCTCTATGAAATACTGGTAATAGTAGTAGTAATAATAATAATAATAATAATAATAATAAATTCAGGATTTAAAAGCTGGGCATGGTGGCAAGTACCTGTAGTCCCAGCTACTTGGAAGATAGAGGCAGGAGGATCACTTGAGCCCAGGAATTGGAGGCAAGCCTAGGTGATGTAGTGGGATGATGTCTCAAAAAAAAAAAGAATGCATATACCATTAGATTCAGTAATTTGACCCCATATATATATTCTAGATTTATCCATCAGAATATAACCTAGTCACATAAGCGTGAAAAGATAGGTGCACAAGAATATTCATTGCAGCATTGTTTATAAGAGGAAATATTGGAAACAATATTTCTATAAGCAGAAACAATATTTCTACAAGTAGGAGACCCGTTACATGAATTATGGCGATTATATAACATGTAAGGAATTTACGGGTGTGTCTTCTAATTTTGACATCTGTGTATATGGAATTAGGTGAAAAACGATCAATATAGTAGTCATATTTATCCTAGAGAGAGAAATTCCTGGAGAAAAAGAATGTCTGTTTTTAAAAATAAAAGATCAAGAGAAGGGGCTTCGAAATGGCTGACTAGAAGCATTTAATGCCTACCTCCTCTACTTAGAAGAACAAAAGTAGTATACAAACAGTCATATTTCAAATACATTTTCCAAGGGAGAATGCTGGAATTCAACAGAGATGTGACAGGAAACACTAAAAGCAGGGAAGGAGAAGGAACAGAGACAGCCTCCCTGGCTGAGATCTGCTGGGAGCTGGGAGTGATTTCCCAATAGAGGTGAGCGAGAGACCTCCAGTGGCCCACATCCCACTGCAGAATCATGCAGTCCTGGCCACATGAGACCCCTTTGACCCTCCCAATCCCTGAAACTACCATAGGGAGCTGCTGGGAGACTGTGGGGCGGAACTGCTCCAGGGAGGGAGCTCCTGCTGGGTTCCATACTCTTTCTGAGACCTCTGCAGTTATAGTAAGGGACCATTTTCAAACTGAGCCTTTGGCAGAATGCACGCTGTCCTGGGGCCCAACAGTGCTGGGTCTGAGGTGTTAGGAAAACTAAAACTGTTGCTGCCAAGACTAGAGTATGGATTGGGAGCACTCTGCAGGTAGAGCTAAGTAGCAAGAGAGGTGTGGGCTGCAGTTTCTGGTCCTAGGAAGTGAATGCTGCTGTGACTGAGACTGGGTAAAGTAGTGGGCTGTGAGCTGCTGCTGCAACTTGGTTGCAAGCTGGGCAAAAGCTCCTGCAGCTAGTGCTGGCTTGGGGGAAGCCCTCCTAGGACTGAGGCTGAGAGGGATGCATATTCCCCATCTGCCATCCAAGGCTGTGGCCACTGAACCTGGCCTCACCTTCTCCAGTGGCAGGGCCTCACGGTGGCGGCTACTGTCCTCACCTGAGCACTCTGCCTGGGGCCTGAGGATGGCCCTGCTTCCACATACCATAGCTGGTGTTTGCTTTCACCACTGGGGGGCCTGAGTGCAAGCCCACTCAGCCTGGCTTCCCCCTTCCCCCTTGGAAAGAGAACACATAGGCCAGCATCTTGGGGATTGCCCAACCCAATCCACTGCCTTGGGCACCTGAGCATTTTTCCACAGGGGCCTAGGGTGGGCCTAACTCCCAGCCACTACCACCTACCTGCAAGTGCCACCTGTGGTCCTGGAGACTGGTCTGCCCAGGCCATTGCAGCCACCATCAACATCAATGCACACTGCTTGGGACCCAGAGAATCATCCCACTACTGTCATTCCCCATGCCACACTGACTGCCAGGGGGCCTGAGAGCCTGCTCACCACCCTTCAGTCCACTGCTGCCATTATCGGTATCTGAGCAAGCCACCTGGAGACCTAAAAATCGACCTGCTGATAAGCATAAACACAAGTGACAGCATACACTGCCTTGAGGCACAAAGATAGGTATGCTGCCACCACTGTGGCCTGATGACTGGCCCACTTGACATTTCAATCCTCAGCGCAACTTCACCACAGCCTCTGCTAATAAACACACTCTGACCTACTGAGGAAATCACAGATACCACTAATGTTATTTACAGCCAAATAAATCATACAAATACTATACTACTGCATGCACCCAGAATCAAAGCCAGAGTGCCCTACCCCAACAACACAATAGACACATATTCAGGAAAAAGACCTCCCCATGAAAGTAACTTAAAAAAATAAGAAGAAGCTCAGTGAGATACAAGAGAATTCTGAAAAACAATACAAAGAAATCAGAAAAACAATTTTGGATATGAATGACAAATTAACCAAAGAGATAGATATTTAAAAAACAGAATGAATAGAATTCTGGAATTGAAGATTTCACTGAAGGAAATACAAAATATACTTGAAAGCTTCAACAATAAACTAGATTAGGCTGAAGAAAGAATCTCACAACTTGAAGACAGGTCTTTTGAAATAATTCAGCCAAACAAAAAATAAATAAATAAAAAGAATAAAAAAGAATGAGCTAAACCTTTGTTACATTTGGGACTTCATAAAGTGATAAAATATTCAAATTATTTCATCCCTGAGGGCAAAGAGACAAAGAGCTGATTAGAAAATGTATTTAATGAAACAATAGCAGAAAACTCCCCAAGTCTAGCAAGACTCTTAGACATCCAGATACAGGAGGCTCAGCAATTCCCAGGAAAATACAATGCAAAAAGATCTCCATGACACATCACAGTCAAACTATCTAAAGTCAAAGAGTAAATCATAAAAACAGTAAGAGAAAAACATCTAGCCACCTATAAATGAAAGCCCAGCAGGCTAATGGTGGATTCCTCAGCAGAAACTTTGCAGGCCAGAAGAAAATGGAATAATATATTCAAAGAGTCAACCAAAAATACTATATCTGGGAAAATTATTCTTCATAAAAAAGGAGAAATAGCGTTTCCCAGACAAGCAAATGCTGAGAGAATTTGTTACCACTAGATGGGGTCTTACAAGAAATGCTCAAGGGAATCCTAAACCCAGAAGCAAAAGATGACATTTACCATGATGGAAACACACAGAAGTATAAAACTCATTTGTAAAGCAATCACACAAAGGGTGAAGAGAAAGGACTTGAATGATGTCACTACAGATACCCACCAAACCACAGTGACAAACAATAAGAGAGAAAGAAACAAAGAATATATGAGACAACCAGAAAATAATTAACAGTATACAGGAAAAAGCTTCACATATCAATAGTAACTCTGAATGTAAATGGATTAAATTATCCATTTAAAAGATGTAGAATGGTGGAATGGATTTAAAAACATGATCCATCTATATGTTAATTACATGAAAATTCACCTTAACAGTAAAGATATATAGACTACAAGTAAAGAAATGGAAAAACAATTCCATGCAAATGGAAACCAAAAGCAAGCAGGAATAGCTAGCTATATTTATATCAAATAAACAAACTTTAAGTCAAAAACAGTAAAAAAAAAAAAAAAAAAAAAAGACAAAGAATGCCATTATGTAATGATGAAGGGATCAATCCAGCAAGAGGATATAACAACTCTAAATGTATATGCACCCAACACTGGAGCACCCAAATTCATAAAGCAAATATTACCAGAGAGAGAGTGAGAGTAAGAGTGTGTGTGTGTGTGTGTGTGTGTGTGTGTGTGTGTGTGTGAGACAGAGAGAGAGAGACTGCAACAGAATAGTAGTGGAGGACTTCAGCACTCCACTCTCAGCATTAGACAGAGCTTCTAGATGGAAAATCAACAAAGAAACATTGGATTTAAATTGGAGTTTGGACCAAATGGACCTAACAGATATTTACAGAACATTCTATCCAACAGTTGCAGAATATACATTCTTTTCATTAGTAGATGAAGCATTCTCCAGGATAAACTATTTGTTAGACCACAGTACAAGTCTCAACAAATTTTAAAAAATTGAAATCATATCAAATATCTTTTCAATCCCAATGGAATAAAACTAGAAATCAATATTAACAGGAACTTTGGAAATGATACAAATACATGGAAATTAAACAACATGCTCCTGACCATTGGGTCAACAAAGAAATTAAGATGGAAATTTAAAAAAAGTTCTTGAAACAAATGAAAAAAAAAACACAACATACCAAAAGCTATGGAGTACAGCAAAAGCAGTGCTGAGGGAAGTTTATAGAAATAAATGCCTACATGAAAAATGTATAAAGATCACAAATTAATAATGTAACAATGAACTTTAAGGAGCTAGAAAAGCAAGAACAAACTAAGCCCAAAATTAGTAGAAGAAAAGAAATAATAAATATCAGAGCAAAACTCGATGAAGTAGGGACTAAAAAAATGCAAAGAATCAATGAAAGAAAAAGTTAGCTCTTTGAAAAGACAGACAAAATTAATAACCTGCTAGCTAGGCTAATTAAGAAAAGAAGAAAGAAGACCCAAATAAACAAAATCAGAAAAAGTGGAGACATTACAACTGACATTACAGGAATACAAAAGACCAAAATCCAAAAGACCGTCAGAGACTATTATGAACAACTATACTCTGACAAACTGAAAAGCCTAGAGAAAATGGATAAATTCCTAGAAACATACAACCTACCAAGACTGAATCAGTAAAAAATAGAAAATCTGAACAGACACCAACGACAAGTAGTGAAATTAATCTGTAATAAAAAAGTCTCCCAACAGAGAAAAGCCCGAGACTGATGGAGTCACAGCCAAATTCTACCAAATATACAAATAATAACTAATATCAATCCTCCTAAAACTATTCTTAAAAATCAAAGTGGGGGGAATTTTCCTTAACTCATTCGATGAGGCCAGCATTATGCTAATACCAAAATCAGACAAGGACACAACAACAAAAAGAAAACTACAGGCCAATATTCCTGATGAACATAGATGCAACAATCCTCAGCAAAATACTAGCAAACAGAATCCAACAGCATATCAAAAAGATAATACATGATCAAGTGGGATTTATCCCAGGGATGCAAGGATGGTTTAACGTATGTAAATCAATAAATGTGATACATCACATCAATAGACTGAAGGATAAAAACCATATGATCATCTCAATGGTTATAGAAAGAGCACTTGATACAGTCCAAATCCCTTCCTGAAAAAATTTCTCAACAAACTAGGCATAGAAGGAATATACCTCAAAATAGTAAAGCCCATATATGACAATTCCACAATTAGCATTGTACCAAATGGGGAAAAGCTGAAAGCCTTTCTTCTGAGAACTCGAACAAGATAAGGATACCCACTTTCACTACTTTTATTCAACATAGTACTGAAAGTTCTACTCAGAGAAATTAGGCAAAATAAAGAAATAAAAAACATTCAAAGTGTAAAAGAGAAAGACAAATTGTTCCTCTTTGCTGATGATGTAATTTTTTTTTTGAGACAGGGTCTCATTTTTTCACCCAGGCTGTAGTGCAGTGGTATAGTCATGACTCACTGCAGCCTCAGCCTCCTGGGATTCAAGCAATCCTCCCACCTCAGCCTCCAGAGTAGCTGATACTACAGGCACATGCCACCATGCCCAGCTAATTTTTGTATTTTTTTGTAGAGATGGGGTTTTGCCATGTTGCTCAGGCTGGTCTTGAACTTCCGAGCTCAAGCAATCCACCTGCCTTGGTCTCCCAAAGTGCTAGGATTACAGGTGTGAGCCACCACGCTTAGCCTGAGGATATGATCTTATAACTAGAGAAACCTAAAGACTCCACCAAAAAACTCTTAGATTTGATAAATGAATTCATTAAAGTTGCAGGATAGAAATCAGTGTACAAAAATCAGTAGCATTTCTATACACCAATAATTATTTAATCAAGAAAGAAATAAAGAAGTGAATCCGGTTTATAATAGCTATTAAAAAACCCTAGGAACAAGTATAACCAAGGAGGTGAAAGATCTCTACAAGGCAAACTACAAAACACTGATGAAAAAATCATAGATGACACAAACAAATGGAGAAATATCCCATGCTCATGGACCAGAAGAATCAATATTGTTAAAATGACCATATTGCCCAAAGAATCTACAGATTCAAGGCAATCAGTATCAAAATACCAACCTTATTCTTCTCAGATTAGAAAAACAATACTTTTTAAAAAAAAAAATTTTTTTTTAGACACGGTTTTCACTTTGTCACCCAGGCTGGCATTCAGTGGCGTGATCTTGGCTCACTGCAACCTCTGCCTCCCAGATTAAAGTGATTCTCCCGCCTCAGACTTCCGAGTAGCTGGGATTACAGGTGCCCATCACCACCCCTGTCTAATTTTTGTATTTTTAGTATAGACGGGGTTTCACCATGTTAGCCAGTCTGGTCTCGAACTCCTGACCTCAAGAGATCTGCCTGCCTCAGCCTCCCAAAGTGTTGGGATTACGGGCATGAATCACTGTGCCTGGCCAGAAAAAAAAATCCTAAAATATATACGGAAGCACAAAAGACCATGAATAGTCATAGCAATGCTAAGCAAAAAGAACAAAGCTAGAGGCATCACATTACTCGACTTCAGTATACTGTATATGGCTATAGCAACCAAAACAGCATGGTGTTATAAAAATAGACACATAGACCAATGGAACAGAATAGAGAACACAGAAATAAAGCCACAGGTTTATAGCCAATTGACCTTTGACAAATCCAACAAAAACTTACACTGGGGAGAAAAGATACTTTTTATTTATTTATTTATTTATTTATTTTTATTTTTTTAGAGACCATGTGCAGTTTAATTGTGGGGAGGCTGAGGAAAGCAGCATTTTCACCAAATTGGTGTAAAAATAAAATGGGGTCCACACGTGTACACTGGCAGCTACAGTAAATTTAAAAATCTGAGCAGCAATTTGAACCATTTCTTGGAAAAACAAACACTGACAAACACTGAGTTGGTGCCTGGCGCGGCCCGCAGGGTTGGAGGCCAGCTCCGCATCATGGGTGCAGCCCCGCACTGTGGGCCTGCATCCCGGGGATCCCAGCTCCTCGGGGAGTGGCCGGTGACCTCCCACGCAGTGGGCTGAGCCAGGCCTGGCTGAGAGGGGGCCGCAGCCAGCAGGCCCGGATGGCCTCCCGCGCCTGCAGGGGACATCCAGGAAATGGGTGCAGTGTGCGGGACCCGCATGCTGCCCGAGGAGTCTTTGCAGGGTGGACAGGCTTGGGAGTCTCTACCAGCAATGCAATAAATAAGCAAATCCAAGCGGAGAAAGACCAAGCACAAACCCCACTGGCACACAAGGCCCAGCCCGGTTCCTGCGGGCGTCAGCGGCTCTTCACAGACCAGGAGTCTCCAAGTTGGCGGCTCCGGTGTTCCCGACGTGCCATGGGAGGCGGCGGGTGGGTGGGACACGCCTAACGCCCACGTCTAGCAGCCTCGGGGGGCAGTGGCACTGGGCCTGGCAGGGTCCCATCGGCAGGACCCTTCCAGCTCTGCTGCGCGGCGGTGAGGTGGGGATGGCGGAGCGGTCTCCAGTGGCAGGTGGGGGCGAGGGCCTAGCCCTCCCGCACGCTCACACGTGGCTCAGCCAGGGTGCTGATGATGGACTCCAGGCCGCTGCCCTCCAGGAGTGTGCGGTGGTCACCCTCGATGACGTGGACGGACAACTTTTCAATAAATGGTGCTGGGAAAATTGAATAGTCACATGCAGAAGAATGAAGTTGAACCCCTATTTCTCATCATATAAAAAACCTCCTCAAAATCAGTTAAAAGACTTGAATGTAAGACCTGAAACTATAAAAATACTAGAAGAAAACCTAGGGAAAACTCTCCTGGACATTGGTCTGGACAAATAAATTTATGACTAAGACCTCAAAAGCACAGGTAACAAAAACAAAAATAGACAAACGGGATTTAAACTAACAAGCTTTTGCACAGCAAAAGAAATAATCAACAGAGTGAAGAGACAACGAGTTGAATGGCAGATATATTTGTAAACTATTCATCTGACAGGGAAGTAATATCCAGAACATACAAGGAACTCAAATAACTCAACAAGAAAAAACGAATAATTCTATTAAAAAGTGGGCAAAGGATACAGACATTTCTCAAAAGAAGACATACACATGACCAACAGATATATTAAAAATGCTCAATATCACCAATTATCTGAGAAATACAAATCAAAATCACAATGAGATATTATCTCACTCCAGTCAGAATGGCTGTTATTTAAACACTAACCACATGTTGGCAGGATGTGGAGAAAAGGGGAAATCTTAGACACTCTTGGTGGGGATGGAAACCAGTACAGCCACTATGCAAAACAATATGAAGATTTCTCAAAAAACTAAACATTTAATTAGCATTTGATCCAGTAATACCACTACTGGATATCTACCCAAAGGAAAAGAAAAGAAATTGATATATGCAAGGAATACCTGCATTTGTATGTTTATTGCAGCACTATTCTCAATAGCAAAGATATAGAATTAATCTGTGTCCCTTAGCGGAAGAATGGATAAAGAAAATGCAGTATACACATACATACATGTATTTATACACATCATGGAATACTAATCAGCCACAAAAGAATGAAGTCATGTCTTTTGCAGCACCATGGATGAAACTGGAGGCCATTATCCTAGCTGAAATAACTCAGAAACAGAAAGTAAAATACCACACGTTCTCACCTATAAGTGGAAGCAATGGGTACACATGGACATACAGAGTAGGAATAATGGATAGCGGAGCCTACAAGAGGTAGGAGGGTGGGAGAGGAGTGAGGGCTGAAAAATTATCTATTGAGTACAATGGTCACTCTTTGGGTGATGGGTGCACTAAAAGCCCAGACTTCCCCAGCATGCAATATGTGCATGCAATAAATCTACACTTGTACCCCCTAAATATATTTAAACAATTTAAAAATCCATAAAAAAGAATGAAATCATGTCTTTTGCAGCAATGTGGCTGAAACTGGAGGTCATTATCTTAAGTTAAATAAGCTAGGCACAAAAAGACACATATCGCATGTTCTCACTTATATGTTGGTACTAAAAATTTTGATCATGTGGAAGTGGATGGTGGAAAGATAGATAGCAGAGACTGAGAAGGGTGAGTGTGGGGAGTGGGTGGTGGGGGGATGATGAAGAGAAGTGGGTTAAAGGGTACAAACATACAGTAAGATAGAGAAAATCAATTCAATTTTTGATAGCAGAGTAGGGTGACTATACTTAACAGGAATATATTGTACTCAGGCAGCAGACACACTGAAAACTCTGACTTGATCAGTATGCACTATATACATATAACAAAATTTCACACATACCCCATAAATTTGCACAAATAAAAAAAAGAAAAGATCAAAACACAGAAGCTCTCTGGAACTCACCATAGACGAACAGGGTGAATTCCTCCTCAGTGGTGACTTCAAAATTCCTTTGGTTTATCTGGGCTTTGTAGGATCCTGCATCATTCAGAGTCAGATTGCTGATGCACAGGGAGTAACTCCACTTGGTGATGTCTAGTCGGCCCAGGTAGCTTTTGACCATAATGGTTACATTTTCTTTGGGACGTGCGAAAGCAAGAGCATTTTTGGGACCAATCCAGATGACGTTCTCAATCTCTGTGTCTACTGAGATGTTTAGGGGGAGAGTCACGGAACCCCCTAGGATCCCTGACACCACTGTTGGGGCTGAGTCCTTTCCAGAGGCTCTTAGTCCTGCAGAGATAGAAGAGGGACTTGGAGGAGCAGCTAGACTCCTTGAGCTAGCCTTCTTTCTTTCACTCTGTGAATATACATTGGGCATAAATGTCAGATGCTGAGAAATGAAATGAGATTCTTGTCCTCCTTCTTCTAGGTCAATTGCCTAGCACAGTCATTAATTCCTCCATTCCCCAAACACTGTCTCCCTTAAAAGCAGCCACAACAATCTGTGAAACAGATCTTCTGGGTTTCTGTTCCAGTAGAGGAATTAGCCTTGTGACTTTGGGTACATTTCTGAATTTTTCAGTGAATCTTATCTAAAAGATTGAAATGCTCATACCTGCACCATTTTCTTCAAGGGATATGGTAAAAATGAAATGAAAGCAGGTTGCTGCAAATTGTGAAGAGCCAATGAAGTAAAAAGGAGCATATTTTTAAAAATATGGGTGGGTAGAGGGATGGTTAGATGGGCAGGCGAGTGATAAAGCAAGCAAAGTAAAACGTTTGTGTTAGAATCTAGGTAGTAGGCCTATGAATGTTCAGGGTAAATGCTCCAACTTTTCTGAATGTTTGAGAACTCTCATAGCAGTGTCGGGAACTAAAGGAGCTTCTCCTACCTCTACCTCACCCTTATTGTCCATGGCATCTCAGATTGACTTTGGTTTGGCCAGGTTTGGGGGTGGGAATAGCTGGTGGTACTAATACAGTTCCTGATTTCCTCATCTTAGGCAAGATCATATTCCTGATAAACATTGTTACCAAGGCATCTAGGAAGCTGGTATTTGGCCAAGGCAGTTAATTTTCTTGTAGGGACCCTGTGGGTGTCTTCTGGGTGACCCTAGCTTGGATTCCCAGATTCCAGGGCTTCCGAGGCTCTGGAGAGCACTTTTGAAATTCTAGACCAAAACAGATGGGTTTGGGACCCAGACTCCACCAGGAATTCTGGGTGGGAAAATAAGTAGAAAATGTTAGAGACAAAAAAGGAGCATAAGCATAGCCTGGAGGGGCGGAAGAAAGCTGAAGCAAGCTCTGAAAACCCAGAGGATACAGAATATGCAGACACTGGAAGGAGAGAGGCTGCTTGGTGCAGGTCATGGGGGTTCTCTGCTTAGACCTCCATCAGCCAAGCACTTGCACCTTGTGGAGAGGCAGCTATGGAGCATGCAGGGCTAGGGATCCTGGACATGAGAAGGTTGGGTCAGGTGGATTCTTTAGGCAGATTCAGGCTGAGTTGATGTGAGGTTGGTTTGAGGTTTTCTAAAAGAGAGCTCTTCCCATCTGGAAGAGACTGCTTACGATTGCTATGTGTGCATTAGGTACTTTATGTAAATTATCTCATTTAATTCTCATAACTATACTATAATTAGCCCCTTTTTACAGATGAGGAGCTGAAATTTAGAGAATTTAATCCACTTCCCTGAGATTACAGGGTTGATCAGTCACAGAGTCCAGATCCTATGTCCATGATGCCCCTGGAGTAGGGAGGCCAGGAGTACTGCCCATCTGTATCCTGGAAGCCCAGGAGCTGCTGGGTCTTGACTGGGTGCATATGACTCGTTTTGACTTCAAATTTTCTTACATCAGACAAAAACCATAAACAAAAGCCTCACAGACTCTCAGTGGAGGGGGCAGGATGTGGGCCTCACAGGGCAAATCTTGTTGCAGAAGACAGTGCAATGCAGCTCCCAGTACAATGACAGGTCCCCAGTACCAGTCATTTTATTTTGAATTGCACCGTAGGACAAATAATAAAAGAGCATTCAAAGATTGCAAAACTGAATTTGACTCACCTGTCTCTTAATAGTTTCCAAAGAATGCACGTAACAGTAATTATAATAATAACAATCATAGCTTCTGCCAACTATGTGCCACTATACGTGTGTGTGTGTGTGTGTGTGTGTGTGTATAGATCATCTACAATCTGTAAGAGTGTTGCATGATGCATCCTACTAACTATATTTTACACTTAAGAAATAGAGGCCCTCATCACTAATAAATGATGGAGCAATGATTTAATTTCAGATGTTCCTGATACTAAAGTGAGAGGGGTCTTTTCACTCGACTGCCTTTTAAGTTCCTGAAATGACTCTTTGGAGATACAAAAGCATCATCCTTTCAGACCAAAAGAGTGAGATTTGAGGTCATCCTAATCAGTGGAGCCAGACCAATGGAGATGCCTCTTTGCTCTGAACTGTTTGAAATTCACTGCATTGATCATTTGCGGCTTGGATGACCTTGAATGTAGCTTATTTCAGGTTTGCTCAACACAATCAAGGAACACCCCAAAGGTTGGAGGTAAACATAAACAGCCTTGCTGCTTTCTGTGTGTTTTGATGAGCCAAGATAAAATTGAAAGTGAAAAGAGGTCAGACTGGACCTCAGCTCTGAGGTCTAGGCTCCTCGTTCACCCATATCTGCATCTAGGAGTGTTTCTAAAGCTCCCTTCAGGCACCAACTGCCAACCCCCACTGCTCTCAGATCTCTAGTGCTACCTGCACCATCATCCCTGAAGCCCTGGAGAAAGCGGGAGCACAGAAGGACAGTAGCTGCCACAGTCCCAGGTGGCTGAGATCCTCTCTGGGGTACTGGATTGGCTCTATCTGCTGGACAGTGGGGTTCCGGGCCATGCAGCGGAGAGATGTTTCCCAGGAGTTGGGCCTTGATAGGGAGGAATAAGGTTGAGGAGAAAAGGATATCCAGATAAACGCCACCTTGCCCATGGTCACCTAACCGCGTCCAGGTCCCCAGTGAAACCTCAGTAATAAAGCCAGCATATATGATAACCAAGGCAGGATACATAGAAAGAAGCTCCAGAAGTTCTCTCCATCCCTAGGAAATTGCTAGGTGGCTTCTCATCAGGGGATTTTCCTGGATCCCTCTGTGGGTTTTATCCACACCATACAGGGAACAAACTCATTATATACTTGGCATTTCTTAGGAAAATGTGAGGGCAAGAGAAATGTAGTTTGAGCCCAGAGCTATTTGAGACCGGGGCTAGAATGTTACCCCCTTCATAGTGCACGAATATGCACACATGCAAAGTAATTTCTGGCAAGGAGATGAGTTTCCCGATTTTACCAACAAGAACTGGGCTCACGCCTGTAATCCCAGCACTTCAGGTGGCTGAGCTGGGCAGATCACGAGGTCAAGAGATCGAGACCACCGTGGCCAACATAGTGAAACCCTGCCCCTACTAAAAATACAAAGATTAGCTGGGTGTGTTGGCATGCACCTGTAATCCCAGCTACTCAAGAGGCTGAGGTAGGAGAATCGCTTGAACCCAGGAGGTGGAGGTTGCAGTGAGCCGAGATTGCGCCACTTCACTCCAGCCTGGCAACAGAGTGAGACTCCGTTAAAAAAAACAAAAAACAAAAAAAAGAATCTCCCAGGCAGGGAATGCAACTGGCCTCAGAAGAACCGCAGTAGCAAGAAGTGGTGGCCATAAAGTGGACTTACCCATGAGCAGGAAGAGGAGAGAGGTCTGTAGAACAGAAGAGAATATTTGCAGCTGACTCCTCTGTGGCTTACTGGAGAAAGGCCCAGGAGCCCAGTCATCTGTGTGACTCTTTGGTGCCACCATGATGATCTATTTTCAGAACTGAGACTGAAGGAGGATGCACTTACCACAGCTTCCGCACGTGTCACAGCTTCTGCATGTGTATATGAGTGTGTGTGTGCATGTGTATGTGTATGTGTGTGTGTCTCAGAGGGAGGGTTGTTTATACAAAACACCACAGACTCCTCCCATCTGCGCAGGCAGGTAGAGGTCCCAAGTCTATTCAGGGCCTCATTTGTGACTGATGTGGAGCATCACTTGCTTTGACATCAAGGGACTTGGGTTCTAAATTTGGCTCCTAAAGGTGACTGCTAAAGATCTGTACCTCCTGGCATTCATGCCTCTGTGTAATCACCTCTTCTTTAGTGTGGCCTGGATTTAGTGACTTGCTTCAAGTGAATAGAATGTGGCAGAGATGTGGGATGGGTCACTTCTGAGATTAGGTTACAAAAAAGCTGTGACTTCCATCTTGGGTTAGCATGTGTGTGCATATGCGCTCTCTCTTTCTCTTGCCCTCTCTCCCTCTCTGTCTTTCCCACTATCTCTGTCTCCCTACCTTACACTGAGGGGAGCCAGGTATTGTTTTGTGAGATACTTTAGGGAGAGGGTTCCAAAACAAAGAACAGAGGGAGGCCCCCAGCCAACAATCGGCGAGGAGCTGATTCCTCTGGCCAACTGTCCATGAGGACTGAGGCTAGCCAAGAATCACATGAGTGAGACTGGAAGTGGATCCTCCCCAGGAGGTCCTTGAAATGACTGCAGCCCTGGCTGACACCGTGATGTTAGTTGTGTGAGTACCTTAAGCCAGAGGCACCCAGCTAAGCCATGCCCAGATTCCTTATCAAGAGAAACTGTGAGATAATAAATGTTTGGTTTTTAAATTTTTTTTCAATTTTTTATTTTTCATCAAAAATGCTTATTGTTTTTAGCTGTGAAGTTTGGGGCAATTTGTTACACAGCAACAGATAACTAATACAGTGACCCAATACATTTTCTATTTTGCTCAAGGCAGTTTGTGCTAGCTTTCTGTCACATGCAATGAAGGACTTTTAATATGGACAAAGGCATCAGGGAGACTGCAATGGGGGTGGACATCGTATGTGACAGCGTAGAGGTGACTGAGTTGAAAAGGTAGGCTGGAGAATGGCATGATTCCCTATATCCTGACTTGGGAAACTGTCTTTTTCTCCTCCTTCTTCTTGTCAGTAGCGTAATAGCTGGCCATGCTATGGTTTGTGTTTCGGGCTTCAGGTCATTTGTTTACTTAGGCTGTAACATTAAGGGGACTTGGCAGGAAAACTTGAGGCTGGCAGAATGTGTAGTTTTAGCTAATATTCGATGAAAGCTTACAGAGTGCTAGTCCATCTTCTGACACTTTAACATATTCACTCATTTGATCTTACAATAGTTTTATGAGATATCTTTTATCATCCCCATTCTATAAATGAGAAAACTGAGGTGGAGAGGGGTTAAATAGCTTACTATAAGTTTTATAGTTAGTAAGGACTTGAACCCAGGAAGTCTGGGTTCAAAGGAAGAAGGGAGAGAGAGAGAGAAACCATTAAGATAACAGGCTTATGTCCATGGAAAGCATCTTTAGAGGCTGGTCATGATCTGATGTTGCACAATATTGAAAGTGACAGAATCTCGAAAATCTTTAAATTTTGTGCACTAGGAGCGTGTCTTGTTTCACTCTAGCCTTGGTCCTGTGACTAGAACATGGGCTGTCTAGAGGGGATTGCAGGACATACGGTCAGGAGAGGTTACCAGAGCCCAGATAAAGCATCCTGTTACCAAGCTAAAGGCAACAAGAATCCAGTAGGAGTAGGAAGCTTCCTGGAGCTGCAGAGTGGAGGGAGAATGGGTGGAAGGGATGAGCCTGGGGATGAGAAGACAGGTGCGGAAGCTATTGAAGGAGTCTGGGTACAGAACATGAGAGCAGGAACAGTCTGCATGGGAGGCGAGGGCAAAGGCAGAAGGGAATTCAGAGAGATTGGTAATAATAAAAATCATTACTAACATTTATTGGGTAATTACTATGAGTGAGCCTCTGTGTTTAGAACTTTACATATGTTTTCTCCTTTAATCCTAAGATAGACCCTATTTGGATGATACTCCAATTATCCCCATTTTAGAGATGAGAAAACTGAGATTTAGGAAAGTAACATCACTGAAATGACCTCCTTTGAAGTTGTGACCATAGGAGGACACAGCCTTATAATACACAAAATCCAATTTAAGTATTATCATTTAAGTATAGTAAAACCTAAATTAATATAAATTTTGGTATGATGCATTTGTTAAGTGTGCCCTGTCCTCACATGGGGAGGGCTAATATTCTCATCAGGACAGGGAGGCAAAGGCACTAGCATTGGGAATCAGGGAGCAACATCCAGTGATGCTGGCCCCGGCGTCTCCAGTGTTGTCCTTCTCAGTATACTTCAACCACCCCAGCAAGTGGGTGTGACTGACTGGAAAATTTTTGAAATCCCTGCTACTGTCCTTGGAGTCCCGCCAGCTACAGGCCCAGAATCACCCCTGTCAACTGGGCATTGCCTCCAGGTAGCATCAGACTCCAGCCTGGGTTGAGATTTGGGTCTGGCAGCCACAACCACATACTCAGCTGTGTTGCTTCACCACCAGCCCCCAACCAACACTTCATTCACTGTGCAATTAAGACGACCCTGCATTTTACACAATTGCATTTTTTGGACTTTATTTCTAATGTTGTCTTGACTTGCAGTATATATATGCTACTACAGATTGGAAGAATATGAAAGACTGTAGAATTTTGACAAGCTCAAAGCTTTTTACACTTAGATGGAAAGACAAATATATGTTAGGAGCTAAAGAAATTCAACATCAAATCAACTGCTGCAGCCACAGTAGAGGGAAGAATTAGGGAATGTCACAGTGTTCAAGTGGAATCTAGGGATATAGGCTATGAGACCAGCCTTTTAGAGGGTAGCAACAAAACAAGCAAAAAGTGGTGCTGCCAGCTGGGCACATTGGCTCACGCCTGTAATCTCAGCACTTTGGGAGGCCGAGGTGGGCAGATCACGTGAGGTCAGGAGCTCAGGACCAGCCTGACCAATATGGAGAAACCCTGTCTCTATTAAAAATACAAAATTATTGGGAGGCGGAGGCGGGCGGATCACGATGTCAGGAGATCGAGACCATCCTGGCTAACATGGTGAAACCCCGTCTCTACTAAAAAAAAAAAACAAAAAACAAAAAAACAAAATTAGCCGGGTGTGGTGGCACGCGCCTGTAATCCCAGCTACTGGGGAGGCTGAGGAAGGAGAATCGCTTGAACCTGGGAGGCGGAGGTTGCGGTGAGCCGAGATTGTGCCATTGCACTGCAGCCTGGGCAACAAGAGCGAAACTCCACCTCAAAAAAAAAGGGGTGCTGGTAATACCATTAGTTAACATGTCAGTGATATTTCTGGTCATTAAGCAACTTTAGCTAATTGAGAAGGTACCCCAGGAAATGGCTGTAAATGGGATGACATAATTGTTTCTTTTGTGGTTATGAATCTTTCAATCCTGGGAAAATAAGGAATACAAAATAGACATGTTCAAGGTAATCAGTTAGTATTTTTTAAGTATATGTATTGTTTGAGGAAATTTAGTTCATTAAAATTGTAGTAAACTTTGTTGCCACGGTTTGAATGTATTTGTCCCTCCAAAATTCATATGTTGGAAACTTTTTTTTTTTTAATGAGATGGAGTCTCACTCTATCACCCAGGTTGGAGTGTAGTGGTGCAATCTCAGCTCACTGCAACCTTTGCCTCTTGGGTTCAAGTGATTCTCCTGCCTCAGACTCCCGAGTAGCTGGGACTACAGGCACGTGCCACCACACCTGACTAATTTTGTATTTTTAGTAGAGACAGGGTTTCACTATGTTGGCCAGGCTGGTCTCGAACTCCCAACCACAGGTAATCCACCTGCCTCGGCCTCCCAAAGTGCTGGGATTACAGGTGTGAGCCACTGTGCCTGTCCTATATGTTGGAACTTAAACCCCAAAGCGATAGTATTGAGAGGTGGGGCCTTTTGGGAAATGATTAAGTCATGAGCACTCTGCTTTCATATATGGGATTAATGCCCTTATAAAAGAGACTTCAAAGAGTTATCTGGCCCTTTCTTGCCCTTCCACTATTCTGCCATGTGAAGACAGTGTTCATCTCCTCTGGAGGATGCAGCAACAAGGCCCCACCTTGGAAGCACAGAGTGAGCCCTAACCAGACCGAGAGTCTGCTGGCACCTTGATCTTGGACTTCCCAGCTTGCAGAACCATAAGAAATAAATTTCCACTACTTATAAATTGCCCAGTTTAAGATATTTTTGTTATAGCAGCCAGAATGAACTGAGATATTTGTGTTTCTGATTTAAACTATGCAATTGATTTACATTTGTGCATTTGTGATTTTAGTTGGAAATCTTAATTTACATGAAGAATTGAATAATTTAAGACAACTTAAGAATGACCACACTTAGAAGTTTAATGTATTAGGTTTACAAG
This sequence comes from Homo sapiens, assembly GCF_000001405.40. NCBI lineage: Eukaryota > Metazoa > Chordata > Mammalia > Primates > Hominidae > Homo > Homo sapiens. Next base: position 160,791,688 of record NC_000001.11, on the reverse strand, counting down.
CCTTTAAGTATTTGGGAAGTTTATTTGCTGATTAAAATACTTTAAAACAAAACTAAATATATTACATTTATAAGTTAGAATAATAAGGGAATCAACTTATAAATTTGTAAAATGAGTCAAATTATTATTATTATTATTATTTTACTTTTGAGACAGGATGTTGCTCTGTGACCAAGGCTGAAGTGCAGTGGTACGATCTCGGCTCACTACAACCTTTACTTCCCTGCTCAAGCGATCCTCCAGCCTCAGCCTCCTGAGTAGCTGGGACCACAGTCATGAGCCACCATGCCCGGCTCATTTTTGTATTTCTTGTAGAGATGGGGTTTCGCCATGTTGCTCAGGCTGGTCTCGAACTCCTGAGCTCGAAGTGATCCACTTGCCTCGGCCTCCCAAAGTGCTAGGATTCCAGGTGTGAGCCACCATGCCTGGCCATGAGTTAAATCTTATTAATAGTCCTCAAGAAGGGTAGTTAAAATTTGCCTAATTTGTAAGCAGAACAGTAAGATTTGTAAGCTGAACTGAACTTAAGGCTGACTTAGGTTTTAAATTTATTTATTTAATAAATTGAATATGAGTTCTTAAAAGCAATATGGCCTATGAATAAATTTTTATGTGCAAAAACCATCTTCAAGGAAATAAATTATAAAGGAGAACTCCTAACTCTCATTGATTGGCAGGTAGTTTGCCTAGGTCACACAACTAGCAAGCAGCAGAGGCAGTATTCAAACCAGAAAGCCTCATGCCCAACACACTGTACCCAACCAGAAAGTAAAACCACCTGCATTACTTTATTTTTTATTGACATAAATTTTCTTTCCCACTAGACTGTAAGCAACACGGTTGCAGACACTTCCTTTCATCTCTGTATCCCCAGTCCTTAGCACAGAGCTTTTGTGGCACCTAGCAGGAACTCAACGAATATGCATTGAGTGAAGGAGAGAAGAGAACCCGGGGGGAACGGTATCCTGGCGTCCAGGAGGAGAGAGTATTTCAAGTGTCAAATGCCACAGGCAGTTGTATTAGCCAGGGATCTTCAGAGAAACCACACCTTGAATATATATATTGTTTCCTTTTTTCTCTTTTAATAGGAATTGGCTCACATGATCATGGAGGCTGAGAAGTCTCATGATCTGGTGACTGCAAGCTGGAGTACCAGGGAAGCTGGTGGTGTAGGTCCCGGTCTGAGTCAGAAGGCCTGAGAACTGGGAGGCTGGTAGTACAAGTGTCCTGACCCATAACCACAGGCCTGATGTCCAACAGCAAGAGGGAATGGATGTCCTAGCACCATCCTAGCCTGGGGCTTCAGGGAGGCCTTTCCCAAGGTGGTGATGACTGGAGATGGGCAATAGGAGGGTGTTAGGGTGAGGTAGATGACAGAGACTAGGGCAATCCAATCAGTAAGATGGCCTGAGGAAGTAGAGCTGCATTTACAAAAATGAGAAATCCCAAGGGGACTGCTTTAGAAGCAGTCTGTGGTGACTGGAGTCCAAGCTGTGAGACTTGGTGACAGAGTGTGGCCAGGTAGGTTGGCAAGACACAAGCCAATCATGAAGGGCCTTGTCCACAAGGACTTTGACCCCGGACTTTAGCCTTGTGGGGGTGGTACACCCCCGAGGGGTTTAAAGCAAGGCTGTGATGTCACCGGCGTTGGCTTTTAAGTAGCTCGTTCAGGCGCTTCTCATCCTTCTTTCTTTTGCGTCCGCTCATCTTCATATCTTGTGACACATAAACTACATGTGATTAAAGTGGTGACACTAAAAACAGGAACTGGTAGTAGGCTGACATTTACGCATGCATAGTCCGTCATCTGCTGCCATGTGACAAGCAGTTCTGCAGGTGCACTTTATGGCCCATTCTCTACCATGGTTGTTGCTCCTCCTTGGTCTTTTCATAGGTAAGTCCACCCCTCCACTGCCTCCCAGGCTCGTCTATTTGCTGCGTACACTGGTTTACTCTAGGAATGTGCAATTTTCATTGAGGTGCTGCCTCTATGGGAGCCAGGCTCTGTGTGTGCGTGTGTGTGTGTGTGTATGTGTGCGCACGTGCGCGTGGGTGCGTAAGTCTGTGCGCATGTGCTATAACCTCAGGTCACGCAGCTCTAGACGGTGTCCTTGTGACCCTCACATCTCTTTGACTAATGTATCACAAGGAGCCTGAGCATTTCCAGAGAGGCTGAATTGTGGAGGCATGAGATGGAGGATCAGCCACAGTCAGTTCCAAGACGCATGTAGTCTGCAGCATGTCATTTCAGTCATGTTTCCAGAGATGTCCAGGTTTTTAAAGACCTGTGGTGATGTAGTGCCTTGGGATTTGTGTTTTGTATCTGGTTCTCTTGCATCTCTTTCCCCTTCCTCCCTCTCCTGCCAGCCGCTGGGAGTCACCCTTCACCCTGAGTTGGGCCTTTCATGTCCCATAAGTGGTTTCAGTGGGGGAGCTCAAGCCTGGCACACTGGTAATTCCTGTCCCTGTGGATTCTCACTGCTCACCTCTAAGAACCTGACAGATGACAGGGGGATGGGCCTGGGACTTGGAGGCTAGGGGAACACAGATCTTGAGATATTCATGATGAGGGGACAGGTTCTGCTCTTAGTCTCCAGAGTTTCAAGCTTTCACTTTTATTCTCCATCAGGAGAAAACCAGCACGTTCTGTTCTTTTTTTTTTAATTATACTTTAAGTTTTAGGGTACATGTGCACAATGTGCAGGTTAATTACATTTGTATACATGTGACATGCTGGTGCGCTGCACCCACTAACTCGTCATCTAGCATTAGGTATATCTCCCAATGCTATCCCTCCCCCCTCCCCCCACCCCACAACAGTCCCCAGAGTGTGATGTTCCCCTTCCTGTGTCCATGTGTTCTCATTGTTCAATTCCCACCTATGAGTGAGAATATGCGGTGTTTGGTTTTTTCTTCTTGCGATAGTTTACTGAGAATGATGATTTCCAATTTCATCCATGTCCCTACAAAGAACATGAACTCATCATTTTTTATGGCTGCATAGTATTCCATGGTGTATATGTGCCACATTTTCTTAATCCAGTCTATCATTGTTGGACATTTGGGTTGGTTCCAAGTCTTTGCTATTGTGAATAGTGCCGCAGTAAACATACGTGTGCATGTGTCTTTATAGCAGCATGAATTATAGTCCTTTGGGTATATACCCAGTAATGGGATGGCTGGGTCAAATGGTATTTCTGTTTCTAGATCCCTGAGGAATCATCACACTGACTTCCACAATGGTTGAACTAGTTTACAGTCCCACCAACAGTGTAAAAGTGTTCCTGTGTCTGTTCATGTCCTTCACCCACTTTTTGATGGGGTTGTTTGTTTTTTTCTTGTAAATTTGTTTGAGTTCATTGCAGATTCTGGATATTAGTCCTTTGTCAGATGAGTATGTTGCAAAAACTTTCTCCCATTTTGTGGGTTGCCTGTTCACTCTGATGGTAGTTTCTTTTGCTGTGCAGAAGCTCTTTAGTTTAATTAGATCCCATTTGTCAATTTTGGCTTTTGTTGCCATTGCTTTTGGTGTTTTAGACATGAAGTCCTTGCCCGTGCCTATGTCCTGAATGGTAATGCCTAGGTTTTCTTCTAGGGTTTTTATGGTTTTAGGTTTAACGTTTAAGTCTTTAATCCATCTTGAATTGATTTTTGTATAAGGTGTAAGGAAGGGATCCAGTTTCAGCTTTCTACATATGGCTAGCCAGTTTTCCCAGCACCATTTATTAAATAGGGAATCCTTTCCCCATTGCTTGTTTTTGTCAGGTTTGTCAAAGATCAGATAGTTGTAGATATGCGGCGTTATTTCTGAGGGCTCTGTTCTGTTCCATTGATCTATATCTCTGTTTTGGTACCAGTACCATGCTGTTTTGGTTACTGTAGCCTTGTAGCATAGTTTGAAGTCAGGTAGCATGATGCCTCCAGCTTTGTTCTTTTGGCTTAGGATTGACTTGGCGATGCGGGCTCTTTTTTGGTTCCATATGAACTTTAAAGTAGTTTTTTCCAATTCTGTGAAGAAAGTCATTGGTAGCTTGATGGGGATGGCATTGAATCTATAAATTACCTTGGACAGTATGGCCATTTTCATGATATTGATTCTTCCTACCCATGAGCATGGAATGTTCTTCCATTTGTTTTTATCCTCTTTTATTTCCTTGAGCAGTGGTTTGTAGTTCTCCTTGAAGAGGTCCTTCACGTCCCTTGTAAGGTGGATTCCTAGGTATTTTATTCTCTTTGAAGCAATTGTGAATGGGAGTTCACTCATGATTTGGCTCTCTGTTTGTCTGTTATTGGTGTATAAGAATGCTTGTGATTTTTACACATTGATTTTGTATCCTGAGACTTTGCTGAAGTTGCTTATCAGCTTAATGAGATTTTGGGCTGAGACAATGGGGTTTTCTAGATATACAATCATGTCATCTGCAAACAGGGATAATTTGACTTCCTCTTTTCCTAATTGAATACCCTTTATTTCCTTCTCCTGCCTAATTGCCCTGGCCAGAACTTCCAACACTATGTTGAATAGGAGTGGTGAGAGAGGGCATCCCTGTCTTGTGCCAGTTTTCAAAGGGAATGCTTCCAGTTTTTGCCCATTCAGTGTGATATTGGCTGTGGGTTTGTCATAGATAGCTCTTATTATTTTGAGATACATCCCATCAAAACCTAATTTATTGAGAGTTTTTAGCATGAAGAGTTGTTGAATTTTGTCAAAGGCCTTTTCTGCATCTATTGAGATAATCATGTGATTTTTGTCTTTGGTTCTGTTTATATGCTGGATTACATTTATTGATTTGTGTATATTGAACCAGCCTTGCATCCCAGGGATGAAGCCCACTTGATCATGGTGGATACGCTTTTTGATGTGCTGCTGGATTCGGTTTGCCAGTATTTTACTGAGGATTTTTACATCAATGTTTATCAAGGGTATTGGTCTAAAATTCTCTTTTTTGGTTGTGTCTCTGCCCGACTTTGGTATCAGGATGATGCTGGCCTCATAAAATGAGTTAGGGAGGATTCCCTCCTTTTCTATTGATTGGAATAATTTCAGAAGGAATGGTACCAGTTCCTCCTTGTACCTCTGGTAGAATTCGGCTGTGAATCCATCTGGTCCTGGACTCTTTTTGGTTGGTAAGCTATTGATGATTTCCACAATTTCAGCTCCTGTTACTGGTCTATTCAGAGATTCAACTTCTTCCTGGTTTAGTCTTGGGAGAGTGTATGTGTCGAGGAATTTATAAATTTCTTCTAGATTTTCCAGTTTATTTGTGTAGAGGTGTTTGTAGTATTCTCTTATGGTAGTTTGTATTTCTGTGGGATCAGTGGTGATATCCCCTTTATCATTTTTTATTGCGTCTGTTTGATTCTTCTCTCTTTTTTTCTTTATTAGTCTTGCTAGCGGTCTATCAATTTTGTTGATCCTTTCAAAAAACCAGCTCCTGGATTCATTAATTTTTTGAAGGGTTTTTGTGTCTCTATTTCCTTCAGTTCTGCTCTGATTTTAGTTATTTCTTGCCTTCTGCTAGCTTTTGAATGTGTTTGCTCTTGCTTTTCTAGTTCTTTTAATTGTGATGTTAGGGTGTCAATTTTGGATCTTTACTGCTTTCTCTTGTGGGCATTTAGTGCTATAAATTTCCCTCTACACACTGCTTTGAATGTGTCCCAGAGATTCTGGTATGTTGTGTCTTTGTTCTCGTTGGTTTCAAAGAACATCTTTATTTCTGCCTTCATTTCATTATGTACCCAGTAGTCATTCAGGAGCAGGTTGTTCAGTTTCCATGTAGTTGAGCGGTTTTGAGTGAGTTTCTTAATCCTGAGTTCTAGTTTGATTGCACTGTGGTCTGAGAGATAGTTTGTTATAATTTCTGTTCTTTTACATTTGCTGAGGAGAGCTTTACTTCCAACTATGTGGTCAATTTTGAAATAGGTGTGGTGTGGTGCTGAAAAAAATGTATATTCTTTTGATTTGGGGTGGAGAGTTCTGTAGATGTCTATTAGGTCCACTTGGTGCAGGGCTGAGTTCAATTCCTGGGTATCCTTGTTGACTTTCTGTCTCATTGATCTGTCTAATGTTGACAGTGGGGTGTCAAAGTCTCCCATTATTAATGTGTGGGAGTCTAAGTCTCTTTGTAGGTCGCTCAGGACTCTCTTTATGAATCTGGGTGCTCCTGTATTGGGTGCATATATATTTAGGATAGTTAGCTCTTCTTGTTGAATTGATCCCTTTACCATTATGTAATGGCCTTCTTTGTCTCTTTTGATCTTTGTTGGTTTAAAGTCTGTTTTATTGGAGACTAGGATTGCAACTTCTGCCTTTTTTTGTTTTCCATTTGCTTGGTAGATCTTCCTCCATCCTTTTATTTTGAGCCTATGTGTGTCTCTGCGTGTGAGATGGGTTTCCTGAATAGAACACACTGATGGGTCTTGACTCTTTATCCAATTTGCCAGTCTGTGTCTTTTAATTGGAGCATTTAGTCCATTTACATTTAAGGTTAATATTGTTATGTGTGAATTTGAACCTGTCATTATGATGTTAGCTGGTTATTTTGCTCGTTAGTTGATGTAGTTTCTTCCTAGTCTTGATGATCTTTACATTTTGGCATGATTTTGCAGCGGCTGGTACTGGTTGTTCCTTTCAATGTTTAGTGCTTCCTTCAGGAGCTCTTTTAGGGGAGGCCTGGTGGTGACAAAATCTCTCAGCATTTGCTTGTCTGTAAAGGATTTTATTTCTCCTTCACTTATGAAGCTTAGTTTGGCCAGATATGAAATTCTGGGTTGAAAATTCTTTTCTTTAAGAATGTTGAATATTGGCCCCCACTCTCTTCTGGCTTGTAGAGTTTCTGCCGAGAGATCAGCTGTTAGTCTGATGGGCTTCCCTTTGTGGGTAACCCGACCTTTCTCTCTGGCTGCTCTTAACATTTTTTCCTTCATTTCAACTTTGGTGAATCTGACAATTATGTGTCTTGGAGTTGCTCTTCTCGAGGAGTATCTTTGTGGTGTTCTCTGTATTTCCTGAATCTGAATGTTGGCCTGCCTTGCTAGATTGGGGAAGTTCTCCTGGATAATATCCTGCAGAGTGTTTTCCAACTTAGTTCCATTCTCCCCGTCACTTTCAGGTACACCAATCAGACGTAGATTTGGTCTTTTCACATAGTCCCATATTTCTTGGAGGCTTTGTTTGTTCCCTTCTTGCTTCATTTCATTCATTTCATCTTCCATTGCTGATACCCTTTCTTCCAGTTGATCGCATCAGCTCCTGAGGCTTCTGCATTCTTCACGTAGTTCTCGTGCCTTGGCTTTCAGCTCCATCAGCTCCTTTAAGCACTTTTCTGTATTGACTATTCTAGTTATACATTCGTCTAAATTTTTTTCAAAGTTTTTAACTTCTTTGCCTTTGGTTTGAATTTCCTCCTGTAGCTCGTAGTTTGATCGTCTGAGGACTTCTTCTCTCAACTCGTCGAAGTCATTCTCCATCCAGCTTTGTTCCATTGCTGGTGAGGAACTGCGATCCTTTGGAGGAGGAGAGGTGTTCTGCTTTTTAGAGTTTCCAGTTTTTCTGCTCTGTTTTTTCCCCATCTTTGTGGTTTTATCTACTTTTGGTCTTTGATGATGGTGATGTACCGACGGCTTTTTGGTGTGGATGTCCTTTCTGTTTGTTAGTTTTCCTTCTAACAGACAGGACCCTCAGCTGCAGGTCTGTTGGAGTTTGCTAGAGTTCCACTCCAGACCCTGTTTGCCTGGGTATCAGCAGCAGTGTCTGCAGAACAGTGGTTTTTCATGAACCGCGAATGCTGCTGTCTGATCGTTCCTCTGGAAGTTTTGTCTCAGAGGAGTACCCGGCCGTGTGAGGTATCAGTCTGCCCCTACTGGGGGGTGCCTCCCAGTTAGGCTGCTCAGGGGTCAGGGGTCAGGGACCCACTTGAGGAGGCAGTCTGCCTGTTCTCAGATCTCCAGCTGCGTGCTGGGAGAACCACTGCTCTCTTCAAAGCTGTCAGACAGGGACATTTAAGTCTGCGGAGGTTACTGCTGTCTTTTTGTTTGTCTGTGCCCTGCCTCCAGAGGTGGAGCCTACAGATGCAGGCAGGCCTCCTTGAGCTGTGGTGGGCTCCACCCAGTTGGAGCTTTCTGGCTGCTTCGTTTACCTAAGCAAGCCTGGGCAATGGCGGGTGCCCCTCCCCCAGCCTCGCTGCCACCTTGCAGTTTGATCTCAGACTCCTGTGTTAGCAATCAGCGAGACTCTGTGGGCGTAGGACCCTCCGAGCCATGTGCAGGATATAATCTCCTGGTGCGCTGTTTTTTAAGCCCATCAGAAAAGCGCAGTATTCGGGTGGGAGTGACCCGATTTTCCAGGTGCCGTCTGTCACCCCTTTCTTTGACTAGGAAAGGGAACTCCCTGACCCTGTGCGCTTCCCGAGCGAGGCAATGCCTCGCCCTGCTTTGGCTCGTGCACGGTGTGCTGCACCCACTGACCTGTGCCCACTGTCTGGCACTCCCTAGTGTGATGAACCTGGTACCTCAGACGGAAATGCAGAAATCACCCATCTTCTGCGTCGCTCATGCTGGGAGCTGTAGACCGGAGCTGTTCCTATTCGGCCATCTTGGCTCCTCCCCCACATTCTGTTCTTAGAGTCACCTGCGTTCAGGGTTGTTTTCACCCCAGCCTTTAGGGATCTCCTTTAATAAACTGATGAATCCCCTAGATGTGTTTAAACCTTGATAGTTCATCAAGAACTTTAACTTAAATCTTTAAAAACGTGATCCCTGGCCAGGTGCACTGGCTCACACATGTAATCCCAGAACTTTGGGAGGCTGAGGCAGGTGGATCACCTGAGGTTGGGAGTTTGAGACCAGCCTGATCAACATGGAGAAACCTCATCTCTACTAAAAAATACAAAATTAGCCGGGCATGGTGGTGGATGCCTGTAATCCCAACTACTCAGGAGGCTAAGGCAGAAGAATTGCTTGAACCCAGGAGGCGGAGGTTGCAGTGAGCTGAGATCGTGCCATTGCACTCCAGCCTGGGCAACAAGAGCAAAATTCCATCTCGAAAAAAAAAAAAGTGATCCCTATAACAGTCTTGTGATATGGACAAGGCAGGTAGCATTTCACCCATTTTATAGATGATAGACTGAGGCTCAGAGAGATTACGTGGCATATTCCAGTGATCTGCGAAACTGAAAGTCAGCACAGCCCAACTGTGCTGTTGGGTAGGAGCAACAAGGAGTGTATCAGAGAACCACAGTGTCCCTGACCAAAGACAGAACTGAAACCAAGAAGCTGGATTACTGCAATGTTTCTCACACCTGCGTTTTTCCTCTTCCACTGTGGAGCATGCATATCGGTGTTTTCCTCCCTCCACAGCATCTGGGCCAGGCCCTTGGTAATCACTGAGCACAGGGGCATCTCTTGGGCCCACGGCAAGAGATTGAGTAAGACAAGTGTGGCCTTAAAAATGTTCACAGTTCCTCAGTTCAGTTCTAGAAACATCAGTTAAGTCCTCTTGTGTGCCAGGTCCTATGCTGTGTGTGGCTAGGGAAAAGCGGGTGACAGTGTGACACAGGAAAGAATTTGGCATGGGAAGGCCTGCTGCCGGCAGCTGGTGTAGTAAACAGAGCCTTGATTCTGGGGACAGACACACCTGGGTTTTAACCGGTACTCTGCTGTTCCTAGCTGGTGACTTTGGGCAAGTTCCTTAAGCTCTTTGAGTCTCATGGTCTTCCATCTATAAAGTGGAGATAAAAGAATACCTACCTTACAAGTCTGTTGGGAAGGTTAAGGAAAGTAATGTGCATAATATGCTTGGCAAAGTGTCTGGCTTTTGGGATTTGTGCCCTGCATTTGATCCTTCTCTGTCTCTTTCCCCTCCTCCCTTGAATCCAGAAACAGGATTCACTGGATTCCCCCAACTACACCTAACTATGAGGCTAAACCGCTGGCCTTACTTTACCTTGTTACTCAGATATTAATTCCCTCCCAACTTCTCTCCGTGGGTTGCTCATGGGCTCTAGGGAAAGACACACAGCACAGCTATTTGTATGAGGCAGAATGAAGTAAATGCTTGAAACAAAACAATTCAACAAAAGCACAGGCCAAAGGAAACTAAGGGGAAGGCGTGGCTGGACCAGAAGTATAGAGCTCAGATAAGGCTGTAACAAGGAAGCAGAATGGAAACCGGTCTAGCGAGTTACCACACTAGAGGGTACAAGCCGGGGGCAAAGCTGCTTGTTCCAGGTGGAATACCTCCAGCTTAGGTTTCAGGCCTGGGCTGTATTTGGGGAGAGGAATATCTATCTGGTGTCAGCAACACCCTGTGTGGGATGCTTCTTGCTGCCCACTCCAGGCAGAGCCAGAATAGTTAGTTCCATGGAAGAACATAACATTGGGCCAGCCAGCGGAGTCTGGTGAGTGCACCAGGACACTGCATGTCCCCTGGCTTGGTGCACACACCCTCACAAGACAGCAAACACCCTCCCACTCCTCGTGACCACAGCTATTGTCACAGGACCCCTCAGTTCAGCTTGGCAAGGACCCTCATCACCCAGTCTAAGAAGTAGTTATGTAGCCAGTGCTTCCAGATTCCAATTTGAAATCAAACCCTAGACCCCATGCTGCCTTTTCTCTCTGTACGCAGCTGTACAGAGAGAAAAGTGTGTAGTAGACCTTGGTCAGCTTCAGCATTTCTGCCTCCTGGGACTGCATGTCTGTGCTGCAGAAATACTCTGACAGAGATAGGTCATGCTACTGAGGAGTGGTTTTCAAAATTGCTCTACAAGAGTTCTGACTGGTTTTGGTGAGGATGCAAACAAGGTGCATTCACTAATTTATTCCAGTGATATAAAGTGCCTTTAATAATACTAATAGTGGATTGAAGTGAATTATAATAATTCACAATACTTATAGTGAATACTAATAGTGAATAGTATTTACTTGCATTATTTCATTTAACCCTCACAAAATCCTAGAAGATGGCCTTTCCTGTTTTTCACAGGTAAGAAACCAAGATTCAGAGAGTTTTAGCACCTGCCCAAGATCACACAGCTAGTACCTGGTAGAGCAAGTTTGAACTCGGGCAGTCTGACTGGTTCCCCAGTGCTTACACTCTCCTCTTAAGTATAGGCTGGGATCCCAACAGCTGCCCCCTGAGCACCCTTAAACTGGCTTGGCCAGCACACCACAAGTTCTCCTGCTCTAGAAAGATGTGTTCCCAGGAATCCTGGCTAGGCCTCAGAGGATGTGACATCTGTTTCAGAAGTGACTGGACAAAGCCTTATGGGGATGTGGTCTCGAGCAAGTCACCTAAATTCTTTGTCACTGTTTTCCCGTCTATAAAATGGGGATAATAATCCCCTCTCAGGCCTGTTGTGACCTTCTGGCGTAGTCAGGCTACCCCCTGAAGCTTCTGTTCTGTGTCTGCAGGACCAGGGACTTCCAGAGGGACCACAGCACCCCTAGTGGTCACTGGGACCTAGGAGGGTCTGTCATTCTGCCCCTGCAGACGCTCTGGACAGGAGGTGGCGACCATCTCCTGGATATCGCTCTGGACAGGAGGTGGCGACCATCTCCTGGATATCGCTCTGGACAGGAGGTGGCGACCATCTCCTGGATATCGCGTTCGGTCCCCATGGAGATCACCACAGTAACCATGGGAGAAGCTGGGGGCCCAGACATCTTTTACCAAGCGGAAACCTGGTCCTCGGGTCGCTTGAGTGTCATGAGTCCAGGTTTATCCCTGCGTGTAGATCAGCAACCTGAGCTGGGAGGATACAGGGCCCTACCGAGCCCATGTTAACCTGAGGATTTCCTGCAGCACCCTCACCTGGGAGTACCATCTGCAAGTCTATAGTGGGTGTCTTAGAGATGGCAGCAGTGGGTGAGGCAGTGTCAGCCTCTCAGTCATTTCTACAGCTTTAGTAACATTCGCAATTTGCAAGACTAATTTATGCGCACTGTTTTGTTTTTTGTTTTTAAAGATATGTAAGTTAGAGTTGCCAGAGAGAATCTCCTGAAAAATGTCAAGCCTCAGGACCTACCCTAGACCACCTGAAGCAGAGTTCTTGGGACAGTAGTGGTCAGAGAATGGGATTTCAGGCCCTGAGAACTGAGTTTTTCCACAACCTCCTCTTGTGGCCTGGAGCTTCCTCATTACTAAAATGGGAACAATACCTTTTTGTGAGAGTGAAAACATATGAAAGTGCTTTGGAAAGGCCTATGCAGATGCAGAGGGATGCTCTTATCAAATTCCTTAAAGAAATTTAAAAAATCTTAGCAGGAGAAACTACAAAGGAAGCAATGGGGTGGGTATCAAGCACACACAGCACCGAGAAAGGCCTATGAAAGATGCTACGCTGAGCCACTTTGAGATTCAGACAGTTGATTATTCATATAACGAATGGAAGAGTAGCCAAGGGTTCCAGATCCCTGGGCACTTGTCCCACACCAGAAAAGATGACATTGAAACAAAAGGGGCCAGATGGCTGCAGTGGGAGCTGTGGAATACCCAGATGCCGAGGGGCCAATTCTACCTTCAGCAAAGAGGACTTAGAGACCGCAGCTGTGTTCTGAGGACAAGAAGTCCCATACTGCATCAGAACCCCAGGAGCCAGGGGAAATAGTCTCATGACAGCCTCCCAGGGGAGATGGCTTCAAGGCTGTGCCTCACAGGCCACCTGAACTCTCGTGTTCTGGGTGGATCACAAGGCATTTTGCCAAGACCCAGTTTAGCAGAGGTTGAAACCTTTGCCTGAGAGAGATGTGCAAGGTCTCAGGGTGCTATGGCAGAGCCGTTCCCCTGCAATGAGCGAGGGGGACAGGTGGTGAGTGAGGATGGACATGGGAAGGCCAGCAGAGAACCTTCACAGACATTTTTCTTGGATTCTGTGATAGGAAATCTTCCTATTAGACGAAGGCACTCTTTTAGTGGAGTTGATGGGGCTGCTCTCTGGTCAGGTCCACATGGCTGGGGAGAAGGCGTGTCTGCCATAAATCAGGCCTGGGCTGGCTATGGCCTGCTTCTCACAACAGGACCAGGGCACAATGGAAGTGGGTTGCTGGGACTTGGGGTTGGGTTGCTCACTAGGGTAGGGTGGGCCCAAAACTGGTGGGAGAGGCCCTTTGGCCTCGCTGATAGTCATTCTGATAGCACTTACTTAGTGTGGTATGGTGTCAGGTGGAGTCTGGGTAGAGGATAGGGTTGTGCCAATCCATCAGGGGTGGGGTCTTCCAGAGAGCCCTTCTCTCTCTGGGTTGACATCCCAATGGCAAGGCAGTGCTAATGGTCAGGCTCCATCCTTCACAGGGTGTTTCCCATCACTGCAGCCTCACAACAGCCCTGCCAGTATGCAGGTCAGGAGTTTTCATTTCTAGGAAGGAAACGGAATCTTAGAAAGGGAAAATAAGACACCTATGACATGGAGCTAGAAAGTGGCAGATTTGGGAATCGAACTCAGGTATTCTGATGCTGTACCCTGTGCCTTCATTCTCTGGGTTTCTGGTATGTCGCCATATTTATTGGATGAGAAAAGGGCCAATAGAAGTCAAGTGGCTTGCATCCCAGGGCCTGATATATAGGAGACACAGTGGGGAGAGCCAGCAGCAAGGTACCCACCTGTGGGGATGTCCAGGCTGCCTTCTCCTGGGGGACACGCTGGGCCTGTGTGGTCCTACTTTGCACAGTTGAGTTTCCCCTGGGGCTGCAGTCGTGTGGGCCACAGGGCTGAGGCTGAGTAGCAGAGTAGCCTTGTTCTATGCAATATGACTTTGTTGAGTGTTTCAGGCCTGGTGTCTGCAGCTGCTCTTCTCGCCTCCCCCAAATCCTCCTGGGTCTGGCCTGGGAGGCTGGTGGACAAATAATGGCAATGTGGACACCTCGAGCACTTAAGAATATCTGGGTCATGGCCCTGGGGCAAGAGGAGACGGGGAGCAGGTCCAAGGGAGTGCAAGGGAGTGGGAGAAACCTCAAAGGCACACAGCCACCTCCTCTGGGACTCTTGATCAACACCTGGAAGCTCAGTGTATGCTGCAGAGCCCCCTACGGGGAAAATATGTAATTACAACACAGCTCCGTACTTGCATTCCTTTATCTATTCAGGGCAGGGTTGGGAAACTCAGTTTTGGGCTCAAATTCACTGGATTTGGATTTTGGCTTTACCACTTAACTAGATGAGACTTTGGGCAGGTTATCTAAGCATTCTGAGCCTGTGAAATGGAGTTGATATAACATCTTCCCTGTTTAGTTCATGGAGTTGTTCTGGAAATCAACTGAGATGTTAAGTGACATGGCCTTACATAGCACAAAGTTCTGGAACAGATGTGGGCAGATCCTGCCTCTGCTGTTCCTTCTGTGTATTCAAGGTGATGCAAGGTTTGGGCACTAATGCCGTGCATTTTCTGTCCTGTGAAGTGGAGGCCCAGAGCAGTTTCCCAGTCCTCAGTTTATTCCCTTTCGCACACACAGAGCAGCTGGCCTGGCCTCATGTCACACTGAGCTCCAGGATTAGTGAGGATGGATGCTGCATTGTCACTCTCATATGCCATTGACATGTGTGGCAGAGAGCAGAGGAGGCAGTGTGACTTACAGCTGGACACCCCTGGGACCCCAGACTGTTGTTGTGTCCTGTGGAGGGTCTGTCCTCAGTGTCTCCTTGAGGCTTGGGGACAGTGCTCTAACTTTTACCTGCATGGTCAAGAACCCATTCAGTAACAGCAGCTCCCACCCTATCTCAGTGCCTCACTTCTGCATATGTACCAGGCTCCTCAGTCTGCCCAGGGGCCTGAGCAGCTCTGGGGTTGACAGGGAGGGTGGAAGAAGAAGTCCTGGTTCCCTTCAGACCCTGGGGCAAGGGGGCTAACACCATTGGGAGGGTGGGAGTCTGGGGTGGGTGGGTGTTGGTCTGTGTGGTCATGGCAGTGGGAGGAGAAGACCCACTGGAGCTGGTGGGGAGGCTGGAGGGACTCACACAGGAGGAGCTGGATGGAGCCTGTGGCTTTCCTGACTAGGTGGGGAGACACTGACACTGAGGTTGTGGGTTCTCTTCTTTGTCTACAGGGTCAGGAACACTGGGAGAAGATACAGTGGGGAAGATATCCTTGGGGAGTTGGCCACTTGGCCCCTGGAGGTCCCAGCAGAGCAAGAGGTAGAAAGTGTTACATGGAGCTCTTGAGAGCGTGTTGCTGTTTTACAACAAGGATGAACAGACAAACCAGTTCTGGTTTCTGAGACTCAGGGACCCTACAGTGGATGACTGAACATTCCCCACCACAGCTACTCTCTTCAGATCAGCCCCCTGAGGCTGCAGGACTATAAGCCTATAAGCCTGGGTAACTCTGCATACTTCCTCAATCATTATCACCAGGGATTTCACCCTGCTTGTCTATGGTAAGGAGGGCTGGAGGGCCCCACATTTGAAACTGAGCTTTCCTCTACCCTGTTTGGCCAGACCAGAGCCTTCTCATAGCTCAAGCTTTCCCTTCTTGGTTCAGAGATGCTGTAGGAGTTGAACATCTTTGCCAGCTCCCAGATCATGAAGGATGGGACCTGCTTCATCACCCTGGCCTGCTCCCTGGAACAGGCTGGAGAGAATGTGCAGAACAGCTGGGAGCCTCCTAGTCATGGGGCAGTTGTGTCCCATGGGGGGACCACTCTCAGTGTCCCCTGGATATCTGGGGAAAGTGAGAGCTATCACTGCACTGCCAGGAATCCCACCAGCCAGAGCTCCAGCTCTGTCCTTACCAGACCCCTTTGCTCAGGTAATGTTTTTCCTTCTCTGACTCTCTTCTTCCTGGCAAGCCTTGGTCTAGTTTCTTAGCATCCCTGCCTCTCTTCCTCTTGGATCCAGGAGCAATTGAAGAAAGGGAGGAGCCAGATTAGTTGGCAGCAGGAAGTGTCTCTGGGGTGGCAGGAGACAAGGGCTCTGGAGCCACCATCCCAGGGCCCGCTTCGGTCCACCTTTTCTCTGTTGGCCTCGGTCCTCTGTGCCTGACCTGCTGCAGACTCAGCGAGGCATTCAGCTCATTCCTGGGACTCCCTGAGGAAAAGTGCTGCCTCACCCACACTCAACCCTGCACAGCCCACTGAGGAGAGCTTCGAAACCCCTTGCCTGTGTTCTCAGAGAGGACTTACCACCTCCCCTTGCCTAGAGGTGCTCTGAGAGACACTTGAGGCTGTGCTCTTCTGGCAGGCAAGGGGAGGCCTCTCATGGTGTCCCTGGTCCCATTTGGCTTAGTCATAGGTCATGGCTGGAAACTGTGTTAGTTCAAACATATCCTGTCTCTCCTCTTCTCAGTTGCCTTCTGAAACAGCTGTCTTTCCTGACTCCAGATCTTCAATCATTCATTCTCCACCCACTTGCTGCTGATTTGCCCCTCCAGCTACATCCTGATGGATAAATTCATTGGCCACTTTTAAATTCTGTTATCCTTGGCTTCTCCCAGCACTTGACACATTAACCTGCTCTCCTTTGTCACCTGGGCTGCTCTCTCCTGGGACATCTTCCCTTGGATCAGGATCCTTCTCAAGACTGGTGCCTCAGGCCTTTCTCCACTCCCCTTGTTTTCTTTCTGTTGCCAAAGGCAGAAATGCCAGTGTCATTTAGGGCCCCTCCTCTTCCCCACCACATCCTGCCATTGCTCACCCTTTCCCTTTATTCCTTGCCTGGACCACTCCACAAACTCCTAACCACTCCTTCCTTCCTTAATCTTTTCCTTCCCAATCATCTTCCAGATTGCACTGCCAGAGGTCTAATTCTAAATTAAGAAATGCTTGTGTTACTTTTTAGCTTAAAACTTTAGGACATGAGAGGGAATGTGGAAGTGTTGATTAAACGGTAATAGTTTCAGACAGACAGGAGGAATAGGTTTTGAGATCTATTGCACAGAAGGCGACCATGGTCAATAATAATGTATTATACAGTTCAAAATAGCTGAGGGAGTACATTTCAAATGTCTCACCGTAAAAAATGGTAGGTGAGTGAAGATATGTTAATTAATTTGATTTAATCATGCCACATTGTATACATGATCAAAAATCACATTGTTCACCGTAAATGCATGCTGCTGTGATTTGTCAATCAAAAATAGTAAATATTTTAAAAACTAAAAAAAAGCCCTATGATGTCTGCCCACTATCTAAGGTATTTAAACAATTATTCATTCATTTAAGCCACAGGTATTTACTGAGTATCTTTTATGAACCCTGTGCTGTTCTAACCATTGTAGATACAATGAAGAAGAGGTCCAGATAAATTTCTACCCCTCATGTAAATCACTGTTACAATCATCACAACCTGCACCTGACTAGCTTTTTGGCCATTTCATCTTCCAGTCAGCCCTGGGAAATGACTTTGGGAGAGTTCTGTATTTTGTTGTACAAAGACAACATTGAATGTGTTCTATTATGGGCTTTTTGTGTCTGTGCTCTCCACTGAACTGTGAGAAAAACACATTCTTACTGTTCTCTGCATCTCTAATACACAACGAGTAATAGGTGTCAAAAAATGTGGGTCTGACAAGTATTTAAAAAGCATCTGCGCTGGGTGTTGTGGGACACATGCAGACATGATAATTGGCTGTAGACGTTCACAGTCTCCCTCTCTCTACGGGGCCTGATGGACATTTCAGTTCCGCCCCCACATTCGGCTACCTGAAGGGGCCTCCAGCCCAGCCATGCCTCTGACTTGTCTTCCTTCAAAATCATTTTCCCTGTTTCTCTGTCTTCCTGTCTTCCTTTTCTCCCAATTACTAACTTGTGGTCATTGTTCATTCAGCCTCCTTTGTACCCCACTCCCTGAGGAAAGAATTTCTTCCTTTTTTGATTCTGGGAGTTTTGGGGATTGAATAGATTTCACCTGGACATGGGGAGAAACCAAGAAGAGAAGTACGAGATGGCGGCCATCCTGTGAGACACAGAGTTAAAGAAGTTCGCATGTGGAGTGCTGCCTGAGGCCAGCATTTCCTGGTGTGAGAGAAGGACATTGACACTGATTAAGGCATAAACCCTATTTCATTTACAAACTGAGTTCAAAATTATCAGGAAACTGCTATGTGTCTTCTGTTTAAAATAATCTGTTTATGTTTTATTGAAGTGTGTTTTTAAGTGTTCAGAAAGAAAAAGGAGCTTATTTATTTAAGAAAAATTGAATGGAACATAAAAACATTGTTATTGTCACACATATATATTATTAAGTTTTTGTTAATGTTTAAATAACTAGATTCAGCCCAGCTTCAGCTTGAATGTCATCTCCTTGGAGCAGCCTTTGGCCACTATACTTAAGTAGATCTTTCCTCTCATTCATAATCAATGTATGTTTAAAAAAATAATCTGGAGTCTGTTAGGCTGAGACGGCCCTAGCAATCTGGGATTCTACACAAGCAAACAGAAAACCAACTCAGAATGACTTAACCAGTCGGAAACCACCAGGTAATCTCTAAATGGGGAATTCCATTTAAGCCATCAAATATTTTCTTTTCTTCTTTTTATTTTGCATAGAGACAGGATCTAACTCTGTTGCTCAGGCTGGTCTCAAACTCCTGGCCTCAAGTGATCTTCTCACCTTGGCCTCCCAAAGTGCGGAGATTACAGGCATAGACCACCATGCCTGGCACACTTATTTGTTGGTTTACTTATTTATTGTTTATTTCCCTCACAAGATATTCAGCTCTATGAGGATAAGAACTATTTCTATATATATTTTTTCAAAACTAAAAACCCAAAGGGTAATAGTGTTTGGCTTATGATAGATACTTCAACATTTACTGAATGAATGAAAGAATGAATTGGAGTTGAGAATATTTTTTCTTAAGATTTGAAGACTATTAGGAGGTTTTACAAGGATCTGGGGCCTACACCATTGTCTGTTTTCTCTTTCTGCTTTTGATGGAGAGAAGCAGCAAATTAAATCTTTATCCTAAAAGTTTCCTAGAATGCTCAACAGTTAGCAAAAGAAAAAGTTAAAATAAAAGAAACATTTATGTTTTGTTTTGACAGAAAGCTGCTCTGCAGTGCTAGATACGTTAATCTAGAATTTGAACCATATACAAATAACTGAACCAAAAGCAAAATTTAGGTGGGAAACTTTGAGCTTCTCTTTCTTTTTCTTACTCTCAGTTGATCAGCTCATTTCCTAGTTCATTCACAGAGAGGATTGGCAAATATCACCCATTACACACAAAGCTTCCAATCAAGTAGTTAATGACTTATTTGGAAATATAAGAGGGCAGACAGGATCACAAGATATTTGGGGAAGGCCTCTAACATGAAAGACAATCTCCAAACCAAATGAATCAGGGGGAAAAAAGAAACTTGGAAGAAAAGAGATAATACAGGGAGCAGGAGAAAATTAAATAAAATCCCTCAAACAATATTCTTAGAGACATATAAAAAGATTTTCACTTAAAAACAGAAACAGGGTGCCAGCCTAAGAAAAACTGAAAAGTCCAAGAGTAAGAAAGAGCCCTAGTAACAATAAATACATAAATAAAAAGCAGAAAACTTCTAAAATTCAATGGAAGTGTTGGAAAATCAAATGAAGAAACTCTCTCAGAAAGTAGAACTAAAGACAAACAGATGAAAATAAAAGAGAAAAGATAAGGCCATTAAAGAATCAGCCCAGGAACTCCAACCCCTGGATAACACAGTTCCAGAAAGGGACATGTCTTAGTCTATTTTGTGCTGCCATGGCAGAATCCCACAGATCGGATAATTTATAAACAGTAGAATTTTATTTGTCTCATGATTCTGGAGACTGGGAAGTCCAAGATCAAGGGGCTGCATCTGGTGAGGACCTTTTTGCTGCATCATAACATGGTGGAAGGCATAACATGATCAGAAAGTGAGTGTGTGTGTGTGTGTGTGTGTGTGTGTTTGTGTGTGTGAGAGAGAGAGAGGGGAGGGGGCTGGACCCATCCTTCGATTAGGAACTCACTCCCCCAATAACTAACCCACTCCCAAGATAATGGCATTAACCAATTCATGAGGGCTCTTAAAATTCCCACCTCTCAACTCTGTTGTACTGGGGATTAATAGAGGCAGCAGGACCAGAGCACCCAGTGAAAGACATTATCAACTATAGGAAAAACAAAGAATGGTTAGGAAGGAAATTGAATACTCTACATGGCTCGAATGTGAATACTTATTGTCATAAATGTTAAATACAGTTTAGCAAAAAGCTATGTTACAACATACTCTGGCGGGATGGGCAGAAAGGCCTTTGTGTTGCTGAGTGGCTAAAGAGTGTGGAGGACAGTGGATGAGAGAGCCAAATACCTATCTCCATAGCAGGAAGTCAATAACTAATGTCTAAAATCAAGAAAGGACAGAACAAATATATCATTTCTAAATATCAAGGAAGTATCATGAGAAAAAACAAATAATTGACAGTGGTTGCCAGCACAACAGTTGCCAGAACAGCAGTTCTGGGTGTAGTGTGGCAGAAGACTGCTGCTTTTTTTTTTTTCAAAATTTATTATGTCTTATGCTATTAGTTGAATTTTATAACTATATATATGTAGTATTTTGAAAAAAATTAAAATATTAGAAAGCACATGCACCAAGAGATGAAGAACAATAACCAAAAAGAGAACTCAAAGGTCTAGGAACTTGACTGGGTGGAAATGGGAGGATTTTAATGGGCCACGGGGTTCTACAGGAAGAGTGAATGGTTTAAACAAAGAGGCAGAGACTAATCAGTCAAATTTTAGTTGAAACAAAATTAGAGTTGAATATCTTTTCTCCAAATCTAGGTCCAATTATACATTCAACAAAATTCAACATTACTGACTAGTTAATATTTATGCTTATTTACAGATATAACAAAATTTCATAGCTAGGGAAGCAGTTCTGGGGCTGTCAGTGATCTTGCTTGTTATTCCAGACAACTGTCATTCAGGGACTCCAGGTAGCATGATCCTGAGAGCAAATGCACCATTGTTAAAGGCATAGACGTATAAATACAAACCTCTGCCACAGAGCACTATTCACTCTTTGCGTCTGAAGAGAACCAGAACCCCTTAACTCTTGGGCGGCAGCCTGCCGTCTGAATGTGAAGGAGAAGGAAGAATTAGTACAATGCCTGTTTTTGAGCTCTTCAAGTCACCAGCATTTTGTAGGAGTGGAATGCTTCATCTCCTGGCCCCTAACTTCGGGGTAGCAAAATGAGAAGCTAATGCCTGCTGGAAAGGGTCCCAAGATAGAGAAGCTAATGCCTGCTGGAAAAGGTCCCAAGATACTGAAAGCTCTGAGATTGCACTAGAAGAGAAGAGCTCAAATCCTGCCACTTACCCACAAAAAGCCAGGGAAGTGAGTGTCTACTGGAAATTGTTTTAGGTGTGAAGTATGAACTGTATGTATCTGAAGGCTTCCTGCCTTGGTGCTGCCAGATGCCCTTGCTGTGTGACAGGAGGAGGTGAGAACAGGTTGAAAGAGGAGGAAACGACTAATGACCCTTAGGAGCAGATCGATTACCACCCTATGAAAGAGTAAGTTGACAGTTCAGACTATGCAAAAACAAATTGTTGGAAAAGCCCCCTTCATTTTTCTTAGCCGAAAAGTAAACAGATTGCTACAATCTGGCATCTCTGTAGTTTTACCCACTCTCTCCACACCCCAAAGTACAGCCATTAAAGCCCCACGGTCACTACACATGTCTCTGTGTTATGACCTTGCTTTTCTTTCTCCTCGAGGGGACTCATTGACCTTTCTCCATCTGGCTCAATCTGTGTCAAGTTGCTTCTTGACCCATTTGTTTTTCCATCGGTTGTGAGCTCTTTGAAGTTAGGGGTCATGCTTTATCCATCCCTGCTTCTTGGCCATAGCACATAGTTGGTGCTCACTAAATACTTGCTGAAACACTTGTCAACTAAAGAAAAGCCAAGTTTTTAAAGAATTAAAGTGAGTTTTATTTAGTCTTACTGAGGTTGGCAACCCAGGAGAGTCTTTCGGAGAGTTTCTGTTAGACTGCTCCAAAGCAGTGTTTCAGCCTACAGCTTATACATAAGGTGACAGTCATTCTGCCTGTGCTCAAAAGTTATGTAAGAGCAAAATTTCACCAAAGTTTGGGTGCAAGGGTACATCTAGTTATAGATTACAGAGGCATAATGATTAATCCTGTCAACCATTATCTTATGTACAGCAAAAAGACAAAGGCCAGGATCATTGAATTTATCTTTTCTAAAAATGCAGTGATTTAGGTAAGAGATGTGGTAACCTGGGCTCCATCCTTCTTATCATCTTCAGGGCATCCTTCCGAAGGGCTGTCCTCAGTCACTGAGTCAGGGGCTTTGTGAAATTCTGCTGGCAGCTGAATGAGCAAACATGGCCTCTTATGTTTGCTACTTTGTCTTACAGAGTAAGTGAATGTAAAACAAAAACAAAAACAGAATGAATGAATGAAAGTCTCTGTGAGAGAAGCAACCTATCCATTGCTGTTTGCCTTTCCCACAGTTCTGGGTTTGGCTAGGGAGAGTTCACATCCCTGCTGATGTTTATTTTAAATTTCGAAGCAATAAGGAAATTGAAAAATGGACACAAAATTCAGGGGTATCTATTTCCTTTCTATTCATACAGCCTTATATTTTGCCTTCTAAGCTATTCTTTTCCTTGTATTCTTTTTAGACTCTCATTCAGATTATGTTACCTCAATATTCTTCCCTTAGAAGACTTTAAGAAGCAGATTCCATTCAACAGTTTTACTCTACAGAAATACTGTGTGTAAGGCCGGGTGCGGTGGCTCATGCCTGTAATCCCAGCACTTTGGGAGGCTGAGGCAGGTGGATCCCCTGAGGTCAGAAGTTTGAGACCAGCTGGCCAACATGGTGAAATCCCATTTCTACTAAAAATACAAAATTTAGCTGGGTGTAGTGGTGCACACCTGTAATCCCAGCTCCTCAGCTACTCAGGAGGCTAAGGGAGGAGAATTGCTTGAACCTAGGAGATGAAGGTTGCAGTGAGCCAAGATTGCACCACTGCACTCCTGCCTGGGCAACAGAGTGAGACTCCATCTCAAAAAAAAAAAAAAAAGAAGAAGAAGAAGAAGAGGAAATACTGTGTGTTTTCCTCAGTGTTCATGAAGCTTAATGTGCAGGTATTTTCATAAGGTTCTATATTTTATTGAAAAACAGACAACAAAACAAGAAACAGACTAGTAAAATTGCTGAATATGTGCATGGTTTGCCAGCTGGGCCAAGAGGAGGCAGCAGTGAGCTAACCCAGGGCTTGCTGTGTGGCTTGGAGGATCCTGTCACCATCAGCCTGCATTGTGACCTTGCTTTCATTTTCTCTCTCTGAGATGAGGGAGTTAGACTACATGATCCTTAGAGTCTCTTCCAGCTCCAAAATTCTCTGTGTAAGTTTTAAATAGATGTTTGGGACTGATTTAGGTCTGGGAAGAGAAAAGTGAAGGAAACAGACAAAAATTCCCTCCGTTTATGAAGCTTACATTCCCATGGGGCCTTCCAGACCCTACGGTTGTCATAGTGGCGAGGAGGCTGCCTGGATTGGAGGGTATGAGGCTGGGTAGGAAGTCAGACCAGGGCTTGACCAGTAGGCATCAGACAGATCCAGGGACCAGGCAAAGCAGGAAATGAATGAAATTCACTGGGTCCAAGTGAGATGGGAGCAGGGAACAGGCTCTCCACAGAGCCAAGCAATCAGAGGGATTGTGCTAGGTCCCTAACTGACCAGGAGGAGACAGGCAGAGTTGTACCCACAGGACAGTTGGGCCTGCAGAACCTCCAGAACCAGAAAGTCCGTTTAGCAGCCTGACTCAGCAAGGCTTGCTTCTGCTCCTGGGGAGATGCACAGGTCCCAGCATGCAAGTGACTGGGAGGGAACATGGAGAACACAGCAAAGAGGAGGAGCTAGAAAGAGCACCGGAGGAGTGAGGGGAGGAACAGCTCAGAGCCTTATAGCTGACAAGCCTTCTGTAAGGGTGGCGTGAATGAGTGAATGACACAGAGGGGAGTGTTTGCTACTTTGCTTGATCTGTGAGCACTGGTCAGCTGCCTCTTATTATATGCCTCAACTTTATAATGATATGATTAACTGCTATTCTCAGGTCTTCAGTTACTCTTTATACTTAAAGTTCTAGAGGCTCAGTTCTGAATGGAATCTATATAATTAGCCAGTAGTCTCTTTATGATGAGGTAACTTCTGTCGAAGGACTGTGATGTTATACTCTGCTGAACACTTTACGTGTATGATTATCTTTACCTTTAATCTCACTACAATCCTATGAGGTAGAAAGTATCTTTCACATTTTATAGAAGAGAAAACTGAGGTTCCAAGAAACTAAGCATTTTGCTCATGGTCATAGGACTAAGAGAAGATACATGACGTCCAGAGTTGCTTTTCTCTTTCTCTCTCTCTTTCTCTATCTCTTTCTCTCTCTCTCTCTCTCTCTCTCTCTCTCTCTCCCCCCTCCCCTCTCTGTATCTCTTCCTCTCTCCTCTCCAAGTTTTCAGTGTGGTGAAAGTAATGCAGATTAGTGACTAACCACTGTGGGTAGCATGGGTTTTTTCTTCTTTTTCCCCTTTTTAATTACACATCCTTTCCTTTCGTTTTCCTGGTGCTCTAAGCCAGCTCACCCCTGGTTTTTTATTCTGCCTTGTTTGGGATGGAGGTGGTATGCATGGAAGAGCAAAAGCAAAAACTTTAGGTAGCCTCAGCCCTAAAGTAGAGCCAGGATCCACACCAATGTCTCCTCTTAACTGCCTCAACCACTTGCCTTGCTGTCTGCCCATCTTTGAAGTGGAGATCTTAGTGGTTAGCCTCTGGGCCTCACCTTCATCTCTCCCTGTCCTCATCTTGTTTGCTTTCTTCCCAGACTAACTCAGCTCCAGGATTGTCCCTTCTGGAAGCTATCCCATGCGGCTGTCCCTGCCTTATACAGGATCTACCTTGGCAGAGGGAAAACAACTCTTGGTCCTTGTCATGGTAAATTTTATGTGTCAACTTGACTGGGCTAAGGGATGCTCAGATACCAGATAAAATATTGTTGCTGGGTGTTTTCAGAGGTCATCAGCATTGGAATCAGTAGATGAAGTAAAGAAGATTGCCCTCACCAATGAGGGCAGGCATCACACATCTATCGAGGACCTGAATAGAACAAAAACGCAGAGAGGAGGGATAAGGAAGGACTTGTTAAAGATTACAAAATTATAGCTAGATAGGAGGAATAAGAGGAATAAGTTATAGTGTTCTATACCACTCTAGGATGACTACAGTTAACAATAATGTACAGTTTTAGATAACTAGAAGGAGGACATTGAATGTTCCCAACACAAAGAAATGATAAATGTTTGAGATGACAAGTATGTTAATTACCCTTATGTTATCACTACAAATTATATGGCTCTAAACATCACTATGTACTCCAAGAATATGTACAATTATCATTTGTCAATTAAAAATATATACATACCATGGAATACTATGCAGCTATAAAAAAGAATGGGATCATGTTTTCTGCGGGAACATGGATGGTGCTGGAGGCCATTATCCTTAGCAAACTAACACAGGAACAGAAAACCAAATACTGCATGTTCTCACTTATAAGTGGAAGCTAAGTGATAACTCATGGACACAAAGAAGGGAACAACAGACACTGGGGCCTACTTGAGGGTGGAGGGTGGGAAGAGGGAGAGGAGCAGAAAAAATAATGATTGAATAGTAGGCTTAGTATCCGGGAGATGAAATAATCTACCTGACAAATCCCCATGACACGAGTTTACCTACATAACACATCTGCGTATATACCCCTGAACCTAAAATAAAAATTAAAAAATAAAATAAAAACAGAAAGGTGAAGGATGGAAGGAAATTAGTTTCTTTGCTTGAGTTGAGACATCCATCTTCTCCTCCCCTCAGACATTGACAATCCTGGTTCTTGGACTTTTGGACTCAGACTGAGGCTTATACCACTGGCCTCCTAATTCTAAGGTCTTCAGGCTTAAACGGAATTATACGACTGGCTATCCTGGTTCTCTGGCTTGTAGACAGCAGATCATGGGACCTCCTTGACTTCCATAACTGTATGAGGCAATGCCTATAATAAATCTTTATACATGCATATATCTCCATCCTATTGGTTCTGTTTCTCTGGAGAACCCTGGCTAATATAGAGTTTGGTACTGAGAGTGGTTCTACAGGAAACAATTTTAAGAATGGTTATTCTGAATTGGCTCTGGAGTCTCTGGAATTGGCTCTCCAATCTGATTAGATTTAAAGATACTAATGACTATTTCTAGTAGTAAGGAAAGCAGTGATAGTCTGTGACATACACTATTTATATAGAGATAGGAAAAATATCTGCACTGAATACTTCTAATCAACTTATATCTAATCACTTATATGAAGCAAGGAGCTCATTTACTCTGTATATGATACTTTTAAACATTTTTAGAAAATAAGAGAACACAATGACATTGGTTGGTTTCTCCTAATATCAATGGACAAAGTGGTGAAAGAAAGGGATGAGCTTGGGGATTTAAATTCCCCACTGGAGGCTGGGCCCAGTGGCTCACCCCTGTAATCCCAGCACTTTGGGAGGCCGAGGTGGATGGATCACCTGAGGTTAGGAGTTCGAGACCAGCCTGGCCAACATGGTGAAAGCCCGTCTCTACTAAAAATACAAAAATTAGCTGGGTGTGGTGGCGGGCACCTGTAGTCCCAGCTACTTGGGAGGCTGAGACAAGAGAATTGCTTGAACCTGGGAGGCAGAGGTTGCAGTGAGCTGAGATGGCACCACTGCACTCCAGCCTGGGTGACAGAGCGAGACTCCATCTCAAAAAAAAAAAAAAAAAAAAAATATATATATATATATATATCCCAACTGGAGCATGGCATAAATGACCTAAAAGCTTGTAGTGTGCCCTGAAGAAGAGACTTATCTCCTATAGCTGAGAGGCTGAAAACCAAATGCAGAACCTCATCCTGTGATTGGCTGAATTACAATACAAGTTGAACTCCCAAACTTGCAGGGTGTCTACTGTTAAAGCGATGGCATTCATTGGGAAAGAATGATATCCTGTAAGCTGAGAAAGAGACATTGGGAATACCATGATAGAGCTGGGGATATTCAGCCCCTATATGCTTATGAACCTTCTTTGCCAGTGGAAAAGTCCTCCTTCATCCCCAGTGAAAGTAGCCTCCCCACCCACAGTGGTCTTGGTCTTTCCACCTCCTTCTGAGGTGCCACATTGCCAAAGAAAAGAGTAATGCCTTCCCCTAAGGCAATTACCATGCAAAACACTACTGATTCCGGACCCACTCTCCCCACCCCTCTTTGCTTTGAGACCTATAACTAAACTCAAGTCCCAGGAGGCCCCTAAAGATGAGGTACAAAGTGGGACCCATGAGGAGGTGCACTATATTCCAAAAGAACTACATGAGTTTTCTAACTTATATAAACAAAAATCTGGGAAACCTGTGGGAATGGATAATAAGGGTGTGGGGTAATGGTAGAAGGAACATAAAGTTGGGTCTCACTTTATTTATTAGTTAATATGCTGACTGAGCAGAGATTCTACATTTAGTGTTGCAGCTCATGATGTTTGAAAGGGCCCAAGAGGTTGTCTGGTAGATTGAAATCACGGACCAAAATTTACCCACCGTAAGAAATGGAAATGCCTGACCTCCCTTGTTTAGTGTAGAGAAAAGGATCAGAGACTTTGAGAGATTCGAATGTTAGAATGAATATATTATTTAAGACTTACTCACCCACACTGGGAGTATCCAGAAGACGTAACTTTTACACATTATGAGAAATAAATTTATGAGGGGAGCCCCAGCATCCTTGGAGAGCTCCACGATCACTCTTCACTTTGATTACATCTTACAGTGGGAACCACAGCCACTCAACTGGAAAACCTAAACACAATGGGAATAATTGGACCTTAGGTGGCAGGAGCCAAGTGTGGTATTGAACCGCCAAAGGCAAAATGGGAGTAGTTACCATAATAGACAGCAGAGTCAAAGCAGCAATCAGAATAGTCTGACTTGTGCAGACCTGTGGCACTAATGAGGTAATGATGGTGTTCCCAGAAGAAAAACAGATAGGAAGCCTACTAAATTCTTACTTGATTTGTATAAGAAAAAAAAATTTAGATCAAGTGAACAAAAGTTTAACTCAATTCATAAAAACAGTCACAGTCCCTGAATCAATTCCTAGACTTGAGCCAGTTTACAGATCCAAAACCTCTTGAATAAGGGGGAGACCGAGTTCTCTGGAGGAAGGACCCTGGTATACAACAGAGTATTCATATTGTTAATCTTTCTCCCAGCCTTCTCCAAAAGGACCTATAGCCTTTAACTATGGTAACAGTGCATGGGGGAAAAGGAAATAGTCAGATCTTTTGAGAACTATTGGACACTGGCCCTGAACTGACACTGATTTCAGAAGACCAAAACATCACTGTGGCCCTTCGATCAGAGTAGGGGCTTATGGAGGTCAAGTGTGTTTTAGCTCAGATCCATTTCCCAGTGGGTCCAGTGGGTCCCTGAGCCTATTCTGTTGTTATTTTCCTAGTTCCTGAATGCATAAGTGGAATAGACACACTGAGCAGCTGGCAGAGTCCCCACATTGGTTCCCTGACCTACGGAGTGAGGGCTGTTACGGTGGGAAAGACAAAGTGGAAGCCATTAGAAATGGGTGTACCTAGGAAAATAGTAAATCAAAAGCAGTACCACATCCCTGGAGGGATTGCAGAGACAGGTGCCATCACTGAGGACTTGGAATATGCAGGGGTGGTGGTGATTCCCACTACATCCTCGTTGCTCTCCTATTTGGCCTGTGCAAAAAACAGATGAATCTTGGAGAATGACAGTGGATAATCATAGGTTTAACTAGGTGGTCACTCCAGTTGCAGCTGCCATACCAGATGTGGTTTTACTGTTTGAGTAATTAACATACTCCTTGGTATCTAGTATGTAGCTTTTGTTTTTAAATTGACAAATACCTTTTTTTATTTTCTTAAGGCAAATGCCTTTTTCTTCATTCTTATCCATAAGACCCACCAGAAACAGTAGGCTTTTAGCTAACAAGGCTAGCAGTATACCTTCAATATCCTACCTTGGGGGAATATCAACTCTGTGGCCCTGTGTTATAATCATATTTAAGGGAATCTTGATCACCTTTCCCTTCCACAGGATATGACACTGGTCAGTTGCATTCATGACATTATGCTGATTTGACCTAGTGAGTGAGAAGTGGTATCTAGTCTAGACTTATTGGTAAGACCTCTGCATGTCAGAGGGTGGGAGATAAATCTGACTAAAATTCAGGGGTCTTCTACCTCAGTGAAATTTCTAGGGGTTCAGCAATATGGGGCAGACAGAGCTATCCCTTCTAAGGTGAAAGATAACTTGTTATATCTGGACCCTCCTGGAACCAAGAAAGTGGCACAATGCCGAGTGATCCACTTCGGATTTTTGAGACAACATATTCCTCATTCTGGCCCATTTACCTAGTGATCAAAAAAGCTTCCAGTTTTGGGTGGGGCCCAGAACAAGAGAAGGCTCTGCAATGGGTCTAGGCTGCTGTGTAAGCTGTTTTACCACTTAGGCCACATGCTCCAGCAGATCCAATGGTGCTTGAAGTGTCAGCAGCAGACAGGGGTATTGTTTGGAGCCTTTGTCAGGCCTCTGTAGGTGAATCATAGCACAGGCCTTTAGGATTTTGGAGCAATGCCCTGGAGTCAGCTGCAGATAACTACTCTCCTTTTGAGAAAGAGCACTTGGCCTATTACTGGGCCTTAGTAGAGACTGAATGTTTGACCAAATTACCGTATGATCCTGAGCTGCCCATCTTAAACTGGGTATTATCTGATCCCCTAAGCCATAAATTTTGGCATACACAGCAATAGTCCATCATCAGATGGAAGAGTTATATACATAATGAGGCCAAGCAGCCCCTGAAGGTACAAGTAAATTACATAAAGAAGTGGCCTAAATACCCATGGTCCCCATTCCTGCTACACTACTTTCTCTCTTGCAGTCTGAATCTATGGTCTCATGGGTAGTTCCATATTCTTAATTTACAGAGGAGAGAAGATTGGAGAAGACTCAGACCTGGAATACAGATGGTCCTGCATGACATGCAAGCACCATCTGAAAGTGGACAGCTGTAGCACTGCAGCCTTTTTCTGGGATATCCCTGAAGGACAGTGGTAAAGGAAGATCCTCCCAAGTGTGCCAGACTTGAACAGTGCACCTGGTTGTGTACTTTGCTTGGAAGAAGATATGGCCAGATATATAATTATATACTGATTCATGGACAGTAGCCAACACTTTGGCGGAGTGGGCAGGAACTTGGAAGGGTCATGACTGGAAAGTTGGTGACAAAGAAATTTGGGGAATAGGTATCTAGATAGATCTCTCTGAATGTGCAAAAGGAGTGACGATATTTGTGTCCAATGTGAGTACTTACCAAAGGGTGACCTCAGCAGAGGATGATTACAATAATCAAGTGGATAGGATGACTCATTTTATGGATACCAGTCAGCCTCTTTCCCCAGCCACCCCAACGGGCTCATAAAAAAAGTGGCCATGGTGGCGGGGATGGGGTTTTTCATGAGCTCAGCAACATGAGCTCCCACTTACCAAAGCTTACCTGGCAATGGCCACTGGCTGTGTTCTCTGTCAGTAGCACAGACCAACACTAGGACCCCAATATGGCACCATGCTCCAAGTTGATAAGTCAGTTACCCTGTGGCAGGTTGAATACATTGGACCTCTTCCATCATGGGGCAGTGTTTTGTCCTTACTGTAATAGACACTTAATCTAGATATGGATTTGCCTTCCTTGCATGCAATGCTTCTGCCAAAACTACCATCTGTGAACTTACAGAATGTCTTATCCACCATTATAATATTCCACACAGTATTGCTGCTGATCAAAGAACTCATTACACAGCAAAAGATTGTGGCAATGGGCCCATGTTCCTAGAATTCTCTAGTCTTGCCATGCTTATCATCATTCTGAAGCAGTTGGCCTAATAGAACAGTGGAATGGGCTTTGGAAGACTCAGTTACAGCATGAGCTAGGTGGCAATATTGTTTTCATTTGTTCTTAATGCTATAACATAATGTCTTAGACTGAGTAATTTATTAACAACAGAAATTTATTGCTCACAGTTTTGGAGGCTGGGAAGTCCAAGATCAATATACCAATAGATTCAGTGTCTGATGAGGGCTCTCTGCTTCATAGATGGCCCCTTGTTGCTGTGTTCTCACATGGTGAAAGGGACCAACTGGCCTTCTCAAGCCTCTTTCCTACAGGCACTAATCCCATTCATGAGGCTAGATCCCTGGTGACCTAATCACTTCCTAAAGGTTCTACCACTTAATACTATCATATTGGGCAATAGGTCCCAAATATGAATTTCGCTGGGATACCAACCTTTAGACCATCACATACCTTGAGGGACTAGGGCAAGGTTCTCCAGAAGGTTGTGTCTATGCTTGGAATCAGTGTTCAACATATAGTGCTCTTTCTTCCAATAGCCAGTATTCATGGGTTGTGGAATCTAGGAGATGGCAACAGGAGTGGCACCACCCACTATTACCCCCTAGTGACCCACTAGCAAAAATTTTGCTTCCTGTTCTTGCAACTTTGTGTTTTGCTGGCCTCAATGTCTTAGCTACAGAGGGAGGAATGCTTCCACTAGGAGACACAACAGTGATTCCACTGAACTGGGAGTCAAGGCTGCCACCTGAGTACTTTGGCCTCCTCATTCCTCTGAATCAACAGGCAAAGAAGGGAATTTTGGTGTTGGCTGGGATACTGATCCTGACTGCCAAGGGAGAAACTAGTCTAGTATTTCACAATAGCAGGTAAGGGTCTGGAATACAAAGAGCTCCCTTAGGGGCATCTCTTAGTATTATCATGCCCTGTGATTAAGTTCAAAGGAAAACTATGACAATCCAATGCAGGCAGAACTGCTAATGGCCCAGGCCCTTCAGGAATGAAGGTATGGGTCACCCTACCAGGTAAAGAACAAAAACCAGTTGAGGTGCTTGCTGAAGTTAAAGGAAATACAGAATGTGTAGTAGAAAAAGGTAATTGTAAATTTCAGCTACAACCATATGACCAGTTACAGAAATAAGGACTGTAATTGTCATGGATATTTCCTCCTTATTTTGTTATGAATACAATTATGTGTATGTATGTTAGGCAAATATATTTGCTTTCTTTCCTGTCATCTTTTCTTATCATGTAACACAAGATGTATTAAATTTATATCAGTATTTAAGTATTGTTAATTTTACGTCATAATATTTAAGTTACAGCTATCAGGAGAAGAGTAAATATTACTCAAAGACTTTACCTCTTCTTCTGGGGAAGAGGCTAGTGTGTTTTCAGTTGCATGCAAGATTGTTGTATCATGCTAGATTGAATTATGGCCTTGTTATTCTCTTTATTTGGAGATTAAGTATGAGTTTTAGGAGATTGGTATGGGTGCCAAATTGACAAGGGGTGGACTCGTGATGATGAATTTCATGTGTCAACTTGACTGGGTTAAGGGATGCTCAGATAATTGGTAAAATATTATTTCTGGGTGTGTCTATGATGATGTTTCCAGAAGAGATTTATTTTTGAATCAGTAGACTGAGTAAAGATCACCCTTACCAATGTGGGTGAGCACCACCCAATCAGTTGAGGGCCTAAATAGAACAAAAAAGGCAGAGGAAGGCCAGATGCAGTGGTGCACACTTGTAATCCCAGCCACTTGGGAGGCTGAGGCAGGAGGATCACCTGAGCTCAGGAGTTTGAGGCCAGCCTGGGCAACATACAACTCCATGTCAAACAAAACAAAACAAAAAGGTAAAACAAACAAACAAACAAACAAAAAAAACCCCCAAAAAAACAAAAACAGAGAAAGAGCAAATTTGGTCTCTCTGCTTGAGCTGAGACATGCATTTTTCTTCTGCCCTTGGGCACTGGTAGTCTCATTTCTCTGGCTTTCTGGGTCATATTGAGAGTTACACCTTTGGCTCCCCAATTCTCAGGCCTTCCAAGTCATGAACTGAATTACTCCTCAGGCTTTCTTGGTTCTCCAGCCGCAGACAGAAGATCATGAGACCTCTTGGCCTTCCTAATGCGTGAGCCAATTCCTATAATAAGTCTCCTTTTATATATATTTACAAATAATCTATTGGTTCTATTTCTCAGGAAAACCATGAGTAATACAACCCCCTATATGTCTTATATGCCTTTATTTTCTTACCTACCATTTTAACTTGTAATGTCTGTTGATATCCCTGTCTCCCACTTGATTGTGAGCTCTTAGAAGTATGGGGAGCACATTGTAGACGCATAATAAGTTTTAATTGCAGGAAAAAATAACTTTTATAATTAGTAAAGACAAGCAGTACCAGCATTTATTTTAAAATAATAAATTTTAAATAAATTAATCAATTAATTAATACTGCCTAGAGCAGTAATACATATGAGCCGAACAAAACAAAACAAAACAAAACAAAACAAAACAACCCACAAAACCCAATTAGACAAAAGACAATCTTGGTCTCAACTACCTCATCTATAAAATGGTTATGTTTGTTATGAAGATTAAATAAATGTACATATGTATATACATGCACACATATATATATGTATTATTTAGAACAATGATTGGCAATTGTGACTGTACTAAACATTAAATATTATAAATGATCATGTTATGGTTTATCAACTCTTCCCTGTTGCTGGCTATGTTCTTGACAGATTGCAATAAAGAGTATGCTTAGGACTATAGTCAGAACTCCAAACATCTTTAAAGTCTGTCTACAAGTACATGAACTGAGGAGGCTGGAAGTTCCTCCTTCCATCTTCTTGGGATGAAATGAGAGGGAGGTGGGCCGGGCTGCATCCTGGGCTGCAGTCTGTGATAGGCTGTCCCCACCAGGAGGGTCTTGCTCATGGGTCTCCTCATGGAGGAGGATGATCCCCATGGGCCTGGATCCTCCTCATGGGCCTGGATATCTCTGAACATATGATGAACATTGCTTATGAAAAATTATTTGTAGGAAAATTGTGAGGCCTAAGAATGTTATTTTCTTTTAGTGATGGTCTTTGTTTGCTTCTGTAAGGTACTTGTGGGCACTCGTAAGCTTGGATCTCTTTAATCTAATACCAGTTTTGAGATTTTCTTGGCCCCATAGATGAATTAAAACTGGTGTACTTCTTGTTTACAAGAAGGATAAGTCTCCTAGGGTAAGTCTTTTGGGGTCCCAAGTCAAAAAGATGAGGGATTTACCAGTTCTCTAACCTTGGTAGCCCCAGACTCCAAACTTTGTCCTTCTAGTCCCAAGAGGCTATCAAAAGCAAAGGCCCATCTTCCCACCTCCTTTTCCAGATCAGCACACATTCCCAAGACAGTACTGAAAGCAGGAACCTCCTTATCCCTTAGATACCTCTTGAGAGCATCCTTCCCTCTCTCTGCATCCTACTATGCTTGTCCAACCTACCATCACCTCTCTCCTGGATAACGGTAAGAGCCTTCTGACTCAGTTTGCCTACATCCAGTCTTGACCCCCTACAATCTGTTTCCCATACTGCAACTAATGAAATTTTAAAAGTGCAACTCTCTCTGCTGGCCACACTGACTTTCGTTCTTTTAGGTCCTCTCACCACAAGGCCTTTGCACCTCTGGCTAGAAGGGTTTTATTTTCCCTTCCCACTTCTTGTAAGTAGCTCCTACTCATCTTCCGATCTCAGCTCAGTCTTCATCACTTTGGAGATACTGTCTCTGACCACAGGAAAATTTGCCATTCTTGGCTCCACACACCTCTCTTTCATAGCAGTCATCACTGCAACCATGTTATTTAAAGGATATTTGAGTGTTGGCCTCTGTCATTAGAATGTAAGCACCCTGAGGGCAGAGACCTCTGTTGTGGCCCACTGCTGTATTCCCTGAGTTCAGCATAATGTCCAGCACTTACTGGTGCTCAATAAGTACTGCTGAATGAATAAATGAATGAATGCATACATGATCAAATGAATGAGTGAAAGCCTTACTGAAATGGTACAGATACCTTCTTTACTTTCCACCAAGGTTTCAATGTTTACGAATTTGTTATTTGCACCTCACAAGTTGCAAACCACACAGTTCTGGAGGCTGCATGTAATGGGGCTATGAGGTGGTGTGACTTCTCACCCTGAAGAGCTGGTGGTTTCCTTTGCCTACTGGTTGAACTCATGAGGGGAAGCTTCTTTCTGCAACTAGCTTTGGGACAGAATTTATTGAGTGTCCAGAGACCAGATCTATTGGTCTCCCTAGGTCCTGTTTCAGTCACTGGTTTAAAAAACCCCAAAGTATGATTAACCCTAATTATTTATCATCTGAATGGGTTCTGAGGAGAGAGGGGAAGGCAGAACAGATGCATCCTCAGTCCCAGCATCCCCCTCTCCACGCCTCTGTCTTCACACACTGTGAAGCTCCCCTCAGCCTCCAGCAGCCCTCTCTGAGGGAAAGTCATCTTCTCCTCTGTCATTATGTGGAGGGTTTCTCCTTTCTCCCCACCCATTCTCACTCGAGGAGGTCTTTCCATCCTCCCCCACACCCTTACCATGAGGGTCTCAGACTTTCCCCTCAACCCCACGTAGTGAGTAGTGCCTCGTTTTTCTCACTGAGCACCTATTTAAAATTTCCTCTACTCTATTATGCAATACATACTTTCTCATTGAGGAATATTCAGAAAATGAATGAAAATAGGAAAAAACCAAGCCACCTAAGCTTTCACCCTCCCTAAACAACTGGTGTTACTATTTTGATGTTTTTTCTTCCAAATTTTTCCCTGTAGAGATTTTTTCTAAAACACAGCTGTAATCATATAGCACATTAAATTTGCATTCTACTTTTTATATTTGTGATGTCATAACATTTTCTAACTTGAAAACCCATAGTTGTTGTGTTGTTGTTGTTTTGTGAGTCAGAGTCTCACTCTGTTGCCCAGGCTGGAGTGCAGTAGCACAATTATAGCTCACTGCAGCCTCAACCTACCAGGCTCAAGCGACCCTCCCTCTTCAGCTCCTTCCTGAGTAGCTGGGACTACAGGCATGCACCACCATGCCTGGCTAATTTTTGTATTTTTTTGTAGAGATGGGGCTTTGCTAAGTTGCCTAGGGTGGTCTTGAACTCCTGAGGTCAAGTGATCCTCCTACTTCAGCCTCCCAAAGTGCTGGGATTACCGACATGAGCCACCACTCCTGGCCAACCCATAGTTTTTTTTAAACAATTTTTTTTTTTTTTTGAGACAGAATCTCACTCTATCATCCAGGCTGGAGTGCAGTGGTGCGATCTCGGCTCACTGCAACCTCCACCTCCCGGGTTCAAGAGATCCTCCTGCCTCAGCCTCCCAAGTAGCTGGGACCACAGGCACATGCTAAAAATTTGTTATTTTTAATTTTATTTTTGATTCAGAAGCTACATGTGTAGGTTACACAGGTATATTTCATGATGCTGAGTATAACCCATAATTCTTTTTTTGAGATGGAGTCTTGCTCTGTCGCCTAGGCTGGAGTGCAGTGGCGCGATCTTGGCTCACTGCAACCTCCCCGTCCTGGGTTCAAGCAATTCTCCTCCCTCTGCCTCCCAAGAAGCTGGGATTACAGGGGCTCACCACCATGCCCGGCTAATATTTTTTGTATTTTTAGTAGAGACGGGGTTTCATCATGTTGGCCAGGCTGTTCTTGAACTCCTGACCTCAAGTAATCCACCTGCCTCGGCCTCCCAAAGTGCTGGGATTACAGGCGTGAGCCACTGCTCCCGGCCTAACCCATAATTCTTAATGTCTATGTATGAACAGACCTTCACCTGTGGTGGTCAGTTTCTTTGGCAGTTTCCAGAATTTCACTATTGCAAATAGCAAAATAATGCATCTTTTTGTATGTGAATCTCACAATATCTGTTTTATTAAGATAGTAAAGAAGACTTTTTTACTACAATAGGGTTTTGCAGTAGGGAGAGAGATCTGGCTCAATTCCTTCACAATGCCTTTCTGAGAGAAGATAATCCTCAATCCCATTCTTGCCCAACAAGCATTTGTTATTAAGTTTTTCAACACTTTCATCACTTGGTAGGGAGGTCTCCATTCAAGATATGTGTCAGGGAACATATCAAAAGCAGCCATTCCCCTTTCCCCTTCCCCATGTTTTTCACTTAAGTATAAGAGATGGTGAGCTCTGTATTGGTAGGGATGTTCATCTTACGTGCCAGACTGACCTAGCACAGGTGTTTGTTTGTTTGTTTGTATTGGAGTTTTGCTCTCGTTGCCTAGGCCGGAGTGCAGTGGTGCCATCTCAGCTCACTGCAACCTCCACCTCCCAGGTTCAAGCGATTCTCATGCCTTGGCCTCTCGAGTAGCTGGGATTACAGGTGCACACCACCACGCTCAGCAAATTTTTGTATCTTTAGTAGAGATGGGGTTTCACCATGTTGGCCAGGCTGGTCTTGAACTCCTGACCTCAGATGACCCACCCACCTTGGCCTCCCAAAGTGCTGGGATTACAGGTGTGAGCCACCATGCCGGGCCGCATAGGTTCTTAATAAATATCTATTGAATGAATTAACCATCTTTAAAGGTTTACAAGTACCCACTGCCCCCCGTGCCCCACCAGTCTCACTGCCTGACTCCAAGTCTCCTACACTAGATTTACAATGTGACTTCAGACTCGGTCTCTTTATTGGGATGGGTTCTGGCACAGCCTTAAAACCTAGACTTTTCTTTTGCAGCACAAGTGCATAAATGAAGCCTGGCTGGAGGTCCTTGTCCTTGGGCCATGCACACTTCTGTGTCTCCATTATAGTATCTGCCAAACATGGTCAGCTACCCTGATTCTTCATCTTTGTGAACTTTGACCTTCAAGTCCTGTGGATCCACACCTGGCCCTCTGGGAATCTGTGGTCAGGCCTGCTACAACTGCTCATGAAAGTAGTTCATTCATTTGGAGCCAATTTCATGAGGGCAGACAGCATGTCTGACCAATTAGTGTAAGCTCAGCATAGTGCTGGGCACATAGTTTATAGAGCCAATTAATACATCCATTTTTGTCAGGTGCATCTGCTTCTGCTGGACTTGTCTGTCTGTTTTGGTCTTCTTGCCCTCCTGGTAGCAAGACTCTTGGTATAATCCTGACATCCAAGCCCTGGGATGGAATGAAACTCCAGACACTGACCTGGAGCCATCATTAATACAACAGGCTGTCATTAATATGTGTGACCTTGCATTTACATTTTTATAGGAATACTTCTAAGCACTTTTTTTATGGTTTGCTGACATTCACAATCCCATTTTTGGGATGAAGTGATTAAACCTTCTGGGTTTGAGGAGATTTCTCAGCAGTGGATGGAATTATGAACTCTTAAATCTAAAGAAGCATCAGAGATAATTTATCCTGGAAAAAAGTCAACGTTCTTCATTCTTCCTTGATGTTTCTAGTCAAATCAGTGAATTCTTCTGATTGTTTTCTTTGGGCCGAGAATTGTTTTTTTTTTGAGCAGAGACTTAGGGGAGTGCACTGCTGTCTAGATAACATTCTCATAGGCAAATAGCCTTGGTGTGTCTGGCATCGTGAGCAGTGAGTGGGGATTTTCCATCTGAAGACAGACAAAAAGAAAGTAGAGTGAGGGAGGTGAGCAGGGCTCTGGATCGTCCATGGAGACCCTGACATCCAGGAAACTTTATTTCCAAGGTTACCCAACCCAAATCGGCTGGCATGCTGGCTCCCACTGTTTGATTTTAATCACCCCTAGCTTAGAGAAACTATTCTGTAAGTTTAACGCATATTTATCTTGCTGAATGCTTAATGAACTGAACTTTCCTTGTTCAGTTGTAATAATTCACTAAACCAACCTTTTCTATTACTAAGCAAACTGCTTTAATGATTCTTATCTTTTTGGATCTGTTTGGGAGAGGAAGAAAAAGGAGACAGAAAGATACCATTACTGCTGCCAACCGTACTCTGTGAAGGAATAAGCCTTAAAGCTACTGCATTAGTAGTTTAACTGAGGGGAGGGTGCAAAGCAGATGTAACATAGCTGGACCATGGGAGAAAAGTAGAGATCTCTCCCTCCTGCAGTTTCCTGGTGTCTCAGGAGAAAGCTGGACTCTCCTCTCAGCTATTCCTCTCTTCATTCCATGCACAATCTAAGCCATGGTCTTTTTCCTTGTCTGCAACTTCAGTCAGAAGGCTTTTGATTTTCTTTATTATTCCGATCTAGAACCTCTGTCCTACTCTATTTGTTCCAGATTACCCAATTCGATTCCTAAAACACAATTCTCTTCCATCCCCCATGTTCTTGTATAACCCTAAGCAAAGGGAATGGGGAACTACTAGGGTACTTTTTAATTCTAGAGAGTATGAGATACCTGGGTCCAAGAAATTTTGACCTAAACATGAAGCAGGAAAAGAAATGGAACCATTAAGATGAAGTTAAGCTCTAAAGCTTCTTACCTTTTTCGGTATTTCCACAGTGGAGTAAACCGTATTTGCTGGATCTTCCTTTAGGATTGTTCTCTTTTAAAAACAAACAACAAACAAAAGAAATCATCACCCACCTCCTGAATCACATAGACAAGGCCAGAGAGACATTCAGAATCCAGAGAGGGGAAAGCAGAGATGGGAGGAGATGTGAGAGGAAAAGGAGGGTTCTGGAACAGGGAAGGGAGGTAGGAAGTTCTCTTGTTGGTGACTGCTATTATAATAAATTTTGATAACTTTTTTCAGGAAGCCATTACATTATTTTTAAACTGTACTGTGTTAAAATGAATTTCAAAAATATTATATATATATGTGTGTGTATATATATATATATATATATATATATATATATATATATAGAGAGAGAGAGAGAGAGAGAGAGAGAGAGAGAGAGAGAGAGAGAGATCTCTAGAGAAGTCTTCTGATACCATGATTCAAACATCCTGTCAAAGTCACACTCTTCTACCCACTGCCTTATGCAAAAGGAATCTGGCCTTTTGTGTGGCCGTTATGAACTGTGGAGGGGAGCAGGTGATTTCACAGACCACAGCATGAGCATTGTGAGTCAGAACCAGGTGCTCCAGAGACCACCAGCTTCTTCTGCACAGAAGAGAATCCATGAAGACTTGGAGGAGGCACAGGTGCATTGAGTTTTAAGTCTATATATCCTCACTCCCCTCTTCATTCCCATGTTGTCCAAACCCATGGAAAAACCTCACAAGGAGAGCCTCAGAGACAGGATCAGTTCTCAGGAAAGATGAGAAGGGACTCACATTAGTGTGAGGGATTGTGTCGTACTCTGTGTTCTCTCCAGAATGGGGGCATATGTTAGGAGTTTCCCGACAAATGTCCACTCTCTTCTTCTCTTCAATGTACTCTAAAAGCAAGTTGGGAGAGAATCAAAGCCACCTCTCCAACCACTCACCACTTCCACTGGCCCACCATTTCTCCTGGATGAC
Organism: Homo sapiens; assembly: GCF_000001405.40. Lineage (NCBI taxonomy): Eukaryota > Metazoa > Chordata > Mammalia > Primates > Hominidae > Homo > Homo sapiens. The sequence continues at coordinate 160,751,262 of NC_000001.11, read as the reverse complement.
CCACTTAGGGTGACCAACCAGCCGAGTTTCCTTGTAATGGAAGGGTTTTCAGGATAGAGGACTTTCAGTGTTAAAACTGGGAAAATCTAAACAAATCAGGATGAATTGGCCACCCCCAACATTTCACTTCCTGATCTCTCCATCAAGGTGGTCAAAGTGGGAAGTAGAGAAAGTCAAAGACACTTTCAGAGGGGCTTCCAGGAGGGAAGGGAGATTTCAAAGTCTGCAAGTCATACCCAACTGATGTTAGGTCCCTCCCCATCACCCACATGGACAGTGGGAGCCCAGAAGACCAATCAGCAGGGTTTAGGAACACAGGATGGGGTGCAACTGGAGAGAGACAGGGAAAGGCTTCCCCAGGAGCCATGTGTCTAGTGGGCAGTAAAGCGAGGTCTTGGGTTGATCCTGTGGAAAGGGTGTGGGTGGTTTGTGGGCTCTGACAGGGATAGGAAGGATTGACTAGAGGATGCTGGTCTGTGGGGACCTCAGAGTTGGAGGCCATCACCTCCCAGGTCAGGGGAGCAGAGTCAGCAGTGTGGGGCCTGTATCAACAGAAGAGCCACATCAGGATGTCCCTCTGGGAGAAGGAGAGAAGTGAGCCCTGGAAAGGGAACTGGGAGAACCGTGTCCTTGGGAAAGACCTCCAGCACTTTCTCTACTCCAGAACTAAGGAGCACAGGCTGACTGTATGCTTCTTGAGGGCAGAGACTGTGGCTTCTTCATCTCTGCATCTTCAACACCTCATGCCAAGTCTGGCACACAGCTCTATATGTGCTTGTTGAATCAGTGAAGGAGAAAAACATGAATGTGGGTGAGGACAAAAATAGTACACGCTCTACCTTCTTGTCTCTCTCTCTTCAGAAACCAAAGAAATAGCCCCAGTACAAAGAGACTGAGCAGGAGGGGCACCAACAGGAGACACAGGAGGACCATGGAGGAATCTGGGTCATCAGCAGCACCTTCAGAGAATGGGTGGAGGCACAGGGAAGGGAGAAAAGTCAGCTCAGGAAAACGACCCAGGTCTTGGAGCACCTGCCACCTTCCTCCCAGCCTGGTGACCACCCAGCGGCCTCCAGTTTCCATACAGTGTCTGTTCCCATGGGGGCTAGGAGCTGAAGAAGGTGTAGGACCTGGGCAGAGTCTCCTGTGGAGAGGGGAGAGGCAGTCACCTTCACAGAGCTTCCTGGCAAGGATGGGGCTTGAGAAGTTTCTGCTGACAGGGTTCCTGGCAACGCAGATGAAGGTCATATCACTTTCTCCCCATCTCCAGGAGATGGGGAGGATGGACCCATTATGGGACTCATTGGCTGCTTGCCCCAGGGCCTTCCAGGTATAAATCACATCCTCTTCCCCATGTTCCATGCAGCATGTCAGATTGGTCACACAGGTGCCATTCTTATTGCTCTGCAGACCCATGGTGACTTTAGGCTTTGACAGGTGCTCTGTGAGAGGAAGGAAAACCAGAGGTGGAAACTCTGCCTATAGCTCTCCATTCTCTGAATTATCCTTGGATACCTTGGACCTGAATCTCCCTGGGAGCTCCAGACTGGAGAGAAAGCAGTAATTCAGAGCAGAATCCTCATTCGTATCTGGAAAAGAGAACTACCTAGGTCTGCTTTACCATAGCTATATAATAATAATAACAATAACAACAATAGAAATAATAGAAATAATAATGCAATAAGAATATAACTGTCATTTACTAAGCATAGCCACATGGCAAGCACTGTGATAACGCATGTTAGATGTCCGCTAATATTATCTGTTCTAGAGGTTCCCTAGTCTCTGTCCTCAGGCTTCCCTTTACTCTCTATGAGAGTTCACTTTACTCTCTAGGAGAAAATTGTGTTGGAGTAGCCCTTCTGGCCCCCTTCTCTACTCTGTGCTCACTCCCCTGCCTCAGAGAATGAGTAGTTGGTTCATTGGTGAGATGGTAAGAGTCTGACATTCATCATTTACCTTTCTCTACTCATGGGTTTGAGACGTTAAAGGTTGCAGTTAAAATGTGTTTTGCCCTTTTTCTTCCTCCCCTGACTAGTTAGCCTGCAGAATACATATCTTCTGTTCCCTTCAACCATGTCTATATGGAAGACACACCTGGATCAGGTGCAGTGCCTACCTCCTACAAGCAAGTCTGGAGGCCCATCCCCTAAGGTTCCTGATACTGTGGCTCAGTGAGTGAAGCAGCTATTCTTCTTGAAGAAGTTTGAGTCATTGTTTCATAATTTTAACTTCCCTGGATGAGTGCCAAGGTCTAGAATTGAAAGGAAGCATTTCTCCTGTCTAGATTTACCAGAAATATGCTGATATTTTAATCCCCTCCTTCTTGCATCTATTTATCAATTGGTTGTAATCTGTAGAGAAAGAGATGTGATCGATATTTTGCCCAAAAATCTTCCTAAGGTAGGCATTTCTTTCCTCCCCACTACAGATATGGAAACTAAGACTTGAAGAAATTAAATAACTCGGCTAAGGTCATGTGACTAAATAAAGAAGCCAGCATTTGACCTTGATCTATGCGATGGCCACTGCACATATCAGCCATCCACTGCACCACGCTGCTTCTTACAACATCTCTGAGTAGGCAGGGACCTCAGGGGTCAGCTACATCTATTTCATTCATGCAGAAGTCCCCTCTCCCACATTCTTGCCAAGTGTTTATTCAGCCTCTGCTTAAACATCTCTCATGTCAAGGAGCTCACCACCTCACCAAGGCAGCCATCCACCATTGGAACTGATTTTGCTCACCGTAGACATGCAGCACGTACTCCTGGGTGGAGGGCTGCTGGAGTGATGAGCTGTATATCCCCACATAGTAGATCCCTGAGTCATTCTTCTTCAGTTTGCTGAGCTTCAGGGAGTAGCCTCCATCTGGGAAGTCTACTCTCTCCCTATTACGATTTTGGGTCACTATGATAGTGCCCCCTTCTGGCTGTATGGTGACAAGAGGGGTTGTGTTGAAGGTCCAGACAATAGAGTCAACTTGCTTTACTTTGGACTTCAGGGGGAAAGTCACGGCCCCACCAACGGAACCGACCAGCTCTTTCACGGGTCCAGAGGCTGCTGACCCTATAAACACAGAGAACCATAAAATAAGCCTGATTCCCTGTCCTTGTCACCAATTACTCACCCCCTTTGGGTCCTGGAGAGATCTGAGAAACCCACTCAGTCCAACACAACAACCTCCTGGAAAAGCCTTTGGAACCTCATATAGAGGTCCCTCACATGTTACCCTATTATGTAAGTGCTCACATGGAAGCATTATATTAGAAATTTATGTATCACAACAATCTTAGTTCACTCCCAGAGAGTATGACTTATAAAAAATCATCACTGATTATGTGGTTGTAGGTGAAAAACAGTTAAGAATGTCTGCTGAAGAAACTTCCAGAAGTGGCCAGCTGAGCATTACCAGTAAACAGATGTGGGGAGTAAGTCATCTTATTCTTACCTATTAAACTTGAGAGACAGACTCTGGGAATAACACAGAGCAGTGAGAGAATTTAGTTTGGGACTAGCAGTTTAAAAGCATAAATTATAATCTTGATTAACACTTTTGTTTTTGAGACAGAGTCTCACTCTGTTGCCCAGGCGGGATTGCAGTGGCACGATCTCAGCTCACTACAACCTCCACGTCCTGGGTTCAAGTGATTGTCTTGCCTCAGAGTGATTGTCTTTCTTCAGCCTCCTGAGTAGCTGGGAGTCCAGGTGTGTGCCATCTTACCTAGCTAATTTTTGTGTTTTTAGTAGAGGTGGGGTTTTCACCATGTTGGCCAGGCTGATCTTGAACTCCTGACCTCAAGTGATCTGCCCGCCTCTGCCTCCCAAAGTGCTGGATTGCAGGCATGAGCCACCACACCCAGCCTTGTTTAACTCTTAAAACAACTTTTTGAAGAAACATTCTTTATATCCCTATCTTACGGATCAGGAATGTGAGGCACAGTGGGGGTAAATGACTTACTCAAGCCACCTAGTAAGAGGCAGAGTACACACCAAAACCCACAGGGTCGAGACCTTGAAGGGCATATTTTATAGATGAGAAAACTAAATAGTAGAAATGATAAGAACTTATTCAAGGCTGATAGAAATACAAAAACTAAGACTAAATCCTTAAAGGTGAGGCAGGTTAGGTAGTCAAGGAAGTAACAGTGTTCTCAGGAGGCAGTAACTCTGGTGACCCTACAGTCAATACAATAAGCCTCAGCATTCACATTGTAATTGAGCTCATTTAAGCAAAGCTATCTTCAGTGAGGACTTTCCGCTGTAGAGAGCATGCGGATTTTGATTTTACTTGTTCTCAAACTGACCCTTTGCTCATTATAATAGTAAAAAACACACCCATGGGTGGAGATTTAAGATGCTAATGAGACACGAGATTTATGAAGAAGCATGTATAGCTACTGTGCACGTCCACCCAGAGGACCACCAAGAACATGGTTACTAGTAACACCTCTTCCCACCCTCTTATGAATAATCATGTAAGACTCCCATAAAGGGGGTCTCCCCAGTGCCAGTCTTTGCTGTCTCATCCTTATGGGCAGCCCACCCTGAATTTTCCTTCTCTCAGAATGTACTGTCTTTTCTGCACTTAACTGTCAAAATATTCTTATTCTTTTGCAATCAATTACCCTATGCTGTATTTCCTTTGCTGTGTATCTCTCATATAAATTCTTTTAAACTAAGTAGACAAGAACTGAGGTCTCACATCAGCTGTCAACAAAGGTGTTCTCCTTAAAAGTACAAAACCCAAAGTTATTTCCCCTTCTGCCTCTTAACATAAAGTGTCAGGGTGAAATTTTTAAATGGAATTTTTATTAATTCAGTCATGAAAAGCACAAATGAAAGAAGCAAAGCCAACAAAACAGCCAAGCTATAGGATCCTGACAGTTCTAATGATGCTACTGCAAGGCTACATGGTGACTTTTGTGGTTCCTGTGTACTTTTGACCTTGTTGGTCCTTCTTCCATAAGAAATATTAAAAATCATATTTCATGACTGTGTTGGTATAAAATGAATGTGATCCGGGCTGGATTCATTATATATTCATTGTTATTGTTATTGCTATATTCATTTCTCTTCTGATTTTAAAAGAAATTAAAATTAAAACTATCGTGGGCCTTATGTACAGTGTCTCCTGTGTGTAATTGGCCCTGTGAGACTGACCAAGCATCCAGGCTCTGTTTCATTTCACAGCCTGCTCTCTTAGACACAATCTTTTCTTCTACTCCAGTACTGATGTAACTCATGCCTTTTCTAGTAAAAGGACAAATTCCTATACAGACATATCCAGATATCAAAAATTGCTTCATTAGAGATTTATTTCTTTGGTCCCTGTTAAAATCAAATATCTTGGCAAGGGTTTCCAAATTATAAGAGTTGTCATGTATTAAATGTTTATTCTGCACCAAACGTTTATTGTAAAGAGTATGCCTAACACTCAAAGCAATCCTGCAAATTAGGCATTTTGACCCTTTTACACAAGGATCAGCAACCTATAACCCATAGGCTAAATCTGGTCCACTGCCTGTTTTTGTAAATACAATTGTACTGGAACACAGCCAGGCTCTTTCATTTACATATTGTCTATGGATCCTTTTTCACTACAAAGGCTGAGTTAAATAATTGTGACCATGATTTATTGTCTGTAAAGCCTAAAATATTTATTCTCTGGCCCTTTTCAGAAAAAATTTGCTAACTCCTGACTTCATGAGAAAATTGAGATTCAAACAACGACAACAACAAATAACAACAGCTAAGTAACTTATCCAAGGGCACAAAGCTAGCAGGTGACGATTTGAGGATTTAACCCAATGTCTCTCCAGCTCTGGGACCTGGACTGTTTTCACTATGGCTCAATTTGAAGGCCCCCTGGCGTTTGTACCAGCTCCAGCCTTCTCCCTCACTCCCCTTCTCCATCCCCCTAAGGGACTCTAGTGTCAATTTCAAAGCCCTTGGGTGCCATTGGACCATAATTTCCCTTCTTGTCCTCTGGTGACCTTCCCTCAAGCATAAACTGCCCTACCAGTGCCCCAGGGTGAGGAAATCTGATGCTACCAAATGGTGACCCACTCCCTTGCTTACAGATCTGAAGTCTCTGCCAACGTTTTGCTAAATTTATCTCCAAAGTACTGATTCCTCTTCTTGGGTATGTATCTTTTAGGAGCTGATTTCTCTTTTCAAACATTTTTCCCTCTAAAATGTATCAGTTGGTACATATATACTTTGGATTACTCAAGCTTTTATTAAATCATCCCATTAAGTAATCTGATTTTTTAAAAAAACTGTTCTCTATGCTTCCTTAATATTAAGGCCGGGATGGTTTTTCGACTGCTCTCTTTGTTCATCTTTAGGAGTGTCAAGTCCAAATAGTGCCAGGAAATGTTACAGACAAAATCAATTTTATTCTGAAATTTTGATCAGTTAATGCATTTGTTCTTTTACTTCAACAGCAGAGATGAAAGGGGTGAATCTTATGAAGTCAAATAAAGATTGGGTATCATTTGGCCCCAAATGGGTACAGTTTCTACACTTAGGGCAACCTTCAAGTAATTTCATTTTCACATTTCATTTTGAAGCTATAATTTAAGGTGAGGAAGTGGCAAAACTACAAAGATGTGGCTTTAGTTGCTAGCATGCAACTACTCTTTTCACATGCAATTACTCTTTTCACGCTTCCACACACGTAGTGCTGTATTCTCAGGGTAAATGCCAAGGGACATGACTCGTGTGGGATATAAGAAAATGTTGCCAAACGCATTGTTTCTTGTTAGAATACAGTTTGAGAGTGAGACAGGGCAAATTACCAACATGAGCCTATAGATGGAGTATATTGTTCTATCTTAAATGTATCTTCAGGGTGAGACAAGGGGTAACGAAAGAAAACAGTAGCTCCATGCCATTCTCGGAATGTGGGTTCAGAGGACAGGGGCAAGGTTGGAGATTCCTAACCAGTTTTGCTTCTGCTTCTCAGCTGACTACGAAAAGGGATCCAGAAACAAGACACTTCTTTTTTCAGTTGTCCAAGGCTGAACTGAAGCTCTTCTTTCTGTGATGGTTTTGCACCTGCAGTGTGTGACCCTATAGAGTTTTACCATATCTAAGCAGGTCACACTTGTCAGATTCAGTCATTCCTTCTTTTAACAAGAATTTATTTAGTTCTCATTGTTTAGGAGCTGAGGGTATAACTGGGGAGCAAGACAGTCATAATTCTGGCACTTACGGAGTTGGTAGATAGTCATTAAATAAATAACTACATGTGTTATGGAAAGGGAAGATGCTGGAATTGGTGGCTTATGCCTGTAATCCCAGCACTTTGGGAGGCTGAAGCAGGAGGATCACTTGAGGTCAGGAGTTTGAGACCAGGCTGGGCAACATAGCCAGACCTTGTCTTTACAAAAAATGAAAAAATTAGTTGGGCGTGGTGGCATTCACCTGTGGTCCCAGATACTCGAGAGGCTGAGGTGGGAGGATTCCTTGAACCCAGAAGGTGGAGGCTGCAGTGAGCCGTGATCGTGCCACTGCACTCCACCCTGGATGACAGAGTGAGACCCTGGAGACAGAGTGGCTACCAACCTCTACCCACAAGACTCGAGAGGATTGGGTCCCATGATATTCATCCACTCTCCTCAGGTGCCAACCTTCTACCTGAGTCAGTGCAGTGAAGGTTGTAACCTGCCTCTTTTACATCCATTTTACCCCTTCCTCATTCCGTACAAGCCAAATGGTTTGGGCTACCCAGTTCAGGTGGTAGCCCTTCTCATGTACAGTAATTAGTTCAGGGGTGTCACATGACATGGGTTGACTGCGTAAGGCCAGGATGACAATGTATTGCTGTGGAAAGATATGCAGCTGGGACTGCCACTCACATGTGGCCACCACACAAACATCCCGGCCTCCTCCCTCCCCTGATCCTCAGCTCACTTTCTACCTCACACTCTTGTTTGTGCTTTATCCTCCTCTCTGTTCATGTAAATCTTATTCAAACCCTGTATCTAATTCAAAGCTCTTCCCTGAGGAAGCCTCCAACTCTTCCTCTCACACATCCCCTGAAAATTTACCACTAATTTCACTTCATTGACACTTTAAATTCTCCAGAAAGAAATATCCTCCCTTGGTGGTCGCTGCATATATCATTTTGCTGTGGATTAGCCAATGATTGGTCCACAGGATTAGAGGCCAGATCACCCAATGATGGGGTCACCAAGTCCTGCCCAGAGAGGGGTAGAGGTCGCTTCTCCTCCTCCAGCATGTGGCAGAGGGAGAAAGGGCTCTGGCCTAACTGGGAGTCAGGGTCCATTCTGGGTCCATTCTGCCGCCTCCGTAGTCATAACTCCAGCAGCAAACACCTGGTGTCACTCTGTGGTTTGTAAGCCAGATCAGTGGGCATCCTCTCTCCTGATCCTTAGAACAGCCCCGTGAGATACAGCCTAAGCCCTGCTTTATAAATTGGGATACTGGAGTTTTGAGAAGTGGGGTGACTTTCCTAAAGCCCCAATGAAGAAATGTTGGAAGAGGGAAGAGGAGTTAGTTCCTCTGCCTCAGTGGTCTGTGTTGTTTCCAATATTGCTTCACCACTTACCACTTCGAGTTTTGGTTTCTGAACCCTCATACGAGAAATAAATAACAACATTTAGTTTCCAGGCATTTGGGGAAGATGAAGTGTGAATACAGATTTGAAAGCATTTTGAGAAGTACAGAGTAGCCTAACGAGAAGGTGGGATGCGGGTGACAAGGTCAGGAAATGAGAGCATGAGAGTCAGGCCTTGAGGAGGCTTCCCATCTTTTGGTTTTATTTCTGCACAGATAGCTAAAAATGAGAAACAGAGATATCCCAAAACACCTTTGGATGGCTTCTCAGCAAAGTAAGCCAGAAAGTTAAGACGGCCATGAGCATTCCCCACTACATCCCCCGCCTGCCTTTGAAGGTGGAGGGAGCTGGGGCAGGAGACCCTTTGTCTTTTGCCCCAGCCAAGACTCAGATGTCTTTGCATCAGGAGGAGTCAGCTGTGAGATTTCCTCTGTAACAGGAAGGGATAACAGGTCCTGCCCTTTGTCACCTTCCTTTCCTCTTGGTTGTCACCTCCTCCCCTGTCCTGTCCCCTAGAGTCTCAAGAGTTGAGTGGAGGGAAGGAGCCCGATTATGAGGAAGATACATTATCAGTGCAGCCAGAACCAAGGGATGGTGATAAAGCAGGAAGACTTTGGGGGAGGGGAGAGTGGAAAAGCCTGCCTCCTGCTTGCCAACCCCGTCCCCAAGCACTTCTCTGAACACTTGGTGCCTCTGTCCAAATGTAGCAGTGTGTTGTGGCACTCTCCTCATGAAAACCATGAACCAGAGCATCTCAGAGCTTGGAGGAGTCTTAGGGATTACTTAGTCCAATCCCATTTCACAGATAAGAAGGCTGATATTCAGAAGGTTATGGTGATGTTTCCCAAACCAGTGGAAGGCCAGGATTAGGAGCCAAGGCTCCTAAGGCAGGATTTCACAGACTGTGCCCCATGGCGCCACCTTTGGAGGCTGTGGCAGTGCCTCAGTGTATTTCTTGGGAGCTCAGGAGGAGGTTTAAGGGGTGAGCGTAGGATAGGAGGCTATGGGACTTGCTTCCGTTAGGCTTCAACTCTATACATTGGAGTCATTTATTTGTTTTTTTCTGTGTAAAATTTCATTCCATAAAAGGAAACCATGGATTTAAAAAAAAAGGCAAAAAAAACCCAAAGTGGTTTGAAATCTATTGCACTTTACTCAAGTCCCCCTTAACGAATGTACTCACGAAAGAGCAGTGTAATTCAATGCCACACAAGGCAGCCACAGACAGAGGCTTGAAAGTTTCCCGCTTCACCACACACCTTTCCCATCACTCTAGCCCTAACCGACCACATTCACATTTAGGTTGCTCACCACTCTGCTCCTCACTCATCTCCTGCCCCCTCTTCCTTGTTTCTTCTGGTTCTTTTCAACACTCTCCCAATTCCCCTCACCCACTTTTTTGTTTTCTTTTTATTGATTGTCTCCTTGACACTACTGTATCATCAAATCATTGGCAGATTACTGTGCCCATTTTTCAGATGAGAATACTGAGGCCATGAGAACTGCTTCATGGACCCTCTGAGTTTAGCCAGGGTGGCCCCCTGTTGGTACACCCATATCCCAGAAACAGAGCTACCCGTTCTTCTCGGGCCTTTCCAGTTTCTACCTCAGATTTATGTACCTGGAGAGGGAAGAAACCCCAACTGGTACTCCCTGAGGAAGATTCAGCTCAAATGCACATGTAGTGAGCATCTCTTTGGTGCCAGGTCCAGTGATAGACGGCTTGTTATGATTAAAAGAGCACTAGCTTTCTAGCTTTCTAAACTCAATCTCTGGCTACCTTATAAATGCTGTGTTATCTTGCCCAAGAAGCGTGATCTCTCTGCTGAGCCTAAGTTTCCTCAACTGTAAAACAGGGATAATGATATCTGTCTTACAGACTCATGAGGAGGTGGTATGAAAAACACCTGCGATGTAGTAACTTAATAAATGGTGATTATTTTAATAATTATTTTGCATTTGATATGTCATTTAAAATGTCACAATAATTCTGCAACTTAGATTTCATTCTCTGTTACACACCTGAGAAGAGCAAGGCTCAGAAGGGAAGAGTAATTTGCCTACAATAATACAGCTACTAAGTCAAACCAAGGATGCGCTTGTCCAGTGCCAGGATTTGTTCCACTGCCCTGCCCACTGGAAGTTCCAGGACAATCTCTGTCTCCTTTCAGCCTCAGGAGGTACACTACACAGGCTGCCTCTGGAGGAGGGCAGAGGGGGACCTGCATGGCAGTTTTTCATACTTGTGCTCTTTCGCTGACTGATTTCAGATGGACACCTGTAGCTTTCAAAGTCTCTATAATTTTCCCCAACCCCTCCACCTTATCTCCCTCAAGTTCTATTTCTGCTCATCATTTCCGTTCAGGGAGTTTTTTTTTTGTTTTTTTTTTTTAAAGTGAGGGCCTATTCCAGAACCACCTGGTTAGACCCAGGTACCTCTCAAAAATACAAACTTCTGATGAATTCAAAGTGGGTAAGAGTCTGCTGATGCTGACCACTTAGCGATGCAGGGGAAAATATTGGGGGCACCAGCTGCCTGCGTGGTCTTGGGCAGATCACTCCAGGCAGGCTCAGATACACATAATGAAGCAGTTATGTGAAGTCCTTATAGGGGGACCTCATGGTAGTACTCCATGAGATTGATGACAGAAGAGATATTTCTCACTTATAGGGCTCCTGATCCTTTCTGAGAGCCCTTAGGATAGAAAAATCTTCAAAGACTAGAATACCAGTGACAGGTGGAGAACTGTCCTCTGTCCTCCATGGGATTAAACATAAAGTGCCTATGGTATGAGTTGGTTCTCTAAGTAGAGACTGATTACATTGCTTGAGTAAGGAAAGAAAATTCAAGTGATTCTTTCCATTTATATTACTGTTATGCATAACCAATTTTATAAATACATTTATAAGTAAATAAATACATACCTGTATAGTATCATCTTGTTCTTAAAGTTGCCCTCAAAAGGAGAGAAGGCTAGAAGATAAAGTTTCTGAGGCCCAGGAAAACTTTAACATTCCTTATCTAACTCATGGCAGAACCTGGATTAGAAAAATGGTCTCTGATACCCAGCACCACTTCTTTCAGCTCCTTCATCCCTGGGACAGTCAACAGGGGAGTCAGTTCCCAGAGCCATTTTTCCCCCTCTCTCTAGTCTCTTCCTGACCTGAGAATCAGAGATCAGAGATTGATAAAAAGCAAATGTTAGATGAGAACACAGAGCCTCCCGAGTTGAGCCAGAGGCCCAGAGTGGAACAAGAAACCTGGAACTATTCAGGATGGGGTAGACAGGAGAGTGGAAGAGAATCCGGCCGGACTCACCTGTGAGCTGCCAAAGGATATAGATGAGGGTGAGGCATGTTGGGGAACCAGCCATATTGCTCTCTGGAAGTCAGCCACTGAAATGAAGCCACTTCCCTCTTAGGTATTACTCAGACCTCTTCCCCAGCTGATATTTAAAGAAGCAGGAGGGGTCACGCCGCAGACATGTGAGATTGAGTAATTGCTAAATTATTTTCAGAGTGAATAGAGCATTTTACCTTGCCACCAGCAATCTATGAGAGATCTATTTGCTCCCCATCTTCATCAGCATTTGGTATATTCCCATTTTATATTTTAGCTGTTTTAATAGGTGCTGTAGTGATACCTCATTGTGGCTTTAATTTGCATTTCCCTAAAGCCTAATAATGTTGAACATCTTTTCATGTGCTTATTTGCCATCTATATATCCATATCCTCCTTGGTGAAATGTCTATTTATGTCTTTTGTCCATTTTATAATCAGATTCTTTATTTTTTTTACTGTTGAGCTTTGACAATTCCTTATATGTTCCAAGTATAAGAGTCATTTGTCAGATATGTGGTTTACAAATATTTTCTCTTGGTCTGTAGCCTGTCTTTTCATCTTCTTAACGGGGTCTTTGGCAGAGCAAAAATTTTAATTTTGATGAAATTCAACTTATCAGTTTTTTTTCTACCCACACTAGGGTCCAAAGGTTTTCTCCTGAAAGTTTTATAGTTTTATGTTTTACATTTAAATGTATGATCCTGTTTTAATGTAAGGTGTGAAGTTTAGGTTGAGATTCACCTAAATATATTGTCTATATTCATTGAGAACCATATCAGGTAATATGGTTGACAGTTTTTTTTTGCTTTCGACACTTGAAAAGTGTCATGACACTCCTCCCCTCCATGGTTTCCAGTGAGAAATCAGCCATCATTTAAATTGTTTTCCCTATAGGTAATGTGTCATTTTTCTCTAGCTGTTTTAAAAGTTTTTTGTTTGCCTTTGGTTTTCAGAAGTATGATTACAATGTGCGTGTTTTTTTTTCTTCTGCCTGTGGGTGTTCAATTGTTCTACTACCATGTGATGGAAAAGATGATCTTTCCTACATTGAATTACTTTTGTATCTTTATCAAAAATCAGCACTTATACTTGTGTGGGTATATTCTGGAGCTATCTATTCTATTTAACTGACTTACATAATGTAATTATTTATATATCAGAGCTTAAGTTTGCCATGTTATTATTTTCTCTTTGTTCTTCTGGGCTTTTGTTTGTTTATTTTGTTCCTCTGTTTCACTTTCCTGGCCATCCTGTGTGTTACTGGAATATTTTTTATAATTCCATTTTGATTTATCTATAATGTATCTTTTTGAAGAGTTTTTTTACTGGTTGCTGTACATATTGCATTTTACATACATAACTTTTGATCTACCTATCAGTGTTGACATTTTACCAGTTGAACTAGGTATAGAAAACTTACCTATATTAGGTTTCTTTATTAGTCTATCTTTATACTTGTCTTAAATATATTGTCTATATTCATTGAGAACCATATCGGTAAGATTATAAGTTTTGCTTCAATTGTTGAACATAATTCAGAACACTCAAGAGGAGAAGGACAATCCATTACATTTACCCATATTTTAACTCTTTTCATTGTTATTTCTTTATTTCTAATGTTTCAAGTTTCCTTCTTTTTATTTTTTTTTGGACGAAGTCTTGCTCTGTCATACAGGCTGGAGTGTAGTGGCATGATCTTGGCTCACTGCAATCTCCGCCTCCTGGGTTCAAGCGATTCTCCTGCCTCAGCCTCCTGAGTAGCTGGGACTACAGGCTCATGCCACCATGCCCACCTACTTTTTGTACTTTTAGTAGAGATCAGGTTTCGCCATGTTGGCCAGGCTAGTCTCAAACTCCTGACCTCAGGTGATCCACCAACTTTGGCCTCCCAAAGTGCTGGGATTACAGGTATGAGCCACCACACCCAGCCTTCAAGTTTTCTTCTTTAATCATTTCTTTCTGTTTCAAGATATTCTTTAGGAATTCTTTTATGATAAGCCTGCTGATAACAAATTATCTTAGTTTTCCTTCACCTGAGAATGTCTTGATTTAACCCTCATTCCTGGGTATAAAATTCTAGGTTGACAGTTTTTTTTCTTTCAACACTTGAAAAGTGTCATGACACTCCTCCCCTCCATGGTTTCCAGTGAGAAATCAGCCGTCATTTAAGTTGTTTTCCCTGTAGGTAATGTGTCATTTTTCTCTAGCTGTTTTAAAAGTTTTTTGTTTGTCTTTAGTTTTCAGAAGTGTGATTATAATGTGTCTTGGTGTGAATTTCTTTGGGTTTCTCTTATTTGTGATTCATTGAGTCTCTTGAATCTGTAGGTTTTTACCTTTTGCTAAGTTTGGGGAAATTTCATTATTTTTTGAATACTTTTTTTTCAGCCTCACATTCTCGCTTCTCTCCTAAAATTCTGATGACATGAATGTTATAAATCTTTTGTTTTTCTCCCACAGGGCTCTGAGGCTCCATTTTTTTTTTTTTTTTTTTTTTTTTTTGGCCTATTTTCACTCTGTTTTCAGATTGGGTATTTTCTATTGTTTATCTTCAAGTACACTGATTCTTTCCTTTTTCATCTCCATTTTGCAATTTTTTATTTTTTTATTTTTTCTGAGACAGAGTCTCACTCTGTTGCCCAGGCTGGAGTGCACGATCTCAGCTCACTGCAACCTCTGTCTCCTGGGCTCAAGCGATTCTCCTGCCTCAGCCTCCTAAGTAGCTGGGATTACTGGCACCCGCCACCACACCTGGCTAATTTTTATATTTTGGTAGCGACAGAGTTTTGCCATGTTGGCCAGGCTGGTCTTGTACTCTTGACCTCAGGTGATCCGCCCACCTTGGCCTCCCCAAGTGCTGGGATTGCCAGTATGAGCCACTGGCCCTGGCCTCCATTTTGCTATTAAGCTCATTAAACTCATTCAATTAGTTTTACCTTTCAGTCATTGTATTATTCAATTCTAAAATTTCCCTTTGGTTCTTCTTTATATCTTCTACTCTTTTTTTAAAGACTTTCTAGTTTTTTTGTTTATTTGTTTTAAATGTGTTCATAGCTGCTAGTTGAAGCATTTTTACTATGGTTTCTTTAAAATCCTTGTAAGATAATTCTAACGTCTGTGTTGTCTTGGTTTTGGTGTCTGTTGATTGCCTTTTGTTCATTCAAGTCAAGATTGTCCTGGTTCTTGTTATGATGAGTGATTTTTGACACAGTGATGATAAGGTAGGGGACCACATTACTGCTGAGCAGTGGTAAAAATCCAGACCCTCCATTTGGCCTTTTCTGACACCACCCAAAGCAAGAATTGGGAGGAGTGCCTCATTGCTTCAGGGAGGGAGTGCATGTTCAGTCTTCCTACTTAGCCTCTTCTGATGCCACCCCAGTGGGGAGTGGGGAGTGGGGAGGGATGATTCCTTACTGCCAAGGGGTGGGGTGGGGGGTTTAAATATAGGTTTTCCACTTGGCCTTTGCTGTTGGCGGGGGGGTGGTGTCCCATATTTCCACATGATGTTTGGCTAGAATATGGTGATTATTGTTTAAAGGCTTCTATTCCAGCAGTCCCCTTTCCAGTCTTTTGGCAGGAGAGAACAGAAAATCCTTGGGATTGGCGTTTCTAGATTATATTCTTATCTAGCACATGGCCTACAATACACAGGGGACAAAAAGAAAACACGGGTAACTCATTGTCATGTCATTCCTCATGTCCAGAGGCTCCTTGCCCCCCTTCATCTCTCAACTGTTTAGAATCTTCTTGTGTTTGTGTTTTATATATTATGTCCAGGATTTTTTTTTTAAAATTTGTAATTAGTGGCAAGAATAGAGATAAATTCACTCACTCCATCTTGTCTGTAATTTCTCATGTCTGATCACATGTTTTTATATCCATTCTCTCCACTGACTTGATTGAAATAATGGTCAAATCTTTTAAAAAAGACTTCCTGTCAAGTGGCAAAACGAATCCATGTGGACTTGAAAAACACAGTAATGATAGATAAAGCATTTTCAAATGTATTAAAATGTATGGCCTTGCTCAAAACTAAGGGAAAAATTTCTGTGAATGAGAAACAGTGCAGAAATCCACAGCACATGGAAAGGGAGGGCATATGTGCTAAAAGGAGCCTTGATACACAAATCCTGCAAATACAGGAAAAGAAAATTACACGCCAGCATCACTTATGAAGATAGTTGCAAAGATCCTAAATGACACTTTAGCAAATCAAAGCCGTTGGCATATAAAAACACACCATGACTAAATAGCATTTATCCCATGAATGTGAGAATGGGCCAATATTTCAAAAATTTATCAGCATAGTCCATCACATTGATTAAATGTAAAACAACATATGATCATCTCAGAAGACATAGTAAAAACTTTGATAAAAATATGGATTCATAATTTCAAAAATGTTTAGTAAACTTTGGCAAACATCATACTTAATGCTGAACCTTTAGAAGAAGTAGTATCAAAGTCAAGACTAAGACAAGGATTTCTCTAGTCACTGATAGTATTTATTAATTACCTGGTGTCTTGGCCAAAGCAATGAGACAAGAAAAGTAAAGAAGATGTAACTGGATTAGAAAGAGAGACAAATAATTGTTATTTTCAGACCCTATCACTGTGGATGTAGAAAATCCAAAGGAATCTGCAAACAGTGAGAACTAATAAGAGACTGAGCATAATGTCTGACCATAATTGTAAACAAGACATTTTTCTAACTTGGGTCACAGGTTGACAACTTGTTTACTAATATTGACCTTATTTTCTTAAGAGCCAGAGAGGTATTTTCCCCAAAGTTACACAGCATTTTATTAGCACAGCCAAGCCAGAAACTAAAATATTGTGATGACCTCAAACCCAGTAATGTTTCCATTATGAGGTATCACCCATTTGTGCACCATACTAGTACAAATGTGGCAATGGCAGAAATAGTAGTTTTAAAGTGCCATGATTATGAATCCTGAAAATCTTGGCAAACAGAATGAGGATGGAGATGAGATATCCTGTATAAATTGACCTAGAGGTGATTTTGGAGCAGATATTTCATTCTCATTCAAACAATTTTACTCTTTTTCCATGTCTCAGCTTTCCTTATTCCTGAAAATGACCAAGCCAAGATTTCTGGGAAGATATGGAGAGAAACTATTATGAAATGGAAAGGGGCCTGAGCTGGGTGGAATGAGATCAGTGAAAAGTCCTGGGGGTACTCCACCAAAAAAACATCAAAAGAAGAACTGAAAATGAAAGTAAAGCCTATGTTGAATTAGAAAGTGACTGCCTTTGTAAAATAAAATTTAATTAAAAGCATTTGGTAGTTAATCATTCCCTCTTTCTTGAGACATTTTGGCCCATGAGACTGTACTCTCTCTTGGTTCCTTCCTTCCCAAGTGATATGGTTTGGATATTTATTCCCTCCAAATCTCACATTGGAATGTGATCCCCAGTGTTGGAGATGGGGCCTAGTGGGAAGTGTTTGGGTCATGAGGGTGGATCCCTCATGAATGGCTTGTTGCCCTCCCCATAGTAATAAGTGAGATTTCGCCCTATTAGTTCATGTGAGAGCTGGTTGTTTAAAAGAGCCTGGTGCCTTCTCCCCTCTCTCTTTTTCTCCCTCTCTCACCATATGACATGCCTGCTCCTCTTCATTTTCTGCCATGATTGTAAGCTTCCTGAAGCCCTCACCAGAAGCTGAGCAGATACACGTGCCATTCTTGTACAGCTTGCAGAATCATGAGCCAAATAAACCTCTTTTCTTTATAAATTACCCAGTCTTGGGTATTCCTTTATAGCAATGGAAAATGTCTCTGGGTTCAGTCCTTAGACTTACTCATTTTTTAATCTATCCTGATTCCTTAGGTGATCTCATTCAGTCTCTTGGTTTGAAATACCAAATTTTATTTCCAACTGTAACCTTTTTCTTGAATTCAAGTCTTGTATATCCAGCTACCTACTCAGAATCTCCATTTGGATATTTAAAAGGCATCTAAAACTTCACATGTGCCAATCAAACTCCTGTTTGCCTACCTTCTACCTCCTCCTCCATCTGTGTTCTCCAACTCAGTAAACTGCAGCTCCAATCACTCAGGTTTTCAGGACAGAAAATTATAATTATCCATGACTCCCCTTTCTTATCCCCATATCCATCCATCAGAAAATTCTATTGACTTTGCCTTGGAAAAAATGCCTAGAACCTGATAACTTCTCATTGCCTTCACCACCTTCGCCACTACCATCTCTCACCTGCACTACTGCAACAGCCGCCTAACTAGTCTCCTTGCCTCTATCTTTGTCCCCTATAATGTATTTTTCACAGGCTACTAAAGTGATTCTTTAAACACATAAGTCAGATCATGTTGTTCCTCTGCTTGCCAGTTGTCTCCCATAGCTCTTTGAATAAAATACAAACTTCTTCCCAGGGCCTCCAAGACCCCATATGATGGTTCTTGGCTACCTTTTTAATGTCATCTCCCATCACTTTCCCCTGACGTATTCCACACCTGTCACACTAACCACCTCAATGTTCTTGAATATTCCAAGCACACTCCAAAGCTTTTGCACTAGAGGAGGGCCCTTCCCCAGATGACCATATGGCTATCTCTTTCTTGAGATCTACTCAGTGTCACCTATCAGACAGGGGCTCCTGTGCCCCTATAGAACATCACTCCCTGATCTTTTACTCTCTATCTCCTTACCCTGCCTTATTATTATTTTTTCCTTCTAGGATCTGCTACCCTAAAATCTAAGAAGCATCAGAAGAAGGACTTTGTCTGCTTTGTTTGCTGCCCTATCCCCAGTAACTAGAAGAGTGCCTGGTATATAGCAGACCTTCAATATGTATATCAAATGAGTAAGTGGGTGTCCTGAGCAATAAAAATTGAGTAATTATGAATGATATGCAGCATTTTCTTCTTTGTATTTGGAGAAGAAAATTAGGAGCACAAAACTGTGTGATTTCTCAGGCCCTCATGACTGCATCTTTTGTGAGATTGGTATGATGGTAGAGCAGAGTGTGGGGGAAAATTTAGAAACTCCAGAAAGTTGAGAGAAAATTTAGAAAGAATGCTTCTGCTTTTCTGGGGGTGGGGGGAGTTTGTGTCATCTCAAATTGAGAAACTGTTGTTGCTTATTTAAGCCACCCTTAACAGTACTGTAAACAACTAGTGTAGTTTTAAAAACAGCATTTCATGCAAATCAAAACCACAAGGAGATACTATCTCATGCCGGTTAGAATGGTGATCATTAAAAAGTCAGGAAACAACAGATGCTGGAGAGGATGTGGAGAAATAGGAATGCTTTTACACTGTTGGTGTGAGTGTAAGTTAGTGCAACCATTGTGGAAGACAGTGTGGCCATTCCTCAAGGAGCTAGAACCAGAAACACCATTTGACCCAACAATCCCATTACTGGGTATATACCCAAAGGATTATAAGTCATTCTACTATAAAGACACATGCACATGTTATGTTTATTGCAGCACTGTTCACAATAGCAAAGACTTGGAACCAACCCAAATGCCCATCAATGATAAGATTGGATAAACAAAACGTGGCACATACACACCATGGAATACTATGCAGCCATAAAAAAGGATGAGTTCATGTCCTCTGCAGGGACATAGATGAAGCTAGAAACCATCATTCTCAGCAAACTAACACAGGAACAGAAAACCAAACACCTCATGTTCTCACTCATAAGTGGGAGTTGAACAGTGAGAACACATGGTCACAGGAAGGGGAACATCACACAATGGGGCCTGTCGGGGGGTAGGGGGCTAGGGGAGGGATAACATTAGGAGAAATATCAAATGTAGGTGATGGGTTGATGGGTGCAGCAAACCATCATGGCATGTGTATACCTATGTAACAAACCTGCACGTTCTGCACATGCATCCTAGAACTTAAGAGTATAATAATTTTTAAAAAATAGCATTTCAATAATCACTTGTTTTTCAAAACGCCCATAATTAGAGTATGTTATATAGCAAGCATAGCAGTCACCTTCTTTTCATTTTTTAACTTTTAAGTTCAGGGATGCAAGTGCAGGTTTTTTACACAGGTAAACTTGTGTAATGGCTGCATAGTATTCCATGGGGTATGTGTACCACATTTTCTTTACCTATTGATGGGCATTTAGGTTGATTCCATGTCTTTGCTATTGTGAATAGTGTGCAGCCACCTTCTTATGAATGTGATTTTGCACTCAATTATCATCTAAAATTATTCTTTAGGCTAGATGCGTCATACCTGTAATCCCAGCACTTTGGAGAGGCTGAGGAGGGAGGATTGCTTGAGGCCAGGAGTTTAAGACCAGCCTGGGCAATGTAACAAGATCCTGTTTCTATAGAAAAATTTAAAAAAATAGCTCATGATGGTGGTGGACACTCGTATTCTTAGCCACTCAGAAGGGTGGGGCAGAAGGATCACTTAAGCCCAGGAGTTCGAGGCTGTCCTGAGCTATGATTGCACCACCATACTCCAGCCCTGGGTGACAGAGCCAGACTGTCTCAAAACAAACAAACAAAACCCAACAACTATCTCTGTAAAATAACTAAGTTTGACATTAAAACGTGAAATAGAGAACTTTAAATTTTAAGCTAAAAAAAGTACAGGAATATTTGAATACCTTACATATATACATATACATACATATATATATATATATATTTTTTTTTTTTTTTTTTTTTTGAGACAGTGTCTTGCTCTGTCACCCAGGCTGGAGTGCAGTGGCATGATCATGGCTCACGGCAGCCTTGACCTCCCAGGCTCAAGTGATCCTCCCACCTTAGCCTCGTGGATAGCTGGGACTACAGGTGTGTGCCACTATGCTGGGCTAATTTTCGTACTTTTTGTAGAGATGAGGGTTTCCCTGTGTTGGTCAGGCTGGTTTCAAACTCCTGGGCTCAAGCGATCTACCCACCTTGGCCTCCCAAAGCGCTGGGATTAAAGACGTGAGCGACCGTGCCTGGCCACTAATATATTTTAATCACTATTTAACCAAAGTTCGGACATCTTGAATAGAATACTTCTTCCAATTTTCTGTGAAATATTTATACTGATGTTAAAGCCTTCCTGAGAATGCATGTAACCGTCATAATTTAATACTTGAGACTCATGGACACCAGCCACAGACCTGATAAACTATTATTTTCCTCCTTGACTGGTGGATACAACTGCTGCAAGAACTAAGATATAAGGCATGGTGTTAGACCAGCACAAAAGGAAGATGATATGTTTACTGGATCATGTAAGGAATTTGCCTCCTGAAAATATAACAGCATAATCAGAATTATAAAAAGTTCTTCTCAAATAATGGAAACAGTGGAGGGTAACCAAGAGAACAGTGTAATAACTGAATGCAATTTAATCTCTTACAGTACATTGCCACCACCACAGAAAAGTAGTTTTAACTTACTTGTTATGAATCCCCACCTCTGATGATCGAGTGTGCCTGCAATTCTGTAAGATCCAAAAGGGGAGGAGGTGATGGTACCTCTTTGTGTACTCCCTCAACCTCCAGAAAGAATCTTCAAAGTTTAGTCAAATGTGAAATTAGTGGGTATTCCTCAAGAAATCTCTCACTTCTAACATTAATTTGCAAGTTCAGGGATGATACGGTTTGAATGTATGTCCCCTCCAAATGAAATGTGACCCTAGTGTTGGAGATGGGACCTAATGGAAGGTGTTTGGGTCATGGGGTTGGATCCCTCATGAATGGTTTGGTGTCCTCCCTGCAGCAATTAGTTCACACAAGAACTAGTTGTTTAAAGAGCTTGGAACCTCCTCCCCTCTCTCTCTTGCTCTTTCTCTTGCATGTAGCGTGCCTGTTCCTCCTTCACCTTCTACCATGATTGGAAGATTCCTGAGGCTCTCACCAGAAGCAGATGCATTTGACCCATTTATAATTTCTTCCACAGAACTTTATGTTATCTGGCTCTCCATGGTACCACTCCTATTGTCTTTCTCTACTGACTCTATTTACCATGTTCATTCTTATTACCTCATCAGCCTCGCCTTCACCGTTCATAGTTCTGTCAGCATTTTGGTCATAATCACTTAACAAGTCTCTAAGAAGTTCCAAACTTTCCCTCATCTTCTAGTCTTCTTCTGAGCCCTCCAAACTCTGCCCACCCCAGCCCATTACCAGGTTCCAAAGCCACTTTCACATTTCAGCAATTGCTTTACAGCAATGCCCAACTCCTCAGTTCTATTTTTTTTGTATTAGTTCAATTTGCATTGCTATAAAGGAATACCTGACACTGGTAGAGCCACTGGCCACTTATATCCTGAGCCTGTAAAAGCTGCAGGCACTCAACACCATTAACATCTTAATTCCTCAGATTCTTTAATTTCCTTTAAAATGCTCTAATTTTCTTTCTTTCTTTCTCTCTTTCTCTGTCTGTCTATCTATATCTATCTATCTATCTATCTATCTATCTATCTATCTATCTATCTATCTATCATCTATCTACCTATCTATCTGATGGAGTCCTGCTCTGTCTCCAGGCTGTAGTGCTGTGGCACGATCTCAGCTCACTGCAACCTTGGCCTCCCGGGTTCAAGCGATTCTCCTGCCTCAGCCTCCCGAGTAGCTGGGACTACAGGTGCGCACCAGCACCCCCAGCTAATTTTTGGATTTTTAGTAGAGACTGGGTTTCACCATGTTGGCCAGGATGGTCTTGATCTCTTGACCTCGTGATCCGCCCACCTTGGCCTCCCAAACTGCTGGGACTACAGGTGTGAGCCACTGCGCCTGGCCAAAATGCTCTAATTTTCTTTCTTCTTTTCTAGTAAATCTTTGTCAGTCTCATTTGCATATGCCTCATCCTTTGCCATCCCTTAAATGTTGGTATTACCAGGGGATTCCATCCCCAACCTCCTTTCACTTTACATATTCTTTCTGAGTAAGAATTTGTGTGCCATAATTATTTGCATGCTGGCACATAGCACAGGTCTCTCTCCTGAGCCCCAGATACATATATTCATCTGCCTCTTAGATATCTTAATCTTAATATATTCAAAACTGAACTTATCATCTCTCATGTCCCAACTTGTCCCTTATCCTATCCACTGATGCAACCACACAAGCCAGGAACCAGACTTTTCCTCTTCCCTCTTCCTTTACCCCCATATGCAACCAGGTATCAAGTTCTGCTCATTCTGACCCCTGCCCTTCACACCACCACCTCTGCTTCAGCCAAGTTGAGCAATAATGAAGGCCTTGGCTGGATCCCCCCAATAGCCTTAAAATGTCCCCCCTTGTTTGTGGTCTCATTCTCCTGTTTACCAGAATATTCTTTTTAAGTTGTGAACCACAGTATATCACTAATCTGCTCAAAACCCTTTAATTAGCTCCCTTCACGAGCCTTCAGGATAAAATCTAAACCCTTCATCATGTACACTAAAACATTAGTGATCTGGACCAGTCTGGAAACGGGACCTGCTTTCTGTATCCAGTCTTTATTTCAGCCACACTGAAATATCCTCATTTTCCTGAACTGGCCAAGTTCTTTGGGTAGCAAAGGTATAAAAATAAACCCTTTGGCCGGGCGCAGTGGCTCATGCCTGTAATCCCAGCACTTTGGGAGGCCGAGGCAGGAGAATCGCTTGAACCCAGGAGGTGGAGACTGCAGTAAGCCGATTGTGCCACTGCACTCCAGCCTGGCAACGGAGTGAGACTCCGTCTCAAAAAACAAACAAACAAACAAACAAACAAACAAACAAACAAAAAACCCTATTGTTATTTGATTTTTTTGTGTGTATAAAAAAAGATTTTACACATGTTCATTACAAAGACCTCCTCTGATCATACACAGTTTGCATTAGGCACCCTTTCTATGTGACACCACAGTTTCTCATTTTGCAGCTTCTCAATGTTTTGCTTCTCTGTTTTCTCCATGAGACTGTGAGTTGCTTAAGAGCAATATTATGACTTTCATTTCTACATCTCCAGATGCAGCTCAAGAAATATCCAACAGGGAGAAAGGAAGAGAAGTGGGGATGAGAAAAAAGGAGGAGAGAAATGGAGAATTTGGCTTCTGCCTCCACTAAAATGGCTCTCATCATGGCCAAGGTGGCTACTGACTACACAATTGCTAAATGAAATGGAAGCACTTTTTGTTAATCTGGATATAGTCTTGAAATTTTTGCTCTCAAATTTTGAGACCACCTTCTCCTTGCTATCTGACTGATCCTCCTTATTTTCCTCTTCAGGATCCCTTTTTTCTATTGTCTCTTAAATGTTAAATTTACCCTGGGAAATCGTCCTGAGTCCCTCGGGTCTTTTAGTCTCCCTGGGGAATGGCCTCCAAGCTGGAGCCTACTCAGGCAGTGTTGTACTGCCCCCTCCTGGTATAACTGAAAAGCAGGTTAGTCGCTCGCCACAGTTAACAAGAACGAGGCCTGGCACAAGAAAAGTGAATGTATTTCCAAAACAAGTCTGGGAGGAGGGCAGGAAGTATCCTCCTTTAAATGTGCCACTTTGCCTTTGGAGCAAAAAGTGAACACTTTTATAAGGTAAAGGAAGAAGTGAGCAAGGGCAGGGGGGTCTCCCTGCTACTGGGCAGTTAAATACTGAACAGTTGAGTTGGTGCCTTCCCGGGCAGAAGTAAGTTGTAAAAGTGACCAAATAGGCATGCTTTCCACATGCCTTTCTGAGGCAACCGCCCGAAGGGAGGAGTTCCATAAGGACATGCTTTGATCTGCAAATCAACAGATCTGTCTTGGAGCACATAGGTGAACTTGCCCTGTAGGGAGTGTCTGGTGAGAGGTTATTTTGCATTTCAGAAAGGGCTAAGTAGGGAGTAGAGGGAAAGGGAAAAAGAAAAAAGAAAAGGAAAAAAAAACACATAACAACAATTAAATTATCTCTTAGAATAATGGGGGCACTTGGTTACATTGGAACCAGTGATAAGCCAGCCAGGAATAGTAGTGGCCCTAGTCCTAGTGGGGTTGAAAATAGGTTTTATTATTCTATGCTGACTAAAACCTCAAATGACTCAGCAAAAACACTGGGCAGTAGACCTTCTGAACACTCACGACCGGAGGACTATAGTCCTCTGACTGGGCTCTTCAACCTCCATTTTCTTTTACCCTCTGGAACCTGGAGCTCAGAGGTGGCAGGTGTCATTTTTGCATCTTAGTTTTAGAGGTGGTGAATTCGTATGGGTTTGCAGCAACCTCAATTACTGTCTCTTCAGAAGAAAAAATTCAACCATGGGGCATAAGGCAGAGGGAGAGAGCAAGGCAAGCTTTAGAGTAGGAGTGAAAGCTTATTAAAAAGCTTTGGAGCTGGAATTAAAATCAAAATACATTTGGAAGCGGGTGGCTTGAGAGACCAAGTGCACTGTTTGACCTTTGACTTGGTGTTTTATATGTTAGCATGCTTCTGGGGTCTTGCATCCCTTCTCCCCTGATTCTTCCCTTGGGGTGGGCTGTCTGCACACGCAGTGGCCTGCTAGCCCTTCGGAGGGGCTGCGAGCACAGTGTGTTCACTGGAGTTGTATGCATGCTCACTTGAGGTGTTCTTCCCTTACCATTTGAGTGTTCCTAGAGGAAAGTGATATACCAGTTAAATGCTGCCATTTTGCCTTTTAGTACGCATGTGTGAGCCCACTCGCCCAACTCCTGAGATCTTAATGGGAAACTGCTGATCACCAGCTTTGGGTTTTGCTTTATCTGTTGGGAGACTGCCTTTCCCTCATGCTGGCTGTGACTATTATTTTAGAGAGACAGCTTAACAACTGTCTGACCATCACCTGATGGTTACCTGACATTCCTAGGGGGTATCCTCTCCTGCCCTGCTCATGTCTGCCTGACTACCTACTGTAACATTCCCCCCGTCAAGAGTCCAGTACCCCAAATTTTGGGGGAAAATGGACAAACACCAGTCTTCTGTAAACTGCTCCCTGCTCACAGAGGGCCGGTGGTTGTTGTTCTGTGAATCTTGGCCTCCTGCTAGCTGTTAGGGCAGGTGACTCTGTGGGTTCATGAAAGCAGTTTCCAGCCAAGTCCAACAGAGAAAGGGGCAGGATTTAACCTCTGTCATGTCCCACTAATGGGCAGTGTAAGGGTCCAGTGTAGAAGGATAACTCTTGAATGTTGAGAGGATGTATTCCTCACTGAGGATCATCTGGAGCTTGATGCCCTGGAGAGGAGACAAATCAGGTTATTAGATATAGAAGACATGGACCAAAAAGGACAAGTAGAGATGTCAAAATGAAACAAGGAGGTGAGGGCAGCTCCAAAAAATCTTGAGGCTGCTGACACATCCAGGTAGCTGGTGGTTACATTCATGCCTGCTAAGACTTGCATGCCTGGGGTTGCTAGCCAATTCCAACAAGTGCCCAGTGTAGGGGGCACACAACAACATATTCAAGCTTATGTACAAGGCATTTGAGGTTGAAAAAATAACTGAGGCACTGTGTGTGTGTTGTTTGTGCATGAGACTATAACTCCTTGACCCTGAAAACAGGACAAGGAGCAGAATGTGTGATAAGGGGCGCTGAACACAGCCTCCTAAGAAGGCGGTTTGAGTGCTTTTAGATGTAATAAACAAGGCCATATGTGCCTCATGTCACGACTGCAAAAAGCCACCTGGTGGATGTCTTTTGTTGGTCTGAATTGTAGTTTAACAAGCCTCTCAACAGACACTTGGTGGACAGATCTTGGAGCAGCACTCCCTCGAGGAGCTCCTCCCTGCCCCGTTCAGCTGTAATTGTCTCAATACTTATTTCTCGGCGTTCACTGCAGAGCAAGCTGCAAGTGGTGACTCCGATGTGATCGCCTTGAAATTACTCGTGGAGCAGGATGACATACCAATCTTCAGGGAATACCGATAAGGGACAGTCCTGACCCATTTTCTTTTCTTTTCTTTTTTCTTTTCTTTTTTTTTTTTTTTTTTTGAGATGGAGTTTCACTTTTGTTGCCCAGGCTGGAATGCAATGGCGTGATCTCGGCTCACCGCAACCTCTGCCTCCCAGGTTCAAGCAACTTTTCCTGCCTCAGCCCCCTGAGTAGCTGGGATAACAGGCATGCGCCACCACGCCTGGCTAATTTTTTTTGTATTTTTAGTAGAGACGGGGTTTCTCCATATTGGTCAGGCTGGTCTCGGACTCCTGATCTCAGGTGATCTGCCCGCCTCAGCCTCCCAAAGCGCCGGGATTACAGACATGAGCCACTGCGCCTGGCCAGTCCTGACCCGTTTTCAGGAGGACAGGACCTATGTGTATAATACCAGGGCTCGGGTTACCACGGGTGAGAAGTTGACCAAATAGCAGAAAGTATTTTTTAAAATGGTGAGACAATTGCTTAAGGCTATCCAGTGCACCAGAGAGTCTGAAGCTTTGCATACGCTTACGCTTTTAGTTCGGCAGGAATGCCCTTGGTTCCCTAATCAAGGAATATTAGACTTAAAGTCATGGGAGCAGGTGGGTGGTTGCCTGAAAAGGGGATTTGAGCAGGGCCATTTTACTAATGTTACCATTTTGACCACCTGGAGTATGATCTGCGTTATACCCCCTTTATATGTCAGATCGTGGTAAGTCAGACCGCCCATTTTCTCCACCTGAAGGGAATTCAGAAATTTTAAAGAGAAAAGAAAAACAGGAACAAGAACAACAGGGAGGAGCTCCTCCCCCCACTTCACTCCCTTCTGTGGGGCATAAAGAAAAAACTTTTTCTAGTGATGAGGATGGACTGGAGCTTTTTTCTCCCCAGTAAAAAAGCCATTGCCCTTACCTGTCTCATAACCCCTCTAAACACATACAAAAGACCACAGATTTAATAGCTTCTCTTCTTGTAAAGGAATGCTGACGTTGCATCCAATTGTCAGAATATGACCCTGCTACTCTTTTCCTACCTTTAAGCAAGTAATAGTTTCATACTCTCCTAGCTTGTGATCTTGATTAGCAAGTAGCAATGGCCGACTGTATTGGTGACATCAGCTTCCATTTATCAGCCTCTAAGCTCCTGAAGGTTTTACAAATGTGCCTGTTAAATTTGTATCTATTGTTGTCTCTAAGCCCTTGCTTCATGCCACTATTGTCTTTACAGATGGCTCAGGAAAAACTAGAAAGGCACCTATAGTGTGGCAAGATGCCATGCAAAACTGGTAGCACAAAATCCAAGAACATTTCAAAACCACACAACGGGCGGAATAAAGTGCCCTAATATTGGCCTTACAAACTTTTCCTCATCAAGACATAAATATAGTTAGTGATTCCGCTTATGCAGTGGATCATATTACTCATTTAGATCTTGCATATGTGAAGAGCATTACTAATGAACCCCTACTAGCTTTATTTCTCGAAGCACAAGAGTTCTTCTATGCCTGTTGTCACCCTCTTTACATCACACACAATCCCTCTCATTGTAGGCTACCTCGTCCCTTGTCAGAAGGAAACGCTTGAGCCGATGCTCTGGTACAACCACAAATGTGGTTTGCAGACTCTGCTGCCTTTTTGCGAGCTCAAGCTAATCATTCCTTTTTTCACCAGAATGCCCACAGTCTTAAACAACAGTTTCATTTGATGCTCGCTCAAGCTCGCATGATCATTAAAACCTACCCTGATTGCGAATGACATTCTCTATCCGCTTTTTCCTTAGGACTTGGTGCCAACCTACAAGGTCTAGTACCTAATGCTATTTGGCAAACTAATGTTACTCAATATCCACCCTTTAGATGCTTCAAATTTCTCCACGTTACTGTAAACAGTTATATGGGCTTAATACATGGTATCCCCCAGACCTGAAAAAAAAACTAAAGATGCGATTGCTCATCTTTTTGAATCCATTATGACTTTAGACCTTCCACAAACTATAAAAACTGATAATGGACCTTGCGTTTTAGTGCTCAATTTGCATATGCATTGCAACTTTGGCACATACAACACAAAACCCAGATTTAAAATATGAATCCAGGTTATTACATGACTCAACCTTCTTGTTTCTTCTGACCTGCAGCCAGAGATTACTGGTTGGTTCAAAGGGATAAGCAGAGTTAACTTAAAAACAACTGATGAGACTAGAATCTAATAACAGGTGTACCATCATTTTTGAAACATAATTTTTCTCTCTCTAGTCCTGATCTTTATTAAAAACAAATTACAATAGGGCAGATTTGTTTGTAAAATAAGCTTTAGTATTATTATACTTGGCTTGTTACTTGCATAAAGCACAGCAAGAGTAATTATTTGCCATATAGGTTCCTATTAAAATTGTCTTTGATAGAACTTTGTTTCATAAGGAATTTCAGATAAGATGTTTTTAAAGCCTGGAGCCCAATTATGGGTTTGTGCCATCAAATATCTATATTAATTGAGTAAATTTCTCTCCTTTTGAGGTCCCAAGATAACTTGGGTCTCCTGGGCCTGTCAGAAAGTGACATTCTTTACTTACTACAGGACTGGAACCCTGTACAGGGACTGTGTAGATAAGGTATGAGGCCAATTTTCCCAAAGAGCTTTTATTGGCTTTATAAGTCAAATTTGATTCTTTAAAGGAAAGCACACCATTCCAGTCAAAGCCTTGGTAAAATATCCAGTTTCTCCAATTGTGTTTTGTTGCAAAAGAAAACAGATTCTTACTGTACTTATGCAAATAACTATATTGCCATAAGTTAAGAATACTCACAAGTAGTTTCCAAATCCTGGAGAAATCCAGTAGAGAGAAATATGCTCTAAACTTTGTTTATAGGAGTGTACTTTACTCAATTGTTAAGAGCTATAAATAGATGGATTATTTCAGTGTTGTATTACTTCAGTCCATGCAGTTAACTTCTGTTCTGCCTGATACTCATAAGCATTTCAGGTATCCATGAGAGTCCTAAAAGTTTTTCCTTTATTCTACTGTCACAGTCTCCAAAGTTATTAAGAATCTGCATTCAAGAGCACCTGTCAGAGTTCTATAGATGATTATAAAACCACCTTCTAAGGGGATAAAAACAAGACAACAATTGTCTATATAAATAATAAGAAGTCTTAGGGCAGCCACAGTCAAAGACACAATTGACCAAGAAATTTGTTACCTCTGTGGCACCCAATAATTTAATGATTATAATTATTACTAATAATATACACTGTTATATCAGAATTATAGGAGTTTCACATAATTTTGGAATATGTACCAATAACACATTTATAAAGAGCAGTTTAATGCTTTAATAGAACTCTGTTGTGCTTTTATTCCAAAGTTCAATTTACAGAAAATCTAAATAATATCCCTTTAATTTTTAATCTGAAAAGAGGATTTGAGCAGGGCCATTTTACTAATGTTACCATTTTGACCACATCGAGTCTAGTATGCTCTGCGTTATACCCCCTTTATGTGCCAGATCACAGTAAGTCAGACTGCCCATTTTCTCCACCTGAAGGGAATTCAGGAATTTTAAAGAGAAAAGAAAACAGGAACCAGAACAACAGGAAGTGGCTCCTCCCCCCACTTCACTCCCTTCTGTGGGGCATAAGGAAAAAACTTTTTCTAGTGATGAAATTTAATTTTAGCTAATATGCTCACACACAGAAATTCTTTTACAAGATTAATCTTTCATAAGCCTTCTACCACTTGCTTAAAGCTTCAGCTTTATCTTAGCTAACTTAAAACTGTCCTTTAACCTTCTAAACTAGGCAAAAAAAATCCATATTCCCATGTCTTCTTATGATCTTTTACCAAAAGCACATTCTACTTTCCTTAAATGTCTTGCATGTAAAATTGTTTTTCCAGTAGTCTCAAGCCTGGAACACCAGAGAGGAATGCAGATAAGGTCTGACTCGTTCCCACATGGTTAGGGGGCATGGCTAACTCTATATGTCCCCAAGCCTTAACTAGCTTTAAAGCAGGCCAGTTGCACTGTTAAGAGTCATAGTAGCAGTGTATGAAATGCTTAGTAGGCCTCATAAACTTTAAAACTGTAGAACATTTCTTTCATACATTCCCTTCCACAACTTACACAGACCATCTATGCTTTGACTTTTGGACTTGTCCTAAATGTCCTTCTTTTTAGACAACCAGTTATTTTACTTTAAGACAAGAATTTACCATACAAGACCCTTGTCATACAAAATATATTTTCTTTTAACGTTCCTTACCCAAAATACCCCTTTACCTTTATAACCTTTGAATTAGACAAAAGTCATTTTCCTTCTGTTAGGAAGTTAAGGTTTGTACTGCATGTTGCTGAGTAAGTCCTGTGAAGGGGAAGCAAATTAGAAAGTTATCTGCATACTGTAGAAGATATCCCCCCTCAAAAGATTGTTCATTTAGATTTTTCTAGGGTTTATCTGAATAAGTGTGGGCTATTTCTAAGCCCCTGAGTTAGAACTGTCTAGATTGAAGTTATTGGTTAAAGATTTAGGTAGCTTCCCCAAGAGAAATAGGGATAGAGAGAAAGATGAATTCAGAGGTTGGGTAAATATTTAATAGGCACCCATCTTGAAAAGCATATTTTTGCCCCAAAGAGGTGTGGGGTATTTAGACATTACCAGGGACTGGTGGGAGAATGGCAGTTAGCCCCTTAAGTAATATAAAGGAGTGTGAATCTTTTCTTTTGGAGGGACGGGGTGCCATTTGTCCCCTTTACCTGACAGAATTTGGAGGAGAGTTGCTCAGAGAAAAAGATTAGCACAGAGTAGGCAGTTGTTGAATGCGAAAGGGAATTATAATTGTACTTGACACCTCCAGAGTTTCCCTTGATTTTGCCCTATTGATGGTAGTGTCTAATTTAGAAGCCAGGCAGAGTAGAGAGAGCTCAAGGTCGTCAGGGGTTGGGATTCTGTCCCAGGGGCCCTTTAGCCTTAAAGACAATCCTTTTTCCAGTGGCTGAGCTTGTGGTAGAGGGGACAAGCTGTGCAGGTATTTTTCCGATTTATCCCATTGGGGCAGTTTACCTTCCAGCGGCCTGTCTTCTTGCACAAATGGCAGTTACCTGGAGGGGGCTGGAGAGCTTGTAAAGCAGCCAGTAGTTGAGCCTGCCTCTTGTCCCTGCATTTCTTCTTTTCTTTGGTTCTGTCCTCCTTATTCTGCTCTCAGTTATAAAAGACTTAGGAGGCTAATTTGAAGATTTCCTGCATAAGGGGACTGGGATCTAAGGGTGACTTTTGTAATTTTCTCTGTTTATTTTTAGGCCAGACAGTATTACAAAGGAAAACTAGTTTTTTGTTTTAAGGGTTGAGGAAATCAAACTTTTCTCAGTTTTGGGGGATGCATCCAAAGGTCATATCCTGTGGTATGGAGACGTGATTATCTGTCTGTGAAAAGAGAACAGAACAGAATAAAAGGAAAAAGAAAAAGAAGATGTCCCCTCTTACTTCCTTTTATCCAGAATAAGGTGTTCCCCTAGTCATCCTTAGGGTTCTGGAATGAACCAGTCTTCCCATGTACCCTTAACCTTGGTCCCGTCTCATCACAATTACCCACTTGAGAACAGAGGAGATACTGGAGTGAAGAGGGGGCCTCCTGTTCATTCTTGGGGCTCCAGAATAAACTGGTCTTACCATGTGCCCCTAACCTTGCCTTTATCTCTGTTCTAATGGTAATCTGTTAGCCTGGGACCAACCTTCATCTCTGTCCTATGACTCTCTTACCCCTGTGGCCTTGGGCCAGCCTATATCCTTGTCTCCATGACCTTATAGTGACTCTTGCTTGGAGCATTCTAGCAACAAAATGATTCTCTCTTTTCTCAGATTCCCATTTCCCACATTTTTTAAGTAGATAAGAAGACTTTTTTTGTTTTGTTTTGTTTTGTTGTTTGTTTGTTTGTTTGAGACACAGTCTTGCTCTGTCATCCAGGCTGGAGTGCCTGGCATGATCTCGGCTCACTGCAACCTCCACCTCCCGGGTTCAAGCAATTCTCCTGCCTCAGCCTCCCAGAAGCCTGTTTTTCAGCTAGTCAGCAAGTAGCTGGACTTCCCTTTGTTTGAATAGGAACTTGAAAGCTTTGATGAATGTTGTGAAGGGTGTGGAAGTGATTAGAGAAATGGAGGCTACCGAGGAAGAGGGAGGAAGTGAGGGAGATACTCACGGAAAGGCTTCATGTTCCCACAAAAACAGCAGCCTTTGGATTTGAGAGGACAACCTTTATTTGCCCTCTTAACATAAAGTAGTAACCTCTGGAGGACTTGAGGCTTGGAGTAAAAACTCACAAATGGCAAAGGAAGAATTTTCCCTCCTCCCAAAGGGGTGCTAACTCAAAAAAATCACATAGGCAGGGTTCTTAAAGGACCACAGAATGAGGTCCTACGCAGGTGGACAAACTGCTTCAGAAGGCACCAGAAAATTTGGCCCTGGGACATAATGGGGATAAAAAGCATATGATAAGTCATAAGGAATTGGCAGAGCTGAGGTTCCCATTAGTATCTGTCCTGGCAATGTGCTAGCAGACAGGGAAAGGGTTGGAGGTCATCTGAGCTGGTAGGGTAAGAACAAATGTAAATCTCAAGGGATATCCAGAAGGGAGCCCATGTCTTTGCTGCTACACAAACACAGCAAGAGCCATGGGCCACAGCAAGAGCCACGGGCACAAGAGCAACTGGGAGTGTGTGCCTAAGAAGTTACATGGCATGAAAAATGAAAACAGAGAAAAGGCAAATTGCCCCCGAGGTGGACGGTTCAGTGGGTGCGCAAGGCCATTTCAGAATACATCCAGAGAAAGCAGGAGAATAGGCATCGCAGGTTTTGGGGAAAGAGCCAATTTTAGTTGAAAAAGCAGAGGAAACCCCAGAAATTGCACAGTCTCAGGCTTTAGCCCTATCACTCTTGCAAGCCTCCTGTCCAGGACGGCAGAGAGGAATTGTTTTAGGGGTTGGTTAGTAAGCAGGAGAGCAAAAGGGAGAAGAAAACCACATATGTGGGTTGAATGACTCCAGCCAAAGAAGGCGAGGTGTAGAGATCTCTAACAACCAGAGAACAAATCTGAGTCATGGAACCAAAGTACGTTAGTGTCCCTTCTCCCTGATTCTTTCCTTGGGGTGGGCTGTCTGCATGCGCAGTGGCCTGCTAGTACTTGGGAGGGGCCACACATTCAGTGTGTTCACTGGAGTTGTATGCATGCTCACCTGAGGCGTTCTTCTTCTCTTCTTTCTTTTTTCTTTGAGACAGAGTCTCTCTCTGTTGCCCAGGCTGGAGTGCAGTGGCATGATCTTGGCTCACTGCAACCTCTGCCTCCTGGGTTCAAGTGATTCTGATGCTTCAGCCTCTTGAATAGCTGGGATTACAAGTGCTCACCATCACGTCTGGCTAGTTTTTGTATTTTTAGCAGAGACGGGGTTTCACCATGTTGGTCAGGCTAGTCTGAAACTCCTGTTCTTAAGCAATCCATCTGCCTTGGCCTCCCGAAGTGTTGGGATTGTAGGCATGAGCCACCATGCCCTGGTGCTGGCTGCGACCAATTATTATTTTAGAGAGGCACATTAACAATTGTCTGACCATCACCTGATGGTCGCCTGTCATTGCTGGTGGTGTGGGAGGCTCTCTCCTGCCCTGCTCACGTCTGCCTGACTACCTACTGTAACATTAGCCACCTGTTCTCATCAATTCTATCTTCTGGGAGAT
The DNA here is from genome assembly GCF_000001405.40 of Homo sapiens. Lineage (NCBI taxonomy): Eukaryota > Metazoa > Chordata > Mammalia > Primates > Hominidae > Homo > Homo sapiens. Next base: position 160,716,797 of record NC_000001.11, on the reverse strand, counting down.
CGACCCTGTTCCTATCTTTGCTCTCATTGTTTCTGGGGAAAATTTATTGGAATGACTTCACTTTCTCTCACTCTCCAGGCACTAGCAAAGCTGTGCCTGTTGTGGCATTCAAGGCCCTGCTTAACCTACCAGGGGTCTGTCTTCCATCCTCAGCTCAATACCATACCCCTCCTTGAACATTTTTGGGCTACTCAAGGCCCTATATTCTCTGAGTTCCTAATTTCACATTGGCATGACTCTCATAGTGTTTCCTATGTGTTCTCCATTTCTTGTAGGCATATTGCAGATCCCCTGATGCCCAGAACCTTGATAACCCCAGAGTCTGTGTGCATAGTAGTTAGGCATGCCAGCTGGAGCATCAGACAGACGTAGATTTGAATTTTGATTCTGGTTCTAATTAGCAAAATGCCCTTGGGCAAGCCATTTGACTTGTCTGAACCTCAGTTATCTCTTCCGTAAAATAAGAATAGTGTTTATAAATATCCTCATGTGAATGTTGGAGGATTATTATTTTGTTGTTTTGTTGTTGTTTTTGTTTTTGAAACCTGATCCTTCTGTAAAATGTTGGAGGATTAAATGAGATAATATAGGCAAAGGTCCTGGCAAGTACTTGACTTAGTAGATACACAGAAAATAATAGCTTCTGTCATTACTATCACTTTGTCAAAGTCAAGCAGTAGGTCAAGTGCCCACCAGATTAGATACTGAGAAGAGTGTGTATTTTAATTCACATCATGAGGATTGTTGACCTGTACTTCATCTTCTAGGGTCTTTGCAGCCCCACCTCTGGGTATGCCCAAACTTCAGGGATTTCTGCAACCAGGGCTTTGGTGCAAGAACAGCTGATTCACTTAGGGCAGGGAGAGGGCTTTTGAGCCTTTATTGGTCACTTCTCTCAGACTTGTTTTTGAATCTATGCAGAAGCCTAACTAGCTAGTCCTGAACCTCAGAATGGGCACCCATAGTACTTCAGTGCCCGCTGTTACCATGCAAAAGGAGGAAGATTCCTTGGCTTAAGTTTATATTTCATCCTTTGTTTTAACATCAGCCTATATCCCATGGCTATTAATTCACATCTAAGCAGACTGTTGAGAATTATAGAGCTGTTTACTTGTCAATCTAAAAGAAAGAGGCTGAAACACAAAATATGATTTGAAGACTTTACTTGAGCCAAAGGGAGGACAGCTGCCTGGAAGACTCAGACCCAAGTAAAATTGGTTTTGAGCTCTGCTCAGCCTTTGTTACAAGCAGGTTTTTAAAGGCAAAAAAAGTGATACAAAGTTTTTTTTTTGGAATTCTCATTGGTTTGCAGAAATAACATTAATTAGTGATTGGTTACATATTGTTAAGCTGTAAGGTGTGGGTTATATGTCCAGTGCAGCATTATTAGATTAATTTATGGTTACTTGCAGCAATAGCAAGTAGTTTTAAGAGGTGAATACATAGCCCAAAGGTGGAGTAGGGGGAAGTAAAATGTGATTTCTGTCTCATTTAAATGTCTCTCTGATAATTTGAAGGACTCACATTCTTCAGATAAAAGTTCTTTCCTTTCTTCAACTTTTCACAACAACATTCAAAGGAGGTATTTTAACATTTATTTTTATTTTTACTTTTAGTAGAGATGGGGTTTTGCCATGTTGCCCAGGCTGCTCTCAAACTCCTGAGCTCAGGCAATCTGCCCTCCTCGGCCTCCCAAAGTGATAGCGACAGGAGACAGACAAATTCCTGGACAGATAGAAAAGGGTCCCTGGTGAAACTAGACTTTCAAGACAAAGACAGTTTAAAGCCTGAAAACTGGGCTGCCAGTTCTGGGTAGAGTCCACAACCAGAGTGAGAACTTCCTTGATACCTTTTAGCTAATCGAATGGTGCTTTTTCCAGGCCTGCCTATGGACAAATCTGAGCCGATGAAAACCCCAGACTCAGCCTCACAGAGGGCTACCTGTTTTGGGGCCCCTCTCACACAGTGGTCTACCCACTGTCTGGTCCCCTCTTTGCTGAGAGCTTTCCTTCTGTCACTCAATAAAATTATTCTCTGACCTACTCACTCTCCTTTGTCTGCATGCTTTATTCCTCTTGGTTGCAGGACAAGAACCCAGGACCTGCTGAGCTGCAGGTGGCAGGAACAAGCTGTAACATACCCGTATTTGCTGAGCTGTGGGCACTGGGACCAAGTGAGAGCTGTGACACACCCCCATTCACTGAACTGCAGGCAGCAAGACTAAATAAGAGCTGTGACATGCCCCCATTTGCTGAGCTGCAGGCAGTGGGACTGAACAAGAGCTGTGAGGTGCCCTCATTTGCTGAGCTGCAGGTGGCAGGAACAAGCTGTAACATACCCGTATTTGCTGAGCTGTGGGCACTGGGACCAAGTGAGAGCTGTGACACACCCCCATTCACTGAACTGCAGGCAGCAAGACTAAATAAGAGCTGTGACATGCCCCCATTTGCTGAGCTGCAGGCAGTGGGACTGAACAAGAGCTGTGAGGTGCCCTCATTTGCTGAGCTGCAGGTGGCAGGAACGAGAGAGAGAGCTGTAACATTTCTTGGGGTCTCAGGCCTTGGGATTCCCCAAGCAAAGCTGTAACACCCCTTAGGGCTCCGCAGTTGCTGGCATCTCCGAGTTTCTTAGTGCCACTGTGTTCCCTTCATTTAGACACTGGTGCCCAAGGTGGAAGCAGGTCACAGCACTCCCCGTCCTGCCACTGACTGAGTGTGGATCCTATGGCTCAGGAGTTCAAGACTGGCCTGGGCAACATGGTGAGACCTCATCTCTACAAAAAATTTTAAAAAAATAGCCATGCATAGTGGTCACTGTACTCCAGACTGGGTGACAGAGTGGGAGCCTGTGCCCCCCTCCCCCCAAAAAAGAGAATGTAACATTAATTTACAGGGTCTCTTTTAAAAATCTAATACAATGTTATCTTTTCTTGCTGAAGGAGCAGGGTCGTATCCTAAGGTTAAATCAATTTATAGGAAAAATATAACACACAGTTCCAAAGTGTAACAATTTGACCAAGAGGAATTTGATTCTGGTGCTGTTTCAAATTTTATTTGCAGGGTTCTTTCTTTTCACTTTTATGTTTTTTTCCCTTTTATTTTTAGTTGACATATAATAATTATACATATTTATGGGATACAGAGTAATATTTTGATACATGTATTCAATGTGTGATGATCAAATCAAAGCAATTAGGATACCTATCACCTCAAACATTGATCATTTCTTTGTGTTGGGAACATTCCAAATCCTCTCTTCTAGCTTTTTGAACATATACATTAAATTATTCTTAACTGTATTCACTCCATAGTGCTACAGGATGCTGGAACTTATTCCTCTTCTCTAGCTGTAACTTTGTATCTATTAACCAACTTCTTCCCATCCTCCACTTCCCTCTACCCTTCCCAGCCTCTGATAACCACAATTTTACTCTCTACTTCTATGAGCTCATTTTTTAAGCTTCCATATATGATTGGGAACGTGGTTTTTTATCTTTCTGTGCATGACTTATTTCACTTAACATAATGTCCTTCAGGTTTGAGGACTGAGAAGAGCAGACATTTTATTGTTCATCTCCATGTTGAGAATCAGAAATGTCCCCAATTAAAAAGTGATTACAAATATGTTATATCAGGAACTGTGGCTTGCCTGTGGGTCCTGGGTGGGCAAATAACTAATTTACATTCAATAGGAATGAGCTTGAAATTTCCTAGACATGATATGATTTGGCTGTGTTCCCTTCCAAATCTCATCTTGAATTGTAGTTCCCATAATCCCCACATATCATGGGAGCAACCCAGTAGGAAGTAAGTTAATCATACGAGCAGTTACCATCATGCTGTTCTCGTGATAGTGAGTTCTCACTAGATCTGATGGTTTCATAAGGAAGGGGCTTTCCCCATTGCTGCTCAGTGCTTCTCTTTCCTGCCACCGTGTGAAGAAGGACGTATTGGCTTCCCCTTGCACCATGATTGTAGGTTTCCTGAGGCTTCCCAAGCCATGCTGAACTAGAAGTCAATTTAACCACTTTCCTGGCCAGGCACAGGCCCATGCCTATAATCCCAGCACTTTGGGAGGCTGAGGCAGGTGGATCACTTGAGGTCAGGAGTTCAAGACCAGCCGGGCCAACATGGTGAAACCCTACTAAAAATACAAAAATTAGCTGGGCATGGTGGTGCTTGCCTGTAATCCCAGCTATGTAGGAGGCTGAGGCAGGAGAGTTGCTTGAACCTGTCAGGTGGAGGTTGCAGTGAGCTGAGATTGCACTGCTGCACTCCAGTCTGGGCTACAGAGTGAGACTGCATCTCAAAAAAAAAAAAAACCAAAACAAACAAAACAAAACAAAACCCCTCTCTTTCCTTTATAAATTACCCAGTCTGGGGTATGTCTTTATTAGCAGTGTGAGAACAGACTAATACAGACTACAAGGGTGGGAAATCCATTCTTTTGGGCCAAGTAATCTTACTTTTTTTCTGATGTTCAGTGGATAGGCTGATGTCAAACTTCAAATAGTGAATTATCATAAAGGAAGAAGAGCAGAGGGTGGTGCTGGGGGTAAGATATGCAGCACAAAGGCTACGTGGGTCTGATTTCCCAGACTTCAGGCTCTGAATGACACCTACCCAGGCTTGACTGGGAAGCTCCTATGTCTTAGCCCCTGAATTAATCAGAGGGATTCCTGCCTGGGAACGAAAAGCAGACATTCTCTATCAGGGTCCCTTATTCTTTTCTGAGTACTGGCCCCCCTGAGAGTACAGTAGAAGCTATGAATCTTCCCCCTACAAAAAAGCACTCATGTACCTTCAAACAAAATTGTTCTCAGTTTCCGTGATGCTCTTAGATAAAAAAATTTACAAGACCTCCGGTTTCTGGTTTCTGGGGCCCCACACAAGTGTGCTGGGTGGAGAGAAAATCTCAGTGGTTTTTTTTTTTTTCTCTCTAACCCTGTTTGGTAAGTTCCGTTTTTAGCCCCGGCCTTTTTCTAGCCAGGCTCTCAACTGTCTCCTGCGTTGCTGGGAAGTTCTGGAAGGAAGCATGTGCTCCAGAGGTTGGGATTCGTGTCTGGCTCTGGAATTGCTACTGCTGCCTCTGTCACTCCTGGTGACCAGCATTCAAGGTACTTTCCACCAACTGTGTATCTGTGATTGTGCACTGAAGGCATGGTCAGTTGGGAAAGGGGAGACGGGATGTAGTTCAACCCTAGAAGCCAGATCTGGTGTCTGGAAAGCAGGTATTTCCATTCCAATAGCATGGCCATGGCATGGTTGGGGAGCCTTTCTTAGCACTGATGAATGGAGCTTCATCTCCTTTCCCACGGGGATGTGATCAAAACAGGAACCTGGGGAGCAAGAGAAGTAGGCTCCTCATATTTTGTCCCGTGGTTGGTGGTCCATGAAGTTGTGGAAAAGTGTTTGTTTTTTCATTTTGAATAAGAAGAAGCTCTACACTGACAGCTGCTGCATTTTATGCTCAGACACACTGTACTCCCTTAGGCATTCTTTGAGACCTCTGTATATGTGAGGTGTTGCATCCTGAGCCAAGGTAAATGATATTGTCATTGACCCAAAGAAAAGATAGATCAAAATTATAGGAAGAAAAGCTTGGAAAGGATTGCTGTCTGGGGTCTCTGAATGAGGGTCTGAGAAGAGGCTGGAAGTGCTTCAGCATCAAAGGAACCTTAACACATCTGATTGCTAAGAGTTAAGGTCCATTCCTCTGCCACAGCCTGTTCGGTCCCCGGTGTGTGACCAAGGGCTGAGCTAACTTTCCTTCTCCTGTTAGAGCTGCCTCACCCTCTTTCTTCATCCAGTACCTCTCTTCTTATGCCAGCTGAGAAACAGCAGTGAAACCTTTGACTTTCTTGCTATTCCCCCAAGTAAATACTCAAGTCTTTTTAATTTAAAGGGCTTTAATGCTCACCACTCTGAGTAAAACAGTAAAAATCAACAAACATGTGGTAGTCACACTGTGGCATAAAATGATGATAGTTTGTAACTTTTGGGGAGATGAGGTAGAATGTGTGGAGGATCGGTCTCTCACATATTCTACCTCTCAGGTAGAGTCCTTTGGTTCATGACTGTGTGAGTCTACGGCTATATAGGTTCTGTGGGCCTGACTCAATGCATAGGACATTGGTATGACCTTGGGATTGGGGGCTGATGTGAAGTATTCATCTAACTATTGGGAAAAGCAGGGTTGCCAATGAGAATTGGAATATTTTAGGACTTTCTCTAGGCATACTGAAAACATCCTGACAGTTGACCTTTCTCTGACTTCTTTTCTAGGCTTCATCTTGGTCATTTATTCTTCTTTGAAACAATCAGACCACACCTGATTATGTTATCCTTTGAATGGATAATATTGGTTTTGATGAGGTTAGTAAACCTGGGTTATAACACCCGGGCTATAACCTGGGTTAGTAAAATACAAATTAAGCACTTACTGTGTGTCAGACATTGTGCTAGGCCTTTTGCATACTTTTTCATTTAACTTTCATTAGAAAATAGTGAGGTGGCTATTATTATCTACATTTTTCAGATGAGAATACTGTCTTGCAGAGAGATTAAGAAATTCTCCTAAGGGCACACAGGTCTAACTTCCAAACCATTCTATTATGATTATACCTTTCCTAGACTAAGGCGAGGGAATCTTGGTGAAGGTCAATGTGTCTAAATCTCTTAATTTTACTGTTTGCCTTAAAAGAGGCGTTTTCTCTTACCTCTGGGCTTATGTACATGCCTTCTTTCCACCTAGATTTCTCTCCCTCCTGCCCTCTCCCTGCCTCTCTTTTAGGCTTCTGTTTTTATGTGACTTCTTCTTGGACTGTCTGCCTGTGACTGTGTTCTGAAGGCATGGTTAGATGGGAACCTCAGGCTCCAGATTATGGTTTGTGAATTGCTTGGTGGATCATCTGTTTCCTTGAACTTTTTGAGGACAGAAACCATGTGCAGTGTTGTGCTGCTGAACTTAGCACAGGCCTGGAGTGTGGCATGTGCTCAATAAATAATTGTTACACAAATGAATGAACAACTTCAAAAAACTTCCTTTTGGACTACACATCCATATCTTCCTGAGAAGTGCAAGTAGTTCTCTCCTCTGCCGTAAGGGATGCTTCTGTGGAAAACTTTGAGAAGCACTCTTAGCTCTCTTCTTCCTTCTCTCCTCAGACTTGGGTTTCTCAGTTCTTTGGTTTCAAGGCAATGATTTAGGGCATGCTCCACAACTACCCAATTCCCCATCTGTCCACAACACTTAGCAGGATGAAGTAGACAGAGTATTGTACTAGAAATGAGATGACCTAGTTCTATCTGGGTTCCATGCTGTGGAATTTTCAACAAGTCATTAAAGCTTCCTGAGCCTCAGCTTCCTCAGCTCCATAATGGGTATAATAATCTGTTCCTCATTTCTTCAAGGGGTTGCTATTAAGATCAAATAAAATAAAAAATGTGCAATTGCTTTGCAATTGTGACACATGCGGAATCCGATACAGATGAAAACCTGGGAAGAGCATCAGTAAATTCTTAAGCCCCAAGCAGTCTCCTGAGCCCAAGATCAGAACTTCTGTCTCTTAAACATCTTCTCTAGACTCTCCAGACACGTGTCTAAAACTTAAGTCATCATCTCTGTTTCCGCTATGTATTGCTATTTAACAAGCTGCCACAATACCGTGGCTTAAAATAATAACAATGATTTACTTTGCCCACAGATTTGGGGGAAGACTGTTCATCCTGTCTCACTTTCATGTGCTTTTCATGTGCTTGCAATCAGATCATGGTGTGGCCTAGAGTCATGCAAGGCTCTTCACTCACAGGGCTACTGCCTGAACAGAGGGAGGCTCAAAGTGCTGGGTGGCTAGTGCCACTCAGCAGAAGCCTCCCAGAGTTGGTGTCCCAAGAGAAATAGGCAAATGCTGCATGGTCTTTTCTAAGCTAGCTTTGCAGGTCACACTTCCGGTGTATTCCATTCATTGAAGCCATCACCGAGCCTACTCAATTTCAAGGTGAAGGGGCACAAAGTCCATCATTTGATGAGAGGACCATCAAAAAATTTACAGACTTAAAAAAAAATACTACAATCCTTCTTCCCCCAAACCTACTGCTCCTCCACTGTTCCCCACCTCTATAAATGACATCTCCACTTGTCTAGTTGCTCAGGCCAGAATTCTAGGAGTCATCCTTGCTTCTTTTCTCTCCCTTGCTTCTCATGCCCAATGAGTAAGTCCTGTTAATTCTACTTTCAAAAATATCTCTCAAATATGTCCAATTCCATCCAGCCCCATGCTACCTATCTCAGATCAAGCCACCATTTTCTCTTATCACCAATTTCCACAATGATCCACTATCCTAACTGCTCTATTTACTGCATTCTCTCTAGCTAACCTGTTCTCTACCCTGCTGTCGGTATACATTTTCTAAAATGGTTCTCTGTTTGCATCACTCTTCTGCTTAAAATCTTTAGTGGCCACTGTGGGAAATGAGAAAGCAGAAGCTGTGAGCCTAAAGTTCACATTTCATAATGAGCTCACTTGCTACCCTCCTTAGTCTATGTCCTAGCCAGTGAGCTACTTCCTACTCCGCAAATGAATTTCATTTTTGTGTTTCTGGGCGTTTGATTCTTTTTCCCTCTTGTTGGAATATTCACTACCCCCAGTCGTCATCTTTCCCTGGTTTCATCCCACTTAGGCTAATTCCTCGTACAGAAGCCATTCTCAACCCCCAAATTCAAGTGAGGTGCTCCCTTTTATATGCCCTCTAAGCATTCCGTATTTTCCTTTTCCTAACACTTATCACCAATAGCGAAATCATCTGATTAATTTTGTTGATTCACTGGAATGAAGCTCAAGGGAAGGAGCCACATCTATCTATTGCACCCTTACAGAGCCAAGCACATAGTAACTGCTTACTGCATAGTTATTCGATGAGTGAATACATGAGGAAGTTCATGTACGCATGTATGCATGGAGGGATGGGTGGATGGAGGGAGGGAGCAAAGGAAAGAAGGAAGGAATAAATTTTGAGTCATTGTTTCAGTCAAGCTGGGGTCTCAGAGTAGCTCTTACTGGCCCTGATAAATTCTTTCTCCCATTTCCCACAGTGGCTATTTCAAACTTTCACCCTATCCTCAAGGCCCCTTACCTCAGTCCTCTGCCCTCTCAGCAAAGCATGTGCCTCCTTCTTTGCAGAAGAAATCGAAACTAGAGACCATTAGGCAGGAAGCCCTTCAACTTCCTGCCCACTATCTTCAAACTGGTAACTTTTCTCCACCACCAGCTGTCTTTCCTCCTTCTCTTTTCCCTCAGAGGATGAAGTGTCCCTCCTCCCAGTCAAGACCTGTGCCACTAACTCTGCTCTGAGTCCCACTAGCCCAGGCTCGTCAATCACCTCCCTTCTCTTCATGTCTTCCCTCCACTGAATCCTTTCCTTGGCCTACCATAGCTTAGGTCTTTCCCTACTTGAATAACAAAAACAAAATACTCTCTACTTTTTCATGACCCTTTACATACCGCCCTACCATTCTTTTTCCCATTCAAATTGCAACGTCTGAAGAGAAGAGTCTATTTTTATTGTTTCTCCTTCCTCACCTTCAGATTGCATTGCAGTGTTGCCCACTGAACTCATTATAGTTCCCATCTCAAAAAATAGTAGCCTGCTCAGCTTCTCACCAAGACACAAACCTGAGGTCTTGGTAGCTATTGCAAAATTACTTCCTAAAAAGGGTTGTACAGGCTTGTTAAATATTTAATCTTATGAGAGAGCTTCAGGTAACTCTGTCTCCACATCCTTAACACTCATCTTCTTTTCTTCCTTAAGAGTTTTACTAGAAACCATGTGTTTTGTTTTTATTATTTTTATTTTTCTCAATATATGAGGAAACCAAAGAAGCCAACCATGTGTCTTGTTTTATTGGAGTAACCGGAACTTACTCTTTAAAACCTTTCCCTTTCCTGGGGAGACTCTATGGTCCTGGGATTATGACTTCCTTTGATCTGAATTTTTTCCCGTTACAATTCTGTTTTTCTACAGACTAGAAACATGGGCGGGCACAGACAGGATCTGGTTCTATTTCTTCTTCTTTTTTTTAAAAGTGAAAGCGAGTTCATTAAGAAAGTAAAAGAATAAGATCCAACTTTGTTACTTTATCCCAATCATCCAGACATATCACCAAATACTTCCTGTTAGAATTAAATCAAAATAGTAGTTTTTTAAAAGGTTGCTTCAGCTACTTCCTAAAAAGTGGAATTGTTAAGAAGGCAAATCAAGATTTTATCAGCAGTTAATCACTTCTTTATTTCTCGGTAAGAAGTTACAGCCAACCATCAGGACAGCCTTTTTGGAATTGTTACACATGGGTGGTTAAGGAGGGAGAGAAGAAAGATACAATACTGTATGCTTACCTGTCATCAGCACTCATAATATACTGAAATTGGCTGAGCATGGTGGTTCACACCTGTAATCCCAGCACTTTGGGAGGCCGAAGCAGGTGGATCACCTGAGGTCAGGAGTTTGAGACTAGCCTGACCAACATGGTGAAACCCCGTATCTACTAAATACAAAAAATTAGCCCGGCGTGGTGGTGCATGCCTGTAATCCTAGCTACTTGGGAGGCTGAGGCAGGAGAATTGCTTGAACCTGGGGGGTGGAGGTTGCAGTGAGCTGAGATTGCACCACTGCACTCCAGCCTGGGTGACAAAAGTGAAACTCCATAAAAAAAATTATATATATATAAGTGATCTGTCTGGTGTTACTACCTGCCTCTGTCATCAGACAGTGGATTGTGCTATCTTCCTGAGTGTAAGTCTGAGACATCCTGGGGAGTCTGCCAAAGATGACCTAGCTCAGTACTTCTCAACCAGGGTGAATGTGGGAGAATTTTGTCCCTCAAGGGACATTTGGCAATATCTGGATACATTTTTGGCTGTCACAACTGGACAAGTGTTACTGGCACCTAGTGGGCAGATACCAGGAATGCTGGCAAACATCTTACAATGCACAGAACAGCCCCCTACAAAAAAGAATTATGTGGCCCAAAATGTCAATAATGTCAAGACTGAAAAACATTGATCTAGACTGCCTATTATGACCGCTTCTATTAATTCATGTGGAAACAACTAACAGAAGGAGAACAAATCTGGAATATGTCTAGTGATTTTAAACTCCTAGAAAGAATGTCCTCCTAGGCTGTATGCTCCAAGAGGCCAGAGACTGTATCTGCCTTGCTGACAGCAGAGTCTAGCACAGCGCCAGGCATGTTGTGGTTGTGCGATGACTGTATTCATGTAATCCATTTTACAAAACATATCTTAAACATTAATTAGACCACAGCCTCTGTCTTCTCTAACATCCCCTTCATCACATTTCTGTTTTTGTTGGGTGGCATCTCAGTTATGGGCATTTTGAGGTCTGGCCAAGGGGAAGTAGAAATGGGAAGTACTTAGTTGGGGTTAGTGGGATACATGTATGAGGGTTGAACTTATTCTGTCAGAGGGATTATAGGGCATGGGCTGGACCAATCAGAAGCACTGTAGAAATGAATGCCTAGGTATTTCCGTGTACAAACCAGGACAGGGTAAGTGCTTAATAAACATTTGTTGAATAGATGGATGAATGGTTGGAAGGCTGAATGAACAGGAACTTGAAAGCCCTGGGGTCACAGACATTTTTATCTTTTAGTGGTTGAGAATGTTTTTGGAAATGATGGATATGTGGAAAGTGAACAGCTAGTATATATCATGTTGAAGAGTACAACTGAGTTTTTGTGCGGCAGCATATGACACCAGAGTGATATAGGACATATTTCCTCTTCTTCTACCTTTAGCTTTTATTCCACAGCTCTTGTTTAGCCTTTGTATACATATTCTAAGTTCTCCCTCCACAAAAAGGACCAATGGACCTCCCTTCATCTTGTACTTTGTCCTTATCATCTTTTCTTTCTCCTTATCTTAACCAAACCAGGTTTTTAAAAATGACCTGAGGCTTATATAATTTGGAGTATTCTCATGAAAAAGAAAAATAATAAAAGAACAAAACTGGAAATACAAATAGGAACAAAAATAAATTCAATTAGAATAAAAAAAAAGAAATCCCAGGGAATTAGTTCAGGTTAAAAAAATACAAATACTACAAAGAACATGACAGCATAAAAAATAGCAGCATAATTTTAGTTAATTAAATGCCTTCGTGCTTCCACAATACTTTGCTACTGAATAGCTCTGGCTGTTGTTCACTTCCAACCTGCTTTCTCCTCTGCTTCCCACCTGCAGCCCGATTGCAACATGTCCATGGCCATTGCCAGTGAGTCAGTGCAGAGGGCAGCAAGAATATTCCTGGATGCCATTTCTTCACTGAAGTGGGTAGCGGGAACTTCACACACAAGAGTTTGCAACCCTCATACATGTATCCCGCTAACCCCAACTAAGTACTTCCCATTTCTACTTCCCCTTGGCCAGACCTCAAAATGCCCATAACTGAGATGCCACCCAACAAAAACAGAAATGTGATGAAGGGGATGTTAGAGTAGACAGAGGCTGTGGTCTAATTAATGTTTAAGATATGTTTTGTAAAATGGATTACATGAATACTGCTAGGGCTCCTCCAGGGCCATCCAAGAAGCCCTGAAGCTTCAGCTTCATCACTTTCACGGGAAATCTGCCTCTGATCCAAACTTTGTGAAACAATGGTTTATACAGTCTCCACTTTGTTACCTTCTAATAACTTGCTTCTAAATACATTGTAAATGCACACACAAGACATGAGCCACTTTTACAGGAAAGCATTTTTTTTTTACAGGACAAGACATTATTAATAAAGCTAAAATGTATCTACTCTCTCCAATCTCACTCCCTCTCTGACTGTGTCTCTCAACACCCAATCCCCTTGTTCACTCCACACTACCCACTCGCCACCTCCTTGCTGTTGTTTATGTATGGCAGGCAAATCCCTGCCCCAGGGCCTTTGCTCTGGCTCTTTCCTCTGTCTGGGTCCCTCCTACCCCAGATACCCTCTTGGCCACCTCTCTCCTCCAAGTCTTTACTCAGATGTGACCTACTTATCACCTTATAAATGAAGTTCACCCTTTTGCCCCTACCAGTACTTGTGACTCCCCTTACCTTATTCTAGGTTTTCTCCTCTGTCATGGCAGTTATCATCTCCTTACATACTATACAGTGTGTTCTGTTAGTGTGTTGATTGCTTACGTTTTTTCACCCCACTCTAATGCAAGCTCTGTTAAGGTAGGGATCTTTGCTGCATGTACCATAGATATGCTAATTCTTCTCTCTTCAAACCTCCAGCATCAGCTAATGGCTCCAGGACCAAACTACACTTTACCTATCATTCTCCAGGCCATCCCCCATCCACTACAGCCCCTCACCCTCCTGTCGTTTCGGGTCCTAAACCGGTCTGCATCGATATGCGCTGTTCAATCTTACCTTTTTTAAAAGAATTTAGGGATGCTTGTACTCAGTATGGTCCTACTTCTCCTTATGTTAAGATGGTTTTACAAACTTTTCGTACTGAAGTCACTTACTTCCCTTAGATTGGGACCTTTTGGCAAAAGCTGTTCTAACCCCATCTCAGCATTTACAATTCCGTATTCCATACCTGGTGGTCAGAAGAGGCCCATTTGCAGGCTCAGCTAAATAGCAGTAATGGCATTCTAATTACTCAGGCTCAGCTCACAGGCTCCGATAGTTTCTCTGATGCTTATGCCCAGTTAAACTTTGATGCCCTTACCACAGAACAAGTAACAAAGGTGTGTATGAGAGCTTGGGATAAATTACACGCTCCAGGCCAAGCTCCTGTTCCTTTTACCATAGTTAAACAAAGTCACTCTGAATTATACCCAGATTTTTTGGCTAAATTACAAGATGCTGTTCAAAAATCTGTCTCTGATGAGCGCACTCAAGGCATTCTCCTTTATATGTTAGCTTTTGAAAATGCAAACCATGAATGTAAAATGGCCATGCATTCTGTCCAACGCAAAATTTACCTGATCACGAGGTGTTGCCTGCATATATTAAAGCTTGTGAAGGCATTGGATCAGATACCCACAAAGCTATTCTGTGGGCACCGGCCATGAAGGACACCAACCAAACTGGTCCCATTAATTCTTCTCTTGGAGCCTGCTATAATTGTGGCCAACTTGGTCATATTCAAAAAAGTTGCACTGTTAAAAACTTACAAGCGGCCAAGTCGGTTCAACAAACATGGCCAAATGCTGCTCCTACTGTTTGCCCACGTTGTCGCAAAGGTAAACATTGGGCAAATGTTTGCCGCTCTAGGTATAATGTAGATGGAAACCCCCTACCACAACACCAGGGAAACAGGGAGCGGGGCCTGGGATGGACCCGACATCAAATAGGACACTTCAAACTCAGACCAACATTGCGTTTCCACTTCAGGCAGTCCCAGTGCAACCCCCAGCACAAACAAATCTACCTACAACCAAACCAAATAGGTCCCAGCCTCTACTTCTGTCTCAGTACAATGCTTGTCCTCCTCCACAGTAGGAGGCGGGGTGGTTGATCTCTTTAGTACTATTCCTCTAAATTTACTTCCTGATTCTTTGCCTTTGATTGTCCCCACGGGGGTCACTGGCCCTTTACCTCAAGGTTCAGTGGGCCTGGTGTTAGGTAGAGCATCCACCTCTGCTAAAGGATTCACCATTCATACTGGTCTCATTAATTCTGATTCTGTTGATGAGATTAAATTAATTGTGTCTGCCAAGTTTCCTATTTCCATTGCGTCTGGTGAGTCAGTTGCTCAACTGCTTTTACTACCTAATATCATTTTAAACAAAGGCGATAAGACATGTGGCCCTGGGATAGGCTCCGGCGGTGAAAAGGCCACTTACTGGATTAATGTAATTTCTAAACAACGGCCCACCTGCATCATACACATTCAAGGAAAAAAGTTTGAGGGCCTAGTAGATACTGGTGCCGAAGTTTCTGTTATTTCCTCTAGTTTATGGCCTTCCTCTTGGCTTAAACATCCCACTAAGGTAGGACTAGTAGGTGTTGGAAAGGCCGAGGAAATTTATCAGAGCACATTTATCTTGCTTTGCACTGGCCCTGATGGTCAAAAAGGTACAATTCAGCCCTATATCATGCCAATTCACATTAATCTTTGGGGTAGAGATTTACTGGCAAAATAGAGGGCTGAAATTAATATTCCACATAACTCTTCTAGTGCTCCCAGTCAGCATATGATGGAAAATATAAGGTTTGTTCCTGGATTACCAAACCCCTCCCAGTCACTATAAAAGAAAACAGGGCTGGTTTAGGTTATTCTTTTTAGTGGCAGCCACTGCCATACCTCCTGATCCCATTCCCTTACAATGGAAACCTAAAACTCCCGTTTAGGTTCAGCAGTGGCCGCTTTCTAAAGAAAAACTGGAGGCTTTAAATCAATTGGTTTCTGAGCAGTTGCAACTTGGATATGTGGAACATTCTCTTTCCCCTTAGAATTCTCCTGTGTTCCTAGTAAAAAAGAAATCAGGCAAATGGCGGATGGTAACCGATTTAAGGGCCATTAATGCTGTAATTAAACCTATGGGGGCCGTCCAACCTGGCTTTAATACCTAAAAATTAGCCTCTCATAGTTATTGATCTTAAAGATTTTTTTTTATATTGCTTTACATAAATCAGATTGTGAAAAATTTGCTTTTACTGTACCATCTATCAATAATCAGGAACCTGCAGTTCATTATCAATGGAAAGTACTTCCTCAAGGAATGCTAAATAGCCCTACAATCTGCCAGCTTTATGTTGGGCAAGTGCTTTCACCAGTTCAAGCCCAATTTCCCGAGGCCTATATTCATCATTATATTGATGATATTTTAATTGCTGCCCCCACTGATAAAGAATTGACTGTTACCAAATTTTGAGCTGCTGTGTTATAGAGGCTGGATTACACATTGCTCAAGATAAAATTCATCAGACCACTCCTGTTCAATATTTAGGAATGGTGGTCGATAAACAATGTATTCAACCTCAAAAAGTTCAAATTAGGAGAGATTCTTTAAAAACTTTAGATGACTTCCACAAACTTTTAGGTAACATTAATTATTTAAGACCTACTTTAGGCATTCCAACCTATGCACTGTCTAACTTGATTTCTATGTTGCGGGGAGATTCCAATCTCCACAGCGCCAGGATTTTGACCTCTGAGGCTTTAATAGAACTGGAATTTGTAGAAGAAAGAATCCAGACTGCCCAGTTATCTAGAGTACAGCCATTTCAGCCTTTTCAGCTTCTAGTTTTTGCTTCATTACACTCCCCTACTGGACTAATAGTTCAACATAATGATTTAGTGGAGTGATGTTTTCTTCCTTATTCTGTCTCAAAAACTTTGTCTGTTTATCTAGACCAAATAGCCATATTAATTAGACAGGCTTGGTGCAGAATACTTCAAATTTCTGGATTTGATCCAAATATAATTGTAGTTCCTTTAAATTGGCTCAAAGTTCAAGCTGCCTTTCAACATTCTGTACTGTGGCAAATTCACTTGGCTGATTTTATTGGCGTTATTGACAATCATTATCCAAAAAACAAATTATTTGATTTTATAAAAATGACTTCTTAGGTGGTTCCTCGATTAACCAAAAATCAACCCATTCCTGAGGCCGTTACAGTGTTCACTGATGGCTCCAGTAATGGCAATGCTGGCTATGTAAGTCCTACAGACAAACTTATTTCTACCTCTTATACTTCTGCTCAAAAGGCGGAGTTAATTGCTGTGATTACTGCCTTACAGGATTTCCCCAAACCTTTAAATATTGTCTCATGAAGGGGTGGGTTGCCCCTCCACACCTGTGGGTGTTTCTCATAAGGTGGAACGAGAGACTTGGAAAAGAAAAAGACACAGAGACAAAGTATAGAGAAAGAAATAAGGGGGCCCGGGGAACCAACGTTCAGCATATGGAGGATCCCGCCAGCCTCTGAGTTCCCTTAGTATTTATTGATCATTCGTGGGTGTTTCTCCGAGAGGGGGATGTGTCAGGGTCACAAGACAATAGTGGGGAGAGGGTGAGCAGACAAACACGTGAACAAAGGTCTTTGCATCATAGACAAGGTAAAGGATCAAGTGCTGTGCTTTTAGATATGCATACACATAAACATCTCAATGCTTTACAAAGCAGTATTGCTGCCCACATGTCCCACCTCCAGCCCTAAGGCAGTTTTTCCCTATCTCAGTAGATGGAATGTTCAATCGGGTTTTATACTGAGACATTCCATTGCCCAGGGATGGGCAGGAGACAGATGTCTTCCTCTTCTCTCAACTGCAAGAGGCATGCTTTCCTCTTATACTAATCCTCCTCAGCACAGACCCTTTACGGGTGTTGGTCTGGGGGATGGTCAGGTCTTTCCCTTCCCACGAGGCCATATTTCAGACTATCACATGGGGAGAAACCTTGGACAATACCTAGCTTTCCTAGGCAGAGGTCCCTGCGGTCTTTCGCAGTGTTTGTGTCCCTGGGTACTTGAGATTAGGGAGTGGTGATGACTCTTAATGAGCATGCTGCCTTCAAGCATCTGTTTAACAAAGCACATCTTGCACCGCCCTTAATCCATTTAACCCTGAGTTTGACACAGCACATGTTTCAGAGAGCACGGGGTTGGGGGTAAGGTCATAGATTAACAGCATCTCAAGGCAGAAGAATTTTTCTTAGTACAGAACAAAATGGAGTCTCCTATGTCTACTTCTTTCTATACAGACACAGTAACAATCTCATCTCTCTTGCTTTTCCCCACATTTCCCCCTTTTCTTTTCGACAAAACCGCCATCGTCATCATGGCCCGTTCTCGATGTCACTGTCTCTTCGGAGCTGTTGGGTACACCTGCAGACTAACAACAGACAAAACAGGCACACAATGATTAATATGAGATTTATAATCATAGTACTTCTGATGGTCTTAATCCAAGTGACAGGGTTAAGATTTGCGAGGCCATCAGCAACTCCTGCAATTGCCTCAGTTCCTGGCACCAAATTTAAATGGGCTTTTGATGCTTCGAAAATTTGTTCTTTTAATTTGGAAATGTCTAAAGTGAGATTATCTTCTCTTCCCTGTAGATGGCGTCTAACCATGTCCCAGTGATGCTCAGACTCATTATAAATTTGGGGTGTAATACAAAAATCTGACGTATTCCAGTCACACTGTAACTGGAAATGATGTTCTAAGGTCATGAGCCTGTCTCCCATCCAAATGACAGTTTGTCTAAGATCATTAATTTGACTTGCCAATTTTTGATCAATACTAGATTGTGAATTCCACAATCTTGTAGAATTCTTTTGCCAATAATTAACAAAGTTTACTGACTGAACAGAAGAGTGCAATGCAACTCCTGCCACAGCAGCCGTAGCTGTGACTGCAATTAATCCCATAATCACTGCAATTAAAGTAAAAATGAATCTTTTGGATCTATTTAAAATGCCTTTTAATATTTCAGTCAAAATATGGATGGATGGCGAGGCCTCCCACGGTCGGTCCGTGGACACAGGGATCCACATGCCTTCTCTTGCTCTCACCAGCAGAATACGGTGCTGCCAATTAAAAGTTGAATCAATGCAAGTAAACAATCTACAATTTTCACAGGTTATAGTTTGGGAGGCTGGTTTAATAACTATATTTCCTACAACTAGCATATAAGGGGGCTTTATGCAACTTTGTAAAGGAACCGTTAGAATGGAATTTAGGTCGATAGTATAAAATGGCTTACGATATCTTGTTTCTAAAGTTTGATTTCCAGACCAAATTCTAATGTGGTGTGAGGCCACAGTAAGCCTCCACAATTCTGGATGTTCAGGACCAGAAACAGGACTTATTATTTTTGGTCTTGGGGTAGAGATTCCTTTTTCTTCCCATTCCCAAAGGTAGAAAGACTGTAATTTTTTATGCTTATGTTTGTCTAGACTTTCTGTTAAGTCGCTATCAACAGCTGGACTCACTTGTGCACTTGGACACGACTGAGTTTGTCCTGAGCAATTGTGGTAGAATTGACCTCGAGGTGCCCAATCTATAATAGTTTCGAATTCATTGTTTTGTAATATCACCACACTATTGGCCACACATTCTTCCCAAACTAAAACTTCTGTATTCTTTGATCCTTTAGGAATTTCCTTGGGGCAAGTTTTCCCTTTAGGTCTAAATTTTAATGATCTTTGATAAGAAAAGTCTTGTAAATAATTTACCCGTGGCCTGAGTGACATCCCGCTTACCATGTGATAAGTGAATCTACTGTTAGGACTGACAGTAGGTACTTCTACCAACCAATTTTGGACTGCAGGCATTAAACATCCTGGTGCTCTCCCTAGGCAAATAGGAGGATAATGATACCCAATGGAAATATTTATCATCATCCCTTCTTCCTCAGGTTTGGCAGGGCAGCGATCATCTGTGGGGCCAGGTACCCATACACTATCATTAACATATACTTCTATAGGATTATCCATCCATGTGACTGGTGTTACCATCTCCGTGGAGGCGCTTTTCTTTGCATCTCTGATGGGTTCATTGTAGAACTTCAAATGTCTAGTGGGTATCCAAACAGGAAGCTGATTTTCTCCTGGTGAAACACAAGCAAAACCTCTCCCCCACGTTATCAGCTTCCCTATTTCCCATGTCTTATTTTAATTATCTTTCCACTAAATTAGTTTTCCTTCATGTGGGCTGTTCTTTTTACCAGTAAGATGTTCTGCAGAAGTAGTAGTCTGATTTCTATAAATGTTTAAAAAATTTAAAGTATAGAGTGCTAGATTAAGTTGCATCTGAGGAGTGGTACACTCCTTACTGTCTCCCCCTTCTTTTTGTTTAACTAATTGAGTTTTGAGTGTTCTATTAGTTCTTTCAACTATGGCCTGTCCTTGGGAATTATAAGGAATTCCTGTTGTATGTGAAATTTTCCACTGACTTAAGAATTTTTGGAAAGCTTTACTACAATATCCTGGTCCATTGTCAGTTTTGATTTTTTCTGGAACTCCCATTACAGCAAAACAAGACAATAAATGTTTTTTAACATGGGAAGTACTTTCTCCTGTTTGGCAAGTTGCCCACATGAAATGTGAATAAGTATCAACTGTTACATGACATATGATAATCTTCCAAATGAAGGTACATGCGTGACATCCATTTGCCATAATGCATTAGGACACAGACCTCTGGGTTAACTCCTGCCTCTTGAGTGGGCAGGTCTAAGACTTGACACTGGGTGCAATGTTGTACAATATCTTTTGCCTGTTTCTATGTGACATCAAATTTGTTTTTTAATCCTGCTGCATTTACATGAGTCAAAGCATGAAGTTCTTGTGCTTTTATGAATGCAGATGATACCAGTAAGTCAGCTTGTTCATTTGCTTTAGTCAAAGGCCCTGGTAAATTAGTGTGTGCTCGAATATGAGTAATATAAAATGGGAAGTTTCTTTTTCTTACAGTTTGTTGTAATAAATTGAATAGCTGGTTTAACTGATCGTCCATGCTATATTTAATTAGAGCTGTCTCAACATCCCTTGTAGCCTGTACTACATATGCAGAATCTGATATAATATTGATAGGTTGATCAAAATCTTGTAACACTGTAATGACTGCAACCAACTCTGCTCTTTGAGCCGATTGATATGGAGTTTTGATTACTCGTTCTTTTGGCCCTGTGTAAGCCACTTTTCCATTGCTGGAACCATCAGTAAATACTGTTAGAGCATTTTCTAAAGGTTCACATCTGGTAATTTTAGGTAGAATCCAAGTAGTCAATTTTAAGAACTGGAAGATTTTTGTTTTTGGGTAATGATTATCAATAATTCCCACAAAATTAGCAAGACCAATCTGCCATGCACCAGAATTGATAAAGGCTTGTCTAACTTGTTCCTTGGTTAAAGGGACAACTATTTTGTCTGGGTCATTTCCACATAATTTTATTATTCGTAATCTTGTCGGACCAATTAAAGTAGCTATTTGATCCAAGTACAATGTAAAAGTCTTAACTGTACTGTGAGGAAGGAATGACCACTCCACAAGATCAGTATTTTGAATAATGATGCCTGTTGGAGAATGTGCAGTGGCAAAAATCAAAAGTTGGAGTGGGGCTAAGGGATCTATTCTATTTATTTGCGCTGACTGAATTTTTTCTTCCACTAATTTAATTTCTTTTGTTGCCTCTGGGGTTAACATTCTTTTACTATTTAAGTCTGAGTCTCCTCTTAAGATAGAGAACAAATTTGACATGGCATAAGTAGGAATGCCTAGAGTTGGCCGAATCCAATTAATATCTCCCAGCAATTTTTGAAAATCATTTAGTGTTTTTAATGTGTCTTTTCTTATTTCTATTTTTTGTGGCTTAATTTTTCTATTTTCTATCTGCATCCCTAAATAATGAAAAGGAGTAGAGGTTTGGATCTTATCAGATGCTATTGCCAGTCCTGCATTGGCAACCTCTGCTTGCAGAAATGTATAACAGTCAATTAATTTATCTTTCGTTTCTGCAGCACATAAAATATCATCAAAATAATGAATAATATAACAGTCTGAAAACTTGTCTCTAACTGGTTGAAGAGCTCGACCTACAAAAGTCTGACAAATAGTTGGACTATTAAGCATTCCCTGAGGTAACACTTTCCACTGAAACCTGGTGGCTGGTTCTTTATTATTTATGGCTGGTATAGTAAAGGCAAATTTTTCACAATCCTGCTCTGCCAGAGGGATGGTAAAAAAGCAGTCCTTTAGATCAATTATAATTAAAGGCCAATCTTTTGGGATCATGGCTGGAGAGGGCAACCCAGGTTGGAGAGGCCCCATGGGTTGAATTACGGCATTTACAGCCCTTAAGTCAGTTAACATACGCCATTTGCTGGATTTCTTCTGAATTACAAACACAGGAGAATTCCAAGGCGAGAATGAAGGCTCAATATGTCCCTTTTCTAACTGTTCATTTGCTAATAAATGTAAAGCCTCCAGTTTTTGTTTTGGTAGCGGCCACTGATTTACCCACACCAGTTTTTCTGTTTTCCAAGTTAACGGTATGGGTTTAGGAGGCTCTACAGTGGTCACCCCTAAAAAGGATACCCTGTTCCTTCTCTTCCGTGATTTATTTTAGCCTCAATTGGAACTTTAATGCCATCTTCATTTTTTCCTAGTCCCTTTCCTGGTATATATCCCATCTTGGTCATGATTTTTTGACTCATGGGGCTATATAATGTAGCGGTCATGGTGATTTCCGCACCCCATTGTTGTAACAAATCTCGACCCCACAGATTAAGAGGAATTGAAGTGATCATTGGCTGAACAGTACTTTCTTGATTATGTGGCCCTAAGCAATGTAAAATCTCAGTACTCTGATACACTTCTGAGGCTGTGACTATGCCGACAAGTCCTGTAACAGTCTTTTGTTTAGGCCAATTTTTTGGCCACTGATTTAAAGCAATGATAGAGACATCTGCTCCAGTGTCTACCAATCCTTCAAGCTGTTTTCCTTGAATAACGGCCTTACACACAGGTCTGTTCTCTGAGACCTGACTTGCCCAATATGCAGCCTTTCCTGTCGGATCAGTGCTTCCAAACCCTCCTGTTCTTTTTATTTCACTATTTCCAACCTTAATATATGGCAGGAGTAATAATCGAGCAATCCTGTCTCCTGGACTGGCACTCCAAGGAATTGAAGAGCTAATAACCAATTGAATTTCACCTTTATAGTCTGAATCAACCACACCAGTATGAATTTGAAC
Source organism: Homo sapiens (assembly GCF_000001405.40). Classification (NCBI taxonomy): domain Eukaryota; kingdom Metazoa; phylum Chordata; class Mammalia; order Primates; family Hominidae; genus Homo; species Homo sapiens. The sequence goes on along the minus strand of NC_000001.11, from coordinate 160,694,087 downwards.
TCCTTTTAGATTTAGACGTGATCTTCCCAAGATTAGTCCTACAGTCTCCTCAGGCAGCGGGCCATATACTCCTGTGGGGATTTTTTGTGGGGGCTCCCCTGGAAGCAGAGAGACTGCTTGTATAGTACATAAATCTACTGCTGCACTGCCACTTGTGGCGGGGGACAATTGTTGTACTGTGGTAACTGGCTTATTCCCTGAGGTACTTGGGACAGTGGGGGTTGTTGTCCCTGAAAACCCTGAGGAACAAAGGGCTGAATTGGGAATGCCCCAGTTTGTTGCAGGGCCTGAGGCTGGCCCCTTTGCTAGTTTCCCGACAATGGTTGCCCATTTTTATCAAATTTGGAACGACATTGACTAGCCCTTTTGGTAGTTTCCCGACAATGATTGCCCATTTTTATCAAATTTAGAATGACATTGACTAGCCCAATGTTTTCCTTTTTTACATCTTGGACATAAGTCAGGTGGCTCTCTACCTGTTGTTGTAGTAGCTTGAATAGTTATATTCTGTTTATTTAAGACTGGGCAATTCTTTTTTAAATGACCAATTTGACCACAATTATAACATTTTCCTCCAAATGTTCTAACTTGTCCTCCTAAAACAACTCCTGTTATTGCTTGGGCCATAAGCATAGCTTTATGCGTAGCTCCTCCAATTCCATCACGGGCTTTTACATACTCTGAGATTACATCTGATCCTGCGGGAACCTTTCCTTTTAATGGCTTAATGGCTGATTGACACTCAGGATTGGCGTTTTCGTATGCCATCAACTCCACTATGACCTTACGGGCTTTTTCACTGGCAATTGACTTTTGAGCAACATCTTGGAGCCTTGCCACAAAATCAGGGTAGGGCTCTTTTGAACCTTGTCTTACTGTATTAAATGTGGAGCAGGCGCTTCCTGGGTCTTGGATTTTTTCCCAGGCTCTAAGGCAGATAGCTCTAACTTGCTCAATGGCCTCATTTTGCATTAATGCTTGTTGACTAATAGTGCTCCAATTTTGACCTGTTCCTAATAGTTGATCTGCATCTATGTTAACTGGAGGATTGGCAGCCCTATTTCTTCGGACCTGTTCTTGTGCCCCATCAATTCACCAAGTCTTAAATTGTAAAAATTGAGAGGGTGAGAGAGATGATTTTGCCAGAATCTCCCAATCATAAGGAATGAGTCTATGTCCATGAGCAATGGAATCTAATAATGTCCTCATATAAGGGGAGTTGGGTCCATACTGTTTTACTCCCTCTTTCATATCTTTTAGCATTTTTATCTAAAAAGACTTGTATCTGGCCTCAACTGTGAGAGGCTCTCCCTCTTGGGCTCCTTCTCCAGGTGGCATCGGTTCTAACGTTACTGGGAATTGCCACGCCTCAGTATCTCCTTCCTTTCTTGACTTCTCAATAATTTCATGTAATTCACTACCCTGTCTACTAGGTGGTGCCATAGGATTGTCTCCTAGTGGGCGGCTGAGGGTATGGCTCCCTGCCCTGTGGTGCTGGGGGCATTCCTAGATATCCATACTGACTTTCTGGGGGTGGCCGATACTGAAGTTCGGCCGGTGGCCAGTATTGATAAGCTACTGGCAGTTGGGTCTTATTTTCTCTAACCTGCGCTTGAGGTTGTAATGTTACGGTCACCTGACCTGCTGAAAGAGGACTTGGCCCTCGTGGTTTAGACTCTAATGGCCCCACTAATTCTGGACCTTTTCCTTCTAATTTTAATGTTTCAGGATATATCACCTCCTGTAATTGATTATAGTCAACATTTTGCGTTGACTGAGCCATTAACGGCTCTGCTACATATTCGCAATGTAAAGTTTCCGTTTCCTTCTGGGATTTTTTCCTTGTCTTTTCATTACAATCTATTATACAGCTTCCAGGGGCATCAGAAACTGAAACGCTATCTTCTGTTTGAAATGGTTCTAAAGCTGCTTTAATAATGGGCCAATCATTCCATACTGTAAGTGGAATGATATTACCCTTCCTACCTGCTTGTTTTAGTTCCTTACCAATTCTTTTCCAATCTTCTAGATCTAAATTTCCTTGTTCTGGAAACCATGGGCAAAATTGTTCTGTTGTTTGAAATAGCTTGATTAGATTTTTGGTGGATACTCTAACTCCCCCTCTTTTTAAAAGAATTTTAATGAAGCTAAGATAAGAGGCATATTTACTTTTAGTTTTAGTTTGCCCCATTGTCACCCTAGCTTCTTCCGAGTGCACAAGCTTACCGTAAGGCTGACTGTAGATGTACTCGGGATCTCTTGTCGACTTGTCCTCAATGACCACGCTCGAGTGTACCTTCACCCCAGAGAAAAGCCTCCACGTTGGGCACCAGATGAAGGGGTGGGTTGCCCCTCCACACCTGTGGGTGTTTCTCGTAAGGTGCAATGAGAGACTTGGAAAAGAAAAAGACACAGAGACAAAGTATAGAGAAAGAAATAAGGGGGCCCGGGGAACCAACGTTCAGCATATGGAGGATCCCACCAGCCTCTGAGTCCCCTTAGTATTTATTGATCATTCGTGGGTGTTTCTCCGAGAGGGAGATGTGTCAGGGTCACAAGACAATAGTGGGGAGAGGGTGAGCAGACAAACACGTGAACAAAGGTCTTTGCATCATAGACAAGGTAAAGGATTAAATGCTGTGCTTTTAGATATGCATACACATAAACATCTCAATGCTTTACAAAGCAGTATTGCTGCCTGCATGTCCCACCTCCAGCCCTAAGGTGGTTTCTCCCTATCTCAGTAGGTGGAACGTACAATCGGGTTTTATACCGAGACATTCCATTGCCCAGGGATGGGCGGGAAACAGATGCCTTCCTCTTGTCTCAACTGCAAGAGACATGCTTTCCTCTTATACTAATCCTCCTCAGCACAGACCCTTTACGGGTGTCGGGCTGGGGGACGGTCAGGTCTTTCCCTTCCCACGAGGCCATATTTCAGACTATCACATGGGGAGAAACCTTGGACAATACCTGGCTTTCCTAGGCAGAGGCCCCTGCAGGCTTCCGCAGTTTTTGTGTCCCTGGGTACTTGAGATTAGGGAGTGGTGATGACTCTTAATGAGCATGCTGCCTTCAAGCATCTGTTTAACAAAGCACATCTTGCACCGCCCTTAATCCATTTAACCCTGAGTTTGACACAGCACATGTTTCAGAGAGCACGGGGTTGGGGGTAAGGTCATAGATTAACAGCATCTCAAGGCAGAATAATTTTTCTTAGTACAGAACAAAATGGAGTCTCCTATGTCTACTTCTTTCTATACAGACACAGTAACAATCTGACCTCTCTTGCTTTTCCCCACAGTCTCAGATTCCGCTTATGTTGTACATGCCACTAAAAATATAGAAACTGCTACTATCAAACATATTGATAATTCTGAATTGGCTTCTTTATTTTCAAGGTTACAACAGGTGGTTCACCAGTGTAGACACCCTTCCTATATTACACATATTAGGTCTCATACCACTTTACCAGGACCCATGTCTGCTGGTAACCATGAAGTTGACTGTTTGGTGTCTTTAATGACCCAAGAAGCTCAGGAGTTCCATAATCTCACTCATGTCAATGCCACTGGCTTAAAAGATAAATTTGCTCTTACCTAGAAACAGGCTAAGTTTATTGTTCACAGCTGCCCTCAGTGCCAGGTCTTCGTACTTCCAAATCAGGAACCTGGTGTTAAGCCTAGAGGCCTAACTCCTAATGCTTGATGGCAAATGGATGTGACTCATGTTAGCTCCTTTGGCAGACTGTCATATGTGCATGTCTCAGTAGATACCTTCTCAGGTTTTATCTGGGCTACTTGACAAACAGGGGAAGGCACGGCCCATTTTTAAAAACATCTGTATTCTTGCTTTGCAGTTATGGGGCTTCCATATCAAATAAAGACAGACAATGCCCCTGGATATGTTAGTAAGGCTTTTGATTCATTTATACAACAGTAAGGAATTTCCCATATTACTAGAATCCCTTACAATCCTCAAGGACAGGCTGTGGTGGAACAGGCCAATCGCACTTTAAAAACCCAATTGTCCAAACAGTCTGAACAACCAAAACATGATTTAACTACTCCACACTCCCAATTACATTTGGCATTATTTACTTTAAATTTTTTAAATGTTCCTAAAGATAATACTGTAACTGCAGCCAAACGCCATTATACAGGCAAAAAATTTTCCATAAACGAAGGCAAGTCAGTGTTATGGAAAAACTCTCAAACCAATACCTAGGAACCTGGCACAATTATAACGTAGGGAAGAGGATATGCTTGTGTTTCACCAGGAGATCATCAATCCCATGTCTAGGTACCCACCAGAAGACTCAAGCTTCAGGTGAATACTGACAACTAAAACCACAGACAAAAAACATCTGTGTCAGAGATTGCCTTCAGACGTGGTGAGATCTCTGCTGACTCCTCAGAAACAGGCACACCAAATCACAATAGGTGTAAATCAATCCTCCCTGATGGCAGTGGAGACCCATCTAACTAATCCCACTTCTCCTGATTACTTTTCTTTTTCTCCTTACAAACCTAAAAATCTCACCATTTCTATTAGCCTGAAAATAACATCCCTCTGTTCTTCTCTTCCTCCTTCAGCACTCAATCTCACTTACACTAGGTTTTATTTAATGATTCTCCTCCTTATACTTTCTGTCTCACCAGTTTCCTCTCACACTGATTTACCTGCTACACATAATTATTCTTATTAGGCTTATGTGCCTTTTCCTCCACTTATTCGACCTCTCACCTAGATAGATGCTCCTGCAGAAATCTACACTAATGATAGTGTGTAGATGCCTAGAGCCACAGATGACCGTTGCCCTGCTCAACCAGGAGAAGAAGGCACTGCATTTAATGTTACCATAGATTATAAATACCCCCCTCTGTGCCTCGGACATGCACCTGGTTGCATCCACCTAGAAACTCAATTCTAGGCTGCTTATCTTCCGAAAACATCAGCTACAGATAAAATAGGACATTTAGTCTCTGGCCTCTCCCTTTCTCCTTTAAAACAAATGAAAGGAGAAGTAATGGGAGATACCCCATACTTTCAATATAAACCTGCAGGAAAACCATGCCCTAAAAATTTTGAGGGCCCATCTAAAACTTTAATTTAGGATGATTGTGTTAACTCACATGCAGTAATATTAAAAAATGACTCATATGGTTTAGTAATAGACTGGGCACCAAAGGGCTATTTAAAAAATAATTGCTCCTCTAGTGGAAGGGAATTCCTGGAGGCTAATTATTTTATTTCTTATCAGGAGAACGAGAATCATCATTCTACTTTGCATAGGAGGATCAGCTCATTCTTTCCCTTAAAATGGGAAGATAAAGGCATTACCCGCCCCCCAAGCCTCGTATGATACTCCCCATTCTGAGCCCAGAACACCCAGAACTTTGGAAATTGGCTATTGCCATGTCTGGACTGCGAGTATGGGAAGGGAAAACTATTTTGACTGTTGTTCCCACTACTGTCCCACTCTCTCAGTATCAACATAGACCCAGACATTCTGCTTTACTTACCTCCAACCTGACTATTCCCATACAGAGTTGTGTTAAGCCTCCTTACATGCTGTTAGTAGGAAATATTAAAATTTGGACAAATAATCAAACTTTCCAATGCATTAATTGTCATCTATACACTTGTATTAACTCCCATTTTGACTCCAGGAAAAGTGTAATGTTGGTTCGAGTTTGAGAAGGAATCTGGATTCCAGTAACTTTACCTAGACCTTGCGAATCCTCCCCCCAATACATTTAATTAATGAAGTGCTACAGCAAATTCTAAAAAGATCTAAGAGATTTGTTTTCACTTTAATCGCTGTTATCACGGGCCTAATTACAGTCACTGCAATGGCCACCACTGATGGAATGGCATTACATCAATCTATTCAAACGGCTCATTTTGTTAATGATTGGCAAGCCAATTCCACCCAAATGTGGAATTCTCAACAAGGCATCCATCAAAAATTGGCAAGTCAAATTAATGATTTAAGACAGTCTGTTATTTGGCTTGGAGATCAGGTAGTGAGTCTCAAACATCACATGCAAATGCAGTGCGATTGGAATACTTCAGATTTCTGCATCACCCCGTATTCCTATAATGAGACTGATCATTCATAGGAAATGGTCAAAGGACACCTTCTAGGTAGAGAAGATAATTTATCATTGGACATAACTAAATTAAAGAAACAAATTTTTGAAGCCTCTCAAGCTCACTTATCCATCATGCCTGGAGCTGAGGCATTAGATCAGGTGGCAGAAAATCTTTATGGATTAAACCCCACTACTTGGATTAAGTCTACTGGGGGCTCCACTGTAGTAAATTTTGGAATATGTTTCTGTGTTTAATCAGCTTGTTTTTAGTGTCCCAGACCACTCAAAGAATCCTGTGTCAAAATCAAGAGAATGAACAAGCCTTCATTGCCATGGCACATTTATATAAAAAGAAAGGGAGAGATGTTGCAGGAAGTCAGGGACCCCAAATGGAGGGACCGGCTGAAGCCATGGCAGAAGAACGTGGATTGTGAATATTTTATGGACATTTATTAGTTCCCCAAATTAATACTTTCATAATTTCTTATGCCTGTCTTTACTGCAATCTCTAAACATAAATTGTAAAGATTTCATGGACACTTATCACTTCCCCAGTCAATACCCTTGTGATTTCCTATGCCTGTCTTTACTTTAATCTCTTAATCCTGTCAGCCAAGGAGGATGTATGTCACCTCAGGACCATGTGATAATTGCATTAACTGCACAAATTATAGAACACGTGTGTTTAAACAATATGAAATCTGGGCACCTTGAAAAAAGAACAAGATAACAGCAATGTTTAGGAAACTAGAGAGATAACCTTAAACTCTGACCACCGGTGAGCCAGGCAGAACAGAGCCATATTTCTCTTCTTTCAAAAGCAAATGGGAGAAATATCGCTGAGTTCTTTTTCTCAGCATGGAACATCCCTGAGAAAGAGAATACGCGCCTGGAGGTATAGGCTTATAAACAGCACCCCCAGGTGCTCCTGTCTCTTATGGTCGAAACTGCAGAGGTGAAATAGACTCCAGTCTCCCATAGCACTCCCAGGCTTATTAGGAAGAGAAAACTCCTGCCTAATAAATTTTGGTCAGACTGGTTGATCTCAAAACCCTGTCTCCTGATAAGATGTTATCAATGACAATGGTGCCCGAAACTTCATTAGCAATTTTAATTTCACCTCGGTCCTGTGGTCCTGTGATCTCGCCCTGCCTCCTCTTGCCTTATGGTATTCTAATACCCCGTTAAGTACTTGATGTCTGTCACCCACACCTATTTGCACACTCCCTCCCCTTTTGAAAATCTCTAATAAAAACTTGCTGGTTTTTGTAGCTTGTGGGGCATCACGGAACCTACCGACATGTGATGTCTCCCCCAGATGCTCAGCTTTAAAATTTCTCTCTTTTGTACTCTGTCCCTTTATTTCTCAAGCTGGCCAATGCTTAGGAAAAATAGAAAAGAACCTATGTGAATATCAGGGCAGATTCCCCGATAGCTGCTTAGTTCATTGATGTATCCCAAGTGTCTCAAATAGTGCCTGACAGATAGTTCTTAACAAATATTAGCTTTTAATCACCCTTTGGCTTACCCTAGTGGTCATCTCCTCCAAAGAGATTTTTCTTAGTATTTTCTCCATTTTCTATCCCTACCCTCCGGATAGGAATATATTCCCATAGCACACTGTGTTTATTGTCAGGAGTCAGGAAATGATGCCCTAAAATGATGGCCTCAGAAGCAGCCTCAGAAGTGAAAGTTTTTCTCTGACCTTCTCCTGCCCTCCTGTCTATCAGTCCCATTCTCCCCTAGGCTAGCCATAGACACTGGAATCCCTCTTTCCCAAGGTGGGCCATAGAAGCCAAAACCCCTTTTCCCCAAAGCCAGCCATAAAATTTAAATATACCACCCTAACTTTCCTTGAGCCTTTCTCTGTAAAAAAAAAATAGCTATAAAGAAATTATCTGACCTATCTTGTTTGATTGTGAATCATAAGACCCCCATTCTAGAGAGGGCCTGACCCACACACGGGAGGAAGGAAAGAATCTGGCACAGAAAGGCCAAGCAGAATCTAGAAAGATAGGCCTTGCTGGGTTTCCCGCAGTCAGTCTATTGGCATTCAATCATACCCTTTTTGTCCAATCATATTTCTCCATGACTGTCCATACTTTGTTGAACCTAAGCATAAAAATGGACAATTTGCCCTGTATCTTTGGCTCTTCATTAGGAAGGCTCTGCTTACACGTTAAATTGATCTGTATGCCTTTCCTCCTTAATCTGCCTCTTGTCAGTGATTTTTGGCAAACCTTCAGAAGGTGAAGGGGAAGCTTTCCCTTGGTCCCCACGTTACCTTTATTATAGTCATCAAGATAATATATTAGGATTATTTGTTTGTGTGTTTGTCCTCCCACATTGGTATATTAAATATTTTTAAACAGAATCATGTACTTTTTATGTCTATGCCTCTAGGGACTAACAACATGCTTACTGAAATGAGAATAGACAGGAAACACAAGACCAGAGCAGAGATATGACTTGTCATCAGTTTATTTGAAAGTCTACTGGTATGAGAGTAAGGGAGAGAGCCAGGCCCAACCTCAGTTGGCCTTACTCAATTCTTTCATTTTCTGGGGACAGTACTAGATTAATTATAAGCAGCATCCCCTTCCCCCATGCCCACTTTTCAAGCTTCAACTTTTCTTGAGTTCCTAAGCAGGAGACCTGGACCTCCAGTGAAAACCATACTCACTGCTCCTAAGCAGAAATCCCTTCCTTCTCACCTGTTCCACCAGCCCAGGCTATACCCTGGGCCTGTCAGCAACACTGCCTCCTCTAGCGCAGGTCTCACTCTGAATCTCATTGGCAGGTCACTTGGTACATATGACCGTGGTCTCCGGCAGCAACGTGACTCTGAACATCTCTGAGAGCCTGCCTGAGAACTACAAACAACTAACCTGGTTTTATACTTTCGACCAGAAGATTGTAGAATGGGATTCCAGAAAATCTAAGTACTTTGAATCCAAATTTAAAGGCAGGGTCAGACTTGATCCTCAGAGTGGCGCACTGTACATCTCTAAGGTCCAGAAAGAGGACAACAGCACCTACATCATGAGGGTGTTGAAAAAGACTGGGAATGAGCAAGAATGGAAGATCAAGCTGCAAGTGCTTGGTGAGTCAGGGGAGCCAAAGAGCAAATCCCCACTCCAGTGGCCCCAGATGGACCACTGTAGGGCTTCCTGGGAGGCATGGGGCACTCTCGGGGAGGAGGAGAGAAAAACCTCAGGACAGGTTTGATTCATTTTTCCTTGATCCAATTCTATTTGGGAGTGAGCCTAGGTCAACAGATATCCAAATTAACAATCTTAGGACATTTAACACCTCTTCTGAAGTTAGTGAGTCTAAGCTTTGAAGAGAAGGAAAACTAGAGATTTTTCCTATTTCCTTCATTTTGTCCTGTGATCAACCTAA